>NC_000001.11:95803835-97053835 GCF_000001405.40 Homo sapiens | reverse complement strand
CTAGATAATAGTGCATTTGATAATTACCTTGATATCCTATTCAAACATATTCTACATTTTAGGGTTTCACTCAGAGTAGGTTTTTATTCTGAAGGAGCATATATTTACTTTTCAGATCCCCTCTTAACATTGGACATAGGTAAACTTCTTTTATAAGGTTTATAATGTGCAAACATATATTCCTTTTTATGCTACTGGTCTATTTATTGGATTAACTAGAAGGATTTGATGTGAAAGCTTAGAATGATATTGAAAACACATCACTTCTATTGTAGCTAAGAAAATCAGCTTTAGAATTAGAGACCTTGTATTGGGCATTATGTGTAGACCTTTAGCTTTTTATCACAGCTGTTCTTTGTTGCCATGACAACAGAATTAACCGTTTCATTAATATCAGTGAGAAAAGACACATATTTATGCGTGTCTGACTTAGAATGTAGTCCCTGTTCAGGTTTCAAGACCTTTGCCATGCTCATGGGCTTGTTTTTATTCCTTAATATTTTGCTTAATGTTTCTACAGGATTTTCAAAGCAAAGTCTTATGTTTTTAAGATTAAATTTCTATTGGCTGTGTTGGTTTGGCTGCTTTTTAGTGTCCCCTGAGTGGCGAAATGAGCTTCAGGATCTGAAGCTAGTGAAAGCAATAGGAAAGAAAATTTAGTACAAAAGAAAGCAGTTACCCGTTACAAGAGAAGTCAGTTGTTTGTTTTTTCCTTCTTTTGAGCCCTACTTGGTGAAATGGGTGTTACTATAAATACTGAAGAGTAATCCCTCATCAAAATGGGTGATCCAGCTGTTTCTGTTGCTGCTGAAAGCAGGTAGTGTGCTGATTGCAATTGTGATGAAAAGGCAGAAAAAGTGTCCTACGACAAGTAAAATCCATTATTTTGAAAATAATACCTCAAGATAATAATTTTGCCCATTCCCCAAAAGCTACAATGGTTCCCTACTTGTTTGTATCTGGCTTTTCTTTTGAAGGAAAAAAAATGATTCTTAATAAGGAACTCTCTATAAATATTCATACTTTTAAAGACCAATGCAAAAATTCCCTAATTACCATTGAAATAGTTTGAGGAATCTGTTAACTCTGTTTTCTATTCATACACTTTAGCTAAATAAGGATTATCTTTAAATAAATTGAATTATTTTCTTCAAAATTATTATTATTAATTTCTATATTTTTTGAACACCTATCATGTCTAAGTAAATTTGCAAAGTGCTTAAAATATGTTATCTCATTTAATACATGAAACAACAGCTATATGAAGAAGGTACTGCTATCCTCATTTTATGGTGAAGGAAACTGACGTTCAAAGAGAACTTGTACAAGATTTCACAATGAATAAGTAGGATTTGAATCTTAATAGATCTGATCCCAAAGCCAGCGCTGGCATTCATTAGGGAAAGTGCCACCCTCAACTCTTTGTTTCTGCTCATATAAATATTGTAACAACACGTAAAATATTTACATTCCCTCCAAGGCATGTTGTCCTGGGAGGGGGGAGAAAAGTCTGAGAGAAGATTGTTCATAATAATTAAACTCATAAAACAAGAAAGCAGGTTTGAATCAGACATAAAATCTTTAAACCAAGAATGGTTTGGTGAGGCTAACTGCACACATATGAATAATTTTCAGTACTGAATAAAGACTTTGTACCAACCATTGAAATAAGGAAAAGACTTTTTACAGAACACAGGAGGTTTTTATTTTTAATTTATTTACTTTTTTTACTCTTTTTAAAGAACAGCTTGACTGAGATATAATTCTAATACCATAAAATTCACCTAAAGAGTACAAGGTAATGGTTTTCAGTGTACTCACAAAATTGTGCAATCACTGCCACAATCAATTTTAGAACATTTTTTATCACCTCCTTCTCTAAAAAACCCTTGTGCCCATTGTCACCATTGTCTTCTTTTCCCCTCTCCTCCCCTCCCCAATCACCCCAACTCTAGGAAACCATTAATCTACATATCTCTATAGAGTTGCTCATTTTGGACATTTCACAAAAATAGAACCATACATTATATAGCCATTAGTGTTTGGCTTTTTTTACTTAGTGTAATATTTTCAGGGTTCATCCATGCTGTGGCATGTATCAGTACTTCATTTCTTTTTATGGCTGAATAAGAACCCATTGTATGTATAAATCACATTTTGTCCACTGACAGACATTTGGGTTGTTTCCACGTTTTGGTTATTATGGCTATTATGAACAATCCCGCTATGAACTTTTGTGTACAAGTTTTTGTGGGGACACATGTTTTCATTTTCCTTGAGGCTCTGTTTGTTTTTATGTCATCCTTATCTAATAAAAAGGTGGGGCTCAAACATACTCTGGTGACCAAAGACCTTGTGGAATTCTAAACTATAATCACATCAGAGCTTTACTTTTACATTCTGTGAGTTATACGTTAGAGACAGAGTGATTAATTCAGACACCATTGCTCAGGGTTCTTAGCCACTCTTACAACTTTCATGAAGATATTCAACTCATTCTTTTCTAAGTGACAATAATTATTGAAGCTCTTTAAAACCCTAAATTTAAAAAGTACAAGAAAGCATTTACATAAAATAAAACTTACTAAAGTCTCAGATAGAATAATCTATCTTACCTACTTATCAAATATACATTTTTGAAATACTACTTCTTCAATTCAATTAGATGCTTAGATAAATAAGACCTAAAACAGTAGAAGTGAGTGGCACTCTATTTTTCACTTCTCAGTACTAACATTGTGAAGGATTCTTCAAGTTTCTTCTCTTCCAGCGGTGACAAAGCTAAGACCTAGACTTCAATAGACCCAAAGGAGTGGGTCTGGTTTCTTTTTCATTAAGTTATATGATTCAGTAATAGATGAGAATGTTTTGTAATTAGAAATAAACACATCATTTATTTGTTGAGAGCAAAACTCTATAGGCTGTTCCTAATGGGGAGCTGTTTCCTTGAATTGAAGGTGAGAGTTTATCTTCGGTCTGAGTCATATGGAGGAATCATGAGAATCATAATCCCTGCTAAGGTACAAAGAGTCCAGAGGAAGGTTAAGAGTAAATTCTTGATATTTTTAAAAGATGACTTGTGGGTTCCAAGCATAGCATTAACTTCCATTTTAGAATCCAATAGAAATTGCATCAGCTAATAAGCTAAATGAGGCTTTTTAACAGTTGCTTCTCATCTCTGCACAAGAGGGCAGCCTTTCACCAAAACCAAGGAAACACTTGGGCAGAAGTGTGCTAATGTATATAGAGACCCCCTCCAATCATAGAACTTCCATGAAGAGCTCCCTTGACATAAAGAATGAAGAAATTATGAGATAGTTAATACCATGTGCCCGTGTGCTGTCAATCCCAGAAAATGTCTGCACATTAATATTGCCACATAAATGTTTGCAGTTTCAGTGATATTTTGGGTTTAATGTTACATAAATATTGTTTGAATTTCTTAAACTACTGTGGACAATTATGGACTATTGAAATTAATGATAGGAATAATACATTTTCTAAATAAAAAAACCTATTCGTGCAATTAAATCACTCGACCCTAAATTTTTTTTCTATATCTCATGAGAATGTTTTCTTAGTGGTTATCCATTATTAGATTTCAAGGTTTTAGAATCAAATTGCCAAAATCAATTCCAAATGAATAATAATTCATATTGGGACAATTATAAATTTAAATTATAAAATACAGTCAAAAAGATTTACCGAGAAATTAAGAGAAACCAAAGAGGGTTGCTATGTGCATACACTTCCAAAATAATTAACCACATTTGCCAGGAAATACATAATTTAAATGTATCATGATGAAACCAAAATGCGATTAAAAAGGGGGCTAAAGTTAATTTGTCACATAGAAAGGTAAATGTAACTGTCTTTACATTCAAAGCTTTGCAACAATATTTTCATGAAGTGTAAAGTAACCACAACCCTTTTGTTTCTCTTCAAGTTTATGGAACTTTCAACTAAACATTTCACAGGAAATTACTGTCTCCAAGAATATAAAAGGTTTTATATAAAGGATGCTGATCAGTTGTTCTCCATGGACACAGAGGTGCAAACAAGCAGAAATTGGTTTAATAAAGCAGAAGATATTTCAACTGGACACAAAGCAGAACTTCTTGACTATCATGGAGATAAAGAAAAATGGGGGAATCTTTCCAATAAATGTTTAAAGATAACTGTAAAAAAATCTAGTGAAATGGATAAGAGATGTCTTTACTTTTACTACTTATATTTACAAAATTGAGTACTAGACAGAAAATAATGTGTACACAATATCATTTCAACCATTTTATTTTATGTTTCAATAAAGTAATACTTTCATACTAATAAACTAATAGAGCAAACAAGGAATAGCATTTCAATTTCCTTCAGGTTTTTGTTTTGTAGATAGACACAAGTATATTTTGTCATATACATTGTAAGAACTGGGCTTCCTTTACATAACATTTACTGGTGGGGAAATACAAAAGACAGCCAATGTAGATAAAAATGTTTTTCAATTCTTACTTGCTCAACAAATTTTACCAAACTGAAAGCTCCTTAACTGTAGGGACATTAGGTGCCAAGTACTCTGTCTGGCACATAGTAGACTTTCAGTATAGGTTTATTGAATTATGTTTCCATAAAATTACAGCTTTTTTCTGTATCATTATGAGAATCAAACTCTAATTCTTAGTTTCATTTTCACAGAATGCAAGCAGGATTGGAGAGAGAGCTAAACTGGAGGTATGTATAATGGTTTATAAAGCCCTTTCACAATTTTCATGAACCTGTACTACTTTTCACTTGCTTTTAAGCAAACCATACTAACCAAATACTTACAGTCTTTACTGAGAGTAAATATTTAATCAACAACAAATATTTATCTGAAATTTGCTATGTACAAGACATCATGCCAGGTGCTAGGGATGCAGCTATAAGCAAGGTAGGCACTGTTTCTGCCTTCCTGGAGCTTACATTCTAGAAAATGTAACCAAATTCAGTTGGCAATTAAGCATTTAATTACAGGTGCTATAAGTGATACAAGGAAGAAGTCCAGGGAGTTATGAAAGAATATTCACAGGACTTACTGATGGAAGGGAAAAAATGTCATTACAGGATAGAAATCATTGAAGTTGAGAACTGATTTCATAAACAGAGCTTCAAAGAGCAAGTAGCAGAAGTTAGGTGGGGAGTTCATGGAGGGTATAGTGGGATGATTACATGTCGGAGGAAAGAACATAAGCAAAGACCTAAGTCAGGGAAAAGAATGGCACCATACAGGAAAGAAAATGAGGCAAAGTTGCCAAATGTGGAGAGGGAGAGGAAGTTTCTCAGCATGATCAAAAGAGCAAAAAAGGCATAAAAAGATAAAGATGGAAGACCAAATGAAGACACTACCTGCTGCGGAGAGGCTCACTTCTCATTGGTCTTTCCTTTATTCCATACCAAAACTACCTTTCGTTGCTCTTCTGCAACTGATTTCTACAAGCCCCACCACATTCCTAACCACGTGTCAGTTCCCACTCTGCAGAAAACATAATGTAAACTCTAGTGCAGTTGCTTTTGCCTATAGAAGCATCTCTTTGAGGATTTAATCATAATGTAGAATATTCTCTATCAGTGCCATGCTGAAATGGGAGGCATAAATGATGCATAATTCTTGAAAACCCCATTGTAGACTTGGGTCTTTATAACAAAATAAAAGCTCCATATTAAACTATAAGGCATTATGCTTCCATAAAATAAATTAAATAAATGGCCAGCAGGGGTGTTTTACACAATTTATTGGTGCCCTCTACAGTCAATGCTACATCTCATTAGTGGCTCTGTCACTCATGAAAGATGTGGCACCCATCAGCATCCTTCATTAACTTAAAGCATGTGCCCACACATCAAATATATATTTTTTAATTATGGGAACAAGCTATAAAGCAGATGTGTGTGTGTGTGTGTGTGTGTGTGTGTGTGTGTGTGTGTGTGCCTGCCATGAACAGCAGAGAGCATTCAAAACCCTCCAAAGCTCTCTTTGTTTTTGTTTTGTTTGTTTTTTTTCTTTTTAACCAAAATGGTGAATAAGATACAGTCTCGTTCTTTTAAAGTTATTTCTCTCTACTGACTATTCCTGCTTGCATTCATTGCAATCATCCAGACTTTGCCAATTTTTTTCCTTCTTGACATTTCATTTTTAATTAAAAATGACATTTTAATTAAAAGGAAACATATGTAGAATAAACAGAATAACTCACCAACAGCAGAGAGCTGGGGCTGTCCTGTCAGCTCAGTTTTAACCTTTCTGGCTCACAAAAGCTGTGCTGGGCTTCTCCAATGCTTGCCAAGGCACATTCTCGACAGAGAGGAAGAAAAAGATGGCCATCAAACCAAGATCCACCCACATTCAGAAAACCCTGAGAAATGCAGAGGATGGAGAACAGAGAGGCTATACCCACTCCAAACTATATTATTTGGGACTTTCAGAACTAAAATATTAGTTTTTCTTCTGTTCAGAATATTAAAACTATCACTTTGGTGAAAGACCCCAGTTTTACAACTTTTCATGTTTACAGATGGCCTGATTTGGCAATCTTAAATGTTAAGGGAGTTAGAAATCTGGCAGGAGGTAAGCACAGCCAAAAGTAAAGAATTACAAATAAAACAAACTACCCTTCTATGAACATCCATAACTTAGAATACTTTGCACCTCTCGGGGCTGTTTCCCCTCCTATGTCAGAGCTGGTGTTGGTGGGGTCCATGGGCAGCTGGACGCCTCTCCTCTCCCTGAAATGAGCTGGCTCCTTGCACAAAAGCATATTGTGGTGTAGGAGGGAGTGCAGCAAGACTGTACAAAATGACAAAGAAAGAAACCAGCAGTGGCTACATACTGCATGAGGGGCAGACCGATGGTTCTCTAAGAAAAATCACCGAATAGCATTAAAAAGCCCAGGTCCTCAGAAACCACCTGCCAGTTGATGAGGATCAACAGGTAAATGGGTGACCCAATTTTCACCACATTGCGTGCACACCTTCTGACAAGCATAAAGGCACTGGGACAGACAGAAATCAGTCATGAATAGTCACTGTAATTATAACCCAGCATGAAGAAGGAAGGAAAGGAATATCATTTTGTGGCACCCACTAGGTGCCAATAGTTTGTCATTCTAGTTCAAAAGTGAATTATATAAGTCAGTGTTATAGGTTGAATTGGTTCTCAAAAATAGATACATGAAAGTACTTCAGAATACCAGTACCTCAGAACATGACCTTATTTGGAGCTAGGGTCATTGCAGATGTGATCAGTCAAGTTAAAACAAGGTCATAACTGGAGTAGACTGGGCCTCTAATCCAATGTGATTGGCGTCAATATAAGAAGACGGCCACGTGAAGACAGACACACACAAGGAGAATGCCATGGTGGCAAAGGCAGAGATTGGAGTTATGCAGCTGCAAGCTCATGAATGCCAAGGACTGCCAGCAATCTATCAAAAGCTAGGAGGAGGCAAACCCACAAGTTTCAGGAGCAGCATGGTCCTGAGAACAACTTGATTTTGGACTTCTAGCTTCCAGATCAGGAAGACAATAAATTACTATTACTTTGAACCACACAGTTTGTGATACTTTGTTACAGCAGCCATGGGAAACTACAACTAATGTTAATGAAACAGGTCACTACACATTTTTTTAACCAAAAAAAATTACCTCCTATTAAGAATAACCACAAAATCATCAAACTGGGTTCTTTCAGTATGTATTTATTAAGCTCCTATTGTCTGTTCTGCAGCTAGTATGCTAAAAACTGCCTTCAAAGATTATTCAGCCAATCACAGAAAATGCCCATGCAAAATACAGGTAAAGCAGTGCCCTAGAGTGTCATGGATAGTTTTATACAGTTAGGTACCTGATGTAAATGGGGGATCAAAGAGTTGTGCATGGAGAAGATCACAAATGGGGTTATATATAATTCGCTGTTAGGTGTTCAAGCTAAGTGTCATCCAATTAAATACGGCTTAAAAGGAATTTTTATTAGCAATGATCATTTGTGAATGAATTCTTCTAAGAAATTACAAGAGAGGTCTAATATTATCGAGGCTTAAACAGTGAATATATGAAGCAAGTATACATTCACATAACCATCAGCTGCCCAGTTGTTTCAAGCAAGTTTGTAGATAATGAGAACTCAAACCATGTACGTCCACACACAGATTGGACACTGTGTGCTCAATAAATACATGTTGAAAGAATCCAGTTTGATGATTTTGTGGTTATTCTTAATAGGAGGTAATTTTGTTGTTGTTGTTGTTAAAAAAAAATGTGTAGTCACCTGCTTCATTAACATTAGTTGTAGTTTCCTATGGCTGCTATAACAAAGTATTACAAACTGGATGGTTCAAAATAACAGAAATGTATTGTCTTCTTGTTCTGGAAGCTAGAAGTCCAAAATCAATGTGGATGGAAACTACCCACTTCCTCCTCCAAACCTAACTTACGCACAATATCAGCATGACTTTTCTATTGCCATCATTAATAAGACTTTACAATTGCAGGAGAATTTAGTTCAGACAAATGACTTGATTCTGCATGAGAAAACTTTCTGGAAACAGCTAAAGTCTTCAATGGAAAGCATCAACAGTTTGTACCCTAGAATTCTTTAAATTCCTTCCCTCAAAAATCCCCACCTTGCCGATTCCACCAATCCTAAACAGTTGTATGGTGACCCTTACCGAATCCTAATCAAGTCCCCACATTAAAACACCCATCTTAAACCAAAAGTCTCAACAAATTCAAATTTTGCTTTCCCGCTTCCCACACACTGCCAAAGTTCTATCAAGGTGGTATTCTCTCTTACTTCGGTAAATAATGAACTGAACTTTAAATTATCAACACATTGTGCTAGTGATATTTGGGGAGCAAGTATTCAATAATAATCATGAGCACAGGATAAGGGAAAAGTTAGGAGAGAAATAACAACATTAGGGACACATTGGGATTCATCAGGGAAGCCAAGGGACCCATGTAGAGCAGAGAGGAACAAGGCAGTACAGCCACCCATCTGGGATTGGCATGCAGGCAAGGGAGGCTCCCCACTGCAGGGAAAGGGTGAGTGAGCGAGAGAACCCAGAGACCTACACTTCTGCCATGGACCTTTGCAACCCTGGGCACAGGAGATACCCCCTTACTGCCTCTCCATGGGATCTCCAGACTGAAACGAAGAGCTGGGTAGAGTCTGGGCAGAGCCGCAGCACAGGCCTATGTACAGCCCCAAGGAAATTGGATCCCTGGGCTCCCTGGCACCCGGGACCACAGCCCTGCCAACAAGGGAGGCCAGGCTCTCATGCACATCCTTAGGATAGAGGCCACATCCACAGTGCAGAGGAGTGGACAGACTGCAGACCTTGCCTCCACTGCACCTCCTCCGGCAAAGGCCACTGCCCTAGGACCCAAGCACAGCTAATCTATCCCCTCAGAGCACACTAACTGGTCACAGCTAAGCATTTCTCTGGGTTGGTGCTCCCAGAGGTAACCAACAGGACTGCAGCCTTTGCTGCTGCTGCTGCAGGCCCCATCCCTACTGCCGTCAGGCTGGGGAGGGAACAAAAAAAAGCCTAAGAACTATTATCATAGACCTCCAGCACACTGCAGCTGCTTTATGGAAAAGTGGCCAGACCGTTTTCCATGAGGGTTCCTGCCCCTGCTACTCTTCAATGGGCAGGGCCTCCTCACCTGAGTCCCCAGCCCAGCTGCCCTGCCCTCACTTGATAACTTCAGTTGGTGGCAACTCCGCTTTTCTCTGGAGTGGAATACCCAGAGACAACCCACAGACTTTCTCTGCCATTGCTGCTGCAGTAGTACCATCTTTGCTGCCCTTGGGTTGAGGAACAAAGAACCTGCTTGCTTTGCTCGCACCTCCAGCACATTGCAGCCACCATACAGAAAGGAGCCCAGTTTCTCTTTCCTGTGAACCCCTGACCCCCTGCTCCAGCAGGCCCACTCCTGGCTGAACCTTCCCATTGGCAGCCCTTCTGTGTCTCTCTAGAGTGGAGTTCCCAGAGGCGACTGATAACTCCTCTGCCACTGCTGCTGCAGCTGTACTGGCTCTTGTTGCCCTTGGGCTGGGGAAGGAACAAAGAGCCATGGTGTTTCACTCATACCTCCAGCACATTGCACTCACCATATGGAGAAGAGGCCAGACTGTCTTCCCCATGAGACCCCCATCCATCCTGGTCTTCACCAGGAAGGGTCCCACAGCTTGGGTTCACAGCACAGCCACCCCACCCACAGCTGATCATTCTGATTGGCAGTGGCTCTGCATTTCTCTGGGGTGGAAATGGTGCCCCAAGAGATAACTGAAAGTTCCTCTGCCATTGCCACTGCAAAGGTCCCTGACCCTGGTGCCACCAAGTTGAAGAGAAAACATAAAACCTTAACTCACCCCAGGGATGTAGTGTGAAGCCTGGGAGTGCCAAGTCTAGATCTATGGCCAGCACTTGAGTGGGAGAGGAGCCCACAATTTCAGAGCATTTAGAGGTAGCATGGCTGCAAACACAAAGAAATACAGAGGAGACATAGGCTGAGTAAGAGTCTTTCTACTGGTCATTATGCTGAAGCACCATCCACTGGACCACAGTCCAGACTTCAACACCAAAAATACTTTGCTAATATATGCATCTGTGAAACCAAGGACAAGAACTCAGCCACAAAGACCCTGCACAAAGCTGTGGCCCTCTGAAAACATCCAGAAAAAAAGCCAACTGACTATACTCAAATTTCACCACAGTTAATGGAACATGAATCCACTCTGATGAGAAGTAACCAGTACAAGAACTCTGGCAACTCTAAAAGTCAGAATGTCTTCTTAATCCCAAGTGATCACACTAGCTCCCCAGCAATGATTCTTGACCAGAATGAAATGGCTGAAATTACTCAGAATCTGGATGGCAACAAAGATCCTCAAGATTCAGGAGAAAGTTGAAACCCAATCCAAGGAATTTAAGGAATTAGTAAGATGATTCAAGAAACGAAAGATGAAAAAGCCATTTTAAGAAAGAACCAAACTGACCTGTTAGAGCTGAAAAACTCACCACAAGAATTTCATAGCATGATTGAAAGTATTAACAGCAGAATAGATTAAGCTGAGGAAAGAATCTCAGTGCTCAAAGACTGGTTCTTGGAAGTGACTCAGTTAGACTAAAATAAAGAGAAAAGAATTTTAAAAATTGAACAAAACCTCCAGGAAATATGGAATTATGTCAAGAGACCAAACCTATGACTCACTGACATTCCTAAAAGAGAAGGAGAGAAAGCAAGCAACTTGGAAAACATATTTGAAAATACTGTCCATGAAAATTTCCCCAACCTCTTTAGAGAAACTGACATTCAAATTCAGAAATTTAGAGAACCCCTGCAAGATACTGTATAAGATAACCATCCCCCAGACACATAGTCATCAGATTCTCCAAGGTAAACTTGAAAGAAAAAAATTCAAAGGCAGCTACAGAGAAGAGGCAGGTCACCTACAAATGGAACAGTGGACCCTTTTAGCAGAAACCCCACAAGCCAAAAGAGACTGGGCCTATACTCAGAAACTTTAAAGAAAATAAACTCCAGTCAAGGATTTCACGTCCAGCAGACTAAACTTCAAACAAAGGAGAAATAAAATCCTTTTCAGACAAGCAAATGCTAAGAGAATTTGTTACCACCAGACCTGCCTAAGAAGAGGTCCTTAAAGGAGTGCTAAACTTGGAAGCAAAAGACCATTATCCACCCACACAAAAACACACTTAAGTACATAGACCATTGACACTATAAAGCAACTACACAATCAAGTATACATAGTGACCAGCTAAAAACATAATGACAGGATCAAATCTGCACATATCAATATTAATCTTGAATATAAATGGGCTACGTGCCCCATCTAAAAGGCGCATAGTGGCAAGTTGTATAAAAAAGCAACACCCAACTCTATGCTGTCTCCAAGAGACCCATCTTACATGCAAGGACACCCATAGGCTCAAAGTAAAGGGATGGAGAAAGATCTTTCAAGCAAATGGAAAACAAAAAAGAGCAGGAGTTGCTATTTTTATTTCAGACAAAACAGAGTTTAAAGCAACAGTGATTGAAAAGGACAAAGAAGGGCATTACATAATGATAAAGGGTTCAATTCAACAAAAAGATTTAACAATGCTAAATATATATGCACCCAACACTGAAGCTCCCATATGCATAAAACGAGTTCATAGAGACTTACAAAGAGGCTTAGATAACCATACAAATAATAGTGGGAGTCTTCAACACTACACTGATGGTAATAAACAGATCATCAAAGCCAAACATTAACAAAAATATTTGGGACTTACACTCAACCCTTGACCAAATATACCCAGCAGACATCTACAGAGCTCTTCACCCCCACAAAAACACACAACATAAATTCTTCTGCTCTGAACATGGCACATACTTTAAAGTTGACCATGCTTTCAGCCATAAAGCAATTCTCAACAAATTCAAAAAAAACTGAAATCACACCAACCACACTCTCAAACCACAGCACAATAAAAATAGAAATCAATACAAAGAAGAACTCTCAAAACTATACATTTACGTGGAAATTAAACATCTGCTTCCAATGACTTTTGGGTAAACAATGAAACTAAGGCACATATCAAGAAATTCTTTGAAACTAACAAAAACAAAGATACAGGATACAAGAATCTCTGGGACACAGCTAAAGCAACATTAAGAGGAATGTTTACATTGCTAACTGTCCACATCAAAAAGTTAGAAAGATCTCAAATTAACAACATAATATCGCACCTAGAGGAACTAGAAAAATGAAAACAAAGCAACCCCAAACCTAGCAGAAGAAAAGGAATAACCAATATCAGAACTGAAGTGAATGAAATGGAGGTAAGAAAAAAACATATAAAAAATCAAGAAAACCACGAGTTGGGTTTTTTTTTTGAAAGAATAAATAATATTGACAGACTGCTAGCTAGACTAATAAAGAAAAAAGGTGAGAAGATCCAAATAAACACAATCAGAAATTACAAATGGGACATTAAGACTAACCCCACAGAAACACAGAAAACAAAACAAAACAAAAAACCCAGTGACTATTATGAATACCTCTATGTACACAAAATAGAAAATCTAGAAGAAATGGATAAATTCCCAGAAACATAAAACCTCCCAAGATTTAAACAGGAAGAAATTAAAACCTGACCAGACCAATAACTAGTTCCAAAACTGAATCAGTAATAATAACAAAAAAAAAACCCTACTGACCATATAAAGGCATTGACCAGGCAGATTCACAGCTGAATTCTACCAGATATATAAAGAAGAGTTGGTACCAATCCTACCAAAACAATTCCAAAATTCAAGGAGGAGGAGCTCCTCCCTAACTCATTCTATGGGTCAGCATCATTCTGATACCAAAACCTGGCAGAGACACAACAAAAAAGAAAACCTCAGGGCAATATCCCTGATGAACATAGAAGCAAAAATATTCAACAAAATACAAGTAAACTGAATCCAGCAGCACATCAAAAAGCTAATCCATCACAATCAAGTAGGCTTTATCCTTGATATGCAAGGTTGGTTCAACATACACAAATCAATAAATGTGATTCATAAAATAAACAATACTAAAAACAAAGACCACTTCATCATCTCAATAGATGCAGAAAAGGCTTTTAATATAATTCAACACCCTTTCATGTTAAAAACCCTCAACAAACTAGGCACAAAAGGACATACCTCAAAATAATAAGAGCCATCTATGGCCAACCCACAGCCAACATCATACTGAATGGGCAAAAGCTGGATGCATTCACCTTGAGAACCAGAAAAAGACAAGGATGCCTATTCTCACCACTCCTGTTCAACATACTACTAGAAGTCCTAGCCAGAGCAGTCAGGCAAAAGAAAGAAATAAAAGACATCCATATAGGAAGAGAAGTCAAACTATCTGTCCTTGCAGACAGTATGAACCTATACATAGAAAACCGCATAATCACTCTCCAAAAACTCCTAGATCTGATAAACAACCTCAGCAAAGTTTTAGGATACAAAATCAATGTACAAAAATCAGTAGCATTTTTATACACCAATAATGTCCAAGCTGAGACCCAAATCAAGAGTGCAATCCCATTCACAATAGCCACAAAAAGAATAAAATACCTAGGAATACAGCTAACTAGGGAGGTGAAAGATCTCTACAACAAGAATTACAAAACACTGCTGAAAGAAACCAGAGACAACACAAACAAATGGAAAAAATATCCCCTACTCATGGATAGGAAGAATCAATGTTGTTAGAATGGCCATTTTGTCCAAAGCAATTTATATATTCAATGCTATTCCTGTCAAACTATGAATGGCATTTTTTCACAGAATTAGAAGAGAAAATTCTAAAATTCATTTGGAAAGAAAAAAAGAGTCCAAATAGCCAAAGCAACCCTAAGCAAAAAGAACAGAGCAGGAGGCATCACATTACCCAATTCCAAACTATATCACAAAGCTGCAGTAATAAAAACAGTAAGGTACTGGTACAAAAACAGACATATACACCAATAGAAAAGGTTAGAGAACCCAGAAATAAAGACAGACACTTAGTATGTCTCTGTGATTTTCAACAAAGCAGACAATAACAAACAATAGAGAAAGGACTTCTTATTCAAAAATGGTGCTGCAATAACTGGCTAACCATATGCAGAAGATTGAAACTGGACCCCTCCCTTTCATCATATACAAAAATCAACTCAAAATAGATTAAAGCCTTAAACGTAAAACCTGTAACTATAAAAACTCTAGAAGAAAACCTAGTATTCTGGACATTGGCCCTGGCAGAGACTTCATGATGAAGACTCCAAAAGCAACTGCAACAAAAACAAAAATTGACAAGTAGGATCTAATTAAAGAGTTTCTGCACACCAAAAGAAACTATCAACAAAGTAAACAGAAAACCTACAGAAAGGGAGAGAACAGTTGCAAACTATGCATCCAACAAAGGTCTAATATCCAGAATCTATAGGGAAATTAAATCAACAAGCAAAAAACTAACAACCCCATTAAAAAAGTGGGCAAAGGACATGAACAGATAATTCTCAAAAGAACATGTACACGTGACTATTGAGCATTTGAAAAAAATGCTTAGTATCACCAACGAAACCACATTTCACTAATGAAAACCATGATATCACTACTGAAACCAATATCACTAATGAAAACCACGATGAGATACCATCCTGTACTAGTCAGAATGCCTACTATTAAAAAGTCAAAAAATAACAGATGCTCGCAGGGTTGCAGAGAAAAGGGAACACTTATATACTGCTGGCAGGAATGTAAATTAGTTCAGTGACTGTAGAAAACAGTCTAGAGATTTCTCAAAGAACTTAAAATAAAACTACCATTCAACCCAGCAATCTCATTACTGGGTATATACCCAAAGGAATATAAATCTTTCCACCATAAAAACATATGGATGCATATGTTCATCACAGCATTATTCACAATAGCAAAGACATGGAATCAACCTAAATGCCCATCAATGCTGGACTAGATAAAGAAAACATGATACATATACACCATGGAATACTATGCAGCCATAAAAAATAATGAAATCATATCCTTTGCAGCAACATGCATGGATCTGAAGGCCATTATCCTAAGCAAATTAATGCTGGAAAAGAAAATCAAATATCACATGTTCTCACTTACAAGTGGGAGCTAAACTTTGAGTTTCTTGACAAAGAAGAGAGCAATAGACATCAGGGCCTACTTGAGGGTGGAGGTTGGGAGGAGGGTGAGCACTGAAAACCTACCTATTGGGTACTATGCTGATTACCTGGATAACAACATTATCTGCACACCAAACCCCCATGACATGCAATGTATCCATAACAAACCTGTACATGTACCCAGTGAAAGTAAAATAAAAGTTGGAAAGAAAAGAAAAAAATATTTTCAACATATCTAGAAAACAATTACCATTCTTTACCTCTTTAGATGGTTTCTGGTAAGAGAAAAGGAAGAGGCAAAAAGTACTCAAATGTTCAATTCTGCTTTGCTGTGTTTTATTTTCTTAATAATGTATGTATTTTGTTTTTGAAGTACCACAATGAATAAAGGGACATCATTATGTTTAAAAAACCCCACAACATTGGTTTTTAATATGCTGAACTTTAGATGTCTAAGAAACAACAAGGTAGAGAAGTCCAGTAAAGGTAGTTAAAGGGAGCTTAAGAGAAAGATTTAAGCAGAAGAGCTGGGTAACTTTGTAAACTGAACAGTGACTGAGGCAAATTTCAATCAATTAGAGGTTAATTTTGCCAAGGTTGAAGACACTCCTGGGAAGAAGAAATGCAAGTCATAGCAGGATGTGTGACCAGTGCTTTTTCAAAAGATGGTTTTGGGAGCTTCAATATTTAAAGGGGAAAGAGCAAGCGGGAGGGGAACAAAAAAGGAGAGTGGGTAAGCAATGAGACAAGTGGTTACATTCTTGTGAGGGTCTGATTAGCTTTGTGAATCTACATTTTACATGTAAAAGAAAGGAGCAGAGGAAAAGCCAATTTTGCATTTGTCTGGCACTCAGTAAATCTACACTTTACGTAAGTCCAAGGCATTGTACTGGTGGGAAGGGAGATGCGAGGATGGAAGAGAAGTGCTGTATACGGCACTTCTTCCCGGAAAGGTTTAGAATTTGAATAATCTGTGACAACTATTAGTTTGGAGCATAATACTAAGTTATCACAAATATGATTTCTTTTGTTATGCATTTTAAAGTTCTATGTGCAATATTTTGTACCTGTGAACATATGTTTAAATACCTAAGACACACATGCTAGAGAACAAGAGCCTTGAGGTAATGGATTCTGTACTCTATTTTTCTTTGTATCCAAAAATGATAATCCCAATGCCTAGCCACTAATAATTACTCAAAAAGAGTTTGTTGAATGAATAAATGATTGTATTAGTACATTTGTGCTGTTATTGTGACATTTATGGTAGAAATAGGAAAGATTCTGAGAACAATTAAGCAATTGATTGTCAATTACCTCCAGGAGGGGAAATAGAGACCAGTATCATTTTTCTCCCAGGAAAACATTTCTTCCCATTTACATTCTGTTCTTTTTTTTTTCTTTTTTTTTTTTTTTTTTAGATGGAGTCTTGCTCTGTCCCCAGGCTGGAGTGCAGTGGCGTTATCTCTGCTCACTGCAACCTCCAGCTCCCTGGTTCAAGCGATTCTCCTGCCTCCGCCTCCTGAGTAGCTGGGATTACAGGCTCCCGCCGCCACGCCCAGCTAATTTGTGTGTGTATATATATATATATTTTTTTTTTAGTAGAGACGGGGTTTCACATGTTGGCCAGGGTGGTCTCGATATCCTGACCTCATGATCTGCCCGCCTCGGCCTCCCAAAGTGCTGGAATTACAGACGTGAGCCACTGCGCCCGGACTAGATTCTGTCTTACTTAACATTACATTCAAGAGGTTGTCAGCGGAGTTGCTACTAAGAAGCCTTATTGGAGAGCATTTTTAGGCTGTATAAAATAGTCCCACTTTGAAAGTGCTGAGAGCTGTTTCTGCTGAGGTGTAAGCCATAGTAAAATACTTGTGAACAATTTTCAGACATCATTACACTAAAAAATACAATTTTTAATAGCACCTTGAAGTTTATACTTGCCTTACACTTTCAATTTTAAGTACAAATGAAACAAATGTAATGCATAAGAAAATACTAGTAGGTTATGTAGAATCCATTCAAGACCATGCTTTTCCTCTTACCCCTCTGTTATTTTAGGCATGCCATTAACATGTTTCCTCAACTATAAGACAGGATAATAACATCTGCTTCACAGGATTCTTGTGAATGTTAAATGAGATAATGCGTGTCAAATCTCATTTAATTGTGTTTAATTCATTTAACATTTTACTAGGTGCTGTGTTAGAAGCTTTCTCATTCCTGAAATGTGTCATTATTAAGTTAGTCTCTAATGCCATGTTTTCACAAAGTTAAGAATAATCAAACGTACTTGAACCATAATACATATAATATATTTAAGTAATAGAGGAAATTGAAACTACAACTCTTGTGTTCTATGATATTGATTGGAGGCGTGTGTGTGTGTGTGTGTGTGTGTGTGTGTGTGTGTGTGTGTGTTTTAAGACTCTCTTTGGTGAAAGTCCAGGAATCTTAAAGACCGCCAACAACTTCTTCAGGAAACATTGACACGATATTAAAATGGTCTACACATTGAAAAACTTAAAAAAACTCTTCTCTTAGATTCCCTGAAGGTTCTCCCCGGGTTCACTTCTTTCTTTGTCTTGGTCATTATCTCTTTTCCTTTCCTCTGTGGATCATAACAAAAAATAAAGTTGATCCTTTGACCATCTGAAGACTCTGAGCTGGGAAGATGACCCACAAACCATATGGACCCTCACAAAATGGTGATATCCAGCCAATGTAATTAACCAAAGAGCTGTATTTTTTATCAATTTTCTCTGCTAACAGTAGCTTAGAAGGTATGCATATGATTTCATAGAGGATGATTTTATCTTCAGTCTCTCTCCCTCCATTGACTCTTCTCTGATGATCACTCTTAAATCTACTTCATGCTTATTTTGTAAAACTCCTTCTACTTTTTTAATACCCGAAAACTAATTTCATCCCTACTCCCTTGGCACTCAAGACCAAACTTCTTAAAAAAAAAAAAGGTTTCAAAAACTATCTTTAATTTTTTATGCCCTCGTATTTCCTTAACTAGAAACAATCTGGAAATAACTTCCATGTCCTACTACTTCCACGTGCCACTTACTTAAAAACACCATGATGTTCTAATTGTCAAACCAAAAAAAAAAAAAAAAAAACCCTTTTTTGGAAAATCCTTCTCTAGGCTCCATGATCTCTCTAATCTGCAAAAATTCTTTCTCACGGTATCATGAATCTTGTGGCTCTCCCCTCTTCTACAATCTCATCATTCTCTACATGCAGCAGCTGCTTCTCAGCAACAACCCTCCATCATGGAAGTAAAGCATGACAATGTTGTGGTCAGTTACCTACCTCTGAGTTACTTAACCATCTGCAGCTCAGTATCCTCTCATGTAAATTGGAGATAATAATAGGGCCCACAGCACAGGCTTATTGTGGGTACTAAATGAATAAATTTATGTACAGTGCTTACTTAAAACAGTTCCTGGCACATAGAAAGTGTTATGTACATGTTTGCTATTATTTTGCTGCTATTATTCACACTGCATATGTGTATATTGGTTCTAAGTCTTATTCCAGTTTAATGTATATCATGTTTAAATAGGTACATGATAGACTACATTAAAAATTTCTGGAAGTCTAATACAGTCTTATTTGTGCATTCCCCATAATGCCTTGGGCATTGTGGGCCTGCAAGTAATGTTATCTGAATTGTTAAACTGCTTACATTAGTGAAGTTTTACTTTCTATTTCTACTGTTTATACTTCTTGCTAAATTTTACTTTCATAGGCTCAAATGTAATCCATAGATTAGGATTACTTATAAAACTGGTGATTCTTGAAAATTCAGCACAGGAAGTATTTTAATTTTACCATGAAACCAAGATGCTGTGTCATTTTTTTCCTAAGAAATTAATTCTGCATTTAAATGAGAGGTTATCATAGTGTGTAGTGTGGTTTCTAGACCACTGATGGCCCACGAGTGCCCTCTGACTCGTCTTAGGGCTCATCACTTGTAGTTTGCAGGTTTATAAGACACCATCTGTGCTTTTGTTGCTGCCATGATTTCATAATCTATTTATGATGGTCAATAAAATCCAAATATTACTTCAGGGGTACACCAATCATGCTGTTAATTCTAAAAATTATTTTATTCTTATACTGAGAAAAAGTTGGCAGATGAGGGGGTTCACTGGATTTTATGTATAGCAACTGACCTGAGATTGATGAAGTGTGCTAACCATTTCTTTGGATAGTCTCTGAGCAGAAAAGGTTGCAAACTCTTCAAGACTTTTTCACATAGTCTGTCTTATCACAGACCAAAGCTTTCCTGTTGACCAGCTGCATATAATTGTATCTTTGTCTTTGAATCACAGACAAAGCTAGACATCAGCCATCAGTAATAAAGGACATAAACAAATAATGGAGTGATCTGAGGCCACTGACATTTTATCAAGACATAAACTGTATTTTCAGTTCTA
This sequence comes from Homo sapiens, assembly GCF_000001405.40. NCBI lineage: Eukaryota > Metazoa > Chordata > Mammalia > Primates > Hominidae > Homo > Homo sapiens. The sequence continues at coordinate 97,033,662 of NC_000001.11, read as the reverse complement.
AAGAACCTACTAAAATAACTCCAACTAACCAATGTTGTGCCTCATATTATTTATTTTGCCCATTTCAATATAAGCCCCAGTTACTCTAGAAAGCAGCTTGACAATGCATAACTTCTCCATTAGGAATATTTTTATGGAGCCCATAGTTATGAGTTCATTTGCTATTCACTGTAATAGCACATATCATAATGAATTCATTTAGTATTCATGTGGATAATGCAAACACCATTTAGTAACTGGTTAATGAACTGAGTGGAGTTCTTTATCCTTCCTGAATTTTATAAGAAACATGCTCATTTATTTAAATCATCAACTTCTTTTTAGCTTCATTTTACACATGGTAGCTTTTTGTTGTTGTTCTCCAAAGTCCAAGTAAAGAGCGAGAGAGCAAGGGACAGCTCTCTCTGGATAATGGAAATTCAACAACAAAGAGCCATGAGGCAAGAAGATAGAGCAATTAAATGTAATTATGTACAAGTTTACTACAGACTAGTTTTGACTGTTTTATTATGACAATTAAAAATCACCAAAGTAATAATACATATGCATCAATCTATGAGCTAAAAGTACTATTTTAATGCCCATTTTACAGATTACAAAACAAGATCAATAACTGAAATACAGAAGGATTAAGTAATTTATTCAAGCTCACATAGTAGTTAAGTGAAAAAGCTAGAGCTCAAACCCAAGTAGTCCCATTTCAGAGGCCATGGCCTTCACTCTTATACCAAACCACATGCCAGTGTCTCAGCTCTTTTGTAAAATAATGTTATATGTGTATCTTGCTTAATAAAGTTTTATTATAAAGTGATCAAAAACCTCCTGAAGCATTTTGAAAAATTAAAATGCCAAACAGCTTCAATAACCTACAGTAAAGTACTAAACCAAAAATTAGCATGATCCAGTTATATTGTGTTGGTAATTTGGGTTGCAATAACTAATTGCTTTTAGGTAGGGTACCCACACAGTCATCCAGGAAGAATTTTGTTTGGAACTCATGCCCACAAGGTAAAATATGGCATATTGCAGAGTAAAGTAGGCAAAAGAAAAGAGAAATACAGAAAACATAAAATAGAGTTCTCACCAACAAAGTTAAGACCACGAATAGAAAGAAGTAATGTATGATATGGGGTAGCAGTTATCACAGTAGATTTGCTCTTCTTAAGTAACATCTACAAGCCAAACAAAATCTACATGCAAAAATTAGAGGTTGTGATAGGAGGAAGAAGAAAAGACCTCCCTTCCCTTCTACATATGTGCACAAATTATTAATCAATGATTTTATATGAGAGATAAACAGAGCCTAAGAAGGCATGTGAATAAAATGACATCTGAAGGAAATATCTAAGTGATAAGAAATTAGAGAAGCCAGAGGAAGAGATGAGAATTATTTATTAATGTATATTCTTAGTTTTTCTACAGAGGATTTAAGGTAAATGTTATAAAATAGAAATCTGAATAAATTTGGTTTAGGAGTTTTTTATTCTATTTTTTTAAATTTATTTTTTGCCTTAAAGGATTTTTTCAAGAACAATTTTAGGTACATAGCAAAATTGAAAAGAAGGTATAGAGATTTCTCATATGTCTCTGCCCCCACACATGCATAAATAGCCTCCCCTGTGATCAACATCCCCCACAGGGTCATATATTTGTTACAGTTGATGAACCTACACTGACACATCATAATCACCCAAGGTCCATAGTTTACACTAGGGTTCACTCTTGGTATTGGACATTCCATGAGTTTGGGCAAATGTATAATGATATATATCCTTCATTATAGTACCATAAAGATTACTGCCTTAATAATTCTCTGTGCTCCATCTATTCATCCCTTGCTCTACCCTCACTCCTAGAAACCACTGACATTATTACTGTCTCCATAGTGTTGCCTTTTCCAGAATGTCGTATATAGTTAGAATCATGCTGTATGTAGCTTTTCCAGATTGGCTTCTTTCACTGAATAACGTGCTTTTAAGTTTCCTCCATATCATTTCAATGTTTGATCGTTCACTTCTTTTTTGTGCTCAATAATATTCCATTGTCTGGATGAACCACAGTTTATCTATCTGTTGACCTATTGAAGGACATCTTTTGATTCCAAGTTTTGGCAATTATGAATAAGGCTGCTAAAAACGTTGTGTGCAGGTTTTTGTGTAAAGGATTGAAAACATAAGCTTTCAATTCCTTTGGGTAAAATACAAAGGAGTATTATTGTTGCATTGTATGGTAGGATTAGTTTTGTAAAACAATGCCAAAGTGTCTTCCAAATGTCTATATAATGTTGCATTCTTATAAGCAATGAATGAAAGTTCATGTTGTTCCATATCTTGTTCCATATATTTACCTGCTTTTGGTGTTGTTCTGGATTTTGGCTATTCTTTTTTTATTTATTTTTTGCACGTCTTTTTTATTTTTATTTTTAATTGAAAAATAACAATTGTATATATTCAGGGGGTATGTAGTGATGTTTCAACACATATAATATATAACGAAAAGATCAGAGTAATTATATCTTCCATCTCAAACATTTATCATTTATTTGTGTTAGGAACATTCAATATTCTCTTCCTAGCTATTTGAGTCTATATAATATGTTATCATCATCCTGCAGTGTTATAGAACACTAGAACTTATTCCTCCTATCTAGCTGCAATTTTATATCCTTTAACTAATCTCTCTCTATCTCTCCCTTCTTCTTGCTCTTCCCAGCCTTTAGTATCCCCTGTTCTGCTTTTTATTTCTTTGAGATCAATATTTTTTCATTTCCACAAATCAGTGAGAATATGCAGTGTTACTTTCTATTCCTGGCTTATTTCACCTAACATAATATCCTCCAGTTCCACCCATGTTGCCATGAATAAGAGGATTTCATTCTTTTTTACACTTGAATAGTATTCCATTGTGTATATGTATCACATTTTTGTTATCCACTTGTCTGTTGTTGGACACCTGGATTGATTCCTTATTTGGATATTGTGAGTAGTGCTGCAATGAAGTTGTGGGCACAGGTATTTCTTGGATACTTGCTTTCCTTTCCTTTAGATAAATGGCCAGTAGTGGGATTGTTGGATCCTGTGATAGTAATATTTGTAGTTCTTTGAGGCACTTCCATACTGTTCACCATAGTGACTATACTAGTTTACATTTCCATCAACAGTGTATAAGAGTTTCCTTTACTCTGCATCCTCAGCAGCAATTTTTTTTTGTCTTTTTGATAATAGCCATCCTGCGTGGGGTAAGATAACATCTCATTATGGTTTTGATTTGCATTTCCCTGAAACATCAATGATGTTGAGGATTTTTTCATGTATTTTGATCATTTGTATGTCTTGTTTTGAGAAACATCTGTTCAGATCATTTGCCTATTTTAAAATCAGATTGTTTGTTTTTTTGTTGTTGAGATGTTTGAGTTCCATGGCCAGGTGCAGTGGCTCACACCTGTAATCCCAGCACTTTGGGAGGATGAAGCAGGCGGATCACCTGAGGTCAAGAGTTCAAGACCAGCCTGGCCAACTTGGTGAAACCCCATCTCTACTAAAAATATAAAATTAGCCGGGCCAGGTGGTGCATGCTTGTAATCCCAGCTATCTGGGAGGCTGAGGCACGAGAATCATTTGAACCCAGAAAGCAGAGGTTGCAGTGAGCTAAGATGGTGACACTGCTCCACTCCAGCCTGGGTGACAGAGCAAGACTCCATCAAGGAAAAAAAAGATGTTTGAGTTCCTTGCATATTCTGAATATTAATCCCCTGTTGAATGAGTAGCTTGCAAATATTTTTCTCCCATTCAGTAGGCTGTCTTTTCACTCCGTTAATGATCGTTTTCTTTGCTGTGTGGAAGGTTGTTAGTTTGACATAATCCCATTTGTTTATTTCAGCCTGTGCTTTTGAGGTCGTATTCATAAAATATTTTCCTAGACCAGTGTCCTGAAGTGTTTCCCTATGTTTTCTTCTAGTATACAAACTGGAAAGGAGAAAGTCAAATTGTCTGTTTGCAGATGACATAATCTTATATATAGCAAAACCAAAAGACTCTAGCAGAAAACCTCTTAGAACTGATATTCAGTAAAGTTGCAGGATACAAAATTAATATATAAAAATCAGTAGTATTTTTATTCACTAACAATAAACTAGCTGAAAAAGAAATTTAAAAGGCAATCTTATTTACAATAGCTACAAAAAATAAAATAAAATAAAATACTTAGGAACAAATTTAACTAAAGAGGTGAAAGATCCAGGAGATATACCTAATGTAAATGACGAGTTAATGGGTGCAGCACACCAACATGGCACATGTATACATATGTAACAAACCTGCACATTGTGCACATGTACCCTAAAACTTAAAGTATAATAATAATAAAAAAAAGAAGTGAAAGACCTCTACAAGGAAAACTACAAAATACTGATGAAAGAAATTGAAGAAAAGAAATGTAAAGACATCCCATGCTAATGGATCAGAAAAACTAATATTGTTAAAATGACAATACTATCCAAAGCAATCTACAGATTTGATGCAATCCTTATCAAAGTATGAATGACATTCTTCACAGTAATAGAAAAAAAATCTTAAAACTCAAATGGAACCACAAAAGACCCTGAAGAGCCAAATCAATCCTGAGCAAAAAGAACAAAGCTTGAGGCATCATACTACCAGACCTCAAAATATACTAGAAAGCTATAATAACCTAAACAGCATGGTACTGGCATAAAAACAGATGCAAAGACTAATGGAACAGAAGAGAGAACCCAGAAATTAATCCACATATTTACAGCCAACTAATTTTTGACAAAACTGCCGAGAACAAATACTAGGGAAAAGAGAGTCTCTTCAATAAATGGTGCAGTGAAAGCTGGGTGTCCATATGCAGGAGAATGAAACTAGACCTCCAACCCTATATAAAAATGAAATCAATTTCAATTTTCTGCCTATGGCTAGCCAGTTCTCCTAGCACCATTTATTAAGTAGGAAACCCTTTCCCCATTGTTTGTTTTTGTCAGGTTTGCAGAAGATCAGATGGCTGTAGGTATATGGCATTATTTTTCAGTTTTCTATTCTATTCCATTGGTCTATGTGTCCATTTTTGTACCTGTACCATGCTGTTTTGTTTACTGTAGCCTTGTAGTATAGTTTGAAGTCAGATAGCATGATGCCTCCAGCTTTGTTCTTTTTGCTTAGGATTGACTTGTCTATTCTGGCTTTTCTTAAGTTCCATATGAATTTTAAAATAGTTGTTTCTAATTCTGTGAAGAATGTCAGTGGTAACTTAATGGGAACATCATTGAATCTATAAATTGCTTTGGGCAGTATGGCTATTTTCATAATATTGATTCCTCCTGTCCATGAGCATGGAATGTTTCTCCATTTGTTGTATACTCTCTGATTTCTCTGAGTAGTGGTTTGTAGCTCCCCTTGAAGAGGTCCTTCACTTTCCTTGTTAGATGTATTCCTAGGTATTTTATTCTTTTTGTAGCAATTGTGAATGGGAGTTCATTTATGATTTGGCTCTCTGCTTGCTTGTTGGTGGTGTATAGGAATGCTAGCGATTTTTACACATTGATTTTATATCCTGAGACTTTGCTGAAGTTGTTTAGCAGCTTAAGATACTTTGGGGCTGAGACTATGGAGTTTTCTAGATATAGGATCATGTAATCTGCAAACAAATATAATTTGACTTCTCTTTCTATTCGAATACACTTTACTTCCTCCTCTTGCCTGATTGCCCTGGGCAGGACTTCCAATACTATGTTGAATAGGAGTGGTGAGAGAGGGCATCCTTGTCTTGTGCCAGTTTTCAAGAGGAATGCTGCCAGCTTTTGCCTATTCAGTATGATATTCGCTGTGGGTTTTCATATATGGCTCTTATTATTTTGAGATATGTTCCCCCAATACCCAGTTTATTGAGAGTTTTTAACATAAAGGGATATTGAATTTTATCAAAGGCCTTTTCTGCATCTATTGAGATAATCATGTGGTTGTTGTCTATATTTCTGTTTTTGAGATGAAACACATTTATTGATTTTTGTGTGTCAAACCAAACTTGCATCCCGGGGATCAATCCAACTTGATCATGGTGGATAAGCTTTTTGATGTGCTGCTGGATTCAGTTTGCCAGTATTTTCTTAAGGATTTTTGCATTATGTTCATCAGGGATATTGGCCTGAAGTTTTTCTTTTTTGTTGTATTTCCGTCAGGTTTTGGTATCAGGATGATGCTGGCCTCATACAATGAATTAGGGAAGAGTCCCTCCTCTTCAATTTTTTTGATGTGTTCCAAAAAGTTCCTTCTATTCCTTTCCCTTTCAATTTTTTGGAATAGTTTCAGTGGAAATGGTACCACCTTCTCTTTGAATTCTACCTTTGGTAGAATTCAGCTGTGAATTTGTCTGGGTCTGAGGTTTTTTTTTGGTTGGTAGGCCATTATTGCCTCAATTTCAGAGCACATTTTTGGTCTATTCAGGGATTCAATTTCTTCCTGGTTCAGTCTTGGGAGGGTGTATTTGTCCAGAACACTGTTCATTTCTTTTAGATTTTCTAGTTTATGTGCAGAGAGGTGTTTATAATATTCTTTGATGTTTGTTTGTATCTCTGTAGGGTCAGTGGTGATATCTCTGTTATCATTTCTGATTGTGTTTTGTTTATTTGATTTTTCTCTCTTTCTTTATTAGCTTAGCTAGTTGTCTATTTTATTAATTTCTTCAAAACACTAGCTCCTGGATTTGTTGATTTTTTTAAGAGTTTTTCATGTCTTTATCTCCTTCAGTTTGGCTCTGATCTTCATTATTTCTTGTCTTCTACTAGCTTTGGGGTTTGTTTGCTCTTGGTTCTCTAGTTCTTTTATTTGAGATGTTAGGTTGTTAACTTGAGACATTTCTAGATTTTTCATGTGGGCATTTTGTGTTAGAAATTTCCCTCTAAACACTGCTTTAGCTGCATCCCAGAAATCCTGGTATGTTGTCTTTGTTTTCTTCAGTTTCAAAGAACTTCGTGATTTCTGCCTTAATTTCATGATTTACCCAAGAGTCATTCAGGAGCAAATTGTTCAATTTCCATGTAGTTGTGTGGTTTTGAGTGGATTTCTTAATCCTGAGTTCTAATTTGATTGCGCTGTGGTCTGAGAGACTGTTTGTTATGATTTCAGCTCTTTTGCATTTGCTGAGCAGTGTTTTACTTCCTATGATGTGATCAATTTTAGAGAAAGTGTTGTGTGGCAATGAGAAGAATGTATATTCCGTCGTTTTAGGGTGGAGAGTTCTGTAGATATCTATTAGGTCCCCTTGATCCAGAGCTGAGCTCAGGTCCTGAATATCTTTGTTAATTTTTTGTCTCGATGATCTGTCTAATATTGTCAGAGGGGTGTTAAAGCCTCCCACTCTTATTGTGTGGGAGTCTAAGTCTCTTTGTAGGTCTCTAAGAATTTGCTTTATGAATCTGGGTGCTCCTGTATTGGGTGCATAAATATTTAGGACAGTGAGCTGTTCTTGTTGAGTTGAACCCTTTGAGGTAGTCTTCTTTGAGTTAAATCTGCTTGGTCTTCTATATTTTTCTTATACTTTGATATTAATATCTTTCTCTAGGTTTTAGAAGTTCTCAGTTATTATCCCTTCAAGTAAACTTTCTACTGATATCTGTTTCTCTACCTCTCCTTTAAGGCTAATAACTCTTAGATTTTTCCCTTTTGATGCTATTTTCTAGATCATGTAGGCATGCTTCATTGTTTTTTTCTTTTTTTCTTTTGTCTCCTGTGAGTGTGTATGTTCAAATAGCATGTCTTCAAGCTCACTAATTTTCTCTTCTGCTTGATCAGTTCTGCCATTAAAACACTCTGATGCATTATTCGTTATGCCAGTTGTGTTTTTCAGCTCTAGAATTTCTGTGTAATCCTTTTTAATTATTTCAGTCTTTGTTAAATTTATCTGATGGAATTCTGAATTCCTTCTCTGTGTTATCTTGGATTTCTTTGAGTTTCCTCAAAACAGCTATTTTGAATTCTCTGTCTGAAAGGACACCTATTTCTCTTTCTCCAAAATTGGTCCTTGGTGCCTTATTTAGTTCATTTTGTGAGGTCGTTTTTTTCCTGGATGGTCTTGATACTTGCAGATGTTTGTCTGTGTCTGTCTGGTCTTCATAGTCTGTGCTTGTTTGTACCTAGCCTTCCTGGGAAGGCTTTCCAGATATTCAAAAGGACTTAGGTGTTGTGATCTAAACTGTATCTGCTTTAGGGGGTGTCCCAAGGCCAGTAACACTGTGGTTCTTGTAGACTAATAGAGGTCCCAACTTGGTGGTCTTGGACAAGGTATGGATGAATTCTCTGGATTACTAGGCAGAGACTTTGCTCTCTTCATTTTCTCCTTAAGAACCAAAATCTCTCTCTCTCTGTTTTGAGCCATCTGGAGCTGGGGATAAAGTGACACCAGTACTTCTAGGGCCACCACCACTAGGACTGTGCTGGATCAGACCTGAAGCCAGAACAGCACTGGGTTTCACCCAAGGCCTACTGTAACCACTCCCTGGCTACCACCTACATTCCCTCAAGGCCTGGGGCTCTACAATTAGCAGGTGGCAAACCCAGCCATGTCTGTGCCTTTTCCCTGGCATCAGTTCCCTCAGTGCCCAGGCGGGTTCAGAGGTGCCATCCAGGAGCTAAGAACTAAAGTAAAAAACCTTAGAAGTCGACCTGGAGTTCTATTGTACTGTGGCTGATCTGGCACTCAAATCACAAGACATAGTTCTTCCTACTATTCCTTCCCCTTTCCAAAGGCAGAGGAGCCTCACCCCATGGCCACTGCCACCACCAGAACACAGGGGAGCACTGCCAGGCTACCGCTGATCTTCCCTTAAGGTCCAAGAGCTAAGTCAGCTTCCGGTCATTGCTGCCTGGCCTGGGATTCACCCTTCAGGGAATCCCAGTGGGAGTGGGCTCCACTCTGGCCCAGAGCAGGTCCAGAAATGCCATCCAAGAGCCAAGTTCTGGAATCGGGGACCTCAAGGGCCTGCTTGATGCTCTACCCCCCCAGTGGCTGAGCTAGTATCTAAGGTGCAAGACAAAGTCTCCTTTACTTTTCCCTCTCCTTTTCTGAAGCAGAAGGAATGTTGCCCCATAGCCATCACAGCTGGGAACATGCTGAATCTCACTTGAAGCCAGCAAGTCTCAGTGTCTCATTCAAGGCCCTCAGTGCAGTCTGTTAGTATTACTGCTAGTTATTCAGGGCCCAAAGGCTCTTCAGTTAGCGGGTGATGAATCTTGCCATGACAGAGTCCTTCTCTTCAAGACAGTGTGTTTCTTTCTGGCCTAGGGCATGTCTAGAAATGTCATCTGGTAGCTGGAGTCTGGAATGGGGGCCTCATGACTCTGACCAGTGCCCTATCTTACTGTGGCTGAGCTGGTATCCAAGATGCAAAACAAAGTTCTCCCCTCTCCTCTCCTCAAGCAGAAGGAAGAGGTCTCTTTTGGAGGCACAAGCTATGCAGCCTGGGGTTTGGGAAGGGGTGATACCTGCACTCCCTTAGCTGCCCCAGCTGGTATCTCAGTAGGTCATGTGTCCCCCCAAGTTCACTGGTTCTGGGCCCAGTTCAGCACTAGGGTTCACATAGGAGTTGCAGTCCTTGTTGCCTAGACTGCCTTTCAAGTTTATTTAGGGGCCCAGGTCCCTTTAGCCCAAGGTGACAAGGTTTGTGGGAACTCAAGTTAAGACTGCTGGGATCGGCTAGACGCGGTGGCTCATGCCTGTAATCCCAGCACTTTGGGAGGCCAAGGAGGGCAGATCACCTGAGGTCAGGAGTTCGAGACCAGCCTGCCCAACATGGAGAAACCCCATCTCTGCTAAAAATACAAAAAATTAGCCGGGCGTGGTGGAGAGTAATCCCAGCTACTCAGGAGGCTGACGCAGGAGAATAGCTTGAACCTGGAAGGCATAGATGCAGTGAGCTGAGATCACGCCACTGCACACCAGCCTAGGCTACAGAGCGAGACTCCACCTCAAAAAAAAAGAAAAAAATGACTGCTGGGATCAGTGATTCCCCTCTGGCTACGGCTGGTTTAAATTCTCCCTCTGTGAGTGAGCATCAGCTGAGTTGTTCTGGTTTTGCTTTCTGCTATAATGGGGCAGCACTGAGTTCAGTGCTTCTCAGTTGCTGCGCACTCCCTCTCCTGCTTCACAGAAATGCTCTCTGCACCACGTTGCCACTGCCAGGGGATGTGGGGAGGGGTGGCACTGGTAATTCAACACTGTTTTTCCAACCTCTTCAGTGTCTCTTTCAGTGATATGAAGTTAAAATCAGGTACTGTGAGTGCTCACCTGATTTTTTTGGTTCTTATGAAGGTGTTTATTTTTGTGTGTGGAAAGTTGTTAAATTGGTGTGCTTGCAGAGGAGACAATTGGTGTAACCTTATATTTTACCATCTTGACCTGCCTCTTTCTGTAGTTTTGTTTTTTTGGAATGTCTTTGCCTAATTTTGGTATTGGGGTAATGCTGGCTTCATAGAATGAATTAGGAAAAAACACTCTTCTCTGAAAAAGGTTGTAGTAATTGACACGTTTTTTCATTGAATGTTTGGTAGAATTCACCAGTGGAGCCATGTGGGCCTAGTACTTCCTGTTTTGGAAGCATATGAATTGTTGACTCAATTTCTTTAATAGCTATAGTCTATTAAGATTGTTCATTTGTGTGTGAGTGTGAGTTTTGGCAGATTGTATCTTTTGAGAAATTGGTCTATTGGATCTAAATTGTCACATTTGTAGGCATAGAGTTGCTCTTAGTATTTCTTTATCATCCATTTAATGGTCATAGGACCCGTTGTGATATCTACTCTTTCATTTCCAATATTACTAATGTGTATCCTTCTTTTTTTCTTAGTTTGCTTGGCTAGGGGCTTATAAATTTTATGGACTTTTTAAAAGTGTCAGGTTTCGGTTTTGTTGATTTTCTCTATTGATTTCCCATTTTCAATTTCATTGATTTCTTCTTCAATTCTTATTCTTCCTTTCTTTCTTCTGCTTAAATTGAACATAATATGCTCCTTTTTTCCTAGATTCTTAAGGTGGAAGCTTAGGTTATTGATTTTAGATCTTTTTTTCTTTTCTAATATATGCACACAAGACTATACATTTCCCTCTAAGCACTTTCACTGAATCCCAAATTTTGATAAATTGTGATTTTATTTTTATTTAATTCAGAATATTTTTTCTCTTGAGATTTCTTCTTTGACTCATGTGTTATTTAGAAGCATATTGCTTAACCTCCACATATTTTGGAATTTTTTAGTTATACTTTTGCTATTGATTATTATTTAATTCTATTGTCATCAGAAGCAGACATTAATTTTTATGCTTTTAAATTTGTTCAGGTGGATTTCATGGCCCAGAATATGTTCTACCTTGGTGAATTTTCCATGTGAGCTTGAGAAGAATATGTATTCTACAATTGTTGAAATAAATAGTCTATGGAAATCAAATTATATCCAGTTGATTGATGGTGTTATTGAATTAAACTTCGTTTTTACTTATTTTCTGCTTACTAGATTTGTCCATTTCTGATAAAGGGGTGTTGAGTTATCCAACTATGATAATGGATTCATCTATTTCTCCTTGCACTTCTATCGATTTTTGCTTTATCTAGTTTGATACTCTGTTGTTAGGTGCATACACACTAAGAATTATTACGTTTCTTAGACAGTTGACCAATTTTTCATCATGTAATGCCCTTCTTTATCCCCAATAACTTCTTTTGCTTTGAGAGCCGCTTTGTCTGAAATTAATGTGTCTTCTCTTATTTTATTTTTATTCATGTTTGCATGGTATATTTTTCTTCACACATTTACTTTTAATTAGTATGCGAGTTTATATTGAAAGTGTGTTTCTTACAGACAACATACAGCTGGGTCTTGTTTTAGAATCCACTCTGACAATCCTTGTCTTTTAATTGCTGCATTTAGATCATTGCCACTCTAAATTATTATTGATATAGCTTGATTAATATCTATCATATTACTATGTTCTATTTCTTGATCTTATTCTTTGTTCCTAGTTTTATCTTCCACTCTTTTTCTGCCTTTTGTGATTTGAGCATTTTTTCCATTTTCTATTTTTCTTGCATATTAGTTCCTCTTCCTCTTTTTCTTCTTCATCTTCCTTGTCCTCCTCTTCCTCCTCCTCCTCTTCTCCTTCAGCTCTCTTCTTCTTATTTTACTTTTTATGGTGGTTGCCCTAAACCTTCTACTATACATTTACAACTAATTTAAATCTACCTTCAAATAACATACCAATTCACAGGTAGGGTAGTGCGAATACTTTATAACAATAAAATAATCCTAATTCCTCCCTCTGATCCCTTGCATCATTGCTGTCATTTATTTCACTTCTATGTGAGCACATATATATGTGTGTATATTATATTAATATATACACACTCAAGATATGTGAGTAATATGGAAACACACATATTCAAATACATTGTTGCTATTATCATTTAGAACAGTCATCTGTAAGATCAATTGAGAATAAGAAAAATAAAAGTTTTCATTTTACTCTCACTTATTCCTTCTTTGATATGATTCCTTTCTTTATGTAGACCTATTTCTGACCTATTTTATTTTTCCTTCTCTCTAAAGAACTTGTTTTAACATTTCCTTCAAGGCAGGTCTACTAGGTAAAAACTTTCTTCAGTTTTTGTTTGTCTGAGAAAGTCTTAATTTCCCTTCACTTTTGAAAGATAATTTTGCAGGACACAGAATTCTAGGCTGTTGAGATTATTTAAAATAGTTTGCTCTACTATCTTCTTCCTTGGATGATTTTGAAGAGAGTCAGATGTAATTTCTGTTTTTACTCCTCTAAAGGTAATATCTTTTTTCCTCTGGCTTTTTGCAGTATTTTCCCTTATCTTTGATGTTCTATAGTTTGAAAGATATATGCCTAGGTATGGATTTTCTGGTATTTATCCTTTTGGCATTCTTTGAGCTTCTTGGATCTATGGGTAGGTGTCTGACATTCATTGAAAAAAATAACTGAGGATTTTAACAAATTAATGTCAGACACCTACCCATAGATCCAGAAAGCTCATGTATTAGCATGAGCATTAGCATATCTATTAACCCCATGTATTTATCATTTCTCTGGCAACCACTGTTCTGCTCTCTATGATATCAAGTTTTGGGTTTTTTTGTTTTGTTTTACATTCCACAAATGAGTAAGACCATGCAGTATTTGTCTTTCTACATCTGGATTATTTTAATTAACATGTTATCCTCTGGGTTCATCCATGTTGTTGCAAATAACAGAATTTTAATCACATCATGACCGAATAGTATTTCCATTGTGTATATATACACCATATTTTCTTTATCTATTCATCCATTTTTGGATTGTTGGGCACTTGTAATGATTCCATATCTTGGATATTGTTAATAGTGCTGCAATAAACATGAGAGTGCAGATACCTCTTTGACATAGTAATTTCTTTTCCTTTGAATATATACCCAGTAGTGGGATGGCTGGATCATATGGTATTTCTGTTTTTAATTTTTTGAGGAATCTCCATGCAGTTTTCCATAGTGGCTGTACTAATTTACAATTCCACCAACAATGTGTTTGTGTTCCCTTGTCTCCACATCCTCACCAACACTTGTTTCTGTTGTCATTTTGATTATAGCCATTCTCACCGAAGTGAAGTAGTATGTCATTATGGTTTGGATTTGCATTTTCCTGATGATTAGTGATGACAAGCATTTTTCCATGTACCTGTTGGCCATTTGAATGTCTTCTTTTGATAAATATCTATTGGGGTATTTTAGCCATTTTTTAAATTTAGTTGTTTATTTTTCTACAGTTAAGTCTCCTAAATACTTTGGAAGTCTGGGTATTAACCCCTTGTCAGGTATGTAGTTTGCAAGTATTTTCTCCCATTCTGTAGGCTGCATCATCACTGTATGGTTTCCTTTGCTGTGCAAAAGTGTTTCAGTTTGATTTAATCCCATTTGTCTATTTTTATGTTTGTTGCCGGTGCTCTTTAGATCTTATTCAAAAAATCCCTGCCCAATCCAAGTCATAAAGTGTTTCCCTATGTTTTCTTCTGGTAGTTTAATAATTGGGGGTTTTACATTTAAGTCTTCAATCCATTTTGAGTTGATGTTTGCATTTGGCAAGAGGTAGAGGTCTAGTCTCATTCTTCTGCACGTGGATATTTAACTTTCTCAGCACCATTTGTTTTAGGGACTGTCTTTCCCTCAATTTGTGTTCTTGGCACCTTTGTTGAAAATCAGTTGGCTGTAGGTACATGCATTTATTTACGGGCCCTTTATTCTATTCCATTGAGTTACATGTTTGTTTTTATGCCAGGACCATGTTGTTTTAGCTACTATATCTTCATAGCATATTTTGAACTCAGGTTGTAGGATGTCTCAAGCTTTTTGCTTTTTGCTCAGGTTTGCTTTGGCTATTCAGTATTTTTGTGGTTCCACTTGAATTTTAGGATTGTTTTTTCCATTTTTGTGAATTATTTTTTGTCTCTATTTTGTTTACTTCTGTGGTGATCTATCCTGGAGAATGTTCCATATACAATTGAGAAGACTGTGTATTCTGAAGCTTTTGGATAGAATGTTCTGTAAATGTCTGTTAAGTCTATTTTGTCTGTTTTGAAGTTTATGTCTGATGTCTCTTTGTTGATTTTCTGATTAAATGATCTGTCCGTTGTTGAAAGTGGGGTGTTGAAGTTTCCTAATATTATGGTATTTCACTCTATTCTTCCTTTTAGATCTAATAATATTTGCTTTATGTATCTGGGTGCTCCAGTATTTGTGCATATATAATTGTTATATCCTCTTGTTGAGTTGAGCCTTTTATCATTATATAATAGTCTTGTCTCTTTTTATAGTTTTTAACTGAGAGTCTATTTTATCTAAGTATGAATACTCCTGTTCACTTCTGATTTCCATTTGCATGCAATATCTTTTTCCATCTCTTCACTTTCAGTCTATGTTTGTCTTTAATAGTGAGATGATTCCCTTGGAGGCACCATATAGTTGGGTCTTCTTAAAAAATCCATTCAGCCACTGTTTAACTTTTAATTGAAGAACTTGATTCATTTGCAATAAAGGTTATTATTGAGATTATAATTTTGTCAATCATTTTCTGGTTTTTAGAGGATCTGTCTTTAGATCCTCTGTTATTATTTACACCTGTGGTTTGGTGATTTTCTTGTGGTGCTAAACTTTATTTCCTTTCTCTTGTAGTTTTTTCTTGGTAGCTAAGCATGATGAACCAGGCAAAAGAAACTGTTGTAAATAGGTCTTTAGTAATGTGGTGATAAGGTGTGGGCAAGGGGAAGCATTCTATAGTTTTATAATCAGGTCTCAGTCTTTTATGAGCCTGTGACTCTGGTCTAGGCACTTCACTAGTGATTCTTCATTTCCCATCTCCCTTAGGTGGGACAGGATGGCTAAAGTGGGCTAAATTTGGGTATTTTCCTTTCTCATGTGAAAAGTTAAAGCTGACTGGAGTTGAGTACGTGCCTTCCCCCAGGTCAATTAGGCTCTGATAATAGCCCAGCAGGTGGGGCTCTGGTTAACTAGTTTCCCATGTGGGCCTTATTAAGAAGAATGGAGTGCTCTGGCATATTTCAAAATGGCTTCTTTTCCCCTTCCCTTCGAGAAGCATAAGGACATTTTCTCTGATATTTACTGTGAAAACCTGGTTAAACTCCTGGAGATAAAACTGACAAAAATGTGGGAGGCCCCCTGGAGTTTTTGACTCAAATTTGTCCACACTAAGCCTCTAGCAATTCACAAATTACAGTTCAAGTTTTCTTACTCTAGCTGTTGTTCCCATGTCTGTTTCCTCTCCCGAGTCTCTTTTCTGACAAGCCATGACTCCCTGCATTTGCCTGTCTCTTTAGTCTTGGGTTGAGCAGTTTGGTTGCATCCTCAGCTCTCTGATGGACCTAAGGAAAGTTGATTTTTCAATCTGTTCAATTTTTTACTTGTTTTTAGGATAGAGTGGCAACTCTAAGCTCTGTATGTATGAAACCAGAAACTGAAAATCAATGAATTGTTTTTTAAACTCCAGGACCAGAGATATTAGAGTACAGGTAGCCTAAAAAGACCTCTTCAATGCCTGTGATTAAGATTTGAATTTGACTCTGAGCTTTCTGGATTCCAATGTGAAATAGTGAAATGGGTTTCACACCAGAGCCACATTGAATAATGTGGTTAAAAAAGGTCCTCAATAATATTCCTAAATAACTAATACAATGATAGGATTTATCAACCTTTTCTTATAGTCATACCGTAATGAAAGGCCTGAGGGCCTGAAACACCAAAGCATGTTTCAATTAAAGAATCACTCTGACATGGTCCTACCACTATTATTCAGAAAAGGTAAAAGGATCTAGTCCACCTATTTAATTTTAGACAAAAGAAAAGAGAACTATAAGGATTTTAATTTGTTCATTTTCTTCTCCAGTACTCACGAACGTTACATGTTGAAAGATGGTACTCCCAGAAAAAGTATAAGTTGATCATTTCCCCCACCTTCTCTCTTTTTTAAAACCAAAGACATTTATAACTCCTCATCAGAGATTCTGATCAGCATGAACCAGTTTCTCTATACTGAGTTGACCTAATTGGAGCCAAAAGAAAAGAAACAATGAAGTACTATTGCAGATCAATTTAAGGCTTCCCTCAGGCTCTTGAAATAATTAAAAATCCATAAGGATTCCCAATATAGTCTCTTATTTGATACTCACTGGATCAGGTCACAGGAAATTACATATATATATGGAATTTTATGTCTTGCTTGCATTTTATAAATTTTTCTGGAGTATTTCACATAAAATAAGGAAATAATTTCATATATTTTATTTAAAGTCAGGACATCTTCTGGGCCAAATAGGTGACTTTTAGAAATGGAGTTAGGACATGATAATCTGATTACATATATATCTCTCTATATGTAAGTGTATACTGTCATTGTTAGAGGAAGAAAGAAAAGACTGGAGACAATAATGAACCAAAAAGAAAATAAAGAAGAGTAGGAGATAGGGGAAGGGAAGGAAAGGAAGGAAGAGACTTAAAGAGGATAATAAGGAGAGGGAATAAGAAAGATTAAAATAGCTTTCATTCACACTATGCAGCCAAACTACCTATACTATGTAGCACTAGACTCAGTGCTTTATAAGTACAGTCTCATTTATTTTTCATATTTGCACCAATTTAGAAATGAGGAGACAAAGGCAGAGAAATGGTGAGTAACTTTTCCAAGTGTATGCAGCAAGTATAGAGATGGGATTTCAATTTCTGGTTAGTCTGAGTCCAAGGTGCTTTGATATACAACACTATGCTTTTCCCAATAAAATAAATGAGGGAAAAAGCTTTAAGAGATGAAAAGGAAAAAAAATACATACATATATATATATATATATATATATATAAGCTTGAAAGAAGGGCACAGGAAAGGAGTCAGGGGTATGCAGGGACAGGTAATATGAAAAGAAGCTGAAGTGGCAGCCTTGCCAACCTCCAGTTAGTTTTATTGTGTCTCTACCTTGTAAAAACATAGAAGTTTTCATTACTGTTGGGTAATTGATGGCAGATCATATGGGAATGAACACAGGATAAAATGTACATATAAAAATAAATATGGTAAGAGGTTTTTGAAACCTGTCTTGCTTCTTAGCTCAGCATACTTTAGATTTGTCTCTCATTTGGGGCAGACTATCATGTCCTAACTCCATTTCTAAAAGTCACCTCTTTAGCCCAGAAGATGTCTTGGTTTTAAATAAAAGATATGAAAGTACTTCCTTATGTGAAATACTCCAGACAAAATTTATAAAATGTAAGCAAGACACAAAATTCCATTCTTAAGGTAAACGTATAATGGAGATATATAGGATTTATGAACACTAAAGGGTGCAAATAAAATCTGTCTCCCAACTTTGTGGGGTGAAATAATTCTCTGGCTTGTTTTGTTCTTCATAAAAGTCAGAGTTTCAATAGGTTTATTGTAGCACCAGAGCTGAAAAGAGCTGCGAAAGATTGCCAAAAACAGAAATAATCTTTAAATAAAATAAAAACATAACCACTGTGCAATTTTTTATTTTGAACATATAAAAGATAGCAGCATTGATATTTGGCTAGAAAGTTACGATAAAAAATGTAAAATCAAAGACAAGTTGACAGGATTGGAAATGCTCCACCATGGTGAGTAAACACAGCAATGAGAGGTATATGGTAGCAAAGCCTTTGTAGCAGGATTGGTAGCCTTTTTGGAAATCCATCCTCAGGCAAACAGATAATATTTTGTCCCTAAATACTTCAGTCTCCTGTGAAAAGAGCTGTTACAAAAGTCAGGCCACACCTGGGTCAAAGAGCCAGTTTACTCACTGTCTACTTTATGTCTCCAGAGTCTTGATAACTGAAAGTAAATGATGACAACACTTTGCGTTACCTTGCCTTACAGAAATATTGCTCCAGTTAAACAACAACAAAAAAATTTCTGCTCATCTCTGTAACGATGCCTATTTGTGAGGCTGACAGGCTGATGAGCTATCTTGCTGTTATGGGCAGAAATGTGTCCCCTAACCCACACTAAATTGAAGCTTTAATCCCCAGTACTTCAGAGTGTGGCCACATTTGGAGATGGGGACCTTAAAGAGAGGATTAAGTTAAAATGAGGCCATCGGGCTAGACCCTAATCCAATCTGACTTGCGTCCTTATAAGAAGAGAAATTTGGACACACGGAGAGATACCAGGTATGTCGGCCAACAGAAGAAAGACCACGTGAGGACTCAGTGAGAAGGTGGCCATCTGTGAGCCAAGGAGAGAGGCCTCAGAATCAAACCAACCCTGCTAACACATTGGTTTTGGACTTCTAGCCTCCAGAACTGTGAGAAAATGATTTCTGGTGTTTAAGCTACCTAATATGATATTTTGTTATGGGAGCCCTAGAAGACTAATAGACCTGCCTTTTTCTCGGGAGTCTTTCAGCTAGGATGGAGAAGAGAGTCCCCTCCCAATCTCTCCCTGCCCTAATGGGTTTGTAGAGGGTAGACAGCTGGCAGTCTGGCCCTTCTGTGGTTCTCTTCTTTCTCTTCACACACCCTGTCCTTTGCATCTTCTTATCCCTTTGCCAATACTCTAATAACCATTTGTTATTTTGAAGACAAAGTGTTCCTTGTTTTTCTATTCCCTTCTGTCTACTATTGTTTCACTCTTTTGCTTATGGAGAGATGGTTTGCAAGTTTTCCAAAAGAAATAAATTATTCCACAACGGGTGGAAAACCTTTAGTTTGGACATAAGTTTCTAGCTGAACCCTAAGTCATTATTTGCAGGAGGTGAAAAGGTATATTTTGGAGAATTTTTATCTCCATTATAAAGACAGTCTGGAGGCTCCACCTCATCTCATATGTTCTTGACATAATAAAAATTAGAACTGTACTTAAGTTTTTCCTAAAGTTGTTTTCTGTCCTATTACTGAGCGATTTGGTAAAAATGTGTTTTTCTTGGAGTTGGCTATGTATTTCTTGAAATATTTCCAAAAGATGCAAAGGGTCAGACTCTAGGTTCAAATCAGTTCCAAATAACACATGAGTCATTGCTTCTAGATTTCCTGCCCCTGTCCTAGTGTCTAGAAAACAGAGGAAAGGGAGCCTGAAAGTTCTTCCCAAAGGACTTGGAAGGAAAGTGGGACAAGGATAAAACTAACCAAGGTACTTTTTTTCAAGGTGGCAACTTCAGGAGGGTGTCTGTCGGCTAGGGCATATATTTAGATCAATTACAGTCTGTGTAAGCACACTTCATTTCTTGTCAATTTTGCACCTTTCTTGCGTTTGTCCCACCCTGTGTCACCCTTTGGCTCCTTGTTTTCCCCATATATACCAGCTTGTCCTTTCAAGCTGCTAGGACAGCCTACTATCACCATAAATTAGAGATTATATTTATTCAACATTAAATTGTTTTTTGAACTTTCTGTACAAAAGCACATTTATTCCCAGGTGCAAAAAACATTACTACAAATTAGCCCTAGTATTATTATCATCATGTTCCCAGAGTTCATGCTAAACAAAAGAGATTTGTTAATATCAAATATAAATCTACATATAAAGCACCTTTAAAAAATGTATTTGAGCTGAAATTGTTGATGTTCATTTTTCCAAATGATGGGGCTCATTGCTGCATGTATCCATCCACAGCACACCACTATTTCTCACACTCACTGATGCTGGCCAAGAAGAAAATCTTCAACCTGACTTCCATATATTTTCAAATATGTGAAGTCCCAAATGTAAATGTATTTTTCTTACTTAATGCAAATAAAAAAGAATGAGAAAGAAATTTCTTCTTCCCGTCTTG
Organism: Homo sapiens; assembly: GCF_000001405.40. Lineage (NCBI taxonomy): Eukaryota > Metazoa > Chordata > Mammalia > Primates > Hominidae > Homo > Homo sapiens. The sequence goes on along the minus strand of NC_000001.11, from coordinate 97,013,318 downwards.
GCTCTAGTTCAATGCTGAAAATGTGACCTCCACAAAATGCAAGCCTTTTCCAATGACATAATTCCTAAATAGACTCTTATCCAGAACCATCTTTTACTCAGCATAGCTATAGCAATGTAAGGCAGCTGTAGCTAGACCAGCGATATTTCCCAGTTGCAAATTTCAGATTCTTCAAAGGGCTAACCCAGGTCTACATCTTAGAATTGTGTTACACAATGTCCTGTGCATACTAATTCTATTTTTCTCCTTTCATTAAAAAGCACCAGGTGACAGGTACAGCATCAAAAAACTTTGACAATTTAGTCACTGAACTTTGCATGTACACTTTCATTCTCTGCTTAAAGCTACCTTAATCATAGTCCTGGATTCTTCCAGAAGTCATTCAGTAGAAGGTCCTAGCTATTCTTCTAAGATAGGTGCTTCTTATTCCCATTGGCTCCTCATTGCAAGTTTATCTCGCTTTAAATGTACTCATCTAAAAATCCAAATTAAGGATAATATTATTTACTTCACAATAATGTTACTTTTGCTGAAAGACATGATAAAATTTTTCCATATAATTACCTATTTATTAAATTAATGAAATTCAATGTGCATACCATTTTCCCAGTATATTCATCGAATGGTATAAATCAAGAAATATGTTTTCAAGCCCCCTAATAGTTACCTCTATAACTTAATGCTAACTTCAAACAAATAAATTTAGTTGAGTTTTACTTTTCAGCAAACCAGCATTGTCTATTCATCACCCGGTCCCTTCTCCTGGGAACTTCTCCATTTCTATTCCATTCACATATTTCTATGAGACTGACATGTTTTCACAAATGATCCTATTTCTCCATCTCAAGTCACATTTGATTTATTCTAGGGGTGGGAAATTAACCCAAGTTAGGTCAATAAAATAAATTGCCTTGGATTGACATCACGACAATGACAAAACTGTCACCCTCTTGTGATAAGATGTAAAATATAAAACTTATAAGCTATGGTCATTTATGTTTCCTGCCATTTGAAGAAAGTGAGTTGGAAGTAAAAGAAAATGAACGCAAATAAAAGCAGATTAGAACCAGCGGGACCTATCGGTATTTGCTTCCCTGTGTGAGTTGTTCCTGAGGCCTCATGGCCTCCCTGCTCCTTCCACAACTTCGCTGTTCAGTAGTTCTTTGGACACCACAATTCAATAAGTTTGTTTTCTTCCTTAAGTTACTGCAGGTTAGATTTCTGATATGTATGAAAAGTCATTACATGCTTGAAGCCTCAATAATATCTTTTTAAATTAAACATTCTCTGAAATGATAATATGAAATTAAGTTGTTCTGGAAAGTAGGTATAATTTTTTTTTTTTTTTTTTTTGAGATGGAGTCTCGCTCTGTCGCCCAGGCTGGAGTGCAGTGGCGTGATCTCGGCTCAGTGCAAGCTCCGCCACCCGCGTTCACGCCATTCTCCTGCCTCAGCCGGTATAATATTTTTAAGAATCCAAAATCAGGCTATAAAACTGCTGAAATGACTCAAGTGCTTACCAGGAGGACTGATTGTAAGACTGGATAGATGTAGTTTAGGTCAACAGCAAACATCAACTACTAAGAGAAGGCACATCCTCTCCTTTAAGGAGGGACGCTCTCCTGATTAGAAAGGACCAGTGTTAGAGAGTCACAATCTGATGGTACAATATGGCCATGCTCATCTTCTCTTCTCTTTTTTACCAAGCAAATGGGTTCAAATCATAACTCAGCTGCTCACTAATTTTGTGATCTTGAGCAAATTCCTTAGCTTCCCTATACCTCAGTTTTCTTAACAGTAAATAAGGACAACAACACATTCATCACTGGGTTTTGGTAAAGGGTAAATGAGTTAACTTGGCCTAATGCCTATACAGATTTAAGCTCTTAATGAATGTTACCTATTTATTCCTAGTATAATCGTCATTATTATCATTATAGTCTCCCTCTAAAACATAGAATATTAGATTGCAAGAACATGGGACACTTGCTATTACAAAGAGAAACTTGTGGTGAAAGAGAAACTCTAGAGAATCTTAGTTAAAGATTATAGGACCATGAGTTCACCTTGATTTTTAAAAATTTGAATTTGAATGCAAACAGCATATTTTTCTGGGGAATGGCCCTTTGTTTTCATCAACTACTCAAAAATCCTGGCCTATAAAAAGTTAAGAACCCCTGCTAACAGAAAATAAGACGTATAGGTTTTAAACTAGAAATTGAAACTAGAAACCTTAGAGCTGAGAATAGAACATATATAGGTTTTTGGGGTTTTTTAAGGCTTAATGTTTCTACCCCATCTCAAAGAGTTAGTTGGGGAAATACAAATAATGCTAACTGCTGATAGTTCATAGGGGAGGGGAGGGAAGGAAGGAAGGGTCTGGGAGAGGAAGAGAACAACAAGAGGCAGTGCAAAGAGAGGAAGAGAGTGAAAGGGAAAAATTTTAGGAAAGCAATACAGACCGCAGTTTTGGCCATTTCACTCAATGCATGTATGTCCCAGAAAGAATTGAAGACGGAGTGTGAGAATATGAAAATTTGCTCCTCGAGTCAGCCCCAGTTCTCACGTGCCCCTCATCATGCAAGTATCTGTGCTATGTTGACTCAGATTCTAATGCTTAAAAATATGTATTTCTCATACATTATGGCCCTAAATGAAAGGCACCTACTACATCTGGTGCACAGAAATATCTACTGATTTATCAAACCTGGGAATAAAGCTGGCAGTGTAGCATTCACTGAGAGATTGTCTCAGTCTTCAATATGGCATCTTCTTGAGATTTTCAAGGGTAATTTTGATGGCATATGTCTTTTATCCTTCATGATTATAGTAGAACTTATCACTTAGAAAAAAAACTCCTGTGTCCTGACTCTGCATTTAGCATGCCACATTTAAGAATAACCAAGAATTGTTATGGCACTGTCTCTATAAGTTTATGTGCAGCTTCTTTCAGACTTGAGCCTGAAGGAACCCATTTAGGCCTCCCATTTCAGAGCTCCAGAATGTCACAGGTGTTGTTGTGTCATCTCCATCTCATAAATAGTTGTATCGTATGACTTGCATAGACTCAAAAGTGCTAGAATTGATGGGACCCTTTGGGAGAGGATGCAATGATAGCACATTATTCTGTTAAGGGTCCATTTGTCATTTTACATTTTTTTCTTGACATCTGGTTGTGGCAAGATCTCAGAGTGACACTTGTCCACTATTTTCACTGTGGTATCCATTGACAACTTAACCTCTGCCTGAGAGGCTTGGAGCATGTAAGATTTTCAAAGCTTAAATCTGAGGAATCCAATGTTTCTTGTCTGACTTTGTCTCCCATCATAAAATCGATCTTAGTTTTCTTTTCATTAGTCCATCCCAAAGACCAAATGTAGTATGTAATCTGATAGACTACACTGAAAAATGGAAAGTATTTCTCCACAGTATAGAGTCAACATGGAATCTGCCTGCATACACAGTTCCTTTAGTCAAAATGAATACTCGTCTCCTGAAGCATATTCTTACTGTTTTTGTCCTAACTTGCTTTAAGAATAGGGAAGGCACTTCATCAATACACAAATGAATTGGAGATTCGTGTAGTCAACCAAGAAGTCACTGTTAAAGAGCTTCTCTTTTTAACAGTGTCTTCTTGTATCCTCTAACTTTTTAAAGAAAATGTCCTATCACTATGTATAAAGCTAAAAATAAAATGTGAAACAAAAACTCAGTAAAATCAATATCAGTGTGAAGCAGAAGTGACTTTAGAAAAGTTATTCCTGGCTGGGTGTGGTGGCTCACGCCTGTAATCCCAGCCCTTTGGGAGGCCAAGGTGGGTGGATCACGAGGTCAGGAGTTCGAGACCAGCCTGGCCAACATGGTGAAACTGGGTCTCTACTGAAAATACAAAAAAAGGAGCCGGGCCTGGTGGCGCACTCCTGCAATCCCAGCTACTCAGGAGGCTGAGGCAGGAGAATGGCTTAAACCCGGGAGGTGGAGGTTGCAGTGAGCTGAGGACACGCCATTGCACTCCAGCCTAGGTGACAGAGCAAGACTCCATCTCAAAACAAAAAAAAGAAAAAGAAAAGGAAAAAGAAGTTAGCCCTAAAAGTGTATTCTTAAAAAAAACTATTACTCATTTGAATGTGATACATAAAATTTATATATGACAAAAAATAGAAATGCTATGAACAAATTAATTTTTCAATGCTAACATCACTTAATCACTACTGTCCATCAGTAGTTCACACAATAATACTATGCAACATTTAGCCTGACCTCCTTCCTTTATGTGTAATTATTGCCAGAAATGAGATATACCTGTGTCAGTTCACAATTTCAAATTACCTCTATGTGATAATTTATGTTAATAGCATAATAGCATAACAATGATGGATAATGTGTACCAACATTTACAAATCGGTTGCAATGCATTTCAGTTACAATTCTCTTCCTATCTCTGATCAGCAGCAAAATCAAATTAACAGTGCAACCGTTAGTTACTGAATTATCCTAACATGTAGAGCCTTTACTTGGACACCTTTTCATTTGTAGAACTGCTCTAGGATTCTAAGTGCAGCCAAACAGGCAAGAGAATCAACCAAATCATGCACAAGTGCTGCTAATGATTTTGTATGGAGCAACAGGAGGTGACACTAAAGGACTCATGGTCTGGTTAAGACCAAGAAGAGAATGCAGTTGATATTACACCAGAGTGCGATGGCTTGTGTTATATGGAATAATATGGTATGGGTTGAAAACAAATGAACCAATGGCTCACCTCCCTCTTGTGTCCTAGCCACAGACCAAAGTAAAGTCTGTGCAAAGGTCCCCAAGGGTAGAATTTCAACTGGTCCTCATTTCTTTAAGGCTCTTGAGAATCTCAGTGACTCAGTATTTCCTCAAATGCTTGCCACAGCTCAGAATTCAGGGGCATGCAAGGCTTGTTCCATTATTTATGAGGCAGGGCTAGGCCTGATAGGAGCAAATCAAAACACTCTACTCAAAGGAATCCTTTGAAAGTTCAGTCCTTAATCAAATGCACCATGTAGTGCATTTAAAGAAAATGTCTTATAACCTTGTATGTAACTTGAAAATGTGATGCTCACACTTCCTCTGATAGGAAGGCACAGTAGTGCTCCTTATTCTAGATACATGACCAGATACTTTAACCATTGGGAGCACTACATTCCTTTTGGGTGGAACCCTATTTCTTTCTTAGGGAGAGCTTAGAACTGTGGATGGTACCCATCTTGGAAATGCCTATCCTATCACCACCACAGCCATGTGTTGAGGAAATCTTTATGCTTATACCATTTACAATTTGCAATTCCTTCATGTGCTCTCAGTATGTTACCCATTCAGAATATTTTTGTTGCTAAGGAGAAATTGTGTAGCTACAGTAGGCTTAGGATTTTCCCCAAATTAAGGAATCCTGCAAGCTGTTACTAATCAGGCAAAGAAACCTAACAAGCCAGGAAGTTTGTGCATTAGAAATCAGAGAGTCCTTGCTTCTCTACTGGATTCACCTAATACTGAAAAATTCCCTTACTGCTACTTCTACAAAAAAGCTGTCTCTCAAACTCTATGGGCACAGAGGTTAGAAGCACTATGCCTGGAATAGGAGTGCCTGGGTCTGTTTTCCTCCCACTACTTACCAACTGTGTGACCCTAGGAAAATCACTTAACCTTGTTGTGTTTTAGTGTCCTTGTCTGAAAATTAGGAAAACAGTAATGTCACTTCATAGGATAGCTGTGATGATTAAATACATGTAAAGTCCTTAGAACACGCCTAGTCATAGTGCTCAGTAAACACTAATTCATCTATTGTTCTACCAAAGAAAAGCACAATCTTCACAGACCTAGAAGGACAACTGAAATATTCCAAACCGTAGCTGCATTGTACATAATTAGTGGACATCACTTGGTCAGAAATTGCAGACACAAGGAAACCTCACGTTTATGGTAGAAGAGGGTCATCAATCAATCATTCTCTTATTGTTGTACTCAAATCCAGAGTTACTTGAAATCCAATTTGGCAATCTCTAGGAGCCTTGGTAGGAGATTGTTCACCACAAGAGATAATACAATATTCTGAACTATCACAATACCTAGTGTAAAACAGGAGTATCTTGAATGATAAGCCTATGAATCCTAGCTCCGTCATTATCTAAAGAAACCTTGAGTTGGTGAACTGATCTCATTCCTGGCGGACTAATATAAGCACAGTAACATATGAAGTTATTGAAATGGTATGCACAAATCATACACTTGTTGAAGGCTCACCAATTTTCATTATGTGTATAATACATACAGTCTGAATCCCTTAGATTTTGCATGAGAGATTTCAGAAGCCAAAAAAAGTCCTTAAGTCAGTGAGGATCAATTTTTAAAGCACTATGCTTGTTGAGTAAAAGGTAATGTGTTTTTATACAGTCTAGGAAGTGCTGTGAGCTCTCCAAGCTTCCTTCATTTATTGCTCTAATCAGCAATCCAATGTGCACAAGACCGGATTCCAAATAAAGAATATTCCTTAGAGTGAATCTGTGATGCTACTTGAGAAGTTGTTATCAGGATAGAAGAAGGATCTTTGGTTTACAAATGCTTGCGATTGAATTTTGGTGATCATTTGTTCTCAAACAGGAAAATTTGGTATTTCTATTCATTTAAGAAAAAGATTGTTTAATTGCCAAAAAATACGCAGAAGGCAGATTTTGTGTTTTTATCGTGTTTCTCTCCAAATGTGGTGCATTGGACAGGCCTGGAGAAAACAAATCATATTTTTGAAAGTAAGCATGGAGCTACAAAGAGGCACACCAGACTTGCCGGCAACGCTGCACGTGGATGCTGACAGCCTCACCCAATCTTCACATATTAGCTGGTACAGCCAAGTGAGTGATGCTGCATAAATATGAGAACTGGTGTTGTTAGACATCACAGCTACCATGATATAATTAGTTACCCATTCTGAGTCCCATTCCCCAGTGGGAAGAGAAACCAAAGGGACAGAAAAAGAAAAATATTTCAGATTCAGAAACAATGCTTGTCATTGACAGGGTTTTGCTATGAGGAAGCTCTCAACAATCTCATCCCCCTGACACTGGCATGCAGCCAGCTGGCATTTCTGTGGGCTGCACTGAGAACCAGTGAATACCATGTGGGTGGTTGTCAACATTAGAAACAAGAAAAGTAGAGGGAAAAAAATGCGTTGAGAGTTATAACATCAACCTTCAGGGCCTTTTTATTTCTATCCAGATGGCACAAATATTCCTAGGTATTGGTACCCACGCAATAGGCATCCCAGGATAATAATCATAAGAGCTTTAAAGTTTAGAAAATACTTTTACATATATAGGCCAAGAACTGATGTGGTAGTAGTCAGGTATATCCACACAACTGCTGTTTTTATTTTTGTTTTTTTTAGTTTGCGTATGGATCAGAGTTATCTGAACTGGTAAGAAAGTCCAGCAAAATGGAAGTACTGTTTTCTTCTCTTGTAGGTGATATAACAGGTACTCATGTGATACAGCATGTGGCATGTTTGCCACCAGTTCACATTAGAATGCACGTTCATTAGTTATATACAAGTATCAGAAGTATCTTAGGGGGGCCTCTTGGCCCCTAGATTACTGGATGATGTATCACCTTAAACAAACCTGGCTTTAAGTCTGAATATTCCACCTATCATGGTACAGTTTAGGATCGCTTATATTTAATTTATTTTTCTCATTTTTGACAGGAGAACATGTCATTCTGATACTTATAAAGCTGATATTGATGGATCTCTATTTGCCAAGTGTTTTTCTGAGTTTTTTTGGATGTGTTACCAAATGTAGTCCATGAAACAACTCTGTGCAATAGGTATTCTTATTTTCCTCACTATTATTATTCCAATTTTTTATATTAAAAAATCAAGGCAAAAGGGGGGGGTCCAGATGACACACTTACAAGTGACAGTGTCAAAATCCCAACCCACAGAGTTTGGCTTCAGATCCTGGGTCCTAACCACTAGGTACATGGCCTCCCATATCCTACCTCACCTGTGTCTAAGATAGCACATGTGAAAAAATGAACCCAGTAACCCAGTATGTAAGAAAATATTTAACAAGTGTTAGCTATCAATATTATAATTAATGTTATTAATACTATGGTAATTATTAGCCTTTGTCTTATACTTTGTTTGAGATACTCAGAAAAGGAGACTTCATTTGTTTCAAGAAGAAGATAGATTCCACAGAATCAGCAACTCAAAACAAGTCAAGTATGACAACGGACCTGCTGACACCTCAACAGAGCTGGAGTTGTATATTATGTCAGTGATGGTGAGAAGATTGGTTCAAATGCATCTACTTGGAAAGATAGCATCCCTCTCCAGTGACATGAAATAGAGCACGTACTCACACACTTAGAGAAGATGGATATGTGAAGTAGAGGTAAACATGGATAGTACAAATGGAAGGAAGGAAATCAGAGTTACATGCCTTAAATGTCGCCACATCATAAAGCGTGAACATGACACAAGGATGGTGAAAACCCCAATAGACAGGTGGAAGGATATTCAGGCCTAGATCATAAATAAGCTATTGGGAAAAACAGTAGAAGGTAAGTGGCTTTTGTTAGTGTTCAACCAGAGGCAAAAGACCTTTAATGTCATCCCTTCTCATGCGTTCATATTAAACCATGAAGCTACAAAAGAATGGGACTTTCCTTTAAAAATATCAACCTGGATGATGTGCAAATAGTGTCCTCACTACTCCTTTCATGAAGTACGTGGGAGTGTGGGCAGGCTTGCCTTAGTCCCTTCCATACGGGCAACCCTGCATATGTCTAAGAATTTCATGCTCAGCAGCATTACACACCCTCCAGGCCAGTGTAGTCTATGGCCACTTTTCCATTTTCCTTAGGATTATGATGAAGAAGAAGGGAGAATAAGTTAAGCTTCCATCCTCCCAGCCCCAGCTATTCATGCAGTGGTTTCCAAAAGAAACAGATGAGAAGTATATGTTCTTCAAACACTTAAGTTGCCAAGGGCCAGCTATGACCTGGCACAAAAGCACCATCTATTTGCTGTAACTCCATCTTTATCTTCGCCACAGCCTTCTTTTCTGAATATCAGGCTCACATACCTAAAATCCTACTCATTCTCTCCATTTAGATATCTAACAGGCATCTCAAATTTAGTACGTTCAAAATGGAAACTTTGATCTCCCTGTCACCAAAAGGGCTCTAAGAATCTTACCCATCTCATTAAAAGGAACTTCCCATCCTTTTTAACTCATGCAAACATATACACTCACACCTCCAGTTGATAGGGGAAAAAATAAATTTTAACCCAATCTGAAAAACTTAGATCCAATAGTTGACTTTTTCTCTTTAGATAGCTCAGTCTCTTCTGATCAAACAGTGTCTTTTCAGGATTTTGAACAATCTTATCCTTTCCCTGCTACTTGTCAAAATGTTGTCATGTAGAAGAATGTAGATAATGTGACCTAATGCTGGCACTGGGGAGGCAGAATCTGTGAATTCACCCAATGTTCTCTGCTACAAATGGTGTGGTCAGCTTGTGCTGTAGAGGTATAATGTTTCTATGTCACATTTTTCTGAAAGTGAGATTCTGGTGTTTATTGCTAAAGTCCATAATCCCAACCATTTAAATTCATTTCCTTGATTCCCATCTTGGGATCCTCTGGCCTCTGTAGCTCCTCACCAGGCCAATTCCTCCAAGCTTTCCACAGGCCAAGGAGAGCCAGGGGTGCTCACTCAAGCTTATCCCTCAGAGCCACAGCACTATCACTCCTAAACCAATTTGGGCTATAGCAAGGATTGGAATTGTTATAAGAGCCTGCAGCCCGCCACCCCCCATGTACCACAGCACTAGCACTCACATTCTCAGAATCCCAAAATTATGTGGATGATTCTAAAGTTCCCTTGTGCCAATGAGATGCCGACCAAACCAAGGGGCAGAAAGATCTCATTACTCTTGCTCTGTCTGCTTCTTCCCCACATCCTCCTGGAATGGAAGGGGCCAACTTCTGGCTTTCCATTTCCTTTTCCTCATGGTCTCCTTCCATGCCAGGGCAGCAAGCCTCATGGCCTCACTGATAGAGTTAGAAGAGCAATCCTGTTTAAGTAATAAAAGAAACATCCTGCTTTAAGTCCTCTATATTTGATTCTTGAAAAGATAAATGAGAAGTAAGAGAATGGAGGCAAAACAAAGCAGTTTTATCTTGGAAAAAAAAAGCCCGGATTTCAAAATGACTGCTGTGATACAAAGATCACATTTAGTTAACTGTGGTATCTTGAACTGACTGTTATACAACCATTTATTGAACACTTTCTGTGGTCAATGTGTGTGAAGTATATTTTGTAATAGTGCAAGCTTTACATACATTATCTTTTTTAAACCTCAAAACTACCCCGGAAGAAAGGCACTTTTCTTGTTCTTATTTCACAAATAAGGAAACTGAGTCTCAAAGAAGGTAAGCTGCCCAAAAAGAATATATTTAGCAAACATAAGAGCCAGAATTCAAACCTAGATCTGTTTGTCTTGTGACCAGTACACAATGAATAGAATATTTAAAAATACATCAATGAGATTTTAGTTTTCGTTTTGAAAGTGCAAGATAGTTCATCCCTCAAATTGCGTCTATAACATAAAAAGACAATTTAGTTAAAATTATTGATCACATAATACAAAGTAAATGCAGACTATATAAGGAGGGAGGGAAGGAAGGAAGGAAGGAAGGAAGGAAGGAAGGAAGGAAGGAAGCAAGGAAGGGAGGGTGGGAGGGAGGGAGGCTTGGAATTGGCCTGGTGAGGAGCTACAGAGGCCAGAGGGAGGGAGGGAGGGAGAGAAGGAAGGAAGGAAGGAAGGAAGGAAGGAAGGAAGGAAGGAAGGAAGGAAGGAGGGAGGGAGGGAGGGAAGGAAGAAAGGCAGGAAGGCAGGAAGGCAGGAAGGAAGGGAGGGAGGGAAGGAAGAAAGGCAGGAAAGCAGGAAGGAAGGAAGGGAGGGAGGGAAGGAAGGAGGGAGGGAAGGAGGGAGGGAGAGAGGGAGGGAGGGAGGGAAGGAGGGAGGAAAGGACATAGTCCATAGTGTAACTTCCCAAAGACAATTACACATTTGGTAGAGTCATTATTGTGAATTTCTACATCTCTGTATATATCCAGACTTTAAGAACTCAATATATATTACACTCAGATTAAAACAAACACACAAATTTTTTTGAAGACAGTACAGGTTATTAGACAAGACAGGGCTCTGCAGTCATACTGCTGGGTTTGCACAATACTTGTGCTCAGGAAAAATTAGCTCTATCATTATCATTACCACTGATAGCTTTCTTAAACACATCTAACCACCTCCATGAGTTCACCACCTCCTTCTGTAATAAGAAATAAATAAATTTTATTCCTACTAATGAATGCAGCTTAAATCATTTATTTAAAAATGCCTTAGGTAACTGTCTCTTTACAAATAGTCTTTCAGATTCTGCAGCAAATATCTAGCAATATAGAAGTTAAGTGACTGTACCTACACTATGATTACAATCACACAATGTTAATCAAATGAAAAAACTCTAAAATAAATATTTTAAAAGACAGAAAAAGCTAATTGTGAAGATGACAGGATTACTGATATTATTTGTTTATTTATTTACTGAGACAGAGTCTCGCTCTGTCACCAGGCTGGAGTGCAGTGGTGTGATCTCGCCTCACTGCAACCTCTGCCTCCAGGGTTCAAGCGATTCTTCTGCCTCAGCCTCCCAAGTAGCTGGGACTACAGGCATGTGCTACCACGCCCAGCTAATTTTTGTATTTTTAGTAAAGATGGGGTTTCACCACCTTGGCCAGGATGATCTCAATCTCTTGACCTTGTGATCCGCCCACCTTGGCTTCCCAAAGTGCTGGGATTACAGGCGTGACCCCCCGCGCCTGGCCAATATTCAATTTTTTAAACTGTTTTCATAACTCTTAAAGGTATGTTTGTTTTATAATTTTAAAAATTAATTAAATTGCCACAACAATTTCCATCCTCCACCCCATCACAGATACACAAACACAAGCACATATACACAGAAAATGCAGAATTCTTATTTAAATGCTATTTGTCTTTTACTAAATAGTAAACTCCTTAAGTGCTTTTTATGCATCTTTATACTTCTAGCACTCAGCCCAGTGTCTGGCAAATAGTAGGTACTCAATAAACATCTGTTGAGCCTTTCTAAAGTATTAACCAGAGCCCTAATTGGTCTTTTCATATCACTTAACCCAAAGAAAGTGCACATATATTTGATCTATTGGCAGTGACATAGAGGACGACTAGAAGCTAACATTTGATGTGTACCGACTCCAGGTAAGTTGCTGTGTTCACATTTAACGTGTTATCTCATTCAGTCCATCTGATTACCCCATGAGTTGTTGCTATCTTCTTTATTTTCTATTTCCTTTTTTTTTTTTTTTGACAGATGAAGAAAAGGAGGCCCAGAAAGTTTGAGTTACGTGTCAAGGTCACACAACCAGTGATAAGTTGCAGAGCTGGAATTCCACTCTGCCTGGCTCCCAGGTTAGTGCTCCTAACAGCAAGCCATGTTGCCTCTCCCATAAGCGTTGCATATGTTCAAGTTCCCTACAGATAATTCACATGCAGAATAAGTAGATTGTTCATGATGGCTCTTCTCTGAGTTGTGACAGTAGGACTGTACTGTCCTATACAGTAGCCACCAACCACATGTGGTGACTGAGGGCTTGAAACGTGGCTGGCTAAACTGAGATGTGCTGTGAGAGTAAAACACACACCAGATTTTAAATGTTTGGTACAAGACAAGGAACGTAAAGTATCTTAATAATTTTTTGTGTTGATCACATGTTGAAATGATAATATTTTGGATCTATTGAGTTAATTATTTCACTAGTCCAAATAAAGTCTGCAATTTAGTTAAGAATATTGGATCTATGATGATTTCTTAGTGTTGTTAACTTTGCCATGATTATGCAAAATGCTGACATTAAAAGAAGATGGGTGAAAGATATACTGGAACACCATACTATTTTTGCAACTTTTTAATGTCTAAACTTATTTCAAAATATAAACTTAAAAAAATTACTTCCACTTATTTCTTTCTACTTTTTAAAACGAGGCTTCTAGAATGTTTAGAAATGCTATGTGTGTGGCTCACATTATATTTCTATTGAATAGTGCTATACTAGACCATCAAACTGCAGTAAGAACCAAAGTAACATCCATCCAACTCTTCGCTATCAATTGCAGCTCCAAGTTTAGAGATAGTTTAGTTTACCTAAAAAGCAGTTTTATTGTTGGAAATCTAATGGAACCATCAGTTAATGAAGCCCCATAACACCACTAAACCAAAGTGAGTAACTTTTGGATTTGTAGGTCCTCCAGTCCATCTATGACTCCAGGCAGAACTACACTAAAACTTTTCCTGGAAGACAGTCCTGCTCCTCAAAATCTCCTGTGGACCTTTCCACCATCTTCATTAGAATACTACTCCAATTTTTCATAATAGGAAAGTCAGAACATTTTTCCTCTTGACAATAATATTAAATAGGACGATATTTATGGATTTTTATTTCTTTTATATCCCCTGGGGTTGTGAAGTAGGCAAACTATACCCCCCACCTCAAAAAGAAAAAAAAAACAGTCTGAGGGCAGAGAATAGGTTATACATTATATACTTGCTCAGAAATGCTGTGAGTTAATGCTCATGCTTGAAAAATTATATTAAGCATGGTGAAGTTGTAGGGGAATGAGAAAAAAATACATTTAAAAAAACAACAATCCCTCATTTGTACTTTTGTGAAGACCATAATGAGTAAGTATAGATTAAACAAAATTAATAACTCACGTTAGATCCACTGCTTACTCTGTATTTATAAATGCAGTACGGTGAACTGATAGGGCATTTAATCACCTCTGAGTCAGAAGACCTGCATACTAGTCCTGCCTCTAAAAAGTCACTCAACCTCATTAATCCTTAGCCACCTCATCTCTAAAATGAGTAGATAGGATTAGACTGGAATTTTTCAAATCACAATGTTATGCCATTGGTAGATAATGAAATCAATGTCAAGAGTCAAGACAAACTTTCTTTAAAATGAAACAGAATAAAGGACTTCAGAATTCAGTGCACAGATTAAGAGTCAACATTGTTTCCTAAAACTTCCAGTATGGATCACCACAAAATTGTTTGAGAATCCCTGTTTAAATGTCTAGAGTTCCTCATTCCTCTGAGATCATGTGCTCAAAACAAGAAACAAACCAGTTACAAGCAACAAATCCAATTCCAGTACTCCTCAGTCCCCACCAAGCAGTCCAGGACACATCTATGAGGCCTCTAAAAATGGCCACCATCAGTTCTTTCCTTCCCTGTACACACACACACTGCTCATTCATCCCCTTAACGGTGGGGATCTATCCCTACCGCTACCTATCTCCCCTCCCTTGAATTGGGGCTGGCCCCATCACTTGCTTTAATCACTACAATATGTCAGAAGTGATGTACTTGGACAAGCCCTAGCCTTAAGAGTACTGGAAGCTTCTGCTTCCTCCTTCCTGCAAGCCACCATCATGTAACACATCAGAACTCTCTGAGACCATGCTCTCCACATGAAGAGGGCATGTGGACAGGAATGCCTGCCCAGCCACCAGCTGTTCCCAACATCACAGCTGAAGCGGCAGACGTGTGAGTGAAGAAGCCATCTTACAGGTTCCAGCCCCAGCAGACACCACAAAGTGCTGAAGAACTGTATCACTAAGCCCAATCCATGTTACAGAATGGCAAGAAATAATCGATTGTTGTTGTAAGCCACTGAATTTGGGGGTAGTTTGTTATACAACATTAGATTACTAAAACAATGCCCATGGAATTGTCATAAAATTGCTGTGGATCACGGGAGGCTAAATGCTTGTTCATTTGTAACAAAACCTCAGTTTACTCTGAAGGGCTCATTTCACAGTGCCCAGCATCAGTATTTACTGAGTGTTTCTTGGGAACACTGGCAAATCATGGAAAATGCAATGCAAATTGCAACAGTGCACTAGCAACATAGGGAATTTACTGGATGCAGAGTAAGGTTGTAAGATCTGAGAAAGTATATTGGATTCATGTAAATAAAGGATTTCAAACATCTCGAGATTTGTCATGTTGTTAAATTTGCTGAAGTGTGGATAGAGAGAAATATGCTGGCAGGCAAATGCAGAAGGGAAAGCTATGCTCTTAGACTTTTCTTCTGACATCCTACCCTATGGACAAAAGTGAAAACTGAAACATAGCAAATTATTTGCGACTGACAGCCCTTTCATTTGTACCCACAGCTGCTGTTGAGGAACACCGCTGCCTCAGCTTGGTCCAATTACGGCACTATGTACCTTATCACACGGCTTCGTTTTGTTCCTCTCCTGTCCTGGGATCTGTAGCTCATTAAGATAAGATCTGACAGGCTCGGTCAATGGTGAGTTAGAGCTAGTGGCTTCTCTCTATTTGGGCACCACCATAAGTTTCATGGACTTATATATTCAGTCACACAAACAGGAGGGTATCCTTTGCTAGTGCGATTTTCATTTACTCTGCTGTTATTTATCCCAACCCAAGCAATTAAACAAGTAAAACTTTCCAGGCTTTTCCATCAAAAATCTCTTTTCTGTCCCCCTCCCCGCCACTTCCTTTTTCATGAGGGTGATGTGCTGCCTCTTGATCAGAAAAATATCTCTAACGAGGAGGCTGTAAATTCACATGGTGTTTTGTGACATGGGCCAAAATGTTCCTTATTTTAGTATTCTAGCTATTCTCCCAAAAAGCCATAAATAACAATAAATGGTGATACAGGCTCTTGTCAAGAAAATTCATCTCCTTTACCTTTTGTGAGATTGATTTCCTTTTATTCTGACAAGGACTCAGTTCCTGACTGTCTGCCTTCATTTATCCCTTATGCTTTAGAGCTGCCTTTTGCACTGGCTCACAGCATAGTCCATATGGAAATTAAATACACCCACATTTGAAATGAGCATGCCTTCCCTCACTGGTATTTGTTTCCAATATGATATATTTGTTTCAGTGACAAGGTCCAGTGGGTAAAGACGTAGTCAGACCAGAGTTACATGAGCAGAAAAAGGATTGAAGTGATTCCCTGGTTACTCAGGCAAAAGTAGCAGAAGGAGAAAGGGGTCCCAGAGGCCTGGTAAGTTCTACCTGAATTATCCAGATAATTGCTTCAACCTTTAACCTGACAATGGAGACCTGGACTAAAATGACATAAGCCAACGGAAGTTTATGTAACTTATTTTTCCACGTTCCACTAACAGTGACAGAAATGAAAGTGAGTGGAGAAGCCTGTCAGGATTTAGGTAGAGAGCTCTAATTCCATGGCTGTGATATTTGTGGGGAATTCGTAAAATGTTGTAGAGGTTTATTCTAAAATGAATGAAAAGGAAAAAGGAGGAAAAAGTTCCAATTCCAAAATGCTGAACTTTGGAATGCGGAAGGGCTCCAGACGAGACCTTATCCTCCTTTTCATCTACTTTCTCTCCTTGAATAATCTCCCTCCAGCCCATCATTTTAAGTACTATTTAATACTTCCAAATTTATAGTTCCACCTAGGACCTCCCCAGAAGTACACACCATGTACCACTGCAGAAGTCACTGCTTATTTCAAATCCTATTACTGCTTCTTCTGCCACCAAGAGTTAACACTTCCTGAGTGCTTTCCATGCCAGACACTGTCCTTAAACATTTATAGGCATGATCCCCTTTAGTTCTTACAGGTTTAGGCAGTGAAATTTATGTATCTGTTTTTTATAGATAAAGAGATGAAGGCTTAGAGAAGTTATGTGAGTTTCCAGTGTTTCAGCTAAAAAGGAATGGAACCTGGACTCAAGGGCAGAGACATTTGATTCTCAAACCTCTGTTTATGATGTGCTACTTCTCCATTGTGTTTGCTCTTCCTACCACACATTTGTGATTTGGTGTATGCTACTTTGAATTACCATCATTATGACGATTATCATTTTATACTTAAGTCCTGCTTCTTCCCACCCCAATGCCAGCCCTGATGACAGGGGCCTGTCTGGTGTCTCTGCACACTATCCCTAGCAAAGCCTTGCATGTCCCATGATTAAATATTGTGATTGAGCTTTCACAGAAAGCCAGCATCACAATTATTAACAATAACCAGGCTAGAGGCCTAAGTCAAGAGGTTTTAAAGAGCATCTTCAGTAATCAGGGTTTTAACTGGCTACCCAGGTCTTTAAAAAACTATAGAACATGTTGTCTGTGCTGTACCTGGTATGTAGAGGGATAATGAAATTCTATGGCTCCCTCTCCAGAATATACTTTGTGGAGATACATAGGAACTAAATATTAAATGCAGGTCAGATTCCTTTAACTCTGCAAATTATACTTTGGAGGTCACCAGGCCAAAATCTAGGAGACCAGCCTAGAAAGACTTTTGAGGGTAGGGATTTATTATTCGTGGGACAAAAGATGTAATCAAAAGACTTGTCCCTAACACTACTGGGGATCAGCCTCTTGTCTTAAGGACTGATTTTTTTCCTGTTTTTAGCTTTTGTCAAATTGTTCTGTCATTTAGTGTCAAGTGGGGCAAGTTCTCTTTCCCTTTGTAACTAATCATTGCTGACATGTAGTTAAAAATCTTTTACTCCAGAGAATCTGCCTGTGGTGTTTTGGGTCAACCTCACCCCGTGTGAAAATACCATACATGGAGTCTCTGAGTCTGGGATCTAAAAATACAACAAGCTTGTTGTATGCTGACACTTTATAGTACATTAGGTGGGGTCATCTTTCACTGAGGCGAATGTGCTATCCAACAGGTCCACAGCAAGTGTGTCACTGGCTTTGTTCAAAGTGTTCCTGGATGCTGCAAATGAAAGAGGACAATAACTCTCCACCTCTTGCCCATCCTTTGGGAAAGACTTCAGCATGGTAACTCACTTTCTCTTGACTTTTTGACGTAGTTAACTCAAAAAGTTCAGCACTAAAAGCCATGTGGTTTTTTGTTTGTTCTGGTATTTTATTATATTTTTGTAGCTGTTTATTGTTTTATTTAAAAAATGCTATTTTTTTAAAAAAAATCAGCTCTATGAAGATATATTTTTTTTTATTTTTTAATTTTTTTGAGATGGATTCTGGCTCTGTCTCCCAGGCTGGAGTGCAGTGGCTTGATCTCGGCTCACTGCAACCTCTGCCTCCTGGGTTCAAGAGATTCTCCTGCCTCAGCCTCCCAAGCAGCTGGGACTACAGGCGCAGGCCACAACGCTGGGCTAATTTTTTTTTTGTATTTTTAGTAGAGACAAGGTTTTACCATATTGGCCAGGCTGGTCTCAAACTCCTGAACTCAGGTGATGTGCCCGCCTTGGCCTCCCAAAGTGCTGGGATTACAAGTGTGAGCCACCACCACGCCCGGCCAAGATATAATTTACATATAGTAAAATTCACCCTTTTTGGTGTATCATTCCATGAGTTTTGACAAAGGTATGCAATAATATAACTACTACAATCAAGGTGTAGAATGGTTTCCTTTCCTGCAAATATTCACTTGTGCCCTTCGTACTCAACCCCTCTCCACAACCTCAGTCCTCAACAGCCACTTCTCTGTCTTTATAGATTATCCTTATGGAATTATACAATATGTAGCTGTTTAAGTCTGATTTTTTTCACTTACCATAATGCATTTGAGTTCATCTACTTTGGTGTGTGTGTCCGTAATTTGTTCTATTTCTTGTTAAATGGTCTTCCATCGTAAGGATGTATCACAGTTTAACCATCCACCAGTTGAAGGACACTCGAGTAGTTTCCAGTTTTTGGCAAATATGAATAAAGCTACTATTAACATGTGTGTACAGGTTTTTGTATGACCATGTTTCTACCCCCACTTTGGGTAAATATGGACTGCTGTTTAAATATGGATTGCTGTTTAACTTTATAAAGTTAAACACATATGGCGAGTATGTGTTCAACTTTATATAAAAAAAAAAAAAACTGCCTGTGTTCCAAAATGGCTGTGCCTTTTGTCATTCCTAACCAACAATATATAAGTCCTGGTTGTTCTTTATCCACCCTGGCGTTTGGTACTATCAGTTTTTGCTGGCTTTTTTGGCAGGGGAGGGGTATGTTTCCTTTTTAACCATTTAGTTAATGATATCTCATTGTGATTTTATTTGCATTTCCATAAAGACTAATGATGTGCATCTTTTCATGTGCTCATTTGTCATCTTCATATCTTCTTTGGAAAAGTTTCAGTTCAAATCTTGGTCCATCTTTTATTTGAGAGTTGGTTTTATCATTATCAAATTATTATTGTTCTTTATATATTCCAGATACAAGTCCAAGACAGTTAAGAGACATTCAATTAAAGAGATTAAATTGTATCTGGTGTTTACTATTGTAAGGGCTAAAAGGTTTAATACTTTTCCTCACTGATCATAAGGGTCATAGTCGAAACTCCCGTAGCAAAAAGCAAGTTAGCAAGAGAAAAACATAACAGATGTATTTAATCAAAATTTTGTGTGACATAGGATCTTTTAGATCTTCAGAAATGAAGATAGGGCTTTTAGATCTTCATTTCTGAAGGGAAAGCTGTCGATTTTTATGCTTAGATTCAATGAAGAATGAACAGCTGTGTAGAGATGTGATTGCACAAGGTATGAACTTGTGCTAATAGACTGAGGAGGGAAACCCAGCGAGGCCTGTCTGTTCAGATTCTCCTTGACCTCCTTGCATAGCATTCCTTCCTCTCAGGTGTGGGGCAGGATGCCTCTGGAATCTTCAAGGGGTGGGGAAAGAGTAACCTCTGTAGACTTTATGGTTTGGTTTGAGGGAGAGGAATCCTAATTTCTATGACCTACATTGGGGAAAAGGAATTCTGGTTTCTATGACTCCCTTTTTGGGGAGAAAATGGGGCAGGAGACAGAAAGGCAACAGAAGGTCAGAGTGACCTGCTCATAAGGCCCTTCTAATGTCCTTAAGTTTAAAGTACTCAGCATATCAAAATGCCATACTTTGGGGTATTGTGTTCTGAGTCCCATTGCAGCCTCTCTTTCAGCGGAATCCTGGCAAAAGCAGGAGGACTTAAACCTTTTGCAATTACAAGGCAAGAAAGTGATCAAATGTAGATATGGCCTCTTTTGAATAATGCTGCTTTTCCTTTAATCTTCAGGAGACATCATTTAATGAAAGTAAACTCTTCCAGGGCTCAGCCCTTGGTGCTGTCTTCCTTACCACACATATTTCTTGGTGATCTCATCCAGTCTGTAGCTTTAAATGCCATCTGTATGCAAGCTATTTCCACATTTATATCTCCAGCCTGACCTTGTTTTCAAACTGCAGTTTCACATTTCTGACTGCCTACTTGACATCTCTACCTTGAATTAAATAAACATTTTAAAATATAGTATGTACCAAACGAACACCTGATCTTCCACCCCGAATCTACTCTACTTCAGTTCCCCTCATCCCTACTGAGGGCAACTGTGTTCTTCCAGTGGCGTAGGCTAAAAACTTGGAAGTGACTTTTGACTCATTTCTTTCTCTTGCACCCTACAGTAAGTCCATCTGCAATGCTATTGTCTCTGCTTTGAACATATATATCAAGAATATGATTACTTCTCAAAAGTTCCACTGCAATCATACTGATCCTAGTCATTGTCAACTCTCACCTGGATTACTTACTGTACTATCTGCCCGAAAGGTCATCCTGTTTCTCCCTTACATTTCCCTTCCCACCTCCAGTCATAGGCTACTATCAACACAGCGACCAGAACAGTCCATTAAAAAAATAATTCAGGTCATTTTACACCTTTACTTACAACCTTGAAGTGGTAAAAGTCAAAGCTAAAGTCCTCAGAATGGTCAACAAGGCTCTGTGTGACCTGTTCCCTCCCTCATTACCTCCAAATCCCTTTCTGAAAACACTTTAGGACCATGTTATCATCACCAAATTACAACATCAAATTTTCTATGTAACTTAAACAACTGCATTATTAACGCCAAGTATACGGTGAGTCAATAGTAAGGTTAAAAACAAAATTTAGCAACTTGCCCATTTCTAATACTATATTCTAAGTAGTAGATATTCTGCCATCCCAGAGGTGATCATATTCTTGTTAAAAATTAAAAATAGCCAAAAAATTATTAATTACTTACTGTTTGCTGAGTACTTTTCTTTAATCTTCACAACAACCCCACATGGCGTATAATTGTACCCAGTTTTGAGGGAATGAGCCTGCACTCAAGACTGGAGAGAATTCCTTCAAGCCAGGCCACGTGGATGGCAAGTAAAGGGTAGAGGAGAGTGCAGGTGGGCCAAGCTCCAAACCCACCTCATCGCTGCCTTATCCTCTTTCTTTTGCCAAAAGTAGGACAAAAATCAAAGAAAAAAATAC
Source organism: Homo sapiens (assembly GCF_000001405.40). NCBI lineage: Eukaryota > Metazoa > Chordata > Mammalia > Primates > Hominidae > Homo > Homo sapiens. The sequence continues at coordinate 96,991,921 of NC_000001.11, read as the reverse complement.
AAAGATTATTTCTTCTAGGTTTCTTATAAAAATTATATCAAAGGTAAACACTTTTATGCTTTGTAAATGTTCTATACATGCCTCCTTCTTCCTTTATTTTTTTTTCTTCTTCTTCGCCCATGCCCAAGTAGGTGGCAAAGGCCTTGTAGCCTTGGGAGAAATGCTGCCAGTGAAAATCCTGGGACTATAAAGAGAATAGTGAATTTATGGGAGAGGAATCAAGTTCTCCTAGCCTGGAAACCAGCCAGCCTGATCGATATATAGATCTACTTGGCTTTATGCACTAAATGTTCCTGAAAAGTTGTCTATAAGATAAATATTTGTATACAAAAATCATGTAGGCTCACTCTCTTCCTTTGTCATTTTAGAAATGTGTTCCCACACACAAAGAAAAATATTTACCTCAATATTACAAAATGCTGCTGGTGAAGCCAAACATGTACTTTCAGGAATATTCTGACTTTGTCAACACCACTCATGCAAGTACATCAAACCGACAACCAATCCATACAATCATTGATACTCCTGTAAAAGGACAACTATGTCAAAACACACAATCAATCCTCTTTCAAATATTTAAACAGCCTTCTTAGGCCTTGATGCTGGATGTTTAATGAAACCCAGCAAAAAATATATAAAAATACTTTTAGAGAAGTGTTTAGGCGTCCCCTGCTTCGCAGTTAACAGTTAAGCTGCTACTATCCCTTTAACCAGCCACACACTCCTTCACTAATCAATAAAAGTTTGCTAACCTTAATGAGTATCTAACTGATAAAAAAGAGATTCTATGTCTCTTCCCTGATAAGAACAATTGTAGTGTCATCTGAGATAAGAGGAATCTTCTTGCTACTTCTATGTAACCCTGAAAACTTTAAAGTGAGATGTCAGATCTCACTCAGTAACCCATTAAATAACACACTGAGGGCAAAATCAGAATGTGCCCTCAGTGGGTTAGCTACATAGGTGCCATTCTGTGCAAATTGGAGGACTCATATTTGGGAGAATCTCGATTGACTTCTCTGTAAAAATATGCATAGTAATATCAACCTTATAAAGTCATTCATAGAATTAAGTACTAATTTACTCACATGTATTATCTAATTTAACCTTCATCAATCATGCAGTAAGGATTATCTATCACAATCTGACAGATGTAGAAACTGACAGTTGAAGGGTGTAAGTCACTTACTCAATGTTAAGCAGCTAATGGGATTTGAATTAGGTCTTTCTTAAGACAAAGACTGTGTTTTCCTTTTTAACAGAGCAATTATCTTATTGTGGCCCTCAAATAAGTTTGTACATTTAATGACAAAAGCGTTAATCAGCAAATAAGTAGTTGTTGAATAAACAAATGTAGTAAGTGTGTAAATGTGCATGCATGTGAACTACATAATGTGTATGCAAATTTACACCATGGAAACTCTGTTACCTATTACAGCCAGCGGAATAGAATGCATCCCGAATAGAAAGTTACCATCCATAACCAGTTATGAAAGAATTATAAGAAACAAAAACACATAAACAGCACTAGCTCTATGCTAAACATAGCTTCCCTTTTCTTGGAATGAATTCAGAAGTTTTCTAGACAAATTTTATTTATTTAAATAAGAGCTATTGGCTTTGGAATATTTTCGTCAAGCCAGGCTATTCAGTGCAGAAACAAATGCATTTGTGCTTAATAATCATACTGTTTCTGAAAAGTAAAGCCACCACAATTATAAATATGGGCAAACATTGTCAAATTTTCTGATATAATGTGAGGAAATGCTTATATTGTTACTAAAACATTTGAATTATTAATAGATCTGTTATTAAGAGTGTTGACATTTTGGTTGATTTTTCAACAGCCCTTAATAGAGTGGGGTTTTTTGCATTCTGGTGAGGTTAGCAGGCCAATTTACAGGTCCCAGTTGTAGAGACACAAAAGCATTATCAGCCAAGGCTGCAAATTCCCAGTGAGGGACACTTCGTTGCCACCACTGGTGGCAACCACTGTTTCCAGTCTCCCTAGCTCAGGGATTCCCTAACAAGGTAAAGACTGAATGAAATGAAAAGAACACAACTCCTGGGATCAGGTGTCCTTGGCTTCAGTCCCAGTTTCTTTATTTATTCTTCCATTTAATAAATATTTATTTTCATTAATCAGACACTAACTACTTTCTTAGGAGTTATCAAAACAAAGAACACTGACTGTAGGTGATATAAAACTCCAGCAGACTTCCTCCCTCCTCACTGGACCCTTCTCTGTGGAGGGGGTGTGGGAAGGACTTTCATTTTGAAAATCACACCAGCAAACCGCATGGAGTAGTTTCTGACCAAAGGGAAGGAGGGTTCCCTGCATTTCTGGGTCACTGACCAGTAAAGTATAAAAGTGTGTTTCTATTCATGTCTTTGAATAGGGCACAACAGATGGGGAAGTGAGTGTCCTGCCCATTCCCCTCTGCTGGGGCTGTGACTGTCCTAATATAAGCTATTGGCGCCTAACCTCAAGTACCTAGGGCTCTGCCCCAGGGGTCTGGTTTCTAACAGAGGGCAGGGGCTGCCAGAAATGCTGGGGGAGTTAATCCCTCCTGGAGCAGCACTCAATAATGGAGGAGGAGAAAAATGGCCACCATTCCCAGTCCTTGGGCAACACCTCTGTGGTAATTTCCTCAGTCTCCCAGGGTTTGGGAGGAGAGGGAGCCCCGCACACTTTGTGGCTTCCTTTCATCCTCTTCCAGACTCACTTCTTCATTCCCCTGTTAGTGTTTCCTGAGACCACCTTCCAAATGAATGAGTTATGCTCAGATCGTTGTCTCAGGGGCTGCTTCTGAGGGACTCAACCTAAGACAAAGGTTTAGTGTCTTCAGTAATTTTTTTCATAAGACGAAAGAACATGTTTAAAACTTAACATGCACTCTCAAGGTACAGATCCCACCCCACCCTCCTTAGGTAGCACAGCCTCTACTGCTATCGGGTGAAAACTGACCCTTGAGTCCTCCTCCCTCCTCCACCCACAGTCGTGTGTCAGAAAGAAATTCGGGGGCTAGAAAAAAGAGATTTGCATTTGGTGCTATTCATGTGAATTAATCTAAGGAAATTTAGAATTTCAGAATATAATCCAGGCAGGGAGGGATCAAGTGTGTCTTTAACAAATAAGGCCAGGAACATTCTCAAAAACAAAACAAAACACCAAGGTCAAAGGTAAGTGGAGGCTGGGCTCACACCTGTAATCCCAGCACTTTGGGAGGCCAAGGCAGGAAGATCACTTGAGGTCAGGAGTTTGAGACCAGCCTGGCCAACATGGTAAAACCCCATCTCTACTAAAAAGACAAAAATTAGCTGTGCATGGTGGTGTGCACCTGTAATCCCAGCTACATTAGGCTGAGGCAGTAGAATTGCTTAAACCCTGGAGGCAGAGGCTGTAGTGAGCCAAGATCCCACCACTGCCCTCTAGTCTGAGCAACAGAGCAAGACTCTGTCTCAAATTAAAAAAAAAAAAAAAAAGGTATGCTGAGAAGGAGAAATATAAACCCACCACAAAGATTAGGCACAGTGTCTTACAAAGGAAAGCATCTGAGAAGGGTAAGGAAGGCAGGTGGTGAGGGGAGGGGGAAGTGCTTTCAGCAGAACCAGCAGGCTCTATGTGAAAGTTTATTCTGTGTTCTGGGAAAGACTGGAGAGAAGGAAAAAGCCATGATAGGCAGGAAAGGCCTGAGACCCATCGTCTCAGAATTTGCTGGACACGTCAGGGATACTATGGCTCCATTATTCTGGCCAGGGTGTTGAATTTCAAGGCCTATTGGAGGAAAATGGAAGGGGATAAGAATGATGCTGGGAACACAGATGGGGAAGGGCTTTAAAAGGATGGGCACAGAGCATGGGGTGAATTAGTGAACAATAAGGTGTCCACTTGGAATATCCTAAAGGCCTATGTGCAGTGCCCAAGCGCCACAATTTCACTGCCCTCGTCTCCTGACTCTGTGGTTAGAGAGCAATTACATGAACGCTTCAGTAAAGAGCTGCTGAAAACGTTCATCAGTGTGTTTGTTCTGGAAGTCAGTGAAGCAGACATTGCAGTCAGCCACACTGTAGACTGGCTGACGAGGAAGAGGATTTACCCTCTGACAACCTGGGAAACAGCCTGGCCCATTGGATGAAGAGAACTGGACACCCTTACAGGAAGAGCCTAGCCAGCTGTCTCCAATATTTCATTTTCTTCCCCACTCAGCTCATGCACTTCAAGGTAAGAAGGTTTCCATCCATCTGCTTCTCCATCCTACCCCAACACACGTATATACATTTCCACGAGTTAATGTTCAAGGAGGCTTGAATTTTTACTCAAAGAAGCATTTGGGGGACGGCAGTGTGGCTGTGGTTATTGTATATTTGAAGGGTGTTGAGATAGAAAAAGAGAAAGCAGAAGTGGTGGCATGGTAGCCTTCGGGTCACCCACTCATTCTCCTCTCACCACCAGTCTGGTGGACATCAGTCTGAAATACAAAGAGAGGGAGACTTTAGGACAAAAAGAGCTTTATTCATAGATGATGTTATGCAATTCTGGGCCTGTATTAGTCAGGGTTCTCTAGAGGGACACAACTAGTAGGTTAGATGTATATATGAAAAGGAGTTTATTATGGAGAATTGACTCACACTATCACAAGGTAAAGTACCACAATAAGCCATCTGCAAGCTGCGGAGCAAGGAAGCCAATGGTGGATCAGTCTGGGTCCCAAAACCTCAAAGGTAGGGAAGCCGACAGTGCAGCCTTCTGTGGCCAAAGGCCCAAGAGCCCTTGGCAAATCACTGGTGTAAGTCTAAGAGTCCAAAAGCCAAGTAACTCGGAGTCTGATTTTTGAGGGCAGGAAGCATCCAGCACAGGAGAAAGATGAAGGCCAGAAGACTCAGCAAGTCTGCTCTTCCATCTTCTCCTGCCTGCTTTATTCTAGCCTCCCAGCAACTGATTAGATGGTGCCCACTCATATTGAAGGTGTGTCTGCTTCTCCCAGTCCACTGACTCAACTGTTAATCTTCTTTGGCAACACCCTTACAGACACACCCAGGAACAACACTTTGCATCCTTCAATCTAATCAAGTTGACACTCAATATTAACCATCACAGGGCCCAAATTAAGTTACTCTGGAACCCAGGTGCAAAGCACAACAGAGATTTGAGGAGAAGGCCTTTTCTTTCTCTCTCCACTAGTGGGTCTCCAGCCCCACTCCACCCCCATTATTGTGCAGCTCAAGCCCCCTAAAGGCTACCAAACTACAAGATTACTGCTGAGCTGAGCAGTCTTCCTCCTCAGGACACAGCCAAGTCTAGGGAAACACCTTGCAAAGAATTTGAAAGACTAAATCCTACATGACTGTATCCCAGGGTGGGCCTGCACACATAATTAGAGAATCAAGTTGGCAGGGGGAGGGGAACTGGGAATTCCCAAATTAGCAAGAGGTGCCTCTGAGCTGGTGACATTCAGGGATTAGTCTTGTTTATGTGCCATCATGTGGAAGACCTAGGGCTTTCATGTGATATGAGTAGTTAGGCACCCAGAAATGTGGTGCATAAGTAGTTGTCACAGAGCTCACTGCTGGCCCTACATTAGTGAAGATAATTCTGCAGAGCCCATTTGGGGACAACTAAGATATATGGAATGGATGCTATAGCCTTTGAAACATTTCCTAACTCTCAGAGACCGATGAGAAAAAAACATGTCTGTAAAAGAAAAAGAATGACAGGATGAAATCAGAAATGGGAGTCAAAGCCATCTTGTGCTTCTGAGTGTTGTGAAACTTACTATCAGAGAGGCAGCTTCATCTCTCTCAGTTCATTAGGAAAAATGTATGATTCTAGAAGCAAAGAGAAAGAGAAAAAATTAAAATCACCTTTGACTGATTTCTCCTGTCATTCTGGCTGTCATGTAAATATCTGCTTAATTTCTGGAGAAGGGCCTTTGAACAGTTGTATTTAACTTTGCACTTGAGTTGGTTGTCCATCTTTTGTTAGTAATATGGTTTGGCTGTGTCCTCACCCAAATCTCATCTTGAATTGTAACTCCCACAATTCCCATATGTCATGGGATGAATCTGGTGGGAGGTGATTGAATTATGTGGTGGGTCTTTCCTGTGCTGTTCTCATGATAGTGAATGAGTCTCATGAGATCTGATGGTTTTAAAAATGGGGGTTTTCCTGCACAAGCTCTCTCTTTGCTCTGCTGCCATCCATGTAAGATGTGACTTGCTTCTCCTCGCCTTCCACCATGATTGTGAAGCACCCCCCAGCTAAGTGGAAATGTAAGTCCATTAAACCTCTTTCTTTTGTAAATTGCCCAGTCTTAGGTATGTCTCTGTCAGCAGCATGAAAATGAACTAATATAGTTAGGCCTTGTGAAAATGCATCACTTTAACCGATCATTAGAGAAATGCAAACCAAAATGAGATACCATCTCACTTCAGTCAGAATGGCAATTATTAAAAAGTGAAGAAACAATGGGTACTGGTGTGGAGAAATAGGAAAGCTTTTACACTGTTGGTGGGAATTTAAATTAGTTCATCCATTGTGGAAGACAGTATGGTGATTCCTCAAGGATCTAGAACCAGAAATACCATTTGACCCAGCAATCCCATTACCGAGTATATACCCAAAGGAATTTAAATCATTCTACTATAAAGACACGTGCATACGTATGTTTATTGCAGCACAATTTACAATAGCAAAGTCATGGAACCAACACAAATGCCCATCAATCATAGACTGGATAAAGAAAATGTGGTACATATACACCATAGACTTCTACACAGCCATAAAAAGGAATGAGATCATGTCCTATGGAGGGACATGGATGAAACTGGAAGCCATCATCCTCAGCAAACTAACACAGGACAGAAAACCAAATACTGAATGTTCTCACTCATAAGTGGGAGTTGAACAATGAGAACACGTGGACACAGGGCGGGAAACAAGGCATTTTGGGGGGTGGGGGTGAAGGGAGGGAACTTAGAGGACAGGTCAATAGGTGCAGCAAACTGCCATGGCACACGTATACCTGTGTAACAAACCTGCACGTTCTGCACATGTATCCTGGAACTTAAAGTTAAAAAAAAATTAGGAAAAAGAAAGTGTCACTGAAGGAAAAATGAATGGAGGAAATAAATCACTGTGCAAGGGAAAGAAATGTGTGACGGCTCATCAAGAACTAACCTCCATTTGAATAAGAAAAAATTAATGACTAGCCACAATTATGCATCCTGTAAATCCCAAAGAATGAAAATCATCTCATTCTATTAAATTGGATGGCCCACCACTATCACCACCACTGCCCATTCATTCAGCACAGCAGTGGAGACAGATCACCTCCTGATCTGTCTTGTATCTAGAAGGCTGTTGAAATGACTGTTGGACTGACTTGAGGATGATTTCATCAAACAATTGGCCAAACAGCCAATTTAGCAGTCCTTTGCTTGTTAGCAACTTGCCCTCCTTTCACCTGCCAAGGAATTAATTGTTTAATTAACTTGATTGCCTAGATTAACTAGGTCAGTTGTTTTATGAATAGACATTGCCTTCAAACTTGTATTCACAAATAATTTATTAAAGAGTGTGCTTTATTCTGAGATACAAAAGGTACAACACTAGAGGTCAGTAGTTCAAGGCTCTTCTCCATTTTGGTAACTGAAGAACTACTCGACCTTTTTATGTTTCAGTGTCTTCATCTGGAAAATGGGCTGAGCAGTGACTTTGGGGCTCCAAGTCACTGTTAATATTCTCTGATGCTTCAATACTCGTAGCAAAGCAGAGAAATGCATTTGGAAACTCCCATGATGCGTTTTACACCGTCACAGGCAGTTTTATGAGATGTGAGACCTTCTCGTGGCAAATTCACTTCTCCATAGGAAGGAAATTAGTAATTGGCTTCCTCAGTAAGCTTGATCTAATTCAACCTACACATTCTGGAGGGCAATTGGGCAGAAAAACCTCGGAAGCTATATAGCCGAAGAAAAATTTCTGACTTTACGAGTTAGGTAATATATTTTCAAAATAAAGAGTATACTTGGGAAATTCCTTTGTGAGATTCAACATGGAATAACAAAAAGTTAGGACTTGGGAACTTTGACTAAGAAAGTGTACACAGGAAAGACAAGGCTGGAGAAAACACTGAGTCCAAGGCTAATATGGATCATGAAGATGTAAGTTGCTTGGTTCAGGCTGGGTCTGTGATGAGAGCCTACTATAATTACAGACACGTTTTACTTGCATTATCTCATTCCTCTTTACTAAAATAAATAACTCTCTGAGGTGATTACTGATCTTATCTCCATTTTGCAGATGGTGAAGTGAGGACTCAGACCAAGCATCAGCCATTGCTTAAACCCAGGTATGTCTGACACCAAAAGCTGTGATAGTTCCCTTTACCCAATCCTTTAGGACACATTAAGCTGCCAAGTAGGTTGGTGCTTAGTTTTGGAAAAACACGTCCATTCTGAGTGGTCAGACCATACATTTCCTCATAAAATCTCTTGTGGTCACATTGGACACCAGTCTGATGGCTTGGGATTACTAGGTCATGTCAAGGTAGTCTGCAGAAGTTGAGTTTAAGGAAAAGGGAAGATTAAAATCAAAGAGCATGTCTTTCAGATTGAGTTGAATTCCTGGGACTCCCCTCCCATCCACTTAGGCCAGATGGGAAACAGTGTGAAATTGAACACAGAAAAATGTTGAAAGGGATATATATTAGAAAAAAATAACTCAAAGGGGTTCAACCAGAAGCACCTAATCTTGTCTCACTTCACATATTCTCAGCTCTGGTCTTCACATCTCTTCACTGCAGAGGGAGAAGTAAGATCTGCCCACTCTGCTTTTCCAGCATGCTGTAAAAGTAAATGAGGCCGGGCATGGAGGCTCAGGCCTGTAATCCTAGCAATTTGGGAGGCTGAGGCGGGTGGATCACCTGAGGTCAGGAGTTCAAGACCAGTCTTGCCAATGTGGTGAAACCCCGTCTCTACTAAAAATACAAAATTAGCTGGGTGTGGTGGCACATGCCTGTAATCCCAGCAACTCAGGAGGCTGAGGTAGGAGAATCACTTGAACCCGGGAGGCAGAGGTTGCAGTGAGCCGAGGCCGCGCCATTGCACTCCAGCCTGGGTGACAAGAGTGAAACTCTGTCTCAAAAAAAAAAAAAAAAAGTAAATGAAAATGTGTGAAAAGTGTTTCAATCTTATTGAAATTGGTTAAATGAATTCAGGGTGCTCTTTGTTATGCATTATTACAAGTTATCATTGGTATCATAAGTAGCAGCCATTTAAGAGAGCTCTACTTCATCTCCAGGCAGAGACTTATTTCTGCCACCCACTCAGTGGTTTTTGATAAAACAGATCTTTCTGCTGTAAAGAAAGCCAGCAACTGGCTATAAAACTATTTGCTTGGGATTATCTTTTAAATGACACAACTCTAGCAAGTTCCTACTCCGTAATATACTTTTGAGTTCTTCTTTTAACCCTCTGCATATTTTCATCTCTTTTCCGTGTGTGTGTGTGCATGTGCGTTTATGTGTGTGTTAAAGCCAGACTTTCAGGACTGAGACAGAACAAATGAATGCATCCTCAGGGGAAATGCTAAATCAGTGACATGAAGGTGATTTAAAGGTCTTGAGGGTCATCCAATATTATTAAGCTTAAAGCATAGCCCTGACTTCCAAGGAAATAGAGCCAGCTGAAACCAGCATCCTCAAATTTAAAAACTGAAATAAAAAAGAATGTTGTATTACAACTCCCATGTTTAAATAACTCAAAAAGAGAAAGACATTTCCAGAGAGAAAATAATTTTTTCTCTAGATTCATTACATAGGCGAGTTCAGCGCTTTTCTGAAAAGCTCTGTGCAGGATGCTTTTTAACTCAATTTAGTCCCCACTTTAAATTCTGTTTCTTAGGGCAAGAAAGCTTTTTTTAGAGCAGAGCCAGGTAACGGTCAGCCTCCTGGATAGTCTGAAGCTTATGAAAGCCATACTCATGCCTTTCATCTCTCCATAAAACTGTACACTCTCCTGATTACCCCAAATTACAATGTTTGCTGCTACTCTCTTTAATCAGATTTGAGCAATTCTGTTTAGTTAAAAAAAATCAAATGGCATTTCCCTTTCATAAGGCTTTGCACTTCATAAGAGGAGTGAATTCTGTTATTCTTCATAGCTCCCCATGAGAGATTTTTCCATTAACGTTTTGAAGCCATGATTGTTGTATATCAAGATACTCAGTCTTGGCCCCATGGTGGTGGATTGGATTACTTTGCTGATTTCTTACCTGCAGTGTAAGACTCCAATGTAGATTAGGACATGGTTTAAGAGGAATTATCTCCTTTTTTTAATAGATCACATACTGAGTTTCAAGCTCCAAATTCAACAGAAAATCAAGCTAATTGTTCATTTCTTCCAGGATATCCCTGAAGGATAATTGACCTCTGCAGAGCAACTTCTTAGTAGGAAACTAAATAATTAAGTTGAAGGAAATACATTTCTTGTTCATGATTCCAGTTGTAAAGGGTTCTTTGTATGTGTGATGAGATCATAACCCTGCATGCATTTTATACAAAAGATAAGTGCACCTGTTTCCCCAGTCTGTATTGAACTAGCTATTTTAAGCAAGACACATATCCAAATGACTATTATAGATAAAATCTATACCTTTTAAAGTTATTGAAAGAAAATATTCTCACTCAAATCAGGCCTCTCCTCATCTAATCTGCACCAATTGGGTTAATCCTTACACTAAAATCGCCCTACAAAATGATCTGGAAACATACGATATAGACAGTTTTATTAAATAATAGGTTTCATTGTTTTCCTCAATTGGCACATTCATATTATTTTAATATACTGTGCCTAACTGCCTATCCTATACATTTTCAGCTGTGGCAGTGATTCATACTTCCTAAACAATAAGAAAAGAATGCTATCCACAAACTCCTAATTCAGTAAGTGCACAAATCAACAGCCCTGATGAGGCAGTTGTACCTTCGATGCTGTTTATAAGCTTCTCAATGAAAAACATTGTAGTATACGGTCTTCTCAAAATAAGAGAACACTGAAAGAGAACTAGTATTTGCTCCAAACTCATTAAAAATCACTCTTCAATTACAGAGGCCTTGGCATTTCCTGGAGTCAATTCCAATTTAAATCAATTCAGTCAACGTAATTTTTAACTTAACAGTTATAACCTCCAAACAAAGTTTTGCCATTAAATATTTCAAGGTGCTAGAGAAAAAGGAAATGGTGTTCCCCAGCATAGCCTGAGGCACGGGAAGTCTGCCCTCAGAGAGGACAACTTTGCTAGCTCACTGCACATCCTAACCACCCCCAAAGTCTCTAATTTGTAAATTGCTGAATCAGTTTGTGCACATTTGGAAAATTACTGCTTTCCTGCAATTTTCTGTAAGCTATTGCTAAATTGTTCTGCTGAATGTTAGTGAAAAATTATATTTTTAAACCACCTCTGAATCCTAAAAGCCCATGGCACAGTATTCTGTTTGTGTGAGCAATTTAGCTTTATTAAGCAGCATGACATAGACTGAGTGAGCTAAGAAGCTTGGTACAGTATGTGCCCCAGAATGATTAGCCAGAGAAGCTAATCAGTTTCCATCCTGATTTTGAGAGTGGAATGGACACCTAGCAAGGAAGGAGGTTCTCTTTGGGTTGCTTTCCAGATAGACCTGACTCCCTATTTTGCCTTGGATATTATTAGAGAAATTGTTCCAGACAGTGGAAGTTTGGAGAACAGCACTTTCCAGACAGCATTTATTTCTGAACTTCTCTGTATTCAACCTTTTACCAAACCACCAATTGTAGAGTTTGCTTTGCTCATCTTGGGCAATAAGGTAATACAATGCCCAAAAAGAGTTCAAAGTACTCTATTCCAAAGGCAGAATTTGTCCATCCACTGGAAAAATGGATTAAGGTAACCCAGCTATAACTCCAAAGGTGAGAAAGACACATTTAAAGGTATCTGTTAGCATACAAAGTGATGGTAGCTCTGCAGACCAAGGCAACAGAAATGGTTACTGAAATCTGTTAGTCTGTTTGTGTCCTCCAACTCATCCCCTGACTGGAAGTTTTAGAAAGGACATATTGAAAGGAAACTTGCAGAAATTCAGTGAATCGTCCTGTGATGTGCTCTCATGTTTCACTGTGGGAAGTAATATTCTTGCTGAGCAGTTTGTTCCACTATAAATCTTTAGATATGCAGCCTTCTCTAAGATTATTGTATGAATTTAGACACACCATTCTGGAAACTAAATTAGCCTGCATTTACTGGGAAGTTGAATGCAGCCAGACTAATGGTAGTGCAAGTGTAATTGGTTCCCACCATGTGTCACTGTGTATACTTCTCAAGCCCCAGAAAAGATGCATTATGGGCCTAATTTTTAAATGTTAATGGATATTGGACACTTGCCAGACACCCAGCTGTGCACAAAACACTGGGATGGTAAATAGCTCATGATCTGTTTAGAAACAAATGATGATGGTTTTTAGGATTCCATGGGACTGACGGCATGGCTACTCGCTCAGACTTGGAGGCTGACCCCATTAATGGCATTGAAGGGAAGTGTTCTGATTTTTACCATCAAAATTAAAGAGCAAGGGCATTGTGTTAAAGCCTAAATTATTTTTGATTAATATTAAGGAAAGTCTAGTCTCTCACACCTATTAACCTTACCTGTGTTAACATAGCTGTTTGACAAGTGTTTTTGGTTTGTTTGCCTGTTTTCCATGGGATCGGGTCAAAATGAGAATGTCTTTATCAATTAGCTTGGGTGTAAACGCTGCAGTCAGAATGACCTGCTCACTTGTGCTTGCAAAGACAGCCTCACTCTCCCACCACACACCTGCCACAGGGCTGACAGAATGGCAACAGGTTTCCTTTCACTCGATCTGTTGCTGTTATCATTTTAATTGAAAGTCAACGAATGGAGCATTTTCTGTAAATTCTTTCTCTAAAAGGTCTTACTAATTGTATACACTCTGTCAGCCAAGCCTACTAGAAATGGCTTCTTTTTGTAAAAAAAGAAAAAAAAAAGTATTGGTGATGAGCTGTTTTTGATTAAAACACCATTAGGAAGAAGTATCATTCTTAGCATAAACATGGGAGAGAAATGGAGGCAGGGCGCCGTAGCCTACTGTTCCTCTGCAAAGAGGAACAACAGGCTGGTGTATTCTGCATCTAAAATGCCATCTGAGGCTATCAGCATGGCTTAAATATTTCATCAGCCAAGGAGAATATGAACATGAGCCGAGCTGGTCTGACATCATTTCTGGAGATGTGTGAGAAGCACTAGGGGAGCTCTAGTGTGTTGGCAATTCAACCACTAGCAATTTGTGTAGGGTGAAAGCAAGAGAAAATGACAAGAGAGGGAAGGTGCTGCCATCTGAATTCAGCTAGCATAAAAGTAAGAAAGTTTGGATTGGGAAGACTTTTGGCAATGATGCTACCCTTTTAGAAATTAGTAAGGATAACTCACTTCAGGAGGTGGTTTTACGTTAGAAAACTTTGTGGATGGATCTTTTGAGTAGCCAGCTTTCCTATTTATATCTTGTATTATTTTATTGTCCTTAGCAATAGGAGAACTCAAGCCATGGTGTTGGTCCATTTTCTTCAAGGGCAGTTTGGACCAAAAGACTCTGATGACTGAAAGATACAGATTCAAGTCCTGGTTCTACCACTTACCAAAAACAGTGTAATTTGAGGCAAATTGCAGTCTCTATAAACTCCGCTTCTGTAACCCTAAACAGGATTATGACTAAAGGTATGTAAAAGCATCTAGGGCACAAGAGTACTTAATAAATGCCAATAAGTAAAACTTTGGCCATGTCATGTAACAAGAGACAGTAACATTTTGAAGCTCTTTATATTTTTTCCTTATTTTAAATTGCAAGAATATAGTATTAAAAATAATATACCTCTTTTATAACATTTTTCTTTAAAAAATTTTCCTTTTTGATAGAAGCTTACTGGAGGGTGTATAGTAGCAACTGATTTTGGGGTATCTTCTAGATATTTCACTCTTCTGCATCTTATAATTGCATCTTTAGGAGGGAGAACCTAGGACAAATGACACAGAAAGCATTAAAAGGATAGGAATTATTTTTCCGCAAACCTAGTTTCCCCAAATCATCAGAGACTGAAGGTCTGAGTTCCTCACTTACTAAAATACAGATTTTAAAGGCTCAAATGGAATCTGAAATGGACTCTCCTTATTTGAACTAAGGCTATAATTTGGGGTGTCCTACAACCTGGTTTGGGGAGTCAAGTATTTTATTAGAGACTATTTTCAAACCACGGATTCAAATATTACTTTTTAAAAAGAGCTTTATTGATATATAATTCAAATAACCATAAATTCATCCATTTAAAGTGTATAATTAATGGCTTTTTGCATATTTGCAGATATGTGCAACAATCAACACAGACAATTTTAGAACATTTTTGTCACCTTAAAAAGAAACTCAGTATTCTTTTCACAATCACCCTGCTATCCCCTCCCCCAAACCCTAAGCAAGCACCTATCTACTTTTTGTCTTATAAATGTCCCTATTCTGTATTTTCATGTGAATAGAATCATACAACATGTAGTTTCTCTCACTTAGCATAATGTTTTCAAGGTTTACCCATTTTGCAGCAGGTACCAATACTTCATTCCTTTTAATGGCCAAATAATAGTACATTGTATGTTGTTTAACTGGTTGTCAGTTCATGGACATTTGGATTGTTTTCCTCTTTTGTCTATTATGAAAAATGCTGCTATAGGCATTCATGTACAAGTTTTTGCAGAAACATATATTTTCTTTTCTTTCTTTCTTTTTTTTTTTTTTTTGTTTTTTTTGAGATGGAGTCTTGCTCTGTTACCCAGGCTGGAGTGCAGTGGTCTATCTCAGCTCACTGCAACCTTTGCCTCCTGGGTTTAAGCGATCCTCCTACCTCACCTTCCTGAGTAGCTGGAATTACAGGTGCACACCACCATGCCTGGCTAATTTTTCTGTGTTTTTAGTAGAGACAGGGTTTCACCATGTTGGCCAGGTGGGTCTCAAACTCCTGATCTCAAATGATCTGCCCATCTCGGCCCCCCAAAGTGTATACTTTGGAGCGGAATTGCTGATCATATGGTAATTGTTTAATCACATGAGGAATTGCCTTGCTATTTTCCAAAAGAGTTGCACCATTCACATTCCTACCAGCAAGAATAAAGGTTCTGATTTCTCCCTGTCTTTGCCAATGCTTATTGTTATCTAACTTTTTGTTTCTAGCCATCCTAATGAGTTTGAAGTGGCATCTTGTGGTTTTGATTTGCATTTCTCTGATGACTCGTGATGCTGAACATCTTTTCCTGTTCTTGTTGACCATATCTTAATCTTAACCATTATTGTAAGGTAACATCTAAGTGAGTAGACTTTAGAATCAAATAACTAACTGCAATACCTTATTAGCAAATATACATGAAAGGTGAAGTTTATCAATACTGCCCAAAGTTCTGAACACCGAGCTGTGGATGAGAGTAAATGAATATGTGAGTAAACTTGTGTGAAAGCAATAGTATAGGACACTTCCCTACTGAACTCACTATCGGCTTTGCCAGTCAAAAGACTTTTGTGGCAAGGAAAAGGGATGTATACTTCTCTTCTCATCTCAGAAAATCAGATCTAGTTGAAGCCATCGATGCAAAATGTTCTCTTACGCATAAGAAAACTGAGGACTAGGGAATTAAAGTGACCTGCTTCAACCGTTTAATGACAGAACCCATGTCCCTGGCCCTGACCTGTCAACCCTTTGACACCATTTCCTCTCTCCTGCTCCATTCCCCACGGGCTCTAATTCTACTTCTCATCCGTTCTTGTAAGCCCCCTGGAACCCTGTAGGCCCCAGATTTTATAATAGTCCCCATGTGATGTCTTTGCGTTAGCCTGCTGTCCAAAATACCTGTGATTACTTTGTGTGCTTAGATGTGTGTCTTAGTTTCAAAATATTTTGTTTTTCAAAATGTCATGAGCTCAGCGTGATACATTCGAAGTTAATTACCTGAGCAGAATCATAAGGATATAGATTTGAATGGTTCCACACAGACCATCTTCAAACTCTTCTCCAAAAGCAGGCAGCCTCCTGCAACTGCCTCTGACAGATGGCGACCCAGCCTTATCTGGAACACTTTCTCAAGAGCTTGTAACTTTCAGATGTAGTAGAACTCTAATTGTTACTAAGTCCTCTTCTATACTGAGCAAAGTCTGCCTCCCTAACCTTCCCCATTGGTCCTAGTTCTGTCTTACAGAGCAACATCCAATAGAAACGTAAGTTCCTTCCTCTTCTAAAGTTCAGATCTTCTACTATTTGCAATCATCAAATAGCTTCCCTTCCCCAAGGTTTCTCTTCTTCTGATAGGTCTACTCTTGAAGGTCTTTAGAGATTCTTCATACTTGCCTATATTCCTCTTTCTTAGTTTGCTTGCCAGAATGCAAGCTCCCTCAAAGCAGAGACTTTATTTACCTTACTTAACACAACACTATTGCATCCCCAGCACCTAAAAAATGGGCAAGCGCTTAGAGTGCAATAAATGGTTTTTGAAGAAATATATGTTGAGTGATTGAATCCCAGTTGCCCTCCAAGAATGTGCAGTAATTTATGATATCTTGTATCCAGAATCATATCATATTCTCCAGAGAATGTTTGACTAGTGTTAAGTAGAAGGAGATTTCTCCCCTTTGTAGAAGCTTAGATAACTAATTTCATAACCTCATGCCTCTGTGCATATAACTCTATAAACTAGTAATGAGGAACTTCCTTGCTTTTCAGGGCTATAATGAACCACTGCAAGAGAATTTTATAAATATAAATGCGCGCTGATGACAATCGAACTGATAACCCTTTATAGTTCATGTTACCATTTCATGCACACTTTTTCAAGTATACTGTGATGACTTAAACGAAAGTAAATGTCCATCTGGCTTAAAGAATTTTAAGACATTCTAATGATGTCAAGATATCTGGCTGAACAATATGAAATCTAGGGCAATAGACATCTCCATTCTGTCTTGGAAAATGAATACCACGGTCCTTTGGTATTCATGGAGAATTGGTTCCAGGACCCATGAAGACACTGAAATCTGCAGATGCTCAAGTTCTTTAGTTGGCTCTTATTATTCACCAATTTTGGTTCAGAACCTGAAGATACAGGGGGCCAACTGTATCCTGAAGAAGGCTTGTATGGGAAAGACAAAGCCCCTATATTTTATAATTCCATTCAAGTTTCACCCCTACGAAAATCATAATGGACAATGAGTTTAATGTCCTTGAAATACCTGCTGAATTATAATCTTCTACTGGTGAATTGGTTTCTCTCTTTAAATCTTAATGATGTTCGGATGTATTAGGCTGTTCTTACATTGTTATAAAGAAATACCTGAGACTGGGTAATTTATAAAGAAAAGAGATTTAATTGGCTCACAGTTCTGCAGGCTTGAAAGGAAACAGTGCTGGCATTAGTTCAGCTTCTGGCAAAGCCTCAGGGAGCTTGCAATCAAAATGGAAGGTGAAGCAATAGCAGGTACTTTACATGGCAAAAGGAGGAACAAGTGAGAGAGAGAGTGCAGGGGGAGATGCCACACACTTTCAAATGACCAGATTGTCAGAACTCACTATCTTCAAGATCCAGAGTTCTGGATCACAAAGACACCACCAAGCCATGAGGGACCTGCTCCCATGATCCAAACATCTCCCACAAGGCCTCACCTCCAGCACTGAGGATTATAATTCAACGTGAGATATAAAGGGGACAAATATCCAAAAAATATCACTGGGAATGAGGTTATGATGCTGGGGTCTACAAGGAGAATGCAGGATATAGGAAAAGTCCCTATCAAATAGGACGAATGAGTAAAATAAAAGCCCAATATTTCCAGCAGTGAGGCATAGCAGGAAGAAAAGAAGCAAAGGTAGAGAGTGCAAGTGCATCTAGATATGCAGACAACTCTCCTTCTCTGCCCCCTTCCTGTCATGGAGTCATATCCCAAGAGGGGATGATAACTTAAAACTTACAGTCATCGGGGAACTCAGGAATGCTGGGACAAGTGCCAGCATGCTATTTGAGACTCCAGGTCCCTAGGACATCCTCAGCCTTTGGAACCAAGCCAATTCCCCATGGTGCAGGATCAGTAGCACAGAGGCAGCCCTGGGAAGAGGCCAGATGGATGAACCAGAGGCTGAAGTGAGACTGGTTAAAGCAGAGGTGACTGATATCTTGCTAACTGGCAACTTGAAGTATTCAGGAGAGAGGGGGCTCATAAAGGAGACTCAGATCAATTACAGAACACAAAGACACACATTGTCCCAGCATGCTAGTGTGGTTTGAGTATATTCGTGACCCCACTACTAATCTACAGGGAGTGGCACATGGGGAAACCCATGTCGGAAGAGATGGGAGAAATCAACCTGTCACTGCAACTCCTACCCTGCACCAGGAGATCTGAGTCCTGAGAGTTCTCCCAACCTGTCTGTGTGACTCTCCCACACTGTAATATTCTACTCTGTATCTCCATGCTTAGGTCTTTCTCCCTTATCAGAATGAATCCAATAAATTGTAACAATGCCCTGAACAAGAGAGGTTTTTTTGTTTGTTTGTGTTTGGTTTTGTTTTTGTTTTTGTTTGAGACAGAGCCTCACTCTGTTGCCCAGGCTGGAGTGCAGTGGTGTGATTAGCTTACTGCAACTTCTGCAGGGTTCAAGCAATTCTCCTGCCTCAGCATCCCAAGTAGCTGAGATTACAGGCGCCTGCCACCACACCTGGATCTTTTTTTTTTTTTTTTTTTTTTGAGATGGAGCTTTGCTTTTGTTGCCCCCACTGGAGTGCAGTGGCACGATCTTGGCTCACTGCAACCTCTGCCTCCTGGGTTAAAGCAATTCTCCTGCCTCAGCCTCCTGAGCAGCTGGGATTACAGGCGTCCACTGCCATACCCAGTTAATTCTTGCTATTTTTTTTTTTAAGTAGAGATGGGGTTTCACCTTGTAAGTCAGGCTGGTCTTGAACTCCTGACCTCAGGTAATCCACCCGTCTCAGCCTCCCAAAGTTCTGGGATTACAGGTGTGAACCACCACACCCAGCCAATTTTTTGTATTTTTAATAGAGACAGGGTTTCGCCATGTTGGTCAGGCTGGTCTCGAACTCTTGACCTGAGGTGATCTACCTGCCTCGGCCTCCCAAAGTGCTGGGATTACAGGCATAAGCCACAGCACTGGGCTAACAAGAGAGGTCTTAAATGTCACCTGGGTGGGAGGGAGGGAGGGAAGCATTCTGGGATCAAGGGGATACAGGGTTCTACCAGGGCAGCAGATAGAGAGATGCAGGGAAGAGGTTTGCGACAGCACTTGTTCACTCTAATGCCTTATCATTCCCTGCCTCTTAAATGAAAATCCCACAACTGCTCTCTCAGTTCTCAGTGAAACCACACTACTTGGTTTGGTGTTGAGTTTGTGGTTATAATTTTGGACGAGAAAGCACTAAGCTGTCTGACTAAACAGTTTTCATCATTTTCTTCAGTATTTACAAGGTTGTGCGTGCAGATACTGAATAAACAGACACAGGAGTGAGTGTCTAAGAGAAAAGTACATATTGCAATTGTTTGTTTTGGAAAAGTAATTTCCTCTATCAGTTCATTTTCATCAATTTTATCAATTCACTTAAGTTGCCTAATCCAAATGATACGCCACATATTGAAGCAGAAATGGAAGGGTTGGGTGTTTCGAATCTCTTTTAGTCCTCCGTATTCCTGCACTAAAAATCCCAGGCATTGCCAGCTACAGACTTGACTCCATTTTCATAGCTCTCAGTTTGGGATTCACGAGCCTATTGTGTTACTGAGCTGCATGGAGAGGAAAAAGCCATGTTCATCCCTTCAAGCTGTCTGTAATCATTATGTGATGCGATGTCTCACCCAGGTTCTGTGACAATATGTTGCACAGGAGTTCCTAACAGGAAAACAAGGGAAGCTTTCCTGTATGCTGCTAGAATTGGTGAATATTCCCAATATTTTTTAAAAAGCAAGGTCTAATCAGAAAATATATGATTCCCTTTCTTGACAGATTGATACCCAAAGCAGATTTCACAGATATACTAATTTTAACAAATCCATCTTTGGAAATTTTTTATTTACAGAACTCATCGCAGCCTCCTCTTAATGTAATGAGATTTCATAATGAAGTCCAAATACAATCTGGTAGAGGAAAAGGGCATGTAACACTGATTCTAATAAGCCTGACTAAAATCAATAATGTTGTTAGTTTCCCTGAAACCAGCCTGCATTGGCTCACGGAACTATGTTCTGCCTAGAGAACAGTATTAGTGGTTTATGTTATATTGGGTAGATTTCTTCCATAGGAGGAAAAAAGATAGAAACTTAAAGAAATTAAGAAATGTTTTAAAATGTGTCTTTAGGCTTCAAATGACCACAAATTTGTTGGCTTCTCTCTTTTAATCCATGCTTGCTTTCTGTGGAAATTGCTTGATGACATCCTTGGTACCTGCTGGTTTCTCTGTGCCTATTTCTGTATCGTCCTTACTGCTGTCTCCTTTCCCACTTTCGAGGTCTCACGAGTAGGAGGTTGCTTACAAGTGTGTTTTGAGGAGGGTGTACAAAGAGAGCCCTGTATCTAGAAATCACTGTTAGAGACCAAAATCTCAGCAATACAGACATTCTTTCACATGAAGGCATTGTCTGGTTAAAATGCTAACACCCATGGTAGAGTTGGTGGAATTTAAAATGAAACAGTTAAATTTTGATTGTGGAAAGTAAAGAAAAAGGCCTGGAGGTCCACCCATCACTCAAGAAATGTTTGGCAGAGGGTTCTAAACATCCGGCGAAGGTTTACAGGCAGGAGGGCAGTTTCATGGGCACAGGAGAAAAGTGCAGAGAGAGGAGAATGGGAGAGGGGGAGTGAGAATTTGATTCATCTTGATAACAGTATTGAGTGTTGTCTATCTATGAAGCAATTGTCCAGTGCTTTGCATTTATTAACTCACTAAACCTTCAAATAGCTCTATGGGGTAGATACTATCATTGTCCTTACTCTACAAATGAAGCATCAAAGACCACAGTCATGTCTGTGGTTAAGAGGAACTGTGGTTGGCGATCCTCTAGGTTCTATCTCTAGCCTTCCCCTCTGTATGGAATTTCTTGCCTTCATGGCTCATCTACTCTTCTGGTGTTAATAGCCACCTCTGTGTTGTTGACTTCCAAATCGGCACCTCTCTTTCTAATCCAAGCTTCAGAGGCTGTGCAGAAACAGTAACAAAACAGAAAATTCTTGCTGTCAAGTCCAATGACCCCCTACTCCTGGTAAGATTTATAGGCAAGTAAAATCAGGTTTATTAATTAAGTCACAAAGAGGGCTGTGTTGCCTGAGGGGGGCTCTGTGTTGGGCATAATGAGTACATATACTGGTTGATTCTTTGTTTGAAAATATCCCTCAAACTTTATGTCTTAGTTAAATCTACCTAAATAGAAATCCTCCTTTGCCCCTCAAGACTGACTCTCTGAATCGCTCTCCCACTGCATAGAGTTCATAGCCCTAAGCAATTGCCCTAATTTTCCAGGCCCTAGGTTTGCCTCAATTCCATTCTCACCAGGTGGTGCAGCAGGCAGGTATCTGAGAAACCCCATGTTCATAAAATTTGAGTAGAGCTTCTTGTGACCGGTTCATCTGCCAAGGGCCAGCCCACATCTTATGTCTATTTGTGCACTGGACTTCCCATAGAGCTTATTTATCTGATGCATATAATGCACCTTAAAATTGTTAGTTAGCAAATTGTTCACATGTACTTGACATGTTTCTCCAAATACACTGTAAGTACATGGACAAAAAGCACTACATCTTGTATACTTTGAAGCAGCTAGAATGGAGTAGTACTGTGGAGGTGCTCAAAAAGGGTAGATGAATTGGCTGATTACAGAGGGGGTCCAGGATCCTGAAACAATAGAATGAGTCCACTGATTCTGATTTTCTCCATCTGTGTGGATGTTAGCAGAGAGTTAAACAGATCAGAAAAAGCTGTCTGGGTTCTGGACATTGTCCTGAACCAGAACAGTGGAGTCTGGTTCAAATGCAATTAAACTTAACACAGGAAAATGCCAGAGAGAGAACAAAGCCAAACAGCCCAAGGTAGCTCCATTTTAATTTCATTTTTAAGCCTAAAATCAAATCAGTGGATGCTGAGTGCCTATTGTGTACAAAGAAGCCTGTGCAAATCGGCAGATACCTGAGAGAGCTGCCTTCTCTTAACCCAAACACCTTTCACGGCAGAGCACCGTACTTGGAGACAGAACAAGGGGCACCATATTCCATACATGCCTCAAAATCCAGGAACAAATTATTTAAAGTCTCTGAGCCTCATGGAATTTTTGATTTGTTTGTTCATTTGTTTTATGATGTGCTTGCATCTGAGTGGCAGGAAAGACTAGAGCCATCTTGCTTCTATGTGGAGCCAGAGAATTAAACCAACCCTGGAACTCAGAGGTGGTGCAGTTCAATTTGACACACAAGACTTCTTTGGTCTTTGCTATCTTCAAGAGCCTGTGCTAGAACCTGTGTTATGTGACAACGTGACTGCGACCCCCGAAGAGCAGCAGCCAACTTATGACTATGAACACCCAAGCTGAGGATGAATCAGTGCCCTATGAGGACAGCAGAGCAGAAATATGACAGCTAGTGCTTAGTACTGAGGACATCATTGTGCCCTGGACTGCCTATGTTAAGCTTCTTGTTGCGTAAGATAAATATTTTCCTCTGTGTTTAAGGCATTTTGATTTGCCCAACCCCTGCCTTAACACTGTCTGCAAAAGAGTGGAAAAAAAAATTCTCCTATCTAGAGTATTTCTTCTCTCCTGCTTTACTTAAATTTTTTTTACAAATATGTACATAGAACTTAAAAATATGTACACAGAATACTAAAAATGTGAGGTAATAATAATAACATGTTTCTCAGAGGGATGGTGTGAGGATCAGTAAGATAAATATGCAAAAAATACTGTAGACGCATTAATAATTTCCTTTATTATCTTCATCGTCACACCACCAGACTCCCTGCCTTTGCTCTCTTCCCAACAACACTGCCTGCCGTCAGTGGCGCGGAGTCAGGCAGGCAGTGCTACGGAGTCCCTTCAGAGCTAAGACAGCAGGGATGGAGAGAGCTAAGTGCTGTCAGTTATGTTGGCTAGTGAGGAAGAAGGGGGTTAGCTGCTTCACTCACAATTTTGGAACCGTGTAGCTATTCACCCTGTTTATGTAACAGATGCTAAATAGAAAAGAGATGTCAGCTTGGAAAGCAGAAACCCATACTAACCAACTCTGAAGTGAGAACTCTAATGAAAGCCAAAAATAACAAAGTTCTCTTCTCTGTGACAAGAAAGGGGTATTAAAAATTCAGGCAACCTGAAACAATCCATTCAAAATGGCATAAATCTTCCTGTAACATTTTACCATATTCCTGAATGCAACTTTTTCTACACTCACTCAGGCATGATTGTGATGGAAAGCAAGATGGATGCTATTTATAAACCAATGATTGAAAAAAAAAATTCAAAACTCTGACCGATAGACCAATGTATCCTATATTTTTAGTGGAAGCCATAGAAGGTATAGTTCTGTAGTAAAATACGTCATTTCAGTGATACACAGTTTACATTCATGTTTTTATTTTTTTAAATCATTATACATCTCCATAGGGTTTAGGTCCCCACTCCCCCCCAAGAAAAAGAGACAGAAAAATCACAAACATCCAAAGTTAAAAATTTGTATATAAATTGTATAAATTTAAATTTATAAATATAAATGTATATAAATTATATAAATATAATTTAAATGCCCTGTAAGTTTTCCTTTCAATAAAAACATTCTTACAATTTATATTTATGTAACCATCATTCAATAAGGCTAATATATAAAGATATTGCAAGGAACTCTTTCTTGTCAATGATCTGGAGATATTGCTATTGGCTTTTATTGGTAAGTTTACTCAGCAACAGTTAAGATATATACAGTCCATTGCATCTTTGTTTTGCACATTCTTGTTCAGGGTAATAAAAAGGGCCAAATTCCTTTAGTTAAACTTTTACAATGATATTGTGGCAATATATTTGAAATATTTGTCACTCTCCAAGGAATTATACTGATCAACATACAGCAGACTTTCAAATAAATCTAATTATTTGAATATGTTTATGATGGTTACTTAAATAATATTTAAATATGTAAAGATATGGCTACTTAAAAACGTTGCAGTGTTCCTGTAAAATCAAGGTTTGTTTGACTTTGATCAGGTCTCCTCCGTAAGAAGTTCGTACGGCAGTAGCAGAGCCAAGGGTCTTAAACATTCTGAAGCACCTCTTCCGTTCACCCGAAGATCTCAGGCATTCCGGATGCTGTCTCTCTGCTTTGGAATCCTGCTGAAATGAGCAGAAGTGTGCATGTGAGGAAAGTCAGGAAAGTTCATTTTATTCAGAAGTATGGAAAGGGCTGTGTGGATTTGTTTTAAAAGACCCGTCCTGGACATTGAGAGAGTGCTTTGAATTGGATATTGATATTTTCATTGAAGCTAGAGGAATCTGAAATGTTCACTGGAGTAAAGAGATTATGTTGTGATAACAACAAAAATAAGAAGCAGTGTTTCTCAGCCGGGCACGGTGGCTCACACCTATAATCCCAGCAATTTGGGAGGCTGAGGCGGGCGGATCACCTGAGGTCAGGAGTTCGAGACCAGCCTGACCAACATGGTGAAACCCCGTCTCTACTAAAAGTACAACTATTAGCCAGGCGTAGTGGCGGGCGCCTGTAATCCCAGCTACTCGGGAGTCTGAGGCAGGAGAATCGCTTGAACCCGGGAGGCGGAGGTTGCAGTGAGCCGAGATCGCGCCATTGCACTCCAGAAAGCAAGACTCTGTATCAAAAAAAAAAAAAAAAAGGTGTTTCTTACTACTGTGGCTTATGATGTAATGAAAACATGGTTATTCGCCACCATGGCACACGTTTACCTGTGTAACAAACCTGCACGTCCTGTACATGAATCCTGGAACTTTAAATTAAATTAAGTTAAATTTTTAAAAAAGAAAATATGGTTATTTATCATACGGGAAAGACCATGATGTGTTGACTGGTGTGCACTAGTTGCTAGTGCCCTCTGCTGGACAGAATGAGCATTTCACCAGGAGGGCTGTGGCTGGGCTGTCTCCCTTGTTACCAGCAGTAAGGATGGATACATATTTTTCCAATTCAGATGCTTTTGTTGTAAGACACACAACACACAGCATCTCCCCAAGGACAAAAAAATCCAAACTAAAGACAAGATACAGAGACTCATTCTTACTATGTGATTCTATTAGGAATAATGGTTTTCAATTTGCATAAACTCTGATAGCATTTTCTTTTTACTTACCCTTCCTGCCTTCTTTTAAACAAACTATATAAAACTCCTTACACTGAAATGTATTCCATAGGAACTCTTCCTATTCTTTTTCTTTCACTCTCTATCTCGGACATATTATCTAAAACATTTCTTTTTAAAAGAATATATCTTATACATATTCTATCTATATATATATTTTTAATATATGTTCCAGTTGTAAAATGCATCAATATAGTGTCATTTCAAATCTAGGCAGTAACCATGACATTGCCTTGCTCACCTCAAAAGGCTCCAGTTTATCATAAATGATCAGTAGCCGAGAGTGTGAAATCAAAGCTAGAGAAACATGAAAGACCTCCTTCTGGTGTCAAGTCCTTTGAGGCCAGTTCGGACCAGCAGTCCAGCAGTAGGAAACACAGCAGTGGAGGTGTGCAGAGGCTTGTGTGAACAGTTCACCGTTGTTCACACCCCTTGAGTTTGGTTGTTGAATGGAAGGTTGAAACATATTTCCTCAACTCAAAGCAAAACTAACCTGAAAACATAAATTGGCCCATTTGGGCTTCAAACTTGACTCAAATGTACAAAAAGGGGTTCACAAACTTCAGGGAACCTGATTCAACCTTTTAGTTTGTTAAGAAACCCAGAAGAGAGGGCCTTTATAGTTATCAAAGGTCTGCACGTTACCTCGCCAATGGAAGTGTGCTGTTAATAAAAGCTGCTCCCCCACGTGTCGGGGGCACCAACCCACTGTGCCTCAGAAGTTCCCAAATGTCTGGCATGGTACCAACCTTTTTTTTTAGGCTAAATTTATACTCTATCCAGTTAAACTGTGATGAGCGGAGTGTCAGTTACTTCAGTTAAACAAATAGCTAATTCTGAAAATAATATTAAAATTAACTTTGATAAGGTTATAGACATAAAAACTGAACATATTAAGGTTTTATATCATTGTCCACTTTATAATAATAATTTCAAAAACTTACAGCAAGGACCCTAATGTATTTCATGTTTGCTTTGTACTTTTCTTCGATATATTTGAAAATGTTTGAAAAACGGCTTATACTCCTGTAACATCTGCTAAATGGTCTCATAAGTGTCAGCACCTTCAATGTCACTTGCTTTCTATAAATAGCTAACATGCCTGAAGCTTCTCAAACATCACTTACTTTGTACCTGGAGGTTTGTTTTCCCTCTGTGTTGGAACAGATTTTTTTTTTAATGTATAGGCAACCCTAACACCATTGTTCTATTTTTCATACTTGGAGCTCTTCTTGCCTTTTGTCATATCTGATATTGTTTTAATATGTGGAAATCAGACAAAAATGTCAAAAGAAGAAGAAAACACCAGCAGAGATGTACTATAAATTGAAATATTTTATATCTACAGTAAAAAAAAAACCTTTAATTTTAAAAATGCCAGAAATGATTCCATCAGTATGAAAATAAAGATGTCATGACTAAATAGGAATTTTCAGTCTCTTAGCTGTCAATAATTAATAGATTATTTACACTGGCACACTTACATTTCCCAGCTTTCTGGATTCCATTTACACTTTGATCCTTTGCTCAGCAGCAAATTTAGCATCATTGTGACCTTCCTCTGCCCAACACCATCCGCCCATCAGACAGGGAGAGAGCATCATCTGATATGTGCATTTATTAAGGCAGCAAGCTCCAAATATTGGAAAAATGACAAATGCCAGTGTTTCCTATAATAAACTGGAAAAGAAACAGATTGTTCTTAAGGAAAAATCAATTAGCAAACCCTCTCTACAATGCTTTTCTTAGGAGACAAGATGTTTGCATCCTATGGTGAAGTATGGCTCTTAAAAGATTGTTTCTGATTAAAATCCTGCAGAATTGATAGCACTTTTGCAATGGTTATATAATTTCTTCATATAGAGGAAATCTTAATGTTAAAGATTCACGATGTCTGCTTAATTGTATTGCAAACAATGGTTTAAAATAATTGAAGTATCATTAACACCCTGATCTTAGAAAAGCCTAGATTATGATGAAAAAATGTACATTTAATTAAGTTTATATTTTAAAAAAGAAAATGAAAACTTATTTAAAAATTATGCCCAAGAAACATATTGTGAAAGTCCATACATCATATTAATGGTCAGAAAAAGCGTTATGAAACCATGGAATCTTAAAAATGTATAGTAATCAATGTGATAATATTTGGTGTAGATGCAAAAGACTATTAGTGTGGAAAATCATTTTGAAGCTGATTTTTCCTTTGATGTTGATTCAGGTTTGCATATTAAAAGATTTTGAACTAGGCCAAAATGATGTGGAGCTCCAATATGCAGTAAAGATATAAAGAAGAGTGAAAAATACACACTGTAGCTGCTATGTAAACAAGATGTCAAATATTATTTGTGGATTTCCTTACTAGAAAATGGTTGTGCAGATAATGTGTCAACATTTGCATTAATGATAGCACTGTTAATAATGAAACTGTGCAGGATGAAGCTCTTGGTACCATGTTTCAGCTTGGAATGTATTAGGGGAGGGAGAGGTGTATTTCACCTTTCTAAAAACAAAGACTTCAATATTAAGAATATATTACAAGTACAGTCTTCATGGTGAGTATGCAAATATCATCCTGCTTTCCCATGGCCTCTTTTTAGGCCATATTCATTCAGAATCAAAAAGAGAACAAGGGTTTTTTTTTAAGGTTATATGAGATTGAAGTGACACCTATACTGCTTTTGTGTCGATTTGGAAATTCTAAGCTCTTTTCAAGTGCTCCCCGTTGACCAGTCAGCAGGCCAAAGCTGCTTTTACCTCCCTTGGAAGGCTCCATAGACAAAGACAACCTTTTTTCAGCCAGTGTAGATCTGGTTTTATTGTTACTGTCTCACTCTATGGCATCTAACCAACAGCTAAGATAACTAAAATCTCTAGAATTTATGGAGGGCTTTTATTTCAACGAAAGTACTTTTATATCTATTTTTATTAAAACATGAAAACTTAGGGCTCAAAAGAAATTCAAGTTCCCTGGCCCATTTTTCACCTAGAGGTTCACTCTCATTTGATACGATTCTAAAATGCTGAAAATACACTTTGCCTAGGAAATGAAGGGTTAGAAATGAACCATTTCCAAGACCCCTTATCACTACGATGTTTTCTTTCTATGATTCTTCTTATGTAAGCCTCCAAATGAGATATTCCAAAAAGAACTTTGAGAAATCTCTGGGGTTTTCTTAGCAGACTACACTAATGGAAAGTTTTTCCATTAATCTATCTTCTGTTCCTTGCCCAGAATTTTATAAATGTGTTCAATCACCATATTAATTACAAAGCCACATGTGGGTGTCTAGAACATTCCAGACTCGAAAAGTATTTTCTTCCACCTGAGTGTAATCATGACATGAGCACCTGATCTCGTTTACTTTTCTCTCCAGAGCTGTGTACTTGTCCTCTTTCCAGCCTGACTGTGACTCACAGAGGGAAGAAGAACAAGGCAGGTTTTTCTAGTCCAGGATTTTTTTTCTGCTGTGAGTACGTATTTTTATTCATTGTGGTAGGTATTCAGTACCCCAGCAAATTACATCCTTCATGCAATACCACAGCATAGCAATTTCCTTTGCAAAATTCCTTGGCAGGAAATACTACCAAATGCTAACTTTGTCCCAGAAATAACTGCATATTGGACCATATGAAAGATTCTACACAATATAATTTAACTATGCTTAAAGAAATGGTGATGCCAGGAAAATCGCAAAGTATGAATGAAATTTGAAGCTTAGGATAACTTTCTACCACAAGTTTCCATCCATATGGCAATAATCTTGGGGGGGAAATTACCACTGCATTTAAAAAAGACATCAACGGCTATCTCTCTGGAAGATATGCTTTGCTGGAGGCAGAAAGATGAATGGCGAGTAATATTCTTTCTTGTTAACCTGTTTCACAACATGAAAATATCTTTTTATCAGTGATCTGTATATAATACAGGATTCTACCTAAATGCAAGAAACCCTAGTGTTTCAAGATGATTACAGATAAATAGTAGAAAAATACTGCATAAAGCTGATTTATTACCAGGCAACCCTACAATATTTAGACAACTAAAATAAACCTAAGCAGCATTCCATTTGTGACACTGGCCAACAAAACGGGATGGAGTTTTCACTAGAAGTGAATTTTCAGCTTGAGCTATGACCTCTGAAGAAATGAGATTTGTAATGTAAATGCGAATAGAGCCTCTTCCATGGCAGCTTGAACCCACTGCTATGAAAACACAGAATTACAAGCATCTTTCAGCTTCTTCAGTTTAGTTTTAATTACTGCAGAACAGCCTTCTTCTGCTTCTCTAGTCCTGCCTCTGTCAACACTCCACTCTGAACCTGGATTCTCTGAAGCTTCTGTGTTCATAATATAAGCTCGCTCTTTAAGAAGGCTTTGTTTTGCGAGATTCTTTTTAAATCTCTATTTTCAGCTGGATGACTGTAATTCCCTCCTACCATTTCCTATTCACTCTTTCTTTAAATTCTGCCCAGAGAAATAGATATCACTGTGCTCAAAATACTAAGTTCAAAAATTGCAGTTAGAAAAATGACTCCTGAAGGAAACGCACATCCTTATCCTAGGGAAATCCAACGTTAAAATTGGTGTATTGGGCATCCAAGATGTCTGCAGCCTTTCCCTTCACTGAAACTACTTAAGGCACATACTAAGGCTTTGATTAGCCAGCTTCTCTCTCTACAAAGTCTGTTTCCCAAACCTTTCAACCTCCCCTCACAGGTTCTTCTCCTTGTATCATCTACACCGGTGGTTCTCAAAGTGTGAAATGCAGAATCTTCAGGGTTCCTAAGAACCCATAATGGTTTCAGGGGATCTGCAGGGTCAAACATTTTTTCATAATAATACTAAGACATTTACCTTTTTCATTTTGTTGACTGTTGCATGGATTGTGCAAAAGCAGTGGTGGGTAAGACTTCCGGTGCCTTAGCAAAATCAAGGCAATGGCATCCACTGTATTAGATAGTTATTGTGCTTTTCAGTTGCCTCACACAGTTTTTGCAAAATCCTGTTTCACTTAGAAATATCTTAATAAAAGAGTAAAGATTATTAATTTTATTAAAACTGAATCCTTGAGTACAATATTGAATAATATTATTATTAATTTTTTATTAGAGACAGGATCTCACTATGCCACGTATGCTGGACTGCAATGATGTGATCATAGCTTACTGCAGCCTAGAACTCTTGGACTTAAGGGATCCTCTTGCTTTAGACTCCTGAGTAGCTAGAACTATAGGCATGTGCCACCACGTCAGGCTAAATTTTCTTTTCTGTTTTTGAGAGATGGGGTCTCACTATGTTGCCCAGGCTGGTCTTGAGCGCTCAGTATTTAATAATTTAGATGACAAAATAGGAAGAAGACATGCAGCACTTTTGCTGCATATAGAGATACAAGCTTTGTGTCGAGGGAAAGCATTTGTGTGATTGTTTGGGTTGCAAGCTCAACAAGACACTTTGTGGAACATTATTTTTACTTGAAAGAATAACCGACAAGCTATGATTACTCAATCTTGTGTATTTGGGGGACATTTTCCCAAAAAGAAATAAAATAAGCCTAGCACATCAAGAAAAGCAACTGACAATGTTTGCTGCCATTGATAAAACTAAAAGTTTTGAAAGAAAATTGAAATTTTGGAAACTTGTATCTAAATGATAAGCTTGCTGCTTCCCAATACTTGAAAATTGTTTAATAAGATTGATGATGATATCAATAAGTGCATTTTTTATATTACATAACAAAATATGTTAATATTTGGAAGATCTGCGTAACTCCCTGAATTTATATTTTCAAATGACCATTGAAAAATGTTGCAAAAGTCATGCAAGGGCAAAACAGCTACTCAAAATTAAAAGCAGACCAAGGGATTTTAATTAACAAAATATGAGAAGTTTGTTTAATGTGATTTCAGCTTTGGCATTGTAAGTAACTTTTAATAAACAACCACTTGCTAAGTTTTGGTGAAGTATCAAAGAGGAATATTCACAGATGATGATCTTAACAGACTGTTAAAGTACTCCCCTTTTTCCACTACATAGCGGAGAACAGATTTTCTTCATATGCTTCAACAGGAGTAACATATCCAAACAGATTAAAAGCTCAGAAGCAGGCCTGACAATCCAGTTTTCTTCTATGGAGCCAGACATAAAAGATATTTACAAACAAACAACGCAATATAATAACATTAGTCATTAATTTTTCTTGTCTTTGAAAATGTGGTGTTTTTTGTTTGTTTTGTTTTGTGTTTTTTTGAGACAAAGTCTCACTCTGTCGCCCAGGCTGGAGTGCAGTGGCACAATCTCAGCTCGCTGCAACCTCCACCTCCCGGGTTCAAGAGATTCTCCTGCTCAGCCTCCTGAACAGCTGGGATTACAGGCGCCCGCCATCATGCCTGGCTAATTTTTGTATTTTTAGTAGAGGTGGGGTTTCACCATGTTGGCCAGGCTGCTCTCGAACTCCTGACCTCAGGTGATCCGCCTGCCTTGGCCTCCCAAAGTGCTGGGATTACAGGTTTGAGCCACCGTGCCTGGCCTGGTTATGTTTTATAACAACATTTACGTTAGCATGTAATGGGGTTCGTTATTGTAATTTTTGAATTAATAAATATGTTTAGATTTCTCAGTTCTAATTTCTAATATGATAAGTATAGATTGACATAATCCACATAAACAAAAAATCAGGAGAGTTCTCAATAATTTTAAAAAGTATACAGAAGTCCTGAGATTAAAAAGTTTGAGAACTGCTGCTGTACACCCATTCGTTGTCATTGTATTCTAGTAGGCTCATTATTCAGCTACCTTGCTTTCTTTCAGACACAGAGTCCTTAATGTGGGGTCCTAAGTGGATTTTAGAGAGTTCACAAAACCATAATACTTCACAGAATTTCACTTAGGTATATTTTTTTCTAGGGCAAGAGTCATGAATTTTATAAGGTTCTCTAAGTCATGAGGAATCACTGCTAAAGTCAGGGATTGTATCTTCTCCAGACTCTGCCTAGACTCCATGGCACCTGAGGACAAACAGTATGGAAGTCACTGGGTTCTCTGGTGTCAAGAAAGAGTGACTTAATTTAACAAAATTAAATACTAAATTGATTTACTTGTTCATATTATGCGCAGTACTCCATCCAGGAGCCAGAGCGTAAGGAATGGACAAGGTATAGGATGAAGCTCTAATCATAGTAACTCTTCCTTTAGCTTTCCTCACTTTCCTATGGCCTTTCTTCCAGATGGATGGGATACCTTTCCTTTTGCTTCTCTAATGCCCTCTCTGCACATCCTGTGATGCAGCATAAGTTCATGATTATCTTCCCTGCTGGACTGTGAGCCCCTGGAGAATAGGAGCTATGCCTACTCATCTTTGCATCCACTGTGACTGCCACAGTGCCTGGGATATAAGAAATGCTCAACTATTATCTTTTTTAATGCTGTTAGTTTACAGTCGGAAAGAAAAAGCAGAACACAAATAACTATCATAGTAATGTAAACAATGTGTCATAGTGGCTTAGATTTGGATCGCCTGGATTCAAAGCCAAAGTTCTGCCTCTTAATACTTTAGTGACCTTGGACAAACTATTCTTCCTCTCTGTGGATCAGTTTCCTCATCTGTAAAGTAGGAAAAATAATAATGTCTACCTCATAGCATTGTTAGGAGGTAATTTTTATGAGAATAAAAGAGGTAATTCTTATAAAATTCTTAGAACAGTGCCTCCACATAGGTAGGCCTCTCTTGGTAAAGAAGATGAAGTCATTCATATCTGACTAAATAGGCAACATTTGAGTAAAGTGCACTTTATTCCAATATCATTTTAATTATCATTCACACTTTAACACATGTTTGAGGATAAATTTATAGAAGTCAATATCAGGTAGTAATCAGAGGTTCATCACCTTTTCATTTGATATCTGGCTAATCTCTGATAAGTTTTCTCCTCAAGTGACATGGTGTAGCATCATAAGGCGTTGTGCAGTATCAAATGTTATGCACAAATAGGTACCTAATGGTGGGTTTAAGGATGTTGCAGCAGTCCAAGTTCTTTCATTTTCCTGATTATAACTGCATTTGCATAATGTATGAATTCAAACATTATTGCTGTTAAATAATGCATAAATATTCTCTCATGCTGAAATATGTCTATTTCCTCTCCATGAATTCTGTTGAGTATATCCTTCAGTTGTTGTTCTAGTTACAACGTACTTGGAGATCCAAATACATCAGAACCATGACTGGGGGAAATGTCATAGTCAGAAAAATGCATATTCTCAGAACTGTAAATGAAGTATACATTATTAAGTGTGCCAGGTTTTTCCCTCTTCGGGGTGCATTATATTTGGAATCTAACATTTTCTATTTTAGAAATGGCAAATACTTCCTGGATCACCTGATAATTAGAAGAAATTTGCATGTCTAATAAAAATGTCCTGGAAGGTCTCAAAAAAAGAAGACAATTTTTTGTTTGTTTTCTTCTGTTTTTCCAAAGTTAAATATAAATATGAACATGATCATATACTTTAGAGATTTTCTTGCATACTAGGAAATACTATCTAAATTATTAGAGGCAATGATAATTGGTATGAACTCCCACTTCAACTTTACAGCTTTAAATTTTCCATTTAATGTACGCTCTATGATTCTCTTATGGAAACCGCAGCTGCTTCTTTGTTTTATAAAATATATGTTTAAAACAAAATATGAGTGTGTTTATTTCTAAATATATTGTCTATTTTTCTTTCCCAAAAAGATGACTTGCCTTTCCAATTTCCTTTCACTTGTAAAAGAGATATAGCCTAGGACTTAATTTAGAATTGACTGTAGTAGATTCTCTTGTCTTAGTCTATTTTCTATTTGCTGCTAGTATGAAATAATCAAGTGATCAAAACAGACCACATTTTAAAAATTGTATCTTATTTTATGATTCAACATTATGATGCCAAAAGATGTCTATCCCCATATTACGATTGCTGTAATGTTACTCACACACATGCAATCACATACACATATGAAGAGAGCCTATTTTCTCTGTCAGATGGATTTTCTGTCACTTCCCTATTCTATCCTCTACTTACTACTGCTGATAAAATGGCGTGGTGCATTCAAATGTCTAATAAAAAAAAGGATGTGCCTTTAAGAGAATGCATTTTAATTCTAAGCATTTCATTATAGAAAAAGATAGCTCTGAAATGCATCATAAGAACTTCAAACTTTTAAATGAGAAATTCAAATATATTTTATTTGAAAATTGAATATACCTGTATAATAAAAAAAATAAAATGGACTGTGACATTGCTTGTCAGTTTCACACATGGAACTCTCAAACAAATATTTGCTAAAGAAATCAATTTCATATACAACAAGGCTGTTCATTAAATATTTTCCACTTTGCCGTAGATTGTATGCAATGGAGCTATCAAAGCATGAGATAAGAGCTGCAGAGCCCTAGCTCTGGGCACTTCAGATTTAGAGAGTGCAAATTTTCAGCACAAAAACTTGAACCAAATTTGTTTCTTTCTCAACCTCTTTAACGAACAATTCTAAAGCCTATGGAGCAATTGATTTAAAAACAACAACAACCGTAGGAAGCAGACCACTGGGCATGGAGATCCAAGGACACCTTCCATTGGAGAGATTGGGCTACAATTTGGAAGCTTTAAACTCCTGCTCATTTCTCTGCATAGTTTATGCCCATAGGATATGTTACCTACCTAAATCTTAGTAAACAGAGGGAACTCCTTAAAGCTGCATGCTCAAACATTAGATTATCTTCAATGGAAAAGAGGTTTTATAAAAACTTCAACCCAAATTCCACTTGTAAACCCAGGAAAAGAGAAGACCCAACATCCACCACATCCTCAGATCCACCAGACAAACCCCCAGCCTTAAGTGGCCGAAAGAATTGGAACTTCAGCATTTTACTCTTTACTCTTTTTTTTTTGAGGCTGGATCTGGATCCCAGCATCTTGACAGCCTGGATCTCAACACCCAGGCTGAAGTGCAGTAGCACAATCATGGCTCACTGCACCCACAAATGCCCATGCCCAAGCCATCCTCTCGCCTCAGCCTCCTGAGTAGCTGGGACCACAAGTGTGCATTTTACTTTTATCAACTATAAAAACTTGATCCAACCAACCAAATGGCATAAGATTTGGGGGAGCGTTGCTGTTTTTATTGAAGCATATTAGATAGTACAAATAACTTTGAAACTCAAATTGCTTCTGTGAGAATGCTATGGCAACATGGGGAAGTTCTGCAAGTCTTGTAAATCTTATATCTTGGGTGTTCCCAGAACCTTTACACTGTTTTGTAAGTCTCTCCACATTCATTCAATTTGATGACATTTTCTCTACCTTGCAAAGTCCCTCAACCAAAAGAGCTTATTAGTAGAATAAACCTTTTGAAAGACACTAAATTTCCTCAAGGTGCTAGAAAACCACACATAACCTGAGTCTATTGATTGCAAAATTACTCTGTGAGGTCTGAATATTGTGCTGGGCCCTAATGTCCCAATTGCCTGCACTGACAAGTATTCCTGACTCAAGGTCTTGGGTAGATCAAAGCCCTGGTGACACTTGCACTCCGAATGCTGTCTCCCTTCTCGCCCTGACTATAGGTCCAATCTCCAGCTCTTACTCATTTAGGCAGTTTCTCTAAGGCTGAGATAAAGGAGTGTTTAATCAGAAAATGTATTAACTAATTGGTGAAGCCTATTATAAAAATCCCCCTAATTACTCTGTGGTGTCAAGAAAAAGGGCCTGTCAAGAGAGTATCAGTGCTACAACTGTGACAGCAAAAAGCAACATTTGGAAGTGCTCCTCCCTTGGGCCTTTTCTTTGATTTTTGCCTTTAATACTGATAAGAAGTGACAGTAGTTGGATAAAACAATCAAAACTTGAGTTGAAGAGCTTATAAACCTTCTGACACTTCAATAAACCAAACGCCAATATGAAACTAGCAAAATGGTTTTACTTTAACTCTGGCTAGCCACACACCACAGACATGACATCCATTTGCAGAGCTCTGAGCTCTCTCCTTGATATAATATTTTACTAACTCTCATTTCACATCTTTTAAATAAGAAATAAATGCTAAATTCTACCAAGAGAAATAAAATCTTTTATAATCTTTTAGACAGTTGTTGTCATCCCTCAGGAGAGCTTTATGCCTGCTGCTAAATGTCTACAAATCAATATTTAATATTTTGAAACATGAAGTCTTAATTATCTATCTCCCCTTTAAGCGTGAAACCCATACTGAGTGAAAATAAAACCATTTGTTGGCTGATGGATTGATTGCCACTTATTAGCACTTTTTTGATCTGCAGGTCAGATTACAGGGCTTCATTCCAGACACATACTATACCTTATCATTTATGCCTTGACGTATGAATGAGTAGAACAGAATATGGTAACTCAGGGCTATGTGAAGATCTTTTTCACTTTGGTTTATTGGAGTAACACTGACAAATTAAGAAAGAAATAATCTTCAAGTCATAACCATTATTTATGTTCCAGACAGACTTTTTACTCTTAGGTACAATAACAATAACAATACAAATTCTAATGCCCTATGTACAAACTAGAACACAAAAGAGAATTGTGTATATCTCTCCCTACCAAGGAGGAAGGAGGAAATTGTATGATCTTGATCAATTGTGTAATGTTACAAAAGCCCCAATTAAGAAAGGGGGAAAACCCATGGGCTTCTGTGCACCTTTCACCTGCCTATACTTGACCAGAAGCCTTAACTACAACAGAGCTGAACCCTGAGAAGGTCTTCTGCCTCTAGAAGTAAAGAGGCCACAACTAGACTGGTAATAAGCTGAATTGTCTTGGTTGTATTTGTCCAAAACATAAGCAGGAGCTTCCTGAAATGAAACACATGGTTAAGTGGGGAAAGGCTTTGTCCACTTTCTAGAACCTGTGAATGTGACCTTATTTGGAAAAAAAAGGTCTTTGCAGATATAATTAAGTTGAAGACCATGAGATGACAGCATCCTGGACTATCCAGGTGGGCCCTA
Source organism: Homo sapiens (assembly GCF_000001405.40). NCBI lineage: Eukaryota > Metazoa > Chordata > Mammalia > Primates > Hominidae > Homo > Homo sapiens. The sequence goes on along the minus strand of NC_000001.11, from coordinate 96,954,468 downwards.
AATCCCATGATAAACGTCCGCATAGGAGTCACACAGGGTAGAGGCACCCAGAGAGAAAGAGGAGAAGGTCATGTGAAGACAAAGGCAGAGGCTGGAGTTATGCAGCCACAAACCAAGCCATGCCTGGAGCCACCAGTGGAGGAGGCAAAGAAAGATTTCCCCCAGAGCCTTCAGAGGGAATGCAGCCCATTGACACCTTGATTTTGGACTTCCGGCCTCCAGAACTGTGAGAGAATAAATTTCTATTCGTGTAAGCTATAAAGTTTGTGGTTATTTGCTGTGGCAACCCTGGGAAACGGATACACACGGCATGAACACAAGAAGACTTAATGGGGAGCTGATGAGGTAGACAGGCACAGTGACAAATGAGCTGTACTGACTGGTCCTAAATTCAGCTGGGATGAGAGTTCCACAAGTGTTTAGAGGCCTCCCTCAAATTACATCTTTCTTGTTTACCTCGCTTTCTCTATCATTAACACTTTTTGGTCCTTTTTCCGTGTAAATGCACTACATGCCTATACTACAGAATAATGGGATTGTATAGCTTGGGTTTGCACATCAGCTCGGCCACTTAACCTTAATCATCACTTAATCACTCTGAGCCTGTATTCTATTATTTATAAGAAGAAGTTAATAATATCTCCTTATAGGTTTGTTGTAAGATTACAGATATATTTGTAAAGTATTTAATACGGTGCCTGGAATACCATCAATGCGCAATAAGTTATAGAAAAAGAAGCTGCTTTTTCTTCTACACAAGAACAGTAGTGTGTATTAAATTTGGACAGTATTAAATTTGGGTGTCATTCTGGTTATAAACTCCAGAAGAATGAGAGGCCTGTCTTTTGGATGCACCTAGCACAAAGTTGTGTTAACAAATGTTTTTTAAATGAATGATGTCACCAAGCTTGCGGCAATTTCTATGTCAAATTACACCCCTTCCCACCCTTAAAACTGGACTTGTCTCTATTATGGCATTTTTACACAATTGTTTGGTTCCCATCATTCCAAATTAATTCCATTAAGCAAGTCCCCAGCCTTATGATACAGTGATGAAGGTGGATCTTATCTTCAATTCCAAATTCATCCAACCTCTAAATCTTATGCCATCTCCAATTTAGGACCCTATAATGGAAACCACATTAATTCCAACTCTGTCTGGCTCTCTCAGCCCAGGTGCTTAGTTTATTTTATCTCTTACAATTTCAAATCAAGAAATATTAGCTTCTATTAAACAAGTCCTTTTACTGCCTCCCTGACTCTAGCCTCTACCTTGGCTTAAGCTCTTTGTCATACTCGATTGATTGCCTTGTTCCTCCCATCTACCCATCAATCTCCACGCACCGAATGCCCCAATCAAGTCATCCCTGATGCCTCTATTCATATTAATCTCCTTTTAAAAATTTATTTTACAATATCTGCATGGCATATTGCACAGATTATAGTTCTTTTCATGATGGAACCTCACAATTTAACATTTAGTTTTATCTGCATGTGATATACATATAATTCCAGTACAAAATCTGCTGCTAATACAATTTTATAGATATATAGATAGATATACACATATTTTTACATGTATACACACAACATATATACACATACACACATGTGAGTGTAGCTTGTCCAGGTAATCATACATACTCTCTTCAGAAGCAGTCCACATCTTTAACACTCATTAATTTTGTATTACATAGTTCATAACATAGATATTAGGCCCTCAGCAAATACTTTTTGATTGATCCTAGATCAGACACAACTTTATTGTCTAAAAAACCCAATAGAAACAAAAAATTGAATTGTATTTGCTTAATTTTTAAGTCAATTTTCCATCTTTAGTATTTTATGAGTTATTTTTATTTAAGCAAGTAGGAGAATTTTCCAATGCCAACCCATCTGTTCTTCCTCTTGACTTTGAAGTGGTCGTCAGGCTAAATTGGTAACATCTTTCATCCTGTGGCAACGCCCCCATGTTGTCGCAGGCATGCAATTCCGATTTCATTGCCCTATTGAGCCAAAGGCAAAGAGAGGCAACAAGAGATAAATCCCTTCAAAAACTCAATAAGTTTTAATAATAGCTAACAGACACAGAATACTACCCACCATAGAAATGCTTAATTGCTCTTTGTCATTAAGTTGGCTCCAATGATAAAGGCTCTTTGTGAAGGTCCCTTTCCCTTTGGTATTAAACTCTGAAGAATTGGACTGGAAGGGCTTTTGAATACCCACCCACCCCCAACACACACACACACACACACACACACACACACACACACACACACACACACACCCTCTTTCAGCTATCACTGCACTGAAATAATATAAACAAGGAGGAAGCCAGTCTACTTACAAAGTTCTCAAGGGAAGGAATCTCAGTCATTCTAGATAATACACCACAGTGTTTCAAAATCTTCATCTGAGCCAGTTCTACCCTATGTCTTCCAAATCACTCCTGTTTCACTTTAAATGCAATTTATCTTAGGCTGCCCTCTATGGAGACCAAAAACAAATTAACAATATAAGAGTGGGCCTGAAAGTAATAGAATAGGAGACCATTGCTTCTCTTGAGAATGTTAAATTTATTCCTACATTTCATTTACAATATTCAAGGAAAAAATACAAGTGAATTTACAGAGAGGATTCACTTGTGCTGTGGTCATTACAGTAGGTTTTTTAAAAGCTCTTTTTCTCCCAGAAGAAATCCACTAACTGAACATAAGGACAGCAAATGATTTTTATCAAGTTGAAATGTGGAGAAGAATTAGAGAATGTTAAAAAAGCATGTATTGGAACATAAAATGATAGAACCACATTCATATTTAGCCACTAATCCATGTCCACTAACTTTCTCTTGCTTCTTTATTTTCCTCTGGAAATTTAAAGGGGGGTCACACATTTGACAGCAATTTTCCAATGAATTATAAGAAAACTGAGGCAAATATGTGGGACAGAGGCCAGATCTAGGAGAAGCTACAACTCTATAAAAACATTGTTTCTGGTGCCTCTCTTTCCTCCCTCTCTACCACCTGTTAAAAGATAAACTAAGATACATTAAAATTTTAGAGAGTTTATTTGAGCAGACAGCGATTCATGAATCAGGCAGCTCCAGACTGTGGGCCATTTTGAGCTCCACTGAAGAAGGAGCACGAGGGGAAGGCTTTTATAAACTAAAGCAAGGCAAAGAAAATATTTGATTGGTTAGAGTGGAGCAGTTGCCTTATTGGGATCATTCCAGTGGAAAGTCCCTAGTCAGAGGTTAGTTGGCACCTTCTGATTGGTTAAGCCTAAATAGTGGAAAGTCGCTAGTTAGGGGTAATTGGTGATTTCTAATTGACCTAGAATATGAAAGTTTACATTGATTTGGGTTTCACGTTGCTTACTTAACACAGGGCACTTGATCTGCCCCAGTCTAATGGTCTTTCAACTAATTATTTTAGCATACCTCAGTCTCTCTACTCAACATACTCATTACTTTTTTGGAGAAATAAGTAAGATTAAGCAAGAGTTTAAAGCTCATACAAAGTGCCTGGCTTTAGTATCATTCAATAAATACCATTTTTCAGATTATTTTCTTAAATCCTTAAGCCTACTCTATGAGATAGATGCTATTATTAGGCAAGTTTTACCAATGAGGAAAATGTGGCTCAGAGAGGGTAAGCAATTTATCTAACTCATTAAGCTAGTCAATGCTTTACCTACCACACTACATTGACTCTATGGCAAAAAGGTGCCAGAATACTCCAGCCTTGTTTCCTTCTCTTTTACCTAAGGGGAATGCAGTCCCATGAATAGCTATAGCCTTGCTTCAGAAACTCTACATTCTTAATTGGTTTGCAAAGACTGAGGTAGAGATGGAGATCAGCTCCAATGACAGAGAAATACAGAGAAAGTCCTTCCTTTCCCTGCCTCACCTACATTGCTGCTTAGCACCATGGCCACCAGAACCAACCAACAGAATCTTGTAAGCCAACCTCTTGTTCAGATTCATCAAACCGCTGAAACTGTAGGCCTTCAGGCAATCCCATCAGTTTGTAGAGTTAAAGAATATTAGAACTAGGAGACACCTCAGGGGACAAATAATTGGACTTCCTCATCTTATATGTGAGAAAACAGGCCCAGAGCTTAAACAAACCTCCCACAATCCCAGAACCAATATGTGGGAGAACTTAGTCTTGAACTCAGGTCTTTGGACAAGACTCAAAAGATGGACTCTTACTTTATCATATCTGTAGTAGCTGTGGCCTTGATTTGTCATCCCCCTGCCATCCCTTGATAGCAAAACCATCATAGCTTCTACTTACAAAATTCCTTCCACTTCACGCCAAACATTATAACATCATGATACTTTTCCAGAGTTGTAATTCATTGTAGACGCATTTGTGTTTCAGCTATATATGTTCATTACTTTTCAACATTTAAAAACCAACTAGGATATAAGTCCTTAAAGATAGACTCGGTGTCTATTTTTCTCTTTGTGTGTTTTACTCTTTTCTTCACCCTATAATATACTGCAGTTCTCAAATCCACCCAGCAGGCTATTCAAAGACACCTTGCATGGCGAGATTCTCCTTTTATAAATATGAGATCTGAGAATTGAGTAAAAAGTTACAGTTTTTCATGACTAGAGGAAATTTTTGCTTCCATGGACTTTTTTTTTTACTAGTGAAATAACTTTCCAAATTCTATGAGCAAATTTAAAACCAATGAAACAAAAACACACCAGTATTCCAAGCTGCTATAGATTGAATACTTATGCCCCCCGAAATTCAAATGTTGAAGCCTAACCTGAATGTGATGGTATTTGGAGGTGGCGACTGTAGACATGGATTAGGTTATGAGGGCAGAGCCTTTATGAATGGGATGAGTGCCCTTATAAAAGTTGCCCCAGAGTGCTCTTTCCTTCCTTCTGCCACCTGAGGTGACAGCAAGAAGACAGCTGTCTATGAATCAGGAAGTGGGTCCTCACCAGACAATAAATCTGCCAGTGCCTTGATCTTGAACTTCCCAGCCTCTGGAACTGTGATAAATAAATTTCTGATGTTTATTACCACCCAGTCTGTGGTAATTTATTATAGCAGCCCAAACAAAGACATGATCCAAATGTCCAAGACAGCTACTTTTCCCAAAGGCCATTCATATTAGTGAATCATAATGGTCGGAATCACCATCCATTAACAGTTTGGCCACTCACTGGGTGTGAGGCTCTGCATATTTCTTGCAGCTACCACCACTATCAGCTCTACAGTATCTCAAGCCCCATCATCAGTCTCAGGACCTCTTAAATAGAACATGATTCTACTTTAATCATAATCAGCAGAGAAAGTTTGGGCTCCACAATCACTTTTAATGCCATTTTCTTGACAAATGTGCATTAAAGATTTGTTTACATTTTGCTGTGCAAACAGCTCACAAATGAACATGAACTTGCTTAAATATCAAGAGTTGGGGTTGAATTTCAAAAATGGGCAATGAATAGGGGAAAAAACAGTGATTCTGTACAGTGATTCTGAGAGCAGGAAAGGCATGCCATAGCTAATTCTTTTGCCATAGGGCAAATACATCATTAACCATTATCAATACATGATCATTAAATATAAAATACCTCTCTCAATTAGGTCTGAGTCTTCAGAATATAATTTGATCCTTTTAAAAAATCACATGAAGCCCTTGACTAACACAGACATATTTAATGCCTGTTTTGTTTCAGTTCTCATTACAAAGGCTACTATTGTCAGAGACATAATATAATTCCTACCAGAGGACTTAAGAAATAAGATTTAAAACAGGCCAGGGACTTATTCATCCAGATCAGATTTTCCAAAATGTCCAAAAAATTAATCAGTTCATCCTACACTACAAGAAGAGCATCAGTACTAGCTCATGAATTATGGAGCAGTTAGTCCAACTCTCAAACCTGAAAGTTTCTGGGGCAATTCATTAAGAAAAAGATCAATTTGTAAAATCCTGGAGGTTATTAAGTTGTTTAGAAGCAGCCCACAAAATTTGTCATGTCAAACCAATTCCATTTTCTTCTTCAGCCGGGAGTTGGTGAGAGGTGGCATGAAAGATGCAAAGGAGATGGCTTACTCTGTTCTTAATAAGGCTTTGGATAAATCAACATATTGACCATCAACTAATATGTCGTTTGGTTAAATTTAGGGACAACAAACCACAGAAAGGGATACAGTAACAAATAAGAGAATCAATCCTTCACCCAATATTTATTGAGTTTCTGGAATGTACAAGGCACCCCGGTAGGTAATGTGTGGGAGACAAAGAAAGTCAGACAGCTGCTCTACACTCAAGACAATTAGCGTGTAGCAGGAAAGGCAGTGTTCATCAACACTACTAGGCATAAAGCCCTGGAGAGACTTAGGCATTACAGAATAAGGTTAAAAACCTGGACCCTTGAACCAGACCGTCTAGGTGTGAACCCTGGATCTGTTATTTACTAATAGCATGAACTTTGGAAAGTTATATGACTGTTGATATTTAATTTCCTCATCTGTCAAATAGTAGTGATGACAAGGTTATGTACATGATAGGGTATGGTTAGTATTAAATGAGTTATCACATGTAAGGCACTTAGAATAGTGTGGGAAATTCAAGGAGAGACATTACTTGCCATGGTAGGTAGTTTTGAAAGGGAGGAGGAGGAGAAGGATGAAGTGAGCAAGAGGAATAAGAAAGACATACTGAAGATGCAGCATTTAAGCTGACTGAAATAGGAGTTGGACATGCAGAGATTGAGATAGACAAAGGCTGTGGTTTATATAAATGCTATATTTGTTTAGTAATAACAAATACATTAACATGTGTAAAATAGATTTCTGTCCTATCATTGACTAGTCCAATTTTATCACATCATAATGTCCATAAAAGATAGAAATAACACACCGGGTCCTGTTGGGGGATGAGGGGCTGGGGGAGGGATAGCATTAGGAGAAATACCTAATGTAAATGATGAGTTGATGGGTGCAGCAAACCAACATAGCACATGTATACCTATGTATCAAACCTGCACTTTGTGCACATACACCCTAGAACTTAAAGTATATTTTAAAAAAGATAGAAATGAAAGATAAAAAATAAGGACTCATTTACATGGACATCATTATGAGGGCCAGGAAATCAAGAAAAATTAAAAAGAGAAAAAGGGTAAAGAAAAGAGAAGGGGTACCCTGAGCAGCTCAAAAAAAGAAACACACACACACACACACACACACACACATACACACACGCACATGCATGTATAGCAGGAAGGTGGAAATTAGAGTAGAAAGGATTATTTCTATTTCAATTTTATACTTATTCATTTTTCCTTTGTTTAATAATAAACATGTCTGGCTTCCATCAAAAGATAACAGATATCCAGGCTGGGCGCAGTGGCTCATGCCTGTAATCCCAGCACTTTGGGAGGCCGAGGCGGACGTTCAGGTCAGGAGCTTGAGACCAGCCTGGCCAACATGGTGAAACACTGTCTCTACTAAAAATACAAAAGTTAGCCGGGCATGGTGGCAGACCCCTGTAATCCCAGCTGCTTGGGAGGCTGAGGAATGAGCATTGCTTGAACCCAGGAGGCAGAGATCATGTCATTACATTCCAGCTTGGGCAACAGAGCAAGACTCCGTCTCAAAAATAAATAAATAAATAAAGATAACATTCAAACTAGTATAAGCCAAAACGGAAAGTTGATTCTTAGAAAAGAATTGCAATCCAGTGACTCCAATGGCAAGCATTGCTGCCAGGCTGCAGAAGGTGAAGTGCTATCAGGGGCTAAGAGTGCTCACTCACTCTCTCAGTGATACTTCCCTTTCTTCCCTCTCTCTCTCAGAGCTAGATGGCAGTCTCCAGAGAAGGTGTATGTGGATTGGTCAGTCACCCCCTCGGATTCTGTAAGGTCTACCCATCTGTTCTTCCCCACCCACATGGACCAGAGCCTTGTACAAAGCTGGACACCAAGTAGGAGACCAGGAATTGCTGCTGGAGAAGATTGCTGCAGGATTTGACCCATGCTTGTTTAGAACCCTTCCCTGCTTCCACCATTATCTAGAAATAAACTTGGCATAAATTGCCTACTTAATAAATGTTGAGAGACTTACAATTTATATGGAAGCCTTGGTTTACTCCAATTCTTGACATGTTATCTTTAAACGAGATGCTTTTCTTTCTTCAATGTGAGAAATGTATATGTTTGAAGAGGTAGTTTTCTTGAGTTTAAGGGAAACCAACACCTGTGTTATAAGTCGGAGACAGCTAGCTTCTTCAGGAAGTGTGCCCCTATGTCAGAGGCACACTGTAGGCTCTCTTTCCTGATTCCACTCCTCAGATATACAATGTTTCAACCACTTACTCTTTTTACATAGTCCATATTAGAGGCTGTGAGATCTTTTCTTTATCCCCATCACAGATTCTATGCTCAGATCTTAAAGAAAAGAAACCCTCTTCCCACTAACAAGTCACCTCTACCTCCACAGTAACACATTTTCCTCACACCGCCTGAGGACGTGACTGAAGAAATATCGAGGTGGCCACCATGACAGCCAGATGTCAGCAGCCACTGTCGGCACATTCAGCCAAGTTACTACCAGAAGGTCCAGCTGAATGGGCTGATTCACCCGAGCTGTGCAACCACAAACAGTTAATATTTAAATGTACCTGATTTCCCTGCAGGTGGAGAGAGAAGCTAAATTATGAAGCCTCAAAAGCAACACAAATGACAAACTCTTACAAAATGCAGGAGGTTTCACCATGCTAGTTGCGATGGTGAAATACTGAGTGTCAACTTGATTGGATTGAGGGATATAAAGTATGAATCCTGGGTATGTTTTTGTGTGGCTGTTGCCAAAAGAGATAAGCATTTGAGTCAGTGGGGTGTGGAAGGCAGATCCACCCTTAATCTGGTGGGCACAATCTAATCAGTTTCCAGTGAATATAAAGCAGGCAGAAAAATTTGAAAAGGAGAGACGGGCCTAGGCTCCCAGCCTACATGTTTCTTCCATGCTGGGTGCTTCCTGCCCTCAAACATCAGACACCAAATTCTTCAGTTTTGGGACTTGGACTGGCTCTCCTTGCTCCCCAGCTTGTAGACAGCCTATTGTAGGACCTTGTGATCATTAAGTCAATACTTAATAAACTCCCCTTTATATGTATATACTATCCTATTAGTTCTGTTCCTCTAAGAGAACCCTGGCTAATACGTTAGTTCTTTACACAACATTTAAGGTGTATTGTGCACCTGAGCCTGAACACTCTTCATTCCTGTGTATTTAGCCCTCTCAAGGTATCCCACATACATATACTACCTTAAAATCCAAGCTAAGATTTCTGAAATCACACAGAGAGTTGTATCTTTGTTTGACTCCTTTTGCTCCAACTTTACATCCCATGGGAGAAATATGCTGATGTGAAGCACTACTTCAGCACATTGAAAACTGATCTGGAATTTTTCTGAGCTTTGTCCTGCCCTTTGCAATAATCAGGCTTTCTGTTGACAGCTCCTTCTTCACCAATACTCCACAGCTATTGAGACTCCTTATTCCATGTACTTTGCTGTCTAGAGCCCTATTAACCTCAGATTTATTAGCTTTTTTTTGTCAACCACTTACACTGCCAGCCTCCCAAGAGGAGAACACATCAGAAAGCAAAGAAACTCTAAGAGACACATACATAGAAAAATATCTCAAATAGCAAACATTTACTGAAAGCAGGAAAGTCAGATGATAGCACTTGAATAACCCTTCTCCCCCACAAGAACATTCTATAGATACACTCATGGAAGTTGTGCAAATAAATCTCATTATGCTGTCGAAGTACAGAATTATTGTCTCTCTGAGAGTACTGAGATGAAGCTGAGAATCTTCACAAATTTACTGGTCTGGCTCCAGACACATGCTAGATTATATTTATCAAAATGAATGGATTTTAAAGTGAGTCCAAAATAGATTCTTTCAAAAATCTAAGACTTTGCCTCAGAGGGGCTTCTTTTTTTAAATTCTGGCCTGTCTCTGGCTTCGAGAGAGGAGGCTATGAGGGAATAGTTATTAAAACAAAGAGAAAAAGGTAATTTGACTTAAGTTACCGAACCAGAGAGCTGCCAGATGTCAATAGCGGCAGCAGAGGTTACTAGCAGCTAGGGACCAGGAATAGAAATTAGAGCAAATGTATCCATAGAAAATGTCTGAAAAGTCCATTCAGCTCCAAATACAGAGTGATTTTGAGATCCCTAGATGGAACCTCTCCTGGCTGACCAGCCTAGGCAGCTGCTTCTTTGGTCGGTTCCACAGACACATTCTTCATAAGTGTCATGTTCCTAATTACTCCACTTTAATATATCAATACGATATATGCAGCTCAGTTTAACCATAAGACCAACGAAAAGGGACATAAGTGAACACATCTTTCCACTGGATTCATTTTTCACTCAGGTCATACACAAGGTGTTTACACACACATACACACACACATACACACACACACACACACTCTGTGAATACTCATTATAGCTAATATTTCTTGACTGCTTACTATGTGCCAGTGCAGACTGGCACTATTTGATCTCTTTTAACTTCTCTAAGTTTTATATTATTTAACTCACAGAAGTTCTATGTGATAGGTAATATTATTGTCCCCATTTTAGAGATGAAGTAACATTTTCGAAATGAATGCAAAGAGGGAATGAGTAACTGGCCCAAGCTCAAATAGTAAGCAATGGAGGAAACATAGAAAAACAATTAGTCTAGCTTTAGAGCTTGGGCTCTCAATTACTGTAACTGTCTTCCTAAAATAGTACTTAACAATGAAAAGTGTCCGCAATATCACAATATGCGCCTTAAGAAAGTAAAATTTTAAAGCTTTTTTAAATCAGGTTCTGTGCATTTGTAGAAAGACAAAATACAGAGTCATTTAACTACAAGTCCTTTGTTTCTATATTTTTTTATCCTCTAGATCTATACTGTACAATAAGAAAGCCACCAGCTACATGTGGCTATTGAGTACCTGAAATGTGGCTAATCCAAATTTAGATATGTTGTAAGTATAAGCTACATGCTGAATTTCAAAGACTGAGTACCAAAACTGAGACCATAAAATACCTCTTTAATAATTTTCATCTGGTTATATGTTGAAATGATAATTGTGGATATGTTGAGTTAAATAAAATACAATATCAATGTAAATTATATCCATTTCTGTTTACTTTTTAAAATGTGGCTACTAGAAAATTTTTAATTACATATATGGTTCATAGTGTATTTTTTCTTCTTTTTTTAGAGACAGGGCCTCACTGTCACTCAGGCTGGAGTGCAGTGCCATGATCATAGCTCATGGTAACCTTGAACTCCTGGGCTCAAACTATCCTCTTGCCTCAGTCACCAAGTTGCAATGACTATAGGTGTATGTTGCCATGGCTAGCTAATTTTTTAATTTTTTGTACAGATGAGGTCTCACTATGTTGCCCAGGCTGATCTCAAACTCTTGGCCTCAAGCAATCCTCCCACCTTGGCCTCCCAAACTGCTGGAAGTACAGATGTGAGCCACCACGCCTGGCCACACATTGTATTTTTAATGGCTAGCACTCAATTTATGTAGGTAAATAAGGATATAAATAAACTCTGTCTCAGATTCATCACATAACTTTGAAATGGTGAAGGCTTAGTGGCTCATTTTTATACTTACATCCTTAATTTTTTGTACCTCAGTAACATTATATTTCCTAATAAGATTTTGAAAATTTAGTTATAACTGTCTTTATTTGCAGACAATATCATCTTTACATAGAAAATCCTAAGGGATTTATAAAACAAAGCTAATAAGTACATTTAGCAAGTTCAAATGATACAAGATTAATATGCAAAGTTAATTAAATTTTCATGTATCAACAGCAAATACTTGACAAGTGAAATTTAAACTGATTCATTCGATTTAAAATAGCACCAAGAAATAGAAAATAGGAATAAATTTACCAAAAGATATATAAAAGTATACATCATTTCTGACAGAAATAAAAGAAGATCTACATAAACCAAGACATATACCATGTTTATGGGATGGAAGACTAAATATCATTACAATGTCAATTCTCCTTAAATTGATCAACACGATTTCAATAAAACTTCCAGTGAGCTTTTTAAAATAGATACCACAAAGTTGACTCTTAAATCTATGTGAAAAGAGTCTATAATAGCCAAAACAATATTAAAAAAAAAGAAGAAAAAATTTCAACTCACACTGCCTGATTTCAATGTTTACTATGAAAAGTATGGTATTGCATAAAATTTTTTAAAGGATCAGCGAAACAGAATAGAGAGTCTAGAAACATATGATCAAGTATGTGGATTTTTGACAAATGCCCCACAGCAATTCAATGAGAAAAGAATAATCTCTTCCAAAAATGATGCAGTAATTAGATGAGGAAGAAATTAACTTTGACTTCCACCTCACAGAAATATTAACTTGAACTGGTCTATAGACCTAAAAGCAAAAGCTGAAACTCTAAATCTAGAGGAAAACAGAATGCCTTTGTGGTTCAAGGAGGCAAAGCTTTCATAAAGATGAGACAAAAAGCACTGATCATAAAAGAAAAAATTGACAAATTGACTTCATCAAAATGAAAAACTTCTGCTCATCAAAAGACATGGTTAAGAAATGAAAATGCAAGCTACAGTCTGGGAGAAAAGATTCACAGTGCATATATCTGACAACAGACTTGTATGGAAAAAAAATTATACCAGATTGTTTATAGCAGCTTTATTCATAAGAACCAAAAACTGGAAACAACCCGAATGTCCATCAACATTTGAATGGATAAACAAATTGTGGTATATTCATACAATGAAATAACGCTAAGCAATAAAAAGGAATGAACTACTGATATAACATGAATGAATCTCAAAAACCTCATGCTGAGTGAAAGAAGCAAGACATGAAAGAGTGTGTACTCTATAATTTCATTTATATGAAGTGTAAGAACAAGCCAAAGCAATCTGTGGTGATAGAAATTAGAACGGTGATCTCTCCTGTGGGGTATAAACTCAGTGGCAAAGTGCACCAGGGAAAATTCTGGAAATGTGCTGTAGTTTGACAACAGTTGTGCTTAACACAGGTGTATATATTTATCAAAACTCATTGAATTGTTCACTTCCTGTCTGTACATGACACTATATATAAATTTCCCTTCAATAAAAAGTCCAGTTACATTGCTCAAACTTATATACACCTTTCGCTAAATGTTTAGTTTATAATACAATTAGAGTCATCATGAAATGTGCACTACACAAAGGCAGGAATTTTTTTTTAACTACTAAATTCTCAATGACTGGACCTCAATATTTGTTAATAACAAATAAATATTTGTTAATGGATGAGTTATGGAACACATTACTAGTTTCAGCTAAGGATCTTAACCTCAAGTTATATATATTCTTGTGTTTCCAGTTATGTATTTATAGTTAGATAGGTAGATAGATAGATAGATAGATAGATAGATAGATAGATAGATAGATAGATATAGATAGATAGATAGACAGATTTTTTGTTTTTTTTGAGACGGAGTTCGCTCTGTCGCCCAGGCTGGAGTGCAGTGGCGCGATCTCTGCTCCCTGCAAGCTCCGCCTCCCGGGTTCCCACCATTCTCCTGCCTCAGCCTCCCGAGTAGCTGGGACTACAGGCGCCTGCTACCGCGCCCGGCTAGTGTTTATTGTATTTTTTATACTAAAAAATATAGTGAGACGGGGTTTCACCGTGTTAGCCAGGATGGTCTCGATCTCCTGACCTCGTGATCTGCCCGCCTTGGCCTCCCAAAGTGCTGGGATTACAGGCGTGAGCCACCGCACCTGGCCTATTAAAACATATTTTTTAAGATACATGTCCCTGCGATCTCGAAGAAAAAACAAAACAAAACAAAAAAAACTCCACTTTTATACCATGACATCAAATTTTTTTCCACTACATTAAAATCTGAGAGAAAATTAGAAGAATCTTAAAGTAGATGTGCAAACATTTATCATCATTGAAGAACATTATTTTCTTGTGGTTTACTATTTAACTCCATGAGTTAAACAAGTAAACTTAGACTTGACACCTCACAATGGCTGTACCTCATGAAATCATTCACCTCAGGGAAAACCAGTTACATTTTGTTTTACATCAAGTTGAGATTTTCTGATTAATTTTGAGTATCATTATCTCAGGAAACTATCACAGAAAGAAGTATTCTAAAAGAAATACCACATGAGACGAGGTTGTGTTGGCCATATAGTTCTGTATATTTAAGTTCTGAGATGTTGTACCTGGTTAGTCCTGAGAGAAGAGAGAGAGAAAAAAGAGTGTGTGTGTGCAATAGAAGAGAGGACGTAGAAAAGACAAGATGAAAAAAGGTCTGTCCCTGAAGAAAACATAAAAATTACCTAACCTATGCAAGTAATTTATACTTTTTCCATTTCCCAAGCACCTAATAGACCTTTTAATGCTTTTTCTTATTTTTATAAAACAATCTAGTTTTGAACAGGTTTGAAAAGTAATAGACCTGCATATAATAGAATATCCATGGCCATTTTTGAACACACACACACACACACACACACATCGTACATATAATTTGACCTCCATAGTTCTATGAGAAAGATTATTTCTGATTGGGTGACTCTCTGCCTCAGTGGTTGCTAGGTAATGAGCTTTTGGAATAAATGCATTTCCTACCTCCAAATCAATAATCGTACAATGTTAATTTAGAACATCATCTCCATGGTCACCAACAATTACTATGAGAATTTGCTTTTCACGAAACAGCATTTGCACAAAACTTGTCCCTGCCAATGTATTCTTGAGTACTTACTATATTTGACATTGGCAGCTGTAAGTACCATGGCTTGCTCTTTGCTGTTGGATCTATTGATTGAAATGCCATTCATTTTGTGCAGATAAAAGAAATATGGCTTAGCTGGCTTCTGTTTATTAAGACGTGGCCAAGTAGAAATTTCATTTAATTTTAAGAAGCCATGATATCATTTTCCTTCCATCTTTGCTTCTCACAAAAAGTATTTGAAATTCAGGAAAAAATTTGAAACCATTCACATGCTGTTCAGTTAAAAAAAAAAAAAGCCTTTAGCTTCTAGTAAGTCTTCTACTAACAGCCTTTATTTCCACCACAAAAATACTTTCACTATGAAAGCAAACTGTCAAATAGATGTACTTAAAAAAAAAAAAGCATCCACTCTGAATGAAGGCAAAAGTACTGATAAAGATGAGTGGAAAAATGAGGATGGGTCTCCATAGAGCATCTTAAATCAACTTGTAACAAAGCACTTGTTTGCAAGTTTTTCTATTTAAATGGAATGATTTCATGAAAGAAAAAGGGAAGGAAGAAGCTATTTGGAGATCAGTGTAAATGTATCAAAATATAAGTATCTATATTAGTTTGCTAAGGCTGCCATAGCAAATGACCACAAACTACGTAGTTTAAAACAAGAGAAATTACTGTCTTGCGGTTCTGGAGGCTGGAAATCTGAAATCAAGGTGTGGGAAGTGCCACTCTCTCTCTCTGAAGGCTCTAGAGGATCATGCTTCTTTGCCTCTGCCTAGCTAGTGGTGGTTGTCAGCGATCCTTGGCAAGAGGTCTGTGGAGCATAACTCCAATCTCTGCTTGGACGTCACATAACCACCTCCCTTCTGTGTGTGTCTGTGTCCAAATTTTCCTCTTCTTTTGAGGACACCAGCCATTGGATTAGGACCCACCCTGATGCAGTTTGACCTTATATTAACTTGATTATATCTGCAAAACTTTATTTCCAAATAAGGTCACACTTTGAGATTCCGGGTTGTTGTGAACTTTGGCAGGGACGTGATTCATCCCACTACTGTTGGCTACTTTGGAAGATTAGATTGTGTGCTACACGAGGGTAAGGAATATCGCTGACTAATCTCTGTATCCTCAGCATCTAGCATGAAGTCTAAGTACCATGTAGATACTTAATAAATGCTTGTTTAATAGGGTACATGGTTAAATAAATAAGAAACGAGATAATGACTCAGTGATAAAAAACCAATAAATTATAAATGTTAAAAACAATGAATGTCGCCTTTCTATTGCATTATATTTTATGCTATTTACCTTTGGGTTTCTGTTTGGGAACAGTCCAGTCAGGATCCAAGACTCCCACTGTAGCCTGGATCAGAAAACATTATCATGCCCCTCAACCTCTCTGGACTTCTATGTCCACATCATGAGCTCTAACATAGAATAACTGTGTTAAAGCACCAGTGAAGATCTTTGTAGTTTAATCAAGCTATGCTGCTCTTCCTTGCAGTACATGAAAATAAAATAGAGCTTCTTATAAAACAGCATATCCAATTAAGGAAAAAGACAGAACAGTAAGCTGTCTTCATTTTATGTCAGCCTCTCTTGGTTCTTTATATACTATTTTTCCAGAAGTCTTGAAAAATGTGTCAGAAGATTTTTTCAGAATTTTCTTGCTTTAGCAAAGCTATGACAGATTATAAGGTTAGCTCTGCCATTTAAGAGAGAGAAAGACATTTCCTTGTCTTTATTAAATGGAAGCAGTGACCAGAATTAGTGTCTTGTGCTATGAGGATACCACCATATTGTCATTTTCCAAAGGTGTTAGAAGTTTGGCATCCTAATGATGGGCCAAAGGACTACAAAGAGAAAATATTGGGAATCATTGAGATGCTTATCATTTTCTTTGGTGAGAAACCCTGGGAAAGAATCACAGCTTTAAAAGAAAACCAGAAGACAGTAACAAAGAAGATTTACAATCAACCTACCCCCTTAAACATCTCCTTGTTCCTATTATTTTGTTTCTAGAGCAGTTGAGTGGCATGCTCATGCTGCCATTAACTAATAGCCTCTATCAAGAATATCAGAAATTACAACTGTTTTTCTGTAAAGCTCCAAATTTGTGCATCATTTGATAACAATATACTGGTATTTAAGGAACAGGAATTGGACCCACTCCCCAAAAATATTTCCCCAACAACCTTATTTCCAAAGCCTGAAATTCCATTATTAAGTCACCAGGCATTGGGTAAGGCTTTCTCCTACTGTTGAAAATGCAAATACCCCTAGAAAGTGGACCACATTAAAGACTTCCCTCATAATATTTTATTATGATCCAGAGAGAGGGATTTTTGAAAATTTAAAAATGTTATAGCACCAATTATTATGATTGATTTTTAACCTCCTTTACCAGGGAAAGCTAAAGACAAACAGACCCAAGCTGAAATTTAACCAGAAATCCTAGTGGAAATCACATTTTCCTAGTGTACTCACTTTCCTACTCTCTTACATGATAGCTTTTCTTTACTTTAAACACTCCACATCCCATCTCCTCTTTTCATTGTCAGCTGATGACCTTAAATCTTATTTCACTGAGCTATTAGAAGTTCTCAGAAGTACCACATGCCCCTACCATATCCACCAATCTATCTGCCTCTGCTGGCATCCTATGCCTTCCCTCTGGTCACTTTCCATGGTCCTAGGGAAGGCCAATGCTTCCCTGGGCTGCACCTCCATGCACTCTCACCTGCTCAACTGTCCTCCACCTGCATCATCAATTTCTCCTCTCTATTCATTCTTTCCTATCAGCCTCCCATTTTTAGAAAAAATTTCCCTTGAAATATGATGCTGTCCATTACTGTACCATTTTATTGCCTCCCTTTATAGAAATCATTCCTAAAAGATGTCTATACTTGCTGTCTTTACTTCCTCCCCCATATCACTCTTGAGCTTACCTCAATCAGTTTCATCTTCACCATGCCACGGGCTGCAAAAACTCTTGTCAAAGTTATAAAACCTCTATATTAAAAATCCAATCGTTCATTTTCAGCCCTATGTTTTTCCCTCTACCAGTTGCGTTTTCATTCTCTTTTTCTGGAAGTACTTTCTGTACTTGACTTCCTGTCTCCACTGGCCCCTCCTCAGTCTCTTTTGCTGATCTTTTCCTCTGTTCTCCAATGTCTAAATACCAGTGCACACCAAGAACCAATCTTTTGATGACTCCCAACTTGTATTTCCAGTTTTGAAGTCCAAACTTGCATATCCAACTCTCTTTTTTATATTGATACTCAAGTGCCCAATAGGCCACTCAATCCTAACATGTCCAAAGACATAATCCTCATTCGCTTCTTTGAACTTACTCTGTCCCCAATCTTATTCATCTGTAAATATCAACTCATCTTTCAGCTGCTCAGGTTAAAAATCTTGATGTTATATTTGGGTCTTCCTTTTCTCTCATACCCCATTTCCCCTTCATCAGTCATCTTCACAGGTCCACCTTCAAAATACACTCACAATCTGACCCCTTCTCCACCTCTGCTGCTACCATCAGGTAGGATATTTTAATAGCCTCTTAACGGGTCTCTCTTCCCCATCCCTTGTTTTCTTCCCCATCCTCAACAGGCAGAGTGATCCTTTCAAAACTAAAGTCAGATCACATCACGTCTCTGCTCTCAAATCCTCCAGTGGATCCTTATCACACTCAGATTAAAAACCAAATTCCTCAAATGTTTGCTTATGGTTTGGTCCACATCACGTCTCGGAACTCATCTCTTATTTCTCTCTAGTTTGCTTCCTCTGCTCCATTTATTTGTTCTTCTTCAAATATTGTAAACACATTCTCACCTAAGGGTCTTTGGGCTGGCTATTCCCCGTGTCTGAAACACTCTTCCCCACATAAACACTGGTTGTATCTTTTATTTTCTTCAGGTCTCTGTTCACATGGTACTTTGCCAGGGAGGTCTTTTCTGGCCATTCCATATTAAATAACAATTCTGCCACCAGAATTCCCAATATCTATCATTGCTAAATATTATGTGTGTGTGTGTGTGTATATATATACACACACACACACACACACACACACACACATATATATATATAGATATATGCTTGTTAATTTGTCCATTATCAATCTCTTCTTCTAGAAATGGATGTCTATGCTCCCAAGACAGGGACTCTTGACTGTTTTATTCATTACTATATCCCTAGATCCCAGAAAAATACCTGGCCTATAGCAAGTGCTCAATATGGTTTTCTCAAATGAATAAGTGCCCACTTTTTTAGCAACTTCATTCTTACTTCTCCCAACAATACCTTCTTCTCATTTTCCTCTCATTGACGTGATTAAACCAGCTCAAGAAACTGCCATCTGTAAATGATACTTAGAATTCCTCCCACAGACAGAGTTCCTTGAAAACTAAACCAAAAAGTAATAGAAAGCTGTGGAAAATTTTAATATATTTATTTTAGGTTAAAATTATAATTTTTACTAGGCCTGCACAGTATGATTTATTTTAGGAAAAACATTTGTGAACCAAAGGAGGAAAAAAAAGAAAAAGAAAAAGAAAGCAAGAAAAGGAGGGCGGGAGGGGGTTAGTTAACTGTCAGATCTTTCCTAGTTACTGCAAAGGTTATCTACGAGGATCAGATGTGTGTGAAAACACTTTGTAAACTGCACAGTAGTGCAAACCCAGGTTGTTTAATTAAAATCATATTTTCTTGTTTCATTGTCAACCGAGTCATTTTTGTTTACAGATCTATTTTTTAAAGCCTTTCTAAAATATTCGGGTAACACTTTCTGCCTAAGTAGATACAGTACTGCATTCTAAATCTTGCCTTCTATAAAAAGAGAAAGAACAGTGTGGTAGGCGGAGCGATGCCCCCACCCTTCCTAACCACCAAAGATGTCCATGTCCTAATCTCTGTAACCTGTGAATACGTCAGGTTACCTGGCCAAGGGAAATTAAAGTTGCAGATGGAATTAACATTGCTAATTAGCAGACCTTAAAATAGGGAGATTAGCCTGGATCATCCAAGTGTGCTTGATATAACTACAAAGGTTATTATAAGGGGACATCAGGGAGACCCAACAGAGACAGCAGCATGAAACCCGGTAAACATTGCAGGCTTTGAAGATGGAAGGGGGCCAGGAGCCAAGGAATGTGACTGGCCTTAAAAAAAAAAACAGAAAAGGCAAAGAAGTGGATTCTTCCCTAGAGCCTGCAGAAGGAATGCAGCCCTGCCTACACCTTGATTTCAGCCCAATGATACTCGTGTTGGACTTTTGACCTCCAGAACTATAAGATAATACATTTGCATTGTTTTAAGCACCGAGTTTGTGGTAATTTTTTACAGGAGCAATAGATAATGGAGACAAACAACAATGTGGCAAAGCATAGGCTCCTGTGCCAAACACACTTGAGTCTTAGTTCCAGACCCACCAACCCCTGCCAGCCTTTGTTCCTCATCAGTAAAATGAGAATCAAGATAGTGCCTTCTCCCTAGGAATAGCGTTAGGATTAACTACGGTGGTGTAAAGTAATTAAAACAGGGCCTGGAACAGGGCAAGTTCTCAATAATCATTAGCTGTTAGCTTTTAACTGATCATTTTCTTTGAATTTTAAGTATGAATTTACCATAGAAGTCAAGGGCATAGTAAAGTAAACTGCATATGTATTGGAACAAGAATAAAATTTGGAGTTGGAAGAAAGTTATCATAGCAACATGATCTTGGACAAATCATTTAACCTTCTTCATCTGCAAAATGAGATAATCATAACTGCCCAGTCTATACCAAATTAGGTGCTCAAAATGAAAGCACTTCGGAACTCAAACTCACGCTGCTGGAATTTTTGCACATCTTGTAAATCCTTCCTGTCAGCTTCTTTTGTTGATATTTGGTTTTGTGAGTGTGGCATAATGAAGAAAGGTTCTCTAGCTACTGCAAGGTTATAGTTAGTTGGGTTTTGGTTATGATCATTTTTTCACTAGATAACAAGGTAGTTGAGAGACAATATTAGCCAAACAAGATTTTTCTTTAAATATAATGTGGGTCATAACTATGTCCCAGAGAGGAATCAGAGAAATTTTTCTAAAATCACCATAAAGAACATGACATTTCTTTTTCTGTATTGACTCTTCTTGAAAAATGCTTATCTTAAGCTCAGCTCACCTTCATCACAATTCTTCTGAACAGGCTGAGTGTCTGAAGATTAGATCACATCTGTTTGTGCATAGAGTAGGAATCCTGTCATCACAAATGCAGTGACCCAGGCAGCCTGGTCCCTCATTTTCTCTTCCCTTCTCCCTAAATCAGATGTTACGTGTGAAAAGTCCTTGATTAGCTGTAATATACCTCAGCTGGGTTTCCACTTTAATGCCATTGTTGTTCTAGATCTATCTTGGTCTTTTATTATTAATTATTATTATTATTATTATTATTATTATTTATTCACCTTCCTCTTTTTCCCGCTTGTTTTCCTAAATTCAACCTCTTTCCTCTCTTTCTTAGGTATTCTGTGACACAAATGAATAGAGGCCCACAATAATAAAACTAAGGTAATAGGATGGAAAATATGGCAGAATGGGTTAACAGTGTATCCCCAACATGTCTAATACAGACCTCTCGCTCCACAGCTGCAGTGTTATATAACTCTAGGGTTCCTGCTTTCAGGGAGAATGCTAGGTCACTGTGCACCACATTTCTTTATTTCAGGCTTCTCTGGGCCTTTAATATGCTAGTATACATTGGGCTGTAGGACCTAGTGTTTCAGACTTGCCTGACCATGGGTTTTTTTTTTAATGTGGAACATTTGGGAGAACTAGAATTCTCTGGATCACTCATAGGTAAAATCCAGGTTAAATATCTGCTGGGGGCTGGAAGGAGGGGGTAGGAAGCACATTTACCAATGGCATGAGGTGCATGTCAAGACAGAAAGTTTCAAAATATTGTTTAGGTGTCTTTTAGGCTGACACAATATTGTGCTACATTAAAGAAAAAAAAAGCCCTACTCTAATCCCTTTCTCTAGAGGAAAAAGCCCACTTAATTAATTTCCTCTTTTCCTCTCTCACTTATTTTTCTTTTCCCTTCCTTCCTAAAGGAGGAGATGTATTTCCCTAATTTTTCTCCTTTATCCATTTTCTTCTTGCTATTACCCTTCCACCCAAGTCAAGATGGGAAGACATAGTGATAATTTTACAAAGCATCCGGATGTAGTTTTTTTTTTCCTCAGTGGAGAGATAAATAAACTATAGCAGATAAGTTTTTATTGATCTCTTATAACTAAAATATTTAAATAATCAGGAATCAATTACCATTCAAATTTCTCTGGCTTTGAGTTTTTGCCCCTTTTCTAAACCCTAAAGCTTACCATTATCACACCTTAATTATTCTTAACAGCAAATAATCATGTACTTGAATTTTACAATGATCCTATGTCCCCAGAGCTAAGATTGGAATGTCAGAAGAGATCTTCTTTACATTTAAGAAGTACATACTCTGCCTCCTTGATTCTTATGTACTGCTCAATAACTAGGCAGTTGTTATTTATTCAATAAAGATATATCTAGTCCCTGTTAGGTTCTGTGCAAGTACCAAGGATTCCAATGTGTAGTTTATATTTATAGTTATTGGTGGTGGTGATGATGGTGTAGAAGATAATGTGGTCTCCTCTATAAGGTGTCTGCCATTATATGAAAGGTCCAGTAAAGTGAAAGCTCCCAGCATTCCAAAAAGATTAGCATGGGATCAGCTTACAAACAGAGTAATTATTATTGTTGGTGAGTGGCTTATTGGACCAATTTGTTGTTCTGGATCAGAGGTTCTGAACTTCAGCTGCAAAATAGAATTCTTCAAAAATATTGATGCCTGGATCCCACCACAAATCAACTGAATTAGAATCTCTGAAGGTGGAGTCTTTGGACACTGTCATTTTATAGAAAGTCTGTTGGTGAGTATAACATCTAGCTAGTGTTGAGAGCCATTGTTGGAGATGAAAGCAAGAAAGAGATTGTGTGAGGCAAAAATATCTACATTAATAGTAACTAAATTGAGAAGATCAAAAGAAGAATGATTAATTCTACACAAATTAACTAAGGATCTCAAAAGTTGGGCATGACACAGAATTATGACCAAGGGTCATAGCACCTCAGAAAATACATAAGCCAGATCCTTTGTTTCCAATGCAACTCCATTTCCTTAGAATATGCAGAGAAAGATTGTGCTATGGAAAAGATTCCAAATTTCCAGGGAACTCAGCTTGTAGACTGGTTACATTCATCAAAGTTAAAGTTATAAATATTGCACATGGTCTCAATACTCAGAGATAAACATTTACATAGCAGATTTTATTAGCAGACAATTGTGAAACCAAATAATGATTTATCTGCAAGGTTACACACATAAGAACAAATACAATTTAAAAATAAGAGACTCAATTCTTCCTGTGGAAAATGGGGAAACAGATTTCTCTCCCCTCCTTTTCCTTGGAACATTTAAAATGCTTCTCTTTGAAATGTAAACCTCAAGGGAAATAGCATCTATCTTTCAGTTTTTGTGGAAATGTAAATGCCTAACTTCAGTGGGCGCCTTGCTCCAAGTTACAAATCTACCTCCTGTCATAAAAACAGAAGAAATGTGTTTTTCCTCTGGATAAAGCAAATTAACTAACACATATGGTCACCCCAGTTATCAGGTGAAATTAGGATAAACTATGTGTGACAATTGGTGTTGTTGAGTCCTCTTACTTGAGGATAGTTATTGTTTATCTTGAAAACATATATGTAATGAGTTGTATATACTTGGCTTAAAGGGTTGAGATTTCTTTCTGTCTTTGCAGCCTCTTAGTGGATTGTCTGTGATGTGCATCACATCTTGGTTTTATGCTTATTTAATAATAAAACCGTTTTATTTTTAAACTGCCTTTGTGGAGAGGTTTCCTGGGCTGGGAGAAAATTTTGGTTTTAATTATATTTTCCCAGCTGATATGGTTTGGATCTGTGTCCCCACCCAAATCCCATGCTGAATTGTAACCCCCAGTGTTGGAGGTGGGGCCTGGTGGAAGGTTATTTGATCATGGGGATGGATTTCCCCTTCGGTGCTGCTCTCATGATAGTGAGTAAGTGCTCACAAGATCTGGTTGTTTAACAAGATCTGGTTGTTTAAAAGGGTGTAGCACCTTCCCCTGCCCTCATCCTGCTGTAGCTACATAGGACATGTCTGCTCCCCCTTCACCTTCCACCATGATTGAAAATTTCCTGAGGCCTCCCCAGTCATTCTTCCTATACAGCCTATGGAACTGTGAGTCAATTAAATCTTTACTTTATAAATTACCCAGTCTCAGGTATTTTTTTACAGCAGTTCAAGAACAGACTAATGCACCAACACACAGGAATTACTTACTTAGGAGTGGCTTACTACAGAGTAAAAAAATTTTCTATTTTTTCCTCTTTTCCTTCTTATCTCAGACTCATATCAGATACAAATAATTGATATATTATAGTTAGATTTTGAATTCCTTTTAATGATCATAGGTCAAAGTAAACACTTGAAAATTCGTTGTTATAATCTTTTTAAAAATCTAACCAAAAACCATAAAAGTTTCTGAGAATCCTCAAAAAATATTTGCTGCTAAAAAGAAAAAAAGTGTCCATTTTGGCAATGATGAGTGGCCATATTTCTCTGAGCACTGCCAAACAAATGGTAAAAAAAATAGGATTAAGGAAAAAAAACCTTAGAATTCTTTCCTGCTTAGTGCCCACTTTTGCTTGGGACAGTATAAGGCAAAGATGTTCACTGAAAAGCAAATTGCACCAAGGGAGGCATCGTCTCGCTTTTGCTAGGAAATTCCTTGAAGAAGTAAGCCTTTATTTCTATGGAAACTATGGAAATTCATTACATTTCCATAGTTTTCTGATACTAAAAGTATTGTTCAACAAATGCAAAGTGCTTGTTTCAGAAAAAAAATTTAACAAGTTAAATTTTTTTTAATTTAAAATGTGTTTAACAAGTATTTATTTAACAAGTTAATTTGTTTAAAAAGTATAGAGTGGCCGGGCATGGTGGCTCATGCCTGTAATCTCTGCATTTTGGGAGGCCGAGGCAGGTGGATCACCTGGGGCCAGGAGTTCGAGACAAGCCTGGCCAACATGATGAAACCCCGTCTCCACTAAAAATTAAAAAAAAATTAGCTGGACATGGTGGCACATGTCTATAATCCCAGCTACTCAGGATGCTGAGGCAGGAGAATTGCTTGAACCCTGGAGGCAGAGGTTGCAGTGAGACGAGATCGTGCCACTGCACTCCAGCCTGGGCAACAAGAGCAAAACTCTGCCTAAAAAAAAAAAAAAAAAAGTATAGAGTGCTAGACGAAATCCGTTTTTAGTTGATTATGCTAAGAGTTCTGATGAATCACAGGTTCTATTATGTCCTGTAGAAGCAGAACAACCACACCCAGAAATGTAAAATCCCACTCCCAAAAGAATTGGGACACAGCCATTATCAGAGCACCATTTAGACAAGTTACACTAGGGTCCTGGGCTGATCAGCTGGATAGCTAACTAGAAAAAAGAGCAGGAAGACCCAGACAGCTAGTGCAAAAAAACATCCCACAGATGGTCAAAACAAGGAAAACTGAATTAGTCCAAGAGACATTTTCCAGAGCCTGGGACTTGGTCGTTGTAGATAAGCAGTAAGGAGGAAGGTGGGGTCATGCTAGATGATTTGGTATCTTACCAAATACCATCTAGCCAGGCACTTACCAAATGAGCCAGAGCTCCTTCACCTAGCACAGTGTCTAGGATGTAGAAATTGTGTAATAAATATTGAGGAACTATTACTTTTATTGAGGAACTATGTTAGTAAAAGTGTCTTTCTTTCCCATTCTTTTTTTAAGTACCATTTGTTTAGTGCATGGAAACCTTGCTTAAATTCCTAAGGACAAGGTGAACACAAAACACCTACCTTAACTCAGTATGTGGGTGGCTCTTATCTATGCCCTAATGCAGTGGTCCCCAACCTTTTTGCACCGGGGACTGGTTTTGTGGAAGACAATTTTTTCACAGGTTGGGGGGCGGGGTGGGGGCAGGTGGGAGATGGTTTCAGGATGATTCAAGCACATTACCTTTATTGCAAATTTTATTTCTATTATTATTACATAATCACCATCATGGAGAATCAGTGGGAGACTTAAGCTTGTTTTCCTGCAACTAGATGTTCCCATCTGGGGGTAATGGGAGACAGTGACCGATCATCAGGCATTAGATTCTCATAAGGTGCGTGCAACCTAGAACCATCGCATGCACAGTTCACAATAGGGTTCGCGTTCCTATGAGAATCTAATGCTGCAGCTGATCTGATCGGAGGTGGAGCTCACCTTCGCTCACTTACCTGCTGCTCCCCTCCTGCTGTGCAGCCCGGTTCCTAACACGCTGGGGGTTGAGGACCCCCGTCCTAATGCCAGTGTAGATTTGAAACTTTCACTGAGTGCTTAAACTCGCTTCCCCTGTGTTTTTACTGTAAGTGAACAAACAATTATCCCTTTAGAAGCAAGTTATTCTTTGGAAATTTGATCTAGTGATTATTTAAACAAACACACATGCCTTATCATTCACCTAAAATCCACTGACGTGCCCACATTGTCCAATTTCAGCTCCAATTTGCTGCCTCCTCTCAGCAGAATTCAAACTCAGTCAAAAAGTTCTTTTATTTTATAAACTAATAGTTCCCTTATCCCAAGCCTTAAATAAAAAGTGTAATAAATTAAATGCTTAATGCAGAAGATATATGAGTGAGAAGTGCTACTTGATCTATATTTAAAGTGAAAGCATAAAAACTACACTTTTGATGCAGATATTGATCATTAGAAACAGGTTCTTAAATTAAGAATATAGATCATGTCACCTTTTCCTAGATCTTATTCTGGCTCAGAGTCTGAAGAAATTCTCCTACCCTCAAATTAAAAAGATGATAGAATCATACACAGGAAAAACTGACAGCAGCACCAATTGGTTCCTCCAGTAAAATCATATCCTCCTTGATTAATATGAAATATTCAATTGATAACAGCTGAACGCAAATGTATGGGAATCATGATATCTCATGAGATTAAGTCAGTCATATCCTCTCAGAGTAAATTTATGCTTCTTCTGATATTTGTATTTTTACATAGTAATAAAGTCTAAGTGTAAAAATAAACTGAAAAAAAAGATTAGCTTTGAAAAACAGCAACTCTGAGGCAGCAGGCATTCTGTTGGTTGCAGCCAGGGCCATTGCTTCATTGTTTCTCAGAAGAACCCCACTGACCACGTCAATGAGAAAGCTGTTGCCTGACTCATAATGGCCTCCAAACCCTTCACATAGAACCTGGGTGGCTTCAAGCTGGGGGGAGATGGAGTGAGATCTTAGCAAACAGAATAGCATCAAAAGACCTCACTGTCGCCACAGAAGCCAACATCCCCACACAGCCTCATGGTAGTTCTGAGGAAGCGCACTCAAGGAGCATTTGTTGATTGGTTAAATTTACAGGGACAGCTGAGCTTAGTGTGCACTTACTAAATTCACAAGTTGGAAAATTAGGAAATGGAGTATTAACTTGTGCCAGGATGAGAAACCTATGTATTTCATGGATGACAGTAGATATTTATTTTTTTTATATTTCTGACTCACTAGTGGTATGGATACACCAATGCTCCAGGAATGTTTTAATATTTAAAATCCATTTAACACCTACACCTCAAAAGAATTATGTACAATTCATGTGCTAAAAATAAATGTCTCAAAAACCTAGTCTTCACCGTTCTAGATGAGAAAATGGAAACACTGGGTGGAGGGGGGTTCTTCATGGGATCAGATGTATGGTGGAATGAGCATGACAAAAGCAAAGACTAGGTATCATAATTCCTGCTTAATTATTTTTATGGTAAAAATTTCTTTCATATTAAAATATTACTCAAAAACACATTAATAAAATGACCACAGTCAACCAACTCACCCAACTAGATAATTATGTTATTGCAGTGTTTCTTAATTTTTTTAGTCATAAACAATTATAGCATACATTCTACATGTAGATATTCTAACAGGTACCTTGTCATTTCAGCACCTTTCTGATGCACTGATATAACACCAAGCCCCAATCCCCTAGTACCCCTCATCCTTCAGTGTCCTATTACCTTAGGCAATCCAACAGAGGTGATATTATTTCAAGACATATCTGAAAATAACTTTCTTATTTTATAACCAACCACCTGCATGGCAGGCAAATCACAGGAAGCAAATAACCATCCCTGCATGAGTCACTGTTGCCAGCAATCTCACAAGGTAATGAAACCAATTCCACACTTTGCTGGTAGTCTGCAACTGATAGGTAAAAACCAAAGAGTTTTGATCTTCCTGAAAGTGAAGCCCAGAAGAATTCCTGAATTTAAATAAAGAATAAAGGCAGAGATCCCTGAGTTTATTGTTCTCAGCTATTTAATTGTCCTTCTGATTCAATGTTCATCCAGGTGCATGAAGCACTACTGGACATCTGGAGATGAAACTGAGCTCAAATGAAGAAAATCATGATCAAGCAGAGAAAAGCTATGATTAGATCTGCAGGAAGCTGCAACACAGAAATTTGAATTTTGAGTTCTGACAAACAAGTTCCTTCAAATTCACTAAAGATATCTCCTGACATTTTTTCATCCATGAGCAAGTCAAAAGGAGTTCTACTCAACTGCTGGGATCCTGGAAAATTCGAACCCCTGTCTACATAGATGGTAATTAGTGTGCCATACCTTGAAATACTAAGCAGAATACGTAGTTTGTGAGGTTCTGAATAGGATAAGAAACCTCTTCCCCTGGTGGGTTGGGCAGACTGGGATGCATCCAGAGGTAAACCAGCAGCCTAGTATGCTTACACCTTCTGTTTTCCCAAAGCCAAATCTAATGAGAGAATTGGGAGAATGAATTTTCTTTCTTGAAATCTCCCTTCGCGTTTCAGCATTTCAGACAAGATTCAATAAAAAATTTTAATCTAATTTTTGTGCCCATAAAGCCTGTATAAATCAGCACAAGCCCTGAAAAATGAAGAGGCACTGTTTTTTATTGAATCCATAAATCTAAGAACTTAGCACTTAAAGAACTGTTTTAAATGTTTCCTTGTTTCTTTTTTTTTTTTTAATAATTAGTGTTAGAACAGGCAGGGAAATAGAGCCCAAGAGTGTAAGAACCTTATTCAAATCTCAGAAGGAAGAAGTATTTCTGAAACAAACATTGTCTAAATAAAATTGACAAAAAATACCTGAATCCAAACTCAACAATTCAATGCCTTTTGTTTCAGGGAATTTTGGTTTGGATTTTGGTCACCTCCTATCTGTATTAAAGATCCAGTAATAGTCATGGCAAGAAGGAGGTGCTTTGAAATTCACTTAGTTTTCAATGGAAACACTTAGAGATCGATTTTAAAATTTGCCATAGAAGTTAGCAAAAAAGCACAAAGGGGGAACTCTGAAGTGACATTATTCAGATTTCTCTCCTCTAACAAGTCTTTTGATCAATTCAATTTTGATTTGTATAGATAGGGTTGCCACCTGATTCCCAGTAACAAACCAAGAATAGTATATATCTATATAAATTATATTCTTCCTGTACTATAAACCACTGCATTGTGTGCTTTTTTTAAATGTCAGAAACAACCTCTTGTTTGCTTCCCTGAAAAATTTCCTAAAGTGTGACATAGTGTAAAGCATATGTGTATCTAGTAGATTCAGATTCTAATGTTTGTTCTGCCATCTGTATCTGTCCTTACAACTCTAAGTGTGGCCCAGACAGCAGCAGCATCAATATTACCTGACAGCTGGTGAGAAATGCATAAACTCAGGCTCCATCCAGACATAGTAAATCAGAATCTGCATTTTAAGAAGATACTGAGAAATTCATGTGTACATTATTAAAGTTTGAGAGGGATTGTTCTATGTAACTTCAGCACACTAATCTTTTGTGTTCCATTTTTCTTACTGGTAAAATGAAGGAGATGCACTAAGTGTTCACTAAGTTCCTGTCCACAATTTATGACTTACAGCAAATGCAAGCTGGAAAACCCCATTTCTTAGATATTGTTTCATCTTGAATTTCCTGAAGAGCTTCCAAGCACAACACCATCTATATTTGGAGACTGAGATTAAATGAGCTTTTGCTGCCTCTAAGTTTTCTTTATAGAAACAAATCAAGCCAAATGTTTTATTTCATCTGATTCAAAATTAAAGCACATTAAAGAGTACAAGGGAAAGAGAAAAAAGGGTACTAACATACACTGAACTGTAATAAACACTTTAAATCATCATCCATTTTAATTTTAACCACAAACCTGTGAGGCAGATTCGATAAAACATATTACAGATGAGAACACAGTCACAAAAGTCTTAGATAATTATTCTGGGTCACAAAGCCAAGTGGTACAAAAAGAATTTAAGTTTAAGCATCTCTCATTCCAAAACCCCTGAAAAGCAGAGTTGCTTTAATAATGTGCTGACAAATTCAGTGGTATTAACTTCTTTCATTATTTCTGGTTTTCTGTGTAAACTAAATCACTTTGAAGTCATCTAAATTCCAACAACACAAATGGCACCAAAATGCCTTACTTTGGCCTCTCTTTCTTTCAAACCACCCTTTCTAATGATACATCTATAATTCTAGGTTTTGCATTTATTTTTCATATGCAATTGGATCATCTCTTTTTAATTGGTATATTTAATCCATTTATATTTATTGTGATTACTGATTTCTTTACACTTATTTATGCTACTTTCTTTTATGTTTTGTGTGTACCATATTTTTTCCACTGCTTCGTTTTACACATTTTCAGCCTGTTGTTTGATTGATAAATTTGTTTGCTCTTTCTTTTTATGTTAATTTAGAAATTACCATTTGTATTTCTATTCTTTTAGTGGCAACATTAAAATTTTTTGCAATCCTACTTAATTTCATATTTTTCTAACAAAACCTAAAGTTTGCTATTTCTCTCTTACTCCTAAAATGTTTTAGCTTGTTTTATCCTCCAAACACTGCCCTTCCTTTTTTCTAGGATATTGTTATTCCCAATAATCTTAAGATAATTAGTGACTATTAATATTCCTTTTAGAGTCAGTAATTAGGCTGCACTCATATTCCAATGATATCTTCCTAGAGAGTCACAAATTCACTAGTTCACTATTTCTTCATTCAGTAATTACATATGGGCAATAAATTCATTTAATCCTAGTACCTGAAAATGGTATTTTGCCTTTACTATTGAATGATAGCTTAGCTAGTTATAGTTACATGTTGAGAGTTATTTTCCCTCTCTGACAACTTATAACATCTATTGTTGCTTCCTAGAAGGCTATTGTGAATTTAATTTTACTCTTTTTTAGGTAGTAAATAAGAGTAAAATTTTTTTTACTCTATTTAAAAAATAGAAAATTTTTTTAAATTTTCTATTTTCTTTTCATTGTTTACAGGGTTTTTTGGTTCTGAGTCTAATTGGATTTACTTTTATTTTTCCTTTTCAGCTTGCAGTGTGTATTTTGTGACAATAAATTTCTTGTCTTCAATTCAGAAAAACACTAAGCTATTATCTCTTGAAATGCTACTTCTCTGCTATTCCCTCTTTTTCCTGCTTCTGGAACTGTTATATGTAGTTTGGGGCTCCTCAGTCTATCCTCTGTGCTTCTTAATTTTACTTAGATATTTTCCATCTCTTTGTCTATCTCTCCTGAATAACAGGTCAAGCTTTCAGATATTTCCTCCAGTTAACTCTTTCTTTTTTGGCTATGTTCAATTTACTGAGTTTATTACAGTGATTACATTTTTTTTATTTCTCAAACCTATACATTTAAAAAATCATCTCCTGTAATTGACTCATAATCATCTATATTTATTCATATCTTGCTCCTGCTGTGTATTTTTCCTATATGATTTTCAGGATTTTAACCATGTACATTTTAATGTCCTGTTCAGAAGATTGTAATTTTCTGGGTAATGAGTTTTATCATTTATGAAATTTGTTGGCTATTATGAGTTTAGTTTTCATTCATAGAATTTTAGTTGCAAGACCAAGTTAACAATTTCCTTGTGTTTTATTTTAACTTTTTTTTTTTCTATTTCTCTCTCGGCACTCACTTCTATATGTCTGGTCTTTTTATAGTTGCCTCTATTTGGGTTACCCAAGTCTCCAGTCAGAAACAAGTCTTGTATTGGCAGCTCAGAATTACCATTCTGGGAGCTGTAACAAATTGAGGGTCCAAGTCAACATATGGCTTGAGCCATATTCAGCTGTCTCTGCTTCCTCCTGCCATGCCATCCAGCACTACAATATAGGCTATAGTCCCTGAGAATGATTTTGGCTTTTTTCCTACTCCAGCTTCTGACTGGAGTGTGGAAGACTTAGGTTCTACTTCCCCACAGAAATTGAAATCTTAACTGCCTCTTTGTACAGTAGATCTCTAGCTTCAGCCTCCCTGTAGTGCAGTAGATCTCCAGCTTTAGCCTAACTTACTGCAGTTTGGTTTTGTTTTTCTGTTTTTTTATAAGAAACATTTATATATTTTTTCCAGAGCAACAATGGTTCCATAAATATTATTTATAGCTATCATTGCTATACGTTTATAGTTGCAGGGAAGTAGTTTTATACATAAACTTTCAACCCCACCTCAATCAGATCACTGCCTCTCTAGTCTGAGTTTTAAATCCAAAGAACGGAGTGGCACCACAGTTAGAATCCTTTGAAATATAATGATCTTTTCCTGTGGTCAGATGAATTGTTTAAACAATTCCCATCACCCTATACACCCCTCAAGAAATCTTGAAAAACAAAGTCATAGAGTCTTAAGAGCATGGCTGACCAAAAAAATGCCTCCTACTCAGCATCTGTTTCTCTATGACTAGTTTAAAGCAAACTGGACCAAATTTCAATCAAATAATGAGGACAGCAAAGCTGATTTTCTTCCCCTCCAATTAATCTTTTCTGCCACTTTTATTCACCTACCACTTCCATGTCTACCACTTCCCTAAACTCAGATATATCAAGCTATCATTTCTGCTTTGTCTCGTTTCTTTTGGAATACTAGAAAAGATTTAGTATCAGTCATTGGAATTTTTTGGTTTATTAATAGAGCATATTTTAGTGAGTAAATTTCAGACATTGTGTTATTTGAATAGTGAATAGTTTATAGCTAATTGGAAATTAAATATTTTGTTTTCTGTTAAGGAATTTAGTTAGTAAGCAAGCAAAATGTGATTTGTTGATTCCGTAAAGAAAGCTCTTAATTTCACATTAGACCAATTTGTTGGACAAATCATGAAAACACAACAGAGCAGAGGGAGAACCAGAAGGCACAGACTATGATCTCGCTATGCTAGATCGGGAGTCGACAGATGATGCCTGTGGGCCAAATCCAGCCCAATGCCTGAGTTTGCATATAAAGTTTAATCAAACCCCTTACACATGGCCTCAGTCTATGGCTGTTTTCACAGCAGCAGAGCTGAGAATTTTCTGCAGAGACAATATGTCCTGCAAAGCTGAAAATAATTGCTATAAGGCACTTTATAGAAAAAGTTTGCAGTCCCCTGCCCTAGATGGTCTTCCTACTTTGTTGAGAAGGAAAATTAGCAACTGGCACGACAACCAAAGGGAAGTCTGAGAGTCTTTAATGAAAGAAAGAACCTGTGTCCATGTTATACCAGCTTCTCAAAGATATGGGTCTCTCATGCCCTGGTTCTGTTTTCTCAATCTTCCCTCTATACACATGTATACCCACTTTTCCATCAAACTCTTTCCTTCCTCCAACGTAGCCCTTCTTTTTCTCTATACTAAAACCCTAGTGCCTAGGAACATCATAGATTATATAGCATGCTTTCATTTTATTCACAGTTAACTATATTGTGCCGTAATTTCTTTCATCTGACATATCACTTTGCATTATGTGTAACCAGCCTGTTACACATAAACACAGGGAAACAAAGGAGTTCATGGCCCAGAAAGAGAGGCAAACAGATCAACAAGCACATGCAATAAACTGTTACAATTGAGTTTAATTTGAGACCAAAATACAGGGATGAGATCAATTCTACCTTGGAGGAAACGAGAAAATTTGTGAGGAGGACTCTTGTGCTAATAAAAGTATTATTAGTGTGCATGTCCTAAAAGTCCTGAAGAAAGTAAGATTTTTATGAATTTGGTAAAGTAAAATCCATCAAATTATAAGAAAAATTATTCTAAGATAAGAATGTATCACAAATATGCTTTTCTCAAATGCCTTAAAGTTGTTATAAAAAACAAGGGAGGCAACACGAATTTAATTAAATATAAATAGCACATGATTGATCTCCTGCCCTTAGGAATTCATTAACTCTAGCTGATTGGATTTGAATAAATCAGAATATATAGAGTTACCTTTAGTGGAGGTTGTGCTAGAGTACAAGCTTCAGATAGAAAAATACCTAAGAGAAACGGTGGATAAAATAGGCAAATAGTTGGATGGAAACTTATGTTGGTTTCTGATGATAACAAAGAGAAAATGGAGGAGGAGGTGAAGAAAAGGAGAAGGAGAGAAAGAAATACCCTCCCAATTTGGAAATTCAGGTGGAAGATCAGAAATTTTAAATATCTGTTCTCTACATGAAAAAGGAGACACTGGCAGTCAAACTGTCGTGATTTGGAAATTGATCAAGGCAACTAGAATTGACCCTTCTAAACTCATTTTTCCACTTGATTGGGAGCCAAAGCAGTCTAGCAACTGTTTTCTCTGGAGACGAGCTTGCTCTTCCCCTGCAGGCAGCTCTAGAAGAGCACAGGGATAAAACCTAGTTACCACGGGCACGTAAAGAAAAAGATTAAGGCTGAAATTTGAAGAATGGGCTGTTACAAAAGAAATAAATTCCCGGCCGGGCGCGGTGGCTCATGCCTGTAATCCCAGCACTTTGGGAGGCCGAGGCGGGTGGATCACGAGGTCAGGAGATCGAGACCATCCTGGCTAACACGGTGAAACCACATCTCTACTAAAAAAAGAAAAAAAAAATACAAAAGAAATTAGCTGGGCGTGGTCCGAGCGCCTGTAGTCCCAGCTACTCGGGAGGCTGAGGCAGGAGAATGGCGTGAACCCGGGAGGTAGAGCTTGCAGTGAGCGGAGATCCCGCCACTGCATTCCAGCCTGGGCGACAGAGAAAGACTCCGTCTCAAAAAAAAAACAAAAAACAAAAAACAACAACTAAATTCCCAATCCCAGGAAGGTATCAAGTGGAACTAGAACTGTTTGGAATGATGTAGCTTTTTTTTTTTTTTTCCCTGCATCTGGAGGGAAGTCTAACCACTTATATACCCTTTTAGGTTCATTATACCTCAGTGGTTTTATCCAATGAATGCATTTGATAAGCCTATACATTTTATAAGCCAGAATCCAGGGCAGAAAATGTTTTCAACATGGATCTATACAAGAATAAGAGAAATAACATGGATGGATGGACAGAAGGAAGGCAGGAATAAGGAGGGGAAGGAACGAGCCAGTTTGTCATTTCAACCAAGTGGGATCAATGCAGTCTAAATCAAACAGATCTGCTTTGAAAGGACTTGCCATTTACTAGCATGTAGCTTTAAAGAAAATTACTTGGTCCTTCTCTAAGGCTTAATGTTTCATTTGTAAAATGCGGATAATAGTACCTACCTCATTGGGTTGTTTTGAGGAATAAGTGAATTGCATGTAAACATGTATCATACTTCATAACAGATAGTAAACACTCAGTCTGGATAACTTTTTTGATATTGTTATCATTGCTGTCATCCATATCAAAATGTGGCATATTAAAATTGTGAACTGCATTCTGTCAACCAACATCAGAGCTTGAGGAAACCTCTAAGCAAGTCAAGGTAGAGGTGTGTACATTTAATAATTTTTTCTGTAGTTAACTTTTATAATAAGAGCCCAGATGGTATCCCTATCATATTTTCTTATTTTAGCCATTCAGAGTTACAGAATTTTGAGGTGACGGAGAGGCAGGGAAGCCTGTGTTTTCTTTCATTATTGTTGGCATCTCTTCAGTCTGCTGGCAACTAAGGAAAGCAGTAAGTCACCACTCAGTTATGTGTGGGAAGATTTAAACCACATCAATTTCAAAGTGTGTCTAGCACAAGAAAATATTGCTTCTTTTAAAAAGACTAATGCAAATCAGATTAAGGGAGTTAAATAGAAATAAACCTGTAAAGGTTACTAAGGTGCTGATAAGCTTTTATAGTTGTAAGACAAAGAAGGGTTATCTTTTATATTTAGAAGAAGACTTACAGAGTCAGCATTTATTAAGGTAAAAGAACAGTAACCCAATAAAAATCCAAACACCCTGGAAAATGTCTGATCATTTCAGAGCTCCAAAAGCATATAAATTCCATAACAAGGAGTGTGTTTTTCCTTTAATTGACAAGTAAAAACTGTATACATTTATTGTGTGTAACATGATATTTTGATATATGTATACATCATGGAATGGCTCAATCAAGCAAGTTAACATAGGCATTACTTCACACACTTTTTTGTGGTGAGAACACATAAATTTTCAAATATACAAAATATTATTAATTGTAATCTCCATTATTTATGATAGATCTCTTGTACTTTTTCCTCCTGTCTAATTGAAATGTGTTTTTTGGCCAACATTGCCCCAATTCCCCTTCCCCCACTGCCTTTGGTAACCACCATTTATTTTACTCTCTGCTTCTATGAGTTTGACATTTTTATACTACACATATAAGTGAGATCATGCAGTATTTGTATTCCTGTGCCTGAATTATTTCACTCAACATAATGTCCTCCAGATTCATCCATATTGTGTCAAATGACGGGATTTCCTTCTTTTTTAAGGCTGAATAGTATTCTATTGTGTATGTATACCACAATTTCTTTATCCATTGGTAAGAAGTTTCTTAATCTCTGATACTGGAGAATGTTTCCTCCATTCCTGAAACACCTTCAATATTTCTTTCCCTTTGCCAGCAATCAATAGGAAAACTTATTTTTCTCAAAGAATTTTTTTCTATTACTTTACATATTTTTTTGTGATAAGAACATTTAAAATCTAATCTCTTAGCAATTTTCAAGTATAAAATACATCATTATTAAGTAAAGTCACCAAGCTATACAATAGATCTCCAAAAGATTTTTATCCTGTCTAATTGAAACTTTGTAGCCTTTGACCAACATAGCTCCACTTCACCAGCCTCCTTACCACCCATCTGCTACCACTACCATTCTACTTTCTGCCTCTAGTTCAACTTTTTTAGATTTCACATGTAAGTACTGTAATGCAGTGCTTGTCTTTCTGTGCCTGGCTTATTTCACTTAACATGATGTCCTCCAGGTTCATCATGTTGTTGTAAATGACAGAATTTCCTTTTTTTAAAAGGCTGAACAGTATTCCATTGGGTATATATAATAAATTTTCTTTATCTATTCATTTATCAATGAACATGATATTTATTCCATATTTCGGCTATTGAAGGTTCTCTTTTTTTCATGATTGTCTAATTGTTTCAACATTATTAAGACTATCCTTTTTTCCTGTTGAATTGTCTTTGCACCTTTCCTGAATATCCATTGAGCATATACGTGTGGGTCTATTTTGTGAACACTTTATTCTGTTCCACTGATTCATATGTCTATCCTTTCCTAATACCATATAGTCTTGATGACTATTGCTTTATAGTAATTCTTTTTTAATTTTTTATTATACTTTAAGTTCTAGGTACATGTGCACAAAGTGCAGGTTTGATACATAGGTATACATGAGCCATGTTGGTTTGCTGCACCCATCAACTCTTCGTTTACATTAGGTATTTCTCCTAATGCTATCCATTCCCTAGCCCCACACACCATGTCAGGCCTTGGTGTGTGATGTTCCCTGCCCTGTGTCCAAGTTTTCTCATTGTTCAATTCCTACCTATGAGTGAGAACATGCAGTGTTTTGTTTTCTGTTCTTGTGATAGTTTGCTGAAAGTGATGGTTTCCAGCTTCATCCACGTCCCTGCAAAGGACATGAACTCATCCTTTTTTATGGCTGCATAGTATTCCATGGTGTATGTGTGCCACATTTTCTTAACCCAGTTATAATAATTCTTTTTTTTTTTAGTTTTACTTTAAGTTCTGAGATACATGTGCTGAACGTGACGTTTTGTTGCACAGGTATACATGTGCCATGGTGGTTTGCTGCACCTATTAACCTGTCCTCCAAGTTCCCTCCCCTGCCCCCAACCCCCCAACAGGCCCTGGTGTGTGTTGTTCCCCACCCTATGTCCATATGTTCTCACTGTTCAACTCCCCCTTATGAGTGAGAACATGCAGTGTTTGGTTTTCTGTCCTGTGTTAATTTGCTGAGAATGATGGTTTCCAGCTTCATCCATGTCCCTGCAAAGGACATGATCTCATTCCTTTTTATGGCTGCATAGTATACCATGGAGTATACGTGCCACGTTTTCTTTATCCAGTCTATGATTGATGGGCATTTGGGTTGGTTCCATGACTTTGCTATTGTAAATTGTGCTGCAATAAACATACATGTGCATGTGTCTTTATAGTAGAATGATTTAAATTCTTTTGGGTATATACCCAGTAATGGGATTGCTGGGTCAAATGGTATTTCCGGTTCTAGATCCTTGAGGAATCACCATACTGTCTTCCACAATGGTTGAAATATTTTACATTCCCACCAACAGTGTAAAAGCATTCCTTTTTCTTTATAGCCTTGCCAGCATCTATTGCTTCTTGACTTTTTAATAATTGCCATTCTGACTGCATGAGGTGGTATTTCATTGTGGTTTTGATTTGCATTTCTAATGGTCAGTGAAGTTGGGTTTCTTTTCATATGTTTGTTGGCTGTTTAAACGTCTTCTTTTGAAAAACGTCTGTTCATATCATTTGCCCACTTTTTTGATGGGGTTCTTTGTTTTTTTCTTGTAAATTTGTTTAAGTTCCTTTTAAATTCTGGATATTAGCCCTTTGTCAGATGGATAGATTGCAAAAGTTTTCTTCGAAGAGTTTTTAAATATTTGAATTGAAATACATATGAGCATTTATCCACTGATTTCCACCCCCCACCACCCCTATCACGGGTTGAGGGTTGCCCCAAAGCTGGTAACTTCTCCCTGACTTCAGAACCTACAGGTTTTGCAGGAAAGCTGCCAACACAATGAGAGTTTCAGTTCCCATGGAACTGTGCATCATGGCTGTAGCTGAAATCAGAGATTGTAAGAGGGGATATGACACTGGGTACAAAAGGAGTCTACTGTGGTGCCCAGTGTTATTTTTAAAAGTCTAATATGACTATATATATATATATAAATATATATATACACACACACACACACACACACACATATATGTGAACATTATACATGTATCATACTGTATTATACTTATATATGATATACAAATGGAAAAGATAGTGAGTTCTTAACAGACTCACCCCCGGAGCATGACCCACCATATCTTATTTTGCTTGGGTGGTAGTGATGTGGACCAAGGAAGATATGTGCTCACACAGCTACTGAAATGACAGAACCAAAGGGGCAATATGGAGATTTTGCCTCTGAGCATTTACTTTTTGTATTCTTTCCTCCCTAAGCTTTACCTAACAAAATGTTCTCTGCTCCTCAAATCCCTCTCTCTAGATGGCTTCTATTCAGTAAGATTTGTTTCTGTCCTTTGACACCATTTCTTATTCCAAGAGAATCTCTAGAATCTTCTTAGCAAGACTGCACCCTCATCCTCTTCCACAGTTTGAGTCTAAGATGATCCCTCTTCCTGGGATCCTTTCTGGTAATATCCATGCTCAAAGTCTTCTGTTAGTATAGGTCTACACATCTCTCTTCCAAAACCATTCCTCGATTTCTCCGGTTAGATGCATCTTCTATTTTATGGTCCTTTTCACTTTCTGTCTTGTATTATAATTATTTATGTGCCTATTTTATCTTAGATAATAAAAACCCAGCAGGATCAAAATCTCATTGAGCTCTGTACACCTCACATCATGTAGCACATGGTGTGGCTTATAGGAGGTATTTGATGGATATTTATTGACTAAATAAGCATAGAGATTGAATTGTCTGCTCTTTGTAGGTAGGAGTTGTGATAACTTCTATGTGTGTTCTCAATATTGTCTTGTGCAGCACTGGACATGTGGCAGAAATTTTTATGCACTCACCAAATCCAGTTTCCTTTCCCTCCTGGCACATATCTGGATTCCATGTCATGTCTTTCTTGCAGTTAGGTTGGGCCATGTGACTGAGTTTGGCTAGTGGACTGTGAAAGCAAGTGATGTGTACCACTTGTAGGACTGGTTGGTAAGTGTGCTGCGAAGTTGTCTGTGCTCTCACTTTTCCCTTCATTCAGAAAATCTAGCAGAGGACATCCCGCCCCAGAGGATGGGGGAGCCCCCAGATGGAACAAGCATAGCTCCCTGAAGGGCTGCATGGCAACAGGCTCCCCTCATCCCTTCTCTGACCCACGTTAGACTGGAACATGAGTGACACCTAAACCTCTGGTAAGCAGCCACTGAGACATTCTGGTTATTTATTGTGGTACTTAGAATACTCTGACTAATACAGACACTTAGATATTTTTAACTGATTTTATTAACTCTAGTAAGAAACAGAAGTACTATATTTCTTTGAATTTAAGACACCATCAAATGTAAGACACATCATTATTTTATGTTTCATAAAATAAAAAGAAAGAGTGAGTGCTGCTAATCAAGCTGTGATAACCCATTCTAATTTCTGAGAAGGTAAAATGTGCAAAAAAGTGGATCTCAGAACTAATGAAATACAACAATTTACATGTAAAATAATTCTACAAAATATGAAATTCTTTAGTGAAATATTCAATGTATTTATGCAACATGCACTCATTAGTCACCTCTTTTATGCTTAATATTATGTTTGGTCCTGAAAGTAAAATGAGAATAGAACATAGTCCCTGCCCTCAAGAAATTCACAGACTAGTAGAAGAGATTAATATGTAAAAATAATTAAAATTCAGTTTAGCAGCAATAAGAATATAATATGTACTGTATATACAATGTGCTAGATACTGTCAATTACACATATTTTCAAGCATATGTCAATCCCATGGGAACAGAATTATTTTGTCTATTTTATGACCATGCTGTTCAGTAAGTATACTGATGGAGGTTAGTCTACCCAGTCCAGCAATGGCATTATAAAGGGAGTCACTAAGTGCATGATTGAGGTGGGCTGGGGTAGGAGGTACAATACACACAGGGTCAAGGACCATTTTATAGAGAAGATGAGGCTTTAACTGTGTCTTGAAACTAAAAAATGGTGTCCAGAGGGGCAAGACAAACATTCCAGAATAAAGGAACAGCGTGTGCAGAACCAAAAGATAATGAATGATTGCAAAATGCCGATGTGTACTGTGTGAGGTTATGGGAGGTAAAGAAAGTTGAGTGCAGGGAGAATAATGGATAGTTCACAATGAGCTTCATGTATGATGTTCAAGTGTTTGAACTGATTTATAGGATGATGAGAATTTTAGAGAGGTTTTAGGGAGGAGTGGAAGTAAGAGTGGACATTACCAAAATAAGGTCAAAAATGACCATTTAAAAAATACTTCTTAATACTGTCTACATTTGTAGAAATTGAGATCAAATTAGCAAAGAAATAGGATTATTTATGTCTCATTATCAGTCAATCAACAAAAATAAAAGATAAATAGTGAGATCTATTAAGATGGTAAAAACATCAAGAACATGTATTACTGAAATTCACTTGAATTGAGTTCATATTGCACATGCATAAAAAGATAATTTTCTATTCCTTTTGCAGTTTTGTGAGTTATTACCTTAAAAAGAAGACTTTATAGCAATCATTCACAAATCCTTTCAGTTCACTTATTACCTCTGTAATATTTTCTTTTAAAAAATATTTCTAGAAGCAATTTTAACCAGCCCAAGTTTCAAGCTTTAAAGGGCCGCAATTTTGCATACACAGTAAGTACTTTTTCTGAAAATTTTGTGTTATAGATTCATAATTCTCAGTGGGCTACCCCTGTTAATATGCACTCACAGCTGCATGTAGCCCTAGGAACCATTATTATATTAAGAATAATGTAAAGACACTTCAACTTATTCTGAATCATCATGCGTATTACCAAGTGTGTGCCATTATGAATAGCGGTCATAGCACACTGCATAATGGTATGTTAAAGACAACGTTGTGGTGTAAACTAAATGCATATTAAGAATACACAAAACTCTGCTGAATTTTAATCGTCCTTATTCATAGGACACAGAGCTCTAATGATCTTCAAAATGCATGTGATTTAAATAAGCCATCTTTATTCCATTCCATTTAAACCCTTGGTGAGAGTTAATCGGCTTTGGTG
Source organism: Homo sapiens (assembly GCF_000001405.40). Lineage (NCBI taxonomy): Eukaryota > Metazoa > Chordata > Mammalia > Primates > Hominidae > Homo > Homo sapiens. The sequence continues at coordinate 96,912,271 of NC_000001.11, read as the reverse complement.
GGCTCATTCCTACTGATGAACATGAAAAAAACTTAGCTCACACATAGAGAAATGTATGGCAAGTGGTGAACAAATCAAGTGAATCATCTCTAATGTACCTCACTAAAAGCACCCTACTCACCTCCAAGCCTAATCCTAAAGTTATATGAATTTAGAAGGGACTCCCTAATTGATCTCCCTTTCTGAAAGCTGATTTCCAGAAGATTTGCTTATAAAGGAATTATAGCTAAATAAGAATGTTGCCAAAGTCACTCTAGGATTGCTAAGGAGAGATTTTATTGTTGCTCTGATACTTTATTTAAGAAATGGTATTAGCAATAGTTACAACTAATAAAACCCAGTCAGTGGAACTCATCTTAGTCACTTGGGTAACTTTATTTCCTCTGACCTGGTGAGTGTATAGCTTTACAGAGGAAAATACCAGGCCTATTACCAGAAATTTCATGATTCCTCCCAAATTTCTTCCAAATTTAGTTGCAAGAAGTAGATATGAGGTCTTGTGTTCTGATCAAGTGGAAATCATATGTGATCATTCTCTTTTTCATTTTAAAAAACATTTGTGCCAGACATTTGTGATTGGTGATCGGCTTTCAGAGGAGTGAGAAAACTCATGAATAAAGTTAATAGGGGCACAATATTAAAAATCCCTGAGGCAACTCAACAGCCATAGTGGACTGTGGCAGCTATGGTTTTGTCTGCTCATCTCTCTTCCTCTGATATACGCCATTTTTCTTTCAGGAAACTTTACTCCCTGATGCTGTGTGGGGTCATTAATCCCAGTGACCTGGTCTCACCTGGTCAAACTGCATCCAAATATTGCCAAAGTCCCCATGTGTCTTGGGGCCCAGGAATTAATGTAGGAATAGGAAGTTGACCCAAAGAGGGCCAAAAAGTCTTCTCCAGGGATTCTGGAGCTAACAGTAAAGACAGTTTTTGTCCACTGAGATTACTCAAGTAGTTGAACTTTTCTAGCTTTATAGCAAGCACAAGGTTTCCAGTTGCCATTTGCCCAGTTTGTGAAGAAACCTGATTACTGAAGTAACACAAAGAGAAATGACAGAGTGCAAGTGAAGCAGAGTCATGCCAACATTTGAGCCCCCTGCAGGCTTATATGAAGTTAGCTGCATCTCTGGACTTCCCATGCATGTGAATTAATGAATGTTGTTTTATCTTTAAGTTATTTTGAGCTGGGCTCCTATAAGTTGAAAGAGGAAAAAAAAACCTAAATATAAATGACTTTTATAGCCATTCAGCATCTATTCACCATGTTTCCAGTAGCAGTTGTTCAAATTCCCTCTTGAGGAAGCACTGTGTTCCCATTCTTAGTCATGGCACATGGGTGGTCTCAACCTTCAACTGTAGTCTGGCCAACTAGAGCACCAAATTCCCTGGCCTCATGGTGATTGGCTCAAAAATTGAAATATGCCCCAATTAGAGCCAATGAAGCAGAATGAAAATTTTGGAAGAAAGATATATTCCTTTCCCACTAGATTTAAATACTGGGAAAACTGAGCCTTGCATCTACAGGGGCTACCATGCTGGGCCTACCTAATCAGTAAGTCAGTATAAGTCAAAAAGCAGAGCACAGAAATAAAGAGTAAGTAATGTATCATTTGAGGCCTTCAGACCCGAGATCAGCCTGTATCTGGGGCTATATTTTGCCTCTAGGTTTTTAGTCAATTATTTCCATTTTTTATTGAAATCAGCTAGAGATTTTGGTTTTGGTTTCTGTGGGGGGTGCTTTTTTGTCAAGTGAATGATCATTGATCATCCAAAATGCACTAACAATTATCTTCTAGACTAAAGTAGGTTAAACAGTTGGTACAATACATATTTTTTATATTTCCCTTGATTTTTTTCTTCATTACTGGAATGAAAGGCTTGAGAGCTGATTCTATGGCCTTTCCTCTGTTCTCAGAGACATCTGGAATTTGATCCTGCAAATCCTCCTTTAACATTAATGGAAAGAATTTTAGGAGTATACGTATACCAGGCCCAAAATAAATAATAATCCAGCCAAGGACTATGTACTGGACCAAGAGCCTATACCTTATTAGCAAGATTATTCATCAAATAATGAATAACTTTCAGTGGTAAGAATGAGCTGCACGAGAGAATGAGAGTTAGAATTAAAATCCTGAGGAGTCTAAGAGACTAGCTAGTCTATAAAAGCTAAAAGGACCCAGAATTTATGGCTTTCCTAAACTGAGGTTTTCTGCTTCTACTCACTTTTATTGCATTCCAATTGTAGAATGATGGGGACCTCAGAAGCTGTGCCTACAAGGACTTCCATTCTACCGTTCCATTCATGCCATGATTGCATCCTGTAGCCTTTCTGAAAACCAAATAAACAATGCCGGGTGAAGCCTACAGTGTCTTCTGAGTTTGTCTGAACTCAAGATCAATGCTGCTATCAAGCAGAGATGGCATGGCAATCACAGAACAGATTTGGCTCCTATGCTAGGAGGCTAGTAAACATAATTATGAAGAGTGCTCTTTCTTTGAAAATATGTCATAGATTCCAAGGGAAAACTTCCCAGTAAAATATGATCAGACTTCAGTTAATTTGGAAGAAGGAATTGAGGCTGCTTAGGTCTCCCATATTTTCATATCTAACTGTTTACCAAGAAGGCCTATTCTATTAAACTCTTATTTGAACCTATTCTGTCCACTCTACCCTCACTTCCATTGTATTGGTTAATAAGCTAATCACTTCATTTCTAGATTAGTTCAATAAAGGGAGAATTGAACTTACTGTCTTCCTTCTATCTCACCTCCCACCAAAGCATCCCTCATACAAAACAAGAGTGATCTAAAATAGGATACAGGCTATATACCAATGTGCTAAGGCTCTTTCAATTGTCCTTTCTAGTCACATATTCTATTGCTTCAAACACACACACACGCACACACTCACACACACAATTTACATATATACACCCATATCAGGAGGCTTGCCCCAGTTTATCACTGTCTATGACCATGGCGGTAAGTCTGTATAATTCTGGAGATTGGTCAGCAGGCCTATATTAAGCTACATTCTCCAATTTGGCATGTATGGGTTTAGAAAAATATGTTTTTTTCTCTATCTGCTACTGCATTGTCTTTTTTAATGATTTGTTCCAAATCCCAGGTAAAGAAGAATGATGCTATAATTGGCCACTTCCAAATACTCCAATACTCTTATGCCTGAAATATGTACCTGTCTTCCACCCTTGCCATTCTCTGTCTTACCTTCAAACCTAGTCTAAAGATCTCTGCTTCTATAAAGCCTGTCCTGATAGTCAACGTATTAAAGTTTAAGGATGCCAATTACATTTTTGCTTCAAATCAATAGATATTAGACACATGAGGGAAAACAGGGCTTGAAGCATTCAGTTATTAGTGGTAAGGCTGGATTGGAGACTTGAGTACAGCCTTGTAACCACCGGCTACCCAGACACACTGAAGCTTACACACAAGTGACAGATAAAAAGATAGAAGAGTCATCTCCTTCACACTTTCCCAGAGCTTGATCTATTGAGAGTCTGACTTCATGGAAATTGTAAGGAAATTATGTGGCTTCCAGAGAAACCAGTCATAGAAATCAAGTGTCTGCATCATACATAAACAGTTTATCAATGCCAAATGGAAAAGTGAGACCCAGAGAATGTCAGGTTCTTACCAATCTCAGTAATGAGTTAACTCAGTTGAGAGAATACAGAAGGGAGAGGCTTCTCTAATGGTAATTTCTGGTGTCAACTTGACTAGCTGAGGAGTGGTAAAACATTATTTCTGGTGTGTCTGTGAATGTGTTTCTGGAGGAGACTGGCATTTGAATCAGTGAAGATCTAAGCTCACCAATGCAGTTGGGCATCATCCAATCCATGGAAGGTCTCAATAGAACAAAAAGGCAAAGAAAGGATGAATTTGGTCTCTCTCTGTTTGAGCTAGGACATTTTTCTTTTCCCACCATCAGATGTCAGTGCTCCTGGTCCTCGGGCCTTCATATTAGTACTGAATTGCACCATCTGCTTTTCTACTTCTATACATTGTTGCCGGTAGATCTTGAAAGTTCTTGTTCTGCATAATCACAATACAAATATATATATATATTAAACATAATATATATATAATATATATATATTTTATATATATTATATATATAAAATCTCCTATTGGTTCTTTTTCCCTGGAGAACCCTAACTTCTAATATATCTCCCTCCCCATAACTTCCTCAAGAGACCTTAATTGTTAGTGGAAGTTTATTTATGTATGGGTAAAGATGGGAAATAGGGAAAGAATTGCCTCCCCTTATACTCCCCAACTTAATTTTCTTAAACCCAAACTCTCCTGAGTGCCCCATTAAGTTTACACATTCCTCTACTAATACACTAATTGTTTTTGCTCTATGTGTATCTGCATTTATATGTATGTATTTCTGGAATACTGGATTTTTTAAAAATGCAAGTATTTGTCTATGTTCCAGTGTTTGGCAAATACTTGTTTCTCAGTAAATATATAATGGCTGAATGAATAAGTCAGAATCATAGAATATGATAAATAGAAAGGGATCCTAGAAATTATCTACTTTGATTTCACATCTAAAGCCAAGAATCTTATAGACAACATCCCTGAGCATCAACTAGTCACTGTTTGGACACTTCTGAAAACTTTACAAGTTTTATCTAGACATAGAAAAGATAAAAATATCACCTCTATATATTCAGAAATATACAACATCGTTTCCTTGGTATTCTTGCCAAAAAGACAAAAGTTTATTCCAAGAATGAGAAAATATTAGACAAATCCAAATGGAAGGACATTCTACAGAACAACTTAGTAGTATTCTCCAAAAGTGGAAAGATCATGAAACGCCAAGAGAGACTGAGGAACTGTTGCAGATTGTAGAGACAGAAGACATAACAACTAAATGCAATGAGGGATCCTGGATAGGATCCGGGAACAGAAAAAAAGACAAATATTGGAAAAATTGGAAGTTAAAATAAGGTATGAAGTTTAGATAAGAGCATTCAATCAATAATTTCCTTGTTTTGACAATTGGATGATGGTTTTTTAACATGTTAACATTAGGGGAAGTGAGATAAGACATATATAGCTACTCTCTGTACTATCTTTGCAAGTTTTCCATGAATCTAAAATAAGTTCAAAACAAAAAGTTTTTAAAAATCACCTCTATAACACATATATGAGTGTGAGTTTACAATAGTTGAAAATCTTACCAATCTTTTGGTCTACTCAGCACAGTAGTACAGCCATAAAATTGTATGTGGAGTACAATTACACTATCAGGCATCACAGCAAGTTAGAAATAGCTGAATGTCTGTGGTTAAGCAGCATATGGTATACAAGCATTTCAATTGTTCGTTTTTGCTAACTAATCTGTCTCTTTACATGGGTCTGAACTCCAGAGCTAAAACAGCTTTCTTATCTTCAGGATTAATTTATGATTGAGAAAAGTCAGCGAGCAGGGTGATGCAAACATCTTAAATGGGCCCCCAGGAATTCCCAGTTTCTTGCCTTCCTTTCTCAAGAACGTAGTATTCTCAGTCCTTACCCCCAAGCCTCCTGTTTGAATTACACTAAAATTCCCTTGCATAAAGTCTCCATGTCACCTCTGTCCATTAACAGATTTCATGAAGACAGTATGTGTTTCACATAAAAGATAAGATGAAGGCCTCTATTCAGAGTGGTAGGAGATGTGGTAGGGCACATAGGCTCACAGCAGAGGAGTTTAGTAGATGTGGTATTGATTCCTTAATTCATACAATATCAGAAAATGAAAAATCTCAGAATATCAGCAAATGTCTGAACAATGTTCGTGATTTCAATTTTATTAGAATACAAGGTAATGTTAAATCCGGTTGAAAATAACAATGCTCTATCCCAGATTATTACATTTGATACTTCTTCAAACCTTTGCTGGGAACCTAATATGTCTCCAATAGGCCCCTCTTGTCTACTACTCCACATCCTCTGAGCCTCAGCGGTATCTTTCTCAAGCCCCTGGTCAGTGAGTGGTTCTACATGGACCCTGATCTGCTTCAGGGAGGAGCATTTTGATAGCACCTAGCCCAGGCCTGTGCTGTATGCCCTGTCCTCTTACTTTGGGGTTCCTGGGTTGGTACTGTGGCGTGTGACATTGCAGGAACCTAGTCAGTGTTCACACACGTACAACCAATGGGTTAATGTCCCATGGGTTAAACTTTTGACTAATGAGAGATGGGAACTAATTTACACTAGATGCTAAAACACATTTCATTTTGTTTCTCAGATATCAACAAGATTGATCAACTTGTCACCGTAGTTGAGACCAGCTCCATAATCCCTCTTTGTAATGGCTCTCTCTCCTTTCTTGCTTTGGACCCACCCTGCTATCTGAAGGCACCGTCTAAATGAAGTATAGGTTCCAGGATGTACTTTTTAGGGAACCCAATAGAAGACAGCATCTTTGCATATTGCAATTAAATTGTCCTATCAAAGAAAAAAAGTTAAAAACTGGCAAGAGAAGTATAAAACAAAGTTCCTAAAAGCATATATGTTAAATTCTGGGGAGATTTTCAATAAATCCATCACTGAGATTTATACATTCATAAACTTATTCCTAGATTACACATATTCTGTGGTATTATTCTTGGGTCTGACCAAGAATAATACAGAATACAAAAAACAATAGAAAACCATAAGAACAAACTTGATTCGCTTGCAATATTAGTCCTTAGCCATGGTATACATGGTAGCATGTACAAAATCTAGCTGACCAAAATAATGCTTCTCTCCCTACTTCCATATGCTTGCCACTTTCTACATATTCAGGGGCTATGAAAGTCAACAAACAACAGTACCAGAAAAAGATGAGAACAGTCAATAGTGTACAGCATTTTTGGAGACATAGGCACCTGGAAAAAATGTGTACTATGAGATGCTGGGACATGAAGATTAATGGGACAAGTAGACACTGGCAGGGATTAGTCTCCCCTATTCTAAACCTGTGCCAAGAATTGCTGTCTCATCAGCATAGGTAGAGAACCCAACCACAGAAAATATCTCACCTCACCCCAGTAGACCCACCCTGAATAAAATAAGTGCTAGAAACTAAATGTAGAGACTATTCACACTACTTTGCCTCTAAGACCTAAATCTGAGGAGGAATTTCCCAACAACCAGTAGACAAGGAGTGTTGCTAAAAACACATTCCCCATGTCATGTCTACAGACAAATGTGAGACACAGAGAGTCTTCTCCCAACCAAAGAAAAGTAAACAACAAAAAGCAACACATGAGGAAAGGAAAAGTATGTTAAAAACTCAGGAAATCATAAGACTGTTTTAGAAGTGTGTCTATTTGGTGCTCTCAGAAACAGGTCCCAAAGCATGATGAAAAACGCTGTTAAATCAAGGCACAGGCAAAAATGAGGCTGATGAAATAAGAAAGGATTTTAATGAGTCCTAAAATACAATTTAAAATTTTAAAAAATTAGGCAAAAAAAGCAAAGCTACACTATGTAAAATCAAATCTTTGAGGAAATGGTCCAATTTGAGATGCTCTCCTAGAATTTGAAAAGAATGATTTTGATATAGATATTAATACGAACATAATATGATATAGGATAAAGGGCTGAGAACCAAGCTAATATATAGATAGGCCCTGAAGAAAAACATCAGAAACATAGAATCCTTGAGGAGACAGTATAAACTAGTGAGCTAGTGCTTAGGATTTGGAGTGAGGCATTTGGGGTTGAAACTACTATTTACTAGCTTGGAGGCTTGGGAAAGTTAATTAACATCGCTGACTTTTGTCTGCTTCTCTTTAAGAGAAAAAGAATAGTAGCTATTCTTGACTACATTAGATAATGCATATAAATTTTTTTACATAGGCATTTTAAGCACTCAATGAATAACTGTTACCAATACCATTATCATTGTCATTGAACACAATAATCAAAGATGTGTTCAGAGAAACTTTTCCTGAGATCAAAACCTATGATGTGAAACTGAAGGAGCTCACCATATCCCAGACATGGTTAATGAAAAAGGTACATACATCACCACAGCCCAACTACTAAAACCAATTATACGATAACAACATTTCTGCAAATACCAAAGCTTCTTACTTAGAGCAAACATCAGGTCAGCCTCTAACTTTTCCTGCAACACTAACACCTAAGAAAATGAAATAAAAAGATGTTCCCAAATTATGCCACTTACAAATCTCCCTAGAAAAAATTATTCAAAGATCCTCTTGGTTACTAAGAGATAATCAAAATTTAAAAATCAAGAATGGCAAAGTAGCAAAATTAAAACCAGCTAATATAACTTCTGCAGATACATTTACAATAATTACATTAAAAATTATACACAAACACACCCACAGTAACTCTATATTCAGCCTTCAGAAATTACACTAAGGAGAAGAAGTAGAATGGCATAAATTCCTCAGTACATAAAGGGAGTGTCATTTCTTTTTGGTTCTTGATTTTAATAAATGGAGAAATTGGGATTATGCATTTATTTGATAAGTTAAAAGCAATCAAATGTAGAATTTAGAATAGAATATATTGTGGCTGCAACATTAAAGAAAATAAAAACAAAATATTCTCATGAAAAGAGAAAAAGAAACTAGAAAGCACAAAACACACTGAAAAAGTAAGATGTTGAAATTGACAATACACTCTGGGAGGCCGAGGTGGGCAGGTCACTTGAACCCAGGAGTTCGAGAGCAGCCTGAGCAACATGGCGAAACCTTTTGTCTCTACCAAAAATACAAAAATTAGCCAGGTGTGGTGGCACATGCCTATAATCCCAGCTACTCAGGAGGCTGAGGCAGAGGATCAGTTGAACCCAGGAGGTGGAGGTTGTAGTGAGCCAAGATCATGCTACTGGCACCAGACTCCAGCCTGGATGACACAGTGAGACCCTGTCTCAAAAAAAAGACAGTAAATAAAAATACATTATATGCTGTTTAAACAGCAAAGGTAAAGCTAAAAAGAAATAAGAATGATTAAATATATATTGAGCAAATGCCAAAAACATAAAAGAGAAGGCAGGCCAAAACAAAGCATTAAATGGGGCAGATAATATAAAATTATAAAGGAAAGCTGTTTAAAATTTTCAGGAGAAATGGCCTGTGTATAACTGTAGAAGACTTTCATGAGCCACTGTCCATCTGTGGAAAACTCAGTTGCCAAAATTATGACATAAATGGTTCAAATAATAGATTTCATAGGACTTATTAAGTAATAAGATTTACTAATTATTTTATATATATATATATATATACTTTTAAAAATATCCATAGGACATTTAAAATCATCAAATATGTACTAAACTATTTTTTTAACTCAGCAAGATTCAAATATAGAAAAATTTTTAAAGGAGGTAAAGAACACATAACATGAAATCTATCCTATTGTATTTTTAAGTGTACAGTACAGTATTAACTATATGCACTTTGTTGTATAGCAGAGTGTATACTTTGTCATATATTAGGTTGGTGCAACAGTAATTGCCACTTTTGCCATTGCTTTTAAGGACAAAAATCCACAATTACTTTTTGCACCAACCTAACAGCACCTTTTCATCTTGCATAACTGAAACTTTATAGCCACTGCATGGCAACTTGCATTCCCCCTTCCCACCGTCCCTGAAAATCAACATTCTATCTTCTGCTTCTACAAATTTGACTACTTTAGATGCCTTACGTAAGTGGAATCATGCAGTATTTGTCTTTCTGTTACTGGCTTATCAGTGCTCTCAGATTTCATCCATGTTGTTGCAAATGACAGGATTTCCTTCTTTTTAAAGTCAGAATAATATTCCATTGCATGTATGTATCAAATCTCTGTTAGCCATTCATCCAACAATAGAAACAGGTTATTGCCACCTCTTAGCTATTGTGAATAATGCTATAAAAAACATGAGTGTGCAAATATCTCTTCAAGATCCTCTTTTCAGTTCTTTTTGATAAATACCCAGAGGTAGGATTGCTGGATCATATTGTAGTTCTATTTAATTTTTTGAGGAATCATACTGTTGGAAACAAATGCTCAGTGCCACAAAGAAGAACCGGCACTGAGACAAAGAATCTCTCAGCAAGGCAAATCTACTTCTGCAGAAAGGTGCTTCTCATAGGTCGGGTTGTCAGGAGAGCACACGGAACAAAGGAGGGAAGGGGTTTTATTCCTAACCCAACTTGTCCCTGCTACTGTGTCCTGCCTCCATGGGCTGGAGTTGGACCGCATAATCTAAGCTGAACCCGGTTGGCTAACTTGAAAAGTGCAGGAATGCAGTTACACTGGCATGGGGACAATTTCAGCAGGAAGGGCCGTTGTGACAGGAGGCGCTGTTGCGACGGGAGGGGTAATTCACAGAGTGGGTAGCAGATGTGGAACGTGGGCTCTATAGATAAGGACTGGTGGGAAGGTTGTTTACCAGGACAGGGGGACACAAAGAGTAAGGAAATCTGGCCTTGATAGCAGGGAACAAAGGACAAGGAAACTTAAACAAGCTAAACCTTTGAAGAAGAATTTCTTACTGTATTTAACACATATTATTTTCCATGGCAGCTACACCACTTTACATTTCCATCAACAATGCACAAGGATTCCATTTTCTCCATGTCCTTGGCAAAATGTGTTATTTATTTACATATTTATTTATTTATTTATTTATTAATAATGGTCATCCTAACAAGCGTGAGGTGAGATCTTATTGTGATTTTGATTTGCATTTCTGTGATGATTAGTATGTTGAGCGTTTAAAAATACACTTGTTGGCCATTTATATGTCTCCTTTGGAGAAATGTCTATTAAAGTCCTTTGTCCAATTTTTACCTGGGTTATTTGTACATTTTTGTTATTGAGTTGTAGGAGATTCTGATGTATTTTGGTGATTAACTTTTTATTAGATATATAGTATTCTGTTATTATAGTTTTCAGTTCCAAAATTTCTGTTTGGTTCTTTTAGATATTTTCTATTTCTTTGTTAATATTTTCATTTTATTCATACATCATTTTCCTAAGCTTGTTGACTATCTTTATGATAATTATTTTCAATTATTTGTCAATTATTTTCAATTACTTGTATACTTCTGTTTTGTTAGGGTTGGCTTCTGGAGATTTAGTTTGTTCCTTCGTTTGGACCATGTTTCCCTGTTTCTTTATGTGCCTTATTATATTGTGTTGGGATATAGACATTTGAAAAAACAGCCACCTCTCCCAGTGTTTACAAACTGGCTTTATGTAAGGAAAGACTTTCATCAATAAGCCCCGTTAGAGATTCTGACAGCCTCTCAAATCTTTTCTGTGGATGATTCTTCTCTGACTTACATGTGTAAATTCCAAGTTAGAGTGGAATTGCAGAGTTCCTTTTTCAGCAGCTTGCAATCTCTTGCACCCTCTGGTATCTCTTTTGGGTTCCCTGGGGCTACTGTAAGATCTTCTTTTTTCCTCTCTGTCTCTCTCTTTCTCTCTCTCACTGGCCACCTGGCATCTAGAGTATGCTGGTTTTGTCATGCCACCAGTCAGGTAAGATACTATCCCTCAGGCAATGCCCTTCAGAAACCAGAAAGTAAAGGAGAAGCTACCAAGCTGTATCAGCCTGTATACTATACTATAAGTCCTTTGAAGCAGCAGCAAGCTTTCCAGCTCCTTTTTTGTTCTTAGGGTGCCCCAGGCATGTAAAGTCCTATAAGGTCTCCTAGTCAGGAAAGATAGTAACCAGCCTCAGGCAGCCACTCTCCTACCCCAACAAAAAGTTTGAATGTTGGACACATGCTCCAACTTTTTCTCTAACCAGGAAGAAGACACAAGTTGGAGGTTTTCTGCTGCTGACTTTGCACTGAGCTAGGGGAAGGGGCAATGACAAATGAGTATGTGCTAGTTCACATCACCTTTGTTCTCAGTGGCCCTCAACCTGATACTCATTTCTATCACCACTTAGATTCAGGTAAGACAGAAAAGTTTCATATTAGATGTACATTCAAGTCTTTTCTTTCCATCCCCAGGAGAAGCTGAGAGATGGAAGTTTCCTCCTAGTCACCATATTATGCCAGAGACAGGTGCTCTAGAGAATGAGTGCTATGAATTTTTCTACCAACTTGAATGCAATTGTTTTGGTGATCCCCTGGGTATACAACAGCCTCTTAACTGGTGTCTGGATTTCTCAAAAAGGAGATAGGCCCGTGTATTGTTGTTGAATCAGTGCTTCCAAGGGGGAAGCAGGACCTGGTGCTTCCTAGTCTACCATCTTGCTGATGTCACCCCCCAGTATAGAAACACTAATGACTGTTCTCTCCAATTACAGTGAAGTTAAATAATTAATATAAAAGTTTTAATATAAATCCTAAACAACTGAATTTCAAACAGACTCCATAAACAGTGAATGGAACAAGCAGAAAATAAAGATACAGAATTAAATTTTTTTTTTTTTGAGACAGAGTCTTGCTCTGTTGTCCAGGCTGGAGTGCAGTGGCACGATCTCGGCTCACTGCAAGTTCCGCCTCCCAGGTTCACACCATTCTCCTGCCTCAGCCTCCTGAGTAGCTGGGACTACAGGCGCCAGCCACCATGCCCAGGTGATTTTTTGTAATTTTAGTAGAGACGGGGTTTCACTGTGTTAGCCAGGATGGTCTCGATTTCCTGACCTCATGATCCGCCCGCTTCGGCCTCCCAAAGAATTAAATATTTTTTAAAATAAAAATAAAAATACAAACCTTATACATAAATACACAAAAGTATGAGAGGCAACTGAATCCCTACTAATTTCTAGCTAATTTCATATACCTAATGGTCATTAAATCCTGATTTACTGGTTTTCAACTCAAGGAATAAGAATAAGCAACATTATCACAAACACCAAATAAGCCCCAAGGAAATAAAAAATATAAGGTAAAAGAAAATAACATAATGCCATAAATGAATGATTTTTAAAATAGAAAAATAGAATTAATATGTAAATCTAAAAACTCAAGCTTTAACTCAAAAAGTTAAAAAAAAAAACACCAAGAAGTTAACACCATGGAAAGTAAAAATACAAATAAACACAAATAATAGTACAAATGAATTACTTTAAAAACATAAAAAATGAATTAACAAACTTTAAAAGTTTTTTCTGCTGTATAATAAATGAATAAACCAGATCAATTTATTAAAAAGTCAATGTAGAACAAAAGAAGGAAAGAAATAAGAATGACAAATGAGAAAGAGGATGCTGAAACAAATATAGAGTGTTTATTATAATTATTATTATAAAAGAATGTGAATACATTGGAAAATCTCAATGTCATAAATAATTTCCTGGAAAAAGATGTGACTAACATTATAAAGAAATCATTGTAGTATTGTAACTGGGAGTACATATAAAAGGATTAAATTTTGCATATTTTAAAAATAAGTGATTTCAACAATTCTGTGAACTTGTTATAAGAAAATAACTAAAAATCTGTCAAAGCTGTAACCACAAGAATCTTCATTGCTTCGGTATTTGCAACATACACAATTTGAAAAAATTTGAAACAACCTGAATATATTACAAAGGTGAGTCATAAAAACATTCAGGTAAGAGAATATCATGTAGCTATTACAAAATTAGATATAAAAAATACTAGATTTCAATCCAAAGGGTACTCTGTGTGTGTGTGTTTCGGAGGCTGGTGGTGATGTGGTTCTGTGCGTGTGGATGAGTAATAATTAAGTGAACTCATTCCATGGGCCGAGCAATTTTCAAAGCAACACAATAGTTAACTATCATTGACTCTCAAAAAAGTGTCCGGAATGACTACTGGGTAAATAACAAAATTAAGGCAGAAATAAATAAGTTCTTTGAAACCAATGAGAACAAAGACACAACATACCAGAATCTCTGGGAAACATGCAAGGCTGGTTCAACATATGCAAATCAATAAATGTAATCCATCACATAAACAGAACCAGTGACAAAAACCACATGATTATCTCAATAGATGCAGAAAGGGCCTTCAACAAAATTCAACACCCCTTCATCCTAAAAACTCTCAATAAACTAGGTATTGATGGAACATATCTCAAAATAATAAGAGCTATTTATAACAAACCCACAGCCAATATCATACTGAATGGGCAAAAACTGGAAGCATTCCCTTTGAAAACTGGCACAAGACAAAGATACCCTCTCTCACCACTCCTTTTCAACATAGTGTTGGAAGTTCTGGCCAGGACAATCGGGCAAGAGAAAGAAATAAAGAGTATTCAAATAGGAGGAGAGGAGGTCAAATGTCTCTGTTTGCAGAAGATATGGTTGTATATTTAGAAAACCCCATCATCTCAGCCCAAAATCTCCTTAAGCTGATAAGCAGCTTCAGCAAAGTCTCAGGATACAAAATCAATGTGCAAAAGTCACAAGCATTCTTATATACCAATAACAGACAAACAGAGAGCCAAATCATGAGTGAACTCCCATTCACAATTGCTACAAAGATAATAAAATACCTAGGAATACAATTTACAACAGATGTGAAGGACCTCTTCAAGGAGAATTACAAACCACTTCATAAGGAAATAAGAGAGGACACAGACAAATGGGAAAACATTCCATGCTCATGGATAGGAAGAATCAATATCGTGAAAATGGCCATAATGCCCAAAGTAATTTATAGATTCAATGCTATCCCCATCAAGCTACCATTGACTTTCTTCACAGAATTAGAAAAAAAAAACAACTAAATTTCATATGGAACCAAAACAGAGCCTGTATATCCAAGACAATCTTAAGCAAAAAGAACAAAGCTGGAGGTATCACACAACCTGACTTCAAACTATACTACAAGGCTACAATAACCAAAACAGCATTATACTGGTACCAAAACAGATATATAGACCAATGGAACAGAACAGAGGCCTCAGAAACAACACCACAAATCTACAACCATCTGATCTTTGACAAACCTGACAAAAACAAGCAATGGGGAAAGGATTCCCTGTTTAATAAATGATGTTGAGAAAACTGGCTAGCCATATACATAAAACTGAAATTGGACCCCTTCCCTTCACCTTATAAAAAAATTAACTCAAGATGGATTAAAGACTTAAACATAAGACCTAAAAGCATAAAAACCCTAAGAGAAAACCTAAGCAAGACCCTTCAGGACATAGGCATGGGCAAAGACTTCATGACTAAAACACAAAAAGCAATGGCAACAAAAGCCAAATTAGCAAATGGGACCTAATTAAACTAAAGAGCTTCTGCACAGCAAAAGAAATTATCATCAGAGTGAACAGGCAACCTACAGAATGGGAGAAAAATTTTGTAGTCTATCCATCTGACAAAGGGCTAATATCCAGAATCTACAAAGAACTTAAACAAATTTACAAGAAAAAAAACAACCCCATGAAAAAATGGATGAAAGATATGAACAGACACTTCTCAAAAGAGGACATTTATGCAGCCAACAAATATATATATATAAAAATCTCATCATCACTGGTCATTAGGGAAATGCAAATCAAAACCACAATGAGATACCATCTCACACCAGTTAGAAAGGCAATCAATAAAAAGTCAGGAAACAACAGATGCTGGAGAGGATGTGGAGAAATAGGAACACTTTTACACTGTTGGAGGGAGTGTAAATTAATTCAACCATTGTGGAAGACAGTGTGGCAATTCATCAAGGATCTAGAACCAGAAATACCATTTGACCCAGCAATCCCATTACTGGGTATATACCCAAAGGATTATAAATCATTCTACTATAAAGACACATGCACATGTGTGTTTAATGTGGCACCGTTCATGATAGCAAAGACTTGGAACCAACTCAAATGCCCATCAATGATAGACTGGATAAAGAAAATGTGGCACATATACACCTTGGAATACTATGTGGCCATAAAAAAGGATGAGTTCATGTCCTTTGCAGGGACGTGGATGAAGCTGGAAACCATCATTCTCAGCAAACTAACACAAGAACAGAAAACCAAACACCACATGTTCTCACTCATAAGTGGGAGCTGAACAATGAGAACACATGGACACAGGGAGGGGAGGATCACACACTGGGGCCTGTCAGAGGGTGGGAGGCTAGGGGAGGGATAGCATTAGGAGAAATACCTAATGTAGATGACGGGTTGATGGGTGCAGCAAACCACCATGGCACGTGTATACCTATGTAACAAACCTGCATGTTCCGCACATGTATGTCAGAACTTAAAGTATTATAATAATAATAATAATAATAATAAAACTACACTCAAATAAACAATTTAAATTTGTTCAGTTTCTTAAAGTAAAAAAAAAAAGTGTCCCAATTTAGATATGTCATTTAAACCTCACACAATAAGCAAATGGATGAAGCTGGAAACCAACATTCTCAGCAAACTAACACAAGAATAGAAAACCAAACACTGCATGTTCTCACTCATAAGTGGGAGTTGAACAATGAAAAAACTTCTACTCAATGGTAACAAACAGAATTTATAATTTGAAAAATAATGACACCAAATTTAGCAAGGTTTAAAATTGATATATTTGGGTGCAAAAGTGCAAAAAGAGAGGTACCTGCATTACTAGCAAAAAAGTAAATTGGCACAAAGTTTCTGAAAGATTTGGCAACATTTATGTATCTGTACCATTTTATGAAGGTATCCACATAGAGCTTCAAAATGTTTTCTATCTTTTGACCCAATAATTAATATACTTAATAGCTTTTATAATTTAAGGATGCTTAATATTAAAATTTAAATAATGTAGAAAAATTAGGGGAAAAAACTAAAATCAAACAATATGAGAATAATGAAATATCAAACTAATAACATATAATCATTAAAATCATGTTTTTAGAGTATAATTATAAGAATTGGGGGAAATTCTTATTATAATAATTTGAAGTATAAAATGTAAGATACCAAATTAAATATACAGTGTGATTCTGCATTTGTTTATATGTGTATGTGCACAGATAAGTTTTTATACATACAAAAAAAATTTACCAAAATGTTAAAGTGGTTACAATTTTTATAGTTTCTCTGATGCACATTTATTCTTTTATATGCAAAACAGAAATGATTATATAAATAAATCAAAAGTTAAGTGTAAGCTTCTTTAATGGTTGGAAAGAAATGCAATCCTAAATACAGTGACTAGCATTGGTGAGAAGGGCAACCTTATTGATCCCTAGAACACTTTTTCAAATGTTACCACATATCTTTCCTCATCATCAACTTCTTACCAATATCCCCAGAAAGTCCTGTTTTTGGCAGCTCATACCACCCTGATCCTGCTTCAGCTCATTTTAGGTTTCCACTTGAGCCTGCACTAAAGATGCTGATGATTAGAAGCAAGAGAACACAGTGCCATTGTTTCTAGTATAAATAACCAAAACTTTGAAGAGAAAAATTTTACACAATGTAAAAACTGACCTACCCTCATGTCTGGTGACCAGTGATCATCCTCTCCAAGTGGCAAACATTTCCTCCCATGAAAGTTCAAGAACAAAAGTCACTTGAGAACTCTTTTCCTACTCCTATACTTTCAGACATAGCAGAAGCACACTCTAATGCCTGGGAGGGGTAAATTGAAACAGTTTTTCGAGAGTTGATGATAGTTGAGTATTGTGTTGGAAATGTTTAACACACAGAGCCTTTGTAACAGATGCTGCTAACTACCTGTCCATATCCATCCTCCAAACTAACAGAACCCAAAATGTTCTCTCAGTGGCAATGTTTTCAATGGCAATGTGCCCAGACTTTGTGTGTGTATATATATATTATATGTTATATATAATATATAAATATATATTATTGATATATAATAAATTTATATATGTTACATATAATATATAAATATATACTAATATATAATATATTTATATGTTATATATAATATATTAATATGCAATATTTTATATGTGTTATATATAATATATGCATATATTAATATATAATATATTTATATGTTATATATAATATATATTATTAATATATAAATATATATTTATACATGTTATATAATATATAAATACATATTATTAATATATGAATAATAATATAATATTAATAATTTATATATATATATGCGCCAGTCTCCATTGCTGTTAGAGTTTGTCTTGTGAGACTATTTTGGTCAACGAAGCATACACAGAAATCCACGGGAGATTCTGTGAATTTTGTTTTCCCGATATAGACAGAAATCCTTCCCTTTCCTCCTTGTCACTGCCTCCCAATATTTTCCTGTTTAAAATGAGAATGCAATGCACAGAGGTAAGGCAGCATTTTTGTAACTGCAAGAAAAAAGTTCTATGTTAAAACGGTGGAACAAGAAGAGAAAAATGAACCTGGTTCTTCAGATACTTGCTCCAAGCCTGAACTTCATCTTCCAGACTTTGTTATGAAAGACAAGCAAATAATGTACTCAGATAAACTATTGTTACTTATATTTTTCTCATACAGACAAACTGAATGTGATCCTAAAATACACCCTATGTACAACAATCCCCTTTGTAGAAATGTATTTTGTGGAGATGGTAACACATGTATGCAGAGATATCTATGCACGGATATGTCTGCAGCATTGTCTATAATAGGAGAAAATTGAAAAAAATCTTAATCTTTCTCAGTTAAACAAATTATAGTACATCAGTACTCTTGAATACTAAGTGAAATCTAAAGCAATTATGTGGAGTGACATTTACTGATAAAGAAAGATGTCTGTAACATACTGTCAAGTGGAAAAAGCAAGTAACCCAATAACATAATCCCTGTTCTATAGATATGTGTGTCTGCACATGCCTAGAGATATATATGTGCAGGCACACAGTCCTACAGAAAAGGGATTACGTTATTGGTTTACATTCTTTTTAAGGATTTTTATAAAAATGTTAACCGTAATTATCCTTGGGTAATTTACATTTTATTTTTTTATTTTTATTTGTATTGTATTTTGTTTTGCAAATTTTACTTTTTCTAATTCGCATTATGTGTTTTTCATGAGTATGTATTATTTTAATAATAAAAACAAAACGTAAAGCTGTTTTCATTTCGAAAATAAATAAAATGGCAGCCACATGAGAAATCCTTAAGAAGGTAGGTTGCATAAGTGGGAAACGAGGTCACCCTTGTGGCTCCCTTTCCCCTAAAGAAAGTTCTATAGAGACTTAGATCTAAAGTAGATACAAAAAGGGAAATGAGAAAGTAGAACTATTTCCACCAGTACTAACAAAGAACAGGGAGAGATCCAGCGAAGAGGAGGAAGTAGAGGGAAGGAACAAAGAGAGAGGAGAGAGGGGATACTTCTCTGTGTACTTGTATTGCCAGAAGAGATTACGGAAGAACATTGTTTCTAGAAGTCCACTACCCTGAATGAGACAAATGACTGGGGAGATTAGAGGACTCTATCAGGCTTCTAAGAACTAGTAATCCCTAGTTAGTTGAAATGACTACAGTATTACAAACTAGAATGCAAATAGATTTTTCAGGTGCAAGCACCTAAGTTCCCTAGGGGTTCAATTTAATTCAAGTAGCATTGAATATGTAGCTGTTTCAATTATTCACTTTCAGAAGATAAAAAATGAGTAAACTGTGTATTTTATACCTTATATCACCAAGTTTATTAAATTTTTTGCTTTCTGAGAAATATGTAATATACCTACTAAGAGCCTTGGACTTTGAAAATTTTACAAATACATGGAAATTAAACAACATGCTCCTAAACAACCACTGGGTGAATAAAGAAATTAAAAGTAAAATTAAAAAATTTCTTGAGACAAATGAAAATGGAACTATAACTTGCCAAGCCTATAGGATACAGCAAAAGCAGTTTTAAAAGTGAAGTTTATGGCAATAAAGACTTACATAAAAAAAAAAAAAGATCTTAAACAACCTAACATTGCACCTCAAGGAACTAGACAAGAAAGAATAAACTAAACCTAAAAATTATAGAAAAAAGAAAATAATAAAGATCAAAACAGAAATAAATAAAATAGAGTATAAAAATACAAAAGATCAGTGAAACAGAGAGATGATTTTTTGAAAAGATAAGCAAAATTAACAAACCTTTAGTCAGAGTAAGAAAAAAAGACTCAAGTAAAATCAGAGATGAAAAAGGAGATATTACAAATGGTAACACAGAAATACAAAGTAGCATAAGAGACAATTACATACCAACAAATTGATTAATCTAGAAGGAATGGGTGAATTCATGGGCTCATACAACCTACAAAACTGAATCATGAAAAAAGAGAAAATCTGAACAGACAATAACAAGCAACAGGATGGAATCAGTAATAAAAACTCTCCAATCAAATAAAAGCCCAGGACCTGATGGCTTCACTGCTGAATTCTACCAAACATTAACAGAAGAAAGAATATTAGGTTGGTACAAAAGTAATTGGGGTTTTTTGCATTACTTTTAATGGCAAACACAGCAATTACTTTTGCACCAACCCAATGATCAGCTCTACTCAAATTATTCCAGAAAATTAAAGAAGAGGAAATATTTCCAAATTTATTCAACAAATCCAGTATTACCCTGATACCAAAATCAGACAAGGACACAATAACAAAAGAAAACTACAAGCCAACATTCCTGCTGAACATAGATGCAAACATCCCCAAGAAAATATAAACAAACCAAATTCGACAACACATTAAAAAGATCATTCACCAGGATCAAGTGGGATTCATCCCAGGGATGAATGGTTCAACATATGCAAATCAATAAATATGATACATCGCATTAACAGAACCAAAAACAAAAACCATATAATCATTTCAATAGATGCACAAGAATTTGATAAAATTCAACATGACTTCATGATAAAAATTCTCAATAAATTATAGAAGAAATGTACCTCAACACAATAAAGACAATCCATGACAAACTCAAACCTAGTATCATATTGAATGGGGAAATGCTGAAACCTCTAATAACCTCCTCATTATTAAATTGTGAATAAGAGAAGGATGTCCACTTTCACCACTTCTATTCAGGATAGTACTGAAAGTCCTACTCAGAGCAATTAGGCAAAAGAAAAAAATAAAAGACATCCAAATTGGAAAGGGAGAAGTTAAATTGTTTGCAAATGACATGATCTTATATATAGAAACCCTAGAGACTCCACTAAAAACTTAGAACTAATACATTCAAAACGTTGCAGAAAATAGTCAACATATAAAAATCAGTAGTGTTTCTATACACTAATAGTTAACTATTTGAAAATGAAATTAAGAAAATAACCCCATTTACAATAGCTACAAAAAATAAAATACTTAGGCATAAATTTACCCTATAAGTGAAATATTTCTACACTGAAAACTATAAAACATTGATTAAATAATCTCAAGAAGATAAAAATAAATGGAAAAATATTCCATGCTCATATATTGGAAGAATTAATACGGTTAAAATGACCCTTCTACCCAAAGCACTCTGAAGATTCAAAGCAATTCTTATCACAATATCAACGACATTCTTCACAGAAATAGAAAAAACTATCCTAAA
Source organism: Homo sapiens (assembly GCF_000001405.40). Taxonomy (NCBI): domain Eukaryota; kingdom Metazoa; phylum Chordata; class Mammalia; order Primates; family Hominidae; genus Homo; species Homo sapiens. Next base: position 96,890,802 of record NC_000001.11, on the reverse strand, counting down.
ATGTGTATGGAATCACAAAAGACCTCAAAAAGCCAAAGCAATCTTGAGAAAAATGAACAAAGATGAAAGCATTACACTGATTTCAAAATATGCTACAAAGCTATAGTAACCAAAACAGCATGGTACCAGCATAAAAATGGATACATAGAAAAATAACACAGAATAGAGAACACAGAAATAAATTCATTCATTTACAGCCTACTGATTTTTGAGAAAGTTGCCAAGAATACACAATGGAGAAAGAACAGTCTCTTCAATAATTAGTGCTGGGAAAACTGGATATCCATATGCAGAAGAATGAAACTAGATCCTTATCTCTCACCAAATACAAAAATCAACTCAAAAAGCTGGAAATGTGAGACCCAAAACAATAAAACTACTAGAAGAAAACATAGGGGAAATGCTTCAAGACATTGATCTGGGCAAAAATGTTTTGGATAAGACCCCAAAAGCACAGTCAACAGAAGAAAACTGAAAAATGTGATTGCATCAAACTAAAAATCTTATGCACAGCAAAGGAAATAATCAAAGAGTGAAAAGACAGCACACAGAATGGAAGAAAATATTTGCAAACTATGCACCTGACAAGGGGTTAATATCCACAATATATAAGAAACTCAGACAACTCAACAACAAAAACACTAAATTATCCAATTTTAAAATGAGCAAAAAACCTCAATATACATTTCTCCAAAGAAAACATATCTGTTGATAAGATGATCAACAGATATATTGTAAAAATCCTCAGCATCATTAATCATCAGGAAAATGCAAATCGAAACCTCAATGAGATATCACTTCATTCTGAATAGAAGAGCTATTATAAAAAAAAATAACAAATGCTAGTGTGGATGTGGAGAAAGGGAACTCATACACTTTGGTTGGGAATGTCAATTACTATAGCCATTACGGAAAAGAGTATGCAGATTCCTCAAAAAAATTAAAAGTAGAGCTATCTTGTGATCCAATAATCCCATTACTAGGCATATAACCAAAGGAATTTAAATAAGTATGTTGAAGAAATATCTGCACTGCTATGTTTATTACACTGCTTGCTATTCACAATAACCAAGATATAGAATCAACCTGTGTCCATCAACAGATGGATGGCCAAAAATATGACATATAAAAGTAATGTAATACTATTCAGCCATAAAAAAGTAAGAAACCCTGTCATTTGCAGCAATATGAATGAACCTGGAGAAAATCATGTTAAATGAAATATGTCAGGCACAGAAAGACAAATACGGCATGATCTCATGAAAATGTGAAATCTAAAGAAATTGATCTCACTGATGTAGAGAATAGAATAGCAGTTAACAGAGGCTGGGAGGGAAGGAGGAAAAAGAGCATAGGGAAAAATTGGTCAACAGATACAAAAGTTATAGTTAGGTAGGAGGAATAAGTTCTGGTGTTCTATTGCACAGTATGGTGACCATGGTTAACAATGTTGTATTGCATATTTCGAAATAACTAGAAGAGGGAATTTGAATGTTCTCAGCACAAAGAAAGGATAAATGTATGAGGTGATGGATATGCTAAATACCTTTGATTTTTGCACAATATGTACATGTATGGAAACATCATACATATGTGCAATTATGTACAAGTATGTACTATTATGTGTTAACAAAATAGATAATTTTTTTAAATTCAAATTTATAGCTTTGTACATAGATATTTTTAAAGTTACCCTATACACACTCATATTCAGGATTATTTATCAGGTCCATGAATATGACAGCCATTTGATCAAGAAGCATTATGTTTTCCGATGCTATCTTTGAGAAATATAGGTCATAGTTCTATAAAATGAAAAATTACAGACATATTTCCTCATGAAACTGTACAACAAAATATTTTTGAAACAGACTATGGCATTCTGTTAGCTATGTTACTCCAGAATTATCTTACATCCAGGTGAACTTGAATTTATCTTTTCAAACTAAACAATCTGGAAAAAAGAAGTGGTAGACACATAAAACACACAATCAAATGCTTTATAATAATTTGGCTTAAAACAAATTTCAATATGATGTTTCAACCATTCAACAACCCAAAGCTAATGTAAAAAAAGAGTAGACATATATTATGTGACAAAAAGGAAAAATCCAGCCAGCTTTTAAACTAGGAAATTAAGAAGAAAACGGCATACAATCTGGTATTTTCAATTAACACTCTATATGTTTCTTCAATCCATGACCTGTCTGAAATTATTGAAACCTTTTCTACATGCTGCCTCTATATGTGTGAATCAATCCAGAGTGTGAGAAAGAATGGAGCGAACAAATTCCTTCTGGTCATTGGCACTGACGTAAATAACACAAAGTTGTGAAGTAACAAACACGAGAGAATAACATAAACCACATGAAAATATCCCTTTGGGGCTTGCACTAAAGAAGACTGGATTCAGGTGGATTAAATAAGAAGTTTATTTAAAAGTTTTTCTTTTGCTCAGATCAAATCATCATAATGGCTATAATTAATTATCTTTTTCCTAAATAACCTCCTTGCACTGCTGTCCCAAAATGTAATTCCTGTTGCAGACTTCTTATAGCCCCAAGGAGAAAAAAAAATCTATTGACTGTTGTTTTTGTTCAGTTCTAATTATAATTGAAAAGGTACTCGCACCAACTTTAAATCCCCTATGTCCACACTGTATGCAAAAATCAGAAAGGGTTATGAAAATACACTCTCCTCTGATAATTTCCATAGATATTTCAACTGCATATCCATGTTTTTAAACCTAAATCTCAGCCTTTGCACATATTTTGACATTAGGAAGTGAGTGAGGGAGGGCAATAACAGAATTTGAAGTTGATTTTGTGAAGTCTATTGAATCTGAGCCAAAAAAAGCCATATACAAACAAAAAAAAACTTCACATGATAATGCAATTCAGAAAAATAATCTTGTTTTTAAACCGCTTACATTAAAAAGAATAAAATATGTTTTTTCTTGTACCCACTCATAATTCTGAAGTAATTCATCATGAAGATGTTCTGGATAGTTATGAAAAGAATTGTTGTTATATTTATATATTTGAGTATTGAGTAAGAGTAGTCATTCAATTCCTGCAAACACTTGCATTACTGGGCATCAGGTTCACAGTTGCTTCACCCTTCTTCTGTGCCTATGACACAATTCTATGTGGTATAGCATAAGTAAGCCATATTGTGAGATGTGTAGGCAAATAGAATATAAATACAATGCCAAAGCATGCTGGAAAGTTTCAATTGATGTTGAAAGAAAACAAAATCTATGAAATAGATAGAGAATATCTATCACCTAGTAAGAGTGGAAAGAGAACAAACTCTTGTGTGGTATGGCAGGATCCACACCATCTCTGTCTGAGTTCAGATGAAGGCAATTCTTGAGAGAACCCCCACCCTGCTTCCTACTTTCTTTGTAAGATTACCTCCCACCATCACTACCCTAGAACAGTTCAATCTTTTCCTCACTACAAGATGCACCCCCCTTCTCCCCGCTGCCTTTCCGTCCTGAAATATATTCATGTCTCCTGATTGATAGTACTTTTTCACTTCATTTTAATGTCCTTTCTACTTACCAGTCCATAGCACCCTCTGTTTTTATGCCAACAATCTAAACAAATGCCCCATTGCTGGCCTTAATTCTCATTGTAATTTCATGTACTCTTACTCTTACCCCTAACATCATCACTGATGACTCTCTCATTTACCAAATCTCATGAATTTCTGTCAGTCAGTGACACTGACCTTTCTGGCACTTTCAATACGAGAGACAGTATTGGAAGTCTAGTATCCTCCCTTGACTTTTAAACTTTCATTATTCTCCTCCTTCCCTATAAGTTATCCATTTCTGTATCCTCTTCCTCCTTTTAATAAGAATAGCTATTATCATAAAATCAAAACCAGTATTTCATTGCATTTTAGTATATACAATACATGCTAGCTTACTTACCCTATTTGATTCTCCAAAACTCTTTCTCACCATTGATTTACTTCCTCACCGAAGTTAAGTGCACTCAGGATTTCAACTGTAAAACTGCTGAAAGTAGATTCCAAAACTTCTGCAATCCAAATCTCCTACATCTACTATAGTTTCTTATTTCAAACTATCTTCAGAACATTTTCTCTTGGAAATTTGCTGACAGGCTCAAATTCGAAGCAGCAAAATTAAACTTATCTTCCCCTTCTATCCAATTTGCCCTTCCTGCAGGAAGAGAAAATCGTGGATAGGCAATAATCTTCTACCGCCTTATTCTACTTCTAGTTTTGGAATTTTCAGTGCAGTGACTGGTGATATGATAAAACCAAATTAGGCAAAAAAAAAAAAAAAGCTCAATCTGTTTCTTCCCAATCCATTTTCCTTCATCCCTGCCCTGAGACAAGGGCCATTAAGCACAGAACAACATGTAATGTGGATGAACAGATCCCAAATAGCAAAGATTAATCCCATGAAAGTGGGCTTGATCCTCAAAATAAGCAAACAAATTAGCTTGGTAAACAGAATTTGGGAAGGATGGCTTGAGAGGCAGAGATCCCTAGAAGTGGCTTTTAATAAATTAAATGGAGTTTCTAAAGTGAATGGGGAGATTTCAAGAGGGTTGAAACATCAGTAAAAATCCCAAGCTTAGAGAGTAGTGGCTTATGACTGATTCATCTGACTGAAAGTGTCATCTAGGCTAAAACTAAAACAAAGTACAATGGATACCGCCACCACCAATAACTGAATTACTATGGCAATTCAGACACATAAATACATGCTTAAAATTATTCCTAGTGCCCTATTAAGAAGGGACCTATAGAAAATGGTGTGCTAGAGAAAAACCTGGAGCAGGGAGTCAAGATTTCCTGCCAAGGATGTATTCTAATGCCAAGAAAGGGATCTGATAAACTATTTCCCATGGATGTCTCTTTTCCCATAATATACTTTATTATCCTATCCAGAGGATGCAGAAGATGACCAACATATGGTGTTTACCTGAAGTTTCCTTACCTTTTCTCCCTTTAGTGAGATTTTTGTTTTAATTGTTTTGTTTTTCAACTACTATTGAATATTAGCTAGGGTACATTTGGGTGTGCTGTGTGTGTGTGTGTGTGTGTGTGTGTGTGTGTGTGTGTGTGTGAATGTGTTGTTTCTATTGCCAAAATTTCCCCACATATATATTTTTTAACATGGCTGTCATCTCAGTTTTAATAATACTTTAGTACTTTACCCCCACTTAACATATATGACTACATTTTTCCATTTGCTAATCATCCTTTTAACTCCTCCACGGTTGTTCTTTTTTCTTTCTTTTTTTAGAGCAGTCTTGGAGGAAGGTGTAGAGATTTCCCATATTCTCCCTTCTTCTAAACATGCATTGCTTCCCCCATTATCACCATTACCCCCAGAATGGTACATTTATTATAATTGATGAACCTACATTTACACATGCATCATAATCACCCCAAATCCATTTTACATTACGGTTCACTCTTGGTTTTGTAGATTCAGTGGGTTTGGGAAAATGTATAATGACATGTATCCACCATTACAGTATTTTGCAGAGTATTTTCACTGCCCCGAGAATCCTCTGTATTTTGCTACTCATTCCTTCCCCATCCCCTGGAAACCACTGATATTTTCATTGTCACTATACTTTTGTCTTTTCAGGGATGTCATTTAGTTAGAATCATACAGTATGCAGTCTTCTCAGTTTGGATTCTTTTACCTAGTATTATGCATTTAAGGTTCCTTCATGTCATTTTGTGGCTGGATAGTTGATTTCTTTTAGTGCTGAATAATATTCCACTGTTTAGATGAATCACAGTATATTTATCCATTCACCTACTAAAGGACATCTTGGTTGCTTCCAGGTTTGGGCAATTATAAATAAAGCCTCTGTAAACACGTATGTGCTGGGTTTTGTGAACATAAATTTGTGACTGCTTTGGGTAAATATCAAGAAGCGCAGTTACTGGCCATCAGAGAAATGCACATCAAAACCACAATGAGATACCATCTCACACCAGTTAGAATGGCGATCATTAAAAAGTCAGGAAACAACAGGTGCTGGAGAGGATGTGGAGAAATAGGAACACTTTTACACTGTTGGTGGGACTGTAAACTAGTTCAACCATTGTGGAAGTCAGTGTGGCAATTCCTCAGGGATCTAGAACTAGAAATACCATTTGACCCAGCCATCCCATTACTGGGTATATACCCAAAGGATTATAAATCATGCTGCTATAAAGACACATGCACACGTATGTTTATTGCGGCACTATTCACAATAGCAAAGACTTGGAACCAACCCAAATGTCCAACAATGATAGACTGGATTAAGAAAATGTGGCACATATAAACCATGGAATACTATGCAGCCATAAAAAATGATGAGTTAATGTCCTTCGTAGGGACATGGATGAAACTGGAAACCATCATTCTCAGCAAACTATCACAAGGACAAAAAACCAAACACCGCATGTTCTCACTCATAGGTGGGAATTGAACAATGAGAACACATGGACACAGGAAGGGGAACATCACACACTGGAGACTGTTGTGGGGTGGGGGGAAGGGGGAGGGATAGCATTGGGAGATATACCTAATGCTAAATGACGAGTTACTGGGTGCAGCACACCAACATGGCACATGTATACATATGTAACAAACCTGCACATTGTGCACATGTACCCTAAAACTTAAAGTATAATAATAATAAAATTTTAAAAAAGAATTTAGAATATTCCTTTGTAATACATAAATGCTTAATAAATACTTAGATGGTGGATTTTTATCTACATCTTTGGTAAAAATCCAGAAAAATATTTTATTAGGGATCTGCTTATAAATAATTCTTCATAAAAAAAATCCTTGAACATCCAGGAATCCTAATATTTAAATATCCAGATCTGTAATATAATTAACTTTCACAAAACTAATAAAAACCTGTGTGTGTGTGTGTGTGTGTGTGTGTGTGTGTATTCTGAGATCACGGAACAACTAGGAGCTGACCACAGCCCCAGAAATCAGAGAAACAAACTTGGAATCTTACTTTCCTCTTGAATACTTCTTGTAAGTACTATTTGAATTAATTTTTATTCACTGAAAAAAAGGCAATATATTTTAGCAAAGTTCCTTCCATCATTGAAAGGTTAAAGAGGCCAGGTGCGGTAGTTCACGCCTGCAATCCCAGCACTTTGGGAGGCCAAGGCGGGCGGATCACCTGAGGTCAGGAGTTCGAGACCAGCCTGGCCAACATAGTGAAACCCCATCTCTACTAAAAATACAAAAAAGAATTAGCCAGGCATGGTGGTGTGTGCCTGTAGTCCCAGCTACTCGGGAGACTGAGGCACAGTGAGCTGAGATGGTTCCACTACACTCCAGCCTGGGCAACAGAGTGAGACTCTGTCTCAAAATAAATAAATAAATAGTAACAAGAGAAGACAATCATTTCATAGGAAATCAAGTGAAACAGAAAGATCTAAAGATCTGTTCGGTGCTATCCTATATAAGTCATTTTTTTTTGTCTTTCCAGAGTTGTTACAGGGCTGAGTATAAGACAGAGGTGGGGAGCAGCCCTGTATAATCCTTTTCCAGGGAGGACGTGAGAGTCTGAAGAGTCAGGAGACTCGGGGGGGTCTTAAGTTTTATTACCCTGTGAAGAGAAAAACCCAGAGCCATAGAAGTTGTCCTTCTTACCTTTTTATGCATTTGTTCAAATCTTCATAAAAAGCCTACAAATTACAGATATCAGGAAACGGAGGCTGAGAGTTAAATAACATGCCCACAGACATCATTGGTAAAGATCGTAACTCATATTGTCAGATTCCACAGTCCACTAATCTTTCCCCTAAACAATCACATTCTGCTTCCCAAAAATCATCACTGGCTTTTCTAATATCACTAGTAACATCTTCAAATTAGAAGCTTGAGTTATCAAAGGCTGGACATGCCCCCATCCACATTCTTGGGAAATGATATCTAAATTGAAGGTGATTTTGATAATAATATTCTTACTGTATTCTTGGTATCCACATGCCTGACACTATTATTAGAAGTGTCTTCACACCTTAAGAACGTCACCTAATTAATCTTCATAATCCATGAGGAAAGTATATATTATCTCCATTTTACAGATGAGGAAGCTCAGGCTCACCACTAGTAAGATGGAAAGCTAGAAATTTATATGTAGTCCACTAGTCTCACTATCTTTTCCCCCAGCTTTGTTTAGGCACCATTGACAGATTAAAATTGTATATATTTATGATGCACAATGTGATGTTTTGATATGTGTATACATTGTAAAATTATAATCACAATCAAGCTAATTAACATACCCAGTACCTCAAATGATTATTATTTGTGTGTGTGTGCTGAGAACATTTAAGATCTGCTTTCCCGGCAAATTTAAAGTGCAGTTATATAGCAGATTATTAACTATCATCACCAGGGGGTACATGAGATCTTAAAACTTACTCATCCTGCCTAACTGAAATTTTGCACCCTTTGACCAACATCTCCTCATTTTCCCCACCCCCCAGCCCCTGGCAATCACCATTCTACAGTCTGCTTCTGTGAATTTCACATTTTTTAGATTCCATTTAAAAGTGAAACCACGCAGTATTTGTCTTTCTGTGCCTGGCTTATTTCACTTAGCATAACATCTTGCAGGTACATTCATGTTGTCACAAACCTGTTAGATTTGGGTTTGTCATATATGGCTTTATTGCATTGAAGTACTTTCCTTCTATTTTGTTGAGAATTGTTACTATGAAAGGTTGTTAAATTTTGTCAGATGCTTTTTCTGCATTTATTGAGATAATCATATAATTGTTATTCTTCATTCTGTTAATGTAATGTATTATATTCATTGATTTACGTATGTTGAATCATCCTTGCATCCCAGGGATAAATCCCACTTCATCATGGTGTATGAACCTTTCGATAATGTGCTGTTGAAATCAGTTTGCCAGTATTTTGTTGGAGATTTTTGCATCTATATTTAACGGAAATGTTAGCCTGTAATTTTCGTTTTTTGTAGTGTCTTTGTCTGGCTTTGGTATCAGGGTGGTATGGTTTGGCTCTGTGTCCCCACCCGAATCTCACCTTACATTGTAATAATCCCCATGCATCAAGGGCGGGGCCAGGTGGAGGTAATTGGAGCATGGAGGTGGTTCCCTCATGCTGTTCTCATGATAATGAGTGAGCCTCATGAGATATGATGATTTTATAAGCATCTGGCAATTCCTCTGCTTGCACTCATTCTCTCTCCTGCTGCTCTGTTAAGAGATAGATGCCTTCTGCCATGACTGTAAGTTTCCTGAGGCCTTCTCAGCTGATATAGTTTGGGTATATCCCCACCCAAATTTCACCTTTAGATTTGAATTGTTAACTCCCTTAATTCCCACGTGTAGTGGGAGGGACCTGATAAGAGGTAATTGAATCAGGGGATGGGTCTTTCCCATACTGTTCTCGTGATAGTGAATAAGTCTCACAAGAGCTGATGGTTTTATAAATGGGACTTCCCCTGCAGAAGCCCTCTTGTTTGCTGCCATGTAAGACGTGCTTTTGCTTCTCTTTTGCCTTCTGCCATGATTGTGAGGCCTCCCCAGCCATGTGGAAATGTGAGTCCATTAAACCTCTTTCCTTTATAAATTACCTGGTTTCAGGTATGTCTTTATTGGCAGCATAAGAACTGACTAATACACCATTCATGCAGAACTGTGGGTCAATTAAACCTCTTTTCCTTGTAAATTACCCAGTCTTAGGTACTTCTTCATAGCAGCCTGAGAACGGACTAATACACAGGGTAATGCTGGCAACCTGAAGTTCATCAGATTCTACCAAATATTTACAAAATTAACACCAATCCTTCTCAAACTTTTCCAAAAAATTGAAGAGGAGGACTTCCAAACTTATTTATGAGGTCAGCATGACCCTAACAATTCTTTGTTGGAAGGTTTTTGATTGCTGATTCAATCTCCATAGTCATTATTGTCCTATTCAGATTGTCTATTTTTTTAATCTATGATTCAGTCTTGGTAGTCTGTATGTTTCTATGACTTACTCATTTCTTCTAAGTTATACAATTTGTTGGTGTGTAATTGTTCTTAGTAGTATCTTATGATCCTTTGTATTTCTGTGGTGTCAGTTGTATGTCTACTTTCTCATTTATTATGTTTATTTGAGTTTTCTTTGTTTTTTCTTAGTCTAGCTAAATATTTGTCCATTTTTTAATTTTTCAAAACATCATTGATCCTTCCTATTGTTTTTCTAGTCTTTATTTCTGCTTTGATTTTTATTTTTATTATTTCCTTCCTTTTACTAACCCTGGGCTTAGTTTGTTCTTTCTTTTCTATTTTATTGGTATACAGCCATACATGCTGGACATACCCAATCTCATCCATTTTGTTGAGATATAAAATTAGGTTTTTTGAGATATTTCTTCATTCTTGATGTAGGTGTTTATAACTATAAACTTACCTCTTAGAACTGCTTTTGCTGTATCTGATACATTTTGCTAAGTTGTGTTTCCATTTTCATTTATCTGAAAAATATTTAAAATTTCCCTTTTGATTTCTTCTTGGTTGTTCAGGAGTGTGTTGTTTAATTTCCACATATTTGTGAATTTCCCAATTTTTCTCCTATTATTGGTTTCTAACCTTATATCATTGTGGTTGGAAAAGATACTTGATATGATTTCAATCTTCTTAAATTTGTTAAGACTTGTTTTGTGAACTAACCTATGATCTGTACTGGAGAATGTTCCATGTGAGCTTGAATAGAATGCGTATTCTGCTACTGATGGAATGTTCTGTGTTTGTCTTTTAGGTCCATTTGAGTCTATAGTGTTGTTCAAGCCCACTGTTCTGTTATCAATTTTCTGTTTGGATGATCTATCAATTGTTGAGAGTGGAGTACTGAAGTCTCCTACTATTATTATATTGCTGTCTATTTCTCCCTTCACTTCTGCTAATATTTGCTCTATATATTTAAGTTTTCCTCACAAACTGCATTCTTAATCAAAGTCATTCTGTAAACACAGTCAGGAAAATCTGACTACTGTATCTGGGAAAAAGAAAAATTTATATCAATCTTCCTCTTTGAAGTGAAATTTCCATCTGTGACAAAGCTAGTCTCTACCTCTACAGCATTCCACAAATGCTTCTAGTTCACTGGGTTATATGTATGATAGTAAATCTCAGAGAAGCATCTTTTTCCCACTAGTAAAGAGACCTATTTTCCAAAAATGTTCAAAAAAAGGAAAAAATACAAATCCAAACTGAATTCTGGATTAAGACAATCAGAGTATTTAGAGATAAGTCCTGTGAGTGGGAAATGCTGCAGACCTTGGCTATTTCCTGGCTTGGATCTGGAAATTCTGTGCAGATCACCACTTCAATTTAAATATTGAGGCAAAGAGCAGAGTCCGAAGTAAAGAAACAAGCTTCCAGGAAGGTTCACCTCTACTTGAGAGTCTGTTTACAGAGATAATTTTCATGGCATTGCTCAGAACTTTCATACTCACATTAGTGTTTTCTGCTTTATTCAATCTCCTATCTGTTGAATTTATAAGACTTACAGTAGTATAATAAGTGGGTGCCAAACTCCTTAGAGAAAATAGCTGATGAGAAACATTCTCTATTTATCTCTGTTAAAGCAAGATAAGCAGGATGCTGTTAGCCTGGGGTTGTTTCTGTAAACGGAACTCTTCCACAAGCAAACAGAAACTTAATTTAGAGGCATTCCTTGTAACTGATTAATTTTGCATTGATCTTTAGTCAATCACAGACAGCTAATCAGCCAATTGGCTATATAACTAGGGACCTCCATCACACCACGCCCAAATAAGGCAAATATCTAGCTCCAATCAAATCAAGTAATTTCATTTTACTTCCATGTTCAACTGGTAAAGTCTTGCTGATCATGCTGCTAGAGCAGAGCTCTTGGTACCTCTTATGGTTTTGAGTGCTGCCCAATTCATGACTTATTTTTTGCTCAAATAAAAATTGTCAAAATTATCTTATATAAGGTTTTTTCCCTAACACTTTCTAATATTGCTGAGAAATAATTTAAAACATATCCCTTTTGTATAGATAAGCCTCTAGAAGCTAGGAGACATTTGGCACAAGGACAGTACACCTATATTAAGGACAGTATGCAGGCCTCAAAATAAAATTACTAATAATCATTAACTAAATGATCAAACATAACACCACTGATAACAGGACAAACTGACATCAATGCTTCTTGATGTCACGCACTGAAAACACAACATCACCCACAAAGTACTACCGACCATAATGTAAAAAAGTGTAAACCTGACTCTAATTATGAAGAAACAGTCAAACTAATGCAAACTAAAGGATATTTTGCAAAATATCTAACCTAGACTAAAAAAAGTACCATGTTATGAAAGATGAAAATAAATTGATATAGACAGATAGATATATAGGTAAATAAATAATGACTGGAGACCTTCTAAATTAAAGGAGACTAAAGGGAAATGACAACTAAATATGATATATGATCCTTTTATCAAATCCTAGGTTTTAAAACAAAAGGTAAAATCTGAATATAGACAGTATATTAAATAATAGTGCTATATCAAAGTTCAATTTCCTAAATTTGATAACTGAAATTTATTTCTGTTGAAGAATATTCTATTCTTAGAAGATAAATGCAGCAAAATATTAGTAACTAACTGTCCAATGGTGTATGTATGTGTATGTATATATATATACATATACATGTGTATAGATTACATATATGTAAGTTGGAGGGAAAATGGCAAAAAAAAGTTTATTTACTTGAACTATGACATTTGAAATTCTTTTTCTGTCTTTCTCTGTTGCCCAGGCCGGAGGGCAGTGGCATGATCATAGCTCACTGCAGCCTCAAACTCCTGGCCTCAAGTACAACTCCTGCCTCAGCCTCCCAGTAGCTGAGATGACACCAGCTACTTGGGAGGCATGCCACCAAGCCTGGCTAAATTTTTTTATTTTTCTAGAGATGGGGTCTCACTATGTTACACAGACTTGTCTCAAACTCCTGGCTTCAAACAAACCTCCTGTCTCAGTCTCCCAAAATGCTGAGATTACAGATGTGAGCCACTGCACTTAGCCTGAGTAGTTGAAGTTCTAACGTTAATAAATAAATGAACAGCCTTGGTCAGCTGTGTTGGAGTAATGTATTCTATTTGACTTATTTATTCAATAAATTGTTATTGAATGTGCACCTTACATCAAGTATTTTTTAATCAGATTAAAAATACAGAGATCAATAAGATAGTAACCCTGCCCCCAAGGAGCTCACACGTACTTTAATGGAGATATTACTTTGTAGTTCACTGTAGGACATCAGTCTCCAACACCATGCTTCTTTGTATTATGTTCCATTTCAATATTAAAGCATCACATTTTTTCACAATGATATAAAATTCTAAAGATTAAAGGAGGTGTTGGCTATGGTCTAATAGGTCCTCAGGATTCATTTTTGTCTGTTTTCTTTTTTATGCACTTTCCCCTAGGGGAAGGAAAACTACAATCTGCATTCCTCAGATATCGTTGTAGCTAGAACTATAAATGCAAATTAATTTCTGCCAATTAGGTATCAATTAGGTGCACTCTCTGGGGTCTGGAAGGTGGAAGAGAATTAGAGAGCAACTTCCTGTTAATGGGTGCTGACAATCATGATTATGGAGCAGAGGCAGTTGTGGTGGCTGGACTCAGCTTCTCAGTGTCTGGTCTTCGGCTTTATGTGTGTCAGGTGGCAGCATTAGTTGCAGTGGTGAGGATTGAGATAGCAGCATCCTTCTGACTCCTGGATTGAAGTTATGGTGATATATATTTAAACTCACTACTTGAATAGTCACTTCCCAACTCCTACTTCTCCAACCTTTCCAATAATGCATGTAAGTTTCTAATACGCTATTTTATACCCCTTACTGTTTGAAATACATAGTGTTCTACTTCCTGCACTGAACTTTGGTGAATATGATTTGTTTCTAGATATGGCCCTGATCAATGGTTTCTTGTCCTTCTGAGTTTTATTTTAAAACAGAGTTTAAGCCTGTTGTTTATTTAGGACATTAGATAAAATGGGCTTAATTTAACCTTCTTTTATTTATTGGTCACTAAATTCTAAAATATGTGGGGAAAATATGAGGAAGGTGGTGCTTCAAAGCCCTTTAAACATGAACTTGATTTTATTATGTATATATGTTATTTATAAATTATATTTCAATTTATAAGACTGCATTTTTTTCCATGAACTATCATTTCGAAATTGGCAAACTTTATTCTCAATGAAGCGACAAATGGAATCAGCTCATCCAACAATATAGAAAATTCTAAAATCACACATTGAAAGGAAAAGTAGATATGTTGATAAAATATTAGCACCATTTAATATAAATTATAACAATTAACTACAACTTTAAACAACCTAGTAGAAGCTTTTACTAGAACTGGCAGATTTACACAAAGAAAAATAGCCTACTGTGTTGGTCAGCATTGTGATTCCTGTCTGATTATCTCTGCATCCAGATAAGTAAGATAAAATTTCTATGAATTAGCCCCCTATCCTATAAAGCCCTCAAACAGATAGAATGCAATGACGTCCATGATATGGTGTGTGTTTGCCTGTGCTGCTTCATCTCCCCCTGCTTTTACCCACAACCCTTTGATTTATACCCCTACAACATGAAAACATCATGCTTCTCAAGCCTTGTTCCATTTGCACTTCAGCTTCCTTTACCTAAAATGGCCTCTGCCTGCTTGTCAACTAGGTGAGTTCCTAGTCATTCTTCAACTCTGAACTTAAATATGAACTTCTGATACCTTCTCCAATACCTTAAGATTAAAATGGCCCTTCACGGAGCTTCCACTGCCCACATATATTCTTTCATCCTGACAATGACCAAAATATTTCACAATTGTTTCTCTGCCTTTCTCTCCAAGCGTAACCTTTTTAAAGGCAGTGACTGTGCCTTTTTCTTTATGACTTATTAATTCTGCTGCCTATTGACTCCATAGTGCAGAACAACAGCAACAAAAGACTGAGGTACCCAACGTCATGCAAGTAATAACTGGCCATGATTAGAACCCAGGTCTAATTGGCTGATTTCAAAGCCTAGGTTGGCTGCCTTGTTCAAATATTTAGAAAGTGAATCAATGAATAAAGTTCTCATCGATCAAAAAAAGGAAAATGTAATAATTAAATTTATTTTGCAGCTTTGACTTAAATATTCCTTTATAAATCAGAAAATCATTTATCAAATGAGAAAATCAGAGGTATACAACTAGGTCAGAATATGAGTCATTTCAGACAAATCTATTAATGAAAAAGACAAGAATGCTGATGGAACACAAAGTTTCTCATTTAACCTTTAAATGTAAAGCTTCTATATCAACTATTTTATAACATTAACTTGTTCTAAAGAAAATCATTCATTAAATAGAAACGTTTGATTTTTCTATTGTTATCTATTAGTTTTTTAAAAATAAACTTCATTGGTTATAATTTGCATGCCATAAAAAGAATTCATTTTAACTATACAGTTTGGTGATTTTTGACATATGTATATACCCATTTAACCACTACAACATTCAAGATATACAGCATTTCCATCACCCCAAATGTTCATCCAAGACCCCTTTGTAGTTAATCTACAAACTTTGGCCTCACGTAACTCTAATCTACTTTCTGTTAATATTGATTAGTTTTTTTCTCTTCCAAAATTTCACATAAATGGAAGTTACAGAATTTATTCTTTTGTCTCTACCTTATTCCACTCAGCATAATATTTTGGAGATTTACCCAGGTCGTTTCATGTATGAGTAGTTTATTCCTTTAGGCCTGAGTTGCATTTCATTGCATGAATATAATACAATATGTTTATCATTCACCAGTTGATATTTGGTTTGTTTCCATTGTATGGCTACTATGCACATTTGTTCTAAATGAAAAAGGCATCTATAAACATTTGTGCATTAATGTTTTTGTGAAGCATATATTTTCATTTCTTTCAGGTAAATAATGAGGAGCAAAATATATGTTTAACATCATAAGTTACTGCTAAACAAATTTCCAAAGTGTTTGTACCATTTTATATTCACACTCACAATGTACAAGTGTTCCAGTTCTTTGTGCTGTTGTCATCCATTTTATTTTACATACGTTATAAACCCAGAAAACATTAGTCTTGCTGTAACTCTTATTCTAAGTCAATTATGTTTTTCAATTAAGAAAAAACATGTCATTTTTATTTTCTTAAACATTTACCATTTCTAGGACTTCAATTCCTTTTTTATAGATTCATGTTGCCAGCTTTTATCTTTTTTCTCCTACTTGAAAGGCTTCACATTATAGTTCAGATCTGTTAATAATTAAATTCTCTCAGATTCTGTTTACCTGAGATATCATTATTTCACTTTATTTCTGATGAATATTTTTACTATAAGTAGAACTTTAGGTTGCCAGATTTTTTTTTCAGAACTTTATATTGTTTCATTGTCTTCTGGTTTGCATTATTTCTAATGAAAATTCAAGACCTACTATTAGTTTTTTGTTTTGTTTTTGATGCTGTTTTTCAAGATGACTGACTAAAGACATCGAATGCCAGCTCTCCTCAGAAAGAAGATCAAAGTTACAAGTGTATAGTCATGGCCCATGTGGAAAGAGTACTGAAACCTATCAGGACTCTAAGGGAAGAGTGCTGAAACCTATCAGAGAACTCATGAGAAGAAGCTGGAGTGCAGAGAATGAAGGCAGCAAAAGTCTGGCAGAGATAGACCCCCAAGAAACCTGGAGTCCCATGAAAAGGGTAGGTGTGGGTATTTCTTTGCTCCCCTCACCCCTGCAACAAACGCTGACTGCTGGAATTGTTGGAGAGCCCCTCTGCCCTTGTCACCCTGGGCAACCCTGTGGCAATTTAGGAACTTCCTGGGGACAGAGCACCGGGAAGCAAATTTGTGCAGGTGCACTCACACTCACCCCAAATCCAAACAGAGGCAGCTGGCACCAAAGTGGTTGTGCATCTATTGTGGACCATTACCGGGCCCAGGGATTCTCAGCCCTTGTATTGCTGCATCACCAAATACCCCATAAACATAACCCAGAATCTGCTCTGATTCTGGCAGCCACAGAGGATCGGTAGGTTCTTGGTGAACTACAGGATCCCTGGAGATCTAGCCCTCAGCATGAGCTGCCCCTAGGGGAAGGGGCACCAAAGCACCCCTTGGAACAAAGGAAATGGTGATCTCTGAAGGTGGGGGACAGTGGCACCCCAGTTGATAGGCAGCACCAGTGGCTAGGAACAAATGTAGAGAGGGGGTCACCTCCTACTGCCCCTCCCCACCTCCCACACAACTGGGGGCTGTTGTACATGCACTTAGAGACAGCCTTTCCAGTGCTATTCTCAGCATCTGCATCCCTGCTGAAAGTGTCCCTGCTGCACAGGTTCACACAAGGGTATGGCTCATCTTTCCTTCCCAACATATAGCTGCAATGTCCCTGGAACAGAGAGTGGACCAGCCACAGAGCTATCTATTCTGGGCTGGGGGAAGAGGTTCCGCCCAGAGATCATTTCTGCAGTAAGCCGCCAGATGGGAATTTCCTGTGAACCTCAGTCGTAATGCAGCCTGGAGATAAAGGACACTGTCAATGTGAACTGAAGGTCACAAACTCTGTGACAGGGAGGTGATAGGGAACTGGATTGCATCCCTACCTGCCTAGGATGGGGAGCTGGTGCAGCCACCTGAGACCTCAGTAAATCCCACCGTAAATTCCCCCTGCCACCTTCATCAGGGTAGGTGCTTCCACTCTTCATCAGGGTGCCCAAGAGTGAGCCAGCTTTTACTCTTAAGCACCACCTACTGGATTAGATATCAAGCTGCATCACCAAGTAAAAACCTGTCAGCATACAAGATAAGCTTTCTGAGACCTCTGCACTTCCAGCCCCACGGAAGATAGTGAGTCAGATCATATGATCTGCTACCATAAAAAAGCTATCTATAACCAAGGAATCCATACAGAGCTTGGCCCCCTGAAAGCATCCAAAACAGTAGCCAAATGGTCATACACAACATACACTGCAGTTATACCCCCAAGAGAGAAAAGAATAAAAAATTTACAAGTCTCATCCAAATGATAGAAATTTCAAAAAGAAAAAGTGATAGCTTTTACAGATGAGAAGGAATCAGCACAAGCTTTCTGGCAGTACCAAAGGACAGAATGTTTCAACACCCCCAAAGGATCACACTAGCTCCATGGCAATGAATCCTAATCAAAAACAATAAAAATTCTGAAACAACAGAAAAAGAATTCAAAATATGGATTGTAAGAAAGCTCAATAAGTGCTAAGAGAAAGTTGAAAACAACACAGGTCAGAAAAATAATTCAGGATATGAAAGACAAGATAGATGTGTGTTTTTTGTTTTGTTTTGTTTTGTTTTGCTTTTTTAAAAAAGTAAAAAAAAAACTTCTGGAAATAAAAAATTCAATGAAGGAATTTCAAAATACAGTTGAAACCTTTAATAATAGACTACACAAAGCAGAAGAGAGAATTTCAAGGCTTAAGGACCAGTCTTTCAAATTAACTCAGTTAAATAAAAAGATTTTAAAAAGAATTCTAAAAACTGGATAAACCCTTTGAGAAATATACGATTATGTGAGGTGACTAACCCTACAACTGATAGGCATTCCTGAGGAAGAAAAAGAAGTAAAAAATTTGGAAAACATATTTGAGGGAATAATTTAGGAAAATTTCCCTGATCTTGCTACACATGTAGACACCCAGATACAAGAAATTCAAACAACACCTAGAAAATACTATATAAGATGAACATCACCAAGGCATATAGTTATCAGACTAAGGTCAATTTGAAAGAAAAAAATCTTAAAGGCAGTTAGAGAGAGGTGTCAAATCACCTATAAAGAAAACCTCATCAGACTAAAAGCAGACTTCTCAGCAGACACCTTACAACCCAGAAGAGATAGGAGCTGCTCTTTAGCTTTCTTAAAGAAAACAAAAAGAAAAAAAAGCCAGCCAAGAATTTTATATCCTCCCAAACTTAGCTTCATAAATGAAGAAGTAAAGTATTTCCTAGATAATTGAGTGCTATGGGCATTCATAACCACTAGACTAACCCTACAAGAAATGCTTAAAGGAGTTCTAAACATGGAAATGAAAGGATGATACTCACATCATAGAGGCACAAAACTCACAGATCCAATAAAGTAATTACACAATTGAGAAGACAAAGCAACTGGCTAACAACACTATGACCAGAAAAAAACCTCACATACCAATATTAACTTTCAACGTAAATGGCCTAAATGCCCAACTTAAAAGAGACCCACTGGCAAACTGGATTTGCAAAAACCCAGATGAAACCCTCTGCTGACTACAGGAGACCTAACAGGTAAGGTCTACTACTGACTCAGAGAAAAGGGATAGAAAAATATCACAGAAATAGAAAACCAAAGTGAGCAGGAGTAGCTATTCTGATATCAGATAAAAGAGACTTTAAACCAACAACAATTTTAAAAAGACAAAGAAAGGTATTACTTAATAATAAGGAGTTCAATACAACAAGAAGATTTAACCGCCTAAATATATATATGACCCAACACTGGAGCACCTATATTCTTAAAACAAATACTACAGACCGAAGAAATGAGGTAGACAGCAAAACAATAATAGTGGGGGGTGTTAGGACCCAACTGATAGCACTAGAGAGATCATCAAGGCAGAAAATCAACAAAGAAACTCTAGACTTAAACAAGACTCCAAACCAAATGGAGCCGATAGACACCTACAGAATATTGTACCCCCAAACCACAGAGTATACATTTTTATTGTATGTGCCTGGAATATTCTCCAAAATTGACTAGATGCTTGACCATAAAGTAAGTCT
Organism: Homo sapiens; assembly: GCF_000001405.40. Taxonomy (NCBI): domain Eukaryota; kingdom Metazoa; phylum Chordata; class Mammalia; order Primates; family Hominidae; genus Homo; species Homo sapiens. Next base: position 96,870,912 of record NC_000001.11, on the reverse strand, counting down.
AATCAAATTCAAAAAAGTCAAAATCATATCAAGTCTCCCTCTTAGACCACAGTGGAATAAAATTAGAAATCAATACCAAGAAAAACTCTCAAAACTATACAAGTACATGGAAGCTAAACAACTTGCTCTTGACTTTTCAGGAAACAACAAAATTAAAGAAAAAGCTAAAATTTTATATTAAACAAATGAAAACAGAGACACAATACACCAAAACCTCTGGGATACAGCAAAAGCAATGCTAAAAGGAAAGTTTATAGCATTAAATGCCCACATAAAAAGAAAGATCTCAAATTAACTACCTAACATCAAACCTGAAGGAACTAGAAAAATAAGAACAAACCAAACTCAAAACTAGCAGAAGAAAAGAAATAATAAAGATCAGAGCAGAATTCAAAAGATTATCAGAGATTACTATGAAATTCTCTAGAAAACATAGAGGAAATGGATAAATTCCTGGAAACATATAAGCTCCCAAGATAGGACGAGGAAGAAATACAAATCCTGAACAGAACAATAAGAAATAATGAGATAGAATCAATAATAAAAAAATCTTCCAATATAAAAAGCTCAGGACCAGGTGAATTTACAGCAGAATTTTACCAGATATTGCAAAGAAGAGCTGGTATCACTTTCTGAAACTATTCCAAAAAATCAAAGAAAAGGGATTCCTCTCTAATTCATTCTGCAAAACCAGAGTCACCCTGATACCAAAAATCAGGCAAGGGCAAACGAGAAAATATAACTACAGGCCAATATCCCTGATGAACATAGGTGCAAAAATTCTCAAAAACAATACTAGCAAACCAAATTCAATAGCACATCAAAAGAATAATACATCATGATCAAATGGGTTCTATTCCAGGGATGCAAGGATGGCTCAACATATGCAAACCAATAGTTGTCATTTACCACATAAACAGAATTAAAAACAAAAATATGATCATCTCAATAGAGGCAGAAAAAGCATTCAATAAAATACAACCTCCCTTCATAATAAAAACTTCCAACAAACTAGGCATCGAAGGAACATAACTCAAAATAACAAGAGCAATATATGACAAACCCATAGCCAACATCATACTGGATGGGGAAAAGTTGAAAGAACTCCCCCTAAGAACTGAAATAAAACAAGTTGTCCATTCTTACCACTTCTATTCAACATAGTACTGTAGCAGCATTTACTCTAGTTTTGGTTTAGTCCTACTATTAAAAAGTGATCCTTCTAGGTTCTCTACTGAATGTTTCAGTTGCTGAGAGATCTCTCTACCAAGCTAGTGAGAGCTTGAACATTTCCCAGCCCTGTTTCAGGTCTGAGAATTATCTGTCTTATAGTGCCTGTAGTCTCTGATTATTCCAGTATAATTCCATCATATGATCATGTAGCATAGTATTTTCTTAAAAAAGACACAGTGGATTCCTATGCAAATTTCTGCAGCTATTACTCTGGGCAACTCTTTCCTCTCCTGCAGTGACCCCCAAATTCCAACTGCTTCATCTTTCTTGAACTCTGATTTCTGACTGCATAATTCAGTGACACCTCTGTGCTCTGTTTGGGTCCATCTTACTTTTGCCACTGTATGAAAAGTGACTCCAGTCAGAAATCTAGGGCAATTATAGAAATAATCTCATTTGTTTTCCTTTTCTTAGGGGGTCACAACCTTGCTCTGCCTATTACCCAATGTCTGAAAAGAGTTGTTCAATGTTTTGTCCAGTTTTCTAGTTTTTTTACTGTGGGGGTTGTGGAGCAGGCAGTAATTCAAATATCATTACCTCTCTCAACATCAGCTTCTGTTCTGCAAAATGGGGACATAAATGAAATCCACTTCACAATTTAAATGTTAATATTACATGAACATGCTTGGTAAACCATCAAATGCTATTCAAGTGTTGGCTTTTATTAATAAGCATGAAAAGCAGATTATTAGATGAAGGAAGAAAATATGAGAAGATGATCAGGAGGATTAACTACTAAAGTAAGGATCATTGAGTGGAGAACGTCTTTGGGGTACTTCAAGACTTACAGACATACAACATACATTATTGTGTCATAGCCAGATATAAAAGTAATTAAAATTTTTAAGGAGAAAATTTTAGACATTTTTGAAATTAAAATATCCTTTTGGAGTCAGCTTTATTAAGTCCAGTTTCCTTCACCTTATAAGAACTCAATGAGAATTCATATTCAGAATGATGATCCAAAAGCACCGTAATATTCTAAATTGTCAAATAATCTACATTAGGAGTATTATAGTTATTTTTAAGAATGAGGAAAATTACACTAAAAACTTTTGTGAGGGCTGAAATAATCAATTTTTGTTGTTTCAGTTCACTAGAAAATTATATTCATATGTCTATTTCATTACCTGAGTATTCAGTAAATTAAGCATTTTATTATATTTTTATTTAAAATTTTGATCACTTGTATTTTCCATGCATATTATGTATATATTTTATTTTACATTTACCCAGGGATGTGTGTAAATATTAAAGTACATTTTTCATGTCTTTGGTAATTTGTTTTTGGGATAAATTCTGATTTATCTTTCTGCATAGCAAGGCAAGAAGCACCATTAAAAAGAGTCTCATTTATTTCCCCAAGCAGATAATTGTCCATAGTGAATTTCCTGAAAAAGAGTTGTACCTGGACATGAGAAAGAAGAAAACTCAAATCATGCCAAAATGAAAAATTGAATCGTGCCTGAGTAGGCTAAAATGGCCTTCTCAGACCTCAATACAGCACTTGGCCTACTTTTTTCTTAAGATTTTGTTCCTGGCTCCCAGTTTGTCATTTCTGTAATGGATTTTTAAATGACTCTTTTCTTCAGGAAGGTAGCATTTATCATGGTGTGGTAGAAAGAGCCCTGGGATGGAACTTGGGAGAACTGGGTTATGGCCTTGCTGGTTCTATATTGCTATGAGCTGTGTGATTTGGAGAAAATTATTTACCTGTCTGAAGTTTGGAAGACAACCAGAACTTCTTCATTCTGTTTTTCTTTTGCTTGTTTGCTTTAGCAGTAGCTTTTAAGCTGGAGACTGAAGCATCTAAAATAACATTCAGCGAAAGTTCAATGTGTAAAAGAGATGAAAGTGCACCTCCGCTGGTTGATGGGAAAGCCTGAGGGCTCTGCAGCTCATCCTCTTCTCCTGGCTCCTGAGGATGCCTGAAGGCAGCCTGGAGTTCCCAGGAGAAGACTGAAAAGGCCACAAGAGGGTATGAACCACCCTCCGGGCATAGCTTCCTTTGATTTCAAATTTCCATGACATTTGCTCCACTCCATACCTTTCAAACATAATAGCCCAGAGGACAATTCCCTTCTCTGTTGAAGAATATGTTCTGATGCTGGAGTAAAGGCATTATCATAAAGTAGGAAAAAATAAAAGACTTGAGTACAGTCTTGTCTCTATCTCCTCCTTGCTGAAGGACCTTGGACCTCCTTGCTGAAGGATATTTACCTCTCTGAACATCAGCTTCTGTTCTGCAAAATGGGGACATAAATGAAATCCACTTCACAATTTAAATGTTAATATTACATGAACATGCTTGGTAAACCATCAAATGCTATTCAAGTGTTGGCTTTTATTAATAAGCAGGAAAAGCAGATTATTAGATGAAGGAAGAAAATATGAGAAGACGATCAGGAGGATTAACTACTAAAGTAAGGATCATTGAGTGGAGAAAGTCTTTGGGGTACTTCAAGACTTACAGACATACAACATACATTATATAAAACTCTTTGTACTTCAGGTTACTAAAGTTCTTCCAGTGAAAGGGATTCTGAAAGAGGAAGCAATATGTTTTAATGAAAGTGTTAGAATAGAGTCAAACAAACTTGGAAGTTAGTCTTGACATGACCACCTACAAACTCTGTGACCTTGGGCAGATTACTAAACATCTGTCTCCTTATCTATAAGATATCCTCCTAGTCTACTTCAAATGAAGGTAAATGTGCTTTACCAAAAGTAAGAGATTCTTATTAAAAGAGATGTATACAGTAATGTAGACAAAATTTTGCCTTTTGATGCTTTTCCTAGAAATAGTTATTCTTACCCTGATTTTTAATCACTGTGCTCACAAATTTCTGTAAGATAAAAATCTGTATACCATGCACTAATGTAAATGCATTTCTAGCAGGACAAAAGTTTGTGAAGGAGCAAGATGACTTTGAATGGAGTGCTGAAGGCAAAATACACTCTAAATTATATTGTATAAAAAAGTAAAAGATATTTCAGACAAAATAAATCATGTTGGTACATTTCAATTCCTCTCTATAATTAACATTCAAGGGGACTTCATTAGGTGATTATGTTATCCCTGTGAAATATTACTTGGTTAAAAATATAATTCTGAAACTATAATACATAGCCGAATGCTTTGGGCAGATGGAATTACTTTCCTCTAGAGCCCTGAGGTACTTGGCAAACATCTATTCACTTCTACTGTGCCTCTGTGAGTTAGGTCAGGATTTTTGTTTTATGGGTGAGAAAATTAAGACCCATGGAATATCTGGGAGACTTGCTCATGAAATCCCATCTTATCTCTAACACTGAAAGGGGAAAGATTATATAAAGCTACTTGCCATACATTTCTTCCCAATATACTCTCCTGTGCTCAGTGTGTAACAGAATTAGGTAGGTACAAGATACTTAAGTATTAGCATTTGTATCCTGTTATGAGCTGAATTATGTTCCCCTAAAATTCACATGTTGAAATCCTAACCCACATGACTTCAGAATGTGACTATTTGGAGATGGGGTAATTCAGCTAAAATGAGATCATTAAGATGGGACCTAATCCAAAATGACTAGTGTACTTAGAGATTAGGACACAAACATATACAGAAGGAAGATGGCTGTCTTCCAAGGAAAGAGGCCCAAAAGAAACCAATCCTCCTGACATCTTGATCTCTGACTTCTAGCCTCTAGAGTTGTGAGGAAATAAATTTTTATTGTGTAAGCTATCTGGTCCGTGGTTGTTTGTTTAGACAGCCTTAGCAACCTAATACAGAACCTATGAGAGTTTGGATCCTAGAACAGAAAGAGTTACATATTGCAAATACTGCCTTCCTGTAGGAGTAATTCCTAAACTCTCACAACTGCTATGACTCAGGCAGGAAGCCAGAATACTGGATCTCCTTTTAAGTGATCGCTAAGACCTAAATGTCTGAACTCACCAATTCTAACTCAGGTCAACTCCTGCCATGCTGTCCAAGCATCATCTCAGTCCTTTGGCTTGTAACTGTAGGAAGTCTCAGAAACTCGAGTTCCAATACAGGACCTGTCACTAATTAACTAAGTGATGAGGGAAAGTCAGTTCCTCATTGGGTCTCAGTTTTTTAATCTGTATAATGAATGAGATAGTTTTGACAGGGCAGAGATAGCTCAAGCTTCATTCTGGCTCTTACTTTTTTTTTTTAACAGAGTCTAGCTCTGTTGCCCAGGCTAGAGTGCAGTGGCATGATCTTGGCCCATTGCAACCTCTCCTCCTCCCAGGCTCAAGCATTTCTACTGCCTCAGTCTCCCAAGTAGCTGGGACCACAGGCATGTGCCACCACACTGGCTAATTTTTTTGTATTTTTAGTAGAGAGAGGGTTTCACCATGTTGGCCAGCTGGTCTTGAACTCCTGACTTCAGATGATCCACCCACCTTGCCCTCCCAAAGTGCTGGGATTACAGGCATGAACCACTAGGCCCGGACTGGCTTTTACATTTTGATTCCAATACAAAGATAATGGTAATTTAAGGGAAGATGAAAATTTCAGGAAAATATAGTTCATGATCCAAATCCAGCCACTGCCTCCTTTAGTACAACCCATGAGCTATGGATATTTTTACATTTTTACATAGTTCTTTTTTTAATCCAAGGAAAAATAACATTTTCCTTGGATTAAAAAAATATACTTTGCACTCTTCTAAATCTTGGCATTTACCCATTCATTTAATCTTTACAACAACTGTGTGAAGTAGATACTCTTATTCATTTTATAGATAAGCAAATCGAAGTAAGTAGTCAAAGATCACATGGCTAATGAATTTCAGTTCTGCTAGAACTCATACCATGAAGTCTTACCCCAGAGCCTGTGCTCTTAACCTGTCTCCTCATATTGAAAAAAAATCTAACACTATCAGGGTAGTGCATAAGTGCCAAAAGAGGGGCTCAGGCAATACATTCTGCTGTGTTTCCCCCAACCCCTGAAAAAAATCACTCTGTTTCAGAGAAGTACAGGAAGGCTTTGTAGGGGAATGAGGCCACATTTCTACCATGATGACGGAACACTAACTGAACCACAATTAAGTGAAATGTTCCCCCAGAAAGAATCCTATTCTTCTCAGTCATAGACCTTTATTCCAAAAAAAGTATTCAATTATTAATATATTAACTGAGTTATGTTAGTTAATAATATTCAATTATTATTATTACAGTACTTCAAATATTTGTGTACATTTGTTTTTTCTCTTTTATATATATACCTGCATAATATCCTAGATTTTACCTGTTGGCCCATGAAATCTAAAATACTAACTACCTCCTCCTTTATAGAAAAAGTTTGCTGACCCTTGCTCTAGAATATTAAAGTGTAAGAATAAATGTGGGTAATTAGAAAGGTGATTGTAAACATTAATATTAACTTCCTCTTCTTTATTAGCAAGTTTTCATCAGTAAAATTAGACACTTCACCCATTATGCTGTTACTTGCATTTTTAATTTTAATATATTATAAGTTTAAAAGTAATTATTGTTTGAATGACTGAAATAAAAATACCTCTGAATGAAGACAAAACAGAATAGATACATGTGCAAAGAAGCATCATCAGTGACTCTTTTAATCAGATAATCATATTTTGTTTTGTGGCTATGGGCAATGGAATAACTAATAACACTCTACTGACATAAAAGGTAAAAACAAGATAAGCCTTAAAGCAAGGTGTCACAGACCCAAGGTAGATATGCTGGCCACATCCTCTTTTTAGATTATTTTTAATTTAGTGTTTTACTTATTTATTTATCTGGATACCCCCATATGAAAACTTCCCCATCACATATACTCTTGATTTTCATAAAAAATATTACTGGGGCATAGCTTCAAGATGGCTGAATAGAGACATCAGACACGCGCCCACTCCAAAGAAGAACCAAAATTGTGAATAAATAATCACTCGTCAAATAGAACATCTCGGAGAGAACACTGGAGTTCAACAGAGAAGTCACAGTAAACATCTGAGTCACAGAAAGAGAAGGAAGTGAGCAGCCAGGTCAGCCGAGATCAACTGGGAGCCCAAGGGACTCCCTCTTGCAGGGAAAGGGTAAGTGAGAGACTCTAAGCAGTCCACATCTCCACAATGAACTGCTGCAATCCTAGCTATAGGAGAGCTCCTCTACCCACATGAGCCCTGAGACTAGTGTGGGCAGTGATCTGAACACTCTGGAGGGCACTGCACTAAACAGGGAGCAGTGCTGGATCATACACAACCATGAGACCTAAGCAGCTACAGCATGGCATTGTTGTGAGAGCCCAGCCATCATGGGACATCATCCTTCCCTGGGAACCACAGCCTCCATATAGCTACATCCCAGGAGCCCCCACTGACATTCCCCAGTGTTCATACCAATGCCTACAGTGGCACAGAGCTGGCTCGACCCAAAGGTGCTGGGGGTCCATAGTACTCTAGGCAACATGGGATACTACTCCCAAGTGAAAAGATGGTGCAACATACCAAGGAGGTGGCACCTGGTACAACAGAAATCAAGGCATGCACTTTCCAGAGCTTGAGAGCTCCATGTCTGGGGCTGTGAGAAGTGGCCACGCCCCCAGCAGCAGCACAGACTCTATGCTCAGGCCAATTATCAGAGACTGGAACCCCTTCCATTTTTCCACACATTGCACAGCAGTTGCTCCCACGAGGAGCTGAGGTAGGCAAGCCTGAGAGTAGACTGTCTGGTCTGGGAGTAGCAACCCTGCCTCCACTGGGGGAGTGATCTCTATGCTCAGACTTGTCATAGAGCAAGATTTCTTCCCCATTCTGCACACTGCTGCAGCTACTGTTGCTGCCACCAAGAGTAGGGGTGGGTGAGCCTGAGGGCAGTGTGTCTGGGGCTGTGTGTGGCAACCACATCCCCACTGGCTGCATGGTCTCTGTGCCTGGCCCATGCACAGTGGGCAAGATCCCTCCCTGTCTCTGCACACCACAGCTACCAGGGGCCAAAGCAAGCACAACTCACAACCTGAGAGCTACCATCTGGGGCTGCGATAGCCAACCTCACCCACTCCAGGAGCATGGCCTCTGTGCTCCAGTGCCATCACAAATATAGGCTCCCCAGGCATACCAAGGCAGCTGCTACTGCTGCCAGAGGCAAAGTGTGAACTCCCCAGAGACTTGAGAGCTGCCTGCAGGGGACTGTTGATAGCAACCCTACCTACATCAACAGCAGGACTGCTATGCTTTAGCACAAGTCCTGAGGTCAAGTTCTCCACACCCACCTCCACAGACTGCCCATTCTGTTTACTACAGCCTATGCCACTGCCTATGACCAGGGGCCTGAGGTCAGACCCACCTGGACTGATACTACCCTTGAAAGCCTGAGAATGCTGCCCAAGGATCTGGGCATCACTCCATCCATTCTACCACCTCTGACATCTGTGCATTCACCACTGGGAACCTGAAGATGAGTCCACCTAGCCTGCTACCAACACCACTCATACCCACCCACATGTACCACCTAGGAGTCTGGAGACTGGCTTCCCAGCCCGTCACAGCCACCACTAACACCAGCACACACTGCTCAGGAACCAGAGGGTCCTGCCACTGCTATTGCCATTGCCCATGCCACACCAGCTGCCCAGGAGCCTAAAAACCTACCTGCCCAGCCCACTGCTGCCACTAGTGCCATCTGAGAAAGCCACCTGGAGGCCCCAAGAAATGACCTATCTGAACCCACTAACACCAGTGTCAGCATATGCCACCCTGGGGTCCAAGGAGAGGCACGAGGAAAGTCAGCTTACCCCTGCCACCAGTGAGGCCTGAAGACTTATCTACCTGGCATCCCTGTCACCAGAAAAACTTCATTACAGCCTCTACTAATAACTGCATTCTAAGCCACTGAGGAAATTACAGATTCCACTGATGCTGTTTGCAGATGAAAAACCATACAGAAACTACACTACTGAATACACCCAGAATCAAAGCCAAAGTAGGCCCCTGCTCAACCAACATCATAGATACACCTTTAGGAAAAAATACTCTCTTACAAAAGTAAAGTTAAAAAATTGGAAGAAGTGACTATCACACCTGATGTGCAGATATCAATGTAAGGAAACAGAAAACTTGAACACGCAAGGAAATATGACAACTCCAAAGGAACGCAATAATTCCCTAGCAACAGATCCTAATCCAAAAGAAATTCACAAAATCCCAGAAAAAAAAATATTGATTTTAAAGAAGCTCAGTGAAATCCAACACAATTCTGAAAGAACAATACAAAGAAATCAGAAAAATAATTAATGACATGAATGAGAGACTTACCAAAGTAACAGATATTATGAAAACAAACCAAATAGAAATTCTGGAAGTGAGGAATTTATTGAATAAACTACAAAATATATTTGGAAACTTCAACAATAGACTAGATAAAACAGAAGAAAGAACCTCAGAACTTGAAGACAGGTCTCTTGAAATAATCTAGTCAGACAAAAACAGAGAAAAAAGAATGAACAAAGATTTTGTGATATTTGAGATACCATAAAGTGATCAAATACATGAATTATCAGTATTTCAGAAGACAAAGAGAGAACAAAAGAGTTTGAAAACCCATTTAACAAAATAATAGATGAAAAGTTTGAAGTCTAGTAAAAGATTAAGTCATCCAGATATTGGAGGCCCAGTGATTCCCAAACAAATACAATGCAAAAAGGGTTTTCTCCATAGCACATTATAGTACTATGTGTACACATCATACTGTCTAAAGTCAAAGATAAAGAGAGAATTCTAAAAACAGGAAGAGAAAACCATCTAGTCACCTATAAAGGAATTGCCATCAGACCAACAGTGGACTTCTCAAGAAGAACCTTATAGGCCAGGAGAGAATGGGATTATATATTTAAAGTGCTGAAAGAAAAAAGTTGTCACCACCAAGGATACTATATTACTATATCCAGCAAAATTAGCCTTATAAAGACTAATTTATAAATTGAAGGAAAAAATAAAGTCTTTCCCAGACAAGCAAATGCTATGGGAATTCATCACCACCAGACTGGTCCTACAAGAAATGCTCAAGGGACTCCTGAACCTGGAAGCAAAAGGATAATTGTTACCATCATGAAAGCACACAAAAGTATAAAACTCACTGTTAAAGCAAACACATTAATGAAGAAGAGAAGTGATTCAAATGGTACCACTACAGAAAACTACTAAACCACAAGGACAAACAATAAGAGAAATGGAAAAGAACAAAGAATATACACAACAACCAGAAAACAATTAACAATAATAAAATGACAAAACCTCACATATCAATAATAACTTTGAACATAAACAGATTAAATTTATCACTAAAAATACATAGACTGGCTGAAAGGATAAAAAATCATTATCCAACTATATGCTGCCTACTAGAAACACACTTTACCCATAAAAACACATACTGATTGAAAGGGATGGAAAATAGATATTCCACACAAATGGAAACCAAAATCAAGCAGGAATATCTATACTTATATCAGATAAGACAGACTTTAAGTCAAAAACAGGGGCAAAAAAGAAGGTTATTAAATAATGATAAAGGGATCAGTCCAGCAAGAGGATATAATGAGATTAAATACATATGGACTCACCCAGATTAATAAAGCAGATATTATCAGATATAAAGAGAGATGTAGACTCCATACAATAATAGTGGGGGACTTCAATACCTCACTTTCAGCATTAAAGAGATCAGCTAGACAGAAAATCAACAAAGAAACATTAGATTTAATGTTGGACTTTAGACCAAATGGACCTAACAGATATTTAAAGAACATTTTATCCAACAACTGCAGAACACACTTTTCTTATCAGCACATGGAACATTCTCCAGGATAGACTACAAGTTAGGCCACAAAACAAATCTCAACAAATTCTTAAAAACCAAAATCATATCGAGTATCTTCTTAGACTGCAATGGAACAAAACTAGAAATCAATACCAAGAGGAACTTTGGAAATTATACAAATATATGGAAACCAAATAACATGCTCCTGAACAACCACTGGGTCAATGAAATTAAGACAGAAATAAAAAAAAATTCTTGAAAAAAATGAAAACAAAAACAATATAAGAAAACCTGTGGAATACAGCTAAAGCAGTGCTAAGATGGAATTTTATAACAATAAGCACCTACATCAACAACACAGAAAGATTTCAAAGCTAAAATTTCACAATGTACATAAAGGAACTAAAAAAGCAAGAACAAACCAAACCCAAAATTAGCAGAAGAAACAAAATAATAAAGCAGAACTAAACAAAATATAGTCTAAGGTAAAAATGCAAAGGACTAACAAAATGAAAAGTTGGTTCTTGGGCAGAGGAGCCAAGATGGCCAAATAGGAACAGCTCCGGTCTACAGCTCCCAGCGTGAGCGACGCAGAAGACAGGTGATTTCTGCATTTCCATCTGAGGTACCAGGTTCATCTCACTAGGGAGTGCCAGACAGCGGGCGCAGGTCAGTGGGTGCAGCGCACCGTGCGTGAGCCGAAGCAGGGCAAGGCATTGCCTCACTCGGGAAGCGCAAGGGGTCAGGGAGTTCCCTTTCCTAGTCAAAGAAAGGGGTGACACACGGCACCTGGAAAATCGGGTCACTCCCACCCAAATACTGCGCTTTTCCGACGCGCTTAAAAAACGGCCCACCAGGAGATTATACCCTGCACCTGGCTCAGAGGGTCCTATGCCCACAGAGTCTCACTGATTGCTAGCACAGCAGTCTGAGATCAAACTGCAAGGCAGCAGCGAGGCTGGGGGAGGGGCGCCCACCATTGCCCAGGCTTGCTTAGGTAAACAAAGCAGCCAGAAAGCTCCAACTGGGTGGAGCCCACCACAGCTCAAGGAGGCCTGCCTGACTCTGTAGGCTCCACCTCTGGGGGCAGGGCACAGACAAACAAAAAGACAGCAGTAACCTCTGCAGACTTACATGTCCCTGTCTGACAGCTTTGAAGAGAGCAGTGGTTCTCCCAGCATGCAGCTGGAGATCTGAGAACAGGCAGACTGCCTCCTCAAGTGGGTCCCTGACCCCTGACCCCTGAGCAGCCTAACTGGGAGGCACCCCCCAGTAGGGGCAGACTGACACCTCACATGGCCGGGTACTCCTCTCAGACAAAACTTCCAGAGGAACGATCAGACAGCAGCATTCGCGGTTCACAAAAAACCACTGTTCTGCAGACACCGCTGATGATACCCAGGAAAATAGGGTCTGGAGTGGACCTCTAGCAAACTCCAACAGACCTGCAGCTGAGGGTCCTGTCTGTTAGAAGGAAAACTAACAAACAGAAAGGACATCCACACCAAAAACCCATCTGTACATCACCATCATCAAAGACCAAAAGTAGATAAAACCACAAAGATGGGGAAAAAACAGAGCTGAAAAACTGGAAACTCTAAAAAGCAGAGCACCTCTCCTCCCCCAAAGGATCGCAGTTCCTCACCAGCAATGGAACAAAGCTGGACGGAGAATGACTTTGACGAGTTGATAGAAGAAGGCTTCAGACGATCAAACTACGAGCTACAGGAGGAAATTCAAACCAAAGGCAAAGAAGTTAAAAACTTTGAAAAAAATTTAGACGAATGTATAACTAGAATAACCAATACAGAGAAGTGCTTAAAGGAGCTGACGGAGCTGAAAGCCAAGGCACGAGAACTACATGAAGAATGCAGAAGCCTCAGGAGCCGATGTGATCAACTGGAAGAAAGGGTATCGGCGATGGAAGATGAAATGAATGAAATGAAGCGAGTAGGGAAGTTTAGAGAAAAAAGAATAAAAAGAGATGAACAAAGCCTCCAAGAAATATGGGACTATGTGAAAAGACCAAATCTACGTCTGATTGGTGTACCTGAAAGTGATGGGGAGAATGGAACCAAGTTGGAAAACACTCTGCAGGATATTATCTAGGAGAACTTCCCCAATCTAGCAAGGCACGCCAACATTCAGATTCAGGAAATACAGAGAACACCACAAAGATACTCCTCGAGAAGAGCAACTCCAAGACACATAATTGTCAGATTCACCAAAGTTGAAATGAAGGAAAAAATGCTAAGGGCAGCCAGAGAGAAAGGTCAGGTTACCCACAAAGGGAAGCCCATCAGACTAACAGCGGATCTCTCGGCAGAAACTCTACAAGCCAGAAGAGAGTGGGGGCCAATATTCAACATTTTTATAGAAAAGAATGTTCAACCCAGAATTTCATATCCAGCCAAACTAAGTTTCATAAGTGAAGGAGAAATAAAATCCTTTACAGACAAGCAAATGCTGAGAGATTTTGTCACCACCAGGCCTGCCCTAAAAGAGTTCCTGAAGGAAGCACTAAACATGGAAAGGAACAACTGGTACCAGCCACTGCAAAATCATGCCAAAATGTAAAGACCATCGAGACTAGGAAGAAACTGCATCAACTAACGAGCAAAATAACCAGCTAACATAATGACAGGTTCAAATTCACACATAACAATATTAACTTTAAATGTAAATGGACTAAATGCTCCAATTAAAAGACACAGACTGGCAAATTGGAGAAGGAGTCAAGACCCATCAGTGTGTTGTATTCAGGAAACCCATCTCACATGCAGAGACACACATAGGCTCAAAATAAAAGGATGGAGGAAGATCTACCAAGCAAATGGAAAACAAAAAAAGGCAGGGGTTGCAATCCTAGTCTCTGATAAAACAGACTGTAAACCAACAAAGATCAAAAGAGACAAAGAAGGACATTACATAATGGTAAAGGGATCAATTCAACAAGAAGAGCTAACTATCCTAAATATATATGCACCTAATACAGGAGCACCCAGATTCATAAAGCAAGTCCTAAGTGACCTACAAAGAGACTTAGACTCCCACACAATAATAATGGGAGACTTTAACACCCCACTGTCAACACTAGACAGATCAACGAAAGAGAAAGTTAACAAGGATACCCAGGAACTGAACTCAGCTCTGCACCAAGTGGACCTAATAGACATCTACAGAACTCTCCACCCCAAATCAACAGAATATACATTTTTTTCAGCACCACACCACACCTATTCCAAAATTGACCACATACTTGGAAGTAAAGCTCTCCTCAGCAAATGTAAAAGAACAGAAATTATAACAAACTGTCTCTCAGACCACAGTGCAATCAAACTAGAACTCAGGATTAAGGAACTCACTCAAAACTGCTCAACTACATGGAAACTGAACAACCTGCTCCTGAATGACTACTGGGTACATAACGAAATGAAGGCAGAAATAAAGATGTTCTTTGAAACCAATGAGAACAAAGACACAACATACCAGAATCTCTGGGACACATTCAAAGCAGTGTGTACAGGGAAATTTATAGCACTAAATGCCGACAAGAGAAAGCAGGAAAGATCCAAAACTGACACCCTAATATCACAATTAAAAGAACTAGAAAAGCAAGAGCAAACACATTCAAAAGCTAGCAGAAGGCAAGAAATAACTAAAATCAGAGCACAACGGAAGGAAATAGAGACACAAAAAACTCTTCAAAAAATTAATGAAACCAGGAGCTGGTTTTTTGAAAGGATCGACAAAATTGATAGACTGCTAGCAAGACTAATAAAGAAAAAAAGAGAGAAGAATCAAATAGACACAATAAAAAATGATAAAGGGGATATCACCACCGATCCCACAGAAATACAAACTACCATCAGAGAATACTACAAACACCTCTATGCAAATAAACTATAAAATCTAGAAGAAATGGATAACTTCCTCGACACATACACTCTCCCAAGACTAAACCAGGAAGAAGTTGAATCTCTGAATAGACCAATAACAGGAGCTGAAATTGTGGCAATAATCAATAGCTTACCAACCAAAAAGAGTCCAGGACCAGATGGATTCACAGCCGAATTCTACCAGAGGTACAAGGAGGAACTGGTGCCATTCCTTCTGAAACTATTCCAATCAATAGAAAAACAGGGAATCCTCCCTAACTCATTTTATGAGGCCAGCATCATCCTGATACCAAAGCCGGGCAGAAACACAACCAAAAAAGAGAATTTTAGACCAATATCCTTGATGAACACTGATGCAAAAATCCTCAATAAAATACTGGCAAACCAAGTCCAGCAAGCACATCAAAAAGCTTATCCACCATGATCAAGTGGACTTCATCCCTGGGATGCAAGGCTGGTTCAATATACGCAAATCAGTAAATGTAATCCAGCATATAAACAGAACCAAAGACAAAAACCACATGATTATCTCAATAGATGCAGAAAAGGCCTTTGACAAAATTCAACAGCACTTCATGCTAAAAACTCTCAATAAATTAGGTATTGATGGGACGTATTTCAAAATAATAAGAGCTATCTATGACAAACCCACAGCCAATATCATACTGAATGGGCAAAAACTGGAAGCATTCCCTTTGAAAACTGGCACAAGACAGGGATGCCCTCTCTCACCACTCCTATTCAACATAGTGTTGGAAGTTCTGGCCAGGGCAATCAGGCAAGAGAAAGAAATAAAGGGTATGCAATTAGGAAAAGAGGAAGTCAAATTGTCCCTGTTTGCAGACGACATGATTGTATATCTAGAAAACCCCATTGTCTCAGCCCAAAATCTCCTTAAGCTGCTAAGCAACTTCAGCAAAGTCTCAGGATACAAAATCAATGTACAAAAATCACAAGCATTCTTATACACCAATAACAGACAAACAGAGAGCCAAATCATGAGTGAACTCCCATTCACAATTGCTTCAAAGAGAATAAAATACCTAGGAATCCAACTTACAAGGTACGTGAAGGACCTCTTCAAGGAAAACTACAAACCACTGCTCAATGAAATTAAAGAGGATACAAACAAATGGAAGAACATTCCATGCTCATGGATAGGAAGAATCAATATCGTGAAAATGGCCATACTGCCCAAGGTAATTTATAGATTCAATGCCATCCCCATCAACCTACCAATGACTTTCTTCACAGAATTGGAAAAAACTACTTGAAAGTTCATATGGAACCAAAAAAGAGCCCGCATTGCCAAGTCAATCCTAAGCCAAAAGAACAAAGCTGGAGGCATCACGCTACCTGACTACCTGACTTCAAACTATACTACAAGGCTACAGTAACCAAAACAGCATGGTACTGGTACCAAAACAGAGATATAGATCAATGGAACAGAGCAGAGCCCTCAGAAATAACGCTGCATATCTACAACTATCTGATCTTTGACAAACCTGAGAAAAACAAGCAATGGGGAAAGGATTCCCTATTTAATAAATGGTGCTGGGAAAACTGGCTAGCCATATGTAGAAAGCTGAAACTGGATCCCTTCCTTACACATTATACAAAAATCAATTCAAGATGGATTAAAGACTTAAACATTAGACCTAAAACCGTAAAAACCCTAGAAGAAAACCTAGGCATTTCCATTCAGAACATAGGCACGGGCAAGGACTTCATGTCTAAAACACCAAAAGCAATGGCAACAAAAGCCGAAATTGACAAATGGGATCTAATGAAACTAAAGAGCTTCTGCACAGCAAAAGAAACTACCATCAGAGTGAACAGGCAACCCACAAAATGGGAGAAAATTTTCACAACCTACTCATCTGACAAAGGGCTAATATCCAGAATCTACAATGAACACAAACAAATTTACAAGAAAAAAACAAACAACCCCATCAAAAAGTGGGCAAAGGACATGAACAGACACTTCTCAAAAGAAGACACTTATGCAGCCAAAAAACACATGAAAAAATGCTCACCATCACTGGCCATCAGAGAAATGCAAATCAAAACCACAATGAGATACCATCTCACACCAGTTAGAATGGCAATCATTAAAAAGTCAGGAAACAACAGGTGCTGGAGAGGATGTGGAGAAATAGGAACACTTTTACACTGTTGGTGGGACTGTAAACTAGTTCAACCATTGTGGAAGTCAGTGTGGCGATTCCTCAGGGATCTAGAACTAGAAATACCATTTGACCCAGCCATCCCATTACTGGGTATATACCCAAAGGACTATAAATCATGCTGCTATAAAGACACATGCACATGTATGTTTATTGCGGCACTATTCACAATAGCAAAGACTTGGAACCAACCCAAATGTCCAACAATGATAGACTGGATTAAGAAAATGTGGCACATATACACCATGGAATACTATGCAGCCATAAAAAATGATGAGTTCATGTCCTTTGTAGGGACATGGATGAAATTGGAAATCATCGTTTTCAGTAAACTATCGCAAGAACAAAAAACCAAACACCGCATATTCTCACTCATAGGTGGGAACTGAACAATGAGAACACATGGACACAGGAAGGGGAACATCACAATCTGGGGACTGTTGTGGGGTGGGGGGAGTGGGGACGGATAGTATTGGGAGATATACCTAATGCTAGATGATGAGTTAGTGGGTGCAGCGCACCAGCAAGGCACATGTATACACATATGTAACTAACCTGCACATTGTGCACATGTACCCTAAAACTTAAAGTATAATAATAAAAAAAGAAAAGTTGGTTCTTTAAAAAGATAAACATAACTGCTAAACTTCTAGCTAGACTAATCAAGAAAAGAGAAAAGAGAGAAGACCCAAATAAACACAATCACAAATGAAAAAGGAAACATTACAACTGATACCACAGAAATACAAAAATCATCAGAGATTATTAGGAACAACTATATGCTAACACCACTCTCATGTTTATCACAGCACTATACACAATAGTAAAGATATGGAATTAACCCAAGTGTCCATCAACAGATGAATGGAAAAAAGAAAATGTGGTGTGTGTGTGTGTGTGTGTGTGTGTGTATGCAATGTAATTATATATATATATACACACACATGTATACACGCACATATATATATACATATATATAATATATAAAATGGAATACCATTCAGCCATAAAGAAGAATGAAATTATGTCATTTCCAGCAACATGGATGGAACTGGAGGTCATTATGTTAAGTAAGATAAGCCAGGAAAAGAAAGACAAATACTGCATATTCTCACTCATATATGGAAACTAAAACACTCGATCTCATGAATTGGACATAGAAAATAGATTGATAGATATCAGAGACTGAGAAGTGTGGGTGCGGGCAGGGGACATATAAAGAGAAGTTGATTAATGGGTACAAAAATACAATTAGATATAAGAAATAGGTTCCAATGTTTGATAGCAGATTAGGGTGACTATACTTAGCAACAATATTTTGTATATTTCAAAATAACTAGAAGACAGGACTTGAAATGATACCAACACATAGAAATGATAGATACTCAAGGTGATGGATACCCAAATACCCTGACTTGATCATTACATATTCTATGCATGTAACAAACACTCACATGTACCCCATAATTATGTAAATTATTGTTTTAATAAAAGAAGAAAGATTTTTTAATTGCCAATTATTTGTCTGAATTAGAAACTGGGCACAAACAATTCCTATACTTTAGCTAGATACTTAGGTTCTTCAAAAATAATACATGTAATTGAATGATCTGAGCATTCTTAGCCCTGAGTTCTTTTTCAGTTTGACCTGGGCCCATCAAAATGTTCAAAAATCTGTTCCACAGAAATGCTAACCCATTTCTATTTCTCTCTCTAGGTGTTGAAAACTGGGTTCATAATTTTTACAAAACTGTACAGCTTTAGAGACTGGGCTTTCACTGTATTCAGGAGTGTGCATAAAACACCTGAAGAGGAAATTTCTGGCAAAGTTAACAGCCAGGGTGTTCTATCATCTCTTTAAATTCAACTTAGGTAAAACCCAGTTCTAGCACTTTGCCAAGCAAATAACTCCTCCTCCTGTTTTATGCATTTCTAAAAATAGTACCAAAATCCTTTCCAGGAATAAAACCTCATGTTTTTTTTTCCTATGCCCTCAGCAACTAATCAGTCACTAAAATCATAAACATTTTTCATGAACTTACTACAGATTTTAACTTCTAAGTGCTTCTGACATATTATTTCTAATTCATAGTAATCTTGCAAAGTAGTTCTTAGAATTCAATTGATAAAAAAACTTAGGCTCAGAGAGATTAAATAAATTACATGTAAAGATCTACTAAGTACTAGAGTCCAGATTAAAATCCATTATGTTTGATTCCAAAGCCATCTTCCTGAGTATTGCTATTTTTCCTTCATACAAATTCTTGTATCCTTCTGTTTTTTTCCATTCCCAATACTCCCACCAGCCGGCTTAGGTGCCTATCATCTATCCCCTTCACCAGCCTCTTGGGCTCCAGTTCCTCCCTATTCAACCGTCTGCCCACTCCCACATTACTGATCAAGAGTATGAATGAGAGAGCTCTTTGAAAAATTCCCCAACTGGCTCGCAGGACAAGATCTCTCCTTTTGAAACTTTATAGCATATATTCTTTGTAAACTAATATTGTTCTTGCCAAGTTTACTCTTGTATGATTATTTTGTCAACTCTTGTTAGAGTCAAAGATTTTAGCAGGCAGGAATTTAATCCCAATACATATTGCTGAATATGTATTCTAATTTTATTCTATCTTAATTATATTCTGATTTTTCTGCTTCCTAAACTAATTGATACGGATGTTTTCTTACTTCTGTCTTTTTTCCTGCCTAAATTGTTATCTTCCCCTTACTGAAAGTCAAAAAGGCCTTAAAGAAAATACAATGACAGGAGGACCTTATCATGAGAAAACTTTTTTATAAATGTGTTTACCTGGCATGAGAAGACAATTCTGCTTTTCCTAATAAGACCCATGCACCATGTTGAATAGCATTCAAACGACTATCTTTGCTAAATCTCCCATCTAACTGTGTCTTTGTTAAAGTCAGGGCACCAGGGAGTTCAAGGTGAGATTTTACACGGCATCCCCTCTTGTATTTTCAAAGATTACTTTATATTGTCCATACATCTCAAAATAGCACTGCCTTTCTTTGACATCGCATTGCACTATGAACTCCTATTCAATTTGTTAACCGCCATCCTTCCCAAGTCTCACTCAGCACGACAGCTTCCTGAGTAATACCCCCATAATTTGAATCTGTGCTGAGCATTATTTTCTCTCAGGTGCATATATTTTCTTGCATGGCTTTGTATTAAACCTCATTTCACATTTGTTCAACCAATGCCCTGTATTATCTATATCCTGCTGGGGTTGTAATATGTCATCTTATCTCCCCTCCTTGCAAGATTTCTGCTATTTGCAAATTTAGTCAGTATTGCATTAACCTTTTCAAGGTGAGGAGGATTGCATGGAAGTGGTGGGCTCAGGCCATATTCTGATGGAGCACACAGGACCCATACCCCAGCCCTGTACTATCCTGATAAAAACCACTCTTTGTAAGCCATCCAAGTTTATCCACTAACTCTCATATTCTCTAGACAACGCTTTTCTAATCTCTCAGTGAGTTGTGTGTTGTATTAGTCCATTTTCATGCTGCTGATAGAGACATACCCGAGACTGGGAAGGAAAAGAGGTGTAATTGGACTTACAGTTGCACATAGCTGGAGAGGCCTTAGAATCATGGCAGGAGGTGAAAGGCACTTCTTACATGGCGGCAGCAAGAAAAAATGAGAAAGATGCAAAAAGATCTGAAGATGAAGAAAGATCTCATAAAACCATCAGATCTCATGATATTTATTCACTACCATGAAAACAGTATGGAGGAAACCACTCCCATGATTCAAATTATCTCCCACTGGGTCCCTCTCACAACACTTGGGAATTATGGGAGTATAATTCAAGATGAGATTTGGGTGGGGACACAGAGCCAAACCATATCATTCCACCCCTGGACACTCCAAATCTCATGTCCTCACATTTCAAAACCAATCATGCCTTCCCAACAGTCCCCCAAAGTTTTAACTCATTTCAACATTAACCCAAAAGTCCACAGTCCAAAGTCTTGTCTGAGACAAGACAAGCCCCTTCCACCTATGAGCCTGGAAAATCAAAAGCAAGCTAGTTATTTCCTAGATACAATGGGGGTACAGGTATTGGGTAAATACAGCTGTTCCAAATGGGAGAAATTGGCCAAAACTAAGGGGTTACAGGGCCCATGTAAATCCGAAATCTAGCATGGCAGTCAAATTCTAAAGCTCCAGAATGACCTCCTTTGACTCCATGTCTCACATCCAGGTCATGCTGATGCAAGAGGTAGGTTCCTATAGCCTTGAACAGCTCCAACCCTGTGGCTTTGCAGGGTATAGCCCCACTCCTGACTGCTTTTACAGGCTGATGTTGAGTGTCTGTGGCTTTTCTAGGCACATGGTGCAAGCTGTCAGGGGATCTACCATTCTGGGGTCTGGAGAATGGTTGCCCGCTTCTCACAGCTCCATTAGGCAGTGTCCCAGTAGAGACTCTGTGTGGGGCTCTGACCCACATTTCCCTTTCACACTGCCCTAGCAGAGGTTCTCTGTGAGGGCCCCACTCTGCAGCAAACTTTTGCCTTGGCATCCAGGTGTTTCCATACATCTTCTGAAATCTAGGTGGAGGTTCCCAAACCTCAATTCTTGACTTCTTTGCACCCACAGACTCAACACCACATGGAAGTGCCAAGGTTTGGGGCTTACATCCTGTAAAACCATGGGCCAAGCTGTACCTTGGCCCCCTTTAGCAATGGCTGGAGCAGCTGGGATGCAGGGCACCAAGTCCCTAGGCTGCACACAGCATGGGGACCCTGGGCCCGGCCCATGAAACAATTTTTTCCTCCTAGGCTTCCAGGTCTGTGATGGGAAGGGCTTCTATGAAGACCTATGACATGTCCTGGAGACATTTTCCCCACTGTCTTGGTGATTAACATTCGGCTCCTTGTTGCATATGCAAATTTATGCAGCCAGCTTGAATTTCTCCACAAAAAGAATGGGTTTTTCTTTTCTACTGCATTGTCAGGCTGCAAATTTTGTGAACTTTTATGCTCTGTTTCCCTTTTAAAATGGAAGGCTTTTAACAGCACCCAAGTCACCTCTTGAATGCTTTGTTGCTTAGAAATTTCTTCCACCAGATACCCTAAATCATCTCTCTCAAGTTCAAAGTTCCACGAATCTCTAGGGCAGGGGCAAAATGTCATCAGTCTTTTTGCTGAAACATAACAAGAGTCACCTTTGCTCCGTTCCCAACAAGTTCCTCATCTCCATCTGAGACCACCTCAGCCTGGACCTTATTGTTCATATCACTATCAGCGTTTTTGTCAAAGCCATTAAACAAGTCTCTAGGAGGTTCCAAACTTTCCCACATTTTCCTGTCTTCTTCTGAGCCCTTCAAACTGTTCCAACCTCTGCCTGATACCCAGTTTCAAGGTCACTTCCACATTTTCGGTTATCTTTTCAGCAACATCCCACTCTACTGGTACCAATTTACTGTATTAGTCCATTTTCACACTGCTGATAAAGACATACCTCAGACTGGGAAGAAAAAGAGGTTTAATTGGACTTACAGTTCCACATGGCTTGGGAGGCCTCAGAATCATGGAGGGAGGCAAAAGGCACTTCTTACATGGCGTCGGCAAGAGAAAATGAGGAAGAAGCAAAAGTGGAAATCCCTAATAAACCCATCAGATCTCATGAGACTTACTGAATGCCATGAGAACAGTATGGAGGAAACCACCCCCATGATTCAAATTATCTCCCACTGGGTCCCTCCCACAACACGTGGGAATTATGAGAGTACAATTCAAGATGAGATTTGGGTGGCGACACAGAGTCAAACCATATCATGTATGATTGGAGTCCAGTGTCCTAGAAAAAAATAGAAATGCATCAGGATTACCATAAGCACCAAGTGGAAAGGGGCGAAGTGTAATGCAGTGTCCAAATATTTTTTAGCCTCTCAAATTCAGGTATTATAGGAACACACCTCATTTAGTTGTGATCTGAAGATTTCTTTACCTACCACTTCAGGGGCTGGGTGTTTTAACCCTACTCTTCTGCTTTTTTAACCCAAAGTCCGTACTTACTTCTCCTAGAGCCCATCATGGGATTTACTTGCAGGTGAATGCTCATCTATGTCTTGCTCCTGAAACATGTTCACCTGTCTGGTTTCACCACTTTATCGCAGGTTTATTTCAAATTGTTTATTAAGTTTTCAAACCCAGTACAAATGCTCTTCCCCTTTGTGTTTGGACTCCAAAGAGGGTAGCAGCGAATGTACAATTCTGAATTCCTTGTGTGGAAAGCAGAGCTCTCATCCTGGATGGAGGGCTGGATGGGTAAAAGATAATGGGCTGAGACTGGGTATTGCTGTGGCTGCAGTGCATTTCATCATTTTCATTCTTACTTTTCTGCCATGGAGTGCTGGGTGTAGTTTGCCATTAAGGTGGATTGTGTGTTGTTTTTAATCTCTGTGGACTGACTTATAATTTTGGACAGCAGGAACGAAACTGCTCTTATTTCTATCATTATTTCCCCCTTAATATCCATATCTCTGGCATCTGCACAAACACTCTTTGTCCTTAGGTTTTTAAAATAATTGTTTTAGACAGAAATGCATCTCTAAGTAAATGCTATTATCAGTGTTATGCCCAGATTTGTCAACAAACTTCTCAACACGTGTTATAAATTTTCAGATCATTCTACCCTGAACTTGGAACAGCCTGGAATCATCATCAGTTCTCTATCAAGAAGTTTTCTACTCTAATTTAGACCCCAGAATCACAGTGCTACCAGCATCAGTGAATGTCTCGCTGTTTTACTCTCTAATGCAGTGGTTCTCAGCCAGGATTGATTGTGCCACCAAGGGGACATTTGACAATGTCTGGGACATTTTGGTGGTCAAAACATAGGAGAGTGCTTCCTGTGGCTAGAAGGTAGAGGCCAGGGATGCTCTGAATATCCTACAATACCCAGGGCAGATTTCCAGCCCCAAATATCTATAATGCCAGGGATAAGAAACTGTGGTCTAATGTCTTTTCAACACTACACTAGTCAAACAAAACAAAACAAAAAGAAAAACAAAGCAAAATGCCCCCATTAAACCAATTGAAGTGAGTCTGTATTTTGGCTCCATAGGTTTCAGTGCCTCACAATAAACTTAAGCCTCTTCCCCCAGTACCTCCCTCCCCATCCCTATTCCAGTTTGTCTATTAATCCTCATTCTGACCTCAGTGGAAGAAAGCAGAAGCCACCAGTCCATATATTCACAAGCTTTCCTAGCACTAACACCTTATTAAGAGCGCCTCCATTTCCATTTCTTTCAGAACAGGACCTCTGACACAAATAGTTTATTTCCCCTTTCTCCCTTCTGGATCCCATTAAAGGCCTGGGTGTTTTGTTGTTGTTTTGTTTGTTTGAGATGGAGTTTCACTCTTGTCACCCAGGCTGGAGTCTAATGGCACAGTCTCGGCTCACTGCAACCTCCGCCTCCCAGGTTCAAGCGATTCTCCTGCCTCAGCCTCCCGAGTAGCTGGGATTACAGGCGCCCACCACCACACCTGGCTAATTTTTGTATTTTTAGTAGAGACAGGGTTTCACCATGTTGGCCAGGCTGGTCTCGAACTCCTGACCTCAGGTGATCTGCTCGCCTCGGCCTCCCAAAGTGCTGGGATTACAGGCGTGAGCCATCACGCCCGGCCTAGGTTTGGGGTTTTTACATCTTACTTGGAAAAACGTTCTCAAACCTGTGGCTGTCCCAAGGCTGTTCAACTGATGAATGTCTAGTAAGGGGTGGAGGTGGGAGAGAGAGAAAAGAAGGAGAGGGGGAGGAGAGGGAAGTGGGGTGTGGGCAGAAAGGAAAGGGAAGGACTGCTGTATCTAACAAAACATTTCATTTCATTCTTTGCTGGCAATTAATTTACAGAACTTCTTCTTTCCAGCCAAGCACAGCATATACCAAGTCACCCTCTTGGTTGTCTCACACCTTCACAATGGGCCTGTTCTCCAATTAGTTTTCTACCTCATGCAGATAAAGACACTTACCAGCTATCTGATTAGTGATGCTGGCGTTACCTTCCTTAACGCCACCAAGCAGTCACAGCCACAGACCTCTCCAAGGAGTCGAACATCCTGCACTGTGCTTTGATGCTCCCACAGCATGCCCAGTAGGTGGGGTGGCCTGCAGTTCAGAGACAGTAGGGGGTGCTGTTTCCTGCCCCACGCGGACTCCTTCGACCCACAGTCTTCCCTTAACTTTCTCCTATGGAAACGTAACTTTTGCTTTCTGTCGTCTGGTAACAGCCTCTCACATGTCCCACTGTGATGTAGCTTGCATTTCTCTGTGGCCTCTCTCAATATTACTTTCAAATTTAACCAAATGTTGTAAAGAAAAAGAATTTTGATGGGTGTTTAGATCCATGTGTGGACAGAGTCGTACTGGAAGTTATTGTACATTCCTTAAGCTAGAATCAGAGCCTAAATTTGCAGTGGTCCAGTGGATGTTAGATAATTTTTCTCATATTCCAGGTAGAGTGATTTGATTTATTTGCCAAGCAAACTTTCTTGTTTCTTTGTGGTTCAGATTTTAGGAAGTTAGACTACTAACAAAAATGATCTCTCCCTCCCTTCTGTACTGTTACTGCTTTGATAGATTATATACTACTCTATAAATATAGACAGTGGTACATAATTTATAAACATTCACATTTTACATGTGCCAGTCTTTTCTATTAACTAGATTATAGATCATGGTTCAATTCAGTGAGCATATACGAGTGTCTGCTTTGTGCCAGGCACCATGCAAACAAAGGTGAGCAAGATGAACTGGAATCAAATCCACAAATTATTGAGGGTTTTCTACAAATTAGGCACTATGCTGAGTCTTTTACAAACATGCTATCATTAATCCTTATATTAACCCTATAAGGAAGGAATTGTTTTCCTTTTTTAAAAAAAGAGAGAGCCCCTAACTTTCTCATGAAGGTTTATTAGAAGGTCTGTATGGATGATCTCTGCGTTGAATCTGCATTGATCATCTCTGCATTAAGCCCTAATTTTGTATGGGTTTGAATCCCTGTCTAAAAATTCTGATGTGCAATTAGAATTGATTTTAATTGATTTTAATCAATTTCTATCTTGTGTGCCCATTCTGCCAGGTGGTAGAATTTTCACCTCAGTCAGTTTGGGGTTGTATCCACATTCTGGGGGTGTTTATAGTGCCCAAGTGTTGTGTGTATGGTGGCATTTGAGGGCCTGGCATCTATAAACACATCCATCATCCCACCTGCTTCCTGGGGTGGTCCATGCAGATCATACCCAAGTCATCCTTCACATCCAGCAAAAGGTCAATTCAAATCTAGCAACTCCATTCAGCAATTTCCTCTCTGTTGCTGCAGCTGCACATTCAAAAACAAGGGTGCTAAAATCTTATGGCACTTGTCTTCTTGTGAAGATGCCACAGCTCCCTGAACCAGGGTCTCCTGGCTGGAGCTCTAGGCCTGTCTGCTTGGATGGGCCACGAAACCATTCCCTCTCTGGGGCTGCTTCTCCTAGTGTGGACACAGCCTTCTGTGCTCTCCAATAACACGCACCTCTCTAAGAGATCTGCCTCTCCCTGTTCCAACCCCTACCCACTGCCCCTGCTTTCTCATTCCTCATGGCTCCTCCACCAACTCCTCCTTCCTTAAACCAGTAGAGAATTCATCTTTGGTGCTTTCATCTATGGTAGGGGAAAAGCTGCTTTTATGCCTCATTATTTTCTCAAATCCATGGCCTCCCTTTCCCTGAGGGCCTAAGGCTTTTAAAAACTCAGAAGTCAAGGATAGATGTCCTTGTCTTCTGCTTTCTGCTTTTCCTGAGCCAATAAGCAGAATAAATACCCCAGTTGACTCAGTGATGGAATGCTACAGGCTAATATGGTGGAGAGGAGAGAGGCTATATTGGCTACTCTTAAAAGAATGAGAATTGCTCAGATCAAAAATGTTAAGGAAGAGATTCCAGGCCTGTAACGTAAGGTGTAAAAAGCCATCAGAAAGCACATGGCAAGTGGTTTGGAACAGATGTGGATCAGCCTGTAAGGGGAGGGATGAGAGATGCAGGGTGGAGATAGACAGGCAGGGAGCAGTGTGTAAAAGGGTTTCTAATTCCAGGTGGGGATAGGGGACTTGAAGTAAGGAGGTTGTTCTGGACTGAATGTTTGTGTCCCCCAAGAAAATTCATATTTTGAACCCTAACCCCTAATGTAAATGGTATTACGAGGTGGGGCCTTTGGGAAGTGATTAGGTTTAGATAAAGTAGGGATGGTGGGGTCTCATGATGGGATGAATGCCCCAGAAGAGGAAGAAGAGACACCAGAGCTTTGTCTCTCTGCCATGTGAGGATACAATGAAAAAGCAGCTGTCTGCAAGCCAGGAAGTGGGCCTCATCAGAGCCTGACCATGCTGACACCCTGATCTCAGACTTGCAGTGTCCAGAACTGTGAGAAATGAATGCCTGTTGCATAAGCCACCCAGTCTATGGCTTTTTTTTTTTTTTTTTTTTTTTTTGAGCAGCTCGAGTTTGTTAGAGGGTTTAACAGAAGCAGTGAATGAATTTGTATTTTGGGGAAGCTCGTACTGGCACCATATGAACAGAAACTATGGGGCTGCACTCTCTTCTGGGTTCCCCACAGCCTCAGTGCTGAAGTGTGAAGATACTTGGCCAATAAATTAAAGACAGAGTAGAGTTTCACAGGTTAGAAACTGTGCCAGTAAAACAATCCTGTTATTCACTGTAACTTGGTTCCCCGAAACTAACCCAGGCCTATGGGCCTGAGTAACACTCCAGAAGGGAAACTTGCTACTGACTCCCTCAAACTCCATGCTGTGTCTGTCTTCTTCAATGTCTGTGGTGCCTTTTAGACCTCTTATTTTAAATAGCTGTTATTATCCCCAATGTGACTTTTAAAATTAAAGAAATTGAAATGTAGCAAATACCTAAACCGGGATGTGATTTGTTTCAAAAGAAATTTCAATGTCTGAGCACTTAAATTAGTCAATCGGAGATTCCCCTCCCCCGTATCGAGCCCTAATTTTTAATTAAAAAAACAAAACCCTGATTAGCTGCCCACCATGTGTACTTAACTAAATCAGAAAAGGTATACATGGAATTATAAAAGAATTACTGAGGAGGGATCCTATACTATGTATGGGTTATGGTTGATATAAAGCCTTGATTTTCTTTTTTTCCCCTTCTCTTTGGCATCTGGTTTTATTATCCAATTCAGAACACTCCAGTGTGAAAAAGTTAGTTTGTGAAAATGGGCTGAATCAAACTGTTTTTCCTGTAAAGAAGGATAATTTTTAAATTTCAGGGAAATGGGCCCTTTATAGAGGAACTATTACAGCAGTGGAGAGAAATCACTGATCTTAGCCAGCAAATCTTGCAAAGTACCAGCAGAGGAGGCTGCAAATCAACACTGCCTTTCTTTGCAATTTCCCTTTTTTTTTTTTTTAATGATTTCAGAAAAGGGTAACTCATCTCCCCACTAGATTTCAGCATCAAGCTATCTGGTGTTAGAGCAGTTACTTAAAATTACATCTACTGGATAGAAATGCTCTTAACTCTACTGCTGAAATAAGGCAAAAAAAAAAAAAAATGCAAGCAATACACGTTTTCTGGAAATACAATGTACATTGACTTGAATTTATACTATAGTGTTAATGACTGATGTCATTTTGATGAGGGAAGATTTTGATAGGAGAGGAAAAAGGAAAGCAAAGATATTGGTAGTAACTAATATCTTTGATATCTTTGCTTTCCTTTTTCCCCTCCTGTTTCTTTGTGTTAATCTGAGAAATAATTAACGGAAACATGAAAGACTGACCTTTTTCACCAATCGGCCTGACACGGGCTTAATTATTAGAAACACAAAGGTCTTCACAAACTGAATTTTCCCCCAACATAGTAAGTAGTTTATGTTGAAGCATAAGCCATTGGCTGTGTATTATCTGGTACAGTTCTTGGTACTGGAGTCACAACCCACTATCACTGAACAATCAATTATAAGATGTTGTAAGTAACTTGTAACCTTTAATAATAATACTAAGATATAGGAACAAACAGATTTTTCATAAACATGGACCAGAATCAAGATTGTCCCTGTGCTGGGCGTGGTGGCTCACGCCTGTAATCCCAGCACTTTAGGAGGCCGAGGTTGGGCGGATCACCTAAGGTCAGGAGTTTGAGACAAGCCTGACCAACATGGAGAAACCCTGTCTCTACTAAAAATACAAAATTCGCTGGGCATGGTGGCGCATGCCTGTAATCCTAGCTACTCGGGAGGTTGAGGCAGGAGAATCACTGGAACCTGGGAGGTGGAGGTTGCAGTGAGCTGAGATTGAGCCATTGCACTCCAGCCTGGGCAACAAGAGCGAAACTCTGCCTCAAAAAAAAAAAAAAAAAAAAAAAAAAGAAAAAGAAAAAAAAAAAGATTTCCCTGTAATAACATGAATTTCACTCATGTTCTCTTGAGTGATAAAGGAAAAGGTGGATTTAAAACTAAGCTGTCAGGAATTGCAGGTAAACTGCCCCAATCTAATCCTTGCCACACCCTATAATCTGGCAATAACCATGAAAGTGTGGTGCAGATATAAAGGCCGTAAGTGATATGAGTCGCAGCCAAAAAACTGGAAAGCCATTGATCTAGTGTCAGCAAAATAAAAAGCAATCCATACTCTGAGTTCATTTTGTTTTTCTGGAGGCAGCCTGGCCCAAATCAAGGTCAAACAGAGACACTCAGGGCCTCATGTCCACTACTTGACCTAGTTAATAAATATGGAGGCAAAGCAAAAGGTTACATTATACTTGAAAGACTGCTTGGATTTTCCTTTGGCTTTGATGAATTGCATAGATATTTTCCTTAATCAAGTCCCAGGGCCTGAGAAAAGCAACTTAAAGCAAACAGAGTCTGAAGACAGGCTAACAGATTAATGGAAAGGTTGAAGAGATGAGAGAAAATAGCATGAGATAAAGTGAATAAATAACTAAAATGTAACCGCTGGGTGCTCTCTAATAGCCTCCTGGGCTGTACGATGGCTTTCAGTTGATTGGTCATGAGGACACTGCAAATACAGGGGAATTTAATTACACCTAAAGTAAGAGCTAAAATGCTATGTTCTGAGAATTTTTAATGTTCTTGAAATATCTTTGGAATTGTGGCTCTAAAACCACATGTGGTGTCCCCACATAAATTGGAAACACAATGTTGACTGAGTTTTCATGATGCGTCAGTGTGGTGGCTGAATTGAAAGGCAAATAGGGTGAGTTTGGCACAACTTATACTCAAAAAGGTTGATTCACGTTCATTATGATTCCTTTTCTAAGTATTTGTGTTTTCTAAAAAGTAAATTTAGTCTAGAATACTGTCCTGCATTGTCATAAAACTCATATGCTTGTGGTTTGAAAAGCATATGCTTCTCTTTTTTATTTGAAAAGCTGCACTATTGCCTTCAGTTTGGGGGTACCTCTCCAGCACTTCTCATTTCCTCAAAAATCACTAAGTAGCATTTGAAGGTTGCGCCTGTAAATTCTTAGAGTAACCTAGCATGAAGAAGTTCATCCACACCAGGACACTTGAATGGCACCCTCTCTCCAGCCTTAATTCCCTCTTGCTAATGTCAAACCTAGTATTTCTGCTAATAATAATTTCCTTTGATAGGAAAATAAAATGTGAGTTTAATGCTTCTTCCCCATATGTCTCTCACAGATAGACCCAATGCATTTGTTCCTCCAATTGCTTTCTTAACCTCCTGAGAGATAAAACTGTCAATAGAACAAGTCAAGAATTTATGTTGTGAAGTTTTCTTTAAATGTGTATTTCTTCTTCTAGGCCATAAGCAATCTGAAGGTTGAGACCATAGCTTATAATTTTTCTTTCTGTCTCTGACTCATGGTACTTAGTAGTACTTGGTACAGAAAACTCAGTAAGCATTGAATGTATCTATTTTATAGAATTGAGTGTGAGTGGCAAATGTCAAGGGAGATTGTCCTTGTTATTCAGATTCTGATTTCCAGTTCTGCCAGACATTGTCCAGGAGGATTTTAAAAAACAGAGATGTCTTAGGCTACTGAGGATTTCCAACTCAGAGCACTGATGAGGAGAGGGTCTCTTTATCCCAGTGAAGTTGTCTAGTCTTGACATGGTTCAGTAAGTATATGTCTTCTGGATTCTTATTCATAAGTGAATAAAGTAGGCTTGTTCAGAGAAAGGCCTCATCATTCCTAGCATTCTGTGTTAGAGGCAGCAGAAATGTTTCTTTGGCCTTTTTCATCCTTTCTATAGCAGCCAACTGTGGTACTTTTTTCCAGTGGTACACAACACATGTTGCTAAGGTTAGACAATCTTCAAAATAAGGTGAGTTGTTGTTGTCTAAGGGTGTTTCCAGTTCTAACCATCTATGCATTCATAAATAACATTGAATAGTTTTCTGCTCCTCAGGATATCCTAAGACTCCTTGCTAATTGGAAATGGCCCTGCTAGGGCCTGGCAATGTGTCTGTTGCTTTGAGTCTGCAGATGGGTCTGTGAAACACACAGGCAAGTAGAATGTCATCTTCACTTGGATGACCTACAAGCATCTCAAAGGCAACCTGTCCAAAACCAATCACATTTCTTCCCTGACAAACACAATCTACTTCCTGCCTTCCCATCTCAATGACTGGCACCTCCAAAAACCAAGACACTCAAAAGAGAAATCAGAGAGCTCTTCCTAATTTTTCCATTTCTCTCACTAGCAACCCTACTTCTTCTCAAGGCCAATGACTCACGAGGTCTTGTATATTCCCTCTACTTAGTTGCCAAAATCTGTCCACTTGGATTACCTGATAACTGTCACAACCTCCTAAGTACGGTCTTATCTCCACTTACCCTTGATCCTCCACAACTAGAACTTTAGCATTACTTCCTCCATGCTGGCATCTTTAACCCAACAGTCTAATTTTGGTGCCCCTTATATAAGCTCCATATGAATAGGTTTATCAGAGTACTTCTCTCACTATTTTGAACACTAATTACCTTATGTCCCCTGTTATTTCATGAGTTCCTTTAGGGCAAAACGCATAAGAATATTTTCAGACTGAATGAATGAGGTGTTTCTTGTTTTCAGATTCTTCTTACTATAAATTCTTGCTTGTAACTGAAATCTATTCTGTTAGAAAAGCTCCCGTTCCTTCAATGACAGGTGTCTGTGGCTTCAGGGGGTACTACAAAGCCAGGCTGAAGTCAGCTCTGAGCATGTACACTGGCGGCCTCCAATCTACCAAACACAGTCCTCAATTCTCAGTGGCAGTGTCAAGGCCACAAAGAAGGAACTCTAGTGAAAAAAGAAAATTAAGAGAGAGAGATAGAGAGAAAGAGAGACAGAGAGAGAGATCGGAGTTGGGGAAAAATGTGGCCAATAAAGAGGGCCCTCATCCAGCCATGTTCACAAGAGTTGCCTTAAAGAGAAAAGAAAGACTTCCCATGGCTGCTTTGCCAAGGAGTGCAGGAAAGAGTAAGACAGTAAAGAGGCCAATATGAATCTACTGGAATGCAAAGAAAAGGGCCAGGAAACCGAGTGTACCCAGCCTGCCTCTGTGCTTAGTGAAGGTGACGAAATCAGTTCCCAGCTTTGCAGAAAGAACTTGCTGGATGAGAGGAAAAAGGTAAAGCTGACCCACCCCCACTCCTACACACAACCTCATGCTCACCTGGCATCTTGTGTCTGCAGGCCCTTGGGCTGGGTGAGGAACACAACACTGCTTGTAGCGATAGGGACCTCATCTATTGAAGCAGGAAGCAGAGATAACCCTTTGTTCAAGAAATAGTAGAAGCAAGTAATGGTGGGGACTGAGCAGCCCTTGTTCATATCTGACACCCAGAGAGTTACTGGTTTTGACTACAAATCCTTTCTGAGAGTCATGCTGCCATTTCTGGCTGTCCTCAGATAAGCAACAACTCCCTGCCAGCCGAGTGATGAGTTATCTACTGACAAAGTTGATCCCCCATGAGACAAATCCCTTTGATCAGAAATTTTGTTTTGTTTCAGCTCATGGAGACAGATCACAGTGAGGCATCTGAGAGTCAATAAGAAAATGTTAATAGATTTACTCTTGCTGGGGAGGCCAGTACCAGTGTTTTAATCATCTTGTGGCTGCTTAATTAACATTTGTCGGCATTATTTCTGCTACTGTTAGCAAAATGTAAATATTTAAATGGCATGTATTTTTCATGAAGCAGGAGAACTATGAGCGCAGAACTTGAGGCAAAGATCTGGCCTCATCTTAATCGCAGCTCTCATAAAACACACTCCGTAGCTTTTGGCAAGTGTCTTAACTTCCTGACTTTTCTACCTCAGTTTCTTCCCCCATAAAAGAGAGATAATGAAAACAGTTCTAAAGAGGGTTATAAAGATTAATCACCAACTGTCCCGAAAAATTCTTTGAAGATGAAAATGGGCAAATATAGTATTCTACCTGTGAGCAAAAGGACTCAGCAGAGACCATGAAGAGACGTGGAACTATATACTGACATTATTCCACATACTTTGCATTCACCCTGTTTTAACTGCTCAGGGTGCTGCATATTAAGTATATGCAGACCACAGTGAGAAACAGAATATTCAAGAGAATAAACGAGAATGCTCTAAAAATAAAGTTGTTTGTGGAGAAGCTGTGTATTTCAAACTGCCACTAATGCCCAGATGGATCCTATTAAATAGATCCATCTTGTCTTTTTTGCTTTAACTTTTAGCTGCAAACTGTTTACAAGTCAGGAGAAGAGAAACTGTAGAAAATAAGAATCTTCAGTGTCAGAGAGCAAACAGTCCTCAAGGGAAAACATTACTGTTCATGTTCCGTCTATGAGAATAGAGTTTTTAAATATTTTGACAAGATTGCATGGAAATTGGTCTTTCTTTAAGGGACTTCTGACCCTTACATTGAGCTCATATAATGCAGTAGTTTATATTACCACAGGCTATGGGGAAGATGACAGGGGGTAGATTGCGAAGTCTGGAACTTCTTACACTGTCTTGAACAGTGAAAAACTATCTTCATGCTAAATCCATTTTTATCCACTCCTTCAGGTTAAACAAAGCTGCTTCTTATGGTTTCCATTTTGAGTTTAGCTAAAAACAGCTAGGTTTTAAAAGGGAGATTTTATGAGGTGGAAAGATGACAAAACTATGGGTTGCACTTCTGGTTTCATCCTTGAACAGTGATGTTGAAACCTGTTTCCATACCTAAAAAAATAGGGATACTGTAGGAGTATACAATAGAGTAGTGAGTGTGCAGACTCCAGATCAGACCATTGGGATTAACTCCTGACTCAGTCACCTACAGCTAACATACTTGGGATGAGTTATTTAACTCAGTATTTTAACCAATAAGCAGGAATGGTAATCATAGGGGAATTTGTGAGAACAGAATGATAATATATGTAAACCACCTAGATCTGACAGGGGTCCATAATTAATGATTGATTAAAATTTAGCTGCTATCATTGTTGAAGTCATTGTCATCATCATCATCATCATCATCCTCCTCCTCCTCCTCATTGGCTGAGCTACCTCTGAAAGTTTTGTATCAAGCCTAAATGAACGTAGGAATGTATTGCAAACTGCAAAGTGCTACAGGAGTGTAAGTTATAATTATATGAAATTAAAAATTTAGACCTAAGAGTCTGAGATTAAAGCCTTACATTCCACACATGGCTTGAGACAGTCTTCTTGGCTCAACAGGTAAGAACTAGGTGTCAGGAAAGCTCAGCTGCGTCTTACAGCCCTAACATTGTCTGCTAGGGACACTCTCACCCATCTGTGCCTCAGTATCAAGTGCCATGGCTTCTCACCATCCCCTGGTGGTCTGCCCAGGCCAGGAGGCTATGTGTGCCCCGGGCGAGAGGAGGAAAGGAATGTTTCCTGAGCAGCAAAGTGTGGGAAGTTCAGTAAGTGGAAGAGGGGAGTGAAGCATGATGAAACGTGGAACAGAAACTTGGAGATATGAAAGGCCAAAGCTGCTTTTTCCTGCCGCAGAGCTGGGGGAGGTGAGATATACTCAGAAAAATAGATGAACAGTTGAGACAGGATGGTGGGAGGCTAAAGCAGGAAGGCCAGAAAAAGGGGAAAAATGCAGATTGGGCGTTTTATTGGAAGAGCAGGTACAAATTTCAGTCTCAGGTGAGAAAGAAATGTAACTGTATTTTTCTCTGATTGAACTAATTGTGGAGCCTTTGCTTCTAAAGTGGTGAAGATACCCTCAGGCAATTCCTAGCCCAGTCTTTGTGGCTCTCTCACACACCCTTCAGAATGCTGCTCAAATGTTCCTCTATCAATGAAGCCTCTCTTAATCACATGATACAGAATAGCACTCCCTAACTCTATTCCAATCTCTTTCCATTTTTTGTTTGCGTGTGTTTGTGTGTCCACTGCATTTGCCACTATTTGAGATGATATAGCAGATAGATGATGGACAGATTTAGATAGACAGATGTAGGTATAATTTGTTCATTGCCTGACATCCCTTTCTAAATGGAAGCTCCACGAGGACTTTGATGAGCATCGAGGGCATCTGTGGTAATATGATGTAGATGACAGCAGACCCACTATGTCAGTCAGCATGAACTGTTTGTTACAGAAAATTTTTGTGAGGAAAAGGCAAGGCTGTTAGCCAATAAATAACTTCATTGTTTTCTTTAGGAAATCCCCTGAGAACAATTTATCAGAGACAATGAACTGTTCACTCATCAACCACAGCTTACTTATCAAAGTTCTCTTCAAAATTCTCAATTTCCCATGTTCACTAATCCTGAAAAATTTTATAATAATTTCAAAGTGGGCAATTTCAGGTGCCCACTTTGAAAGGCCTGCCTTAAACTACTTGAGCTCAAACTCAAAGTCATACAACACTTAATTTTTGACTTCTCCTTTCTGAACCACTCTTAAAACTGTCAAGGTGGTGTTCTCCTTTATTGCAGTAAGCTCTAATGAATTTATCTTTGTTTCATTAACAGGTTGTCTGGTGATATTTTGGGGAAGTTCAACATTGTTTAAACTTCTTACACACTGTCTTTCATAGTGAAAACGATTAAGCAAAAGTTTTTTTTTTTTAATGTTGTTCTTCCCATTCTTAGATCCATTTTGGAAGATAATATGGGTTCTATGAGTATTTGTTGAATGTCCGAATGGATGAATGAATGAATGAATGAATGAAGCAATGGATATAAGGTCTCCACTCTCCCATCTCTGCCATTCTTTAAAGGGACATTGGGCATTGGCATGGCAAGTCAAGAATACCTGGTCTGTGGTGTAGGTTCTTAGTCCAGACTAGCATCTGTTATAACATTAGTCATCCCTTTGGGTCCCTGGTCACTGGATCATGCGGGAAACTGAGGGGCCATCCTTTGTTCATTTCTGTGCTGGCTCCCCCAAGCCCTGATGGTAGTCTTAGTTATTTCTGTATAGTCATTGTTCTGCTGCATCCATGCCATACATAAGTTGTGAAAAACTCACCTGTCTGTCTTAGGCTTTCCTCCACTCTTCTGCCACTCTGAATGCATGGGAAATCATTTGCTTATTATGTGCTTAGTGGTTGTGTCCAGTCCCTCAACCTAAGCATAGCAGACATTTCTTCTGCTCTCACACAAGACCAGCCAGGCTCAACTCCCTAGGCCAGGGGCTGACAAGTGTTTCTGTAAAGGACTAGATAGTAAATATTTTGGGCCACGCAAACCATAAGGTCTCTGTTCCAACATTCAGCTCTGCCATTGTGACATAAAAGAAGCCATAGACAGTACAGAAATAAATATGTATTTACAAAAAAAGGAAGGCTGGTCTGTGGACCAGCCAGTGTTTGATGACTCCTGTCCTAAGCAATACTAGGATAAGAATATACATGTAATAGGATGTTAGAGGACTACAAGCATTGATACATGTAAACCACTTGCATAGTAAATTTGGCAATTAGAAGGTCATTAATAATTTAGTGAGAGCAGTTTCTGTGGAATGTTGGTGGCAGAAGTCAGACTGCAGTTGACTAAAAAAGGAATAAGGCATTGAAATATTGAGTATAGATTATACCTATAAGCAGTTTGAATGAGAAGGGAAGGTGAAATTAAATTGTATTTAGAAGGAAAAATAAGACCAAAGAAGGTGTGTATGTGTGTGTGATTGTTCTAGGCAATTTGAACATGTTTATACGCTGAGACAGAATACAAAGGGACAATTTAGAGATTGATGAAAGAGGGTGATTCACAGAAAAGTTCTTAAAAGTGTAGGAAGAGGGCTTTGAGAGGAATTATCCTGGTATAGAATGGGCTCATTCTCTGAGACTGCAGAGAAGTGCATATGTGACAGTGATGTTGGCAGACAGAAGTTGGGAGTCTCACTTGATGTTTCCTATTTAGATTACAAATTTGGGATGGGAAGAGAGGAAGGGTGTCACAGGATCCTTTACTGAGTGGAACCACATGTGTACATACATATTACCTGTGTGTGTGCATGTTTATTAGACAGTAGGCTTGAGTAAATGTGAGGAGGAGAAGGAGGGGAGTAGGAGTTCATCAAGGTCAAGTAAAATGACTGATATGGAGCATTGAGGACGCAGTAAGTGATGGCCTCAATCTAATAGTTGTGAGCCTATCTTTATCTTTGGATCCATAGCCCAGATATGTAAATGAAGAAGTCTGCTTATGAGACTACATAGACCGTAAAGACAAAACATGCTACCAAACAACTGTTATTTGCAGTAAGTTTTGAAGAAACTTGCCATTTGGATCCTGCCTGATGTACTCTTTAAAGGACTCCATCTCTCTGAAACAACTGTGGTAATGTTCCAAGGAGCTCTCCTTTATCATTTTATATTAAACATATTCTCAGTCTGTGATGATCTTAACTAAAGACGTTAGATTTTTAAGTCCTGTAGAGATCTTCCAAGCAACCATGATTTTCAGGACACAGGCACTATTCAGGGTCCTTAAACTAGTTAAGACTAGATACTACTTAGGAGCCTAGCTCTTTTCAGCTACATCACAGTATGATTTTTTTCAACTATCCTGTGATTCTTTTCTTCCATCAGAGATAAAATTTCCACTTATTTTATAATCAAAAACATTATTTGTTGTCAGCATTCTTTAAAAAATGTGTAGCATTTCCTACAGAAATGGAAAGATAGATGAAAATATTTTTTTTTGGCTGGGTGCGGTGGCTCACGCTTGTAATCCCAGCACTTGAGAATTGCTTGAACCTGGGAGGCGGAGGTTGCAGTGAGCCGAGATCGTGCCATTGCACTCCAGCCTGGGCAACAAGAGCAAAACTCCGTCTCAAAAAAAAAAAAAAAAAAAAGAAAGAAAAGAAAAGATTTTTTTTCTATGTAGAAAGATATTTTAGTTTCTCTAAAACTATCAATTAAATATAGTCAATCTATTCATGAGAAAATTTATCCATTAAATAGTTAAATGATTTATTCAAGGTCAGATTTAAATCATTCTCAATACTGGCTCATTCTCCTAAACTACTTTTAAATGTGTTCCCTTATGTATTAAGTTTTGACTTTACAACAAAACATTTTTCATGATAAAATGGACATTTTATAGATGAAAAAGTACAATTGTACTAAATAAATATAATGGATCAGAGGTGACACAGTCTTTAGGTTGCACAAATAGGCTTCCTTATCAACAAAATAAATAGATAAATACTTTTTATTTAAGAAGTGCTTATTTACTTTTAAGTTCCAGTGTAGCATCTTTGAACTATATCTTATGTAATCAACTGAAAGAAAAACAGTTTAATACAACTATCTGGGGGAAAAAGATGCTTAATTTTTCACTCTAGCTAGGATCCTTTCAGTTTGTCATTTCTTCCCTATTGACTTCAGAAATGACATGTTCATTTTATACTCTAGTACTCTATTATTTCAAATAAGTAGTCTATTTAGGCCTCACAAAGTCTTGCTAAATAAAACGTAAATGGAATGAAACTAGCCTGCACTTCAGAAGAAAAGGTATAGCATTGAACAAATAAACTTATACATACTTCTAGGTACAAAAACAATTTTTAGATGAATACACAAAGAGAAATCATATTTTATCTGCAATACTGTGGTGTATATTATCTCCTGATTTTTGAAATATGTTACCTCAACTTAAGAATAAGTTACTTTTAAAGTAATAGATACTAGCACAAAAATTGTTTATATAACTACGCATTTTTAAAGACAAGTAGTCACATTTTGAGAAATTGATAAAAATTAATGCCTTTTGTTTTCATGAAAGGATATTTTTGGGACATTCAATGCATAAGATTTTGAGCTACAAGTGAACATTTTAAAAGAGATATGCATTTGTTCTCATTTTAATAAATGATCTGTCCTAACATTTTCAGGAACATAGCAAGTATTAAACTTGTCATCAGTAAATCATGGTTCTTATGATAATCATAACTGCCAAAATAACGTCATGTTAATTCCAAAGTGCAAAACATTCTTGTATAGCACATAGTATATCTCTTAACCATTAAATAGATAACTACCAATCAGCCATAACCACAGATTTTTGAGTTAACATGTATTGTCCTTAAATCCTACTAGCACTATACAACCAAAGTCTGTGACGTGTAGAATATGGCAAACTTCGTGATGTATCTATAGTTAAATAAAAGAAGACATTCACACGATAAAAGTAGCAACACACAGGGTACTTACCCTCAGAGAATGCTAAATTTAAATGTATATTAAAAATAAATATAATAGGCAATAAAATTTCTGTGATTGACTGAAAGGATTTTCTCAGGAGGTACATGAATAAGTTTGAACTATAGAATCAAAGCAGTGTTTTAGCACTGACTGATTTCCTATGATAAAATAGGTTTCCTGAGATTTAACTTGAGAATAAATGAAATTTCTAGCAGCTTAATTACAGGAATAAGGCAACTTTAAGGCAGTGTTTCTTGAAATTATAATCATGTTTGTGAATTTCAGGCAAAGCTCAAGTTCAATATGCTTCAAGGTCATGATTATACCTTTTAAAGTAATATTAAAGAATGAATGCAAGCCTGAAAGTCAGTGACCTGAATGTTGTTTTGTGGCTATACTATATATTTTAAAATAGAATACCATGAGGAAAACAGTGCTGAGTAGAACCAATGCAAAGCTTTCAAATATTTATGAATCAGATCATTAATAATACCAATGATGTACTAAGTGTGAGCAGTCAATCGATGTAAAAACTGTACAGTTATTGGCCCTCTCTGACTGGCTGGAAAAGTATGGGGTAACTAATGATGTAAAATGCTTATTACAAATTTGATAGTTATACAGGTATATATTAAGATCTGGGAATAAAATGATAAACTGAACCATAGAAAAGAGATTTTGAAGCAATTACTAATCAGGATAAGATTCTAATAAATCAATCTGCATTAAGGTTGCTCTTCATCAGCTAGATTCATGGTATTGCAAATTATTTACATTTTTAAAGGCTCACCTGGCTTAGCAATGATATTCAAATAATTTCCATAATGTTGCCTGACAAGGACACCTTAGAAAATTGCTTATTTAACTCTTAGATTTTAATGGAACAAAAAGAGTGTAGGGAAAAAAAGAAAAGAAGGGGGAAAAGAAAAACCCACCTCACCTAAGCCAGTTAGAGGAAAATATGAAGGAAAAAATGCCAAATATAAAGGAATAAAATTGTAACACGTATCTACAAGCATAGAGTCAGCCTATTGACATAGAGTATAGATGTATAGATGTAGAATTGTGCAATTTTTCTATGACAGCATATCTGTAAGTAATTTATATCATTATAGAATAAGCAGTGATAGTCTAAGCCCCTTTTCATACATTTGGTGAAAACCACGCAGTACCCTATTTATATACTGTATCCATTCCAATTAGCATATATTTTAGCTTCAAAGCATAACAATAGAAGTTACATCATCATCACTTTACAAAAAAAAATGACTTTTTTAATGTTCTTGAAAAATCTCTAAGGTGAAAAGAAACTCTGCCCAGAGTAGGTTCCACAGAGCATTCAAATTTTTCCCTGTGGTGGAATTTCATTACGTTCTGCACCTTGCCAGAAATTACTGTCTAAATTACTCTCTGTGCTGAATTTAACAAAGAGTACATAAGCAAAGAAAGAAAAGGGCTTTAAACATAAAGGAGCAAAGAGGGAAAAAAACTTCTTAAGCAAATATTCATTCATGTTGAAAGTATCATTTTCTGCTGCTGCACTTTTAGAGGCATACAAAATTTGACTCAGTCTCAGCCCTCAAGGTGCACACAGTCTACTTGGACAGAGATAACTGATAGAACATGAAACAGATAAAAATATAAATATCTACCCACTCTCTAGAGATAGTCTTATCTTATTCACTCCCACTGCTTAAACTATTATCTACATGGTATGGCCAAAGACTCTCTAAATATTATCTTCACTCTCACCTATTCTCTGTGATTCATATTATGCTTTTATAATCCAATAGATGTTTCAATAGTTCTTTAAACTAATGTGAAAATCACTAGCTTTCACACTCAGACTATACTACAAGAACTACTTTTTCTAATTTTTTCCTTAAAAAATAATAGCTTAACCTTCTGGTCACCAGCTCTTCTTTCTCCTTCACATTTTCTCATTTAGTCAATCCTTCAACCCATCTATAAAGAATTTCTCAAATTCTCTCCAATCCCACTGCCCGAGCTGATAGCATTATCTTTGGCCTGCACTACTTCAAGAGTTTCTCAGACTGATCTCAATTACTGCAGGCTCTCTTCACTGTAATTCATCCTCATCATTCCTACCAGTTCCCTTTCTAATACAAATCTGATGAGATAAAGCTCTTGCTTAAATATTGACTATTTCTATCTATAGAAATGAGACCTATCAGCTTTCCCACTTTTATTTCTTGCCACTTCCCACCTGCCATCAATATTGAACTATTCATATGAACTAAACGTAATATGTCTTTCCACTATACTGCACATATTTTTTACTGTATCTAACCAAGATGTGCACGTTATCCTTTTCTCCTCTGGCAAATGGTTACCTAACCTTCAGTACCCTAATGGAATGTCACTTCCTCTGTAGCATTATCCTTCCCATGTGCTCTCATGGCACAATTTATATAAATATATATCTATATATATTTATATACATACATATTATATATTTATAAACATAAATCATACTACCATGGTTATATATATTGGTATGGCTTATGTTTTCTTTGCTAGACTATAGATCATTTTTGTAATTTTTACTTGAATGAATTTGGAAAGTACAGTGATACAAATAAACAGAGTTTGTTAGCAGAGTACAAATTACCAAGGCTAGGCTGAGAAATCAGGAAGGACTCACATAAAATAATTCAGTCTTAGGAGTACATATACATCAGCAAGCTGGGAAAGGGGGAGGACATTCCAGCAGAAGGACAAACATGTACAAAATGTCATGTTCAGTAATCCATAAGTATTTGCTAGTGGTAAAGCTGGGAAAATGTATATATAAGCTAAGGGGGATAAGAAAAGAGAATTGAACCTGATCCTTCAAATGTTTAAATGATGTTGCTAAAGACTCAGATGAGTTGAGCTAATCTGCAAGGATGTAAGATTTTGTTCAATTGTACCTAGCAATACAAAGAATATAGAGTTTGATACTGATCTGGGTTGGGATTTGTGGGGCAGGTGTGGCATAAGCAGACAAGTATAAGGATAATGAAGATCTTAGTGAATGGTTCAGATAACCTGTCATTGGTTCCAGACTATGTAGAAGAACTGGGAGGAATCAAGGAACACAGACTATGTTTTCAAAAATCAGATATGCTGGAATTGAAAAATTGAAAGCTGTAATTCATGGATCCAATAGGTTATTTACTAAGCACTTCCTATGTCCCAAGTACTGTTTTAGGTACTGGGGATACAACAATGAAAAGAAAGACAAAAATCCCCAAGATGTTTGTTAATCTTCAAGTGTTCAGAGGTAAACCAGTTCTGGAAAACATCATGACCACACACGACTCAAGTGTGGTGGAAGTCTGGGTCCCTGGAGTTTAGGTGAACAAGGAACTCTAAGGAAAACATATTCCATAAAAATATGTTTAAGTGATAAACAGGAAATCAGAATAATCAGGACATAAGGACTTGGATGATAATGGACAAAAGGCTAGGTGCAAAAGTTTTCAATGAATGTGGAGTGAACAGGAGGTTGCTGGGTTGTAAAGATGAAAATGGGTAGAAGAGAGCATGGTCAGATGTAAATGTTTCATTGAAGCAAGAATTTTTACTTGAAAGTAGAATATGACGAGAAGCAGCCATTGAGAGAAAAGAACATGCACTACTTTCTGATCCTCTGGGATGCACACAAAATGGGCAGAACTAGGTTAGTATTGGTTAAGACAAGATCAAGGAAGACACATTTTATGAACATTAAGGATACGTTTTGTTTACCATGGCATGAGGAACAGCGTTCCACAGGCCCACTAAAAAGGTCAAGGAGATAGTAGCAGTGGTGAAGTTGGTTCAGAAAAAAAAAAAAGCACAGAAAAGTATATGGGTGAGTGTGAGGTGGAAGATGAGAAATGATTTGAGGAACGGACATTGTGGGCAGTGATCTGAGTGCACTTGGCTGACTCAAGGGTTAGAAAGAGCGAAGTGCGGCAGATGAGTGCAGGCTCTAAAGAATTGCTGTTAGAATTACAGCTTTACCACGTACAGACTCTGTGACTTTGGAAATCGTATAAAGTACTTTATATAGAGCTTGCCAAAAGCAATTTTTTTTTTTTTTGAGACGGAGTCTCGCTCTGTCGCCCAGACTGGAGTGCAGTGGCGCGATCTCGGCTCACTGCAAGCTCCACCTCCTGGGTTCACGCTATTCTCCTGCCTCAGCCTCCTACAGGTGCCCGCCACCACTCCCAGCTAATTTCTTTGTATTTTTTTAGTAGAGATAAGGTTTCACCTTGTTAGCCAGGATGGTCTCGATCTCCTGACCTCGTGATCCGCCCGCCTCGGCCTCCAAAAGTGCTGGGATTACAGGAGTGAGCCACCGCACCCAGCTGCAATTCTTAAA
Organism: Homo sapiens; assembly: GCF_000001405.40. NCBI lineage: Eukaryota > Metazoa > Chordata > Mammalia > Primates > Hominidae > Homo > Homo sapiens. Next base: position 96,826,767 of record NC_000001.11, on the reverse strand, counting down.
TAGTAGCTATTATTAATGTGCTAAAACCAAAGGTAGTGTTGAAAGTTGAAAGAAACTGGTCACTGAAGGCCTGTTTTATAAGCCAGTGTAGGCTGACGCCTTGAGAAATCAGAGGTCTGTAGATGTTGAAGTTAGTACAAATAGGTTCCGAGTGGAAATGGAGGTGAACATATTGCAAAACTCAGAGTGGACTGAGGCTTCACTACACTGGGGTAAGTAACAGACATACTAGGTGATCAGAGCCTCACAGCCAGCACAGGTAGTAAGTGTTGGAAAATCAGTGGCCTTGTTGTATAAGCCAATGATTCTCAACCTTTGGTGTCCATCAGAGTCATCTGCAAGGCTTGTTAAAAAAACAAATTGCTGAGCCCCACCCCTCCTAATTTGTATTTCAGTAGATCTAGGGTGAGTCTTGAGAATATGCATTTATACTAAGTTCTCAAGTAATGTTGATACTGGTCCAAGGGCCACAAATAAGAGAATCATAAATTCAGGCCCTAATTACAAATGCATTCCTGGTAATCAGAGGTCATTCATAAAGTCTGTTTTGAATGAATAATGTGATCAGCCAAATAGTACAGAAAGCCATGTAGTCTCTAGACATCAGAGAGGGCTCTACAGAGGAGGGGAAATTTAATGACTCTGGAAAGATATGTGGAGATCAGAGAGCTAGAAGCATGCAAGCTGAGGGGAGAGAGAAACACAAAAACCTAACTCCAAAAACAAAAAATGTGTATATGTTGTTAGAAAGCAGCTAGTATGGCTGAAGCAGACTGTAACTATTTTATACATACACACACACACACACACACACACACACACACACACACACATATATGAACACACATACATTCCTTTTAGGCAGAGTCGAGATTCTGGTGTACCTACCCAACTTGAAGAGTAAAAAGCAAAGAATGCTATCACCTGGTCTCTGCAACTGGCTCACCTCCACTGGAAAGTGAGCCCAGCTTTGTGTTTGTTTGTCCCTACCTGAGCCTTAAGTAGGCAGGGCAATGAGACAGGATAAATAAATGTGTCAAATGAAAATTCTGCATATTTATGGAGGCTTATGATAAAGTGTTATCACTAAAAGCTTGTGGCCTGGGATGACAGCGGGAGAATCAGAGTTTAAAATACAGGTTCAGGCTTTACCATCTGCTATATGACCTTGGTAGTTAACACCTACTGAACCTGTTTTCTCTAATATGGAAGTAATATTTGCCACAGGAATTAAATCAGCCAATGCATACAGAGTTCGGCATAGTGAATGTGGCTAGAAAATATTCTCTAAGCTCTAGCTATTACTTACTACAAGACCACACCTTTAAATCCAGCCTACTGGACATCAGATTTGTTTTCCTGCTGCCACTGCTCCAACAGGAGTGTCATTTCCTGAAGCTTTACTAAGCCCTAATCTGAAAAATGAAAACAGAAGTTCCAGTGCTGGTACTTCAGGACAAAGATGGGGGACAGCTGAAAGTTCTGGCTCTTTAGTGCAAAAATGCATTTAGATCTTATGATAAAAATGTGTAAGACTTACATCTAAAAGACAGAAGAAATGTTAATATAAAATTGTGTCAGAAATAAGACAGCTAGATAAGGGGCCAGAACCAAGAAGGATAAAATTCAAAAAACATTCCTTGCTCCATCCTCTTTTTTCACTGAAGGACTACCAGATGGATGGTTTACTTTTAGTGTTGGTTGTATGTCCTCTTCTTGCACTGCAAATCTAACAAAGCTAGATTAAGTCCATGGGCAGGAACACCATTCTGATTTTGTCATGTCTTCATCAGAGCAAATGAAAACAGTATAAATTTAGTTTTTTATACTGAACCTCAAATTTTCAGCAAATTGTCAAATAGCTGTTATTGGCTTCTTAGGAAATACTTTTTTTTTAAAAGGAAGCTGAAAAGAGAAAAATTCACCACGATTCCAGATCCCAATGCATGAAGTTGATTGTTGAGAGTAGCGCAGATGGAAAAGGACATACGTAACCATGTTTGTGTTCTTTCTTCTTACATAATCTTCTTACATGTTAAATAATGTTGCTATGTTCTTGTGTGTCTTGTTTTATAATCTCAATTGCTTCCTATAGTTTGCCTTAACAATTCTACAAGGAACCACATACTTCAGCTTTCCAACCCCAGCAGAAAACAAAATCCTAGCTATTCTTAAAAAAAAAGGAAAACCTTGTTACTGGCAGATTAGTACTTGTGTATATTGTGTTTAGATACACAATTTAGTGAAAATAGATAAGTGAAAACAAAATTTGGACTGATTTTGCCACTTATTTTTCATTTATTAGGGCCATGTGCTAGACGAAGAGGGTCTGAGATTTATGCAGTAAATATATTAAATACAGATTGAATAAAATGAGTTCTTTTATCTGTTTGGATAGGTCAAACACTATTAAACTATTACAACTAAATTATATCTACTCAATAACAGTTCATTTAAAGTATGTGTCAAAATTTGACAGGCTTTTGGGAGTTTCTAAATTGGGATTTGACCTAAGGTATCAACTCCATAAGTCATCCCAGTTATGAATGATTTTAGTAAAAAGAAAGACACAGGAAAAGAAAAAAACCTGAAAGAGACTGTTATTGGTAACCTAGATTTCTAGGTTAAGTATAGTGATTCACTGAAATGCTAACACAATTATTTTTGGGAAAACTTAGGTATCTATCATAAAGCTCAATATTCCCACAGACATTTTGTTTACCTGATTTAAAATAATTCTCATGACTGGGTGTGGTGGCTCACACATGTAATCCCAGCACATTGGGAAGCCGAGGCAGGTGGATGGCTTTGGCCCAAGTTTGAGACCAGTCTGGGCAACATGGCAAAACCTTGTCTCTACAAAAAAACACAAAAACTAGTCAGGCATGGTGATGCATGCCTGTGGGGGACTGAGGTGGGAGGATCTATCGAACCTGGGAGGTTGAGGCTGCAGTGAGCTGTGATCATGCCATTTGCACTCCAGCCTGGGTGACAGAGTGAGACCCTGTCTCAAGAAAAAAAAACAAACTCAATTACAAATGACTTTAATGACTTTTATATATATAAAAAATTGGAAGTAGATAGCAGGTGGAGAGACATAGGTAGTAATGTATGGTGAATTTTCAATCATTAATCTGTTTCTTTGTTGGTCACAAACTCAAGAATATATTGCACGTATAATTCTACTCAAATTATCTAAAAAATACATTATGGTTAACAGACACTTTTACAAGTAGTATTTAATCATACTGTGAGGATTCAACATTTTTTAAAGGGTAAGCATTTTTTATAAAGGGGTTTTTGCTTATCTACATTAATTCTTTCTACTCAACCAAATAATTTACATGTCAAAACTTAAAATTGTATCTTAGTGATTCTCAAAATTCTCAAGCCAGAACAGCAGCAGCAATAGTATAGAGTGAACAAGTATTCCTGGGGAGACCTGAAAGCACAGCTTTAAGTAGTCTTAAAAGCATAGTGGCTAAAATGGCCTTGACATTTCATCTTGGCCGGGTGCCATGGCTCATGCCTGTAATCCCAACACTTTAGAAGGCTGAGGCAGGTAGATCACTTGAGGTCAGGAGTTCGAGACCAGCCTGGCCAACATGGTGAAACCGTCTCTACTAAAGATACAAAAAAATTAGCTGGGCTTGGCGGCACACGCCTGTAGTCCCAGCTACTCAGGAGGCTGAGGCAGGAGAATTGCTTGAACCCGGGAGGCGGAGGGTGCAGTGAGCAGAGATCACACTGTTGCACTCCGGCCTGGGCAACAGAGCAAGACTCTCTCTCAGAAAAAAAAAAAAAAGAGATAAATCTTGTCTTATAACTTACAAGCTTTATGTTTTGCAGTTTTCTAAGGATATATATCCATGTTTCATGAAAAAATGTTTTAAGTTACCATGGAAAGACAATTCAAAAACATGCATGTTTCTTCCATGGTTTTGCCAAATCCTTATCACACAGAGAGGCATGGCCATGGGTTCAAACTGCCAAAGTATTACGCAGCTTTACTGAGTAAGGGTCTTTCTTTTACTCTTATTCAACAAGATTCTTTTGGAAGTCTTAATTTTGTAATTTTAAAAGAATCTAACATCAAGTTTTGTGTGCAGCTTTTAGATGGATAAGTTTAACTTATTTGTATGATTTTTTGGAATTATAAAAAAGAAACATACAAAAACTAAATCAATTCAAAAGGGATATTTTAATGAACATAAATTCACTAGATTTGTCATGTCAACCCTGTCCCTTCTCCTAAGTCCAGTTTACCAATAACTGCATTTAGAAACCCTAGTGGAGCCCAAACAACTTAGCACAGCCTATAATCTGACTATTCTATCCAAACGTATTTCTCTATTTGTTCCTTGTCTCCTAATTTATGACCGAGCCATGCTTAACTTTCTCCAGGGTGCCGTAATCTTGATTCTGGTCCTTTTTTGTCCCCAACTTTTAAACAAACTGTTCTGTTTCTAACACTTGTGTCCCCAACACTTACCTCCAACCCAGGTAATACAACTACCTTCAAGAATCCTTTCCTAACTGCTAAAGATTGAGCACACTGTAATAACACCCAATAGTTCCTCCAGAAAATTTATCAACCCATATAATTCTTTACTTATCTCATACTGAACTGAAAGCCCCATGATAGGAAGAAATTGTGTTTTAGTTATTTAGGTTGGTGCAAAAGTAATTGTGGTTTTTCTAATTTTAACGGCAAAAATCGCAATTACTTTCGCACCAACCTGTATTTCATCCAAAGCATCTAAGCTGGCACATAGCAGGTAATGAACACTTGTTGAAAAAAAGAATTAAAGACTCTCAAGAGGTTAAATATTAGCAAATAGGCTGGGAGCGGTGGCTCACACCTGTAATCCCAGCAGTTTGGGAGGCTGAGGCAGGTGGATCATTTGAGGTCAGGAGTTCGAAACCAGCCTGGTCACATGGTAAAACCCTGTCTCTACTAAAAATACAAAAATTAGCTGGGTGTGGTGGTGGGTGCCTGTAATTCCAGCTACTCGGAAGGCTGAGGCAGGAGAATTGCTTGAACCCGAGAGGTGGAGGTTGCAGTGAGCCGAGATAATACCACCGCACTCCAGCCTGGGTGACAGAGCAAGACTGTGTCTAAAATAATAATAATAATAATAATAAAAGCAAATGTTAGCAATTTATGTGGCTAGTAATCCATATTTCTAGGAGCTATTTTCCTTGAAAGTTGGTAGTAATCCATATTTTTAGGAGCTATTTTCCTTGAAAGTTGATAGTAATCCATATTTTTAGGAGCTATTTTACTTGAAAGCATAATAATGGATGTTTTACACTGACATACAATCTTTAAAACTGAAACCAACCTCTTCTTAACTGTATAAAGTTAACTGCAGGTACACTCCTGCAGTTAACTTTATAAATAGATATAAAAAATTAAACTACTTTACAAAACAAAAATGGAAAGTCGAGGTAATAAATTAATCTCATATATACACTGTGTTATTCACAATGGTGTAGAGAGAAAAGAACAAAGACTTTGAGGTCGAAAAATGTCTCATAATTATCTCACCTTAAAATTGGGCCAAAAGTTGATTTTTGTACCACTAGATATTCCCAACCCTGTATTTCTACAGCATATTTCATATCTTACTTGAAACTACAAATAACACAAGACAGAAAAGACATGTACTATCATCACCTCCATTGTACAGATGAGAAAATGGACTTCGATAAATGAAGTGCCTTGCTCAAGCTACCATTGGTAAATGGTGATATGCTCAGCCTCCTGTTCCCTGATGTCCTTATTTTGCTATACTGTATACTGTCATAACATGAATCAGACTAGAAGCTATTTGAAAGTAGTAAGTCAGTTATACTATAACACAACATAAGCATTTCCAAGAATTGCCACACTATGCAAAATCATACAATAAAAACCACAGGACTTATGAGGAAAATGATAAGGTTAGGGCACAACACTCAAAATCTTCAACTCTGACACTAAAAAGGATAGAATTAATTTCTTAAAAGGCAGCACAGTTTACATGTTAAATGGTTAAGAAATATATAGACACTACTATAAATGACTTTATCTTGAAAAAGACCTGAAGTTTGCTTGAAAAAAAGAAGGTGTCAGATGTGTTGAAAACAGCTATCTGAAATTGGATAGGAAGTTATTAGCACCAGATATGGATGAGCGTGGCTTTTAACTTGTGGAAAACTGAGAATGCTAATAGATGTCTGAGGTATGTACATGTGTGCACACCATATATATATTTCTTACACAGCTGGTTCAGTTGGTTGTAATTTTCTGCTTTCATTTGTTTCTCAGGATGAAATCTTCAGTAAACATGAAATTCACATTATGCTTAAATTGTTCCCTAATATATTAAATATGCTAGAATATGCATTTTCAATGTCTAATAGAACCAGCTGTACTGTGGTTCTGTTTATCTTTGTATTCTCTACAATGTACATGGCAAATGTCCAACGTACATAGCAAATGTCTTCTGAGACATCAAAATGATCTTAGGGAAAAAAACACCTTCCATAAATAGAATGCCAAAAACTGCCCCCACCCCCAATTAGAGGAAAAGAAAAACTACTAATGGAATGGAACAGTATTTCACATAATCCTTATAAGTGAACATATGAAGTAATTCTCTCCATTTTACAGATGAGAAAATAATGGTTTTTAAATGTCTCTTATGTCAATGTCTATGCTTTTTCCAGAGTAAAAGTGTATTTATAATTAGAGCTATTATATATATATTACACTATAAAACTCCAAACTTAGGGCAAAGACAACTATAGCAATGTTTCTATCTCTTCCTGTAGCTAATTTCTAAGAATCATGACTATATGAATCAGAATCACATTTTAGAATTCTACAAATCTCCTTTTTAAAGGAGCTCTTTAACCGTAATTCTTCGACCAATTTCCCTCCACCATAGTTGAATATACCAGTAATAAATACATGAATGCTTCATGTAAATCACTACTAGTGATTTCAACCATCTGGAACCACTGCAATCTCAGAAGTTAAAAAGCAAAACAACACAAAACTGGAAAATAATAATAATAAAAAAAAAACCCACAAAAAAAGGGAGTGGGGGGAGGGAGGTTTTAAAGTGAACCAGATAAAAATAGCATAACACCTGAATATTACATAAAATGCACTATCATTTATCAACTCAATAACCACAAATAAAAAGAATCTAACTGGTTGATTATGGTTATAAAAAGTCTAAATCATTTAGTTGCAAAGAAGAGAATGATGGAAGAAAAACAGAGAAATAAACAGTGTTAAGTGATGGACAGCTAATGCAGCAACAAGGTTGAGAGAGAAATGGGGGTGGTAAGCAGGAAATAGTAAGACATGACAATAGATAAGATTGCTAGCCATAAGAATATTTTAAAATTTTGCTAAGGTTATGGGGAATAGCCCCTGAAGGCATACTTTGCACAGGTAATGTATATTTATAGTACAGCTCTAACTCTCACAGAGAATATCAGTCATCATTCAGTAAGGCTTAGGCATTTCAACTGTTAGACTGTGCTATGCAATAGGAATAGAGAATGTGACTGAGGAAGCATTAATAGAAAAGCTATTTATGAAAATGACCTGAGTATCATTTCATTAAACCACAAAATGTAATAAACAAATCAGGAATTGAGTATTAATTTGCATTCTATTAAAAAAAATCAGTTCACATGGACATTCCTTCCCTGTCAGACTAAATTTGACTTTTAACACTAATCATACTGATTTCTATTATAAGCTATCAACTTGTACATAATAGTTTAAATTTATGAATAATAGCAGGCCTGTATTTCTTTTGATCAGTATTATACATTGAAGACTGGATTGGAAAGCCAGGGACTTGGATTCTAACTACAGGTAAGTTACAATAAATATGTTGCTAAACTATTCATTTGATCTCTAGAACTGTTTATCTTTAAAACAGCTGGTTAAAACTAGATATCCGGGTTCCTTTTCAGTTCAATTATTTCTTGGTATTAACTATATCTGCATAACTTAAAATTACTAATGAAATAATTTCCACACTCAGGAAAAAACTTTGAAGCTGATTTTTATAGAACTGAAAAAATGCATTGAGTGCTTCTCCAACTTATGTCCAAATGCATCACCTGCCAATCTTGTCAAAATGTAGATTCAGTAGGCTCATAGACTGAGTTTCTAATAAACTCCTAGGTGATACTAATTTGCCACTGGTCTGGTGACTATATTTTTAATAGGGAGGTTCTAGGATTTGAAGAAAAGTAGTATTGACCAGCTAGGCTAGTCTAGATATTAGAGAAAGCAACTATGACCACGAATAAAACAACACAAATATATGCTACAAAATTTCTTGATAAAATATATCTGGGATCTGCATTAATAAAGGAGATGAGAATTGGGTGGAGGAAACGAGGAAGATCTAAGTTGCTAACTGAAGCTGACAAGGGTTTGTTAAATATTCTTCTATTTTTTGTATGTTTGAAATATCTAAAAATGTTAAAATTTTCTGATTCAAAAACCTATACAACATACCAAGACAATAAACCAAGTGAATGAAAATAGAGATGCCACATAGTCTTTCTGTCCATTGAAATGGGAGCCAAAGAGGGAGGAAGAAAAGCGAGAGAAGTGCAAAACGGGTGGCTCTGTGAAGCTACAAAGGGTATGTTTGTATTTAAGGACCTTACACATAATTCAGCGTCTAAAATACCAATGATATAGCTCCTTGTTTACATCCTTAAGAGAAACCTGAGGCCCAAATGACTTATTTCTTAAACACAATTTAAAATCCTTGTTAAAAATTGGTTAAATGTCATGAGATTTGATAGGGGAATTATCAATGTCCAAACAGTCTGTTAAAAATTATAAAGTGTGTTTTGAACAATATTGTACTATTTAAACACCCAATATCATATTATTTGCCATTTTTATAACTAGGCAAAACAAGAAATTTAGCCTACAGAATATAGGACAAATTCCTCTTGAAAAGCAACCACTGAATAATAAAATACTAAACTGAAGGTAACAATTACCTCTTGGGAAAGAATAAGGTTTGAACTAAGATCAGAAAGAGGTTCATATGGGATTTCAGTTCATTCTGTAACGTTTTCTTTCAACTAATATATAATTACGTTTAAAATATGGAATATGTTAGGTAGTGATATAGTTGAGTGAAGTGCATAGGTGTTCATTACGGTTTTATTTTTCCGCGTATTTGAACAGTTCTTAATGTGAATAATCTAATACTCTATAACTTTAACATGTACACTTTTATTTGCAAAATCTGAAACTAGAAAATTTAAAGGGAAGCTATTCAAAATAACAAAGAATAACTATAAAACTAAGGTTTTGCATAATCAATGAATATTACGGTTTAAAATTAAGACTTTCTGCTGAATTCTTGCCATCAGATTTCCTAGTATACTCAATTTCACTGAATTCTGTACTTTCTTCTGAATGAAAAAAACGTTTTCAGATTTAGGCTCCATTTTAATATATTAAGGCAGCCAGAAAATCCTGTTTGAAGTTCAGAGCTGCTCATGAGAGTATGTCTTTCTTCCTTAGCCTTGAAATTCCTGAGTGTTAAAATTACCTGTTTCACAGCAACTTTTTTATACATATGAAATCTTAAGTGCAGTCTATAATTAAATATGTGCATTTTATGATTGGGCTATCAAGTTCAAACAGAAAATATAAAGCTAAATCCATGGTTTCTTTTCATCTGGCTTGGGATGCTCTCTATAACTGCATTTTACATCTTTCTGCTTTATGAAACTAGTAAATAATTTTAAAACATTAGTATTTCTTTGTAGCAAAAAGACATATTAGGATAACATGTATTGTGGATAATGAAGTTTACTGTGGGCAAATCTGGCAGTCTGGGAACTGGCATTAGTTAACTAATTGCATAGCATTCCTTCACTTATCCTATTTGAGCCTCTGTAATAATCCTGTGAGGGGAGCAGAGCAGAACTTATTGCCTCCATTTTACAAATAACATTGAGGCTTTGAAAAGTGATTTGTCCTTTCCCTAGTAATTATATGGTGATACAAATAGATGTACATGAATGAATTAAGCTAATCACCATAATTTCACTATACTAACCTTAACTCTAGGAGCTAAAATGCTTCCAAAGTGTTAATTTAATCTCTAATATAATGATTCATTACACTTCCTGGTTAAGGAAAAATTTTCTTCATTGCTTTCAAATGCTAACGTTAAATATAAACTGTAGATATCTCTTCCTTAAGTAGGTACTTTAAAACCCATTTCCAAAATACATCTTCAATACCAAAAAATAATTTTTCTGATTATTTCTAAATATTCAAGTTAAGACCTCTATTAACAAAGCAGCTAAGTCCTAAGAATACTTGTTAGCTTGTTCACTCTAAGAGTCATAGAGTACTAATATACGACAAAGCTGTTTTTATTTTTACCTAACTTTTAATAAGCAATTCACTATATGCCAAGGCCTGGGTTAATTTGATGTACTGAATTAAAAATATTCTAGAATGTCAAAATCCCCCTTTAGTGACTTGGTGCTTTGGAAGGAAGGCCGTATTAGGGCATACTGTAAGACAGTATAGAATCTGCTGTAGTCCTTAGGCAGGAAGAGCTGGTTTCTGGTTATCTCCCACTAGGGAGACTGGGAACTCCCACCAGCTTAGCAACTGGCACAAACTAAGTCCACACACACAGCTCAGGACTTAGTTTCTCCTTCCCAAGGCAATCCCACCCACAATGAGCACCTGAAAAGGTGACAGAACCTACTTTCAAATATTATAGCCACCACTAATTACTGAGAAAAACTTCACCTTGAGAAGCTTTGTTCAATTACTATTCACTAACCCTGGTATTGGTTTTTTAGACTTTAGACTTATCTGATGCTGGTAGAGTTCCTCTGTGCTACGATGTTATTTTAAGAAAAAAACACAGATCACCTAGCTTCCAAATCATCCCAGACTGTTGACTCTAATGGTTCTTCTTCAGATGACAACAGTGACACTAGTGTAAACAAAATTATTTTACTTATTATATTCTTCTTTCTTGGAGGTAACTGAATTACTACATTAAGTATAGTAAAACATATTTTATGTTCCTTCATTTACTTTTTATTATCCTATGTGTAAGTTTTGCATAAGTGTGGGATATTTTATAACAGAACAAACCTAAGAAACATGTGTAACTCCAAAGTTATTTGATACCAATATATCTGTTTAGAAAAACTGACCGAAATATTTTGAATATAAATAGCACCCTAATTGTAACTGCTTAACAAGTTACAGTAGTAACATCCTCAGTTGTTAAATGCAAATTACTCTAAGTTTTTAAATACTTGAATGTATATCATTCTTCCCACCCAAGGCAAAAGCAGATATGCTGATATGCAGATATGCTGCTCTTTCTTCCCAGTAATATCAAGTTCTTTTTGTTAACTCACAAGGTAGTCTAAGATTAGTAAGAAATCTTTAGCAGACACAAAAGATGAAAGATGAAACTGCAGCAAGAGAGCATGGCAAATCCAAAAGATCTATTAGTGCATAAATCTACTGGAAAAAAAAAAAAAACAACAAGAACAAAAGAGATAGAATTAACAAGCTACAATAAAAGTTATGTCTTTAAAGCAGTAGATTATAACAGGGTGGGAAATGTTTAATATGTGTCCTCCTGAAAAGCAGTTACCATCTTTTAAATTAAAAAAAACCAGCTGGTATATTTTCACAGCATCTAGATTTATTTATGGTATAAAGCCATAGAATTGTAATATTATTACTCCTTTCCCACCCTGGCAGAGAATAAACATGAATTCAGAAGCACAGTGGAGTGAAAACAAAGAAGAGGAGAGAGAAAAGGCAGCAGAGAAAGACAGAAAAGGTGAATATAGAGCTACAGAAGTGTTTATTGAGCATGCTACAGGGGTAAGCAGAGTACACACAAAATGAAATTAAACAACCATCAAACCTCCCAACTTTGTTAGAAAATTAATTTTTAATTGTGCCGCTTTCAAACTATACTGAATTTTACATTTCTAAAGATGTAAAAACTCAACTAATAGAAAATATACATGACCATTCTGTCTACATAGATAACAGAATCTATGAATCTTGAAACTAAGTACATCAATTTCAAAAAGTATTGGTCATTTAAACAGAATCAACAATTCGGATTGACAAGAACTGTTCAAATTAATTTGACCTGTAGATTCTGAGCCATGTTTTTATTAAAGTCAGATCTATTCCTAAATACAAAATATTTTGAAGATTTATTAAAACTGAATATTACAATGCAAGGTAAATTAAGACTAAAGGCACATAAACTTTGGTCCCACCTGGTTGTCAGTTTTAGAAAACTGCCACAAAATTAATCTTCCTGCATATTTTCGCAGTACACTTTCTTTATCTTTGAAAAATACATGCACCAGTTCCTGAACTAGCTAGACCAGTCTGCACATGCTCAGAAATCCACAACCATATTCCAAATCTTAATTACAAACTAAGGATGGCAATATATATTTAAATGCACGTAAGTCATGTCAACTTCAAAAACATCTACGAAAAATATTCAGCCACAAACAAGACATTACTTAGTGCTGACATTTATATGATACGTCCCACAAGAGTGTGTACGAAAAGGTTAAGATTCCACAATGCTTTCCACATAGGGCTCAAACTTACAGAAATCACTTTGTTGTCTTAAGAAATTAATACTCTGCATCTTGTTAATTTTAACTAATGCCTACATTCATAACTGAATCTAGACCAGAATTGTGAGATACAAAAGGCCAATGTTGTTTTCAAAGCAATAAAGCCTAAGGTAGTAAAAACTAAAAATGCTGCTTTATTCTTTCAATATCATGTATCTTATTTGATTAAATAGAAAAAAAGGTGACAAGCCAGTAATTCAAAATAAGTTCCAAGCAGGAGAAACAAAAACTTAACCTTTTTACACACCCCTGCCTAAACATATTTTAATTCCCATATAACAGTGTGCCCTAAACAACCAATTCCTTTTTTCTAGTAAATGCACAATAGCAACACTAGTTTTCCTTTTTAAGGCACGTATGTCAACTAAGTTGAAAGGAAAAAAAAAAAAAAAAAAAAAGCAAAATTAAACTGAAATTTTAAACAGACAAAATGGCTTCCCTATAGAACAGATGAAATATAGCAGTTAACAACTCTGCCTTTACATATGCCATTTCATTTTATAACCAAGGAATGATAACAGCATGGAAAAAAAAAAGAAACCCCAAAAAAACAAAAACAAAAAAAATCAAACTCTGGTCCCCACTTTTCTGAACAGTCAAATAGGTGATGACATTGAACAATGTGATTCACCCCCAATCTTCATCTTCCCATTTTTAAATTGTTGACTTGGAGAAAGACACTCTCAGATGATGGTTTTCTCCAAGGTTATAATTATGAAGATCAATCAAGGCCTGAATAGCTTCTTCCACTGTTGCCATCTGAAGAAGAGCCATTTTGTGATCTCTTCTGAAACAAAATTATAAAATTAGACACTTCATACAAATTAGAAAGGGCTTATTAAATACTTGAATTTTGGCCATTCCGGAATCAAAAATTTCTATAAACGAAAAGAACAAAAACTACTTAAAAATTTTATCAGGTCACTAATTTAAAGATAAGGAAGCTTGCTTACTGAAAAAACTTAAATGCTTTCACAGTGCCCCCAGTGTTAGCGAACAGTGTTCGTAGATCCTCTTCTGCTACTGATGGACTAGGAAAATTGAATGGGAAGAAAAAGTGAAGATTAAGAATAAATTTCATATTTTATCAAAATAGAATGTATCTCAATACACTCTAGCTTATATACTTACGGGATATTAGATAGGTGAAGGGTGGCAGAAGGAGGAAAAATGTTTTGAAAATTTTTGGATCCAGGTTTCTTAAAACGATGCAATGGGGAATTACCAAAATCTTTTGTTAGCCCTTGATCATCAAGTCCCTCTCGAGGTAGCTGTACAGTCTGATGTTTAGACAGAGTAACACGAATAATTTTTCCATACATTTTCTGTCCATTAAGATGATTCATGGCTATAAAAAGAAAGCATGTCTATTAACAAACAATATCAAAGCTCAAAACAAACATAATTCTTTTAACGTAACAGTTTAAAAATTTGAATTTTCTTATGATTTTAAAATAAATCACCAATTTACCATAGCCACTGGTGATAAGACTTAAGTACATTTTCATTTGAACTAGACAAGGCATTCTGGCAAAAAAGCCAGCTACTTTCATAGAATGAAAATCCAGATTATGAATATCTATCTTCCTCAACAATCCTGCTAACAAATCGTATAGTGAGCTACACAAGAAAGAAACTTAATAAGCATCCCTAGCTCTTTTTCTCCCTTCTGTTACACATCCTAATTGCTAAATATTGTGATAGCCTTCCTCCTAATTGTCCCTCAAATTCATGATCTGTTTCTCTACTTCTCGCTGACATTATTTTTTATCTGGATAACTCAGTCTCATATTTGTCTTCCTGTTGGATAATTTTTCCAATCCATTTTCTATACAGCAGCTTGATGACCTTCATAAATTACAAATCTGATCACGTCAATACCTGCTTAAAACCCTTAAGGACAAAGTTGAAACTCATTCTTTAACATGGCTTATACCTTTCCCAGTCTGTACAGGTTGAGTATCCTTAATGCAGAAATCTGAAATCTGAAATGTTCCAAAATCCAAAACTGAGGGCCAACATGATGCTCAAGGGAAATGCTCATTGGAACATTTCAGATTTGGGAAGCTCAATTGGTATAATGCAAATATTCCAAAATCCAAACCTTTGTCTCTACCCCAGAACATAGTGCAGTGTGTGAAAACAGAACATTACATGACTATTTCTTGACATAGCTGCTGGATCATTTTTAAACTAAATGAACTGGTCTGATGCTAGAAAGTTATATGTTTTATTCACCAGTCAAAATAACTAAAAAAGACCATTTCTAATATGTCATGCACTTTGGCTAAACTGAAGGTCTAAATGACTATAATCAACTAGATAATAAAGTATTAACAGTAGATGCCGGGCGCGTTGGCTCACGCCTGTAATCCCAACACTTTGGGAGGCTGAGGTGGGCGGATCACAAGGTCTAGGAGTTCGAGACCAGCCTGGCCAATATGGTAACACCCCATCTCTACTAAAAATACAAAAATTAGCTGGGCGTGGTGGCTCGTGCCTGTGGTCCCAGTTACTCAGGAGGCTGAGGCAGAATTGCTTGTACCCAGGAGGCGGAGGTTACAGTGAGCTGAGATGGTGCCACAGTGCACTCCAGCCTGGGTGACAGAGCGAGACTCTGTCTCAAAACAAAAACAAAAACCAACAAAAAACAGTAGAGTTACAGATAAAGACAATGTGGAAGATCAGGAAATTAAGAATAGAACATCCACTTTTAAAGAGTTTCTAATATAAACAGTATACTACAGTATACATTTTGACACAGAAGATACAAAGAACTGGTTAAATCCATGAATCTAATCATACTTACATGTATAATAAACCAATTAAATATAAAACAGATCTGAAAAGGATAATGCTGTCAAAATATGAGGTACCATTCAGAAAAGAAACAAAAGTAAAATTCTTATTTTACCTATAACTTCCTTAAATTTTTCTTATTATGATAACCACTAGCCATTGAACTTACTTCCCTAATTTGTTTAAAAAAATTAAAAAAAAAAAGAGTCCACTCTTCCTGATTGTCACTCCAGTGTTATATATTTTAAGTTTTCTCAGATTTTTCGCCAAGGCTAAGCACAGAAAAAAAACAAAACAATCTTCTCACAAGTCTGAATTTTCTCATTTGTTTCTCACACTGCATTTCACATACTTAATTTCATATACTTGCAAATTTACGCTTACACCTGTAAAACCAATTATCTACAGTGACAGTACATAAAATCCTTTTACAATAAAACCCACTGAATTATAAAATTTTAAAGTTCTATAACTATTTTAAGTGAACAAACTTTTGTTTAGATAAACTACCTCAGATAAAATGTGTTATTAAGTGTGAGTTTGAGAAATAAAGTGATATAAATAAGTAGACTTAACGTTGTCAGAAAAAAAGCTGTCTAAATAAAAAGACAGCACAAACAGCAGAGCTTTGAGATAATGGAGGGAAAGAATAAGAAAATAAGTCCCAGGCATAGTAACTGCATACAGAACAGATGAGTGATAGAGGAATGGGATTAAAATAAAGCTAAATAACCAAACAGCTACCTCAGGAAGTAGCCAGGTAACAAGAGAGTTCTAGCCAGCTGATTGCTGACAATAGGATCTGAAGTGATCTAAAGGGGAAGGGGGATGATAATTAGAATACCAAAATTTTTAAGTAAAAAAGAAAACAAAAGCTTTGTCAAAAACTGAAAGTACACAAGGAGTAAACAGAGCAGAAGGAAATTACCTGAATTACTAATTTTAAATGAATAAAATTTTAAACAATGTGAATCTTACACTTGAACTCTCCTATTCCAAGAAATATGGCATAAATGGACAAGGCAATAATAAAGGAAAAAGTCAATGTTTCACAATTGAAATGACATTTTTGATTTAATGTAATTTTTTACATTTCCCTTAATCCATCTATGAAAGAGATTATTAACGAATAATAAAAATTTTAAAAGACCTCAAGAAATTTACAGACATAGTGGTGTTTATATGATGTGGAAACTGGAGCTTTATCAATGCTTCTCCCCTTTATAATTCAAAAAAATTTTTTTGTGTTACCACTCTCATTTTTTAATCAATCTTTAGATGTTTGTCTATTTTTTTAGTCTTTTCAAAGAATCCAACTTGTGGCATGTTTTTTTCTCTCAACTGTCTTTTATACCATTGATTTCCAGTCTTGTCTTTAATATCTCCTTCCCTGGGGGTAACACTGTTATTCTTAAAGTTAAAACTTCCCGTCAAGACTTCTCTTTCACTGTACCACATATATCTAATTTGTATATAGTACTTTATCGCTTAATTTTAAGTATTTTATATTCCCATTAAAATAACTTCTGTCTGGGCAACACAGTGAGAACTCATCTCTACAAAAAATAATAATAATAATAAATTAGCCGGGCAGGTGGTGCATGCTTTTAGTCCTAGCTACTTTGGAGGCTTAAGTGCAAGGACTGCTTAAGCCTGGGAGGTCGAGGCTGCAGTGAGCCACAATAGCACCACTGCACTCCACCCTGGGGGACAGAGCAAGACACTGGCTCAAAAACAAACAAACAAACAAACTTCTGACTCATGCAATACTGAGACTTATTTTTAAATCTCAGGATACAGATTTTATATGCATCTTTTTGTTATTAATTCTAACTTACTTGTGCAATAGAGAATGAGGTCTGTATGATACTCTTTGAAATTAGCTGAAGCTTGCTTTATGGTTTAGTATGTGACTGATTTTTCAAAAATGTTCCATATGCGTTTAAAAACTGTGTTGGATGCATAACTTAGACACATAATTCTGTTAAGGTAATTGTATTGTATCATTTGTATCTTTGTTGATTTTGTCTTTTTTTGGTCAGTTTGACATGTAATTCAGAAAAGTGAATTGAAATCCACCACTATAATAGATTTGCTCAAGTCTACCTGTAGTTCTATCTACTTATTATTTATATATTTTGAGGCTATTTCACTAGGCACACATATACATAAACTGTTATATCTTTCTAGTGAACTAAATCCTTTATCAATTCTGTCTTAAGTTAATAAAGGTATTTAAGTTTTGTCTTGCTTACTATCTGTCCAGTATATTAGTATCTCTTTACATCCTTTTCCTTTCAATCTTTCATATTCTTCTGCTTTACATGTCTCTTGTAAAAAGTATATAGCTAACTTTTTAAATACCAAGTTTGATAAT
Organism: Homo sapiens; assembly: GCF_000001405.40. Taxonomy (NCBI): domain Eukaryota; kingdom Metazoa; phylum Chordata; class Mammalia; order Primates; family Hominidae; genus Homo; species Homo sapiens. The sequence goes on along the minus strand of NC_000001.11, from coordinate 96,808,883 downwards.
CTTTTTAGTACACCATACTAAATAGTACACCATAGAGTTTTGTGTGGGAGTGTATGCGTGTGTGTGTGTGTGTTTGTGTGTGTGTGTTTTAAAGGAAATGATGGTGTCAGTACATACTTTTATGGTCACACAGTTCAAGAAAGCAAAATCTACCTAGCAGCAATGAGAAATGATGAATTATTTACCACTACAGATAGTCCAAAAATTATAAGCCCTACTAGCAAGTCAAAACTTTAGTGACAATATCTTATAAAATTTGGGATAAATGATTTACAAATTTAAGTACTATTAACTGAATTGTGTCCTCCCCAAATTTATATGTTGAAGTCCTAACCCCCAATGTAACTGTACTTAAAAACAGGACCTTTAAGGAGGTAATTAAGGTTAAATGTGGTCATTAAGGGTAAAGCCCTGATTCAACAGGACTAGGATCCTTACAAGGGGAAGAGACTCTTAACGTGCTTGCACAGTGGAAAGGCCACATGAGGACACAGGGGGAAGATGGTTGGCTGCAAGCCAAGAGAGACCTCACCAGAAACAATCTGCTAGCAGTTTCATCTGGGACTTCTAGACCCCAAAGTTTTATTTCTCAAAACTTTGAAGAAATACATTTTTGTTGTTTCATCTACTCAGTCTATGGTATTTTGGTTACAGCAGCCCAAGCAGACTACGAGCATGGCAAAAAATTAAAATATTACATAAAACAGTCTTTACATAAAACAAAAACTATCTGGAAGATCTGAGGTAATTCTACCACAGGTAATTACCAACCATAAAGACTATGCATCCCTTATTTAAATGACACAATGCCACCCATACCTCAAACAATTAGGGAAAAAAATGACATATTTGAGAATACTCCTATTATGAAGTACTGTTAAGTGCTACTTACAACATATATGAAAACAACAGCAATGACTATTCCAACCAGAGTACAGAAGTGCACACAGAGAAAGAGGAAAATATGTACTAAGTATCTTGACATAATCAGCACTTTCGTATCTCTTTAAAACACATACCACCATTTTAAAAATGGACAGCCAGATGGATAGTTTTATACCTCATCTGAGTTGCTAAGACTATTGCCAAGAAACACTAAAATTCAAACCTATTATGTGTTTGAAATTCAAAATTTTCTATGTGATGTCAAAGGCCAAAATTGGTCTAATATAGCAAGTTGTTCATCTCTGAGCAAAAATACACTCGTCCTTACATCAAAAATGGCAAATTTACAAATTAACAATGTGAATACAATCAGTCTGAGGCACCATTATCCCTGAATCTCAATGAACAGAAATGTAAGAACATCCTGGCATTTACAGTCAATCACTGGTGTGAATGTGCAGGTGTGTTCTAGATTTATGTATTCGAGGATGTATGAAGTCAAACGACATAAGTTTAATTAAAATAATCAATTACTTATTTAAGTAATGATATAAAGTGTAACCTGACTAAAGTGCCTTTTAAGATTCCCAAAGGGATTAACAACAGTGTTTTTAGCACAAGCTTTTCATTTTCTAAGAACCTGGTATCGCAAGACTTTAGAAGAATTAAAATAACATGGCATTAAGAAGGATTCTATGGACTGTATGAACAGTTAGCCTCTATTAACAAGGAGTACCTAGAATAAAAATCACTATGAATCTTCAATATAAATGATATAATTCTCATGTGAAACTATTATTACAATTTTGAAGCTAAAATCTCTTCCTATTATGAGTGCATTTGAAAAACAGTAGGAGGATAGCAGAAAAATACAAATATGTTCGTCACATACAACTATTCACATTAAAATGACATTTTGAGCCCTGGCCATTAAAATAATTTCTTACTGATGTAAAGGAGTTTATTTTTATTCGCACATTCACATTATGCATTTGAAAGCAGAAGTGAAGATGTATAGATAAAACATAGTTTAATCTTACCAAGTTGTGATTGGTTTCCATCAGCCATCTGTATTAGAGCGCTGTCTTTCTTATTGTATAAAATCTTCACACGCTGCACATCTCCATAAACACCTTTTTTGGAGCCACAGAGAGGTAATCCAAAAATGGAATTAATTTTATGTGGAAGTCACCTAAAGATTATCTTTCTGACATATCAATGAAACATTCAGACATCAACATGATCACTCAATCTCATCATTCTCACAAATGAATAAAGAAGATCAAGATTTTGAACAGTGAATTTTGAAAAGAATAATTTTTGATAAACCCTCAAAGCTATGTGAATGATATTAAATTAAAGACCATGCAAAATAAATTAGCATGCATTAAAACAAATTTTGTGTCTATGGAGAGTTTTAAATAGCAAAGAAAAATAGCAAAAGATTTACTATTCAACTTTAAGCCAAAGTGCTAGCTACAAATAAGAATTAAGGTGAAACAAAAATCAAATCAATAATAAAAGTATAGTGCTAACAATAACATACCGAAGAGGGTAAACAGACTTTGGGGCGTAACCATCTTTAGAAGGAGAGAAGAGCAAGCAGCGTAAGACAAGAAGAGAGAAGAGTCGAGGAAGAGCGGAGATGAACAGATCATCCATAACGAAGGGTGGTTCCCGCAGAATGGTGAGGTGGTCATGGATCATGGTTCAAGGCGGTTAATTGGGGCAAGTTGGTCCGAGGAACATTTGTTCAAGCACAGAAGCATGAACATAGGGAATGGAGACAGGGAATGAAGACAAGGACAAGGAAAATAAAGGATAAGACAGGGAAGGGAATGGGCATTTGGGAAAAGACAAGGAAAGGGAAGGTGAACACACAGGGAAAAGGATGAAATGGGGAAGGGAAACAGCAATGCAGAAGAAAAAAATAAGGAATTGGGGAACAAAAACAAAATAAAATATAGGTCAGTACATAGGAAATGCAGGAATTTGGTCAGAAAATGGTTGGTTTATGTACTGTACAAGAAAAACTGAGTAAAATGTAGTCATCCAAGACAAATATGGGTAAAGTACATCTATATCAAAGAGTAAATTACAGCATTTCATCTCAACATAGGGAAGGAAAGCATGCATAGGAATTTTAAACTTTGAACTTTAACTGCATAAGCATGGCTGGTTATGAAATGCAGGCAAAAGTCTTAAAATAAAAACAAAGGCACTCTGATTCAAACATTTTAGCATGCAGAACTGTGAATGATAATAGTATTAAATGGATAAAATAAGCTAATGTTCATATTAACAGAGGCCAATTAAAAATGAAACAAATATTCAAATTAGACATCATAAACTGATACACTGAGCTTCCCACATTTCATACCAGCTTTCATAGCATTCAAAATAAAATATACCAGACATAAAATGTACAACTAAAGAAAATAACTTAGCAATAAATTTTATTTAACTGGGTGGAGGGGGTGGTAAGGAAGGAAGGGGTGGGGGAATAAAGTTAAAAAATATTTTTAGAAGACAATGACTAATAACTGCAAAGAAAAAATTACTAAGAAAGACGGGAAGAGTGCCTCGTCAAGATCTTTGGAAGAACCTTCAAAGAAAAATGTATTAGAGTAGTTCACATAAAATAAGATTTAAAAAAAATGCAATGACATATAAGCATGAAATGAACAAGCAAATAATTAGAAAAGGCAAAGAGCAAAATTGTTTTACAGTTAAATTTGCAAATTAGATCACATTTGCCTTTGAGAACAACAAAAAGATAAGCCAAACTACAGTACTTCACCATATTTTTCTTAGGAAAAATAGGTTAGGTTAAAAAATATACATATATAGATATAGATATAAAGAGACATGACTGTTTAAGGAAATAAAGTATTACCTAAACAATATGTAGATTTTATTCAGAAGTAGAAACATACAGAAAATACTTTGACTAATGAATGTACATAAAAAGAAAGGCAAGTGCAAAATGAAATAAACATGAAAAACTTTCACAAATGAAATGGAGTTAAAGAATAAACATTAGAGATTATTTTACTAACCTCTTCATTTAAATTGCTAACCAACAGGACTGTATTGCCACCAGCTGAGACTCCAGGCATACCCACTCGGCCAGCAGCAGCTGCAGCAGCTGCTGCAGCAGCATTTGGAATGGCCAAAGGACTCAGAGCTCCTGGAACAGCTGCAACAGGAAGCCCTAATTTTAAAATAAAGCATATTTTACGAAACACACACAAGTCGTTTACAAAAACCAATTTAAGCACGATGGCTGCATGGCTTACGGCTGACCATTCCAAATGGTTCCTGAAAGTTAATTTTTATAGTGTTTAGAAAAATTGTTTGCTGATGTGTAGTAAAGAAAAATAATTGATTTCAACAAAACCATTAATTATTTGAACTAAAGTACATACCTGTATTATGTTAAAATATCAAATATATAATACTCTATTTCCTCTGGAAAAGCAAACAAAGCATGAAAAATATAATTCCAAGTCACAGGCTTGGAAAATTCACTTCCACGATTTACAGTAAAAGGCCAAATGTAAAAAAGTATCACTTTCGACATAATGGTAATTCACTTTTTTCCGCAAGTGCTATCTTCTTCATAAACTCACACTTGAAATCAAATAATTACAGCTTATGAAACAAAGGTAGTAGTCTTTCAGCTCCTAGAGACAAATCACTCTGAACATCATTATTTAATTCATGCAAATAAAGAAAATCTTAGCAAAATGTGCTTGCCTTCTTAATTATACACTCAAGTAATTAAAATGAATACAAGTTCCTTCAACACAACACTCTCCCGGTTGAAAGAACAAGAAACCATCACTATACAACACAGATTTTGTTTCAGTATTTTCCTATCCTTTCCCAATCTATGTTATCATTTCCTTCTTATTTTATTGTTCTAATTTCCAGTCTTATTGCTGTCCTACTATCTTTAAGTCACCATATTTTCATTTATTCTAGACAGAATTCCCTTTTGTGTTAGCACCGTTCATCTACTTTTCAATTACCAATCAACTTGGAATATTTTCATCCCTTAAATTCTTACACACCCAGCTTATTTCTCATAAATACTGGTTCACTCAAGAAACGAATTATATGTTCTTTTTTATCTTCCCAACATAAAGGAACAAACACCCAAACTAAATGAATTTGATTTCATAACATACCTGGGTAGAACAGGCCCTTAGCACTCTTGTTCCATAAGTTCACATTTTATTTCTTCTTTCTTTCCAGCTTTCTGGTGCATTTCATAAGAATCTGCTGTTACCTTTGGTTTTAGAGATCTTACTCTTTTAAGTCAAGTTTTTGATCTTTTGACTTTATAGAAACTACTATGACCTTTCATTGGCAATCTGAAGCGCTCTTTAATATTCACAAACCTTAACCTAAGTTTTTGACTTATAAAACTTTCCCCTCCATCTCTTTTTAATTCAGCCTTTATCTCTTCTGAGAACTCTGTCAGTGGCATATGTTTCTCATTTAATACTCTTGCTCTTGATGAGTTTCTTTTCACACCTTTTTGCCTGTACCTTTTTTTTTAGGCTCTCCTTTTTTTCTTACTTTGCTCCCTTTTTTTTATGGCTATACATTTTGTTTTGGAAGATTTCCAACATATACAAAAGTAAAAGTGACTAAAATAATGCAACTCTAAGTAGCCATCACCCAACTTTAACAATGATCAACTCATGGCCAATCTCGTTTCATCCCCTTTTATTCTTAAAGTAAATCTCAGAAATTAGGGTCCAATTTTAAAATTAAGAATTCTCATGTTTAATACTTACTAATGCACAATAGTCTTCAGTGTGTCTTTGAATACACCAATGTGGATCTTTTCAACCAAATATTCTACTATATTACTAACTTTTCCATGTTAAATACTATACCTCTCACTATCCTCCCCATAAGTTGTTCTCATTTAACATTCAATGGATACGTTCACTTGTTGTCAAGTATACATTCCTAATTCCTAGGCAAACATTCCTACACACAACAATTTTTTTTCTTGCAGTCTTGAGAAGTGACCTCCCCATATTGTAATACTATTCGTCAGTATTTTCAGATAGCTCTGACTGAATGCACAGAATATTTGACTAAAGTTGACAATACAATTATTTATTAGTAGCAGAAACTCCAGATGTAGTCATTATATTGTTACATCATTCTATTTTCCTGCCTTTAGTTAGCTACCTTTTAGGAAAAACAGTATCTTAAAAATTCTATTAAATTCCATAGTCTGTATGAGATCCCACTGATGGCAAACAAACAAAAAACCACCAACTTCAATATGGCATGCAGAAGAAGTTCAGTACCAAGCCTCAAATTCCCTTTTTAACAATAAAGTCTGTTTTCAAAAAGTCCATCAAAGATATTTGGACTAGATCTTTGCCACAATAAAAAAATTAAATCACTTTAATTTCTGGTTTCACTTTTAATTCTAACAGGAAGAAGTAATTCTAAGGGCCCACTAAGCCAAAAAATCTTAACTGAGGAATTATAATTAGTTACCAAAATTAAAATAATCTAAAAACTCTAATCACTAGCATTTTCTCTGTACATCTCTTGACTCTTATAACCATCTACTGTTCATTAAAATACTCTGTATCTCCTGCTTATTTAACTATAATTGTCTTCAACTTTGTATCCCACAGTGAAAAAGTTCTCAAACTTTTTGGTCTCAGCTCCCCTTTATAGTCTTAAAACTATGGAGAATCACAAGGAGTTTTTGTTAATGTGGGTTCTTTTTTTTTTTTTTTTTTTTTTCGAGACGGAGTCTCGCTGTGTCTCTCAGGTTGGAGTGCAGTGGCGTGATCTCGGCTCACTGCAAGCTCCGCCTCCCAGGTTCATGCCATTCTCCTGCCTCAGCCTCCCAAGTAGCTGGGACTACAGGCGCCCGCCAACACGCCCGGCTAATTTTTTGTATTTTTAGTAGAAACGGGGTTTCACCGTGTTAGCCAAGATGGTCTTGATCTCCTGACCTCGTGATCCACCCGTCTCGGCCTCCCAAAGTGCTAGGATTACAGGCATGAGCCACCGCGCCCGGCCTAATGTGGGTTCTATTAATGGTTGTCATTTCCAAAATTAAAACCAATAACTTTTTTTTTTTTTTTTTTGAGATGGAGTCTTGCTCTTGTCCCCCAGGCTGGAGTGTAATGGCGAGATTTTGGCTCACTGCAACCTCCACCTCCCAGCTTCAAGTGATTCTCCTGCCTCAGCATCTCGAGTAGCTGAGACTACAGGCACCCACTACCATGCCTGGCTAATTTTTGTATTTTTAGTAGAGATGGGGTTTCACCATGTTGGCCAGGCTGGTTTTGGTCTTGAACTCCTGACCTCAGGTGATCCACCTGCCTCAGCCTCCCAAAGTGCTGGGATTACAGGTCTGAGCCACTGCGCCTGGCCAAAACCACGAACTTTTTAAAGCACATAAACACACATACTATTAGCCTTCAGTTACCACTGTATGCTATTAAGAGAAAAAGTAAAAAGAGGCAAAATACACTTTAGTATTACCGTGAAAAGTAATACTAAACTTTGTGGGCCCCCTATGAAGATCTCAGGAACTCTCACAAATCTCTGGACATTTGTAAAATGCTACCAAATATTCACATGCTTTATACATATGGAGTGCTCAAAAATTACTAAGGAATTTAAAAAGATACATTTACTCACTTCAAATAAAAGAAAATGCTGTAATATATGACACATGTTTTTTAAAAGAATGCTGAGTTAATTGACACTCCCAAACTTTAAGCTCTCAGTCATCTCCTACTCATTTTTCCCTCCTGAAATCTCAGGAAAAAGTATAAATTCATAAAATATATAAAAAATTATCAATCTATTTAAATACAGTATTGATCTAAACATACCAGCCTAAGGTTAATACTTTATTTTTATGAAAAACTGCTTCATATCTTGAGATACAACCCTACCGTGCCACTATACATTTTAACAATCTAATGAAAATTACTTACCAAAAAAATTTAAAGATGGTTAAAAACATGTTTAAAAGAATTTTAAATATTTAAGACATAATTGTTTTCAAAATACATTTTTTTTTTCTTGAAATCTGGGTTTTCCAGTAGAGATAACTTGGTGGTATAATACTGTTTAGAACATCAAGCCTTTTCATGGAAAAATAGTAATTGAGAATTAAAGTAATTAGTTAATAATTAAAATAAATTTATAATGGTAATTGAGAATTAAAAGCCTAGGCTAAAGCTTCCCCACCCTTTATTTTTTGAGACAAGGTTTGCTCTGTCACCCAGGCTAGAGTGCAGTGGCATGATCATGGCTCACTGCTGTTTCTATCTTCTGGGCTCAGGCAATCCTCCCACCTCAGCCTACTAAGTAGCTGGGACTACAGGCACATGCCACCAGGCATGGCTAATTTTTTTTATTTTTAGTAGAGACTGAGATCTCACTATGTTGCTCAGGCTGGTCTCAAACTCCTGGCCTCCAGCAATCCTCCCACCTTGACCTGTCAAAGTGCTGGGATTACAGGTGTGAGCCACAACACCTGGTCTAAAGCCCTTTTTAGTGTGACAGATCTGAAACATTAAAAAAAAAAAAAAAAAAAGCCAGAGAATGCTACCTTTTACTAAATAATCTTGTACTTTAGTAAAAATAAGACTACCAATCTTCTAGACAGAAAAATTTGGGCTCGAAATAGATGAATTTACCTCTTTCTAAGGAGGTAATAAAAATCTTACCAAAAAAGGGAATACAAGGTGTGAGGTCCCCACTGTCTGAATGCTAATTCAGTGTCCTCACCTGTCGATTTACTTCCACCATTCCGGACCACCCTGTCAGATAATCTATTATGTCCAATGATCCTTCCTTTTACACAGTTCACAGTATGGTGTAAGAATGCTTTAATAGGTAAAAGAAGCCACCACCTGTCCTTAATGCCACTCGTATGTATTTCTCTTTCATTATTTCCTCCCCGCGGCTGATAACTTAGAAAAACTACTTAGGCTATCTTTACACCGTTCTAAATCACTGGAGTAGTCTAAGATTTTCCTGGACTTTTAAAGCCTCTGAAGATTCTCCAATTTCCCTCAATATACTTTTGTCTGAAAAACTACTTTGTCAATCAGGTATTTTTAGGTTTAATCTAAATGCTGTCTGCTGCAATAAAAATATAAAAACCTACAAAATATTTCATGATGCACTATTTATATAATTAATACATTCTAGAAAATAGTTCTGTTCTTAACTCCCAGCTAAATGAGAAAACAATAAACTTACCAAGGGCCCTTTGAGAAAGTTATAGAAAGCATATTACACATATTGTATACACTGGCTCTAACAGATTACTTTTAGCTACATAAATTATAATTTTAACTTTAATGATTTGCATCTTTAGCTAAGGCAGCAGATATGTGAGGAAAAAACTGTTTACACATGTTGATGAGAGGGATAAAAATACTTGATCTATCACAAGGTCAGGAGATCGAGACCATCCTGGCTAACACGATGAAACCCCATCTCTACTAAACATACAAAAAAATTAGCTGGGCGTGGTGGCAGGCACCTGTAGTAGCAGCTACTCGGGAGGCTGAGGCAGAAGAATGGCACGAACCCGGGAGGCCGAGTTTGCAGTGAGCCGAGATCGCACCATTGCACTCCAGCCTGGGCGACAGAGCAAGACTCCATCTCAAAAAAAAAAAAAAAAAAAGCTTGATCTATTCTGAGGATTGCTATAAAGATAAAACAATGTAAAAGAGCTTCATAAACGATCATGTGCTAAAGAAAAGAAGGTGTTGCAGGAATCTTTTTCATGTGAAATGGCCCTCATCAGCTGGGTCACCCAGACATTTTGAGTGACTCAGTAATCTCCTAAAATTCTCATGTTAGTTCTGACACTATTATTCCTAACCTTTCCTCCACTGAAGCTGATGGATGCCCAGTCATGTATATGACAAGAGACCCTAAGTCCAGAGAGAAGTGATATAAATTATGTATCTATTCTTTTCCTTTCAGATATTACACTGAAACACACAGGTATCCCTAACCTTGCTCATTTCAACTGAAGAATTAAACTGGTTTTGTTAATTAAATCATTTAGAAATTGTATCTATAATTTTTAGCTATTTTAAAAGGTTTAGATTTACAAACAAATTTAAGACATTACAGAGTTCTTATATAACCTGGAAACCGCAGTTCCCCCATTATTAGCATCATACATTAGTATGGTATTACAATTTATTAGTTCTTGCAATTAATCAACCAATATCGATAAATCAACAAAAGTCCATTATCAGATTTCCTCAAATTGCATCTAATGTCCCTTTTTTGTTGTTCCAGTATCTCCTATTACATTTAATCATCTTGTCTCCTTAGGTTCCCCTTACTTTTGAGAGTTTACTCTATGATTTTGAACAATGTCAAATTTATCCCTCCATCTGCCATTCTAAAAGTTCCATCCAAAGTAATTTATGATTTCTTTTGGTCTTACTTCTTTTCCCTGTTCATAACATCTCGTAGTTATTAGTCTTGTGTACTACTGAACAGAAGAGCATTAGTGGTGGGACTCTAAAGCCCTTTCTAATTCTTTTTGTATTTTTGAGATGGAGTTTCACTCTGTCACACAGGCTGGAGTGCAATGGCATGATCTCAGCTCACTGCAACCTCCACCTCCTGGGTTCAAGCAATTCTCCTGACTCAGCCTCCTGAGTAGCTAAGATTACAGGCGCCCACCACCACACCTGGCTAATATTTGTATTTTTAGTAGAGACAGTGTTTCACCATGTTGGCCAGGCTGGTTTTGAACTCATGATCTCAAGTGATATGCCCACCTTAGCCTCCCAAAGTGCTGGGATTACAGGCATGACTGGGATTATAGGCATGAGACACCACGCCTGACAGCCCCTTCTAATTTTTTTTTTTTTTTTTTAGAGACAGAGTCTCGCTCTGTCGCCCAGGCTGGAGTGCAGTGGCACGATCTCGGCTCACTGCAAGCTCCACCTCCCGGGTTCACGCCTTTCTCCTGCGTCAGCCTCCCGAGTAGCTGGGACTACAGGCACCCACCACCACACCCAGCTAATTCTAATTCTTAAAGTATAGTCAGCCCTCTGTATCTCTGGGTTCCGATTCAACCAACCTTGGATCAAAAATATTTGGGGGTAAAACAATGGTGTACTGCAAATGTATAGAAAGTTGTTCTTGTCATTATTCCCTAAACAATACACTATAACAACCATTTACATAACATTTATATTGTACTGGGTAATATAAGTAATCTAGAGATGATTTAAAGTACACATAAGAGGTTGTGTATAGGTCACATGCAAACACTATACCATTTTATGCAAGGAACTTGAGCATCAGTGGATTTGAGTATCCAGGGGGTGTATGGGGTCAGAGGGTGGGGGATGGGACTGTGTGTGTCCTAGAACCAATCTCCCATGTATACCACCAAGGGGTCTGGAAGGCACATTTTACATTTCCTGATTTGAAAATAAAAATTTTACTTTTCATAAGGATGACAACTGCTATTCTTTCTTGAAACAATTCAATCCTCTTCCTCTTCCACCAACCTTCCCTTGAGTTCTTATTTTGCCCTATGGAATCCATTCTCTTCTACCACTAACAACTACACTTTTATTCTACCTGTTCCTCAGATTAACTTTTTAATTAAAAACTTACTTTTCTTCTAATGAAACTTCTACAATTCCCTCAAAAAGTCATTTTTGGTCTCCCTCAACTTTTCTCCAAAGGTAAGAATAAGGATGCATCATGTGCCACTCTACCTCACCGCACAATGTTACTTTCAAACTGCTGTTCCACCACCATCAATGAGGATGGCTTCCGATGTCAATGCCACCCAATCATACCACACTCTTTCCCATCAAAATAGCCATTGGATTACTGGAACATCTCCTCCCATTACATAAAGACTTCAGCACCTGGCTTTATTTCCCTCTTCTCCATTCCCTGCATCATCCTATGACTTTTCCAAGACTCTGGTCTCATGATTTCTTAAAAACATCTACTTTGCCATCCATATTAGCAACTTCTTTTGATACATCTTCATTTTTCTTTCCTCTGTCTCTTTTTGTAATGGTCATTCAACACTTATATCTCCTTTCCTAACTTCATTCTTTTCTTGATCTGCCTATTCCCACACAACCACTAAACCCACTTTTGACCTTTATGGTGACCCCCTTTCTATTCTCCCTTGACTTGACTTTACCATAGAGTCAAGCTTAGGCTCAAGCTTAGGCTTGAGCCAACACTCTGCTCATTTGCTACTATTCCTTTAATGTTACACAATTCCAGACTTAGATAAATCCAGTCTTACATTCTGTCTATGCTTTCATCTGGGCTTGACAAATACTAGAGTGAAAACACACACACCCCACAAATGCTAATTCTAGAAATATTTTGTTATCCACTTTTAGCTGAATTTCCAGTCCATTTTTGAGAGTTTCCCCAAATCTAGTAGAGTCTTATGTCTACTTTCCTACTTTCAACTTGTTAAACAAGTGCCTTATAATTTTTAGATCAGAATTCAATCAAATCTTTCAACCAACTTCAAAATCCTCACTTCTTTCATCTGTTCTTCTTTCTCCCTTGCTTCATAAAGACATATAATGGTGACAGGAAAGAATAATGACTGTAACACTGATGATTTCGGTTCTGCTTCCAGCTCTGCACCTACTTCTTTTTTTTTTTTTTTTGGTGGAGACGGGGTCTTAATATGTTGCCCAGGCTGGTCTCAAAATGTTGGCCTCAAGCAGTTCTTCTGCCTCAGCCTTCCCAAGTGCTGGGATTGCAGGTGTGAGCCACCATGCCCAGCCAATGCACCTACATTTCTGTGTGAACTTGGTAAAAAATCTCTTCTGGTTCTAACAATGGTCCTAAAAAGCATCTCTATATTTAAATATTTAAATCCCAACATGTCCACTATACTCCTGATCTAATCCTTGCAATCAATTCTAGGACTTAAATTAGCCTTAGAAACAAATACTAGTTAATAGGTAGCAAGCATTTATTATATACCAGGCACTGTGTAAAGTTATTTGCACATTAACACATTTAATCCTCACAACAGCCTTAAATGAAAGGGATTATTATCATTATGTCCATTACAAACATGGAACCTGAGAGGACTCCAAACCCATGTTTTAAATGATTATACATACTGCCTCACTGCAAACACTCCCCCCACTGGGTCCTGCTTTACTTCTGATCTACCATCCTATTTCTTCTTCCTTTCTATGGCAAACTTCCTCAAAGAGTACAGTGCATACTTTCTTATCACGTTTATATCCTTAATTCCTTGTAATTTGATTTATATACTCTTGTGAATAACAGTACGTAACTACTGTACTGAATGATCACTACTAATTTTAATCCTATTTGATCCCTAGATTTCTTGTTTATCTTATCTATAACATAAATATGCACTGCTTAAAGTTTAATTACAATGCTTTAATCCTCTTGCTTTCTTATACCTGGGAAATCTTGAACCAAAATTTTAAATATCACATCTCTGGCCTCTGAATTCACAACTCCACAGAACTCTTACCCAAGTCTTAGGCTGAATTTCCTACTGTCCAGTGGACTCCTCCACATGCTTCATTTTTCTCATAATCAATCACATCAGTAAGATGCCAAGTCCTATTACTTTTACATATAATTTTCCCCATATTTGTTTCTTACTTTGCATTCTCATTTTACGTTCCTAGCTTAGATTTATAATTACATCTTAATTAGACTAATAGTCTCCCACCTGTTATTCCTAGTCTCCATTTTCACTTCTCCAACATACTCTGGAGCCACAGTCAGTTTCTTAAAACTAAATTGGTCATTTTTACCCAACTGCCTAAAAATAGTTGATGAATCCTTCACAGCAGTGGTTCTTAACTCATCCCCCGCTTTCATAACCTGAAAAAAGCCAAACATCTAAAACTTGGTACATAATATCATCAAATGGTCGCAGACACTCTGATGCTCATCTTCCAGTCATAAAGGAGTTTAAGAATTCCCATATTAAATTCATACTCCCTGGGTAACACTGGTTTTAAGATCTTGTCCCATAATACTTTCTGGCATCATAGCCTTTCATATTTTTTCAATTATCCTATTCGTCACACATAACTGAATGTTCATCACACCTAAAACATGACATATACTCTATCACATTTAATCATGCTGTTTTTGGCCCATAAAACCCTCCCAATTTCTCCTTTTGTTGATGGATCACTCATTTATGTGCTGATAACCACACTAACTCCACTATATATTTCAGTTTGCCTCCAATTAGATCTAACTCATATGTTTTCTGTCTCTGATAAGCTTCATGAGAACAGAAACCCTGTTACTCTTCTGAATCTCTAAAGTGTCTAGCATAGTGTTAAAATGACTGCTGAATAATACAATAAAGAATAAACCAGGATGACACTGAAATGAGCCAACATCCTTCTAGGGCTATGAAATGTTCATGGCAATTAATTGAGGGTAGCCTTTTAGAGCTGCTAGTGAAAATCTTCTGCATAACCTTTACCTCCCTGGAAAGAATCATATTTTATACTTTGGTCACAAACATATATAGTTTTTCTTCTACTAAATGCAGAAGCAACAGAAGTATTTTCTTTGTTTTAGCCATACAACATATATTTGTCAACTCTTAAAAACACAATTTCTTCAATAAAATCTGCAATCTGATTTGATTTAAACCTATCTTTATGCAGAAGATTTCATTACACAAGGCTGGAGTTGATTACCATAGAATTTAGGCTGTTTGGCCTTAAAAATATTAACCCTAAGATGAATACAAGAGAGGTCTTCAAGTATCAACGGATTGTCACAGAAAAGGGGAAGGTAATGGAAAGTAAGTATTAACAAATGAAATAAATTTCTTAAAACTACAGCTGAGAACAATATAATGGGTAAACATAATGGATCCATTTAAGCAAGACTATGTGAAAAGTTTTTAATGGATGATCAGATAGTCTTAAGTATCTGCCCTGGACAGTTAAACCTTTGAAAAACATTTTATAGTCCTATAGTAATAAGCTTATTTCATTGAAAATGCTGGTCAGTATGTAAACATGAAATGACGTAGTAACATTTTTTTCTCATCTGTAGCCCGTAATACCTTCAAAGTTCCCAACTACCATCAAACATATTTCCTTTACTCAGATGATAAAAATCATTCCAGATGTAAAACACATTCATTCAAATATTATTTATAATGGAATTAAGAGTTGAATAAGCTCTCTAAAAGACACAGCTTCAAATTAATTTGTGACTCAAAAATAAAAATTTTACCCAGTGTTAAAAAATTTTAAATGAGGCCAGGCACGGTGGCTCATGACTGTAATCCCAGCACTTTGGGAGACCAAGGTGGGCGGATCACGAGGTCAGGAGATTGAGACCATCCTGGCTAACACGGTGAAAGCCTGTCTCTACTAAAACTACAAAAAAAATTAGCCAGGTGTGGTGGAGGGCACCTGTAGCCCCAGCTACTCAGGAGGCTGAGGCGGCAGAATGGCGTGAACCCAGGAGGCGGAGCTTGCAGTGAGCAGAGATCCCGCCACTGCACTCCAGCCCAGGCAACAGAGCCAGTACTCCAACTAAAAAAAATAAAATAAAATAAAAAATAAACAATTTAAATGAACAACTCTATCTACTTTAGCTCTTCCAATGTTTTTTCCAAAAGACACATTTTAAGACTTCAAAATTAACATTTTAAAAATTCAGCTATAGCAAAGCAGAGGACAGTTCAATAATCCAAAGAAGTCAACATAATTTAAAATTGCACATATAAAGAGGCATGCTCCAACTATTTTTTACTTCTTAGATATTAAAACACATGAAATGAGAAAGCCGAAGTTATGGGACAGTTAGGACAGGTATTATCATGTGACCTCTAACCAAGTATTTCTGATTTATGTTGAAAATAAAATATTAATTTTTAATTTACATGTATTTTTTAGTTTGGTGTTACTATGGCATTCAGCAATGTGCTTCAAAATCTATGTATTTTTAATATTTCTGGGAAATACTAGCATGTTTAGGTATGTGTGATTACTTTGGTCTTTCTTGGGGGACAGCTTTCAAATATGTCTGCAGTAGATGAGTTTTTTGGTTTAATTTTATGGCTATTATTTGCTATAATTAGTCTTAATAAAATATAGAAAAGGATTTTGAAAAAATAAGATTGACATAAATTTTAACGTGTTGTTTGTCAAAAAGATAAAAATATAAGTTCAATTTATTATTTGCATGTTACATATCTACCCGTTTTGTACCCAATTTTGAATCAATGCATGAACAATACACATTTTTGGTATTTTAATCAATAAGATAATCAGGCTAAATACTTAATGGACTTGGTAACAAAAAATATCTTAGTATGTAAAAAAAAAGCAAGCTAAAATGATGGGACTTAAATTTTTACTATATGTATATTACTATTCTTGATAACTATTCTACAGGTGAGAAGACGACAGGCTAAAATGTCAAGCTAATCTAATTTTATTCCACTATTTATTAGTCAGGAGTACGGACTTTGGAACCAGACTACCTGGCTTTCAGTGCTAGGGCTCGGCCACTCAAAAGTTAAAGGAATCTGGGCAAACTGTTCTTTGTACCCTACTTTCCAAATCTATAAAATGGGATCGATAATGGTAACTACATTTAGAGATGATGTATTAACTTACTTGTAAAGGGCTAAGAACAGTGCCTGACACAGAACACAAAAATGGTTAATATTAGTATTCATATTCATCAAACTTTTGGCTCCTAGGATTGAGACAATTTCATTCTAAGCTACAGTATTTTAAATGTTTGTGTCACAAAATAATTACATAAAAAACTCTAAGCAGGCTAGGCGCGGTGGCTCACGCCCGTAATCCCAGCACTTTGGGAGGCCGAGGCAGGAGGATCAGGAGGTCAGGAGATCAAGACCATCCTGGCTAACACAGTAAAACCCCGTCTCTACTAAAAAAAATATGAAGAAATTAGCTGGGCGTGGTGGCGTGCGCCTGTAGTCCCAGCTACTTGGGAGGCTGAGGCAGGAGAATGGCGTGAACCCAGGAGGCGGAGCTTGCAGTGAGCCGAGATTGCATGCCACTGCACTCCAGCCTGGGTGACAGAGCCAGACTCTATCTCAAAAAAAAAAAAAAAAAAAAAAAGCACAACTCCAAGCAACAGAGGTGGAATTTAAGTAACCAGTATTAAGTTAATAATTTTTGAGCTATTCCTAGGGTGGCAACTATTGCAAAGGCATCTATCTAAGCATTTTGATAGTGGAGCCAAACTTTATACAGAGATCCAATGGTGGCAGAAAACATAGCGAATCCCTTCTACCAATACCAATGATCCAAAAAGATTAGTTCTTAGAAACCAGTATATATGTATCTTCAAAACCCCTCTCCTCTGGGGTTTCGTTTTAGAAAAGTCTACTTAATGGCCTACATCACAATAATTAACTAAAAGTAGCCTTACTAAACCATGAAAATACCATGCCATATTTTTGTTCTTTCTAAGCTCTGGTTCAAGAAACCCAAAAACTTAGAAGCAGCGTTCTTCTTTGTAGGATACTGAAACCCTGAACAGCCTAAATTTATTAAATTATATCTAAAAGACTACAATGAATCTTGTTTAAAAACACATACACACACACAAAAGTAAAGAACACAGGCATCACCTACATATATTTTAAGAAAACATTTGGGTATTGCTCTATTACCTCACTACTGCAATACTAATTTGCAATCTGTCTAGCTTTGTAGTTTTTCCCTTCATCACTGTGTATGAAATGCAATAATGTATTTAAGAAAACCACATTTCACAAAAGATTTTTTTTAATTGTACATATCATCCTATTCAAAAAGAATAAACAGGCAGACTACACAAAAGTACACATACGACAAAAAACACCTGAGAGATGTATATCCTCTCAATGAATAAATAACATGCATACCTGGATGGTTTTTTTTTTTCACAATTATGTATACGAGAAAAGTGATTTATAATCTATTGGTATTTACCGATAAAATACGAATGTATCCTGGTCTTTGTTTTATGGGCATGAATTCCTTCTGAGAGAAAAATTTCTAAATTTTAATTAATTTTGTTTAGTCCTTTATCCACCCCACCCCCTTCCTTTTTTGGGCCACTGGTCAAGGCCAAATTAAATAATTACATACTTCTGGGCTAAGGTCACCATTTCAAACCACTCTGGGCTACCAGAACCTGCAAACAACTGACAGTTTCAAAAGTTTAAAGCAGACAGTGGGAAGAATCTATACTGTACCTGTTCATAAGCTGGTTTAAGTACTTACCTGAAAACAAAAGCTGGGCACCAACTTAAAATTAGCAAACAAATGCAAGAATTTAACTAATTGTCCTGCACAAATTGAATTACAAGGTTGATAATTCTAGTTGATGAAGGAAAATTCTACTTTATAAAGATTTTCAGCTAATTAATGTAGAGAAGGAATATGTGAATTAGGGGAGAAAAAGCAATATTTGCAACCCACTAGTGAAATTAATTAAGGCAGCAACCATTATTGGATACTAAAATCATTAGTAGAAAAAAAAGTAACGAAAGGATCAGAATGTCAACACCCAAATCCACAATCAGTCTTAAAGCATCATTAAAATCACTAAAAGTGGGGCAACCAGATATTAGATGTCTCCTACTGAGACACAATAGGAAGCACAAGAAACACTTCAAAAAAAAAAAAGGCTCTAAATCTTATCAAGCCTTTGGAACTAACTTTAAGTTTATATAAGAAACACAGCAGATAGAGGAACAAGTTAACATGACACTCTAAAGAAACAGCCAGACTAGTCTAATCTGTGAAACTTTCTAAAAGGAAACATCACTTCATAAGTAAATGAATGAGAGATTGGGAGTAGAGAGAGGGAGAGGACTATTACAGACTGAAACAGACTAATGAGATGTAACAACCAAATACTATGTGCGGCCCTCCATAGGACCTTGTTCTGAACAAATCAAACTTTAAAAGCATTTTCAAAATAATTGGGGAAATTTTAATGTAAGCTGGGTATTTGAGGACATTAAGAAATCATTGTCAATTCTGGTAAGTGTAATAATCATATTATGGTTTGGTAAGAAAATGTAATTATTTTAGAGATACTATGGTAATATTTGAGAAGACATGTCACAATGTCAAGGATTTGCTTTAGAACACAAAAGAAAAACTGAATAGATAAAACTAAGTGTCAGCGCTATTGAACCAAGATGACAGGTGTATGGGATTCATTATATTAGCAAATAGCTGAAATCTCTAATAATAAATTAATAAATATTACCAAATGAATAACCCATACAAATGTAACAAAGAAAGAAAATCAAAGTTTTCCAGTTAATTTTATGTATCACAAACATATAGAAAATTATAAATTCAGTTTAACAGCTAATTAAAATTGTGCCAGGAGAACTGTACCAAAATAGATTTAAATGACATTAAGTTACAAGCTCTTTTCTGTAGCAGTAATTCTCAACTCTTGCTACATAGTAAAACCATCTTGAGATCCTAAAAACATAGGAATGCCTGTGACCCACTCTTTAACTATTCTCAGCCTGGGGTAGAATCTGGTGACTTCAACGTGCAGCAAAATTTTGAGAAACAATATTCTATAAGACCTACATG
The DNA here is from genome assembly GCF_000001405.40 of Homo sapiens. Taxonomy (NCBI): domain Eukaryota; kingdom Metazoa; phylum Chordata; class Mammalia; order Primates; family Hominidae; genus Homo; species Homo sapiens. The sequence goes on along the minus strand of NC_000001.11, from coordinate 96,789,336 downwards.
TTTACCTTCATGAATAAATGTTGTATCTGTTCACAATTATAACTATTTTAACGTCAATGATTTCCTACAGAAAGTCTGCTTTGCCTTTCTTTTAAAAACTTTATGATGAGAATGCCTGTTATTCAATTTGAAATACAAGGAAAGCTCTAAAATAAACACTCTTTGTACACAGTCTCTCTCCTAATTTTTAGAATGTAGATAACATGATCATGAAAAATTACTTCCAGCAATTTTTCTAAAAGTGATCTACCCCTTAATAAATTAACTACACCTCTTAACATGATAAAATGATCCATTATAATGATGTCTCAATTTATAATCTGAAGGATTTTTGATCACTGTGTTCTTTGAAACAGAATATGTGAATGACTAATAGTCGGCCACATTTGTGATTATGTATTTTAGATGTCAGATTTTAAACTCATTACAAAGCACTCAGTCTCCTTTCTTTGAACAAATTACATTTTCTGAGACACTGTGATACCTAGCATTAAAGGAAACAGAAAAGCCAGACATAAATGTTAGTCTTAAAAAATTACTGTGTAAAATAAATCAATTAAAATTTATAGTACTGATTCTAAAGTAATTAAATTCAGTCAAGTAGCTAGATCTAATATAAAAATCATACAAGGTAAAGTGAAGCCCCCCACAAATTTTAGCAAAAGAGTATCACCTTATATTTGTGTTCTTAAAAATTTTTGAAATAAATACTCTATCAATTATTTCATTTTGAACAAGTACTGTTACTGGAAGACTGAGCAGGAAGTTAATCCCACCAATATTAGTTTGCTGAAGTCATCTGATTAAATAATTAGAAGAAAAGATTCAGTTATTATTCTAAAAGGCATGACCTCACTCATGCAATATTGGATATCACCATAAACAATGTTTAAAAAGCAAAAAGAGAAGTGGAAACTGAGATCAAAATATTCACCAAACGTATGAAGAAGAAAATTGTGTCTTCATGTCCTACAAATGAATACTTTGGGATTGAGATCAATTATTTAAAAAGAGAGATTATTGAAAAATACTTTTCCAAAAACTGACCTAACATAAGTGAATAAAGCTGAAGGCTTGGCTCATCCAAAATATGCATATTAATATCCTTACTATGCATTTTATAAGAATTACCGTACATCCTAACAGAAAGAATGCAGGCAAGCAATTTAGCAAATTGTGACTATCAAATAAACATTTAAAGATTGTAAACTAAATCTTAACAGAAATTAAAATAGGCATTTGCCTATCAAATTAATCTTGTGAAATTAAAAAATAGTATGCTGGCAGGGGAAAAAGTAGGACACCCAGCCTCATATATAATTAATGTTAGTTTAAGTTAATATCACCTTTAGATGAAGAAATTTGCAAATAAAGTAAACAGGCTTTAACATTTTCTTTGACCCAATAATTCTAATTCTAGGAATCTAGTCTAAGAAAATAATTTGAGAGGCAAAAAAGTACAAGGGTGTTTTAATAAAAAGTATGGAATAGCCTACATGTCCACTTTCAAAGGTATGGCATACCCATGAACATGCTACGCAGGTATTAAAGCTATCTTTTAAAACAAATTCTAAGTAAAATGTCAATTACAATAAAAGATAATGCAAATCTGCAAATACAGAGCAATTTTAATTTTGTACAGAAACATGTATTTACATAAAAAATATGAAAATAAATGGTTATCTCTTGTGAATTATCAAAACCAGGGTCCATTATCTGATTTTTAAAACCTTTAACTCACCTACTTTTAACCTATTTTTGAGTATAGTTAAAAAGCCCAGTTATAACAAGATGCAAAAACATTAAAACAGATAAAAAAAAGAAGTCACTTAGGAAAGGCTAAACACTTTTTCCTTTTTCTTATGAGGCAGAGATGAAGAAACAAAAATGCGTTATACTAAAAAATTCAACACAGAAGTGGAAAAAGACACTAGACAATTTTTTGGCAAAGCGAGCAACTTAATTTACACGCCTTTAATGTAAAAATGTACAACGCTCAAAAAATGAACAAAAGCGGCCAGGCATGGTGGCTCACACCTGTAATCTCAGCACTTTGGGAGGCTGAGGCGGGCAGATCACCTGAGATCAGGAGTTCCAGACCAGCCTGGCCAACATGGTGAAATCTCATCTCTACGAAAAAAGACAAAAGTTAGCCAGGGGTGGTGGTACACGCCTGTAGTCCCAGATGCTCAGGAGGCTGAGGCGGGAGAATCGCTTGAACCCGGGAGGCGGAAGTTGCAGTGAGCCGAGACTGCGCCACCACACTCTGACACGGGCGACAGAGTGAGATTCCATCTCAAAGAGAAAAAAAATGACTTTATTATTGTTTTAAAAGTTTCAGCAAGGTCATAAGATCACAAGAAAAATGGTGATAAATTCCCTAGAAGAATCCACGTGACTTCTAACCAAGCCTCCCACCCAGGATCCAAGCACATCTAAGTATATCCAGATGGGCAAATACACACACCTCAGTAGGGTCCAAAGAAGTGATTATTGTAGTCCATTGTTAATACTAGCTGGAGTTTCTTGGTATTTTATCTTTAGCTGGAGTTTCTTGGTATTTTATCTTTAAATTGTTTCTTTGATGAGTTGCATGTGAATTTTTCAACTTCTTAGAAACTATATGTAAAATCTTGATGAGACCATCTATTTTAACAAAGTAATGTATCTGCCAAGTGCCTAGCTGAATGAATATGACCTAGAAGCTACTCAATAAATTTTGATTCTTTCTAAAACAATGTCTATCAGTAAAGAGTTTAATAATCTATAGTAATAATTATAAGCAAAAACCATGTTTCACTCTTTCATTCCTGACTTTGCCTTTAAAAACTGCACACTGTGAAATATTCAATCTTATTAACTTGAATTACGAATTAAGCTAGACACACACAGAGGTAGTAGAGATTCTGTCAGGAAAGAGTGTAAGTGACCTAAAGCATCTACTACAGTCATAATAAACACTATGACTTCTGCTAGGATACACCAGAAAATTCGAATAAAGGGTCAGATTTGTTTGCAGCTGCCAGAATTAACAGGTAGTTAATTCTTATTAGTTACCAGAATCAAATACCAACTGCCTTAGAGTATCTCTCTCTACATATATACCACTTACAGATTTCATATTCACAAACTGATGGCATGACTGTTATATATTGGGAAGTAAATATTTCCAATAACTACTTAATTATACTATTTTTTCTTTTGAAATGACAGACATAAACTAAATTGTAAAAGCTAGTTTGTCAACTATCAATTTTGAGTTCCATATATATAAAAATCATGACTTAAAGATAATCTTACCAATACTAGAAATCAAGAAATACATCAAATAAAAGGAAACTCTAAAATTCCATCTTAACTTATAAATCACTTTGCACATTTTACTTACAAAGTAAGATTTTCCTTATTTTTTTCTTCATCTTGATTCCACGCTATCAACTATAAGTTGCATATGTTTGCACTGTATTTTTATTAGGTGGCTCAAGTCCATTGTGGTACAAAGTAAAATATAAATGATTAAGACAAAATGCAAAGAAATAGCAAAATTAATTTTACAGAAAATTTCTTCTAGTTTAAATTGTTTTTTTAAAAGGCCACTACAATATGCTTCAAAAAAAATCCCATATGCCTCCACCCATTATGTATGTTTTGTCTCTTAACATTTCACTGTTTCCATGCAATGCTAAATTAAAACAATCAGATCAGCACTGAAAAACACACACAAGAACTTTAGGCCTAGACTCAGGCATAGTGACATCAAGTTTAAAGTGTAAATATGGCATTAAGAATTCAACAGTATTTCTTCATTAGAGCTTTTCTTCTTTTGTTCTGGGAGAGTGGCATGGAAGAGAAGCTGAAGGTATTAAAAGGAACAAAACTAACATATAATTTTAATTAGACTTATAAAGAATACTTTGGGTTTTTCTTAACAGTATTCATATGCCTTCTCACTTGAGAAAAAGAAAACTCACGAAACCTAACACAATTTGGTAAGGTCCAAAATGGGGGGATTCATTATACTTACTGGTACTTTTCCATTTGGCAAAATGGGAGAAAAGTGGTTAAGACAATAAAAATCATACCTAAGAGGGATGTCTCCTTGGCAAATGCTGCAGCAATAGCTGGGTCCAATGCAGGTTGTCCATCCCCAGATGGAAGATCAGGTCGAGTATAATCCCTACTTTTATCATTGTTGTATTTTACATTCAAATTCACAAGTTTGGAAAAATCAATCCTTAGGGTACAGCAGGCATTATAAATATTCTGACCATCTAGGGCCTGTAAAAGTGAATAAAGCATATCAGCAATCTTAAACAAAAAATAAAAATTAGTGAAAGTATAATTTTAGTAATAAAACTCAACAACAAAAACTCGAACTTAAAAGCTACCAGGAAAAGGATTCAAATTTCATATATCAAATTTTGCTGTTCCAGCTGTCCATGTATTACTTTCCCCCAAATATTATCTTCCTTAAATAGAAAATGCTACTTCAACCTAAAATACAACCAGCTAAGCATCCATGCTAATACTTTTAATTTTTAAAAATTGCAAATAGGTTAGTTTTAAAAAAACTAATAAGGATCACAAACAGGAAGTCCTACCAAAGTAGTACCACACTACTCTGCTCAATAAGGTTAATTTTATTATACATATATTTATTGCTGGATGGCAGTACTTATATGATTCAGTACAGTTTTAGAAGGTAACTGCTATTTGATGCCACATTGTACAAAGTTGCTTCAAACCAAATTATCCTAACACATAATAGCAATTCCCATAAAATGAGGCAAAAAAGAAAAAAACTAGTATTTTCCTTAACCTGAAATGTTCACCCCCAATCAGATTATCTTGATGAAATTAGCAAATCCAATGTCATTCCCGAAAAGTTCTGAAACTGACGAGTGCCAGGTCTAGGATTAATTAAAAGCCTAGACTCTTTTCGGTCATCTTAAGCAAGTTATTTGACCTCTCTGAATCTCAATTTCTTAATCGGGAAAACAGGAATGATGACAATGGCTGTCATGCTTCTTCAAGGGTTATTAAGAGGAGTAAATTAAAGACAACATATGTGAAAATACATCATGAATTATAAAGGACTATGTTACCGCTATGATTATCTTGTACTTTTTCTGCTCCTATATAATCACCATTTCTAGTTCAGCTGGATATAAGCTGGAAACAAACTAGAGAACAGGTGAACATACTGTTAACTTTTCATTAGAAGAATAAACATGTCGTGTTATGGAAAAAGTAAACCTCTACAGTTGCTTAAGTATATAAAGCTTTTAATTCAAATATTCTCACCTCTGGGAATATAAAACCTTTTCTCTTAATATACGAATTTTTTTATGGACTAATCTACCTACCTAAAAACTAACCTAGAAAATAATTCAACACAGATTCATCCACTTCAATACAGCACTGGTAAAAACTGAAAGAGAGTTCATACACATCAGGATTTGAATTACATTTGGGTTAGGCAAGGTACCTATCATCACATAAAAGTGGAAGCCATGTATCAATCAACTTTATCAGCCAGAATAACATAACTATTAATTGAATACCCTGGTGTAAAGGTGAAGAAAGCACTGAAGATAGGTATTCATTTACTAATGTAGCATTCCTATAGGGAAAATGTGAGATAAGTAATAGAACTGATGTTTCTACACAATAGATAAATATCAAAAGATAAGTAGCAAAATTCACTCTTAGGTGACTACTTCAATGTTATCAAAGAGAAAATGATACCTTATGAGAAAAGAGCTGGGTTTGAGTCACAGTATCTAGGTTAATGCTAAAAGTGCTGATACAAAATTACTAAACACACACTAAGTTTTTTAGGAGTTGAATTCTTTCCCAGCAATACTGAGGTCCGACTGCCAAATTATCTAACAATGAATATGCCAATTGTTAGAAAGCCCTCCAGGACCCTTTGAAATTTTCCCTCTGAACATTAAAAACAAAAACAAAAACTTTATGTAGGTGGAAGATGCAGAAGTATACCTAAGGTACAAGAGCTAGAGAAATAAGCAAACAAGATGTAAATTAATCATCTGTTGGCAAAAGAGGAAAGAAATAGGAGCTGAGGGTGTATGAGAGCAAAAATCCAGGTATTTTAAATAGTTGGTTAAAGGAGGTGACCACAAATAAGAAAGGGAGTAAAATCAAATTTAAAAAATATATGCAAGCTCACTTCAAGCTCATGTATTTGCAAAATCCCAAGAAATAGCAGTAGCACACAAACCAGTCCTGTGGTTCAGCAATCAGGAATGTGGTGATCTTGTTGGAGCAAAGATTTCTGACATTAAAAGCTCAAGATAATTTGCAGAAAGACCTTCCAAATGTGCCTACTCACAGTGAAGGTTTAGACAGTAAGCAAAAACAATCAGAAAAAAAAGTTTTCATGTAAATTTAAAGTTTATGGCTAAAACATGGAAATCAAAACACAGGAAAGATATTAGGCACAGAAAGCATAATTAAAGCAGCACAATGAAACACTGCATATGGACTGAAAACATGAAAAGCCAAAATAAAACTATTTCCATTTTTCTCATCGTTTACTATTGATAACTTACTTTTTTGAAGAGATTGTTGGGGATCAGATTTAACACACACTGAGAGAAACCTTAACTTCCAAATTCTTTAAATATCTACTTTTTAATATTTGGCAAGTCATGAAAAATTATCAAAATCAACAACACAAAATTAAGCTTATAATACTAATGTAATACTTCAGACTAATTATTTACCAATATCAAATAACCCCACCCTGGTAGATTATGCAGGATTTTCCTAAAGCATCCTAAAACCACTGATTTCATCATAAATTCTCCATTAATATGAATGTAAAATATACAGATTGTAAATTAAGCAGATGTCAAGGAGAATCTTTGCCCAAGAAATTAGCAAAGGATAATTCCATTAGGTCTCTCAAAGAATCTGCATAAAGCAATGTGTACTCTGTGAGAAGGAAATGAATGACATAATCTTACTGCTGCAAATGTTTTATCTCATATTTATTTTTATTATCAGTTAGTGATGAAATGGAATCTCCTGGAAGAAATAAAGAATAAGAAACAACCCACTTATATGTTAAAATAAAATGATCATATAAACAGGACTTCCAGAAGACACAATATACTGTCCAGTGTCAACTAAAGATATTCCTAATAAAGACATGTTTCTGAAAAGCTGTTTCTAATAACAAAAACCAAAAAGAACCATTTCCTACTTATGTGTGTTATAATGTAAGGACTATGTAAAAACAATTTTTAAATCCCAGGTGAAAAGGAGATTACATTATATGTCTTATTATACTATTAAAAAGATTGATATTTTTATGCATCAAGTAATTATATTCCTCAACATTATAAAAGCTGAATTAGAAAGCCAAGAGAAGACGCATCTTTGCCTAATACACTACTTTCCAATAAATAAACAAGATTTTCTGAAAGGTATTAAGGTGTTTTCTTTAATAAATATGAGGATCGCATAAAATACTTTTTATTGATAATTAAGATTGTTACTATGACTTCTGATTTTCACCCTGAATGTCAATGTTTAATAAATACAGCAGAAAGCAAAGCAGACATGGTACTCAGAACTTACAGTCCGACAGAAAATATACACATTTAACAAATTATAAATTTTATGTGTGATACTGAGAACTAAGAAAGGAAGGGATCTAATCTAGTTGAAATGTTACAGAAGACTTATCTCAGGAAGAGGCTTCTAAACTGATACTTGAAAGACAAAGAGAAGCAGAAGTTGGGCATAAAGAGATGAAGAGAAAAAATAGTATTAGCAAATGGAACAGCAATCTGTAAGATCGAGACATCAGAGAAAATACAGTATATGCAAGCTATTTAAAGAAGTCCAATATAGCTAAAAAGGCATGAGAGGAGAATGGAGAGGCAAGCTGAGGACTGATTTAGAGTCTTATAAGCCATGATAAGGACTGTGGACTTTATTGCAAGGACAAAAAAGTCACTAAAGGGTATTGTGATTAGAAGCAATATGACTTGACGTTGAGATGATTCCTAGTACTCTGTGGAAAAATAATGGAGGTAGGGGAAGATGTCAAAATGGTGAGTTCAGTCAGAAGGCCAAGGAAGTGGAGATATGAAAGAGAATTATTACTACATCAATGCTACTTAAATTATGATTGACGGTCCAGAAGCCCAGGCTACTCTGCATGAATATAAGAAGTCTGTGTCAAAATTTATGCCAATATTGACATTAAGCATACTGTTGCTAGAAGTATGCTGATTTCAGTTTGACACACACTACTACCTTGAGAGACCAGCATCTTGAATAACACTGGCTTAGACTGCAATGGTAGCAAGAGTTGGAGAAAAAAGGCCAGATTCAACAAAAATTTAGGAGGTATAATCAATAATATCTGATGACAGGTTGGAAGGAAAGGGAAAAATACCATGTTTACTGGCTTGTTAATGAGACTGAAGTTGGTATCTTGCACTTTCCTAACACAGCGGACACCAAAAACAGGAGCTAGATTGAACACACTGTTTGAAGATATTCATTAGTCCGCCAGGTTCTTAGTGTGGGTCTCTTAGGAGAGGTCTGAGCTAGAAAATGTGATGTGAACTCTGTCTGAATCATAAGAGGTTTAATGGAGCTGTGACAGCAGGTGAGGCCTCCCAGGTAGAAGGGGAGTTACAAGACAAGGAAGAAATAGAGAGGTAGGATAAATCCAGGTGAGAAGTATCAGAGACCAGGAAGAAAGAGAATTTTAAGACAATGGTGCACAGTGCCAAATATTATCTAGGTATTAAGTAAGACAAGGACTAAATCATATCACTAGCATTTAGCTACTCTACTAATCGCTGGTGACGCTGAGGAAGAGCAATTTGGGTCAACAGTGCTAAAACCAAATAATAGTAAGTAGAGAAATGAGATAATAAACAACAAAGATAGACTATTTAAGAAGTCTGGTTATGAGTGAAAAGGGAGAGGGGAGGCAGGGTGATAGAAAGTACGTAGAGTTATAGATGGATGGATTGAAAGTTGAAGGTAAATTCATTTAAAATGAAAGAAGCTGAGAATGCTTGAAACTGGTGAAAAGTGGCCAATATAGAGAGAAATAAATGAGAAAGGGGATGACAGATAGTGCAGTCTCTTGACAGGCAGAAGACGATAGGCTTTGGTGTTTATTGGTCTTAGATAACTAAACATCTATGCCTTTTATTAAAAGAGAAAGACAAGTGTGAGTATTAGCAGATTTTGCAAGAAAAGCTGATGAAGCTTCCATGTGATTTTCCTCTTCAAGCAAGTGAGAGTGAGGAGAGATATGGTAGAAGGGAAAATTTCTATCTGACATAGGCATTGTGAAAAACAGAAAAACTGTTGACTGAAGAAATGGGAAGAGATTTTTAAAGTAGAGTAGAGGGCTTACTTGTAGTTGACGTTGATGGATTTAAACTGGTACCAATTGTCAGATTATGTAATATTATGTGATATTCTCTAAGTAGAGCCCAGATGCAGGCAAGTAAAATGAACATTACTGTAGTTATCAAAAATGCAAATTTTACCAAAGGGTCTAGATTACAAGGTAATGGGGCAAAGCAAGTTTAGGAAACAAATTTCTTTTTCCTTCTGTAATAAGTGAAGTGTGAGTTCTGATACCAGAATAAGTACTTAGTAAAACAATTATCTACTCTCTTAGAATTATAACTTTAGATCTTTGTCAAGAAGACCTGAGTGCATACCTGTGCACAAACATCAATATCATAGTTGGATGCTTAGTATCTGTTCACAGAAGATTAAACAAAAATGTCAAACAGTTGACACAATTGAGGTACTTTTATGAGATTTAATGTAACTATGTATTACTTCAGACAAGATACACATATAAACAATTTTCCCCTTAAGAATTATAGCTCAAACACAGTATAATCCCCACTCAAATTTCATTTAATTGGTCCTCTAACAAATACTTTTCTTTGGGGTCAGAAGAGCAAGGAAAATATTCCACACCAAGAAAAATGTAGACTATATTTAAACGTTTGAAGTTGTGAAAAATGTCACAGAAACCATGACTTCTAGATTGTCTCCTATTCATAAAACCTCATACCACATTGATTTTGGTAGCCAGGGCATGTGAAAGGAGGATAATCATTTTTTGGACAAAAAAAAAGAATTCTAATTATTAACCTATGCCTGAAGCGGAAAGCACAGTAAGATTAGATTATACCCGAGAACCAGTGAGAAGCAGCATACTGGAGAGAAAGGCTAAGACTGAAAAAATGTCTACCTTATAGGTGGTGTTCACTGTAAGTAATTCACCTCTTTAAATCTTAGCATCCTCTTGTAACGCAGGGGAAAACCCTGTTTTGTTGACAATATAGAGTAGTGGTCAGAAAAAATGAGACTACGGCACTTGGTAAACTATTACAATTATGCTATTATTACTTGTATAGCCTTTCTGCTACCTACAACTAATTTTGCTCCCAAAATGAGGTTGTGTGGATGGAAATGCAATGAAACAATTGTAAAAAATGGTCTGGGCTCCACAGAAGTAATCTTGATCTGGAGGAAGCATTTAAGTATTAGAGACAATAATTAATCTGAAAGTAAAAGAATGAATGAAAGGAAGAAAACCAGTTAAGATAAATGTAAGCTTATTAAATGGTTTCATAATAATGGCTTAATAATGAATTTTTAATGGCTTAATAATGGAATAGTAATAATAATGAGATACTATGGCACAAAAAGTTAAAGAGACAGAGCAAAAGTAGATTTAAGATATACAAACAGAAGATTAAGGTACTTGGAAGCAAAGATGTGGTGCGCAGTTTTCAGTGGCAGCCTTGATGGGAAATTTTACATCTCTCAATGACCTTACATCCTCCATATGTAACAATGACAAAAAAGATAAATGATATGAATAAAAAGTGACTAGAAACCTATTCATAAAACCTTTAAAAAAAAGACATTAAAGAGAATATATAGTTTTAAATAAACTGAGAGCCTATCATAGCATTTGAGCCACATCTGTATATTTCAGCCAAACTCTTTTGAAAACTAATTACTTTGAAATTCCCAGCAAAAGCCACTTCAAATCTTATGCTGGTGCACATTCACAATATAGTCCTGCTTTTTTCTTAAGAGTACAAACTTTTGTCCTTAAATTAAAAAAAAAAAAAAAAAGTAAAATAATAGAAACCCACATCATGGTTAACTACAACTATGATTTTCCTAAAAATAAATATTTCTTTTATGACAAATATTAAGGTTTCTTAATATTAATGCCATCAATTTCTACTATCTGTAATGCTACAAGATATCATTAAGTATACATACATATATATATATTTTTCTACATATACATTTCAATAAAAAAAAATCACCATCTCAAAAGAAAGACTTACTAGTTTTGCTTGTTGAGCATTTACTGGATCACCATACTGGAGCAAAGCTTGAAACTGGTTATTTTTTGTAAATGTGATTATCTTCAATACAGCACCAAACTTAGAAAATATCTGTTAAAACATTAAAATCAAAACATTACTTATTTACTATATTATTATTTCTCTAATTTATAGGTAATTATGCAGATTAAACTTACTTGGTGAAGAACATCAAGTGTTACAGGGTAGTACATGTTGTCAATAATTATTCTAAGTACTGGACTCTGGGCTGGAGTCACTGCACTCTCGCTAACTGTGGTGCCACTAAGAGGAGTATTTGCTGTCTGGACAGCTGTCACAGCTTGAAGAACTGCCTGAGCACGCTGGAAATTAAGATTATGTAGTTTAGAAACATACCCATTATTGTCACATACTTTGCAACCTGTTACACTACTAGTTCACTTTGTTCCTAGAACTTACACAGATTAAACAAAATTAAATGGCCCCTCAACAGATATTTTTAAGCACCTGCCATGAGCCAGGTACTACCTGTTTAATAAATCAAATATTCTACTAGTATTTCATTCAAAAAAATTATCCAGGCTTTGGGATCAATGTTGAACATGCAAAGGTATGATATGTAATTTATTCTCAAAAGAACAAGATGTAGTTTTATAAATACATGTACCATCAGAAAATGTTTTAAACAGAAATTTAGAGAATACAACTTTAACATTAATCACTCCATAAAACAGGTACGTTGTAAATCTCAACAAGGGGGTTACTGAATTATCCAAAAGAACTCCCATAAAGCTTATTATTTCTAATACAATCTTAAAATAGGAACATTCAGAAAATACATTTTTCATACTACACTTAACTTCTGACACCAAAATTTTTAGAATAGAAACCAACGTGTAGTCTAGTCCAAAACCACAAAATTCTCAGGTAAACTTCAAGATATAATATGAAGAATATTTCCCATACATTTTATGGTATCAAATACACCATTAATTATAAAATGCACTATTGTTTTATGTATGACTAATAAGATGTTGCCAATTGAACTATGGAAGATAGACTATTGCAGGACACATCAAATTTCTGAGATTTTAAAATGCGAAAAAATATACCCATAAAATTGAATAAACACAGTATTTGTAGGAAATCTGTCAATCAAATATTATGTTAAATGCTCCAAAAGACTGCCTTTATTACTATTATCCCTTTCCTGTTATTATGATGACAGTCTATGATAAGGAAATAATTTCTTTCTACCTTATCTGTGGTCAAAAAACATACAAAGGCAAATAGTTCTAAAATATAACAATGACAAATACCACAAATACCTATACATAGGTTTACAGTTTGAAAAATCTATATCAACAGGTTAATGAAAGAGAATACAAAAGAATTAGGACACTCAGGAGAATAAACAAGAAAAGTCATTTTACTAAAATATTATATAACCACAGATCACACGGCTTGAGAGTCCAGATATATATCTAAACAATCATTTAAATGCTACTTAATTTTATCTATAAATTTATGTATTAGTCAAAATGACTTACTAATTAAAACTCAACATTTTGAAATGTGATAGATTATTTTAGTAGACATCTTGATACTATTATTGAAAAAATAATTGTAAATTGGTAAAATTAGTTTTATAGAGCAGTATCTATTCAAATGTTTAAATGTATTTAAATATTTTAAGTAGCTCATTGCAATATTATCTTCTTCATTAGTGAACATGTTCTTACTGTATTTATCTATAATAACAAGCATAGACTACCACAACTTAGAAAAACACTAACATCTGCTTCAAATAATAAAATGTTTTCTAAAATAGGAATCCATGATCATGGTATAAAAGTGGTATTAAAGATTAAAAATTCCCCTGCAACTCTGTCACCCAGTCTATTTTCCCCTACCAACCCCTCACAGTATTATCTTCGATATCCTTCCAGAGATACTAGCTACATCTACAAGCATATATATATAAATATTATACTTAGTCTGTATTTTTTTCAATACTATTCATATTTTTATTCAATACTATTCATACTTTTATTTAATACTATTCATTGTTCTCTATCTTCCTTTTATGGCTTAACAATCATGTTCTCTCACATCAGTAACAAATTACTTCATACATTTCTTTATGATTTCATTTTTAATGACTTCATATATTTTTTCTTATAATTCATGGAGCAGTGTTGGCTTGCAAACCTAGATTTTAATAAAACTTCTTATCAAAATATTACACACACACACAAAAGGACACAAAACCTAAGTATAAAGCTCCATAAAATACCACAAATTGGACATCTCTGTGAAATAATTACCCAGATAAAAAACAGTATATTATCAACACTCTAGAAGCCATACTCACGCTTCCTCCAAGTTACATAAATGGAATCATATCAGATGTATTCTACTTTGGTTTGGCTTCTTCCAATAATTATGATGTACACTACCCATGTTTTGCAGGCAGCAGTAGCTTGTTCATTTTTATTACTATACAATATTCCACTAAATGAATACAACACAACATATTCTGCTGCTGTTGAACATTTGGATGATTTATAGTTTTTTGGGCTATTACATACAGTGTTCCATGAACTTTCTTGTACATATCTTTTAACATACCTATGTACATGTTCTCAGGTATGTTAACTAGGAGCGAGTTTACTACATCAAAGAATAGCTATATGCTCAACTTTAGTAGATATTTCGAGTTTTCAAAAATGGTTGTCACCAGTATTTTATTACCTATCCTTTTAATTTTAGCCACTCTGGTTATGTGCATAGCAGTATCTCATTCGGAGTTAACACTCTCAATCCAAACCTAATCTACTCTTTGCTTATCAGGGGATAGCTTTTAGGAGAAGAAATAGCTAAAGGGAGACCTCAAGATATTTAACACTGGCCATGTGAAGTGTGAGGTGGAGGAAGGGTGGTGCAAAAGGCAGGCCAACCCACAATATTCCATGCATGAGAGCAGTGACATAATGGCAGCAAACGACTGACATCAAGAGAAAACATGCCAGGTTACAGGATGCACCATTACTTTTGGGACAGAAGCATAAGCAAATAGGGTGGGAGTAGTCATAAGACAAGACAAAAAGTAGTAAGCTCAGAAAGGGCCTTTAGCCTGAGCATGAACAGGACCTACTGCATGGGAGTAACTTAGATATGTGCATTTGAGAAAGATACGTACTGGCTGTACTAGCGAGAAAAAAATTCCAGAAGGGAAAAGAAAAAGAAAGTAGTTTATAAAGAGAACTGTCGTAGTAATATAGCCAACAGGTGAGTGTGTTTGAGCAATACAAGTAGCAGGAAAGATGGAGAAAACCAGGCAGATAATTAAAAAGTGTGAACTAATAGGACCTGGTGATTTCATGAACGGATGTGAAAGAATTCATGGTTAATGCATACTCATTTGCATGTCTTCTATTATGAAACTCTATTAAAATGCCTAGAAGTGAATGAATATAAAATAAACAAACACTGAAGGGAGGGAAGGTTATCATTAGCTGAGAATAATTTTATCAAATTCCTGGAACACAGAAAATGAATGGAACCAAATGGACTGGAGACACAGTGAACACACAGCAAACAGGTGTTATACTGGTAGCAGCCACAGGAACCAAATCAGAAATTGGCAGGTTCACAGGAGGAGGGAGTGGGTGAAAAACAGACGAACAGAAAGTCTAGTTCATTAACAAAAGAGCTAAATTTCTCTTCTCCCTCCTGTGACCAACTTGTACCCTCACCATTAAAAGAAGAAAACAACAACAAATCTCCCTTAAAGGAACCAGAATTTCTTCCTTTTTTTTTTTTTAAGAGACTGTGTCTTGCTTTGTTGCTGAGGCTGGAGTGCAGTGGTGTGACCAGTTCACTGCTGCCCTGAATTTACCTCAGCTTCTCAAAGTGCTGGGATTACAGGCATGAGCCAAAGTGCCCTGCTGGTACCAGGAATTCTTTTTTTTTTTTTTTTTTGAGACAGAGTCTCGCTCTGTCGCCCAGGCTGAAGTGCAGTGGCGCGATCTCGGCTCACTGCAAGCTCCGCCTCCTGGGTCTGCACCATTCTCCTGCCTCAGCCTCCCGAGTAGCTGGGACTACAGGCGCCCGCCACCACGCCCAGCTAATTTTCGTATTTTTAGTACAGACGGGGTTTCACCATGGTCTCGATCTCCTGACCTCGTGATCCGCCCACCTCAGCCTCCCAAAGTGCTGGGATTACAAGTGTGAGCCACCACGCACAGCCTGGTACCAGAAATTCTAAAGGGAGTTTTGTTGACCCAGAATAAGAGCCTCTTTGGTATTTGGGGGGAATGGGGGTAACAGCTTAGTAAACGCTCTTCATTACTTTATCCTAGAGGAAAGCATACAACTTTAACAAAATCTAATTGTCCATTCTGAAACACGAAAAGACAACAAAGGGGGGATGAAGAGAATGAGAACAAGATAAACATAAATGCTAACACTGAAAAAATAACTCAGCATATAGTGACGTATTTTTTAAATACTGTAACTAGTATCCTCAAAGTACTGTTGTTAAGGCATAACCAACTACAAAAAAAAGATGACCAAAGGAGACTGAAGGGCTTTAGAAGATGAAAAATAAAATTATAAAAGCATTTTTTTCAACAGAAGGAACTTTGCATTGATTATTCCTTCTGTCTGGAATAAGTGGCTTATTCCCTAACCACTTTGAAGTTCATTATTCAAATATCCCCTCTCAATGGGGCTTCCACTAGTCATCCTAAGTGCCCCTCCTCCACATCCATCCATGTGTAGGCCTCAGCTTTACTCTTTTTTTTTTTTTTTTTTTTTTTGAGATAGAGTCTCGCTCTGTCACCCAGGCTGGAGTGCAGTGACGCATCTGGGATCACCGCAAGCTCCACCCCCCCGGGTTCAAGCAATTCTCTCTTGCCTCAGCCTCCAAGTAGCTGGGATTACAGGCACCTGGCACCATGCCTGGCTAATTTTTTTTTTTTTTTGTATTTTTAGTAGACTCAGGGTTTCACCATGTTGGTCAGGCGGGTCTTGAACTCCTGACCTCAGGTAATCCACCCGCCTCAGCCTCCCAAAGTGCTGGGATTACCAGTATAAGCCACCAAGCCCAGCCCCCAGCTTTATTCTTTACATGTTCCTTTCGTTTAATCTTTTAAAATGAGAATGTACTTGCAAATTACTTAAATAATAACGAACTAGAAATGGGATATTAAATGTCATTTTAAGAGGACACTGTGTGTGCTAAGTGAATAAGTCAAACAAAGAAAGACAAATAACACATTATCTCACTTACATATGTAATCTAAAAAAGCTGAACTCACATTAGTAGAGAGTAGAAAAATAGTCACCAGAGGCTGGGGGAGGGAGGAGTGAACAGGGAAGGGGTGATGATGGTCAAAGTACAAAGTTTCAGACAGGAAGAATAGGTTCTGGTGATCTACCGCACAGCATGGCAACTACTGTAATGCATAATACTGTATTGTGACATTGTAAAATAGACATTTGGTCCTCAACCCCATTTCCTGGCATACAACTCTAAATTCCTAATAAATCTCCAAAATGATATATTTTGTATGCTAATGAGTTGACTGATGGCTGGCAGCCCCACTTTAAGATGGGGACTGGTCACCTGAAAGATCAAGGCATGATTAGAGGCTTATTATCCTTTTTAATATCCTATATAATAAACTAGTAAATCTCAGTAAATGTTTCCTTGAGTTCTGTGTGCTGCTCTAGCAAATTAATGAAATCCAAAAAGGGGGTTGTGGGAACCCCAACTTGAAGCTGGTCAATCAGAAGTTCCAGAGGCCTGACTTGCTGGTGTCTCAGGAGATCTTGTGGGACTGAGCCCTCAACCTGTGGGATCTGATGCTATCTCCCGGCAGACAGTGTTGAAACTGAGCTAAGTTGGAGAACACTGCAGACCTGACTGCTTGCTTGGCGTGGAAAAAAATTCCCCCACATTTGAGGCCACAGAAGCCTTCTGTGTTGATTGTTGTGGTGTGAGCAGAGGAAAAACAGTTTTTCCACATTCCACTGTATACTTCCAAAATAGCTAAAGGAATTTTAAATGTTCTTACCATAAAGAAATTGTAAGTACTGAAGAGATGAATATGTTAACCAGCCAGATTTGATCATTCCATAATATATATGTATTAAAACATCACATTGTACACCATAAGTATAAACAATTATTTGTTAAAAATAAGTTAAAAATGCAAAAAAATCTAAGTAAAAAGAAAGAAGAGCAGATATTTTCTTTTGGTATTCTTCCTCTTGATAAATTATTAGAAGCATACATTCTTTTTCAAAAGAAATTAAAAACTCATCATCAAATTAAAAAAGCTGAAATTTCAGTCCTATCTTTTAGGTAAAAAGTTTTACAAGCTTATTTTCCATAAACTAACAAAATGATTTTGTCACTTTGTAAAGTGACAAAAATCTATGAGGAACAGTTTTCCATTACATTTTTATTAAGAAAAAGTTTGTATTTTACTGACAGAGAAAGATATCATTAGTTTTAAAACTATATTAAAACAGCTAAAGTTTTAGATCATTACAGCAGTCTTATAATGTAGGTCGGAAAACATTCTAATGCTATTTTTGAATACATTAATTTTAAACAATATCTTCTATATTACATTTTTAAAACATCAATACATTCACATATTCTTCATCCTTAAGATTTCTTTTCCAGGAAAACCATTAACACATCTTCAAAAAAAAATTTTCCGTAAGAAATTAAGACCTATAAAAAAAATCAAATAACCAAAGGCACTGAACTTCTTACCTTAAATTCTAAGCAGGAGAGTTGTATAAACAGTTTATGCTAATAATAAATCCTACCTGATAAGTTTCTACACAAAAATTTTAACTTGCAACAAGAAAAAGAACATTTGACCAGGGGATTAAAGGAATTCAAAATGACATAGTATTTAATACTTAGAAACATTCTGCATGAAAATACCTTAAAAATAACAAGAAAATGCCTATAAGGAACATCTGAACAGGTAAACATTTCCTTCCTATTAATGTTTATGAGATTCATAATATGTTCTAGGCCATTTTATTTATGTACCTACACATACTTACTTGGTTTAATGTATTATCTGTCTTTAGTTCTTTGTGATTCGAGTACTGGATATATATTGGTTGGTTACGAAGATGAGGTGTCACAGCAGAATAGTAATTAACCATAGTAATAGCTGCTTCCTCGGTTGCTAGTTCCAAAAATGCCTGAAAATTTAAGTAGCACAATTTTTAATACTATAAATTCAAATAAAATTAATATCTAAGCAATCTATTCAGATGATTTTAATCAATTATCTAGAATATAATCCTTCAGGTTACTTTTAAATGTTCTGATAAGCAGAATTAGAAATCTCTTGTTGAAGTTTAGGTATACAGTTAAAGCTAACCTCAGAAGAAAACCGAGTACACGCTGCTTCTGCCTTCCACCTATGATTTTTCACACCCACAAATCTATTCTTGCAACAAATGCTAGAGAAAATGTAAACATTTTCTAGCATCAGAATTTTACCACTTCTACCCTAGAGAATGTAAGATTTCCAAGTCATTTTAAAAGCAGTATAATTATATAGAGACAAAGAACAAAATTACAAATTAAATGTCAGATTAACCTCAAGTATATAAAAGGGAGTGTTAAATTTCATAAATTCTTCTAAATGGTATCATTTAACATTTTTAAATAAAATTTCATATTCTCATAAAGCTTAAGGAAAGATGCGACTAGTACCCCTGCTGATTTCTGATACCAAAGAACAGAGCCACAGTAAAAGAAATACTTCATTTGTATTTTCCACAATTTCATAACAATTATTCAATTAGAGCCCTAAAGTCAATTCAAAAGACAAAGTTTAAAAACTATAGTGATTCACTCACTTTGGCTACCTAGCATTAGTTTCCCACAGACATCTACTCGAAAAAGTGAGAATAAGACTTCTGTTCTTTAAGAAAAATAACCTACTATTTTCTCCCTTTTACAATTAATTCACACCTGCTGGATAGTTTGGGGTTTAACATTTCATAAACCCTGAAAGAAGTGTACCTGATTTTTTCCTTTCAGCATAAGGATGTTGGTCACCTTACCAAAAGGTAAGCCTAAAGCAATAACTTCAGTTTCTGTTACTTCCCCAGGTAATTTTCGAATATGAAGTACACGAGAAGGAGCACCATCCATTTTATCTTCTCCTTTAAATTTTTTACTATCATTACCATTGGCTGAAAGACATTAAAAAACAGTCCTTATATATCAACAATAAAAGAATGTATGAATTTTCCTATTTGTGTAAAAAAACTACAAATTTCCAAAAAGAACTTAAAAACATAGCTGAGAATACTTAAATAATTCTTGAAAATTCAAATGCCAGGCTTTCAAAGGAATAAAATCATATCCACCTATTATTATTAAATGAAATTATCAACTATTTAAGATTGCTGTTAATGTTTCTTAACAGTATTATAAAGAGTAATTATTAATAAGCAACAACATTAAAATGTAATCTCATAAAGAAACTGTCCAATGACTAAAGAATACAATCACAGTCATGTGCCACATAACTACATTTTGGTCATTGACAGGCCACATATACAATGGTGGTCCCATAAGATTATAATACCATATTTTTATTGTACCTTTTCTGTTTAGATACATCAATACTTATTACTGTGTTGCAACTGCCTCCAGTATTCAGAACAGTAACATGCTGTCAAATTTGTTGCCTAGGAGCAAAAGGCTACATATACCATATAGCCTACATGTGTAGCAGGTTTGTGCAAATGTACTCTATGACATTTATGCAGTGACAAAATTACCTAACAATGCATTTCTCCGAGAGTATCCTCATCACTATCCCCAAGATTTATGACTGTATCTTGTAATTTAATCATCTTATAATGAACTAATATGAACATTTTTAAAAAGTGAAAAAACTGGTTTGACCAAAATTAGGAAGATTATAATTTTACCTGAGAAATTATAAATTGTTTGATTTGAAAAATGTACTTGAAGGTGGGATCAAAGAATGTAAAGTTTATAAAAATGATAATGCAGTCAATCCATATTATGGCTTATCTACAATGAGCCTCTCCTGATATATTACTATTGCCGTCTAAACTACCTAATATTTTGTGACTATTAACATCAATATACTCTAAATCACTCATGAACTTAATTACCTTATTCTGTTACCGTGAGATTTAAAGTAAAGTAACATAATTCAATCAACAAATTAGTTAACTGTCTTCATTCCAAAACTTCACCAAAAAATAAAAATATTATTCAAAATGCCTATAAAATAGGTAATATTTAAATACAGTTGTTTGAAGGACTTGCAGTATATCTACTATGCCAGATCAATGGTTCTTAGTCTTTTAGGATCTCAAGGATATTTCTGAGACTTAGCTAAAATGAAGGATCTTGACACATTCAGAAATATACATGTATACTCCATTTTGTATAAAACTTTAGGTAATTTATGGTATTTCCTAAAACATTCAACACAACCTATAAACTATATAATGTGTTTGTGTATGTTCAACAACATCTATAAGACTGTCAGATTATCTTGGTCTCCAACGTATCTTCAAAATTAATTCACTCATTAATTCCTTAAACATTTACTGGGTATTCAGGGATGTGTCTAGCAATGTTTTACGTTCTGAGGGTACAGAGAGTGAACAAGATGATTATATGATTCCTGATACCTTATAGTAGGGAGCTGGACTAACTAGTACCTGAACCAGATACTTTCTACGGTATATGCTGTGAGGTAAAACAGTGATGTGCTTAAAAGTTACTTTGTCTAGGACTGGAAGATTGATAGTAGTAATGACTTTATTGGATGATCAGAGAAGGTATCTCTAAGTGATAATATATGGACTCAAGCTATACTTAAGTCATATTTTACTCTAGGAGTTTCACTTAGGTTTATATACTTGAACGGCAAGCCAATGCATTTAAAAATCCCCTTAGGTTGTCTTTGTACAGAAGAGTAAGCTCTGGCTTCTGAATATATTGCCCTGAAAATCTTGGCTGGGTAGCTCTTCACCACTCCAGAAATATGAAAAAACTACAGGAAGCTATCACATGTCCTTTCACTACTGACAAAGATTTGTGTGCGCACAGGGCACCTGAATTTGTCAAAAGGAAGAGACTGAACTTTGCATTTTGTAGTATCTTATCTAACAAAATCATCTCTAGGCCCGTTAATTGAAAATGTAAGCTAAAGCACAGAATCCAAAAAATACACATATACTTTAAAACACATAATGGGCACACACAACAATCGGCATCAGTCAACAAGGAACACATATTATTCTGATACAGGACTAAGACCTTTTTTTGACAAAGCAGTCTGAGTACAGAAACTTGATAATTTGTTCTTGTTCATTAGTTTGTTTGAATAACGAGAACAAATACTTCACAATCCAACCTAAAGCCCCATGTGTTATAGTTATGGTATCAGGATACTCAAAAAAGCAAATTTCAGTTTCTCCTAATTTGGTCTGTCCTTTTCCTTCTGGGAGAAAGACAAGGAAAAAAAAAGACCAATAAAGATACTACCTATCACTGTACCCATAAGGAGAAAAAAGGCTTCCCCTTTCAAATGATTTTCCAAAAATAATTCCCAAAAGGCAAAAGCCTGCCTAAACCTATTATTAAGGAAATTAAATAATTTATTTTGGATTTGTGTTGGATGTTTTCTGGATAGTGGATATTAAGCAGAAGTAAAATAGCTGAATAACACAGAAAGAACGTAGGAAACTTCTGAGAATCAAAGGATAAGACAAAGATCTTGACTTCTTGGAAAAAATATAGAAAAGATGTAATTTTATTTTGCATCAATATTTAATATTCACTGCTAATTAACTACATGCCGGGCAATTTACAACTCTCAGATTGCTATCATTATGACCTATCAACCCCATTTACAGGTAACAATTAGTTAAATGCCCAAGATTAGATAGTTACTAAGTGGTATAGACAGGAAGTAGCAGAGAAAGGATTAAACTCAGGGAGCATGATTCCATAGTCTGTGCTCTTCAACAACTACACTATAGTAGGATCTCAAAAACAAACATTACATTACATACAGGTTGCCTAAAAAAGATCTGTCCTCTTCTCCCAAAGACCAAGCCAGTTACTGTAGTAAACTATCAACATTTACACTACCTGACACTCCCTCAGTTAATAGCTTCCATGAGGTGACTACTAAGTATTCATATCTTAGTGCCAAATATTATAAAAGTCTTCATTTTAAATAAATGATACTATGAGAATGTGAAACTGGGAATGGGGGCTCCTTTAATAATATAACAAAGCCTATTTTCAAATATAAACACACTCCAGCAACACCGAAAAAGGGTCCAAAAATGGAAACATTAGCTTATGAAGCATTAGGTCTGCCTGTGTTACAGTTCTACAATTCTTCAGCATCTTCCCATGATCCTGAATGGGAAAGGTTTACTGGGGGAATGAAAGAGATCTTTCCCTTCCATTCCTCCAGTAAACCCAGAACTTTTGTTTGGGCGTGTAAAACCAGTAATAATTCAAATGTTTATGTTCAGTTAAGAAGGCATGAGGTAATGCTTTTATTTATGCATATAAATTTTATTCATTGTATATGAATGTAAAAAATCTTTAAGCACACCATTTTCCATACATTATTCAACTCTTTCAAAGCCTCTTGCTTAGGGAAGATGTTCATGTAATCACGGATTCAAAGCAAATAAAATTTTAAAATGGTTTCTACTTGAATACTTCTCTTCCAAACTCAAAACCAGTTTTTCACCTCAATTCTAAAGCCAGCATCTTCACCTCTGATCAGTACATCACTTTTCTCCTGCTGACTGACCTTTGTTCTCCACTAGCTTTTACCTGCAATTTTTACATAAATGGGTGTCGGCAAGGATCATGGGTAATTTGTTAAATCACCACATCCATCAGTCAACAAGGAACTGTGAACCCTCTCTTCCTCACTGAATTTCTCTAATAGCACCCCTAAAAACTTCAATTTCTACTTTTCTAATTTCCCGACTCATTTGATACTTGCTTTGAATCCTGATTACTCATTCATTCCCCAAAATTGTTAGTTTCCCATGCTGTTTTTGTTCCGATACTCTACCTATCTTTACTTATTAAATATAAACACTCTAGCACTGGGTTTCACAGTATCTATCTATCTATCTATCTATCTATCTATCTATCTATCTAAGACAGAGTCTTGCTGTATTGCCAGGCTGGAGTGCAGTGGCATGATCTTGGTTGACTACAACCTCCACTTCCCAGGTTTAAGTGATTCTCGTGCCACAGCCTCCCATGTAGCTGGGAATTCAGGTGTGCACCACCACACCCAGCTAATTTTTCTATTTTCAGTAGAGATGGGGTTTCACCATGTTGGCCAGGCTGGTCTCGAACTCCTGGCCTCAAGTGATCCACCTGCCTCAGCCTCCCAAAGTGCTGAAATACAGGCATGAGCCACAGCACCTGGCCTACTTTCTCATATAATTTGTAAATTATTTTAGTCCTACTCATTCACCGTTATACTTTCAACTGTGTACAAATATAAAATACGACACGGCAAAACCTTATACTTCTGTCCAATGAAAATCAGTGACAAAACTTAGGTACATCTTCATTCTCCAAGTCTTTCAGAGACACACATTTATAAAAGTTTTCCTAACTCTCTTTATCAAATATGAAACTGAGAGGCAAAGAAGTTTTAATTCTAAGCAGTTTTAGACTTCAAGGCAAAGCAGTGTTTTCTAGCTTTAGAAAAACAAAAAACAAAATAAAAAGACTCTAAGCTAAGAAAAAAAAAATGAATGCTGCTACTCTTTCCTGTATGAGAAACAAATTCCAAAGAAGAGTTAAAGAGAAAAAAAGCAGGTAGGTGCAGATAGGTGGTACTTCTGCTATTCTGTTGGCTGTTTCTGCAACAGCCACCACGCAAAAAGCCTCACCAGGTTTCCGTAAAAGGTAACTATTAACTCTTGTATTTCCAAGTAGTTGTGTGGTGTAGTTGTCAAAAGCATATTAGGCATGAGCTGGAAAAACACAGAAGGCACCTAGAGAAGGCTCTCACTACCTTTATATACAAGAAGATAAGTTGTTAAAACCCTCATAAATAGTAACACTATGAAATAAGGCTCTCACTACCTTTATATGCAAGAAGATGAGTTGTTAAAACCTTTATAAATAGTAAAACTATGAAATAATCTACTGGAATACTTTCAAAACATTATAGCAAAAAGAATGACATCACCTCAAAAATATGTCTGTAAAAGTTAAAATGAAAATCTTAAAAGAGTTCTAAGTAAAATGTTCCAGACTCTATGGAATGGTTTAACTGCTTTCAGGTAGAGCAAAATGTCAT
This sequence comes from Homo sapiens, assembly GCF_000001405.40. Classification (NCBI taxonomy): domain Eukaryota; kingdom Metazoa; phylum Chordata; class Mammalia; order Primates; family Hominidae; genus Homo; species Homo sapiens. Next base: position 96,764,546 of record NC_000001.11, on the reverse strand, counting down.
GTTTAGCAATAATTTTCAGAAAATCCTGCTATTACAGAGTAACAATCACCACTGGCAGAAATATGTATACCTAAAGGGATATTCCAGTTCCGTAGCTACAAAGAAATCACTAGAAAATTAAAGAGACTGTACCTTAGAATTGTCAAGCCTCATAGTCACTGCTAAATAGTTACAAATTTAACAAAATCAAATTCTAATGCTACTTAGGAACAGTTGTATTTTTGAAATATTTCACTTTTATATCTCTTGAAGGAACCAATTCATTAGAAAATGTCCTTACTGTATCAATTTATTAAACATTTATTTACCTGAGATTAAGTTTCTAATAACATGAAATTTTTTCACCTGTAAAATTATTTTTTTCTTTGACAAAAAGCACCTATTCAACAAGTACAGAGAAAGAAAAGTCTGCACAGATAAGGGAAAGGCTGTTGAGACAGATGCCTTAGGAAACAATTCTACAGTAAAATCTATTACAAGAAATATTTTAGATAAAGCTGGAAGCTGGAACATAAAAATGAAATCCTGTACTATATCTGATAACCATAAAAGTGTCCTTGTAACATTGTCTACCAACGTCCTTTTGAGTCATCTGAATTACATGGAGTATTTTTCCAGGCAAATATAATCACCAATTTTTAAAGGTCTTTTATGCTATTTGCTCTTATAAGCAACAGTATTCAAATTGGTGTCTCTTAGAATATATGCAGACTTTCATTTTTGTCAGAAAAAAAATAGAAAAATCTTAAAACTCAGTATTTCCTCTGTACATGGAGGTTAAATAAACTGACTTCTTGTATTAAAACAAGGCTTAAAGGAATTTTATGCCATCATTACAAAAAGATTAGATTGATTCCTTGGTCATGAAGTACATTATATATCATCCCTAAAGCATAGTTAAAAAAACAGAACAGCCCTCCCCCTCCCCCTCCCCCTCCCCCTCCCTCCTCTCCCCACGGTCTCCCTCTCCCTCTCTTTCCACAGTCTCCCTCTGATGACGAGCCGAAGCTGGACTGTACTGCTGCCATCTCGACTCACTGCAACCTCCCTGCCTGATTCTCCTGCCTCAGCCTGCCGAGTGCCTGCTATTGCAGGCACGCGCCGCCACGCCTGACTGGTTTTCGTATTTTTTTGGTGGAGACGGGGTTTCGCTGTGTTGGCCGGGCTGGTCTGCAGCTCCTAACCGCGAGTGATCCGCCAGCCTCGGCCTCCCGAGGTGCCGGAATTGCAGACGGAGTCTGGTTCACTCAGTGCTCAATGGTGCCCAGGCTGGAGTGCAGTGGCGTGATCTCGGCTCGTTACAACCTCCACCTCCCAGCCGCCTGCCTTGGCCTCCCAAAGTGCCGAGATTGCAGCCTCTGCCCAGCCGCCACCCCGTTTGGGAAGTGAGGAGCGTCTCTGCCTGGCCGCCCATCGTCTGGAACGTGAGGAGCCCCTCTGCCTGGCTGCCCAGTCTGGAAAGAAAGGAGGTCTCTGCCCGGCCGCCATCCCATCTAGGAAGTGAGGAGCGCCTCTTCCCGGCCGCCATCCCATCTAGGAAGTGAGGAGCGTCTCTGCCCGGCCGCCCATCGTCTGAGATGTGGGGAGCGCCGCTGCCCCGCCGCCCCGTCTGGGATGTGAGGAGCGCCTCTACCCGGCCGCGACCCCGTCTGGGAGGTGAGGAGCGTCTCGGCCCGGCCGCCCCATCTGAGAAGCGAGGAGTCCCTCCGCCCAGCAGCCGCCCCATCTGAGAAGTGAGGAGCCCCTCCGCCCGGCAGCCACGCCGTCTGGGAAGTGAGGAGCGTCTCCGCCCGGCAGTCACCCCGTCTGGGAGGGAGGTGGGGGTCAGCCCCCGCCAGGCCAGCCGCCCCATCCAGGAGGGAGGTGGGGGGGTCAGACCCCCGCCCGGCCAGCCGCCCCTTCCGGGAGGTGAGGGGCGCCTCTGCCCGGCCGCCCCTACTGGGAAGTGAGGAGCCCCTCTGCCCGGCCAGCCGCCCCGTCCGGGAAGGAGGTCGGGGGGTCAGCCCCCAGCCCGGCCAGCCGCCCCGTCCGGGAGGGAGGTGGCGGGGGTCAGCCCCCAGCCCGGCCAGCCGCCCCGTCCGGGAGGGAGGTGGGGGGGTCAGCCCCCCGCCCGGCCAGCTGCCCCATCCGGGAGGGAGGTGGGGGGGTCAGCCCCCCGCCCGGCCAGCCGCCCCATCCGGGAGGTGAGGGGCGCCTCTGCCCGGCTGCCCCTACTGGGGAGTGAGGGGCGCCTCTGCCCGGCCGCCCCTACTGGGAAGTGAGGAGCCCCTCTGCCCGGCCACCACCCCGTCTGGGAGGTGTACCCAACAGCTCATTGAGAACGGGCCATGATGACAATGGCGGTTTTGTGGAATAGAAAGGGGGGAAAGGTGGGGAAAAGATTGAGAAATCGGATGGTTGCCGTGTCTGTGTAGAAAGAGGTAGACATGGGAGACTTTTCATTTTGTTCTGTACTAAGAAAAATTCTTATCCTGTTGATCTGTGACCTTACCCCCAACCCTGTGCTCTCTGAAACATGTGCTGTGTCCACTCAGGGTTAAATGGATTAAGGGCGGTGCAAGATGTGCTTTGTTAAACAGATGCTTGAAGGCAGCATGCTCGTTAAGAGTCATCACCACTCCCTAATCTCAAGGACCCAGGGACACAAACACTGCGGAAGTCCGCAGGGTCCTCTGCCTAGGAAAACCAGAGACCTTTGTTCACTTGTTTATCTGCTGACCTTCCCTCCACTATTGTCCTATGACCCTGCCAAATCCCCCTCTGCGAGAAACACCCAAGAATGATCAATAAAAAATAAAAAACAAAAAACAAACAAAAAAAAACAGAACAGTAGCGGATTATTCTTTTTTCCCACCAAAAACGAGTCTCCTTTTCCTACTTTTCCCCCTTTGTTAATGGCATCATCTTCTACCAACCCAGTGATTCTAAGACAAAACTCTTTAATATTATTCCAAACTTGTCTTCTTCCAGATAACTCGTTTTATCATTTCCTGCATTCTCCTTCCAAGACCCTAAAATTCAGGACCTTGGTATCTTTGGAATGAACTACCGTAATGTTTTAAAACTATTCTCCCCTCTATACAATACTGATCCTACCTGTGAAATACAAATGGAACAAAAATTCTTTCTAAAATGTAAATCTGTTAAAGTCCAAGCTACACACACACACACACACACACACACACACACACACACACACATCAAATCCCACATCTAGGCCCCTGCTACATGGACTCACCTAGTCATTCCCAATCTCATATTTCTCATTACAGCAAGACACAACTACTGGAAATTCAGAGTTCTCAGAGATAATCTACTGCTTCAAACAACTTTTGGATTTGTTTTGCAACTTAGTTTATTAACATAGGACGTTTCCATCACACCAGAAAATGCCACCATATTCCCTTTCTGTTAATCTCCAACATTCTGGTTTCTAAACAAAAAATTAATGATCTGCTCTTAAACTTTCAAGAAATGGAATCACACTATGTACTCTTTCAGGTCTGTCTGGTTTCTTTTGCTTCATACAATGCTTACTATTCACCCATGTTTTCGCATGTACTACTAACCATTCTTTTGTTATTAGTAAGTAGTAATATACTATATGATTATACCACAATTTATCCATTTTCCTGTTGATAAACATTTGGGTTATTTCAAGTTTGGGACCATTATCAGTAAAGTTTTTGATACACATACAAGTTTTACAGCAAACATGTTCTTACTGGGTAAAAAACTAAAAGTAGAAGTTATGGACCATAAAATAGGTTAATGTTTAACTCCGTAAGAAAATAGTAAACTAGGTCAGACGCAGTGGCTCAGGCCTGTAATCCCAGCACTCTGGGAGGCCGACGTGGGCAGATCACAACGTCAAGAGAGCAAGACCATCCTGGCCAACATGGCGAAACCCAGTCTCTACTAAAAATACAAAAAATTAGCCGGGTGTGGTGGCGTGCACCTGTAGTTCCAGCTACTCAGGAGGCTGAGGCAGGAGAATCGCTTGAACCCAGGAGGCGGAGGTTGCAGTAAGCTGAGATCATGCCACTGCATTCCAGCCTGGTGACAGAGCAAGACTCTGTCTCAAAAAAAAAAAAAAAAAAAAAAAAGCAAACTATTTTCCCAACTATGTTATATACTCAGCAGTAATTAAAGACAGTTCCACATCTTCATCAACATTCGGTATTGCCAATCTATTTAATTTTAGCCATTCTAGTTGGTGTAAATTCTATCTCTAATGGTTTTGACTTGTGATCACCTGATGACTAACATTATCTTTTCATGTGCTTGTTACCCATCCTTATAATGTCACTTCTTTTGCCACTTAAAAAAAAATTGGGCTGCTCATATTTATTGATTGGAGGAGTTTTTTTTTTACAAGTCCTTTGGGATACAAGTCCTTTGTCATTGATATGGTTTGGCTGTGTCCCCACCCACATCTCCTCTTGAATTCCCATGTGTTGTGGGAGGGACCTGGTGGGAGTTAACTGAATCATGGGGGCAGGTCTTTCCAATGCTGTTCTCGTGACAGTGAAGTAAGTCTCATGGTTTTAAAAAGGGGAGAGTTTCCCCGCACAAGCTCTCTTTTCTTTGCCTGTTGCCATCTACGTAAGATGTGACTTGCTCCTCCTTGCCTTCCACCATGATTATGAGGCTTCCCCAGTCACATAGAATTGTAAATTCATTAAACTGGTTTCTTTCATAAATTGCCCGCCCAGTCTCGGGTACGTCTTTATCAGCAGCATGAAAATGGACTAATACAGTCATATGCATGTATTGATACACAAATATTATATTCTCCAAGTCTGTGCCTTGTCTTTTCAATGTCTTAACAATGTCTTTTGATGAAGCAGAAATTTCCCATTTTGATGGAGTCAAGTTTATATATTCCTTTAAGATTTTTCTATTTTAAGAAATCTTCATTTATCCCAAAGTTGCAAGTATATCCTATGCTTTTTCCTAAAAACTCTATATATTAGTTTTTATATAATTAATCTCATTGTTTTATACAGAATGATGTAGGGTTTAAGTTTCTTTTGCTTTTTTGTATGTATATTCAGCTGTTCTAGCACATCTGTTGAAAGGCCTTCTCTTTCTTCACTGAGTGATCAAGGCAACTTTAATGCATGAGTTATTCCCTGAACGCTATTCTGTGTCACTAACTATGCTAGTAGTAAACTGTTTTGGATTAACTACAGGTTTGTAGTGAGTCTTGAGAACTGTGGCAAAATTTACTTTTTCAAAATGGTTTTAATTGTCCTAGCTCCTTTTTATTTCCACATAAATTTTAGAATGTACTCTCAATTTATAAGTCTTTATAGATTCAATGCCATCCCAATTTAGGGAGAACTGGCATGTTAACATATTGAGCCTTCTAATTCATGAACATGGTCTACGTCTTCATGTAAGTCTTTTTAAAACTTCTCTTAGCAGTGTTTCATATTGGTGTAGATGTCTTACATATCTTTTGTCAAATTTTTTTCCTGATATTTTGTCTGATACTTTTATAAACAGATTTTTTAAAATTTCATTTTCTAAGAATTTGCTGCCAAGTATAAGGAGACTATTTCTGTACATAGAACTTGTATCCTATAATTATTCTAAATTCACTTATTAGTTCTACCAAATCTGTTGTAGAGTCCTTCAGGTCTTCTACTTTAAAAAGCATGTTGAATGGTGAATAAGACAGTTTTCTTTCTTCCTTTACAATCTTTATGTCTTTTATTTCACCTGCCTTAATGTAAGCAGAAAGCTAAGGGGAAAAATTGAGAAAACAGACATCCTTGCTTCATTTCTGTTTTTAAGAAGAAAACATTCAATATTTCTCCATTAAGTATGAAATTTGTTGTAGGTTCTTAGTAGATACCCCTTATTTACATTGTAAAAGCTCCTTCTCTTCCTAGTTTTCTGAGAGAAATTCTTCTTTCTTCATTCTATCATTGTGACAAATTACACTGAGTTCATTTTCAAATGTTAAACAAACCTTACAATCCTGCGATAAGTCTCAGAATTGTCTCTCATATTCTACCGGAGGTGATTTACCAACATTTTCTTAAGAATATATGCATTTAGGTTAATGAGAAATACTAGTCTGAAATCTTGATATATTACCCTTGTCAGGTTTTGCTGTCAGTTATAGTGGTTTCATAAAGTGAACAGGGTAGTATTCCCTCCTCCATTTTCAAAGACAGCTAGTATTCCTTTAAAATTTCATAAAATTCAATAGTGAAACCATCTATGACTAGAGTAATCTTTGTGGAAAGATTTTTTTAATTATAAATTCCAATTTGTATAATACAGTAGTATATAGCTGTTAAGCTATATACTTAAGTCAGTTTTGCATTTGTCAAGAAACTTTTCATCTAAGTTGCTGAATTTGTTAGCCTTAACAACATTACTAATATTGACTTATTTTCCTATTATATTCTATATATCTCTGCTTTTATTGAAAGTGCTATCTCCACTTTATATTATTTATGTTATACTATTATACTCTGCATATATCCACTTTCTCTGAAAGTGATTATCTCGACCTTGATTTCCAGTATTGGTAATTTATGTCTTTTTCCTTGGTCAGTCTTAAATTGGGAGTTTTAAACCTTTTTTTGTAATATAGGTATTTGAAGACATACTTTTCACCATACACACCCTTGGGTAGTATCCAACAAATTTTGATATATTTTCATTCAGTCAAAAATATGTCCTTGTGGTAACACTTCTATAATCCATGTATTGTTCACGATTGTGTAATTTCTAATATTTAGTACTTTCCTAGATGTCTATTTTTGATTTCTAATTTAATTCCACTATAGTCAGTCAGATACATTAGCTGTCAATCATTTGAAATTTATTGAGTTATTTTATAATCCAATATAAGGTCTATCATTGTGAATGTTCTATGTACACTTGAAGTTATTTTACAGTTACTGGGTATAGTTTTATAAATGTGAGTTAAGCCAACATGATAGCACTTTTCAAATTATGTATCTTTTTATTTGGGGGCTAGGACTGTACTATCCTATCAATTGCCATAAATTATGTTTTAAAAAACCAGGCTATGATTGTGGATTTTTGTTTCTCTACTTAGTTCTGTGATGTTTTTCTTAATATACTTTGATTTGTTATTATTGGCATACAAATTAAGAAATGTTTTCTGATAAACTGACCCTTCAACATTGTGAAATATGCTTTTTTATATCTGGTAATATTTGTCTTAAATTTTTCTGTCTAGTAATATAATCATATCAACTTTCTTGTGCTTACTGTTTGCACGGAATATCATTTTCCATCTTTTTACTTTCAACCTGCATCTTGATATTTCTACCTGACCCTCGTATTGACAGTGTAGTTAGGCCTTGCTTTTTAATCAAGTCTGACAATCTTTGTCTTTTAACTGGACTACTTAGACCAGTAATATCCAAAAGAAATGCAATGCAAGCGCATGAGTAAATTTTCAAAGACATTTTTCAGAGTAAGTTTAGGTACACAGCAAAATGGAGAGGAAAGCAGAGAGATTTCCCTGCCTCCTGCCCCAAATAGCCTCCCCTTTATCAACATCTCCCACCAGATGGCACATTGTTACAACTGATGAACCTACACTGACACATTATAATCACTCAAAGTCTGTAGTTACCTCCAGGTTCACTCCAAGTGTCTTACATTCTATGGGTTTGGAAAAATGTATGACATGTATCTATCATTATAGTATCATGCAGAATATTTTCAGTACCCTAAAATCCTCTGTACTCCACCAGTTCATCCCTCCCTCCACCCCTAAACCCTAGCAACCACTGATTTTTACTGTCTCCATAATTTTGCTTTTTCCAGAATGTCATATAGTTGGAATCATATGGTATGCAGAATTTTCAGAGTGGCTTCTTTTATTTAGTAATGTTCACTGAAGGTTCTCCATGGCTTGATAGCTCATTTCCATTTAGTGCTGATTAACATTATACTGTCTGAATATACACCACAGTTTATTTGGCCATTCACCTCCTAAAGGACTTCTTGGTTGCTATGAAGTTCTGGCAACTATAAAGAAAGGTGCTATAAACATCCATGTGCTACTTTCTGCGCAGACTAAGTTTTCAACTCCTTTAGGCAAATACCAGGGAGCACAACTGCTGGATCATACAATGAAAGTATATTTGAGATGGAGTCTCGCTCTTGTTGCCCAGGTTGGAGTGAAATGGGCGTGATCCTGGCTCACTGCAACCTCCACCTCCTGGGTTCAAGTAATTCTCCTGCTTCAGCCTCCTGAGTGGCTGGGATTACAGGCATGCACCACCACGCCTAGCTAATTTTGTATTTTTTAGTAGAGATCGGGTTTCTCCATGTTGGCCAGGCTGGTTTTGAACTTCTGACCTCAGGTGATCCGCCTGCCTTGGCTTCCCAAAGCGCTGGGATTACAGGCGTAAGCCACTGTGCCCGGCCGTATAGTTTTCTAAGAAATTGCCAAATTGTCTTCCAAAGTGGCTGTACCACTCTGCATTCCACTGAGCAGTAAGTGAGAGTTCCTGTTGCTCCACATCCTTGCCAGCATTTGGTGTTATCAATGTTCTGAAGTTCGGCCATTCTAGGATGTGTATATGTATTTAAATTATAAAATTTGACAAGTTTTGACATATGCATACATCCATAAAACCACCATCACAATAATTTATATGTCCATCACTCCCGAGTTTTCCTGTGTCCCTTTGCCACCCCTCCTGCCTGTCCTTTCCCACTCTTAAACTCCTAAGAACCATGAATTTGCTTTAGATTAGTTTGCATTTCCCAGAGTTTTATATAAATGGAATCATACAGGATGTAGTCTTTTTTTCTCCCATCTTTTACATAACATAATTGTTTGGAGATTCATTCTTGCTGTTGTGTCTATCAATAGCTCATTCTACATGGCTGTTGTATTCCACTGTATGGAAAAGCATATGATGCCAAAACAGGAATCTACTTATTAGTTCATCTGTTGATGAATGTTTGTTTCACATTTTGGTGATTACAAATAAAATGGCTATGAACATTAACATGAGAGTTTTTTAATGAATAGATGCCTTCTTTTCTCTTGGGTAAATGCTTAGGAGACAAATAACCTGGATCATGGAGAAACTACCAGATTGTTTTCCAAAGTACTACGATTTTACATTCCCATCAGCAGTATTGTGAATATTAACATTCTTCCACATTCTTCCCAACTCATGCTTTCCAAGATGGCACTCTTTTTAATTTTAGTCACTATTAATAGGTTTGTAATATTATCTCACTGTAGTTTTAATTTTCATTTCCCTAATAACTAATGATGCTGACCAGCTTTTTCACGTGCTTACTTACCATCTGTGTATCTTTTGTGCTGTACTACCTGTTCAAATATTTTGGCCAATTCATTGAGTAGTTTGTTGCTTGACTGCTGATTTTACATATACTGAATCTTTTAATATTCTGGATAGAAGTCCTTTATCAGCTATATGCTTTGTTATGATGTTCTTCCAGTTTATGGCTTGTCTTTTCATTCCCTAGCAGTTTCTTTTGAATGGCAGAAGATTTTAATTCTGATGTCAAATTCCATTTTTTAATAGATTGTGCTTTTAGGGTCATATCAAATACATTCCTGCTTAATCCAAAGTCACGAAGATTTTCTGTATTTTTTTCTAGAGATTTTATAATTTTTGGTTTTACATTAGGCCATGATCCATTTGGAGTTAATTTTCATATGCAGTGTGAGATACAGATCCAAGATCATTTTTTTGCATACGGATAGCTCCAACTGCTGTAGCACCCTTTGTTGGAAGTCTACTTTTTCTCCACTGAATTGACTTTGCACCTTTGTCAAAAATCAGTTATCCATAATTGTGTGAGTTAACTTCTGAACTCTCTGCTCTGTCTCACTGACCTATTTATCTTTATGTTATTATGATGCTATTTTTAATTACCGTAGCTTTGCAGTAATTCTTGAAAACTGGTAGTCAATGCTCCAATTTTTCCTCTATTGGCTTTTCGTTATACTTCTTTTTATCTTTTTAAATGAGATTACACTTAGAATTTTGATATGCAACCTTAACAGAATCTTTTTATGTTAGAGTTAACACTGTATCACTTCAGGTAAAATATAAGAACCTTACCACTGAAGAATTCCATTTATCTTCACTTTGTACTAACTGTTGTCATATAAACATCCATTTACATAATAAACCCCATAATACAAAGTTGTTGTTTACATAAAGGCTTTCAAAGAAACTGATAGGAAAAGAGAGAGCCCTTTTAAAATTTATACACATATTAACCATTCCCAGTACTCCTCTTATCCCCTGTAGAGCCAAGTTATGCCATTCAGTCTAAAGAAATTCGCTTTTTTTCCCCCTTTAATACGAGGTGTTGGTCTCCTGTTAGACGTTTTTTTCGCAGCTGTTTAGATTTGCTCTTCATTTCTAGTTTTCAATATTTTGACTACTATGTGTCTAAGTATGGTTCTTTTTATTTAGCCTACATGAGGAGTTTACCTGAGCTTCTTAGGAATGTAAGTTGATATATTTTATTCAAATTTTAGAAGTTCTCAGTCATTACTATCTCAAACAGATAGATGTTTTATTCCCCCACATTCTCACTCTGAAATTCAACTTACATGTCAGACTGCTTCATTGTCCATTAGATATACTTTCTCCTCTCTGACAGATTTAATCACTGTATTCAACAGTATTCAAGTTCACTAACATTTCTTCTATTGTCTCCAATCTGCTACTAGTTCCAACCAGTGAATCAGTCCCAACTATTTCAAAAACTGTATTTTTCAATTAGAATATTTCTACATGCTTTCTTTATAGTTTTTTATCTCTTCAACACACTCCTCCATCACTCATTATTTCAATCTTTTCCTTTACAGCTTAAAATACTTATCGTCCTTGTCTGCTAATTCTAACTCTAGGTCATTTTGGAATCTGTTCCTATTAAATGTGTTCTTTATATTTCATGGGTTACTTTCCTGCTTCTGCACATCACTTGTAATTTTTGATGGTATACTAGATATTATGGAAGATAGTTGCAGGAAAACTATATCATGTCTTTCTTGGGGGTGTTGTTTTGTTTTGGAAGGCAACTAAATTACTGATTAATCCTTCATCAGTTACTGGTTAGATTAACTGGTGAATCCTTCACTTCCTATCGGGCTAGGTTTCTGGTTTTTATCTCAGTCTTATAGATGGCACTTCCTATAGGGTGTGATCCTTTCTATTCAGGTCCAGGCTTTCTGTAGTCTAAATGGAGTGTTTGAAGTACCCTGCAATATGTCTGCATTCTGACTTCTCAGAACTCCAATGTTTCAGAGTACCGTGCAACCTATGGAATCACCATTTAGCCCCAGAGCAGACAATTTCTGACAGACCTGGCAAAGCCTCAACCTGCACACATGTAACCAAGTCATTATCCAAAACTGTGAATGAAGTGAAATGACCATACTAAATTCTGCCCCCTGCTCTATTCCTAAACCCCTAGACAGCTCTCTTTTCTCCAGGACTTCTCCATAAATTCCAAATGATTGGGCAGCCCTGACACCCACTCTTGGTCTCTTCAGCTCAGTGAGACCTGTATACTCTGGGCTCTCCACTTCTCTGTGGTTTAGAGCAGTAAAATAGTCCAAGACAGAAAGCCAGAGTGTTCATGATACTTACCTCACGTGTACCCCTTCTCTCAAGGATGATCTTATACCGTCTGCTCATCACTTCCAAACAACAGTTGTTCCACGTATTTTATTCAGTTACATACTTTTTGGTTTTGGGGGGAGACTGAAAAAGGGGCCAAGGCTGCTACTAGTTACTCTGTCACTAGCCCTAAATATTTGGAAATTAATTCCAAATTAATTTCCCATTATCGATCACAGTATGCATTGTAAAAACAAAAAGAGAAACCGACAAACCAGAGTTACACACTTCTGCCTATTTGTTCAATTATGTGTACATGGTACTTTGACTATCAAAATCAAGGCCCAGTGATTTTGCTTTGTAATCATTACATAGCAAAATCAATGATAATGACCTGTTGACAAATTTATCTTCACATCATGACTATTATCTGTTAAGTCCTTATAATTTTTAGTTAACTGAATTGTCAGAGATGTGTGTTTGTGTTTGTGTGTGTCAAGATGTATGTATACATTAAGCACAGCTACCTAAGGGAAATCAAAATGTCTTCTAGTCTTTCATGATCCTTTTATTGCCAAATATAATTTGTTCTTCAAGCAAATAATTCAAAGTTAAAATACAGAAAAAGGAACTTTGGTTTCAGGTAAATAATGTAAAATGTGGAGTTGTGAGGTAAATTCATTTGATAATAATAATAATCAAATTCAAAATTTGGCCCATTCAGATGAGAACACGTCAATTCAAGCAAAACTAAACAAAATACAAAAAAAAATTTGGCCCATCAGCCATAAAACTAAGGTCTAAAATTTGGTCTATATTGTTTTACTGACAGATGCTACAAACAACATTATTTCAGACATATACAATTTTTTTTAACTCTAACTTTGAAGATTAAAACAAATCATCTTAAATATGCAGGTAGACAACATAAAAGGATCAACTCAGAATTAAAATACTGTTTCAGCAAAAAATTAGTTAAAACCATAGCAACTATGGTTGCAATGGTTTTAAACAACTATGTAGCTGAATTCTTCGGTTTTTACTTAAAATTTGGGTTTTAGGGTTTGTGGCATAAATACTTAAAGTAAAAATATTATATGACACACAAACACAAAAAATAAAAACAAAATAAAAATACCAGAGGGGCAGATGAAGGGACTATAATGTGAGACAGAATTACATTTGTGGTTCAAAAATGAAAAGCAATCAAATTTAAGAGTAACTTGTTCACCAAAGTTACCAGCTTCAGGTTTTTTTTTTTTTTCCACTCGGCTCATATATACTTTAGTAAAATTTACTCTAAAATGTTTCAACACGCATTTAAAAAGAAAGGCTTTCCTGGTATAACAGGGTTAAATTTGAGTTTTAACATTCTGCCCCCTAAAATGGCAAATGACAGACTGCTAAGAGAGTAACACTTACCTGTAACTACCATGCTGCTCATATTAGAGTTCGGACTACTGAGAACACTGCCTGAGAGTAGTTCGTCAGATCCTCTCTATGAAAACAAAAACAAATTAGCATAAGACATCTTTAAATTTAAAAATATTAATCTAAAAGCCTTTCACTTAAATGTCAAATGTTACACTATTGGGAATAGTTAAAAATGTTAATCCCTATAATAAAAAATTAACTTCATCCCTCTACTCTCCCATCTATCCCTCTCCCATTCTCACAAAGGCAACAGTGTTCCCTTCCCTTCTTTACTCTAAGCCCAAAAGACAATAAATAGAAAAAGTGATTAGATTCTATAAGCAAAAGCTTTGGAAAGCTATCTCAATTGTTTACAAACAAACCAAAGCCACAACAGCTAGACTTTCTCAGAAACGTTCTATAAATCCTCCATCCCAATGGTCCTTTATTCATCCAGATAATTCAGGTCTTTAGAAAATTAGAACTTCATTCTGGTGAGTTAGATATCAATATCTTCATCATTATTAAAATTAAACAGGTATATACTTCAGTGGCTAGAACACCGAAAGCAAAGGCAAAATCTTTGGAATGAAGAGATTTCTTTCTGCAAAAAAATAAGGTCATGTCTTAAAATTCTTTACAGAAAAGGTTATACATTCATCTCTTCGGTAACTGCACAGTTGTTCAAACCAGCCAGTGACATTTTAGCTATTTTGAAAATGTTATGTACTTACAAAAATATGAATGGACTAATATTTAAACTAGCTAAAATCAACTGTTTTGCCTTAGTTATGGATATTTACATACATGGATATTAGTATTGAAAATAGGTTAAATTAATACTGGCTGATTTAAAAAATCAGTACAAAGAAGTTAAATGCAACCATCAAAATGAAAAAAATGTGCAAAGGAGGCAATGAATTATCAAAGCATTTCAGAAAGTCCAAAAAATCCAAATTAACCATAAGCTTTACGCTAATTTGTATTTAAACTCATAATGAATAAACTGTATTACAACAAATATGAGAAGAGTAAACAGATATCCATAGGTTGTCTCCCTTAAATATTTTAAGAGCTTTCTACTTATTAGCATCAAATGCACAAAGAAAAAAAAAAACAGAAAAATACAACCAGTTTCAAGCCACATTGATACTGTATTTACACCAAGCCTAATTTCTTAACCAATTTCTAATCAAGATATGGAAGATCTGGCATGGCATAGTTTTATAAGAACATGATGAGCAGAATTGTATACATTACTGATTCTCACAGTGTAGTCCCTAAGATCTAATTGAATACTCTAATCATTCTCAAAGTGTGGTCCCTAATCCTAAGATTAGACCTGGAAGCTTACTGACAGTATATGTTCTCAGGTCCAATCCCAGACCTACTGAATAAGAAACTCTGAGGGTGGGATCTAAAAACCCCAGGTTTAAAAAAAAAAATCCCCAAGTGTTTCTGATGCATGCTAAAGTTTAAGAACCACTGATACACATTATTGGCTCATTATCAACACAGAAAATGTTTCCTAGCTTTCTTCATGTTTTCATGACAAGTAGAAAATACTGTATTAAGAAAGGGTGCTCTGGAGCTCAGCTTCCACTTATCAGTTAGGTAACAGTACTTAATCATTCTAAGCCTGAAGTTCTTTATTTGTAAAACAGGGATAACATCTACATCACAGCCCTTAGGATTAAATTATACACGAACAGTGATTACCAGGCAAAGTGCCTGGCTCACATCAGTAGTGCTCACTACAATATTCCCAAGTGTCAACCAAGTACAATGTCCCCACATATTTATTGACTAAGTAAGTGAATTACGTTATTAACTGTTACATATTTTTTGGCCTTTGTTCTCAGACCAAAAAAACTGAAGGTCAAGTTACTCCACATACAAAATCAAAGTTTGCCCCTCCCACAGGATAGAGAAATAAAGCCAGCTCTTCCATAAATCCACAGAAGTCCAGATCAGATATTCTAAAAGTAAGAAACAAAAACAAAACTTAAGTGATGCTTAAAGTTTTACTCACCTGAACAAAATTCCTAATCAAGTAAAATATTGTCAATGCCTTATTTGTTCCTTAGTTCACAAAAACACTTTAACTCTCCTAGTTTTCAAAAATATACTTGACCTCTTTTCAAATGTATTATTATCAGCTTATTCTTCTGATGTTTGACTATTTGTGAATTCAAATCCTTCCATACACCTAGAGTATACACACTGTAAAACTTGTGATTGCAGTGGATCACAAGTAACTTTGGAAGACGATAGGTGGGGAATCTTGGGTCTACTCAAGTAGAAAAGCAAGCCTCTAATACTGACTTGTGGTGTGCTATGAAGGACACTCTTCCTCCTTCCTGCAATGCATCTTTTTGCATGGAAAAGTCTTTCCATTTTTTTTTAAGTTTGTATTTATGAACTTTTTTCTTCCTCAAATGATTTCATACCTGCCGTTAAGAGAGGAGATTTAACAGCCTTCATTACTGAGAATAACGTCAAATTATTTGCAATTTTGAGATTTTACAAAAATTACTGGAGTATTTTTACAAATTACATTTTTATTTGAAAAAAGCAATTATGCCTGTCTTTGCATTGAGCAAAAAGCTTACCACTATTATGCCCAAAAGAAGTGATTCAGCACTACTGATAAATGTTAACATTACCACATTAACTGACAGAATAATTTCATCTGAATTATTTCAGCCTGGTCATTTAACTTACAATGTATATGAAATAAATGATCAATGGTAGTGATTGATGACTGCCCCACATTAATGACTGTTGAAACAAATCAAATTAGTGGTACTTAGAATCAAAATACTAAAGAATACATGCTCTTTAAAAAATTTTTAATTAATCTAAGAATGATATCAATTTTAGATTCAACTAAAAGAAATTAAATGTTAAGACTAGCATAGATATCTCTTATTAAATCTGACCACAGAAACTTTTCTTCCTGAGTAATATCAATGACCATTTCAAGAGAAACTAACATCCCACAGAAACAAGAAAATTCAGAAATAGGAAGATACACTCTACACGTCAGAGAAAGAAACCACTTAAAAAAAAATGTGCAAAAGCAAGTACAGATTAAAGGCCATTTAGCACTCATTTCAATGTTACAAATTTCTTGTTTTTTATTCTCATGGTTATTAGATACTCTGTTTATCATAATAGTCTAGTCCAACTATTAATACCATGTATCACTTTCAGGTGGAAGAGCTGCCAGGTCTGCGAAGAAGGCAACCAAGGACTGAAGGCTGAGGGTGACAAGAGTCTCTGGGCTCTGCTATGGTTTGGGACTGAGAACTAACCAAACATTTTCTCCTGTGGAGATGGCAGCCTAGGGAACCATGACAGAAAGACACCGGGCAAGGACACAAATATTAAGTTCCTGAGGAAAAATAGATTATCAGAGAGGAAGAAAGGTACGTACCCAGGTGAGTATTCCTGGTCTCCTTAAACAGAGGTGCCACCAAGATGATGAAGAAGTGGACTGAATACCACCTACCTATTAAAGACTTGCAAAAGCCCTGACTCACGCAACCAATAAAAATAGAGAAAACAATGGTACAATGAAGAGGATCAGTAAAATCAAAAGCTGACTTTAAAAAAAAAAGACAATGAAATACACAAATACAGGGAAAACTTTTTTTTTAAACAAGGAGAAGAGCACAATCACACATCAACAGACCACATAGCCAAGAACAAAAGCCTAGGGATCAGTGAAGCAACAATATGAAAGAAACTTGGCCCAGTGAATAACCTTATGGAGCAGACTGATACCACTTTCTTATACCAACAGGACTTCTGCTATGACAGAAAAAGAAACAAAAAAACTCTTTTATTTATGCCACCATATTCTGCATTTTGTTATGATAGTTTTTTCAGCCTTTGCCTTACGATATATATACCTGTAATATGAAAAAGTCATTACAGAGATTTCAATTTAATTGACTATCTTAATAAGGGCAAAAAAATGAAACCAGATCCCTACTAAATACAATACACAAAAATAATTTTCTGATAAATATAAAAAGCAAAATTTTTTAAAATTTCAGAAGAAAATATAGTATCTTTATGAACTCTGAGTATGTAAGGATTTTTAAATTAAGACACAAGAAAACTGAACATGAAAGAAAATACTGATAAATTCTACTACAAAAATCTCTATAAGAAACCGTATCACAGCAACAGTTGAAAAGCTAAAAACTGTTATTTGGGATTGCCTTCAAGACTTCCAGCAATCAACATGGAAGATGTCCAGAAGAGCAAAGGAAAATTTGGAATGTGTAAAGAATGGGATCATATAAATTATTTTTATCTAAGATGCAAAGGGAATTTGTGGCCACATTAAAACTATACATTAAGAATCTGTATTAATCCGCAACAATATGCACTGGGAACTAGTGGTGGGGGGAGGGAGAAAGGATTGTAAATCTAACTGTTGGGTACTGAGCTCACTCTCTGGCTGACAGGATCACTTGTATTGCAAACCTCAGCTTCATGCCATATACCCATGTAACAAACCTGCACATGTAACCCTGAATCTAAAGTAAAGTAGGAAGGAAGGAAGGAAGGAAGGAAGGAAGGGAGGGAGGGAGGGAGGGAGGGAGGGAGGGAGGGAGGGAGGGACAGACGGACGGAGGGAGGGGGAGGGAGGGAGGGAGACAGACAGACAGACAGACAAGACAGCATAAAGAAGTGACAAGGCAAGCTACAAACTGGGAAAAGACACCAGCAACACAAATAACCAAAAGACAATCAGTAACTGTAAAACACACACTTTTTTTTTTTTTTTTTTCAGACAAAGTCTTGCTCTGTCACCAAGCTAGAGTGCAATGGAACGATCATAGCTCACTGCAGCCTCAAACTCCTGGGCCCCACAAGCAATCCTCCTCCTTCAGCCTCCCAAAAAGCTGAGATTACAGACGCAAGCCACCGCCCCCAGCAATTTTTTAAAACTACAAAATCAGTTAAATAATAAGCTCACATTTTATCAAGCAAAAAACACAAATAGGCATTTAACAGAATTTCACAAAAGAGAAACATCCATGGCCATAAATGTGGGGGGAAAAAAGATGTAAGACCTCATTAATAATCAGGGTAAGACAAAGGAAGACCAGAGAATATACTACACACCAAATTGTTAAAAATTAAGAAATTAAATACCTAGCCAAGTGCTGGTGGGGATCTGAAACAGCAAGAACTCCTACGCACTACTGGTGAGAACATAAATAGGAACAATACACTGGAAAATAATCTAGTACTGTCTCATAAAGTTTATTTTACACACTAGTAATATATACCTATACCTTTAAATATACCCTCTCAAAAACGCTTGCATAAATGCACCAGGAAACAAGTACAAAGAAGTTCACAGCAGTATTGTTCTTAAAGTCAAAATCTTTTTTTGTTGTTGTTTTTTTTTGTTTGTTTTTGAGATGGAGTCTCAGTCTGTCACACAGGCTGGAGTGTAATGGCGCGGTCTCAGCTCACTGCAACCTCCGCCTCCTGGGTTCAAGCGATTCTCCTGTCTCAGCCTCCTGAGTAGCTGGGACTACAGGCACCCACCACCATACCCCGCTAATTATGGTATTTTTAGTAGAGATGGGGGTTTCACTATGTTGGCCAGGCTGGTCTCAAACTCCTGACCTTGTGATCTGCCCGCCCTGGCCTCCCAAAGTGCTGGGATTACAAGCTTGAGCCACCACGCCCGGCCTAAGTCAAAATCTTTAAATATTCAAATGTCCATCAACCCAAATGTCCAATAAAAGATAAAATGGGTATTTTCACAAAAGAGTATATCACAGCAATGAGTATTATAAAACTATCCAAAAAATACGGCTATTTATTAGAATCATTATTGAATTAAAACACAAGACATGGAAAACATTATATAGGCATACCGTTTCCATAAACTAAAAAAAAACTAAATATATTTTTGTCATTTACATGAAAAATCCATATTGAAAAAATAAGGCAAAAGTTGTGGCAGCCACCTACCCATGGCAGGGTAAGAAGGGGGATTAAAAAGCAATATTGGGCTGGGCGCAGTAGCTCACACCTATAATCCCAGCACTTTGGGAGGCCGAGGCAGACGGATCACGAGGTCATGAGATCAAAACCATCCTGGCTAACAGGGTGAAACCCCGTCTCTACTAAAAATTCAAAAAATTAGCCGGGTGTGGTGGCGGGTGCCTGAAGTCCCAGCTACTCGGGAGGCTGAGGCAGGAGAATGGGGTGAACCAGGGAGGCGAAGCTTGCTGTGAGCCGAGATGACACCACTGCACTCCAGCGTGGGTATCAGAGCAAGACTCTAAAAAAAAAAAAGCAATATTGCTGCATATGGAATATACAATAGTATTGGTAACATTCAAGTTTTTTTATTTGAGTGACAGGTTCATGATGTTCATTTTCTTATATTTCATAACATTCTCACAAATAAACTTTGATTAATATAACAAAAAAGATTCTAGGGAGAAAACTATAAGGATAAGGTGATCAGGTATTTTGTCACCCAAAATGGGATACATTTGTGAGAGGACAATTACACCTGAAAACAGACATAAAACATGACAATAAGAAACCTGAATAAGAAAGAATAACAATCAGAACGTTTAAATAAGACATTTAAGTAAAACCGGGCATGTTATAATAATCATTTTTATCATAATTTAGTAAGTATAAAGGCTTTGCTAACAAGTGGAAATAGTAAAAGAATGATCAAACCATAATCAAAATGGTAGATTAAGATGATCACATTATTTTATAAACAATGTACACAAAAAGTAAGAATAAGGATAATTTAAAGAACTTAAGACACTACATAGATAGCCAATACTATCACCTACAAGAAAGATAAGATGCTCTCTGAAAGACTACAAATGATTTTTAATACATGACATACTAAATGACACTTCCCACAAATAAAGCTATCCCTAAGTTATGGTTGTTTTGCTAGCTAATCTTCACTGATCAAGACATAAGACGTGGAGAGCTAGTATTCTGGTCTTCTGTTCTATGTAATAAGACATTTTTTAAAATAGCATTTATTGCATATTTTAATACAGGTATATATACAACAGGGGGACTCATGGACTATAATCTTTCTCCCCAGATAACCCCATTGACATTTTCTACGTTAAAAAAATTCAAACATTAACTGAGAAAATTAAAAAATATATATATATGTAAAGAAGTTCTCGTTTACTTTTATTAATTATCCTGAATTTTCATACAACTCTTTTCCTCAAACTTACATATATACATGGTTTTGTTTTTAGATGGAATCTCAGTCTGTTGCCCAGGCTGGAGTGCAGTGGCGCAATCTCGGCTCGCTGCAACCTCTGTCTCCCGGGTTCAAGTAATTTTTCTGCCTCAGCCTCCCCAGGTTCAAGCAATTTTTCTGCCTCAGCCTCCCGAGTAGCTGGGACTATAGGCGCGTGCAACAACAAAGGGCTAATTTTTGTATTTTTAGTAGAGACGGGGTTTCACCACATTTTATTTTTAGTAGAGCCAGGCTGGTCTCAAGCTCCTGACCTTGTGATCCAACCACCTTGGCCTCCCAAAATGCTGGGATTACAGGCTTTAGCCACCGTGTTTTTAACATTCATACAAAATAAAAACCCACACAACACACACACCATACAAGCTGCTTAGCATTGTTCTCTTTTCATTTAATAAAACAGCTTAGAAATTTAAAAAAAAGAAGAATGATTACTGCAATACACTAGAAAATAAATGTTATTAAACTCTTTGCTGTTGCGACGATACTAACAGCAACAAAAAGGAACTCATATTGATTATACTGGAGGTTTTAGGGTAACAACTCATCAGAAAACTTAAGAAGTCAAATTCTCTCCTGCTTTTCTTATAAAAAGGTACTTACGTATGACCAAACAGTTGATGGATATAATTCTTAAGAATTCTAATATACACAGAAAAAAAGAATAGCGCCACTTTTGCAATACCTAATAAAAGTATGCAATCATTAGCTACTAAAAACTATTAGGTGAAAGGATGATGCGCTCTGTAATAGATGGAGCAAGCTGACATACAACAGGAATTACATAGAGTACATCTGCAAAATATTCTTGGTAAAAATTACACCAGAGTCTGATCAAACCCCTGTATTTCAGGTAAACTTGTTTACATGAAGAACATATGAAATGACAACACAGCGGTACAATCAGCAGAATCCAGAAAGTGGAATTTTTTTTTTTTTTTTAAGACGGAGTCTTGCTCTGTCACCCAGGCTGGAGTCCAGTGGCGCCACTGCAAGCTCCGCCTCCCGGGTTCACACCATTCTCCTGCCTCAGCCTCCCGAGTAGCTGGGACTACAGGTGCCCCCCACCACGCCTGGCTAATTTTTTCGTATTTTTAGTAGAGACAGGTTTTCACTGTGTTAGCCAAAATGGTCTTGATCTCCTGACCTCGTGATCTGCCCGCCTCAGCCTCCCGAAGTGCTGGGATTACAGGCGTGAGCCACCACGCCCAGCCAGAAAGTGGAAATTGTACAGATGACTCACTTTATCTAACAACAACAAAAAAGAAAAGGCAAGAAAAATAAAATAATGAAAAGAAAGTATTCTGAATACTGGAGATTAGACGACATTAAGAAATTATTTTAAACTTTATAATGGTACCAATGTCACATTTAATAGAGAGACACACATTCTGATATATCTGCAGATTATATGAAATGATCTGAGATTTGCATTAATATTATCCAACAGAAAAAAGTGTATTATATACCATTCCCTCTACTTTTGTGTAGCTTAAAACCTTTAAATGAAGTTTACAATAAAAAGAGAACTCTAAAAGTAAAAAAAAAAAAAAAAAGCCAAAGCTATCAGCTGATTACCTTTAACCTTGAATGCATTTTAAAAGAAAATAAAGGAGTTCAGGATCAAATTAAAGTGAATCCCTCCACTGCCCCCAACAAAAAAGAAAACAAGTAAAAAGGTTGGTTCTTTGAAAAGACCAGTAAAATAAATTCTGTGACAAGACAAATCAAGAAATAGGAGAAAACATAGGTGCTTGATATTAGTAATAAAAGAGAGAATTCAAAAATGCTATACAATTCTGAGAAATTTGAAGCTTTCAATAAAACAGTTTTCTAGGAACGTACTCAATAAACCAATAATTTTAGAAATATTGAAATATTAGTCCAAGTATCCCTGTTCCCTCATCCCTTACATATAAGCTGTTTAAAATCCTTTTAATATATTTTCTGCATTAAGCATGTCTCTTAGGGAAAATACCATGAAGAAGAAAGTGGAAAATTCTTCAAAGAAATGTTATAGTTCTCTGCCTTTCAGCTCAAAAAAAATTGCCATTTTATTTTGATAATGCAGCTATAATGTTCTCCCAATTAACTACTAAATTTAAGGCAAGTATAAATAAGACCCAAAGAGCCTTCACAGAACTTAGCCAAATGATCTTAAAATAAATGCAGTGAAGAAAACACCAAGACAATTTTGAAAAACAAAGTTTTGACACTCACTGTACAAGATTCCAAAACTTAATGCTGATGCCATAAGTAATTAAGACACTGTTGTACTGCTACAAGACATAGCACAGAAATGGTTCTGTGAATATACGGAAACCTGAAGAGCTGAGAAAGCAGATCATTGGAGAAAAGCTGAGCTATTCAATCAAGTACATACTAAGCTTGCTATCCATATAGAAAAAATAATTAAACCTGTAACATATGCTACACAAAGAATAAATTCCAGGTAGATTAACGCCATAAATGTGAAAATCAAAATTTTAAAACTTTCAAAATAAAATACACAAGCCTATACGTAAGGCCTTAGGTTAAATGTTTTTTTAAAAGAAAAACATAAATGTCCCATTAAAATTTACAACTATTCATCAGTGTAAAAAAAACAGGTCAGAGAGAGGAGAGAGTTATCTGTAGGACATGTAACTAACAAAACAGGCCAGGCACAGCGACTCACGCCTGTAATCTCAGCACTTTAGGAGGCCAATGCGGGAGAACTGCTTGAGCCTGGGAGTTCGCAACAAACCTGGGTAATACAGTGAGACTCCATCTCTACAAAAAAATTGAAAAATTAGCTGGGCATAGTGGTGTATTCCTGTAGTCCCAGCTACTCAGGAAACAAAGGTGAGAGAATTGCTAGAGCCTGGGATGTCAAGACTGCAGTGACTGTGACCGAGCCACTGCACTCCAGCCTGGATGACACAGTGAGACTCTGTCTCTCAAAACAAAAACAAAAATGAAACAAAACAAAACAAACAAACCAAAAAAAATAACAAAACAATTAGTCTGCACAGTATATAAAAACTCCCAGGAATCAATGTTTTTTTTTTTTTGCATTAATAGGGAATGCAAATTAAAACCACAAGATATCCTTCCCATGTACATTTGATCAGCAAAATTAAAAAGTCCAACAATGCCGATTTTCAAAGAATGTATAGAAACAAGAATCTACATGCAGCGCTAACAGTATAATTAATATAATTACCTATGAAAGCAATATGTTAATATTCAATCGATTTGAAAAGACACAATCTATGAGAAACTCTAATATTAACACGTTAGAATATGCATATTAATGCTTACAGTAGCAGTTTGTAATGGAAAAAAATTTAAAATATTTGACAAATCAATCTCGTCAAATATTAACTCATTTGTCAAGATGATATATTCATATATCATATACTATATGGCAATGAAAATATATATATATATAAACTTAACAAAAATAACACTGAACAAGAAAAGCAAATTACAGAATACATACAGCATGATAGTACATCTATAGTTTAAACATGCAAAACAAAACCATATATTGCTTAAGATAAAAATACATAAACATGTAGTAAATGAGAAATTTATGGGAATGGTAAACATCAAATTTAGTATAGTAATTACCTGGAGTGGAGAAGTATGGGTCAACTATATGCAGGGTATTATCAACTCAATGCTTATGTTTCCCCAAAAATCACATGCTGAAGTCCTAACCCCAAATGTGATGCAATTTTGAAACAGGGCCTTTAGGAGTTAACTGGAGGATTTCATGAGATCATGAGAGTAAGGCCTTCATGATGGGATTAATGCCTTTATGAGAAGAAATACCAGAGAGCTTCTGCCACCCACTCCCCCAAAGTGTGCTCACAAAGAAAAGGTCATGTGAGGCACACAAAGTAAAATGGTGGCCTCACTTCAAGAGAAGTGGCCTCAGAAGGAAAGTTGCCTTGCTGGTACCTTGATCTTGGACTTCCCAGTTTCCAGAACTGTGAGAAAACGAATCTCTGTTTTTTAAGTCACTCAGTCTATGGTATTTTGTTATGGAAGTCTGAGTTATGACACAGGGGGCTTCAAATGAACTTTTGTGTACCACAATGGAATGCTATGTAGCCTTAAAAAGGGAGGAAATCTTGTCACATGCTACAAAATGGATGGACCCTGAGGACATTATATTAAGTGAATATAAGCCAGTCACAAAAGGACAAACACAACCTGAGCATTCCTAATCTGAAAATCTAAAATCCAAAATGCTCCACTAAGCACTTCCTTTGAGCATCAAGTAAGTGCTCAAAAAGTTTCAGATTGGCCAGGCGCGGTGGCTCAGGCCTGTAATCCCAGCACTTTGGGAGGCCGAGGCAGGCGGATCACGAGGTCGGGAGATAAGAGTCCATCCTGGCTACAGTGAAACCCCGTCTCTACTAAAAAATATATATATATATACAAAAAATTAGCCGGGCGTGGTGGCGGGCGCCTGTAGTCCCAGCTACTCAGGAAGATGGCGTGAACCCGGGTGGTGGAGCTTGCAGTGAGCAGAGATCGCGCCACTGCACTCCAGCCTGGGCGACAGAGTAAGACTCCGTCTCAAAAAAAAAAAAAAAAAAAAAAAAAACACACACCAGTTTCAGATTTTGTAGCATTCAGACTTTGGATTTTCAGATTAGGGATGCTTAACCTATACTGTATAATTCCACTTATGTGAGGTATTTAAAGTAGTCAAATTCATAGACACAGAAAATAGAATGCTGGTTACCAGCAGAAGGACAAAAGAGGGAGTTTTAAAATCAGTATAGAGTTTCAGTTCTCCAAAAAGTTCTGGAGATGGGTTTTGCAATGTAATATTATTAAGTACGTATAAGAATAATTAAACAATTTAAGTGTACACTTAAAAATGGTTAAGATAGTAAATTTTATGTGTTTTTTTGTACAATTAAAAAGATTTATATCAAGTTATGCAACGTTTTTTAAAGAAACAAGAAAATATCAGGGTTTAATCAATTAAGCAACATTAATAACTTTATCAATATTAATAACTTTATCATAAAATACTTAAAATGTGGAATATAGAGAAAATATATAAAGAATTACAAAAAACTAATCCCATCAACCTGGAGAAAACTACTCTATTTTGGTACACTGCCCTCCAGCTTTTGGGGACACATATAAATTGTATGCATTTGTCAAAGTTATTTTTAATCCTACTTTTCACACATATGAAAAATATTTAAAAAACATTTGTAATGTTTATGAACAGAATTTATTCATTGTCTTATCACTGAACAGTTGTTATTTCTACTATTTAAATAATGCTGTAATCAGCATCTAAAAAATATACTTATCTGATCATTTTTTCCTTATGAGTTACTAGACATAAAATACTAGGAAAAGAATACGAAACAAAGCATTATTTTCTAAAGCACTACTCCTACATTAGAAGTGTCCATTTCAGCCCAGATTTTTTAAAGTGGTATTTTGGTATTTAAACCGACATATATTTGAATTGTACATAAGAGAGAAAGATTATAAAGAGCTCCTACCAATATCATTGTCTTATTTAATCTTCACAACAATCATGCAAGTTAGAAATTATTATCCTCAATATTACAAACTAGGAAAGGGAAATTCAGATTATAAAAGACTTGTTCATAATCACTTAAGTACAACAGGGGCTCAAACCCAATCAATCCAACAATGCAAAGTATTTCCGAGGCGGGCGGATCACAAGGTCAGGAGATCTAGACCATCCTGGCTAACACGGTGAAACCCCATCTCTACTAAAAATACAAAAAATTAGCCAGGTGTGGTGGCAGGCACCTGCAGTCCCAGCTACTCGGGAGGCTGAGGCAGGAGAATGGCCTGCAGTGAGCCGAGATCCCACCACTGCACTCCAGCCTGGGCAACAGAGCGAGACTCCATCTCAAAACAAACAAACAAAAAAAACTCACCTTATTAATTCAATCAAACCAAAGCCAAGCAAGAGTTTATATATATATATACCACTCCTTTTTATAATAGTTGAACTATTAAGACAAAGAACTGGAAATGGGTGTAGTAGATGTTTGCTACAATTTGAATAAATGAGGGAAGAGTGCTTAAAACAAATAGCAAACACATATGTCTTACCTGAAACCCTGCTAATAGCTTGCCTAGACAACTATCTGTATCAAATAGCAAAGTATCTTTCTGAGAAGTTAAGGAAAGTGGAACTGTGTTTATTGGAGTTCAACACTTACAAAACCTAACTCTTCCTCAAAAGTTCATCACAAATGAAGATTAGAAGCCTTAAAATGGCCCATAAATATTTAATCAACAGCGTGGCATGAAAGCAAGCTAGTAAAAAAAAAGAAACGTTACTACAACAGTAGTTATGAAAACATATATAACAATACTCACAAAGAATCAAGTTTATTTAAACATAAATACTGATAGGAGAAAGCAGGTTCAATTTTCAAAGGTCCTCACTGCAAATCCTTTGCACTCAAAGCTCTCCATATTACTGTCAAAAACTACTTTTTAAATTTTGTCTTCTACTACTCTAACTCAACCTACATTCCAAAAAATTACTTACTTCCTCAACATGTCCCAATTTTCCTCATCATTACTTGTTTTTGTAGCTTTAAAAGTGAACAAAAACAATGCCACTCTTTCCTGCAACCAGACAAGAAAATTTTGCCCTTAAAGGCTCTAAACAACCCTTCATAGAACCTTTCCACGCTATTAACATATAAGCTCACTTTGTGTCTTTCCTTTTTTTTTGCCTTCTTTTGGATTATACATCTTTAATTTCAGTCAACCCCCCTCCCCAATTATTTGCGTTCTATCTCTATTGCATTTACCCTTAGGATTTTAAAATGCAAGCTTATCTGATTCACTCTGGCACTGTCCAAAAGAAACGTAGTATGAACCATAAATATAATCTCATAAATTTCTATTAGCCACATTTTTAAAAGTAAAAAGAAAAAGTGGGCCGGTCGCAGTGGCTCACGCCTGTAATCCCAGCACTTTGGGAGGCCAGGGTGGGCAGATCAGGAGGTCAGGAGATCGAGACCATGGTAAAACCCATCTCTACTAAAAATACAAAAAATTAGCCGGGTGTGGTGGCAGGCGCCTGTAGTCCCAGCTACTCGGGAGGCTGAGGCAGGAGAATGGCGTGAACCCAGGAGGCAGAGCTTGCAGGAAGCAGAGATAGAGCCACTGTACTCCAGCCTGGGCAACAAAGGGAGACTCCGTCTAAAAAAAAAAGAAAGAAAGAAAAAGGTGGCCAGACTCAGTCCTGTAATCCCAGCACTTTGCAAGGCTAAAGCAGGAGGATCACTTGAGCCCAGGAGTTTGAGACCAGCCTAAGCGATACAGCGAGACGCTGTCTCTACAAAAAAAAACTCAAAAATTAGCCAGGTGTGGTGGCACACAACTGTAGTCCCAGCTACTTGGGAGGCTGAGGTGGGAGGGTCACTGGAGCCCAGGAGGTTGAGGCTGCCATGATCATGCCACGGCACTCCAGCCTGGTGGACAGAGCAAGACCCTATCTTAAAAAAAGGAAAGGAAAAAAGAGGAAAAGGCAACACACATAATGTATTTCATTTAACCCAAAATACCAAAATATTATCCGCTGTACATGTAACCAATATGAAAACTTGGGATATTTTACATTCTTCTTTCAGACTAAGGCTCAGAAATGTGTATTTTTCAATTAAGTAGAAGATCAACTTAAACTACATACATGTCAAGTGCTCAGTAACAAATGACTAGTAGCTACTGTAACTGACAACACAGCTCCAATCAATACTAGATCATCAGAACTCAAACTCCAGTGTCTCTACCACTCTCTCACATATTGTTATGATTTAATATTTTTAATTCTATTTTTAAACCCCTTATCAATCACTGCTATTACATTCTTATATGGTCAGTAATTAGATTTACTCACAGACCTACCAATTTCTTGATTAGCCTCACTTCTATATCAGACTTCCTTTCTGGTGTCATTGGCTTTCTTCCTGAAGTACAAACTCCAGAAATTCCTTCAGTGGGTCTGTTGATACATTTCCTAAATTGCTTTTTTGGAGGCAGAATGACGTGTTTCAAAAAGTGTCTTTATTTTGTTCTTCTCCTTATATGATAATTTGGCTGGCTATAAAATAACAGGTGGGCAGCTATTTTCACTCAACACATTGAAAATATTATTCCACTATCTTCTGGATGCCCATGCTGATGAAGCATATTAGGACTTTCTAGTTCTTATTCTTTAGGGAATCTGATTTTCTCTGGCTGCTTTAAAGATCTCTATGTCTTTGGTGCTCTGCTCTTTTACTGTTATGTGTCCAGGTTTTCTTGTGCCTCCTAAATCTAAGAACTCATATAGCTCACCAATTCTGAAAAATTATCAGCCTTTAGCATTTCAAATTTTGCCTTTCTGCAATCTTTAATTTCTGGAACGCTAATTAGATGTTTGTTAGAACTTCTCTTCCTTTCCAACACATTTTTAACGCTTCTCCTATTTTCATCTCTTTGCTTCTCTGTGCTAAATTCTAAGTTATTTTTATTTTTTTGTTCACTAATAAAGATATTTAGTGCTGTCTGAGGCTATTTTTAACCTGAACTCCAGGACCTCTTAGAAATTAATTTACTGTATTTGATTTCCATAAAAGTGTTCCTTCCAAATGTAGATTTACAGATTAAAGAACTACAACAACAACCATTCTCATCCTTTCAGCATAAGTCTTTTCCTCATCTCATCTAACATTCAAAATAATTTTGGAAGTAGGTACAACTGAAACCATTTAAAAATGTATAAAACTGAAGCTCAGAGGTTAACCTGTTCAATGCTATAAAAGTCAAACCCTCATCTTTTCATTCTAAATCGTATGTTCTTGACAAGAAAACATTCTTGTCCACCATCAATAGTTCCAACTTACATTAAATGTTAATACTGTATAGTATTACTATTATGTGAATTTTAAGTTACATTTCTTTTTAGATATCCTTTAAGAATACTCATTAAGAGACACTTATTGGCCAGGCACAGTGGCTCATGCCTATAATCCCAGCACTTTGGGAAGCCAAGGTGGGCAGATCACTTGAGGTCAGGAGTTCCAAGTCAGCCTGGCCAACGTGGTGAAACCCCATCCCTACTAAAAACACAAAAATTAGCCAGGTGTAGTGGCAGGCGCCTGTAGTTCCAGCTACTTGGGAAGCTGAGGCAGGAGAATCGCTTGAATCCGGGAGGCAGAGGTTGCACTGAGCTGAGATTGGGCCACTGCACTCCAGCCTGGGCAACAGGGCAAGACTCTTGTCTCTCAAAAAGCAGGAAAAAAAAAAAAAAAAAAAGAAAAAAAAAGGAGACAATTATTGAGCACAGACTATGCCTAGCACAAACAAGGTAAAGTATAAGAAATGTTCCTGGGAAAAACATGACATACACGAAAAGTCAGAAACCATGTCTAACAGAAATAAAAACCCACCACTTAAAAATATTACCAAAAAAATAGAGACCCTGAGCAAGTCTCTAGATCTAACTACCAATTTACTGGAAATATGGAAAACATACTAAATTACAAAATCATAACGCAATCAGTAAATGTAGTCTATAGGCAACTGTGTAAGACCAATAACCAGTTTTCTTCAACAAATGAAATGCAACTTAAAAAAAAAACAAAAAACAGGAACGGAGAGCTTGTACATTAAAAGATATTTAAGAGGTAATAACGACCTGTTAAATTTGCTGATCTTATTTTATCGTGACTCCTTCCCCCACTAAAAAAAAAAACCCTATAAAAATACTATGACTTTTATGAGACAATTAGAAATTTTAATACAAATTTGACATTTTATAATATGAGGTAACTTTGTGTGTGTGTCCTAACAGTCTTTTGATTATATTTTAAAAAGGAGAGGAGAGTCCCTATTCTTTAAAGATATACACTGAAGCCTTTACAGATAAAACAATATGAATATCTGAAATTTATCTCAAAATAACAGAAGTGGAAAAGCAGAGTGTGGATATCATCATTTTAGCTATGGGTTACTAATGGTTTTGGGGACTGAATGATAGATACACAATGGTTCATGATACTATTGTGTCTAAAATTCATTATAATAGTTTTAAAAAAGAAGTACTGCTCAAAAAAATCTCGTGATAACTTTCTGTGACACCTTATTACTTTTAAAGTGAAAATATCACTTAACCACCTTATCCCCTAATGTAGTATGCCTAGAACTAAATTAAGAAAGCTACTACAGTTTAGGAACACACGTAGACCAAGAGACTAAAATAATTAACAATATAGAGACTCAGGATTCTAATTCATAGCACTCCATGAAATACTGAAGCCAATCTTTTTGGAGATCAGTCATAATAAAGGTCTTCATCCTGACTGTCTTCACGCTGAGTAGGCTAAGGAGGAAGAGGACGAGTTGGTCTTTCTGTCTTGGGTGGAAGAGGGAGAAGAAAATTCTGTATAAGTGGATCTATGCATAAGTGGACCTGTGTAATTCAAAATCATGTTGTTCAAGGGTCAACTGTACTTCATTTGACCCTCAGGAAAGCCCTTTTCCTTTTTTTTTGAGACTGGATCTCCTCTCGCCCAGGCTGGAGTGTAGTGATACAATCATAGCTCACTGCCGCCTGGGCTCAGGTGATCCTCTTGTCTCAGCCTCCCAAGTAGCTGGGACTACAGGCCCATGCCACCAGATCTATCTAATTTTTAAAAGTTTTTGTAGAGATGGGGTCTTGCTATGAGGACCAGGCTGGTCTCAAACTCCTGGGCTCAAGTGATCTGCCTGCCTCAGCCTCCCTAAGTTCTGGGATTACAGGTGTGAGCCACCATTCCAGCAAAGCCCTTTCTTGAGAATAGGTTAAAACTTGTTTCAGTTGCCACTTCATTAATTTGTAATTTAAACATTTATCCTCTATTATGTAGTTGGGCCCATTGTAATCACAAGGTCCCTGTAAGTGGGAAACGGAGGCACAAGAATGTGTCGGAGTGATGTGATGTGAGACAGAGTCTTCTTTGCCATTCCTTCTTTGAAGATGAAGCTAACAGCCGAGTTATGTCAAGGAAACAAATTCCCCCCAGATCCTGCAAAAAGGAACACAGCCCTGCTAACACCTTGATTTTAGCCCACCTGTGTCAGATTTCTCACCTACAAAACTATAAGATAATACTTTGTGTTGTTACAATAAATTTGCTATAGCAAAAAAAAAAAAAAAGAAAGAAAGAAAGCAGAGTAATGAGCTACTTTTATGTGGAAAATTACAGGTATATAGAATAATGCCTACCAGATGAAGTACAAATTTCACTACCTGTAATTGAGGTCTTCTATATAACCTATCTGCCATTCTATCTTTTCTCTCATATCCATATACAAGCTGTTAGCCATAAAGGCCAAACTATTCAACTCACTGATCAATGGCTGTAAATTTATGCCAACCTATAGACACAACTTTGGTTACGTCCTTCTCTCAACGCCTGTTGCTCTCCACTCTTTCTCCTATCTCCCAATCTAGCTAGGTCACAGACCACTATTCTGAGCCTACCAACCCAAACCAATCTTTCCTACTGTAGCCATATAGCACTTAATTAAAACCTTGAGTCCTTATTTCTCTAACTAAAGTCCTAAAAGACATAGTCTTGTTATTTATCTTTTTATTGATAAATGGCTCATTAGAGTATGAGCATATTAAAGCCTATGACACTTCTAAGAGTTATTAAATATTAAGTGTATATGTACTATTTAATATGTGTACTATTAATGATTGAGGAACAAACATAACAAATAGGGTCACTGCCCTCAAGGAGCCAATACATCAATTTCTAACATAGTACTGTCATTTCGCAGACATCAAAATATCTGTTAATTGAAATTCTAATAAAAATACCCTAGAGAAAGCATTAAGTAGCATTTAAGAAAAGTATTTTAAGAAAAGTCAAAACCTAAAAACCCAAAGTTTTGAATAACACATCTATAATGAACAACCAGTTACACACAACTATTACCAAAAAAGTTACATTTAGCATTATTTGATTGTAATTTTCTATGCAAGCCAATGAGGATGAATTCAATAGTCATATCATAATTTAAATTGTGAGTTCAGCAATTTACAACCAGTACTTTCAGAATATTTAGAAAAAGCTAACATTTTAAGAAACAGGTTATTTATTAGTTGTCCAGTTATAGGTCTTGATATATTAATAGTTAACTTACTAAAGAACACTGCTACAAATTTCACCATACTTAAAATCTACATCTAAAAAGTTAACATTTTACCGTATTGGGGACCATCCTGAATTATTCTACAGTCATTTCATACAATTCTGTCTTCCCAAGTAATAGGCCGATTACTTTGCAAGGATTTCACATTGGCAAAATGGTTAAGAGTACAGAAATGACACCCCTGATATTACAAATTACGAAGAATATAAAAAGCCATTTTAAAGAAATGCAACAAATCTCCTATTACAAACTCACAAATATTCTTTCTTAATAGTCTCACTGAGCTAACAAAAAAAAGTCTAAAATCAAGAAAAGCTGAATACAGCAAATTTATAAAATAATGGAAAATGAGATTTCATTTGTATCCTAAAGCCATAAAAACTTGGATATTCTAAATGTAAATACATTAACATTAGACCTAGTTTGTGGAACTATTAAAATCCTAATTTAAAAGGTGAAGAAGCTGAGGCTAAAAATGTTTACACATCAAATGGACTTTAAACAATAAAATCACTTAATTCAAATATATATATTTGAATTAACTAGGTCCAGTACACAAACAGGCAGTTCACAGAAAATGAAATATAAATAACCAAATCTGAAAAACCTCACCCATTTCAAAATATAAATTACAAAATAATTTTTAGTGTAAAATAAGCTAGTATTCTTAAATTTTGATAAAACCTAGAATTGCCAAGGGTATGGAAAAATAGGCACTCCCATACACACTTGTGAAAAACAAATGAGTGTTCTGGCATTGTGGTTTTCAGTAACTCTTTAAGTATAAATTTCATTTGACACAGCATTTTTACTTCTATTCTAAATATGTCCACATGTTATAACAACAAACTGGAATCAAACCTAAATGTCCATCGATGTAGGAAACTAAATTGTGGTATGTCCAGTAACTACACTGTGGTGCAGCCACACGAGTATCCTCCATTGTCATTAACAAAGAATGAGGTAGATCTACAACTGCTGAGACCATATTATGTAATTAAAAAAAAACAGTGGACTTCTACTTCCAGTCAAGACAGAATAACATGACCCAGATTTGCCTCGCCGAAACAACACCAAACAATCAAGCAACTATACAGAATAATTGCTTTTCAAGACACTGGACATCAGGCAATGATGGACAATAATCCCTGAAAGTTAGAAAACAAATGAGTCCATGTTTGCCTCAGCTTATACTCCCTTGAGTGTCCAGGCCATAGCATAGCTATGAGGAAAGCAGGCTGAGCCTCAAAGACTACTTTAATTGTGAAAGAGCCAAGAGCCTGAGAAGACCAAAGTAACTAGAGTTTACATACAGGTCAAAGTACCAGAGAAAAGAACTGCACAGAGATTTCTCCAAATCTGCAGAGAATCATCAGAGTATTCAGTGAATACTTAACAACATATATATTTGGACCACAAAACAAGTCTCCATGTTTACAAAGATCCAAGTCTTAGAAAATATGTTCTCTGGCCAGAATAAAACTAAAATTATGAATACATAACAGAAAGATATATGGAAAACTCCAAATATTTGGAAATTAAATAACATAAATAACATACTTTCCAATAACCCATGGGTCAAAGAAATATTTAAAAAAGTATTTTGAAGTGAATAAAAATATACGTGTCAAAATTTGAGGAATGCCGTGAAAGCGGTACTTAAAAGGGAAACATACAGCAATAAATCCCTATATAAGTAAAAGTACTAAGTTAATGACATTAACTTCAATGTTAACTAAGTAGAA
Organism: Homo sapiens; assembly: GCF_000001405.40. Taxonomy (NCBI): domain Eukaryota; kingdom Metazoa; phylum Chordata; class Mammalia; order Primates; family Hominidae; genus Homo; species Homo sapiens. The sequence continues at coordinate 96,730,272 of NC_000001.11, read as the reverse complement.
AATGAAGATCAAACTAACCACAAAGCAAAACAAAATAAAAATAGCAGAAATCAATAAAATAGAAAACAGAAAAACAGCAGAGAAAACTCAAACCAAAAGCTGGTATTTTGGAGATTAATAAAATCAATAAACTTCAATCCAGACAGACAAGGAAAAAAGATGACACAAATTATCCCTACTGGGAATGAGAAAGCTGACATCACTAAGGATTCAACAGATACCAAAAGTGTAAAAATGTAGTATCATGGCTGGGCGCAGTGGCTCACGCCTGTAATCCCAGCACTTTGTGAGGCAGGGCGGGCAGATCACAAGTTCGAGACCAACCTGGCCAACATAGTGAAACCCCGTCTCTACTAAAAATACAAAAAATTAGCCAGGTGTGGTGGTGTGTGCCTGTGATCCCAGCTACTTGGGATGCTGAGGCAGGAGAACCGCGTGAACCCGGGACGTGGAGGTTGCATTGAGCCGAGATGGTGCCACTGCACTCCAGCCCGGGCGACAGAGCAAGGCTCCGTCTCAAAAAAAAAAAAAAAAAAAAAATAGTAGTATCATGAACAACTCTACACAAATACATTCAGCAACTTAAAGGAAATGGACTAGTTCTACAGAAGATACAAATTACCAAAGTTCACTCAAGAAGAACTAAACAAACTGAATAGCCCTATATCTATTAAATAAGTTGAATATGTAGTTTAAAACCTCCCGACAAAACAAACATCTGGCCCCACATGGCTTCACTAGTGAACTGTGTCAGTTAAGGAAGAAATTTTAGAGTTCTCACCCTAATATCAGGAGCAAGGAAAAGATATTCTCTCAACACTTCTATTAAACATTGTACTGGATACCACAGACAAAAAAAGGAGACAAAAAATGGCATCCAGATAGAAAAGAAAGAAAACTATTTAAAAACAATTGGGTATAAATTATCTATGTAGAAAATTTAATGGCATAGGCTGGGGGTGGTGGCTCACGCCTGTAATCTTAACACTTTGGGAGGCCTAGGTAAGTGTATCACTTGAGGTCAGGAGTTCCAGACCAGCCTGGCCAACATGGTGAAACCCTGCCTCAACTGAAAATGCAAAAATTAGCTGGGCGTGGTGGTGTGCACCTGCAGTCCCAGCTACTTATGAGGCTGAGGCAGGAGAATTGCTTGACCCAGGAGGTGCAGGTTGCAGTGAGCCAAGATCACGTCACTGCACTCCAGCCTGGGTGACTGAGACTCCCTCTCAAGCAAATCTGATGAAATATATAAAAAAAACTATTAGATCTACTAAATGAGTTTAGCAAAGGTTCAGAACATATGAGCAATATGCCATAATCATTTCTATACACTAGCAAACAATTGGAAATTAAGTTTTTAAAATATCATTTACAGTACTTCAAAATACATAAAATACTTATGGGTAAATCTAATCAAACAATGCACAAAACGTGTGCACTGAAAAAAAAAAAAAAAATGCTTAAAGAAATTAAAGACCTAATAGAGACATCAATTGTAGTCATGATGCCAATTTTCCCCAAATTTGCTCTACAGATTCAAGTCAAATCCAGTAAAATCCAAGCAGTTTTTCTAAGAACTGACTCATATGAAAATACAAAGGACTCAGAAGAGTTAAAAACAACTTTGAAAAAGAACAGAGTTGGAGGGCCAAGACTAAGTAAGTGGTTTCAAGACTCAATATAAAGCTACAATGATTAAGACAGTATGTTTCCAGCATCTAGATAAAGGAAAATGGGTCAATACAAAAAAGAGTACAGACATAAAATCACACATACAGACATAAGTGATTTTTCATGAAGCTGCAAAGCCAAGTGAATGGAGAAAGGATAGTCTTTTCAACAAATGATGCTGTAAACACTGGATATCCCCATGCAAAACCAAATACTTCTGACCCACACTTTGTACCATATTCAAAATATTAAGTCAAAATGAAAGAGACCCAAATGTTAAACCAAAGTATAAAACTTCTATTAGAAAACAAAGGTGGCCAAGTGTAGTGGCTCATGCCTTTAATCCCAACACTTTGGAAGGCTGAGGCAGAAAGATCGCTTGAGGCCAGGAGTTCAACACCAGCCTGGGCAAAACAGAGAGACCCCGGGTCTATAAAAAATTTAAAAGTTAGCTGGGCATGGTGCTGTGTGCCTATAGTCCTAGCTACTTGGGAGGCTGAAGCAGGAGCCCTTGTGTCCAGGAGTTCAAGGTTATCATGAGCTACGATTGCACCACTGCACTCCAGCTGGGGTGACAGAGTCAGGTCCTGTCTCTAAAAAAAAATTATTATTATTATTAACAAACAAAAGGAAAAAAATCTTCATGGCTTACAGTCAGGCAAAAATGGCTCAGACAAGACCCCAAAACTACAATCCATAAAAGAAAAAATTGGTAAACTGGAGTCCATCAGATTTAATAACTGTTGCTCTTCAAAAGACAATGCGAGAATAAGAAGATGAGTGGCAGAAAATATTTGCAGGCCTTATGGCTGATAAAGGACTTGTAACCACAATGAAGACCTCTCAAAACTCAATTTAAAATAAATAACCAAATAAAAAATTGGGCTAAAGATATAAACAGACACTTCACCAAAGATAACAGCTGACAAAAAGCACACGAAAAGATGTCCAACATCATAGATATTAGAGGAATGCAAATTAAATCCACAGTGAAATATCACTTCATATACACTACAATATCTATAATCAAAAACAGAAGATAACAGGCATTAAAGAGGATGTGGAAGGACTGGAAATTTCATACCATGCTGATGGCAATGTAAGATGGTACAACTACTTTTAAAAAGTTTGCAGTTCCTTAAAAAGTTAAACATATGCCTATCACATGATCCAGACTTTCCAATCATAGCCTGCCCCACCAAGAGAAATGAAAGCATATGTCCATACAAAGACTTGTACAGTAATGTTCACAACTATATTTTTATTAGCTCAAAACGGAAAACAATACAAATGTCCCTCAAGACTTGAATGGATTAACAAATTGCTGTATAGCCATAAAGTGTACTATTACTAAGCAATAAAACAGAATGGACTATTGAAAGACAACATGGGTGAATTTCAAAATAATTATTCTGAGTGGACTAACCCAGACCAAAAATGTACATACCATATGATTACATTTATCTAAAATTCTAAAAAGTGTGAACTAATCTATAGTGACAGAAAGCAGATCAGTGGTTCCTTGGGGAAAGAAAAGCAGAAAGGAGGGACTATAAAGGCGCAAGATGATACTGTAGGGAGTGATAGATGTTCATTATCTTGATTGCAGTGGTTTCACAAGGGTATATATGAGATAAAACATTGTATATTTAATATGGGTAGTTTATTTTATGTCAAATTATATCTCAATAAAGCTATTTTTTTTAAAGGCAAGATATGGGCCGGACGCGGTGGCTCAAGCCTGTAATCCCAACACTTTGGGAAGTCAAGGCGGGCGGATGATGGAGTCAAGAGATCAAGACCATCCTGGCCAAAATGGTGAAACCCTGTCTCTACTAAAAATACAAAAATTAGTCTGGCATTTTGGCTAGGCGCGGTGGCTCACGCTTGTAATCCCAGCACTTTGGGAGGCCGAGGCAGGCAGATCACGAGGTCAGGAGATAGAGACTATCCTGGCTAACATGGTGAAACTCTGTCTCTACTGAATATACAAAAAAGAAGCCAGGCGTGGTGGCAGGCGCCTGTAGTCCCAGCTACTTGGGAGGCTGAGACAGGAGAATGGCGTGAACCCAGGAGGCAGAGGTTGCAGTGAGCAGAGATCGCGACACTGCACTCCAGCCTGGGAGACCGGGCGAGACTCCGTCTCGAAAAAAAAAAAAAAATTAGTCTGGCATGGCGGCGTGTGCCTGTAGTCCCAGCTACTAGGGAGGCTGAGGCAGGAGAATTGCCTGAACCCAGGAGGCAGAGGTTGCAGTAAGCCGAGATCATGCCACTGCACTCCAGCCTGATGACAGAGGGAGACTCCGACTCAAAAAAAAAAAAAAAAGGCAAGATGTGGGCCAAAACAATAGTTTGAATTCAATCACGTAAATAAAGATGTTTATATGTGTGCTAATATATAAATTAATAATTTCAAGAAAAAAGGCACAAAATTTTAACACAATTACCTACACCTAAGAAATAGCAAAAAAAGCTGTGAAGCAGTTTGAATTTTTTTTTTTTTTTTTTTTTTTTTTTTTTTTTTTTTGAGATAGAGTCTGTCTCTGTCGCCCAGGCTGGAGTGCAGTGGTGCAATCTCCGCTTACTGCAACCTCTGCCTCGCAGGTTCATGCCATTCTCCTGCCTCAGCCTCCCGAGTAGCTGGGACTACAGGCACCCGTCACCACACCCGGCTAATTTTTTGTATTTTTAGTAAAGACAGGGTTTCACCGTGTTAGCCAGGATGGTCTCTCCTGAACTCGTGATCCGCCCGCCTCGGCCTCCCAAAGTGCTGGGATTACAGGTGTGACCCACCGCGCCCGGCCTGAATTTTTTTAAATATGCACATGCATCAGTGTCTTTAAAGCAAATTCACAAATGTTTTAAGTTTTAAAGAACACTTAATTACTTGTACACAGGCCTGACACCAAAGCAAAAATTCTTAACCATTATTCCAGAAAATTAAATTAACTTTAATTATTCAGACTTTTATATTAAACAATGGATTTTTAAAAACGATTTGCAATTTTTTTTTATCATCTTCTAAAGTGTTCTCCTCAAACAACTAACAAAAAACTGGTGTAACCACAAGGTCAGGAGATCAAGACCATCCTGGCTAACACGGTGAAACCCCGTCTCTACTAAAAATACAAAAAATTAGCCGGGCGTGGTGGTGGGCGCCTGTAGTCCCAGCTACTCGGGAGGCTGAGGCAGAAGAATGGAGTGAACCCGGAAGGCGGAGCTTGTAGTGAGCCAGGATCGTGCCACTGCACTCCACCTGGGCGAAGAGTGAGACTCTGTCTCAAAAAAAAAAAAAAAAAACTGGTGTAACCAATACATTACACCTGGACATCCTATTCCAAGTCTCCTCAGTTTTTTCCTGTCTACTCATTCTGAGCCTTGTCTACAAACTCCTCTCCTTTTCCACTAACAGTCGACAACTCACACTTGTATCATTTATTCTTTTACAAAATTTACAGAAATCTGTTTGGATGGAACCTACAACATCTACCATTTTGCAATCTTTAGCTATTCCTGATTTTAAATCCCATGACTAACTCAACTTGGAAAATACTATCACCAAAAAGAGCGTATTATTCCTCCTTTAGTCTGTACAAAATGAACTCAAGAAACAAGCCTAAAGAATGGGCAAATATCTATTTCACTATAGGAAAGAGGACAGAAAATAAGCAAGAAAACACAGTACCATCCCCAAAAGTATTTGAAAGAACACCACATCATTATGGATACAATTATTATTATCATTATTATACTTTAAGTTTTAGGGTACATGAGTACAACGTGCAGGTTTGTTACATATGTATACATGTGCCATGTTGGTGTGCTGCACCCATTAACTTGTCATTTAGCATTAGGTATATCTCCTAAAGCTATCCCTCCCCCCTCCCCCCTATATCTCCCAATGCTATCCCTTCCCCCTCCCCCCATTATGGATACAATTTTAAGAATTCGAAAAAATGTTTGAACAGTCAGCATCACTGGACTAAGCAGAAAGCCTCTCAGGACAGAGAGGCTTGCAAATGAAAAATGACAATACAGGCCGGGCACGGTGGCTCACACTTGTAATCCCAGCACTTTGGGAGGTCAAGGCAGGCAGATCATAAGAGGCAGGCAGATCATGAGGTCAGGAGTTTGAGACCAGCCTGACCAACAGGGTGAAATGCCATTTCTACTAAAAATACAAATTAGCTGGGCGTGGTGGTGCGCACCTGTAATCCCAGCTACTCAGGAGGCTGAGGCAGGAGAACTGCTTGAACCCAGGAGGCAGAGGTTGCAGTGGGCCAAGATCGTGCCACTGCATCCAGCCTGGGCAACAGAGTGAGGCTCCGTCTCAAAAAAACAAAAAACAAAAAAAAATTACAATACATCATGACATTAAAAGTTGCAAGTACTCAAGAAAATGTTAAGCATTAGAACTAAAGTTTAAACGATGAGTAGTTTTCTTAGCCAAAAAGGAAGGATTCCAAAGGATCTCTACCATAAAGACTTTCTTTAATAGACAAACCAGCTCTTAACTTCTAATTCAAATTTGAAGCTAACTGCCTCAACAACTTCCTTTTTAAGGATCAGTGTAATTCATTTCTAATGTGCTTTATTATTAACCAAAATATATTCATTTTCATGACAAAAAGTAATAAAAAACAAAAAACTTAGATTAACAAAATTATAAGATATAGGTCAAACCACTTACCATCCATTTAAAATCATTATTTCCCCTCAGAAAATTGGGGTATCGTTTTATATTACAAGAAGCCATGTGTGAAAGCATTTTCAATTTCTTGATCATTCATACTTACTTTAAAAGGTTATTCTTACAGACTGACAGTTCTAGAAAAACTTATGGTGATTACAAACTGTTTATATGGTCCAACTTTACAAATGAAAGGAAACATTTTACACTTGGGTTTTGTTAGCTACGTTATAGTTTTCAAAAGCAAAAGCTAAAATTTTCCAGTAATTATGATAATAGATCCAACAATCCCAGTTTCAAACATAGTATTTTCCTACCTTCACGCCAACTGCAACCTCAGTGACGATTCTGCAAAGAAAAAATAAGTAGTTTCAACCTCCTGTTATTCTTCTAATCACTCACTCTTTGGCTCTAAAACTTTTTAGGATAGTCCATCATTCATAAATCTTCCAGCCACTCACACACAGATGGGGATAAAAAATACCACAGATGATCCGTGACTTACCTGTACTGTTACCAACCTGGTTTTCTAAAAGTAACTTTCAAATGTGAGACAACTTGTGGTATTTTTTAACAACACATTCAATAGCCAAAAAGAACAAAACCCAAAACACTATGCCATTTCTACAATGCCAGTATACTGAGATTAATAATTTAACGCTTAAACTCTTTAGTAGTCTCCACAGGAACCAGGAATCAGGAAACATGAATTCTAGTGCAAGTTTTGACATCAATTTCCGTGTTGATCTGGGGGGAATACTGAACTTCTCTGGATTTGTTTCATCTGGAAAATAATCTTTAGGTAACATCTAGGATGATTTGAATTCTGTGAGACTGTGTTAACTTTTATAAAATCTTGTTTTTAGTACCTTTTAAAACACACCAAACTCTAGGCGCTTAACCAAATTGTTGATTCTTCAAATACTCACTGATTTTAATAAATGTACTTGTTAAATGATACTATGTTTACACTCCCAAAAGAGCTGCATACTGCTGTATTTTTGACCTTAAGCGTGCCCCCTTTCTAACATTGAGTTAAATTACTGAGTCTTTTCAGGTGTGAAGCATATGAGCGAGACATCGGTCCCTACCATTTCACAGTCTTGCCTCTCACCTCACTCAGCATTCCGTCTTGACTCAGGTTCGCAAAGATGCAGCATGGTTCTGGGTTTTTATAGTCGTTTTTCCAGAAACTGACCAAAGTAGCTAAAGAGATAGCCCTTTGTTGACTATCTGCTCTTGTTTCTGCCATTGCTGTTGGCCTTTGCCCATGTGACTGATGTCGGCTTCAAACACTTCGTTTTTTAGATGATTTAATTTCTGGGCCCTTTTGCCAAGCCTTGAATGTTTTCAGTCCCCACAAAAAGGCATTTTTTCCTCCCTCCCGCCCCCACTACCAGACTCAAATGAAAACAAAGGAGTATGACATCTGCCCTCCCCCTTCCTCCCGCCGCCGCACGCCCTCCCCCCTTCCCCAGCGGCTCCCACTAGGCTTTCCCCGGAGCTCCCGCCACCGGCATCTCTCCCGACCACGGAGGGCCGGGCGAGGCCGGAGAGGTTGCTCATGGCTGGGGTCCACATGGGGTGCCTCTCTCCTCTTCCCCTAGAGGCTCCCCCAATCCAAAGGCCTGTCTCTGCCCATCCCACTCGCTCTCACAGGCACCGCTAACCCAAGGGTCGGGTCCCAAGGTACGGATCGAAATGGCTCCTAGAGGGGGCAGGGACAGACCGGGGAGACGTTATGGGGTTCCCACCCCATCCCCCGCCGCCAAGCCGGTGCCCGCTCCCACTCCGGGATCCTCACCCCCGCCATCGCCCCTATGCCTCCCCAGCCTCCAAGCCCGCTTTCTTCTCATTTTCTCGACCAAAGCCCGCCGGGGGAAGCAAAGGGAGGGGTGTGTGCGATGGGGCGGGGGTTGGGTAACGGCAGCCCAGCCCTGGGAGGGGCCGCGGGAGGGTTTCTCCCCGGCCCGGGACCGGGCCGAAGGACGGTCCAACTCCTCTCTCACACACACCTTCTCGCCGGCCCGATTACATACCCGTCCATTGCCGAACCGGACAAAGCTTCGCTCACAAGAACCGAGCCACGCAGCCAGCGAGCCACACAAGCGGCGAGAAAATGGCGGCTGGGGCCCGACGGAAATTGCCGAAGGTGCCGAGGCGCACGGGCCACCGCGCGGCAGCGGCGGCGGCGGAAAGAGCCGAGCGCGCCGGCGCCCGGCAGCGGGAGGCGAGCGGCAGGGCGCTGGGACTAGGGGGAGTGGGCGCCGCAGCCGACGCCTCCTCCGCGCCTTCGCGCGCCTTTCTCCCTCCGCCCTCCGCCTGCCGTCCTCTGGAACCTGGCGTTCTGCTGCAGACCGCGGCGACCTGGTTTCCCCTCCTTGTGGGGGCGTGGGTGGGACACCTCCCAACAGCTCTCCACACTCTCTCTGCCCTGACTGCAGGACGCCCCCAGGCAGCCTCCACTTTTCACTCCAAGCCAAGTACCAGCTTGGCTACCGTCAACCTATGCGGGCCAAGGAAAAAACATTGGATAGCTTTTCTCCTAAGCCATCTTTTATTTGCAGACCGGCTCCAGCCTCTAAAACAAAAATCTTTACCCCACTGAACGAGACCACTTGGTAACAACAGTACTTTCTCAAGCAAGTAGAACTCCTCAGACTGAAATACAGGCTTTTGCTTCAAGACCTGTAGTACCAAGCCAAGTGGAGGAAAATGTGATTCTCACTTCAGTTGGTGATTAGTGTGCGCCTGTAGAAAATATTCACAATACGCTAGGTGGAAATAGACACAAATGGAGCCATGTGTTAAAATGCTACAATAGTTGGAGTTTAACATTTGGAGGCATGAAAGGGAAAGTGGAGATGGGAGTGGGAACAACTGAGTCTTCAGATTGGTTAGAGAAAGTAGAAGCATTAAAATGGGCTATGCAAATTGACTCCCTTTGCTATATCTTACGGTCTCAATTTTTACTTGATACTATAGTGGACATTTTACTTCAACGTGTTTTTATCAGAGGCTCAACAAAATTGGGAAAGGCACCCGCTTGAAAATTTGCTCAGTGAGTAGCGACTTTGCCAGTACCCATCCTTCTCCTGCACCCTTCACCTCCACCCCCAACACACACAAGGACAAATGCACTTCTAATTCTGAAAAATGACAAATACTCCCTGTGTCCCTCCAGTTACTCTCAATACTCACTCTGGGTTTTTCTGTGTCTCCTTCAGGCAAAGCTCTTATCCTTTGCTAATTGGAATTTCATATACTAAATGATATTGTGTATAATTTTTAGAATTTTTTTTTTTGAGACCCAGTCTCGCTCTTGTTGCCCAGGCTGAAGTGCAATGGCGCAATCTCGGCTCACTGCAACCTCGGCCTCCCTGGTTCAAGCGATTCTCCTGCCTCAGCCTCCCGAGTAGCTGGGATTACAGGCACGCGCCACCACGCCCAGCTAACTTTGTATTTTTAGTAGAGACAGGGTTTCTCCATGTTGGTCAGGTTGGTCTCGAACTCCTGACCTCAGGTGATCTGCCCTCCTCAGCCTCCCAAAGTGTTGGGATTACAGGCGTGAGCCACCGTGCCCGGCCATAAATAATATTACTTTTAAATTGGATAGACCCTTAAAGAGCATCTTGTCCAAACACTTTGCTATAGAACTCTTCAAAGCACCCAAATTTTTACAAATTCTTGATTTGCCTATGGGATTGTCAATCGTTAAAAAAAAAAAAAAAAAAGGCCGGGCACGGTGGCTCACGCCTGTAATCCCAGCATTTTGGGAGGCCGAGGCAAGCAGATCACCTGAGGTCGGGAGTTCAAGACCAGCCTGACCAACATGGAGAAACCCCGTCTCTTCTAAAAATACAAAATTAGCCGGGGTGGTGGTGCATGTCTGTAATCCCAGCTACTCGGGAGGCTGAGGCAGGAGAATCGCTTAAACCTGGGAGGCCGAGGTTGCGGTGAGTCAAGATCGCGCCATTGCACTCCAGCCTGGGCAACAAGAGCGAAACTCTGTCTCAAAAAAAAAAAAAAAAAAAAAAACCACATATCAAATTTCCTACAATAACCACTTCACCTTAAACCTTAAAATAAAGGATCTGTTATTAGTGCCACTAATAATCACTTTTCACATATTTGTGGTTTCATACATGTGTTTTCACTCAACAATTGAATGTGCAAGCTACCAAAGGGCGGGAACTATGGTATTAATTCTTGGTATTCCCCACATTCGCTCGATCGATATTGATTGATTGGTTCTCACTTTATCTTGGCAAAGACAAACCATTCTATGAGGAGGGAAGCTTGTCCTTAGGCAGCAGAAGAAATTACAGTGTTCACAAAAACACATTTTTCTTTATTTTTTTTTCGAATACGGTACAAGACCACAAACATACAATAGTTAATCTGCTTGCTTATTTAAGCTAACAGTTTCTTGGAAAAATGCAAGGTAATTTACAAGTCAAGGCACATAAAGTACTAGATTAAGACATGAAGTGAAATAAGAATAAAACAAGAGGACAAAGCATAGCATGAGTCAGGAATGAGGCTAATGCAACAGTGTACACAAAAGCATATTGATTAAAGCCTGGATTCAGATTTGAGCTCTTTCGTTTAATACCTGTGTGACATTAGGCATGTTCATTAACCTCTCCAGGAAACTTTCCTTTGCTGAATATAGGATTAAAAATAGGGCCTTTGGACCTGGCACGGTGACTTAGGTCTGTAATCCCAGCGCTTTGGGAGACCGAGGCGGGCAGATCACGAGGTCAGGAGATTGAGACCATCCTGGCCAACATGTTGAAACCCCACCTCTACTGAATATACAAAAATTAGCCGGGCGTGGTGAAACGTGCCTATAGTCCCAGCTACTCAGGAGGCTGAGGCAGGAGAATCGCTTGAACCAGGGAGTCGGAGGTTGCAGTTAGCCAAGATCGCGCCACTGCACTCCAGCCTGGCGACAGAGAGAGGCTCCATCTCATAAGAAAAGAAAAAAAGAAAAAAATAGGGCCTTCATCCTAGATGACTGTGAATTAAATACCTTAACGTATCTAAGGCACCTCCCTAGCTCAGTAACTACTTACTTACAGTAAATACTTAGCAAAGAGTGTTATCATCATGCTTATTATTTTTGTTATTACTATTATTCGTTTGAGAAGGAACAGGCCACAAATTTGTAGCTTAGATTTTAACAGCCAACAATATTCATAAAAATAAATCTATATAGAGATTTTTCACAAAGGTTAAACGTGTCACTAAAGTAATTAGATTGGCTGGTATCTACAGGAATAAATCTGGGAAAATGTCATAGATAAATTTCTAAACCTCTATCCAAATCTAAATTTGTATGATTTTATGAGTTAACCATGGGATAGATTATTAATCTCAACATTAGCAGATGGCCAACCTTTGTAATATATGACAAGATTCTATTAGTGTTTATGGATTCCTAACAAAATAAGGCAATAAAAAGTGAAGTGCCTGTACAGTATTATTTTCATACCCATATCTTTTTGCAGTATAATGATTTGTTCTTTCCCATCTGAATGGTAAATGTTTTGACCTTTTACAGAGATTTACACTTATGTGAACAATGATTAAATTTCAGTGTATGCTAAGCTAAAATGAGGCCTAATATTTATGCAATAAAAATAGGAAGTAGGATTTGGTTCATAATGTTCTGATTTTATTCTTAGCCCCACCTCTTGACTGCTTATACTACCAAAGACATCATTTACATTTTTCAGCCTGTAGTTTCTTCATTTGAGAAGAAGGAATCATAATAAGATCAATTAGATAGTATTTTACTTTTGAATAAGTGATCAAAACACAAAATAGAGGAGAACAAATTCAAAAGACATGAAATCACATACAACATTTCCAGAAAAAACAAATATGTAGAGATAGAAAGTAAAGTGGTCACCTAGAGCTGGGAGTGGGAATGGGGAATAACTGTAAATGGGCACAAATTTCGCTTCAGGATGATGGAAATGTTTTAAAATTAGATTGTGGTGATGATGGTACAACTCTGTAAATATATTAAAATTCATTGAATTAAACACTTAATACTGATAAATTTCAGAGGATGTAAATTATATATCAATAAAGCTGCTGTATAGCTATTGGCTTGGGGCTTCTTTCACCAATATGTAATTCTCTCCTATATTGGATCTCTGGTTTCCTAGATCCCATATCTTCTTTCCTGATATATTCCCTCATCAGGAAATACACCTTCCAGAAGGTTCCAGAGAAAAAAATCCATAGGAAACACTTTTTTTTAATATATTGTGTATTCAGAGATATGTTTATTCTATTTTCACATGTTATTGATAGTTTGGAAAGCAATGCTTTTTCTCAGTACTGTACTTGTAAACTTTATACTATGTCTACTTGGAGGGGGTGTCATAAAGATAAAAAGCATATACTTTTTACTCCTGCTCTCCAGCTACTGAGTTCCATGTTCCAGAGGCAAACCATCTTACCAGTTAATTACATATTTTTTCAGAGATGTTCAAAGACATATATTGATTATATATATATAGTTTTTCTTTTGATTCAAAAGTGGTAACTATTATGCACACTATTCTGAAACATTTTTTCGACTTTAAAAATTTACATCTTAGAGATCTTTCCTTATCAGTATGTTTAGAGCTGCCTCATTCTTTATATACACCTGCATAATATTCCACTGAATAAGTAAATCATGATTTATTTATCTAGATCATATTGAGGAACATTTAGATTGCCTCCATTCTTGCTATTTACACACAATTCTGCAATGAATATCCTTGTTTCTGAGATGTTCCCTGCAAGTGTGAATATGTCTTCTGGATAAATACTATAAATAAAAATTACTAGATAGAGTAGAGTATATTTTTTATTTTAAAAGAGACTGTCAAGTTGCCTACATGAGCGTGAGCCTTGGTGTAAAATATTAGCAATTCCTACCATTTAAAAAGGGAAGCGTACTGATTTCTTTAATACATAAGGAGTTCCTACAAATACAAAATCAAAAGCCAACAGTCAAATAGAAAAATTGGTAAAGCATATGAATAGATTATGACATATTACAGGAAAGTAAAAACAAATATGCTCAGCCTCATTTTAAAGCAATTCAAGGTGAAACTGTACTAAGATACTTTTTTCACTTGTCAACACCCCTTGTAGGCAGACTAGCACAAAGCTTCTGAGTGCAGTACTGAGAAAAAGTATTCCTTTCCAAACTATCAGTAACATATGAAAATGGAATAAACATAAATCTAGATACACCAAATGTCAAAAATTTGTTTTCTATGGATTTTTTTTATTTGGAATTTTCTGGAAGATGTATTTCCCAATGAGGCTAATGCACCAGGAAAGAAGATGTTGTACCCAGGAAACCAGAGATCCACTATAGAAGAGAAGAAAATTGTATGTTGGTGAAAGAAGCTTCAACAGCTATGCAGCAGTCCTATGGTTACAATGGAATATGAGACCAGAAGGCTCAAGGAAAGACGTATCTGAGAAAAATATGGAACTTTTATAGATAAAATATAATATGTCTGTATATGTTTAGTACAGGTTTGTGGTGCTATTGGTAAGCTTAGGGAAAGCATTAATCAAAAACACATGAAATATGTTTTAAATTAACTACAGGGTAAGGAAAAAGTTGTAAAGAAATATAATTATAGCACACTCTGTGGCTCGGTTTGTGAAAGTAATTACATCTTCACAATAATATAAGCACTGAATACTAATAAAATTAAGATTGTGAAACAATTTTGTCAGAGAAGGAAGAGAAATACGGATGTGCACATATGTGTATGTGGTAGGGTTATAAACTCTCATCTTCAAAAGTAGGAAGTCAGCAGAATATGTCTAGAATTAATAGGTGAGAAAATGGCACACAAACATATTTTTCAGAAGTATGGAGGTAAATATCACGATGATTAGGGAGAATTGAAAAGTATACTCTTCTATCTCTTATGCTTCTGGGGCATCGCACCACAGGATGAGAAATAAAAAGAAGAGTATACTTTTGAATTTTGTTTTTGTTGTAAGCCAAAAATAAAATTTGAAGCCCCTCCCCTCCAACTGAATGGACTCCTCCTCTTGGCCAATGGCATTCCAAAGTTAACCCAAAACACGTGTTCAGGCCCTGATGGGAATGGGTGGCCTCACTATACCCTCCTGTCTTCAGAATCCTGTCTTCAGGAGCTGACCAGCATTAACATCAAAACAGAGATCTTAACACAATCTATTCTCTCTAAAACCTGCTACCTGGAAGCTTCATCTGCATAATAAAAACTTTGGTTTCCACAAGCCCTTATCTTAAACCAGACCCTCCCTTCTATTGATTCCAGGTCTTTAGATAAACTCTTTCAACTAATTGCCAATCACCAAATCTTTGAATCCACCTATGACCTGGAAGCCCCTGCTTTGAATTATCCTGCCTTTTCAGATAGAACATGTATTAATTGATATCTTATGTCTCCCTAAAACATATAAAAACAAGCTGTAGCCTGACCACATTGGGCACATGTTCTCAGAACCTCCTGAGGCTGTCATAGACATGTCCTTATCCTTGGCAAAATAAACTTCTAAATTGATTGAAACCTGTCTCAGATACTTTTGGTTTAAAAATGTCATGTAAATCTTCCAAAACTATTTACTTTTTAAGCTATGGGCATGTGTTACTTTGATAAAAATAAATTTTACATTAAAAAAGAGAAGGAATTAGATGGCAGTGAGCAAAGGACCGTTTTAGCACAAACATTGCCTCTTTTGTATTCAGCAATAGTGACTGCTTATCTCCATGTTTACTGAAAAAAGCTCAGCATAGCTGGCTGTCCTTCCTATATTGCGCACATAATAAAGATTATTCTTGGAAGAGAACACAATAGTTTGAGTGGATCAGCAGTTTTTAGAATGATCATACATAAAGACCTAAACTAGGGGAGAAAATGAGAAAAGTAAAGAAAAATACACAGAATAGTAAAAGATGGGAAAAAATGCTAAATACCCAGGAAACAACATCATTTTGCTTTGTAATATTATCAACTATGAAATACAAAAATCTTATACAATCCACATCATAATGTATGTGGCCTTATGCAAACAGCCACATAGATGAAAACAAAGAAAGTGATTTGCAAATAAAAATACTGTAGTTGAGCCAGGCATGGTGGCTCACGCCTGTAATCCCAGCACTTTGGATGGCTGAAGCAGGTGGATCACCTGAGGTCAGGAGTTCTAGACCAGCCTGACCAACATAGTGAAACCCTGTCTCTACTAAAAATACAAAAAATTAGCTGGGTGTGGTGGTGGGCACCTGTAATCCCAGCTACTAGGGAGGCTGAGGCAGGAGAATCACTTGAACCCAGGAGGTGAAGGTTGCAGTGAACCAAGATTGTGCCATTGCACTCCAGCTGCCCGGGCAACAAGAGTGAAAAAACAAACAAACAAACAAACAAAAAACTGTAGTTTAAGTCAACATACATGTTTTAACCTCATACCTGGAATGAATAACACTTCAAAACTAAATTCTTTGAAAACGTCACAAAGAAAGGAACTACAACAAATGAAAGCCATCAGCCTTTTCAAAATCTTTTAATATTTCTAAAGTTTTCAAAGTAGTTTTAATTCTTTACAGTAGCAATGAAGAACTAAGAAATGAAGCTGAAAATAGTTCCAATTTGGTTGTCTCTTAATTGTTTTGTAACAGATGTCTCTGTTCAAGGATTGTCACTTCAGACTATGATCCCCTCACCCCTATACCCATTTTCAATTATAGAAATAAAGTATCATTTTGAGGAAGGGGAAGGGAATATGATTTTGTTCTTATTTAATATTTACAGTGACGTATGTTTACCAAATTTGCAAATGACAAATATATTGGGAAGATAGAATCAGCATTCCAAATGATATTGAAAGGAATATAAAATGAATATAAATGGAAAGTCTCTCATAGGTTAAAAAATCGAGCTACTCTCTTCATAAAAGCAAAGACATAGAGTCAACCTAAATGCCCATCAACTATAGACCGGATAAAGACAATGTGGTACATATATACTGTAGAACACTATACAGCCATGAAAAAGAATGAGATCACGTCCTTTGCAGGGGGAGGAAATTATCCTTAGCAAACTAACATAGGAACAGAAAACCAAATACTGCATGTTCTCACTTATAAGTGGGAGCTAAATAATGAAAATATGAACACATAGAGAGGAACAACACACACTAGGGCCTTTAGGAGAGTGGAGGGTGGGAGGAGGGAGAGGGTCAGGAAAAATAACTAATGGGTACCAAGCTTAATACCTGGGTAATGACATAATCTATACAACAAACCCCAATGATGCAAGTTTACCTATGTAACAAATCTGCACTTGTAACCCTGAACTTAAAAGTTAAAAACAAAAACAACACACACAAAAAATTGCAAACTAGTAAGTATGCTCAATTTTCCATAACATCAAACAACTTTTGTTATTTCCCATTTTTATAATGTATATGAATTATTTCTTGAGATTGTAGTGGTCTAGCCATAGCATTTCTATTCATTTATCCATTATATAATTAATTCATTAATTCAGTCAGTACTTACTGAGCACTTACTGTACGCCAGATACTGTTCCAGGCACTAAGGATACAACAGTAAACCAGAAGTAAAAAAGCCTTTCTCTCACAAAACTTACATTGTAGTGGAAGAGATAAACTATGAGCAAGTAGACAAATTAAATGTTTTTGAGGATGGTAAGAGTTTTGAAGGAAATATAACAGGTTAAAGAAATAGTCGCTGGGTGAGGGTACTGTTTTATAAAGGTGGTTAGAGAAGGATGTTACAGCTCTGAACAACAAAAAGGATTAATTTTTCTTTAAAAAATTGAATGAACTTATAGAGAGAGACAGTATACTACTGTGGATTTATACACCCATTCCTAATTCTGGTTTTTAGAAATTCTCCTGTTCACTTAACTTAAATGGGAACTTGCCAACTAGAAAGTCCATTGATGTACACAATGGCCCTATTGCTTTAGTCTTTTGTTTTTATTTCTAATTGACAAATAAAAATTGTATGTATTCACAGTATTAAAAAAAAAAAAAGCAAGCTGCATAAATACTTTCCATATAAGGAGATGTGTGGCTTGATAACAGTCCCTGTAAAGAAATCATGAGGCATTGACCCAAAGCAATTACAATCTTAGGTTTTGTTAATGAAGTAAGCATTCAGTTAAGGTTGTCATAGTCTCATCGTGTTCTACTCAATTTTGCCCACAAATTATGTTGAGTAAGAATAAATATGAAGAAAACAATTCTCCTTATACTAGGATGATAAGGGAGGGCATTCTGATCGGTAGCTTAGTGTTCATTCTGTGCTCTTGTTGTGGAGTAGCCATGCAAGTTGGGTAGGTTTGACCCCTTTCCCAGCTCCAGAGGTAAACCAATCAAAGTAATCATTCTCCTTTCCTGGTGATAGTTTCAGGTAATTCAGACCTAAAACCAATCAAAGCATAGCATTTCCTTGAATCCAGGAGTTGGTTCAAAGGTGAGTCAACAAGCATGAAATGTATGTGTGATGATAACACAAATGTATCCAATGGAAGCATATAGCTCTGATCAATGTTGGCAGCCACACTAAAACGCAAAAGTTGCTTACCTAAACATAAAGCCTACAGAAAGAGGAAGGAAACTCTTGTGTCCCAACAATCTATTCTTTTTTTTTTTTCCTGAGATGGAGTCTCACTCTGTCACCCAGGCTGGAGTACAATGGCTCCATCTCAGCTCACTGCAACCTCTGCCACCCAGGTTCAAGCAATTCTCCTGTCTCAGCCTCCCGAGTAGCTGGGACTACAGGCACACACAACCACGCCTGGCTAATTTTTGTATTTTTAGTAGAGACAGGGTTTCACCATACTGGTCAGGCTGGTCTCGAACTCCTGACCTCAGGTAATCTGCCCGCCTCGACCTCCCAAAGTGCTGGGATTACAGGTGTGAGCCACCGCGCCCAGCCCCAACAATCTATTCTTAATAGGAGAAAACCAGGGAGATTCATTTAAAATTATAAAATCATGTTACTGCTCTGCTCAGAATCTAGATATGGAACCTGCTTGCATTCTAAGCAAAAGCCAAGGTCCTTACAAAGGTTTATAAGCCCCGTCATCTCTATGACCTCATCTCTAACATCTCTTCACTCATTGCTCACCAATACACTGGCCTATTTTGCTATTCCTAAAGCATGCCTGACACTGTCTTACCTTAGAACCTTTGTTTAAGCTCTTTCTCTGCTCTTCCCTCAAACTGCCCTGCTTCCCTCTTTGCCTAGACAACTCCCACATTCATAGGTCTTTATTCAAGTCTTCCCTTCTCAATGAGAAATATCGTGGTCACACTATTTAATACAGCCAATTGCTATTCCTCCCTGACAATCTTAAACCCCCTTTTCTTGCTCTATTCTTTTTTCAAAGCATATATTATATGGTAATATGCTATATAATTTATTTAGTTTTACATTTATTGTTTACTATCTGTCTCCCTCCTCTGGAATACAAGTTCTAGAACGACAGTTTGTTTTGTCCTTGATGTCTCTCAAGTGCCTAGTACAAATGCCTGGGACGTAGTAGACACTCTCTAAACATGTGTTGAAGGATGAATGAGTAACTGAGCTGCTGAATCACCCACTTTCTGAAGACTGACTCTGATATGAGCCAAGGTATTCCTTTACTGCTTTATACATTCAGAGAACAAATTTTTTTTTAGACAAATGAAAGCCAACTGACTGCTAAAATAGTGAAGGATAGGGGATCCATGTCCAAGAAAGAATGTTTGAAGGAGTTGGAGATGTTTACCATGGGGAAGACTAGTGAAGAACATGTTATCTTGTAATAAATAAAGGGCTGACATACAAAAAAGAGGAACTAGGCATGTTTTTATTGTTCTACAAAGCAGAATGGATTAAAGTTATAGAGAGGCAAATTTCAGCTCAGCTTAAGAATGAACCTTCTAACAATAAAACTGCTTCATACTGGAATGAGCTGCCTCATGCTTTAGTCAGCTCTCTACTATTATGTGTGTTCAAGCAGAGGCTGAATGCATCTGTTAGAGAGATGGCAGGACAGATCACTGTACTGGGCAGTGGATTGGATTTGGTGATCTTTTTTAAGTCTGTTTCTACTCTAGAATTTACTGTGAAAGATTTTGGGCTGGGTGCGGTGGCTCACGCCTGTAATCCCAGCACTTTGGGAGGCCGCGGCGGGCGGATCATAAGCTCATGAGTTAGAGACCAGCCTGGCCAACATGGCAAAATCCCATCTCAACTAAAGATACAAAAATTAGCCGGGCCTGGTGGCGGGCGCCTGTAGTCCCAGCTACTCGGGAGGCTGAGGCAGGAGAATCACTTGAACCCGGGAGGCAGAGGTTGCAGTGAGCCAAGATAGTGCCACTGCACTCCAGCCTGGATGACAGAGGAGTGAGAATCCATCTCAAAAAAAAAAAAAAAAAAATTTCGATGTGGCCACTTACGAGGTATCGGCTTAGTCCATAAAAAAATCCTTTTTCTGTATGAATCTCTTTCCTAATTCCTTGACCCTCTTCAAACAGATGGGCTTTCAACAGCCATATTTGTTCTGTGTGAGCCCAGTCTTTTAGGCCATAGCTGATTAGATCAGGAATGGGCCGCTTATCAAAGTGTGCCAGTCAGATTCTTCCACACGGAAGTTAAGAAATAAGAGAAAAGACTCTGTTGGCCCTCTTTTTTCATTAGAAATGTAACGTCAACTCAGAAATAGTGGATAGCCAGTTTCTACAATGTGGGCTAAGAGGAGAGATAACTGATCTAAAGAAGGGAAAAAAGAATGAAGCTGATGTAGAGAGAACAAAACTAAGTGACAGAGACTATATCTACAATGGCTTTCCAGTTCCTAGTTCCAGTATTTCCTAAGATCCAAAGCTAATCTTTCCCTTGAGTCTCTCTCTCTCTTTGTCTCTGTCTCTGTCCGTGTGTGTCTCTCTCTTTTCTTTAAGCCAGTCAAGTTATTTCTATGACTTGCAACCAGATTCATAACCAATAAAACTTTTATTTTGCTTTTAACCTCTTTTTATCTGTATTTAAGTATCTGAGTTAATCAATGAAATCTATCACTTATATAAAAAAGTAAAAATAAGATTCTCTCTACACATTAATTGTAATTGCATACACTGTGAATTAATTGAAAACAATGAAGCCAGGTGCAGTGGCTCACACCTGTAATCCTAGCACTTTGGGAGGCCAAGGCAGGCAGATCACCTGAGGTCGGGAGTTTGAGACCAGACTGACCAACATGGAGAAACCCCGTCTCTACTAAAAATACATAATTAGCCAGGCGTGGTGGTGTGTACCTGTAGTTCCAGCTACTTGGGAGGCTGAGGCAGGAGAATTGCTTGAACCTGGGGCAGGGCGGAGGTTGCGGTGAGCTGAGATGGCACTATTGCACTCCAGCATGGGCAACAAGAGCGAAACTCCATCTCAAAAAAAAAAAAAGAAAACAATGTCATATGACATTTTTTGCAATGCATTACTTGCTTTACCATCACTACCATCACACTCATAGCTGACAAGAAGTTCTAAAAAAATTACGATAGCAGTTCTACGATGCTGAGTATTTTAGGGCTGCACGAAAGTACTATATCTTTCTATTTGGGTATTACGAAACCATTATTATGTCCTACTCACTTTGAGAAGTATTAGTATTTTTGATTCCTAGCCTTTCTCTAGGCTGTTTTATGTTCTTTCAGGTTTAGATGGTGGTATTGTGAACACGATAAAACCAAAGTTACAGATCAAAGGAGGAGGCTAAACATTTTTGAAAAGTAGAAATGGCACATAAGTTCAGGGATAGGGAAGAAAGGCTTTTTTCTTTGACATTGTTTGCAAATAAGAAAAGCAGTAACTATCAAGTTTACTTCAAGTTTTGGGGTATGGGAGTTTATAAGGATTTATAAGGAAACAAGCACAATCATTTGACCAGGACTCCACCATGTGAATTGGGCTCATAGAAGTCAGATCTAAATCCTGACAAGATGATTTTGCCTTTACTAATCTCCCCTTCTTCAGTGCACTGGAACAAAAACACTGGTGTGCCGGCAAAAGTTTAAGAAACGGCTCTTTGGCAGAGAAGCACTGCTTCATTGTGTCTGCTGATTTGCTTAATGTAAGTACTCCCACTATGGCCAATTTCAAGCTACAAATATGATAAACACAGAGTTGGGAAGAGATGCACATAATTAGTCCTCACGGGCCAGTACTAGCTGGCTCTAGCACACTGCTCATACAGGCCACCTTGTTATATCTAGAACATGCTGTCAAGCAGATCAGCCTCCGGCTCTACTTTTTGCCTTGAATGCCCATCTCCCACATCTTTGCAGTTTTCTCTCTTATTTCATTTAAGTATTGCTCAGAAGTGACCCCCTCAGAGAGGCCTTTCCTGATGGTTATATTTAAAATCATAACTATCCCATCACTCTCTATCCCCTTCTGTATTTTAGTTTTCTTCTTAGGGATAATCAGCCTAACATTACATTGTCTATGTTTAGTTGATTATTATTTGTCTCACCTCCCATCTCTTAAAACGCAAACTACATAAGAGCAGTGACTGCATATTCTGTTTTTTGCTGCTCTTCCCATATCTAGAACAATTTCTGGCACAAAGTAAATAGCCAATAAATAATTATGGAATGAATTAATAAGTGGGCTTTGTTAAATTATCCAGTGGTGGCCGGGTACGGTGGCTCATGCCTGTAATCCCAGCACTTTGGGAGGCCAAGGTGGGTGGATCACGAGGTCAGGAGTTCGAGACCAGCCTGATCAACATGGTGAAACCCCGTCTCTACTAAAAATACAAAAATTAGCTGGGCATGGTGGCATGCGCCTGTAATCCCAGCTATTCAGGATGCTGAGGCAGGAGAATTGCTTGAATCTGGGAGGCAGAGTTTTACAGTGAGCCAAGATCGCGCCACTGCACTCCAGCCTGGGTGACAGAGCAAGACTCCCTCTCCGGAAAAAAAAAAATTATCCAGTGGTAATCATCTCTGTATTCTCAGTGCTTAGCACAGTGCCTGAACCAGCCCAATAAAAATCTTTGAATATATGAAACAAGTAATTAGATATCCAAGATAAATGAGCTAAAGTTGGGAGTTAGAAGTTCACATAGCAACATTATTATTTCTAGCGATATGCTCACAAAGCAGATGGCAAATTTTTTCTTCCTTATCCTTTTTTATAGCTTAGGAGACTGAAATACAGAAAACAAATTGACTTTACCTTGAGACATAACATATGTTGAATTTATACAAGGCTAGTAGGTCAACTCAGAAATGAAAATTTAGATTTGAATTGCTCTGATACAATGGAAAGAACACTAGATTGGTAGTTTAGGAGATTTGGCTCTTCCTCTAAAGCCCTATCTGAGTGAAACATAGCACAGCTTTTTTTCAGTGAAAGGAATGACATCACTAGGAATTGTACAAATTTATTTCCAACACAGATGTCCTATGATCAGGTTACCTTATTTAAGAATATAGATTTCCAAATTATTTTTACATTAGCTGAAATATCTAGTTCAAACAAAAGTAAGTTTCTATTCACGAAATTTTCATTCATGTTGTTGTTGTTAGTGAGCCAAAGTTATTTAACTAATTCAAGTTTATGTATGTATGTATGAGTATATATTCTGTTTGGTCAGCTATTTTACATACATATAAATGTTGTATGTCTAATTACTTATTGTAATATCTAATTACTTATTTCAACTGCTGCACTGAGGATACAGAGATGATTACTACTGAAAATTTAACGAAGTCTATTAATTCATTCGTTCCATAATTATTTATTGGTTATTTATTTTGTGCCAGGCATTGTTCTAGATAAGGGAATATATACATATATATGAAATAGCTGACCAAATAGGAGACATATTCATTCATTAAACAAATATTTATTCATTCATATAATACATACTTATTTATTCAATAAATATTATTTATTCCTAAATATTTATTTGACCACCCTATTTAACAGTGTAATCTGACTCCTTAGTACACCTGATCCTCTTCACTGCACTTTATTTTTTCCATATGTCTTCCAATATAGTACATGATTACCTTGTTTATTATATTTATTTTTTATTATCTTTCTTTTGCCCTCCTCACTCCTCCACTCCAGCAACTCAATGTAAACTACATAGGCAAAGTGCTTTGTTCACCAATGTATCAGAAGCACTTAGAACAATACTGGACTCTCGATAAATATTTGTTAAATGAATGAATTTTATACTTTCTATGTTTCAAACACTATTTTAAAAACTAGGGATACAGCAGATAAGAAACCAAATACTCTGACTGCTCTGAAGGAACTTACTTTCCAGAGAAAAAAACAAGGAGAAAAAAAAAAATATATATATATATCAGGATATGATAACTGTTATATAGAAAGATAGCAAGGCTGGCTAGAAAGAGGGTAATAGAGTGAGGATCGAGTGATTTTTTTTTTTAATGGGGAGTTTAGAGAAGGCCATTCTGATAAGGTGGCATTTAAGCAGAGACTTAAGGAAGATTAAAAAAAAAACAAAGCCAGTATGAGATTACAGGTATAATAATCCAGGCTGGTAAGGATATGGAAATATATTAACTGTGGTTCTTCAAAATTTTTAAAAATTAAGTTATTTAACATATACTTATTAAAAATCTACCATGTCTGGGCCAGTCACAGTGGCTCACTCCTGTAATCCCAGCACTCTGGGAGGCCGAGGCGGGTGGATCACCTGAGGTCAGGAGTTTAAGACCATCCTGACGAATATGGAGAAACCACATCTCTACTAAAAATACAAAATTAGCAGGGTGTGGTGGCGCATGCGTGTAATCCCAGCTACTCAGAAGCCTGAGGCAGGAGAATTGCTTGAACCTGGGAGGCAGAGGTTGCCATGAGCCGAGATCCTGCCATTGCACTCCCGCCTGGGCAACAAGAGCGAAACTCTGTCTCAAAAAAACTTAAATAAATAAATATCCACCGTGTCTCAATCCCTGTGTGATATCCTACAGTCATAGAGCTGAAACAATAACAATAGTCCTCAACCTCAAGTAAAGCAACTTCTGGCAAAGAGAAAATAAAATCAATGATTATAATTCAGCATAGTACCAGTATAACCAGGAGAAGCACAAAGAAGAGAATCCCTGAGCAATTTTTTCAGAATGTGAGTTGGAAAAATGTTGGGAACACGTGATCAGCTTTTATCAGTGATTGTGGATTCACATGTCAGGTTGCCAGTAGGTACAGCAGGGAAGGGCATTCCCAATAGAGAAAGCAGCGTGTGCAAAGACAGGGAGTCATGAGAGAGGATGCAATACTTGGAGCCTATAGATAGAGAGATAATAACGGCATTAAGAATTTTGGCAAGGACTGGACAATGAATAGGAAATCTGTCCCTCAAATGTCTGTATATGCCATGCTAATAAATGTAAATTGCATGCTAAAGGCAATGCAATAGGTAGGTGCTGGAAGATTTTAAGCAGCAGAAGGACAATCATGTATACATACATCAGTATATGAGATATTTAGGTAGAGATTCAAAATAGGCACATGAGATCTTAACTTTTTTTAAGCTATAGGATTATTTCATAAAACAATTGGCCACTTGAGGTTCTTGATATCTCAGAAGAGGAGGGAAAAACCAGTATAATGTTTTAGAGTTTCTCTTTAATATTGACAGGATAGAGGATATTTAAGTTCCAAGATATTTGTTAGTTACTTTTTAAGGATGCTTAGTATGGCCTGGAAACTATCTTTGATTCAAAGCTTGAATAGTAGGCCAATAGGATATTTTCCCACTGATATTAATGTTAATAATATTATAATAACTTTACCTTGGTTAATATAATGGATTAATACATTTTGATAGTAACCAGAGACACAGCTTATTTACATCTCATCAAAAGCTATCCTCTTCTCATATCTTCCATAAAAATAGAAAAGTTTTGTTGGGTTTTGGCAGTAGTAAGCAACACACTACCCCATTGGTTACATGGCTATAGCTAAATAGAAGATACCAGCCTGACCACTCTGATGTTACATGTGCTTTGGAATGCAAAATGAGCAATTATGGTATACTTTAAGATAAACTGTTAATAATTTATAATTTTATAAATTATCTTTGGAGTCTTTTTTACTCATGTCAAATATAGGCACATCTTCTGGATTTCCTTCCCTATATTACTAAAGGAAGAAGGAAGAGGAGGAAAAGGAGGAAGAGGAGGAGGAAAATATAAAAGCTACAATAAAATCTTTTTTAAAACTACAGTATTCAGATTTCATGATTGTTTAGGATATCTGAGGTTGAACTGGACTTAAATAAAGTTTTCTTTGCCAAAAATAATTCTTTGCTTACAGACAGTACAATTTAATTATAAGCAGAAGGTTTAAAATAATGTAGACTATGAAGTGTTTCTAAGCACCTTCAACACCCTCAAGTATAATACTTCAGAAGTAGTAGATTTACATACAATTGATATGCTAATTATGATTATTTTATGAATAATTATTATCTATTCATTAAATCAGTTCCCTAAGGACTTCTATTAGTCAACATCTTGTTAGCTTAAAGAGTTTGAGTTATTTAAGACTTGATAGCTGAATGGGTAAGACAATATTGTAAAATATTTTCTGTCCTGCATCTTCATCAAATGAACTTAGACATTTTCCTTTTTCCCCTTCAGTGACTGTCTCAATTTATTTGGTATCTCTTTGTTTAAGAACCAACACCAATATGTCTGCCAATAATACCCATCTTCAGAAGTCACAGAGTAATTTTTGAAGATATAATTACTGATAAAAGTATGGTTTCTATCTCTCCAGCTCCCAATATAATCCCAAATCAAAAGAATTCCAAACCTTGCCCAATACGTTTTCCTATAGTGATTACTTGGAAGCATTTCATTGGGGGAAAAAATGTGGCAGCCCTGCTTTGCTGACATACTAAGCACAAATTTAACCTGATTATTGATTAATCCAGCATTAGCCATTATAGTGACCAATCTGACAAGCTGTTTCCAGACAATGTCTTTTTTGGATCAGCCAGAAGAGACCTGGGAGCCAGCATTTACCTTTAGGAACAGATACCTATGGCTTTTGGTATATGGTTGCTTTTAGAGTGGTTTTACTTTTTAGCCCAGCCACAGGAAGGTACAATAAGTCCTGAATGCACATATGTTTTTGGTTACCCAGTCTTGCTCAGAAAATTTTCATGTGCTATCATAGTTCTTTGATGTTTGAAAATGTCATGCCCTTGTTATATAAAAATGACAGTACTGAGCTGTGCTTTGAGTTGTTTATTCAGAGGCAGTGAAAGGTCAGAAATCCAGTCACTTTTTTCTTCATTTCCTCTTATACATCCTTGAGGGGATGCCTCAGAATAGAGTTTATCTATTGAAGACTTCCTATGTATAAGGCATATAGGCAGTCAGAGGACATGGAGAGAAGAGTTTGAATCTTGTTCTTGAGATACTGTAGTGCGGGCCTTCCTGCCAATGAAGGTAAACAATGTGAATCATCAATGTTCACCCCTGAGAGGTTAAATTCTCATGATCCACTGTGCCTCCAGTTCCTGTATCTGTATTTTGCAACTGTATCCCTTGCAATGAAATATCCATTGCATTAGTTTCTTGTCTAGTTTACATGATAAATTAGTTTCTATTAGGTATTTATGAGTATGTGCCCAAATACTTAGGGGTGGTGATGAGGAGTTATATTGTACAGGAGTCAGACTTCTGCAATCTTCTTCTCTTTCTTCCATTTTTCTTGTTTTTGTACTGTGTCCTCTCTCTGTTGATCAAAACAAAATCCCCCCTCTATGCATATCATTTCATATTATTTATTGCTTCAACATACCTTTGGGGAACTATTCTAGAAATAGTTCTTTCAAATAATAGTGTACATCGTTCTTCCCAAGAGAAACTCCGATAAATGCAATTTTCCTCCTTGTCATAGGAGTGCTGGACAGACATTTTAAAAAGTAGGTTTTGCTCACCTAAAGAAAGCTTTTGACTACTACTAAGAGAAACTCTGAAACTTTATCCTCTCAACTTAGTCCAACAAAACCCCCAATCAGGGCTTTAATCTCCTCTTCCCTACACCCTAACAATTGAGTGCTGCTAGTGAGAAATCTCCTAGTCTTTTAGATGCTGCCACAATAAAGTCATATTTTCCAACCTCAGCTGGATCCTCAGCGCCCAACAATTCTTTGATTTGTACTTAGCCTCCTCTCCCTCAACTAGTACTCTAAATCTGCACACATCTTATGAAATACTCCACTTACTTTCAGACTACTTTCATTGAGAAAACCAGAGCCATAAAGTATAATCTCTCTTAACTTGCAGACCTTTTCCTATGAAATAATATACATAAACCATTCAAACCCCTTTCCTCTAGTCTGGCTACCTCTTCTAGTTCCTTGATGGCATATCATCTGTGTCATTGATTTGTCAATTACTCCCTCTCTTCTATCGTTAACCTTTGTTTAGGGGCAGGCATCATCTCTGAACTCAATTACTATAATAATCTTTTGACTCTTCTAACCTCTCTTCTTGTCCATATTAACTCCACGCTCCACCGTATGTGAAACACAGATGTGTTTATGAGTACAATTTTCTTAAAGTCCTTTAATGATTCCCCTACAAGGTAGGTAAAGTTCAAGCTTGTTAACATGGTATGAAATCTACTTATAGTGTTGAGCCTCATTTCCAGGCAATCCCAGTCTCTTACTTTATGCCCCAGACAAATAGAACATCAATAGTTTCTGCACCTACCATGCCATTTCTTGTCTTACTGCCCTTGTTTATGTCTGTTTATGACCTTCCCAACTTTCCCACACTGCATTACATCACATCACATCACCCATGCCCTTTGCCTAAATAATTTGTTTACTTTATTAGAGTCAGTTAATGAGCCATTTCTACCTAAAAATCTTTCCCTTTGTGCTCTAATAATATCCTGTGACTCTCCATCACCCATTCTTATTTGTTATTTCTTAATTATCTCCTTAAGCCTATGATCTGTCCCCATTCCCCTGACTCTACTACTATACATACCTTGTAGGTCCTTGAGGGTAGAAACTACATTTTATTCACCTGGATTGACCAACTTTTTAATAGTACTACAATACTGAAATATAGTTAATCAGGTTCCTCATAACAATTAATAATTTTCCTCAGACATCTTGTTTTTAGGATTGATAGAACATTGCCAAGTAGGTTTTTATTTCTTGGTTTGTTTGCTTGGTTGCTTGCTGTTTTCTGATCACAATATGTCCACAGGAATATGTTCACCTCACAAATGCTAAAACACAAAATGTGAACTTCATAATTCTAAAGTTTCAACTTTACTGTAAGCAAAACTCTTAATTTTTACTGTGAAATATTTCATGCATACCATACATAAATGTTCAGAAATACTTTAAAGAATATTAAACTGATACCACCTGGGTTAAGAAATAACGACCAAAATCCTGAGTGAGTCTCTAGTAGTATAAGGTTCACCACAGTCTAGGCATCTGGGGACAAGGCCCTTTAGCTACAGAAAACATAATGGGCACAGGGAGTAGTCTGCTGTGTATTTTTTCTTCAAAAATCACTATGCTCTATCTCCAACTCTCAGAGGTAGATCAAACTGAACCCACTTCCATGTGGTAGAATCTGGGTTTCTAGCTAACACAGCAGCACCGCATGCAGGGGGAAACAGAAACTTTACCAGTAAATAGTCAAGACAAGTTGACCCCAGACAAGAATCTAGACCACACTCTAATGAACAACATTGTTGCTCTAATGTGCAATTAATCTGTCCTTCGTCATTAGAAAGTAGCTGGGATTGGATCTTCCTCTAAACGTTAACATAAAAAAACCCAGAAAACTTGACAAAATATAAAAAAAAATTGTGTATTATTCTGTTTTCACCCTGCTATAAAGAAATACCTGAGACTGGGTAATTTATAAAGGAAAGAGGTTGAATTG
Source organism: Homo sapiens (assembly GCF_000001405.40). NCBI lineage: Eukaryota > Metazoa > Chordata > Mammalia > Primates > Hominidae > Homo > Homo sapiens. The sequence goes on along the minus strand of NC_000001.11, from coordinate 96,700,907 downwards.
AATTACAGTTCCACATGGCTGGGGAGGCCTCAGGAAACTTACAATCATGGTGGAAGGCAAAGGGGAAGCAAGGACATTCTTCACATGGTGGCAGGAGAGAGATGAGAGAGTGAAAGGGGAAGAACCCTTTATAAAACCATCAGATCTCATTAGAACTCACTCCCTACCACGAGAACATCATGGGGGAAACCACCCCCATGATTCAGTCACCTCCCACCAGGTCCCTCCCTTGACACGTGGGGATTTTGGGGATTACAATTCAAGATGAGATTTGGGTGAAGACACAGAGCCAAACCATATCAAACTGTTTTCATACATTGGGCAACAAGCAGTGCAGGGCTAAGAGAAGGGGAAAAAATGAGATGAGCTCTATGTTCTCTCTAGCTTTGTGTGTTGAAGGCATTTTCTGGTGAGGTGAGGAGACAGTTAAGAAGAGCAGACTTGATATCAAATATCAAATTTAGGCGAGGCTAAGTCACCTGAAATTTGAAGTACTGAAAATTAAAAGGAAAAGAGAGCACAGAAAGAGCTCCAGAAATCTGCTAAAAGGGTTACCTTTAAGTCTGATGGTGAATAATGAGCTGCGTATGCATAGGGTGAAACTCCACAAGGCTGATAAAGAATGATTGAGGAACTGTAAACTGAGAAAATCCCACTGCTCGCACAGGGTTGGGAGGTATTTGAATTCCAGCAAGCCATAGTAGAAAGTCCTTGTTGAACTCCCTAGAAATTCAGCAGGGACCCCAGAAAGGTCATAGCTTCATGGTAGGACTAATCTTACCATCCTGACCAGGCTACAAAACAGATCTTGAAAGAATCAAACTGGTCCAAAAGTAACTTAGATGTCTACAAAACAAAATTCAATACTCTAAAAAACAAAAACATGCACACATACAACATTTGCAATGTCCAGAACTTAACTCAAAATTACAAGACATGCAAATAAGCAGAAAATGAGACTCATGTGCAAGAGATATATCAATCAGTAGGAATATGTCCAGAAATTATACAGATGATGGGTTTTAGCAGATACTTTAAAACAGATATTATAAGGCCAAGCATGGTGGCTAAAACCTGTAATCCCAGCACTTTGTGAGGCCAAGGTGGGTGGATCACTTGAGGTCAGGAGTTCAAGACCAGACTGGCCAACATGGTGAAACCCTGTCTCCACTAAAAATACAAAAATTAGCTGGAAGTGGTGGTGCACACCTGTAGTCCAACTACTTAGGAGTCTGAGGCAGGAGAATCTCTTGAACCCAGGAGGTAGAGGTTGCAGTGAGTAAAGATCACGACACTGCACTCCAGCCTGGACAACAAAGCAAGACTCTCTCAAAAATAAAAATAAAAATAAATAAAATAGATATTATAGGCTGGGCGCAGTGGCTCACACCTGTAATCCCAGCACTTTGGGAGGCTGAGGTGGATGGATCACAAGGTCAGGAGATCGAGACCATCCTGGCTAACATGGTGAAATCCTGTCTCTACTAAAAAATACAACAAAAATTAGCCAGACTTGGTAGTGTGCATCTGTAGTCCCAGCTACTCGGGAGGCTGAGGCAGGAGAATGGAATGAACCTGGGAGACGGAGCTTGTAGTGAACTGAGATTGCGCCACTGCACTTCAGCCTGGGCAACAGAGCGAGACTCCGTCTCAAAAATAAATAAATAAATTATAAATATGCTCAAAGATTTAAATAAAAATATAAACATAAGGAGGACAGACATAAAAGATATAAAAAGATTACTGTATATAACATTATTACATAATATATATGACTAAGATATTAAAAGAAATAACATGAAACTTCTAGAGCTGAGAAAGATAATATCTGATATGAAAATTTTGCTGGGATGAGCCTAGTGGAGTTTAGAAACTGCAAAAGTAAAGATTGATGAACTTAGAGAGAGCAATCAGTAAAACTGCAAACTGACATGAGGAAAAAAATTGAAAATAATGAACAGAGCCTCAATGACCCATGGGATAATATTAAACAGTCTAAACAGTATAATTAAAATACTGGAGTTGGAAGAAAGGGCTAATCATATTTTAAAAAATAATGACTATAAGTTTTCCAAATTTGATGAAAACAGTACACCCAGATCCCAGAACTCAAATAACATTAAGCCTGATAAACACAAAGAAAACCACATGAAGCCACATTATAATCAAATTGTTGAAAACCAGTGATAAAGAGAAAATCTTAAAAGCAGCCAAAGGAAATAAAGATAAGAATGATCGCAGGCTTCTCACCAGGAGAAAAAAAAAAAGTAATCCAGAAGACATGCAATGACATCTTTAAAATGCTGAAAAAAAATTCTGTCGGGCCAGGGGGTATGGCTCACTTCTGTAAACCCAGCACTTTGGGAGGCTGAGGTGGGTGAATCACTTGAGCCCAGGAGTTCCAGACCAGCCTCAGCAACACGGCCAAACCCCACCTCTTCAAAAAGTGGGAGGATCACTTGAGCCAGGGAAGCAGAGGTTGCGGTGAGCGAGATTGTGCCACTGTACTCCAGCCTGAGTGACCAAGAAAGACACCTTGTCTCCAAAAAAATCAATAAAATAAAATAAAATTCTGTCAAATGAGAATTCTATATTCATAGAAAATATCTCCAAAATGAAGAAAAAAAAGTATTTTTTTCCAGATACAAGCTGGAAAAATTTATCAGCAGATATGCACTGTAATAAAAATGTTCTTCAGGTAAAAGAAAAATTACACTAGATGAGAAACTGAATCTTCTTAAAGGAATGAAGAGTGCTGGAACAAGTAAATACACAGGTATATATGTATTTTTTTCACTTTCATTTTTATCATTTAGAGACTGGGTCTTGTTCTGTCACCCAGGCTGGAGTGCAGTGATGCAGCCATCTCTCACTGCAGCCTCAAATTCTTGGGTTCAAGGACTAACTTCCGTCTCAGCCCATTGAGTAGCTAGGACTACAGGCATGTGCCACTGTATTCAGCTAACTTTTTGATTTTCATTTTTTCTTTCTTTCTTTTTTTGGAGAGATGGGGTCTTGCTTTGTTGCCCAGGCTGGTCTTGAATTCCTGGCATCAAGCAGTTCTCCCACCTTGTCCTCCCAACTTGTCCTCCCAACGTGCTGAGATTACAGGTGTGAGCCACTACACCTGGCCCTAAAGGTATATTTAAAAACATCTTTTTAACTTTTACATTTCTTCAAAAGATAATTGATTGTTTAAAGCAAAAATAAACAACTATTTATTATGAGTTGAAACAGAATAAAGTAGCTAGTATTGGTTAAAATACTATATACAAATGATATATAATATTTTCATCTCTTTCATTTTCCAAGTAAAATTTTTTTTAAAATGTTGTAGTGAAAAAATTTAGTCAATGTTAAAGTAAACGTATGACAGCAATACATGGAGTGGAAGGGGACCATGAAAAGATAATGTTGTAAGGTTCCTTTTTTTTTTTGAGATGGAGTCTTTCTGTGTCACCCAGGCTGGAGTGCAGTGGCACAATCTCCGCCTCCCAGGTTCAAGGGATTCTCCTGTCTTAGCCCCCCAAGTAGCAGGGATTACATGCACACACCACCACACCCGGCTAATTTTTGTATTTTTAGTAGAGATGGAGGTTTCACCTTACTGGCCAGGCTGGTCTCGAACTCCTGACCTCAGGTGATCTACCCACCTCGGCCTCTCAAAGTGCTGGGATTACAGGAATGAGCCACTGCCCCCAGCCTAAGGTTCTTAAATTATATATGAAGAGATGCAATATTATTTACAGTGAAATTATGATCAGTCAAAGGTGCATATTAAAAAACCTATAAAGAATTATAGCCAAAAGCCAAAGAAGAAGTTACAATATTCTCAGAAAAATACTCAATCCAACAGAAGGCAAGAAAACATAGGAAAAAAAAAAGGTGAAGAAGCAGATAAGATAAATAGGAAAAAAAAAGAAAAAAACTAAGGTGAGGGATTTATTTATTTATTTATTTATTTATTTCAGACAGAATCTCGCTCTGTCACCCAGGCTGGAGTGCAGTGGTGCGATCTTGGCTCACTGCAAGCTCCACCTCCCGGGTTCATGCCATTCTCCTGCCTCAGCCTCCCGAGTAGCTGGGACTACAGGCGTCTGCCACCACGCCCAGATAATTTGTTTCTATTTTTAGTGGAGACGGGGTTTCACGGTGTTAGCCAGGATGGTCTTGATCTCCTGACCTCCTGACCCGCCGGCCTCGGCCTCCCAAAGTGCTGGGATTATAGGCTTGAGCCACTGCACCCGGCCAGGTGAGGGATTTAAATGCAATTACAGCAATACTTACATTATATATAAATAGTGTGAACAGTCCAAATGAAAGGCAGATATTATCAGTTTGGATAAAAAGTGGAATCAACTATATAATGTCCACCAGTATATAAATAGTTTATATTTAACTTTAAATATAAATATATTTATTTAAATATAAAGACCCAGGTTCAGAAGGGAAAGAAAAGGAAGTAGTTAATATTGGTTGAAATGTTACATTAAAGTGATTACATTTAATCTTTTAAAATCTATTTTATTTTCCAAATAAAATTGTTTTTATAATGTTGTAATGAAACAAATAAAACACTGTTATTATTAAGTCACAGTTAAACTACCTTCTCATTTTGTAAGCAAATTAACATTCACATAAATGAGAGATTACTTTTTCCTATTTTCCCAGAATTAAAGTGATAGTAAATATTTTCGCAAGACATTGCTAATTCTATTAATAAAAGATGCAGGATGTGACGTCACTCTGGCTGTGACATCTGTTACCCCATTGATTACCTGGGTTGGTTGGGCTGATCTGGCTGGCTAGGCGGGTATCCCCTTCATGTGCATCTTTCCTGTGCTCAGTCAAAGAGGATGACCTCCCTCATAGAGGGAGGACCATTCTTTGGTCAAGGGTATACCAGCAGCTGCATTCCCCTGCTAGACTTTCCAAGCAAGCTTCCAAAGATGCAAATTCAACCGTCTCTTTGACTGACTGTTAAAACACATGGGCCTGTTTCTAATCTGCAATATTCAATAGAGATACATCCTGATGTGCCAATCTTCAATTTGGCACATCAACGACTTTCAAAGCTCTGGCCAGAGAAAAGTTATTTTTGAAGAATTGACTGAAAGCAACACCATCCATCCGCTTCTTTACATACTACAAAATCCATCCCTATAGTATGACAGACATCAGAGAGCATATGTCCCCAGACCACATTATGTTGGTCTCATTTTATGCTCTTAGCTTACATTAAGGCACATTGTGGATTATACAGTGACCATATACCCTGATTTGTTTGGATCAGTTTTTGTTTCCATCTATTGTCCCATTGTAATTGTCATTAGTGCCCTTTTCACTCTTGAAAGTAATGTGCCCTTTTCACTCTTAAAAGTATATCAGTTTGGACAATAAGTAATATAGTTATCCTAGTTATAGGTGAGTTTTAGTTTCTACTTTCCAATATTGTCAGTTTTCTCTAGTGCTCTGTCTTAGTCTGTTTGAGCTTCTATAACAAAATACTGTAGACTGGGTGGCTTATAAATAAAAGAAATGTATTTCTCACAGTTCTGGAGGCTGAGAAATTCAAGATCAAGGTGCCAACAGATTTGGTGTCTGGAGGACCTGTTTGCTGATTCATAGATGGCTGTCTTCTCATTGTGTCCTTATGTTTCAGAAGAGGTGAAGGAGCTCATAACCCTATTACCTTCCAAAGGCCTGACCTCCAAATACTATCACGTTGGGAGTTAGCATTTAACATGTGAATTTTGTGGGGGACACAAATATTCAACCTATAGCATGCTCACATACTACATGTGACTATTTACATTTGAATTAATAAAAATTAAATACCATTACCAGTCAATTTGTTGTACAAATTAGCCACATTTCAGTATTCAATAGTCACATGTGGCTAGTTGCTACTATTGGGCAGTCCTGATATGATATTTTCTCAACTACGGTAGTTTAAAATAGTAAAATTTCCAAGCACCAACCAAGAGTAACTTTGAGGGGCATATATGTGCATATGAAACTCATCCTTTAGTAGCCCTAAATCTGGCTGCATAGGTCAATCATTGCATTAGTTAGAATTCTGGTAGATATGAGACATAAGAAACTAAGCTCAATAAAAAAGTGACTTTAATGGTTCTTATAATTGAGACATCTAAGAGTAGAACTCACTTTAGGCCCAGGTGATAGATTGATTTTAAAACTATCCCCAATTCTTCATCCCTCTCTGTATTCACATGCTTTCCAAGGTGACTTAGCAGCTCCTTCCATCAAGACAGTCTATTTCAGTAGCATTTGAATCTGGGTTTTCCTTGTGACTACTTTGACCAATAGAATTTGGCAGAAGTAATTGTCATTGTACAAGAGTAAAGAGTCCTTGTACATTTCTGCTATCCAATACATACTGTAATTGTCATGTGAATAAACATACATTGGTCTGCTAGATGACAAAAGACCGGTTGTCTTTGCTCCACCCTACAGGCAACTAACCACCAGGTATGTAAATGAAGCCATCCTACACTAATCAGTCCCCAGGTGACCACATACAAGCCTAATCGAAAGGAGTCAGCCTGACCAGATCAGCAGAACCACCCAGACCCATAGACTCACGAGCAATAATAAATGCTAATTAAGCCACCGAGTTTTGATGTTATTTTTACACAGCAACAGATAACTGGTATAACACAATTGAAACATTTGAGCAAAGCAACTTTAAACAGTTAAATTAAGATCTACTTTTCCGACCGGGCGCGGTGGCTCACGTCTGTAATCCCGGCACTTTGGGAGGCCGAGATACGGCAGATCACGAGGTCAGGAGATCAAGACCATCCTGGCTAACATGGTGAAACCCCATCTCTACTAAAAATACAAAAAATTAGCCGGACATGGTGGCGGGCGACTGTAGTCCCAGCTACTCGGGAGGCTGAGGCAGGAGAATTACTGGAACCCAGGAGGCGGAGCATGTAGTGAGCCGAGATCACGCCACTGCACTCCAGCCTGGGTGACTCCATCTCAAAAAAAAAAAAAAAAAAAAAAAGATCTGCTTTTCCTTCTTTAACTCTTAGTTCTGATTCTTCTGTGTTAGTCTTATTCTGCGACAGGACCTTCATTAAGTGTGTGAAGATTATTATGGCCTATATTCTTCCAACTTCACATCCAATGGCAAAAAGTAGTCTCTTTTTCAGTAGCTTCTATAAAAGTTTTGAGATTTACTCTGATTGCATGGCTTGGATCATGTAACCATCCTTGAACTAATCATTGTAGCTATTGGAATTTGTTATATTCATTGGCTCAGGCTTGAATCACATCCCTGGAATAGGGACTGGTTTTCCTGCAGACAGTGCTTTATTCAGCCAGTATATACGATTACTGCTCTGCCAGTGTTTATGATCAGCATCCATTAAAATTAGTTGGTGTATTAGTTTTCTCTTGCTACTGTAACAACATACCACAAACTGAAGGGCTTATTACAAATTTAGTAGCTTAAAAACAACCTAAATTTATTATCTTATAGTTCTGGAAGTCAGAAGGCCAAAATTAGTCTTGAAGGGCTAAAATCAAGCTGTTGGAAGGGCTGTGTTTCCTCTGCAGCCTTCATAGAATCCATTTCCTTACTTCTTCTAGCTACTAAAGGTTAGAAATGCATTTCTACTTGCATTCTTTGGCTTGTGGCTCCTTCCAACATCTTTAAAGCACCTCACTCCGAGTTCTGCTTTCTTTCACACCTGCTTTATCTCGCTGACACCCCTGCCTTCCTCTTATACAGACTCTTGTGATTACATTAAGCTCATCTTCATAATCCAGGATAATCTTCTCATCTCAAGATCCTCAACATAATAAAATGTGCAAAGTCCCTTTTGCTATGTAAGGTAACATATTCACAATTTCTGGAGATTAGGACAGGGACATCTTTGGACGGGCAGGGGGTATTGTTGTTCTGTCTACCACAGTTAGTACATTTATTTCTATACTCTACTGATGTTTAGCACTTTGACTATTACTTTCCTAACCAATGGGATGAGTGTCAGGAGAGTGGGTAAAACCATAAAAGAAAGTCAGTAACTAATGTTAGATATAATTAGAATAAAAGCCAAAACCTATATCCATCATATTCAAGTTGGCAGAAAACACACCATAATCGCAAGAGCCTCCTGAAAGGGTTCTCCACTTGCATGTTAGATCAAGTCTTCTTAATTATTTATTGTTTTATTAACACTGGCTCATACACCTCCCATTCCATTTTCCATTCCAGCTCTCTTTTCCTTTCACCTAATTACCCCACAACTACTTCTCTACGATTTTCCAGGATCTTCAGTGGGGAGGAGCAAGAATAAAGCAACAGGGACTTAATTAGTAAAATTTCCCAACCACCTTATTAAGGGACTTCCTTGACAGTAAATTCTTTCCCTTTACTTCCTTCTCCTCAGTGATCTCAAGACTTTGGGAAAATGAAAGTAGCTCCTACTTGGTAAAATTATCTGGACCCTTTGTCAAACATGATGCATAATCTTGGTCAATTTATTTGCCCTTTTTGGCCTTCGAAGCTCTCATAGTTCAGATGTGAGTTAGTTATTACTTAGCCAAGCTTCAGAACATAAAACCCTTTTATAAATGGCATGTAATAGTTTAAAAATTAAATGTAAGTGCTCTTAAATCAGAACCTTTGACTAATTATTTATTGAATCCTTAGTCTTCTCCTCTATAAAATGAAGATTAATAATAAACTACAACTTTGAAGATTTAATGAGGAAAGTATATGTCCTTAGCATAGCCTGGCATAGCTTGTTAAAATAATAGCTATTGTTTAAAACATTTAGTTCCAATTCAGTCAACATTTATTGGACTCCTACTATGTGCCATACCTTGTGCTAGCCTCTTTGGTTTTGAAAAAGAGATATTTTAGCAAAATAAGGCATTTTGCAGTGAATTTATCTTGTCTTATTAGTTGACTGGAGATTTAATTAAGACATTGTAATAGAACACTTTCAAACCCAAGTAGCAGAAAACTAAATTCAATTGGCTTCAACAATAAAGAGAACAACATACCAGTGCATGAAAGTAGAGTAGAATTGATTAGGAATTAGACTCTGCTTCTCTCTGAGCTTCAAGCATCATCTTTCTGTGTGTGTTGACGGTCCTCAGACTGCTTTTCCTCCTGGTAGTGTGTCCGGAATTGGTTCCTTCTGGTGGGTTCTTGGTCTCGCTGACTTCAAGAATGAAGCTGCGGACCTTTGTGGTGAGTGATACGGCTCTTAAAGATGGTGTGTCCGTCACACCTGTAATCCCAGCACTTTGGGAGGCTGAGGCGGGTGGATCACAAGGTCAGGAGATCGAGACCATCCTGGCTAACACAGTGAAACCCCGTCTCTACTAAAAATACAAAAAAAAAAAAAAAAAAAAAATTAGCTGGGCGTGGTGGTGGGCGCCTGTAGTCCCAGCTACTCAGGAGGCTGAGGCAGGAGAATGGCGTGAACCCGGGAGGCGGAGCTTGCAGTGAGCGGAGATCACACCACTGCACCCCAGCGTGGGTGACAGAGCCAGACTCTGTCTCAAAAAAAAAAAAAAAATAGTGTGTCCAGAGTTTGTTCCTTCAGATGTTCAGGTGTGTCTGGAGTTTCTTCCTTGCAGTGGGTTTGTGGTCTTGCAGACTTCAGGAGTGAAGCTGCACACCTTCACAGTGAGTGTTATAGCTCATAAAGGTAGTGTGGACCCAAAGAGTGAGCAGCAGCAAGATTTACTGTGAAGAGCAAAAGAACAAAGCTTCCACAGCATGGAAGGGGACCTGAGCGTGTGGCTGCTGCTGGCTCTGGTGGCCAGCTTTTATTCTCTTGTCTCTGCCCACATCCTGCTGATTGGTCCATTTTACAGAACGCTGATTGGTCCGTTTTCACAGAGTAGTGACTGGTGTGTTTACAGTCCTTTAGCTAGACACAGAGCACTGATTGGTGAGTTTTAACAGAGTGCTGATTGGTGCATTTACAATCCTTTAGCTAGACACAGAGTGCTGATTGGTGCATTTTTACAGAGTGCTGATTGATGCGTTTACAATCCTTTAGCTAGACACAGAGCACTGATTGGTGTGTTTTTACAGAGTGCTGACTGGTGCATTTACAATCCTTTACCTAGACACAGAGGGCTGATTGGTGCATTTATAATCCTCTAGCTAGACAGAAAAATTCTCCAAGTCCCCACTCTACCCAGGAAGTCCAGCTGGCTTCACCTGTCAGTAGCAAAATGGCTGCAGCAATTCCAGGCCATATATCTGCACACCACATCATTCGGGAGAGAGTTTTTCTTCCCACAATCATTAAAATAAAACGCTGATTTTTGCTCTGATTGGACCAACTAAGGTCATGTGCCTATCCTCAAAGTAATCACTGTAGCCAAAGGATTCCATGTGCTTACCTGAACAGAAATAGATGAAAAGGTTACTCCTACTAAAAATGTATGGCTAATTCACAGTGTAAAGCCATGCAACATCTTCTGGAGAGAAGACCAACAATGTTTGCTATACAGTTAACACACACACACACACACACACACACACACAGAGGAAAATTTGAGGGTTAGTTAAAATTACTTTGAAAATGAGAAATTTTGCTCATAATTACTAGGGTTTTTCATATCAGCCATCTACTTTAAAACTTGCTACTTCAGGCAAGACTCTTATTTGCAAGTAACAGAAAATTCAGACTCTTTTAAACAGTGAGAGGGAATACAATAACTCATGAAACTGAAATGCGCAAAGATAGAAAAGGTCAGGCAGAGTTGGATTCAGAAATTCAGAATTTGTCAGGAGGCCTCAGTCTGTCAGTTCTGTTCTCTTCTGTTGGCCTTATTCACAGAGTGGCCGCTCTAAGCTCTGGGTTTATAATTCCTTAGCTTAGCAACCCCAGACAAAGAAAGTTTCCCCTTTTCCACAAGCAAAAAATCTAAAATTCCTTTTGATTTTCCCAAGTTTGTATCATATTTTCACTCTTGTACTAATCATTGCTGGGGTGAGGTCAGGATGAATTACACAAAATGACCACCATTATTAGATCACCTGCACACCTAGCTGTCACTTCTAGAAGAAAGAGAAATAGAGGCAAAATTTGGAAAAATCAAATAAACTATTACATTCGTCTAGCCAGTTTATTCACTTAAACAGCAAATATTTCTTGAGAGCCTACTATGGGCCTGGATTTGTAACATGGAATTGAGGAAGGAACAAGAGGGAACACAAAACAATCCTCATGTTGTATGTAGCATAGCACAGAGGAGTAAACTGTTAAAACAAGCGCCATAAGATGTGACGAGTGTCATCACAGGCAAGGTACAGGGTGCCATAATTGACTTATTTTGCACAGGAACAAACGAGACGTTAGTATGTGTCTCTGGATTTTCAAGTGGGGAAGAAAAAGGAAAAAAAAAAGAAACAAACTGCTATTATCTTTCTCTGATCTCTCAAATTTAGATCTTTGCCCTTTGAAGCCCAAACTCAAATTACTTGATATTTACCTTGAATAGTTCCCTAGCAACCATCTCATATATATGGAGAATGGCATAAAATTGCTTTAAGAGCTGAAAATCAAACAAATCTCAGCTATATAAAAATATTATTATATAAAAATATTTCAAAAGATTTTTAAAAGTCTTATCATGGAATTAAATGTACAGTTACCCAACATGATTTCAAAATGGCCAGTGATGTGTCAATGACTATACATTTTTCAAAATAATACAAAAGAATTAAATTCGTCTTAGCATATATTTACTGCAATTGTTTACTGGATATGTTGTAATGGACTATCACCCCAGTACATGGCAGCAGTTGTAAAGAAAGATTTGGAAAGATCTATGTTGAGACAATGTGTTAGAAGTTCAGGAAATTTGGCAAAGCCAGAGGACTCTGGTGGCTGGCTCTGCAAGGACTGGGCTGATAAGCTCCTGTGTTTAGGAAATGAGGAAGCTGTGACAGCTGGAGGCAGCATCACACAGGGACAGAACAAGAGGATGTGTTTGTTCAATGATTCTATTGCAGGTAGTGCTGCCCTCTGACCCCTATATGCTCCTTACAGGGGGGTGGAAAGCTGTTGGCCTGTAAATGGGCAATAATAAGGATCAAAACTCCGACCCCCAAAGGGCTGGAATTGGGGTAAAGCTTGAAAGACTATATGAGGATTATGAGGCGTCTTTATACTCACATTCTACTAAGATGCTGTAACAAAAACACATATATTCAGCCTTAAAAAGGAGTAAAATTCAGATACATGATAAAACACGGATGAATGGTAAAACATTGTGCCAAATGAAATAATTCAGACATAAAAGGACAAATATTCTATGATTCTACTTATATGAGGTACTTAGAATAGGCAAAGTCATAGAGACAGAAAGCAGAATAGTGGTTATCAAAGTAGAACAGTGGTGACCAAAGGGAACGGGGAGCTGTTTTTTAATGGGTACAGAGTTTCAGTTTGGGATGGTGAAAAAGTCCAGAGAGGGATCACACTAATGGTTGCACAACAATGTGAATGTACTAAATGCCATTGAATTGTACACTGGGAAGTGAATAAAGTGGTTTTTTTCTTTTTTTTTTTTTTTGTTTGAGACAGAGTTTCCGTCTGTCACCCAGGCTGGAGTGCAGTGGTGAGATCTTGGCTCACTGCAACATCTGCCTCCAGGGTTCAAGCGATTCTCCTGCCTCAGCCTCCCAAGTAGCTGGGATTATAGGCACACACCACCACACCCGGCTAATTTTTGTATTTTTAAGAGACACAGGGTTTTGCCATGTTGGCCAGGCTGGTCTCGAACTCCTGGCCTCAAGTGATCTGCCTGCCTCAGCCTCCCAAAGTGCTGGGATTACAGACATGAGCCACTGCGCCTGGCCTAAAGTGGTAAATTTTATATTATATATATTTGTTCACAATAAAACACATACACATATAAGCATTCACTCATTCATTTAACATTACTGGACACCTAGTATTAGAGTAGTCAGATAAAACATATGACACAGTGAAACCTGAATTTCAGAAAAATAATAAATAATTTTTTAGGGTAAATAGGTCCCATGCAATATTTGGGGCATATGCATACTAAGAAATTATTTGTTGTTTATCTGAAATAAAACATATTTGCACCAAAAAAATGCATTTTTTGTCTGACATTCAAATTTTACTAGGAATACTGCAGTTTTATTTGTCAAAGATGGCAACCTTACCTATTATGCATCAGGCGCTATGCTAGGTCCTGAAATACAATGAGGCATAGACATAATCTGGCCTTTTCAAGGGTTTTCTTGAGTTATGGTAATTCTTAGACATATCAGTAATATAAATTCTACCTATATTGGTAATTTACTAAACATGAGAGTGCTATAACTTCAAAGGAAATCTCTGAGTTATAATTTTTGCATGCCTAGGAAAAAGAAAGCCTAATGCTAATATTAAGAAAACAGAAAAAGGCCTACAAATTAATTCCCAATTTTTATACTGTTTGTATGTGGTGTTGCAATAGTGTCACTATCATGTAATTTTTATTCTTTTTATTTGAAAGAACACAATTAAAGGGGAAGGTTTTTTAAACTTTAATTTCTTTATAAGAAAACAAATCTCTATTTGGGATAATAGCAATGATGCTTTATCCTATGTTAGTGTTTACAAATGTATAAAGTATTTTTCATATAGTTATGTTTTATTTTTGAAATAACAAACATCACTCTTGTTCAGTCAGTATTATAATACACCACTAGTCTCTTGCCCAGGTCTAATTCCTACTTCCTGCAATTTATCACTGATGGATTAATCTTCCTAGTACGTAACTCTGACACTGTTACTCCCCTGTCCAAAAATCTTCAATGGCTCTCCTCTACATGAGAACAAAACCTGAAATCTTTGGCTTGGATTTCAAGTCCTCTGTACTTCACCACTTTTCTCACCTCATCTTACTTTTTCAGCCTTATCTCACTCCTCTCGTGAACACTCTTCTAGTTAGTGAGCTAGTTTGTCCTTCAACATGTTTCCATCTTTCCAAAGGCAGAGGCCTTTACAAAATATGCATTCATTTTCCTAGCTCATTTTTCTCCTTGGACTCTTTTTTCCATCTTTTAACATAGTGGTTTTACTGAGACTTATTGTAAGAAATATATTACATTGTAACCAAACATGCATACACACACACAGAAATTAAAAAATAAAACACAATTTTCATTAAAGCACATTTTCCCACTTTCTGTGATGAACATTCTTTTTTTAAACTATATTGCATTCTATTCTCCACCATTCTATTTTATTGAAAGAAAATGCTAGTCTCATCCCATCAAATTGTTTTCTTGACCCAATTATGGATTATATGCTCCAAATGGAAGCATTGCTTTAATGCTTATCTATTGATGGCAAAAACTGCAATTAGTTTTGCACCAACGTAATAAAATATCCCTTCCTTTACAAAGACTTTTACGCCCCTAATCAGAAATAGCCTTTCCTTTCTCTAAGCTCTAAGAGATTTTTTTCCACTGAAGCACCTATTAACACAAGACATTGTGTTGTAGATATCTGTGTGCATTTTAGACTCCTTGTAAGACTATACACTTACTGCTTGTTAGTGTATTTGAAAGTAAGTGTGGTATTTTATTTGTGCTGTGTCTTCTTTGGCACCTCGGAAATAAAACAGAGTCTCACTAGAAGTTAGGCAGATGAAAGAAACCTGCTGTTAGTCAAGTTATGCCTCTCCCAATCTACCCTAAAATATTTCTTTCTCTCTTCTTTAGCTGGATTTGATTTAGGAATATGATAATTAAATTATTCATTGAGGTATTCTCTGTTACCTACAATCAAGTTATGATGCTCTTGAGTAATTCACCAAATACCAACAACTCTTAGAAAATCTCCTATGTTAGGTCACATCTCTACATTGGTTACTTATAGGAGGTAGTAATTTTACAGTGTTGTTGAGTCTGATCTGATGCAGGGAGAAGGTGGGAAAGCCAGTCTTAGTTTTACAGTACATACGAGGAGCCCTAGCATAGTAGCGTCTTCAGTCTCTCTTAATAGAACAAAATAATTAAAGCTATAATAATAATGAGGGGAAATGAAAAGAAAAGCAAACCACCTGAGTAGAGAGTCATATTTTGCAGAAAAACAGAACTCAGGAACATGAAAGTATTTGAAGGGGGAAATCCTTTAAATATTGTTTTTAAAAAAACTTCAAAGAGGATACCCAAGTCATGCAACTGTTTTTTTAACATGAAAATCTTCAAAGAATACATTTCCCATGCAATGCTTAAAATTCTCAAAGGGGGCTCCCTCTAGAGTAAAACTGTTTGAAGGTGAAATCTCTTCAATCATCTGAGTTTTTTTTTTTTCAAAGAGAAAACCTCTTCCAAATTTTTTTAAGCCAGGAACATTATTTAAGGGGGAATTATTTCAGAAATAGAAAACTGCCTTCTCAGTAATATGTGCATTTTTGAATTTATCCAAGTAAACCCCTTGAGAATAATGAAAATGAAATACTGCCAATAATATATACTACACTTAAGTTTGGCAACAGAAAGAAAATTCTTGTCATCTTTGCCCACAATACACTTCATTTTAATGTTATAAAAAATGTAATGACTTAAGGTTGTTACATACATATATCCAATTAAAATAATGGAAAGAATAATTTTTTCTAGGATCTTCTCTTTGGTTCAAAAAAGAAAGCAAAAATGAACTTATTTTGTGTGGTTCAACTTAATTTCTAGCTTTTATACTTATCATAGCCTCTGATGTGATCCTACTGGCAGTTTCTCTTCAACTATCTATTATAAAGCTAATCTTGGCAGGTTATTGTGACATCTAAAGAGAAAAATTGCCAGACATACTGGGTCAAATCCATTGTCTGCAGAGCCCAATATTCTGTCATTGGTACCAGTAGATGTGCCTTGGGGACTGGCCATTCAGTCATTTATTTATTCATCTAACAAATATTTATTACAATTAGTATGTGCCAAGTACTGTGCAGTGTATCATCCCCCATGACATCAATATAAAAAAAACTTGGGTGTATGCCCACCAGTCTATTTTTCTTTTCCTGTTCTCTAGTGGCTTCTGGGGTCAGTAATGAAAGGGGCAAAACAGGAGTAGATGTTTTTACTCAACCATCTAATTTAGGTCTTGACCCTCCCACCCCCAGATTAGACTCCCAGCCTACCTTTGTATATCTAGAATATGTATTAAATTGTTCTGGCAAACAAAAGAACTATTTACCAAGATTTCTAGATTTTGCACAACCAAAAACTGGCTTAAGTTTTGATATGTGTTGTATGTGATTTGAAATGCTCACACTGCTTTGTAAAATAGCATTATAATTTGGAACATTAGAAATTAATGGACAAGTGCACTTTTCCCCTGGGACATTGTTCCCCAAAAATCTGCAACTTTAGTCTAATGATGACATAATAGACATACCCAAATTGAGGAACACTTTGTGAAATACCTGACCAAGAATTTTCAAAACTGTTCATCAGTCAAGATCATAAAAAACAAGGAAAGAATGAGAAACTCTCACAGGTTAGTGAAGACTAAGGAGTCTTTGTAATTAAATTGGTATCATGGTATCCTGAATTAGATCCTGGAACAGAAAAAGGATATTTGTGGAAAAACTGGCTAAATACAAATACAGTGTAGCTTAGTCAATAGTGTTTTACCAATGTTAATTTCATAACTTTTGACAAATGTACCATGATTATGCAAGATGTCAACATTAGGGGAAACTGGGTAAAGAGCACATGGGAACTCTCTGTACTATCTGCACATGTACTATCTCTTTGTAAGTCTACAATTATTTCATAATAGTTGAAAATCATATTGCATAGCAGTACAGCAAGGCACAGGGCAAGCAGCAACGCTAAATTGATATTTGAATGCTTGAGGTCCAGGAAATGGCACCGTAATGTGTTTCCTAAGCATTGTATCAGCTTCTGTGTGGATTTCATAAAAAAGTGGATTACATTCTCATTCTTATCCTTGAACCTCATAGCTGGCTAGAAGAGTTTGCAGGACACCTGCTAAACAAAAGCCACATACATGTGACCCAAAGATAGCTTCCCATGTACAATCTCTGGATTGGAAGGAAATTGTTTTCTCTATTAGTTCTATTTCTAAATCGTCAGTTTATTAATGCAACAAGCCTTCACTGATGCCAAGGAGGTCTCAGTAAGCTGGATGCTGGATTTACAAACACCAATTAAACACAGATCTTGCTCCCAAGGATCTCACTATTTCCTGAAGAAGGATGATCTTTTATTCAATACACAGTTAGTTTTTTGAGTGTTTACTCTGTGCCAGGAACTATACTTGGTGCTTGGGATAAAACAGTGAGCAAAAACTGCAAAGATGTCTGCTCCTGAGTTCATATTCTAATAGAACTGGCTTTGGGGGAGATACTTGATTTACAATTAGGAAAACATATTAGTAAATTATGGATCATCTTATTTAAACCCAGAGTTTATCTCTGGCAGTAGTCTTTGGAAGGGAGTGTGGCTGGTCTATGCCATAACTCCCCTTCACATGCTATAGTTCCACTATGCCCTGCACCCCCTACTTTTTTATGGCCAAGCAAAGGCATTGAAATATGTAGGCACAATGTGATGTACTTGTGATTACATTTCTTTCAAAGGACACTCCTGTTGGGACAAGGGAATTCAGCCTTGTACTTGCGAAGGAAACATGCGATGTGGCTGGAACCTGGGAATCTGTTACTTTGGGGGGGGTCTTTGTGGTGGCTCCCTTCACAGGCTACCAAACACCATGTATACCCTCAGCAAGACTAGGTGGCCTTTTCATTTATTCACATCTTTCAAAATTCTACAACATTCTACTCTTTTTCTCATATGTCTTACAGATGCCTCAGTTGTGTCCCTTGACAGTTAATACTAAAACCTTGCTTCTGTACAGGTATGCAATTATAATCACTGCAAATAATGTTTTCTCTGTTTTGTCAACCAATTCATGGTAGTTATTTACTGTAGTTTTTATGTTACATTTTAATGTTTTTACAGGTCATGCAACTTATTACTCTTCTCTTCCGGACATTCTTTCACAAATATTTTCCTGTTTGTAATAAGAAAACAACATTAAAATTGTTGTTGCTTGATATGAAATTATACATGTAGAAAAAGAACCATTACATTGGATAAACAAGGACACATCTAGAGAGTTGTCAGCCTAGTGGTGAAGGTTAAATTGGAGTAAACTGCGGTGTTTAAAATTAACTAACATGCAAGCATATGTTTGAGAGCTCTTTAAATATAAGAATACTTTTTTGACCAAAAAAAATCACATCTTTTTTTTTTTTTTGAAGCAGGGTCTCACTCTGTTACCCAGGCTTGAGTGCAGTGGCGAGATCTCAGCTCAGCGCAACCTCACCCTCCCAGGCTCAAATGATTCTCCTTTCTCCTGCCTCAGCCTCTCAAGTAGCTGGGATTACAGGCATGTGCCACTTCGGCCTGGCTAAGTTTTGTATTTGTAGTAGAGAAGGGGTTTCACCATGTTGGCAAGGCTGGTCTTGAACTCCTGACCTCAAATGATCCACCCGCCTTGGCCTCCCAAAGTGCTGGGATTACAGGCCTGAGTCACTGCGCCCAGCCCCCAAAAAAGTCATATCTTAACATTTTTTGTCCTCTACTAAAATAGGGAAGTTTTATAAGATCTTCAAAGCGAAACTTCGCTTTAATTTCACAAATCAAGGCATGACTCACCACTAAGATTCATTTTTTTAACCACAATTCGATCCTAAAGAAATGTTATAATAATTCTTGAGTTCCAAGACATAATGGCAATATCTCCTGGATTTGGTTGACTGGCTTTCATGTTCAACAACCTGAGTTTACTTTAGAAGCATTTCAGAAGCAGGGTCAACAATGGGCTAAATGAGAAGGAGGCCATGTTTCTCTCTTTCTGATTTTCAACACCTTTCTCCAGTTCCAGTCCAGGGGCCTAGCATCTCAGGCAGACCTAATTGAACAGCTATTTGGGGCTTGCCTTGTCCTGCTGTCCTTCCCAGTCTCAATAAAAGCTCCGTACTGTTAAGTAGAATTCTATACATATATTAATGGTTAATATTAGTATGTACATCTATACTGGATAGGATAAGAGTTCTATAAAACCCTGCATGATCCTCAAATCCCAGAGAAGATTTTAAAGAGAAAACAATCAATAAACTTTCTACTAAACTGAATTATTCAGCTTTGTTCTTTAGATTGGCTTGAGAAACAGATACAAAGGTGGGGTTAGGAGTGCAGGAGATTTATTGGGGGAAATATCTGTGAAATATAAAGGGGAAGGAGCCAGAGAAAGTGGAAAGAACATTCAGATGGTGTGCAATGTAGATTGGCTCTCTGTGAGGAAGAGGAGGAAGGAAGGAGTCAGTAGTAGGAGTTGCAGACTAAAGCCATATTTAAGAGTTTTGGTCAGGCCAATAAAGAGTTCTTGAGCCAAAGCAACTCATTTAAGAAATGCCATGCCTTGCAGGACTAAGCTTGTCCCCCACTATATCCATTTTCTGGGAACGTGGTCTTGCCATGATCAGGCTGGGGTTGGGGTAGATCTTGAAGGGCATGAGCAGCCGAGGCTTTGGTGAATTTTGCTCTCCACTGCAGGAGATCTGAGAAGCACATTTATATAATCATATCAGCAAAACTCTTTCATTGAATATTTCAAAAATAATTGTATTTATTTATATACTCATGAAGTTATAGAAAATGCTATTTCATGGTGTGCCTGCATAAATACCTCTCACAAAACCTACTTTAAATGTTTTCATGAATTATACTTCAATGGCAAATTAATAATTTAAAACAGTAGTGATAGTGAACCATCTTTTTTTATTAATTTATTTTTTATTATACTTTAAGTTCTAGGGTACATATGCACAACATGCAGGTTTGCTACATATGTATACATGTGCCATGTTGGTGTGCTGCACCCATTAACTCGTCATTTACATTAGGTATTTCTCCTAATGCTATCCCTCCCCCAGCCCCCCATACCATGACAGGCCCTGGTGTGTGATGTTCCCCTTCCTATGTCCAAATGTTCTCATTGTTCAATTCACACCTATGAGTGAGAACAGGTGGTGTTTGGTTATCTGTCCTTGTGATTGTTTGCTAAGAATGATGGTTTCCAGCTTCATCCATGTCCCTGCAAAGGACATGAATTCATCATTTTTTATGGCCACATAGTATTCCATGGTGTATATGTGCCACGTTTTCTTAATCCAGTCTATCACTGATGGACATTTGGGTTGGTTCAAAGTCTTTGCTATTGTGAATAGTGTTGCAATAAACATACGTGTGCATATGTCTTTATAGTAGCATGATTTATAATCCTTTAGGTATATACCCAGTAATGGGATTGCTGGGTCAAATGGTATTTCTAGTTCTAGATCCTTGATGAATCGCCACACTGTCTTCCACAACGGTTGAGCTAGTTTATAGTCCAACCAACAGTGTAAAAGTGTTCCTGTCTCTCCACATCCTCTCCAGCATCTGTTGTTTCCTGACTTTTTAATGATCGCCATTCTAACTGGTGTGAGATGATATCTCATTGTGGTTTTGATTTGCATTTCTTGGATGACCAGTGATGGTGAGCATTTTTTCATGTGTCTGTTGGCTGCATAAATGTCTTCTTTTGAAAAGTGTTTGTTCATATCTTTTGCCTACTTTTTGATGGGGTCGTTTGTTTTTTTCTTGTAAATTTGTTTAAGTTCTTTGTAGATTCTGGGTATTAGCCCTTTGTCAGATGGGTAGATTGCAAAAATGTTCTCCCATTCTGTAGGTTGCCTGGATAGTGAACCATCTTTTAAAAAAATGGTTCAAGAAATACATCCAGGACAAATTCATTTCATAAATTTATTTTAAAATTTTTTGGATATTCATGTAGAATGAATTAAATGCACTTTCTCTTTCCCTAAGAGACCTTTCCTATGTTTTTGAGTTGACGTTTTGTGAAAAGAAAAAGATCCACATTGGTTTTTCAGTTCCTGGTTTTATAGAATTCATTCATTGAATAATTCAACAAAGATTTATTGAGTATCTACTGTGTGCTAGTCATAGTTTGCTAAGCATTTCACTTTCCCTATATTTGTACCAGGAAATATCACCAATTTGGCCTGGTTTTGGAAGATATGGACTAACCTGAATTAGTGGCATTCAAATTATGTACTTATTTTAAATTAAATATTTAAATATTGCAATTATTGGAATGAGAGATTTGACTAGTAGAAAGACCATTAAAGACAAAAGTTTAGCTCTTTTTCCGGCTGGAACCATGGAGGGTGTAGAAGAGAAGAAGAAGGAGGTTCCTGCTGTTCCAGAAACCCTTAAGAAAAAGCGAAGGAATTTCGCAGAGCTGAAGATCAAGCGCCTGAGAAAGAAGTTTGCCCAAAAGATGCTTCGAAAGGCAAGGAGGAAGCTTATCTATGAAAAAGCAAAGCACTATCACAAGGAATATAGGCAGATGTACAGAACTGAAATTCGAATGGCGAGGATGGCAAGAAAAGCTGGCAACTTCTATGTACCTGCAGAACCCAAATTGGCGTTTGTCATCAGAATCAGAGGTATCAATGGAGTGAGCCCAAAGGTTCGAAAGGTGTTGCAGCTTCTTCGCCTTCGTCAAATCTTCAATGGAACCTTTGTGAAGCTCAACAAGGCTTCGATTAACATGCTGAGGATTGTAGAGCCATATATTGCATGGAGGTACCCCAATCTGAAGTCAGTAAATGAACTAATCTACAAGCGTGGTTATGGCAAAATCAATAAGAAGCGAATTGCTTTGACAGATAACGCTTTGATTGCTCGATCTCTTGGTAAATACGGCATCATCTGCATGGAGGATTTGATTCATGAGATCTATACTGTTGGAAAACGCTTCAAAGAGGCAAATAACTTCCTGTGGCCCTTCAAATTGTCTTCTCCACGAGGTGGAATGAAGAAAAAGACCACCCATTTTGTAGAAGGTGGAGATGCTGGCAACAGGGAGGACCAGATCAACAGGCTTATTAGAAGAATGAACTAAGGTGTCTACCATGATTATTTTTCTAAGCTGGTTGGTTAATAAACAGTACCTGCTCTCAAATTGAAAAAAAAAAAAAAAAAAAAAAAAAAAAGGACAAAAGTTTAACTCAAAAAACACTTGAAAGATCATTTAGTGAAAGAGATCACAGATATCTGCATTTAATTCCTTCTTTTAAAAATTCAAATACAAATTTACCCCATCTCTACTAAAAATACAAAAAAAAGTTAGCCGGGCGTGATAGCGGGTGCCTGTAGTCCCAGCTACTCAGAAGGCTGAGGCAGGAGAATGGCGCGAACCAGGGGGGCGGAGCTAGCAGTGAGCCGAGATCACACCACTGCACTCCAGCCTGGGAGACAGCGAGAATCCGTCTCAAAAAAAAAAAAAAAAAAATTCAAATACAAATTTAGAAAGTGAATCACACTTGGATATATTTCTTGGACAATTTTTTTCCCCACTGACTCTACTGCTCTAAATTATTAATTTGTCATTAAAGTACAAGTCAGGAATATATTTAAGGTAGGTTTAATGAGATGTTTATATGCGTGACATATCATAAAAATGTGTATTGTATAAGTTTATGGAAAAAGGGCTTTGCTAAATTATTTAATTCAGTTGAAATTTTATTAATTTTTTCTTTAGTATATTCCCTCATGTTTGACCTTAGAGGATCATGCAAGCCTTTGTAGGACTCTTAATCTATGCAGTACAGGTATGTATATTAGTGTTAATCCTTAAAAGTATGTATAGGTTTCAACTTAACAGTTTGGAAATTTTGTTACGGCTGGAACATCCAGGAAGCTAGGGTAAGCTCACATTAACTATTCAACTAGGTTTGCATTAGGGTGCTATTTCCTGCATTGGAAATGAAGAAAGGAGATGACAACAAGAAACAGAAACATCAAGTGAAAAATGGCCTGATTCTCATTTTGCCCTTTGTGGTCTCTGCATGGAGTTTTAGTTGATAATTCACTTGGAATCCTTCCAAAGTGAATTTAGGTTGTAGAATATGTTGCCAATCAACCAAATCAGAAGGTAGTGCCATAATGTATCTGAGCCTCAAAATCGATGTTCTTTTTAACAATGCCTAAATAATGTAAAAAAATCTTAATGGTTAGCCACATTTAATTTATGGGATTCAAATCAAGGTTTATCTTAAAGAACTATAACAGGATGAAGAATTTCAGTTTCTGGTTTCACATGTAAGGAGCTTAGAAGCTGTCACTTCATCCTAACATCAAGTAAAAAGCTGAGCAGACTGAAAAATAGTCAACTCTTCTAGGATCCATAAGATAGGTGAGGAAAAAAGGCAAACTGCTTCCCTCAAGATTGGAGAGAGATAAGCCAATACAAGGAGTCATGGTTTACCAGAGTAGGCACTCATGAGTGGAAATGCTGCAAGAATCAGAGCCTGAGGAGGCAAACCAGAACTATAAACTATAAACATATTGCTGGAGGCTCAGTGTGGACAAGTCTTAGAGTTAAAAACTCCAGAGTGACCCAGTCATGGAGGGTGCTCAACACTTTTGTGATATTTACCTCCAGGGGTTCAACCAGTTTAACAGAGTAAATATCGGAGAAAAATTCACTCATGTCTATAGCAGGAGGGAAAACAAAACCATTTTTAAATGTGCTAGAACACTTTGTTCTTAAGAAAGCTTGCCCTTGGAAGAAAGTAGTTAACCAGAGCTTAACCTGCTAAGGTATTATCAGAGCCTAATTGACCCAAGGAAGGGAAATACTCAGCTCCACACAGCTCTAGCCATCCTCTCCCATTGAAGGAGACAGGAAAGAACTGAGAAACACTTGTGAAGTTCACAGTCTAGAGGCATAAGTTCACAAAAAGACTGAGACTTGCTCATAGGACTATAGAACACTTCTCCTCTCCCCATATCTTAGCACCACATTACTGGAGACCTATTTCCAGCAGTTTCTTTTACCTGGTACACCATGCCCAGCTATCAGTAAAAAATTACAAGGCATACGAAGAAGCAGGAAACACACTTTGAAGAGATAGAGCACACATCAGAGTGAGACATGGCAAGGATGTTGGAATTAGCAGACTGGGGATTGAAAACAGCTATTATTACTATGCTAAGGGCTCTAATGGATAAAGCAGACAGCATGTAAGAAGAGATGGGCAATGTAAGCAGAGACATAGAAATCCTAAGAAAGAATCAAAAAGAAATGCTAGACATAAAAACCACTGTAAAATAAATAAAGAACAATGGTCTTATTACTAGACTGGACACAGCTGAGGAAAGAATCTCTGAGCTTAAGGGAATATCAATAGAAACTTCCCAAACTGAAAAGCAAAGAGAACAAAGACTGAAAAAAACAGAACAGCATATCCAAGAACTGTGGTAGAACTACAAAAGGTGTAATATATGTGCAGTGGGACTGCCAGAAAGAGAAGAAAGAGAGAAATGAACAACAACAAAAAATACTTGAAAAAATAATGGCTGAGAAGTTCACTAAATAATGTCAGATGACAAACCACAGTCCCAGGAAGTTCAGAGAACACCATGTATAATGAATGCCCAAAAAAGTATACCTAGGCATATCATTTTCAAACTACAGAAAATCAAAAAGAAAGAACAAATTCTGAAAGAAGCCAGAGGAAGAAACACCTTACCTACAGAGGAACAAAGATAAGAACTACATCAGCCTACTCAGAAACTATGCAAGCAAGAAGAGGATGGATTGAAACGTTTAAAGTTTTGGGAGAAAATACCACCAACTTAGAATTCTGTAAACTGCAAAATTATTCCTAAAAGTGAAGGAGAAATAAAGACTTTCCCAAACTAAAATTGAGGAAATTTGTTGCCAGTGGGCTTGCCTTGCAAAAAATGTTAAAATACATTTTTTAGAGAGAAAGAAAATAATATGTCAGAAACTCAGATCTACATAAAGAAAGAAAGAGCATCAATGAAGGGATATGTGAAGGTAAAATCAAAACTCTAAACAAATTCTTAATTGATATAACAGTTAACAATTTGTTCAAAACAATAATAGCAATAAGGTATTTATGTTTGCTTATGTATACATATATGCTTACATATGCTTATATATGAGCAAAATGAACAACAATAATGATACAAGGGATGGAAGGGAACAATTAGGTTTATTTTGTTATTATAAGGCACTCACACTATTGATAAAGTTATAACGGTATAATGTTATTTGAGAGTGGACTTGGATTAATTGTAAATGCATATTGCAAATTCTAGGGCAACTACTAAAAAGTAAAAAGAGAAAAGTAACTGATATGCTAAGAAAGAAGAGAAAATGGAATAATGTAAGATACTCAACGCTACATAAAGCAGAAAAAGAGTAGGAGACAAAATAGAAGCAAAGAGCAAGGGCAAAAAATAGAAAATAGAAATAAATGTGGTAGATATTATTCTAACTATCTCAATAATCCCTTTGAATACTACTAGTCTAAAGGCACCAGTTAGATTGGAGGCAGAGGAAAATGGCCAAATAGAAACCTCCACTGATTGTCCCCACCACAGGAACACCAAATTTAGCAACTATCTACACACAGGAGAGAATTAATCAGAACCAAAAATCAGGAGACCAATTACAGTATCTGGATTTAATTTCATATTGCTGAAAGAGGCACTGAAGAGGGTAGAAAAGATAGCCTTGAATTGCTGATGCCACCACTCCCCCACTCACCCTGCAGTGACCAGGTGGTGTGGAGACAGAATGAGTACACTTGGGGAGGGAGAGCACAGTGATTGTGGAAATTTGCAATGGAACTCAGTGCTGCCAACACTAGGCAGAACTCAGACGATGCTCATGGAAGGAGCATTTAGGTGATTCCTAGCAAGAGGAGATTCATCCATCCCAGTGGTCAGAATTTGAGTTTTAACAAGCCTTGCCACTATGGGCTGGAGTGCTGTGGGGTCCTAAATAAACTTATAAGGCAGTCTAGGCCACAAAGACTGCAAGTTCTAGTGCTGTGCTGGGCTTGGAGTTAGTGGACTTGGGGCACATGCAACCTAGAGAGATATCAGCTGGGGTGGCTAAGAGAGTGTTTGCATCACCACTCCCTCAGTCCTGGGCAATGCAACTCACAGCTCCAAAATAGACTCCTTCATTCTGCTTGAGGAGAGGAAAGGGAAGAGTATAGAGGACTGTGTCTTACTACTTGGATACCAGATCAGCCACAGTAGGCTAGGGCACAAGACAGAGTAGTGAGGCCTCCATTCCAGGCCCTAGCTCCCAGATGACGCTTCTATACACACCCTAGGCCAGAAGGGAACTCACGGCCTTGAAGGGAAGGACCCAGTCCTGGCAGGACTCATCACCTTCTGACTAAAGAGCCCCTGGGCCATGAATAATCAGCAGTGGTGATGAGGTAGTACACATCATGGACCTTGGGTGAGACTCTGAGACACGCTTGCTTCAGGTGTGACCCAGCACATTCAAAGCTGTGGTAGCTATCAGAAGGGATGCCTTCTGCTTGAAAAAAGCAGAGGGAAGAGTAAAGGGGACTTTGTCTTGTAGCTTAGGTACCAGCTCAGCCTCAAAGGGAGAGAGCAATAAGCAGGCTTTTGGGGTCCCTAATTCCAGGACTTGACTCTTAGAAGGCATTTCTGGACCTACCCTGTGCCAGAGGGGAGCTCACTGCCCTGAAGGGTGAGTCCCAGGCCTGGCAGCATTCACCGCAAGCTGACTGAGGAGCCCTTGGGTTAAGTAAACATCAGTGGTATCCTGGCAGTACTCCCCATGGGCCTGTGGTGATCATGGATGTGGAGAAGACTTCTCTGCCTGGGGAAAGGGAAGAAAATAATGGAAAAGACTTTGTCTTGTGGTTTGGGTGCCAGCTCAGTCACAGTAGACTAGAACACCAGATAGATTGCTAAGGTTTCCAACTCCAGGCCCTGGCTACTGGACAGAATCTCTGGACCTGCCTGGGGCCTGGGGGAACTCATCACCCTGAAGGGAAAAACGCAAGACTGGGTGGCTTTACCACCTGCTAATTATAGAACCCTAGGGCCTTGAGTGAATATAGGCAGTAGTGATGTAGTGATTAGGTAGTGATTACATTGGGCCTTGGGCAGGACCCAGTGCTGTGCTGGCTTCAGGTCTGACCTAGTGCAGTCCCAGTGGTAGTGGCCAGAGATGCTTATGCCACTCCTCCCCCTGCTCTAGGCAGCTGAGCACAGAGAGACTCCATTTGTTTGGGGAAAAGTAAGGGAAGGGAACAAGAGTCTGCCTGGGAATCCAAAGAATTCTTCCAGATCTTATCCAAGACCACCAAAGTGGTACCTCTATGAGTCTGTAAGAACCACAGCATTACTGTGCTTGGCATACCCCTTAATGCAGATATGGCTGCAGTGACCAAAAACTTACATCACAACGCTCAAGTCCCTCTGAATATCTGGAAAGCAATCCCAAGAAGAATGGGTACAAGCAAGCCCAGACTGTGAACTTACAGTACATACCTAACTCTTCAATAGCCAGACACCAAAAAACATCCCCAAGCATAAAGACGATCCAGTAAAACATGACCTTTCCAAACAAACTAAATAAAGTCTCTGAGACATGAAAGACCAGTCCCAGAGAGACAGAGATATTTGACCTTTCAGACAGAGAATTCAAAATAGCTATTTTGAGAAAACTTAAAGAAATTCAAGCCAGGCATGGTGGCTCATACCTGTAATCCCAGCACTTTGGTAGGCCGAGGTGGGTGGATCACCTGAGGTCAGGAGTTTGAGACCAGCCTGACCAACATAGAGAAACCCTGTCTCTACTAAAAATACAAAATTAGCCGGGCATGGTGCCACATGCCTATAATCCCAGCTACTCGGGACATTGAGGCAGGAGAATGTCTTGAAACCGGGAGGCAGAGGTTGCTGTGAGCTGAGATCACACCATTGCACTCCAGCCTGGGCAACAAGAACAAAATTCCATCTCAAAAAAAAAAAATTCAAGATAACACAGAGAAGGAATTTAGAATATTATTAGATAAATGTAACAAAGACACTGAAATAATTAAAAAGAACCAAACAGAAATTTGGGAGTTGAACAATTCAATAGACATACTGAAGAATGTATCAGAGTCTCTTAATAGCAGCATTGAGCAGGCAGAAGCAAGAATTAGTAAGCTTGAAGGCAGGCTATTAAAATACATAATCAGAGGAGACAAAGGAAAAAATATAAGAAGGAAGGAAGCATGCCTACAAGATCTAGAAAATAGCCTCAGAAAGGCAAATTTAAGAGTTATTGACCTTAAAGAGGAGGCAGAGTAGAAAGTTTACTCAAAGGGATAATAACAGAGAACTTCCCAAGCCTAGAGAAAGATATCAGCATTCAAGTACAAGAAGGTTATGGAACGTCAAGCTGATTTAACCCAAAGAAGACTACCTCAAGGCATTTAATAATTAAACTGCCAAAGGTCAAGGATCATGAAAGGATCCTAAAAGCAGTAAGAGAAAAAAAAGAAATAACATACAATGAAGCTTCAGTACATCTGGCAGTAGACTTCTCAGTAGAAACCTTACAGACCAGGAAAGATTGGTGTGACATATTTAAAGGGCTGAAAGAAAAAACTTACCCTAGAATAATATATTCGGTGAAAATATCCTTCAAACATGAAGGAGAAATAAAGACTTTTCAAGAGAAACAAAAGCTGAGGGTTTTCATCAACGCCAGACCTGTCCTACAAGAAATACTAAAGGGAGTTCTTCCATCTAAAAAAAACAAATGTTAGCAAATGTATTAGTCAAAGTTCTCTTAGAGGGACAGAACTAATAGCATATACATAAAAAGGAGTTTATTAAGTATTAACTTACATGATCACAAGGTCCCACAATAGGCTGCCTGCAAGCTGAGAAGAAAGCAGAGCCAGTCTGAGTCCCAAAACTGAAGGCCTTGGAGTCTGATGTTCAAGGGCAGGAAGTAACCAGAACTGGACAAAAATGTAGACTGAGAGGACAGGCCCATCTCTCCTTTTCACGTTTTTCTGCCTGCTTCATATTCACTGGAAGCTGATTGGATTATGCCTACCAGATTAAGGGTAGATCTGCCTTCCCCAGCCCACTGACTCAAATGTTAATCTCTTTTGGCAACACCCACACAGACACACTCAAGATTAATACTTTGTATCCCTCAATCCCAACAAGTTGACACTCAGTATTAACCATCACAGTGAACAATAAGAAATCATCTGGAGGTACAAAACTTATTGATAATAGTAAGTACATGGAGAACTGACTATTGTAACTCCATAATTGTGGTGTGTAAACTACTGACACCTTAAATAGAAAGATGAAAAAGTGAACCAACCAAAATAATAATTACAACAAATTTTCAACTCATAGACAGTACAGTAAGATATCAATAGAAATGACAAAATGTTAAAAGGCAAGGAGCTAAACTTTAAAGAGTAGAGTTTTTACTAGTTTTCTTTTTGCTTGTTTGTTTATGTAATGCCTGTTCAGTTGTCATCAGTTTAAATAATGGGTTATAATATCTTATAACCCATTATTTATGCAAGCTTCATGGTAACCTCAAATCTAAACATACAACAGATACACAAAAAATTAAAAGGAATAAATTAAAACATATCACCAGAGAAAAACCACCTTCACTGAAAGTAATCCCCATGTGTCAAGAGAGGGACCTAGTGGGAAGTAAATAGATAATGGGGACAGTTTTCTCCATGCTGTTCTCATGATAGTGAGGAAGTTCTCACAAGATGTGATATTCTAAAAGTGGCAGTTTCCCCTGCATGCTCTCTTTCTCTGGCCACCATGTAAGATGTGCCTTGCTTCCCCTTTGCCTTCTGCCATGATTGTAAGTTTCCTGGGGCCTCCCCAGCCATGCAGAACTACAAGTCAATTAAACTTCTTTCCTTTACAAATGCCTCAGTCTGAAGCATTTCTTTATAGCTGTGTGAAAATGGATGAATGTAGAAGAAGGAAGAGAAGACCACAAAAGAAACGAAACTAATAAGAATATGGCAAGGTTTAGCTCTTACTTATCAACAACAACACTAAATGTAAATGGACTAAAATATCTAATCAAAAGACAGAGTGGCTGAATGGATAAATAAGATCCAATGGTCTGTTGCCTACAAGAAACACACTGTATGTATAAAGACACATATAGACTAAAAATAAGGGGACAAAAAAAGATATTCCATGCCAATGGAAACCAAAAAATGGCAGGAGTAATTCTACTTATATCAGGCAAAATAGAGTTCAAGACAAAACTATAAAAAGAGACAAGGAAGGTCACTATATAATGATAAAGGAGTCAATTCAGCAAGAGGATATAACAATTGTATATAAGTGTGTGTGTGTGTGTGTGTGTGTGTATAATTGCACTCAACAACTGAGCAGCTAGATATATAAAGCAAATATTATTAGTGCTAAAGAGAGAGATAAACTCCAATACAATAATAGCTGGAGATTTCAACACCCCCCTTTCAGCATTGGATAGATTGTCAAGACAGAAAATCAACAAAGAAACATCGGATGTAATCTGCGCTGTAGACCAAATGGACCTAATAGATGTTTAGAGAACATTTCATTTAATGGCTGCAGAGTACACCTTCTTCTCCTCATCACATGGATCATTCTCAAGGATACACCATATATTAGGTCACAAAACAAGCCTTAAAACATTTTAGAAAATTAAAGTAATATCAACTGTCTTCTCTGAGCACAATAGAATGAAACTAGAAATCAATAACAAGAGCAATTTTGAAAACAATACAAACACCTGGAAATTAAACAGTATGCTTCTGAATGACCAGTGGGTCAACGAAGATTAAGAGGGAAATTTAAAATTTTCTTCAAACAAGTGATAATGGGCACACAACATACCAAAGCCCATAAGATACAGCAAAATCAGTACTAAGCAGGAAGTTTATAGCTATAAAAGCTTACATCAAAAGAAGAAAAACTTCAAATAAACAACCTAATGAGACATCTTAAATAACTAGAAAAGAAAGAACAAACCAAACACAAAATTTGTAGAAGTAATAAACATCAGACCAGAGATAAATGAAATTGAAATGAAGCAAACAATACAAAAGATCAACAAAACAAAAAATTTGTTTCCTTAAAAGGTAAACAAAATTGACAAAACTTTAGTCAGACTAAGAAGAAAAAGAGGGAAGACCCAAATAAATAAAATTAGAGATAGAAAAGGGGACATTACAACTGAAATTCAAAGGCTTGTTAGAGGCTACTATGAACAATTATATGCCAATAAATTGGAAAACCTAGAAGAAATGGATAAATTCTTAGGCATATTCAACCTACCAAGATTGAACCATGAAGAAAACTAAAATCTGAACGGACCAAAAACTGGTACCAAGATTGAAGCTGTAATAAAAAGTCTCCTAGCAAAGGAAATCCTGGGACTTAATGGCTTCACTGCTGAATTTTACCAAACATTTAAAGAAGAACTAACACCAATCCTACTTAAATTATTCTGAAAAATAGAGGAGGAAAGAATACTGCCAAATTCATGCTACAAGGTCAGTATTACCCTGATACCAAAACCAGAAAAAGACACATTAAAAAAAAAAAGAAAGAAAACTGCAGGCCAATATCCCTGATGAATATTGCTGCAGAAATCCTCAACAAAATACTAGCAAATGAAATTCAACAACACATTAAAAAGATCAGTCATCATGACCAAGTGGGATTTATCCCAGGGATGTAAGGATGGTTCAACATATGCAAATCAATCAATGTGATACATCATATCAACAGAATAAAGAATAAAAACTACATGGTCATTTCAATTGGTACTGAAAAAGTTCACCACTGTTATTCAGCATAGTACTGGAAACAGTAGCTAAAGCAATTATACAAGATAAAGAAATAAATTGGCATCCAAATTGGAAAGGAAGAAGTCAAATTACCCTTGTTTACAGATGATAGGAACTTATTTTGGAAAAATCTAAAACTGCACCAGAAAACTATTAGAACTGATAAACAAATTCAGTAAAGTTGCAGGATACAAAATCAATATGCAAAAATTAGTAGCATTTCTATATGCCAACAGTGTGAGCAATGTGAAAAAGAAATAAAAAAGCAATCCCATTTACAATAGCCACTAAAATTAATACCTAGAAATTGATTTAACCAAAGAAGTGTGTATTAGTCAAGGTTCTCTAGAGGGACAGAACTAATAGGATAGACGTATATATAAAGGGGAGTTTATTACGGGGTACTAACTTACACAATCACAAGGTCCCACAATAGGCCATCTGCAAGCTGAAGAGTGAGGAAGCCAGTCTGAGTCCCAAAGCTGAAGAACTTGGAGTTCGATGTTCGAGGGCAGGAAGCATCCAGCACAGGAGAAAGATGTAGGCTGGGAGGCTAGGCCAGTCTAATCTCTCCATGTTCTTCTGCCTGTTTTTATTCCGGCCATGCTGGCAGCTGATTAGATTGTGCCTACCCAGATTGAGCGTGGGTCTGCCTTTCCCAGTCCGTCTTTCCCAGTCCACTGACTCAAATGTTAATCTCCTTTGGTAACACTTTCACAGACACACCCAGGAGCAATACTTTGCATCCTTCAATCCAATCAAGTTGACACTCAGTATTAACCACCACAAAGTGAAAGATCTCTACAATGAAAACTATAAAACATTGATGAAAGAGATAGAAAGGACACAACAAATGGAAAAATATTCCATGTTCATGGATTGAAAGAATCAATATTGTTAAACTGTCTGTACCACCCAAAGCAGTCTACAGATTCAAAGTAATCCCTATCAAAATACCATGATATTCTTCACATAAATAGAAAAAAAGATCCTAAAATTCAATGGAACAACAGAAGGCTCAAAATAGCCAAGCTGCATTGAACAAATAGACCAGAACTAGAACAATTGTATTACTGACTTCAAATTATACTACAGAGGTGTAGTAACTAAAACAGTGTGGTACTGCTGTAAAAACAGACACACGGACCAAGGGAACAGACCAACACACAGACCAATACAGAATCTAAAAACAGATCCATACATCTACAATAAACTCATTTTGACAAAGGTTTCAAGAACATACACTGGGGAAAGGACAGTCTCTTCAATAAATAGTGCTGGGAAAACTGAATGACCATATGCAGAAGAATAAAAGTAGACCCCTATCTCTCACCAAATACAAAATTCAAATCAAAATGGATTAAAGGCTTAAATCTAAAATATTAAACTATTAAATTACTAAAATAAAACATTGGGGAAACTCTCCAGAACATTGGACTGGGCAAGGATTTCTTGAGTAATACCCCACAAGCACAGGCAACCAAAGCAAAATGGACAAAGATTGTATCAAGCTAAAAAGTTTCTGCACAGCAAAGAAAACAATCAACAAAATGAAGAGACAACCTACAGAATAGGAGAAAACTTTTGAAAATTACCCATCTGGCAAGAGATTAATAACCAGAAATATATAAGGAGCTCAAACAACTCTTATTGGAAAAAAAATCTAATAATTCAGTTAAAAATGGGCAAAAAGTTAGAACAGACATTTCTCAAAAGAAGACATATAAATGTCAAACAGGTATATGAAAAGGTGCTCAACATCATTGATTGTTAGAGAAATGGAAGTCAAAACTACAGTGAAATATCATCTCACCTGAATTAAAATGGCTTTTATTCAAAAGACAGGTAGTAACAAACACTGATGATGATGTGGAGAAAACAGAACACTTGTACACCGTTGATAGGAATGTAAATTAGTACACTCACTGCGGAGAACAGTTTGGAGGTTCCTCAATAAACTAAAAATAGAGCTATCATATGATACAGCAATTTTACTGCTAGGCATACCCCAAAGAAAGGACATCAGTATATGAAAGCAATACCTGCATTCTCATGTATATTGCAGTACTATTCACAATAGCCATGATTTGGAAGCAACCAAAGTGTCCATCAACAGACTAATATATAAAGAAAACATGGTACATATACACAATGGAGTACTGTTCTGCCATAAAAAATAATGAGAACTCTCATTTGCAACAATATGGATGGAGCTGGAGGTCCCTTTATTAAGTGAAATAAGCCAAGCACAGACAGATAAATTTTACATGTTCTCACTTATTTGTGGGAGCTAAAAATTAAAACAATTGAATTCATGGAGATAGAGAGTAGAAGAATGGTTAACAGAGGCTGTGAATGGTAATGGGTTAGGGAGAAGTGGGTATAATTAATGGTTACCAGAAAATAGAAAGAATGAATAAGATCTAGTATGGTCAATAATAATTTAATTGTACATTTTAAAAATCACATAATATAATTAGATTGTTTATAAATTGTTGATAATTGCATTGTTTATACTAAAATAGCATAAATGGATTATATGAAACACAAAGGATAAAAGCTTGAGGTGATGGATACCCCACTTATCTTGATGTGATTATTACACATTGTATGCCTGTATCAAAATATCCCATATACCCCATAATCATATACATCTAGTATGTACACACAAAAATTAAAAATAAAAATAAATAAATAAAAGAGATTGTCAGAGTTGAGAAAAAACTTTATGTTGTCTACAAGAAAGCCATTTATTTGTTTTTGAAATAGAATCCCACTTTAAATATAAAAGCACATATGGGCCGGGTGTGGTGGCTCACACCTGTAATCCCACCACTTTGGGAGGCTGAGGCAGGCAGATCACCTGAGGTCAGGAGTTCGAGAACAGCGTGGCCAACATGGTGAAACCCCATCTCTACTAAAAATATATTTAAAAAAATAGCTGGGCGCAATGGCAGGCACCTGTATTCCCAGCTACTTGGGAGGCTGAGTCAGGGAGAATTGCTTGAACCTGGGAGGCAGAAGTGGCACTGAGCTGAGATCATGCCACTGCATTCCAGCCTGGGTGACAGAGCAAGATGCTGTCTCAAAAAACAAATAAAATAAAATATAAAAAATAAAATAAAAGTACATATGGCTTTAAAGTACAAGGGATGTAGAAAAAATATACCATGCTAACAAAAATTAAAAGAAAGCAGGAGAAACTGTATTAATTTCAGACAGAGTAGACTTTAAGGTAAGGAAAGTATCAGGAATAAAGAATAAAGAATCGTATTACTCAATGATAAAGGGGTCAATTTTCTAAGAAGACATACAAATCCTTACCATATATGCAACTAACAAGAGTGTCAAACTATGTGAGGCAAAAACTGATAAAACTGCAACAAGAATAGGTGACTCCATTATTACAGTTGAAGACATTAACACCCCTATATCAGAAATGGATAGATCCAGCAAGCAGAAAATCATAAAGGATGTGGTTGAACTCAGCAACACTCAAAAGATTCAACTAGATATAACTGACACCTATTGACAGCAGACTGCACATTCTTCTTAAGCTCACATGGAGCATTCACCAAGATAGACCACATTCTGTGTGATTGATAAAACAAATTTAAACAAATTTGTTTAAATTTAAAAGAACAAATCTAAAAATAATGGAAATCATATAATGTTTGCTTTCAGACTGCAGTGGAATTAAATTTGAAACCAATAACAGAAAAATGCCTGAAAAGGTGGACATTAGCAACACATTTCTAAATAACACATGAGTCAAGGAGAAATTTAAAAGCATTTTGTACCAAGTGAAAATGAAAATACAGTGAAAGCAGTGCATAGAAGGAAATTAATACCATTAAATGCATATATTAGAAAAGAAGAAAGCTTTAAAATTAATAACCTATTTTCATCTTAGAAAATTAGAAAAAGAAGAGCAAATTAAATTCAAAGTAAGAAGAAGAAAGAAAACAAAAATTGGAGCAGAAATCAATGAAACTGAAAACAGGAAATTAATTAGAGAAAAGTCAACAAAATCAAAAGCTATTTCTTTGAAAAGAGCAATAAAATAGATAATTCTGTAGGCATACTAACAGAAAAGGATACAAATTACTAATATTAAAAGTGAAAGAGGAGACTTGACTACAGATCTCATGGACATTAAAAGGATAAGAAGGGAATACTATAAACACCTATAAGGCCACACTGTTGATAGCCTAGATGATATGGACCTGGTCCTTGAAAGACATAATCTACTCACACAAGAATAGGAAATCTGAATAGGAGTATAGCTATTAAAGAAATGGAATTAATAATTAATAGCCTTCCAACGCAGAAGATACAAGAGCCAGATAGGTTCACTGGTGAATTCTACAAAGCATTTAATGAAGAAATTACCAATTCTCTACAATCGTTTTCAGAAGATAGAAGCAGAGGAAGGAATACTTCCTGATTCATTATATGAGGCCATCATTACTCTAATAACAAAATTAGAAAAAGACATTACACACACACAAAAACACAAAACTACAGAGCAATATCTCTCATGAACATAGGTGAACAAATCTTTAACAAAATATTAACAAATTCAATTCAACAATGCATAAAAATAATTATACACGCATCCAACTGGGATTTATCCCAGGTACACAAGGCTCGTTCAGCATTCAAAATCAATTAATATATTCATCATATCATCAAGCTAAAAAAGAAAAATCACATGATCATACCAATAAACATAGAAAAAGCTAAAGCTAACATTGTACTTAATGGTGAGAAACATGAAATTCTCTCACTAAGATCAAGTATAAGCCCAAAACGTCCCCTGTAACCACTCCTTTTTAATATTGTACTTGAAGTTCTAGCTATTGCAATTAGACAAGAACAGGAAATAAAAGGTATACTTATTGGAAAAATAGAAATGTAACTATCTTTGTTTGCAGATGACATAATTATGTCTATGTAGAAAATCTGAAGGGATCAACCAAAAAAAAAGACTCCTGGAATTAATAAGCAATTATAGCAAGGTTGCATAATACAAGATTAATATACAAAACTCAGTTACATTCCTATACACTTGCAATGAACAAATGGAATTTGAAATGAAAAACACTATTCTATTTACATTAGTACCCTCAAAAATGAAATACATAGGTATAAATCTTACAAAATTAGGTACATGGTCTACATGAGGAATACTATAAAACACTTAAGAGTGAAATAAAAGAAGAACTTAATAGAGATATTCTGTGTTCATGGGTAGGAAGACCAATATTATCAAGATGTCAGTTCTTTCCAATTTAATCTGCAGATTCAATCCCAGTCAAAATCACACCAAATTATTCTATGGCTTTTGATAAATTGATTCTAAAGATTACTGAAAAGGTAAAAGACATAGAAGAGCCATACAATTTTGAAGGAAAAGAATAAAGTTGGAGGACTGATATTACCTGTCATCAAGACATACCATAAAGAATCCAGTAATCCAGACAGTATGGTATTGTTGAAAGAACAGACAAATAGAACAATGGAACAGTATAGGGAACCCAGAAATAGGCACATAAATATAGTTAATTGACCTTTGACAAAGAAACAAAGGCAATGCAATGGACCAAAGATAGTTTTTTAAACAAATGATGTTGGAACGACTGAACAATCACATGCAAAAAATAAATCTAGACACAAACCTTACACCCTTCACAAAATTTAATTCTAAAGGGGTCATAGACCTAAACATAAAATGCAAAATTGTAAAACTCCTGGATGATAATGTAATAGAAAACCTAGGTAACCCTAGGATTAACAATGAGTGTTTAGATATGACATCAAAGACAGAATCAATTAAAAAAATTGATAAGCTGGAATCCATTAAAATCTTCTATCTGACAAAGGCAATGTCAAGAGAATCCGAAGACAAGCCACAGACTTGGAGAAAATATTTGCACAAAAAAGATCTGATAGAGGACTGCTATTTAAAATATACAAATAACTCTTAAAACTCAACAATAACAAACAAAAAATGCAATTAAAAAATGGGCCAGCAGGGATTACAGCACTTTGGGAGGCCGAGGCGGGTGGATCATCTGAGGTCAGGAGTTTGAGACCAACCTGGCCAACATGGTGAAACCCGATCTCTACTAAAAAAATACAAAAATTAGCCGGGCGTGATGGCGGGCGCCTGTAATCCCAGATACTGGAAAGGCTGAGGCGGGAGAATCGCTCGAACTCGAGAGGCGGAGTTTGCAGTGAGCTGAAATTATGCCACCGCACTCCAGCCTGGACGACAGAACGAAACTCTGTCTCAAAAAAAAAAAAAAAAAAAAAGGGCCAGCTGGCACTGTGGCTCATGCCTGTAATCCCAGCATTTTGGGAGGCCGAGGAGGATGGATCACTTGAGGCCAGGAGCTTGAGACTAGCCTGGCCAACATGGTGAAACCCTATCTCTACTAAAAATACAAAAATTAGCCAGGAATGGTGGTGTGCACCTGTAATCCCAGCTACTTGGGAGGCAGAGGCATGAGAATTGTTTGAATCCAGGGGGCATAGGTTGCAGTGAGCTGAGATTGTCACTGCACTCCAGCCTGGGTGACAGAATGAGGCTCTGTCTCAAATACACACACATACACACACACACACACACACGCCAGAGACCATATATACAGGTGTCAAATAAGCATGTGAAAAAGTGTTCCACATATGCCATCAGATAAATGCAAATTAGAGCAACAACTAGATACTATTATACTATATACCTTTTAGAATGCCTAAACTCTGGGAAGTTGATAACATCAAATGCTGGTGAGGATGTGGAGCAGCAGGAACTCTCATTCATTGATGGTGGGTACAACTTTGGAAGACAACTTGGTAATTTCTTACAAAACAAAACATACTCTTATATGATCCAGCAATTGTGCTACTTGGTGTTTATTCAAAGAAAAAACTTATGTCTAAACAAAAATCTGCACATGGATGTTTATAGCAGCTTCATTTATAATTGCCAAAACTTAGATGCAACTGAGATGTTTTTCAGTAGGTTAATGGATAAATAAACAGGGGTACATCCAGGCAACCCAAGACTATTAAGTGCTAAATGGAAATGAATTACTAAGCCATGAAAAGACATGGAGGAACTATTAAATGCATTAGGTGAAAGAAGCCAATCTGAAAGTCTACATACTGTGTAATTCCAACTATATGACATTCTGGAAAAGGTAAAAACTATGGAGACAGTAAAAAGATCAGTGGTTGCTAGTGGTTGGAGGTGGGAGGAGAGATGAATAGGTAGAGCACAGGGTATTTTTAGGGCAGTGAAAATACTCTATATTATATATATGGATACATGTTATTATACATTTGTCCTAATTCACAGTATGTACACATCACAAGTCAACCCTAATGTAAATATGAACTTTGGGTAATTATGATGTGTCAGTAGACTTTCATTGGTTTCAGCAAATGTACCACTCTGGTGGGAAGGCTGATGATGAGACAGGCTATTACATGTAAGGGGGCAGGCAGGAATCTATCGGAAAACTTTGTACTTCCCTCTCAATTTTGCTGTGAATCTAAAATTCCTCTAAAAAATAGTCTTAAAAATAAATAAAAACTTAACATTTTGCCTTTCAGTTGAGGTCAACGAAAACAAGATAAATCATAACATACTAAATTTTTTGGTTAGATTTCCTATATTTAGAGAACTTCCAAATATATACTAAGAAATTAGTTTTGAAAACTGTTGTTACTTTTAAAACCTTCACTAGATTATGCTGTGTCCAATGTGCCAATTTATTTTCAATATTTCAAATGATGCTGCTATTTAACAAAACAAAGCAAGCATTTTCTATCAATGTTACACATATCTCAGTTACACAAATCATGAATTATACATATTCCTATCACACAAATGATGATATACACTTCTAGAATTAATATAATATATACATAAGTATGTGTGGTGAGAAAATGATCAAGTGATACTTTTTATTTCTGAGAATAATTTACCACGTGGTTTTCTTCAGTGTCTGCTTATTGAGAGATGATAAATTATGGCTTGGTTATGTATTGCTTTATTAACTTGGTTTTACTGGTGGCTTTACTTGTAAGCCTTTTTGTGGCCTTTTTGCATCTGAGAAACAAATATAGGTAAAATCTGTGGTTGGAATAATGACATCCTAAAATGCATTTCTGAATGAAATCAGCCATGGTCATAGAAAGAAATAATTTCTTCTATTTGTATGTGGTAGCTTTGATTGTTGTTTAGCAAAAATTTATTCCTGTTTCCAGCTTCATGATAAGAGTACATTGCATGCCTCATTGATGTTGAAATCAGACCCAGATCTGAAGAGGCAGAAAGTGTTTTCACTCATCCCTGCAAAAACTTCCAGTCTTTACCATGAGAAAAGCATTTTTCAGATAGCTGCTGTCCCAGTCAGCTTGGGCTTGTGAATGAGACTGTACAGCTGAGTCACTGCAGCTGATCTAGAAACTAAGTTGTCTGTCTAAGCCAACCTGCGGATCTTTAAACGTTCCACTGTGATCAGGTGTATGCAAACCTACCCTCAAAAGGCTAAGAAGTTGAGAAGATGAAGAAAAAGGCTGATAAATGCAGTTTCTTTTAATACATTTAATAGGGACTTATGAACAGAAGCAATGTCTCAGGCAGCCAAGAGGTGATGTGCCCTTGCCCTTGCCCTCCAGAGAACATCCTTTATATAGCAAGCTTTTTGGTAAAGCATGCGTAGCTACTCACACCTTAGACTTTCTTGTGAAACTTGTGACCATAAGAAAGAGATTAGATCAATATGTTTATGAGGGGTTATCTATGCTATGGGAAGACCATGGTATGTAGGAGTCAACCATTGGTCATCATGGTGGTTTTACTTCAAGGTGGCATTACTCGTTGCCATGCAACAGGCTGTTTTCCTACAATAAGCAAAATAAAAATAATAATTAAAAGCTAATCGTTGAGTGCCACTGAGATATTTTGGTTGTCATGCAGCAAAACTAATGTGTTTGTTTAAATACACCTAAAATTTTATTTATTCATCTTAATCTGAAATTTCTTGTCTTTTAGTTGAACTAAGGAATTTTTGTTAAATAGAACCAACTTTTATTTTTTAAATAAAATTCACAATAAAAATTAATTTACACAACTTACACACTTCGTTCTTTTAAGAATATATACTTTTAATTTGTAATCATACTTTATTATTTTTTATCCAGATTACATGAAAACCAATTAACTTTTCTCTTTTTTCTTTCTGTTCTTTTGACAGTGTCTTGCTCTGTCACCCAGGCTGGAGTGCAGTGGCGTGATCTTGGCTCACTGCAACCTCTGCCTCCTGGGCTCAAGCAATTCTCCTGCCTCAGCCACCCAATTAGCTGGGATTATTGGCATGCACCACCATGCCCAGCTAATTTTTGTATTTTTGGTAGACACAGGATTTCACTGTGTTGGCCAGGCTGGTCTCAAATTCCTGGCCTCAAGTAATCTGCCTACCATGGCCTCCCAAAGTGCTGAGATTACAGGCGTGAGCCACCTCGCCCAGCCTTAGCTTCTCTCTTAACTAGTTAACACCTTTTAGCCAGGGTGTCACCTTGGTACCAAGAATTTCATAATTTTCATATGACTATTTACTTATTATTAAAATTGTTTCTTCTAAAGTTACCATTATGTCTCTAAATAATATATCTTCTCTAAATCAAAAACTATTAGCTTTTGACTTAGATAATATTAGCTAAATCACTGTTGCAAACAGAAAGTAATCACAGTTACACTACCATTTAATTGCTATCTCTCTTCCTCCCTCACTGTATTTATTATTTTAATTACTCTAGTGGTTATTGTCATAATTTTAATATTCTATTTCTTGATTCATCATCTTTAGATAGAATCTATTCAGTTCCCTTCATATAATATGGGGAATTATCTCCCTTACTTGTCCCTCTGCCTCTCCTCATGCCATCTTCCACTTGTCATTTTTATCGTTTATTTAACATTATAAGGGGTTATTTAATTAGAATCATCAAATAACTATAATCAAAGATTTTATGATCTTTGACAATAGGCTGAATCTAAAAATTATAAACTTGACCAGGCACAGTGGTTTCTGCCTATAATCCCGGCACTTGGAAAGGCCAAAGGTGAGAAGATCACTTGAGGCCAGGAGTTTGAGACCAGCCTGGGCCACATAGCAAGACCCTGTTTCTAGAAAAAATAAAAAATTAGCTGGTGTGGCAGTGTGTGCCTGTAGTCCTAGCTACTGGAAGGGCTGAGTTGGGAAGATTGTTTGAGGCTAGGAATTGGAGTTTGCAGTGAGCTATGATCATGCCACTGCACTCCAGCCTGGGTGAATGAGAAAGACCCCGTAAACGAAATAAAATTTTAAAAATTATAAACTGAAAAACAGTATTTATAATAATTATAAAACATCAGATGCTGGTATCTGAATTGTGTGATTCACCTGTAGAGAAGAAAATATAATTGTAGGTGGCTAAAACTGTGCTGCTCAAAATGGAATGTTCTGAAGTTGGGCCAGATGAGTTATTTTTTTACAAAACATAAACAACTGAAAATCATGGTACTTTTTTTTTTTTTCATTTTAAAACCTGGCTTTCTTGTATAGCCTTGTGTGTTTTCTGGAGTTTCTAATTGCCTTTGTTTTTCTATATTGAGAGTGGAAATCCACATTTTGGAGTCATATTTTTGTTAAAAAGAACCGACTTTTATTTTTTTAAAGTGATGCTTTACAGAGGCAGCTTGACTTCTGAATCAATGTGGACCAGTAATTTCTAGTCTCACTGTAGATCTGCCATCTGTGATTTTCTTTTTTTTTTTAATTTTTATTTTTATTTTATGTTCCAGGGTACATGTGCAGGATGTGCAGGTTGATTTTCTTACTTTTATAGCCTGTCTTAATTCCACAGTTCCTTTAAGCACATTTCTAACTCTTTCTAAGATTTTGTGTGTGTGTATGGAATGCATATTCCTGTAGTTTTATAAAAATACATATGGGTGGTAAACTTTTAAAGTTCTTGCATGCATCCAATCCTTGACCAGGTTTAGAACTCTAGTTTTCAATTTTAGACTTTTTTTTAGGCCTAATATCCAGAGTTACTGATGCAAATGTTATTCTCACTTT
Source organism: Homo sapiens (assembly GCF_000001405.40). Lineage (NCBI taxonomy): Eukaryota > Metazoa > Chordata > Mammalia > Primates > Hominidae > Homo > Homo sapiens. The sequence continues at coordinate 96,657,942 of NC_000001.11, read as the reverse complement.
GTTTTCAAGCACCTGCTTTTTCTGTCTGCAACATTCTAGAATCTTTTCTTAATCTTTGATGTTTTTGTACTTCATAATTTTTTTTCTCCACATACGTCTTTTTTAAAATTTCAGCCTGTTCACTTGAGCCCAGGAGTTTGAGACCAGCCTGGGCAAGATGGTGAAACTTCATTTCTATAAAAAAAATACAAAAATTAGCCAGGCATGGTAGCACATGCCTGTAGTCCCAGCTACTTGAGAGGCTGAGGCATGAGGATTGCTTGAGCCTGGGGGCCAAGGCTGCAGTGAGCTGTGATCATGCTAGTGCTCCCCAGCCTGAGAAACAGAGTGAGACCTTATCTAAAAAAAAAAAAAGTATTCTGTTGAAACCCAAGCCTTTTCAATATGGATTTATACCTTTATTCATGCTATTATCACCTTAATGACACCATTTCTTCCTTTGTCTTCCACTAATAATGCATCTGCTCTCTCATTTTCCTTCCTTCTTTCTCTCATTTCTTTTCTTCTCTCCCTCCCTCACCCTCCTCGTCTCTTTTTTTTAATTATACTTTAAGTTTTAGGGTACATGTGCACAACGTGCAGGTTTGTTACATATGTATACATGTGCCATGTTGGTGTGCTGCACCCATTAACTTGTCATTTAACATTAGGTATATCTCCTAATGCTATCCTTCCCCCCTCCCCCCACCCCACAACAGGCCCCACTGTGTGATGTTCCCCTTCCTGTGTCCATATGTTCTCATTGTTCAATTCCCACCTATGAATGAGAACATGCAGTGTTTGGTTTTTTGTCCTTGTGATAGTTTGCTGAGAATGATGGTTTCCAGCTTCATCCATGTCCCTACAAAGGACATGAACTCATCATTTTTTATGGCTGCATAGTATTCCATGGTGTATATGTGCCACATTTTCTTAATCCAGTCTATCATTGTTGGACATTTGGGTTGGTTCCAAGTCTTTGCTATTGTGAATAGTGCTGCAATAAACATAGTGTGCATGTGTCTTTATAACAGCATGTTTTATAATCCTTTGGGTATATACCCAGTAATGGAATGTCTGGGTCAAATGGTATTCCTAGTTCTAGATCCCTGAGAAATCGCCACACTGACTTCCATAATGGTTGAACTAGTTTACAGTCCCACCAACGGTGTAAAAGTGTTCCTGTTTCTCCACATCCTCTCCAGCACCTGTTGTTTCCTGACTTTTTAATGATCGCCATTCTAACTGGTGTGAGATGGTATCTCACTGTGGTTTTGATTTGCATTTCTCTGATGTCCAGTGATGATGAAGATTTTTTCATGTGTCTTTGGCTGCATAAATGTCTTCTTTTGAAAAGAAGACATACCTTTTGCCCACTTTTTGATGGGGTTGTTTGTTTTTTTCTTGTAAATTTGTTTGTGTTCATTGTAGATTCTGGATACTAGCCCTTTGTCAGATGGGAAGATTGCAAAAATTTTCTCCCATTCTGTAGGTTGCCTGTTCACCTGATGGTAGTTTCTTTTGCTGTGCAGAAGCTCTTTAGTTTAATTAGATCCCTTTTGTCTATTTTGGCTTTTGTTGCCATTGCTTTTGGTGTTTTAGACATGAAGTCCTTGCCCATGCCTATGTCCTAAATGGTATTGCATAGGTTTTCTTCTAGGGTTTTTGTGGTTTTAGGTCTAACATTTAAGTCTTTCATCCATCTTGAATTAATTTTTGTATAAGGTGTAAGGAAGGGATCCAGTTTCAGCTTTCTACATATGGCTAGCCAGTTTTCCCAGCACCATTTATTAAATAGGGAATCCTTTCCCTATTTCTTGTTTTTGTCAGGTTTGTGAAAGATCAGATAGTTGTAGATATGCCGGATTATTTCTGAGGGCTCTGTTCTGTTCCATTGGTCTATATTTCTGTTTTGGTACCAGTACCATGCTGTTTTGGTTACTGTAGCCTTGTAGTATAGTTGGAGCGTGAAGTCTCCAGCTTTGTTCTTTTGGTTTAGGATTGACTTGGCGATGCGGGCTCTTTTTTGGTTCCATATGAACTTTAAAGTAGTTTTTTCCAATTCTGTGAAGAAAGTCATTGGTAGCTTGATGGGGATGGCACTGAATCTACAAATTACCTTGGGCAGTATGGCCATTTTCACGATATTGATTCTTCCTACCCATGAGCATGGGATGTTCTTCCATTTGTTTGTATCCCCTTTTATTTCATTGAGCAGTAGTTTGTAGTTCTCCTTGAAGAGGTCCTTCACATCCCTTGTAAGTTGGATTCCTAGGTATTTTATTGTCTTTTAGCAATTGTGAATGGTTGTTCACTCATGATTAGGCTCTCTGTTTGTCTGCTATTGGTGTACAGGAATGCTTGTGATTTTTACACATTGATTTTGTATCCTGAGACTTTGTTGAAGCTGCTTATCAGCTTAAGGAGATTTGGGGCTGAGACTATGGGGTTTTCTAGATATACAATCATGTCATCTGCAAACAGGGACAATTTGACTTCCTCTTTTCCTAATTGCATACCCTTTATTTCTTTCTCTTGCCTGATTGCCCTGGCCAAAACTTCCAACACTATGTTGAATAGGAGTGGTGAGAGAGGGCATCCCTGTCTTGTGCCAGTTTTCAAAGGGAATGCTTCCAGTTCTTGCCCATTCATTATGATATTGGCTGTGGGTTTGTCATAGGTAGCTCTTATTATTTTGAGATACTTTCCATCAATATCTAATTTATTGAGAGTTTTTAGCATGAAGGGCTGTTAAATATTGTTGAGGCCTTTTCTGCATCTATTGATATAATCATGTGGTTTGTGTCATTGGTTCTGTTTATGTGATGGATTATGTTTATTGATTTGCATATGTTGAACCAGCCTTGCATCTGAAGGATAAAGCTGACTTGATCATGGTGGATAAGCTTTTTGATATGCTTCTGGATTCAGTTTGCCAGTATTTTATTGAGGATTTTTGCATCAATGTTCATCATGATATTGGTCTAAAATTCTCTTTTTTTGTTGTGTCTCTGCCAGGCTTTGGCATCAGGATGATGCTGCCCTCATAAAATGAATTAGGGAGGATTCTCTCTTTTTCTATTGATTGGAATAGTTTCAGAAGGAATGATACCAGCTCCTCTTTGTACCTCTGGTAGAATTTGGCAGTGAATCCATCTGGTCCTGGACTTTTTTTGGTTGGTAGGCTCTTAATTATTGCCTGAATTTCCGAGCCTGTTATTGGTCTATTCAGAGATTCAACTTCTTCCTGGTTTAGTCTTGGGAGGGTGTATGTGTTGAGGAATTTATCCAGTTCTTCTAGATTTTCTAGTTTATTTGCATAGAGGTGTTTATAGTATTTTCTGATGGTAGTTTGTATTTCTGTGGGATTGGTGGTGATATCCCCTTTATCATTTTTTATTGCTTCTATTTGATTCTTCTCTCTTTTCTTCTTTATTAGTCTTGCTAGCAGTCTATCAATTTTGTTGATCTTTTCAAAAAACCAGCTCCTAGATTCTTTGATTTTTTGAAGGGTTTTGTGTGTCTCTATCTCCTTTAGTTCTGCTCTGATCTTAGTTATTTCTTGCCTTCTGCTAACTTTTGAATTCGTTTGCTCTTGCTTCTCTAGTTCTTTTAATTGTGATGTTAGGTTGTCGATTTTGGATCTTTCCTGCTTTCTCTTGTGGGCATTTAGTGCTATAAATTTCCCTCTACACACTGCTTTAAATGTGTCCCAGAGATTCTGGTACATGTGTCTTTGTTCTCACTGGTTTCAAAGAATGTCTTTATTTGTGCCTTCATTTGATTGTACCCAGTAGTCACTCAGGAGCAAGTTATTCAGTTTCCATGTAGTTGTGTGGTTTTGAGTGAGTTTCTTAATCCTGAGTTCTAATTTGATTGCACTGTGGTCTGAGAAACAGGTTGTTGTGATTTCTGTTCTTTTACATTTGCTAAGGAATGCTTTACTTCCAATTCTGTGGTCAATTTTAGAATAAGTGCGACGTGGTACTGAGAAGAATGTACATTCTGTTGACTTGGGGTGAAAAATTCTGTAGATGTCTGTTAGGTCCGCTTGGTGCAGAGCTGAGTTCAAGTCCTGGATATCCTTGTTAACCTTCTGTCTCAATCTGTCTAATGTTGACAGTGGGGTGTTAAAGTCTCCCATTAGTATTGTGTGGGAGTTTAAGTCTCTTTGTAGGTCTCTAAGGACTTGCTTTATGAATCTGGGTGCTCCTGTATTGGGTGCATATATATTTAGGATAGCTAGCTCTTCTTGTTGAATTGATCCCTTTACCATTATGTAATGGCCTTCTTTGTCTCTTTTGATCTTTATTGGTTTAAAGTCTGTTTTATCAGAGACTAGGATTGCAACTCCTGGTTTTTTTTTGCTTTCCATTTGCTTGGTAGATCTTCATCCATCCTTTTATTTTGAGCCTATGTGTGTCTCTGCATGTGATATGGGTCTCCTGAATACAGCACACTGATGGGTCTTGACTCTTTATCCAAATTGCCAGTCTATCTTTTAATTGGGGTATTTAGCCCATTTACATTTAAGGTTAATATTGTTGTGTGTGAATTTGATCCTGTCATTATGATGTTAGCTGGTTATTTTGCTCATTAGTTGATGCAGTTTCTTCCTAGCATTGATGGTCTTTACAATTTGGCATGTTTTTGCAGTGGCTGGTACCGGTTGCTCCTTTCCATGTTTAGTGCTTCCTCTAGGAGCTCTTGTAAGGCAGGCCCGGTGGTTAAAAAAAGCACTCAGCATTTGCTTGTCTGTAAAGGATTTTATTTCTCCTTCACTTATGAAGCTTAGTTTGGCTGGATATGAAATTCTGGGTTGAAAATTCCTTTCTTTAAGAATGTTGAATGTTGGCCCCCTCTCTCTTCTGGCTTGTAGAGTTTCTGCTGAGAGAACTGCTGTTAGTGTGATGGGCTTCCCTTTGTGGGTAACCCGACCTTTCTCTCTGGCTGCCCTTAACAATTTTTCCATCGTTTCAACTTTGGTGAATCTGACAATTATGTGTCTTGGGGTTGCTCTGCTCAAGGAGTATCTTTGTGGTGTTCTCTGTATTTCCTGATTTTGAATGTTTACCTGCCTTGCTAGGTTGGGGAAATTCTCCTGGATAATATCCTGAAGGGTGTTTTCCAACTTGGTTCCATTCTCCCCATCACTTTCAGGTACATCAATGAAACGTAGATTTGGTCTTTTCACATAGTCCCATATTTCTTGGAGGCTTTGTTAGTTTCTTTTTACTCTTTTTTCTCTAAACTTCTCTTCTCACTTTATTTCATTAATTTGATCTTCAATCACTGATACCCATTCTTCCACTTGATTGAATTGGCTACTGAAGCTTGTGCATGTGTCATGCAGTTCTCATGCCATGGTTTTCAGCTCCACAGGTTCTTTAGGGTCTTCTCTACACTGTTTATTCTAGTTAGCCATTCATCTAATCTTTTTTCAAGGTTTTTAGCTTCCTTGCAATGGGTTTGAACATCCTCCTTTAGCTCGGAGAAGTATGTTATTACCAACCTTCTGAAGCCTACTTCCGTCAACTCATCAAAGTCATTCTCCATCCAGCTTTGTTCCATTGCTGGCAAGGATCTGTGATTCTTTGGAGAAGAGGATCTCTGGTTTTTAGAATTTTTAGCTTTTCTGCTCTGGTTTCTCCACATCTTTTTGGTTTTATCTATCTTTGGTCTTTGATGTTGGTGACCTACAGTTGAGGTTTTGGTGTGAGTGTCCTTTTTGTTGATGTTGTTGCTATTCCTTTCTGTTTGTTAGTTTTCCTTCTAAGAGTCAGGTCCCTCAGCTGCAGGTCTGTTGGAGTTTGCTGGAGGTCCACTCCAGACCCTGTTTGCCTGCGTATCACCAGCAGAGTCTGCAGAACAGAAAATATTGCAGGACAGAAAATATTGCAGAACAGCAAATATTGCTGCCTGATCCTTCCTCTGGAAGCTTTGTCCCAGAGGGGCACCTGCCTGTATGAGGTGTCAGTCAGCCCCTACTGGGAGGTGTCTCCCAGTTAGGCTACATGGGGGTCAGGGACCCAGTTGAGGAGGCAGTCTATCCGTTCTCCAAGCTCAAACACCATGCTGGGAGAACCACCGCTGTCTTCAGAACTGTCAGGGATGTTTAAGTTTGCAGATATTTCTGCTGCCTTTTGTTCAGCTATGCCCTGCCTGCAGAGTTGGAGGCTACAGAGCCAGCAGGTCTTGATGAGCTGCAGTGGGCTCCACCCAGTTCGAGCTTCCCTGGGGCTGCTTTGTTTACCTACTCAAGCCTCAGTAATGGCAAATGCCCCTCCCCCTGCCAGGCTGCTGCCTCGCAGGTTGATCTCAGACTGCTGTGCTAGCAGTAAGCAAGGCTCTGTGGGCTTGGGATCTGCTGAGCCATGTGCAGGATATAATCTCCTTGTGTGCCATTTGCTAAGACAGTTGGAAAAGCACGGTATTTGGGCAGGAGTGTCCATTTTTCCAGGTGCCATCTCTCACGGCTTCCCTTGCCTAGGAAAGGGAAATCCCCCGACCCCTTGCGCTTCCCGGGTGAGGCGATGCCCCGCCCTTCTTCAGCTCACCCTCTATGGGCTGCACCCACTGTCCAACCAGTCCCAGTGAGATGAACCAGGTACCTCAGTTGGAAATGCAGAAATCACCTGTCTTCTGAGTCGATCATGCTGGGAGCTGCAGACCAGAGCTCTTCCTATTTGGCCATCTTGCAACGGAATCCGATCTTTCCACTTTTAACGTTCACTATGTGGAAATGGGGAATGAAGAATATAAAAATGTGAGCTCAGAAGTTATACTTGACAATTTGAACAATCTATTACATCGGTGCAAAAGTAATTGCGGTTTCTGCCAGTGAAAGTAATGGCAAAAATCGTGATTACTTTTACATCAACCTAATACAATTACTCCAGCATCTTTCACATTTTGAGTAAAAAAAGAAAGACTCCATTTCAGGACTAATATTTTGGAGCCTCTGAATTTGCTTATAACAACTGACATCACAAAATCTGGAAAACTGTCTCCATACAAGACTCATATTTGTTTATTTGCACAAATTGCTAATGAAAGTTTAAAAAAAATGGCCAAGTGACTTAAAAATTAGTTAAAACAAATCTAATAGTGATAATGTTGCCCAGGCATTATCTACAAATACTTACGAATAGATAGTAATAGTAAACTAATGATTCTTAGGTGCATAGCATCAGAGGTTTAACCAAAGAAAAAGGGAAACATCAACCAAGAGCTTGTGTTTTAATAACACCCAAAATAAAAAATCTTCATTAAGTTGTTTTGTGGGGATCACTTGATCATCCTATGCTTCCTCTTATATATTTGTTATCTTTTTAAACTTTATTTTTCCATAGTGTTATTACAACAAATAGGTTAAAACACACACACACACACACACACACACACACACAAGCAGACAAGCAAGACATACTACCCCTAATGCCAATGCTGTAACATTGTTACAATTTCTACTTGACCATCTCAGACAAAGCAAATGGTCATGCTGGACTTCTGTTGGCTTTTTGAATGAAGGGAACTAAAAAAGCATTACAGCAAGAGCAGTGAATCAAGTGCAGGTTAAAGGAGCTATGAACAGGTGTAGATTGGGGCGTTTTTTTTTGTCCTAGGCCTGCTGCTGCTGTACTGGGCTTCATGGCACCTGCTGTCTTGCTAGGGAGTCAGACTTTGAAATGGATTCTTGTGTGGAACCATGGCTGGAAGTGTTGTTGTTGTTGTTGTTGTTTTCCACAAGTGCAGCACAAAGAAGCAGCAGAACCACCAGCCACCCACCTTGCAATCTGGCCTTGGTCTCCAGTTCCACTACCAATTCCTCTAATCACATACCTTGGCAATAACAAACAGGATCAACGTCAGGGACATGCTGCTGAAACAGAAGTGGTAATACCCAGCGCAGAGACAAATTTCACAAATTATTTATTATTAGCAAAGTACTTTGAGAATAACAGGTGACAGGCAGTATGAGTTCAAATAATTCTGTTATTAGAAATAGAGTTTTGAATATATATGCCAGAGGGATTCAGTGCAAAAACGAAGTGGATTCTAGGATCATAAATTCTACATTTCAGGGAAATTTGACACTGTCATTGCTTGCTGGCACATAGTGGAAATATTTAAGTGGTTGGACAATTATTTTAGTAGCTGACAAGTTATGGGACTTAACACATAATAGGTTGATGATGACTTGTTATTGCTTTCAGTTTGGTGGAACAAACAAAAGAAAATTTAGGGTTGTCATTATGACATTCAGAGTTTTTCCCACCCCTTAAGATTGTTGCCTTTTTCTGCATAGACATTATTACATCAAGTTTTGCTTTAAATTCAAATTTGGCTCTCTATGTAGAACCATGGTGAGACCACACCTAGAACAGTAATGCACCATTAATGGTGTCTGTATATCATCATAAACACCCATAGCCCAGACCAACTGTGGCAGTCATTCTCCTCACTCTTACTGAATTTGTTATATATGACTTTTGGTTCCCAATAGAAAACCACTAAAGCTATCATTTCAGTCATAGCTAAAAAAAGAGGTTGCATTGTGTAGCCTAAGAAAAATTTGCCCTTTTTTGGAAAGTAAAGCAGCTGTAATTATTTCAGATTGCAATATTGGTACAGAGAATATAGTGCCAAAATACCCATTTTGGAAATGTGCATTGTTGTATAATTAAATCAGTTTCAAAACTTTAGTATAATATTTTATATGTACCAAATAACTCTTCTCCGAGTTTTCCAGAATGTTCTACATATATTAATTAGTCAAATCTCACAATATCCTTGTAGAAAAGTATTATACTAATATCTGGTTTTTAGTGGGAAGAAAACTTGGGGGAAAAAAGCAACATAGGATTACAAAGTAAGTTAGTGACAGAACAAGATTAGAATTCACAGCTTCTGAAAACATTTATAAGCATTTAAAAATATGGGTTCCCATGAATTATATGAGGGAGCAGGTAGCTCTAGGAACCATTTAGAAGTTTGGTGATCTGGAATGGTTTTTGATGAGAGATAATTCATACTCTATTAACTTAATAATTTGTCATAAAATTAGGCCCCTAGGTTACGGTGGGTTGACAGTTGGTTCTAACTATGAAGTTAGACATTTGTGATATATTTTTAACTTTTTACTCTGTAATACTTTCTGAAATGATTCACAAAGCCATTAATAAATTATGTATAACATACAGCAGAAACTTGTACATTCTCAGTATGTCACAATTGTAACTTTCAAAATCCATTAAATGTGTTTTCACATACAGAATTATTTTCTCAGAAAGAAAACATTCACCAGACTCATTTTATATGACCACTAACCTTACAAAACAGTTTATATAAAATATTGTGGCTTACTGTTAAATGTGGATGGGCAAGATGGATCAAAAATCTCTGAGAACTATGTGGAAATTCTTCGTCATCACAACATGCCCTGGGTATTTGCTCTCAGAGAAGAAAGCAATCTGATAAACCTATTTACTTTTAAATTATGGGAATTTACCCTTTTAAAAGAAAGGAGCCTGAAAAGATTGTTCAAGGAAGTTTTGCCCACTGTGGGGAGGATAATTTGGATTGTGCAGCCTTTTTAGTGATTAAGTATTGCTTCTATTTAAAAGTCTAGGTCTCCATAACAGAATGTCTCTGAGAAGATAGCCAAGAACTTGATGTCTAGTCGTCTCGATTCAGGTACAGGTGAATTGGAAGAGCAAGAGAGATGCCTTAAGAATTTACTCAAGTACTGCCTCAAGCAGTTTGGCATATGTGTAGCAGGCTGGGAAATAAATGGAATCATCATTCAAGTCTGAAATTCTGCTATAAGGAAAAGAATTACTTTTTTGGAAAGAAGGATTTAGATTCACAATGACTAAGAAGTAGTCCAGAAAACAGAAACAGGTTTTTAAGATGAAGGCCAATTCATGCATTCAACAAATGTTTATTCAACACTCACTATGTGCCAGACACTAAGTTAGATGATAGCAATTGAGTGGAGAATAAGACAGACCCCATACTTAGTCTCCAGTCTTTACAGAATGGGCTACAGAGAAGAAAAGAGGCAATCATAATATCTGGTGCATAGCAGGTGCTCAAAAAATATGTCAAATTAATTCATGAATTTAAAATGTGACTTTAAATGTGACTATCCTACTGTAATAAAACATTAGATACTATTTATGGGATTTTTATTAAATGTGTTAATTATGATGTAAGCATATTGTAAGCTTAAAAACATATTCACCATTGTGGAGTCATTGTATATGTACAAATATTAAATGTAGAGTTTGAAGTGTGATTGAGAGTAAAAGCTATTAATATAGTGCTAAGATATTGGAGACATAAACCTTAAGTGGAAATTACATTTTTTTGCAACTATTTCAAGGCTGCATTACAAGTATGTGGCAAATTGTATGTGTATGTTTATGCATAAAGATATGACCTAGGACAAAGGAGAGAATGAACATTGGAGTATGTTATTACTAGTTATTACTATTCTATCTTGTCTGAATTTTTAAACATGTAAGAACTAAAGGGAAACATTTGAAAATTTTCGTTTCAATGAGAACACTTGGACACAGGAAAGGGAACATCACACACCGGGGCCTGTTGTGGGGTGGGGGAAGCGGGGAGGGATAGCATTAGGAGAGATACCTAATGTAAATGACTAGTTAATGGGTGCAGCACACCAACATGGCACATGTATACATATGTAACAAACCTGCACGTTGTGCACATGTACCCTAGAACTTACAGTATAATAAAAAAAATTAAAAAAGAAAATTTTTGTTTAACTATATGCTCTAATGTTCTTATATTTTACTTTTATTTACAAATATACATATTTGTAATTAAAATGTGTATTATTGTATTGAAACACTGTAGAGAAATATTATTTGAACTTAATTTGTGTGTGTATTTATGTATGTGTGTGTATTCGTGTATGTGTGAATAAATAATAAAGCAGATAGAGAGGGTAAAAAAAGAAGGGAGAAAAATAGAGAATGAACAAAAGATTATTCTATTGTTTTAATTTATGTTTTCTTTTTCTTTTCTTTTCTTTTTTTTTTTTTTTGAGACAGCATCTCACTCTGTTGCCCAGGCTGGAGTGCAGTGGTGCAATCTGCGATCTTAGCTCACTGCAACCTCCATCTCCCAGGCTCAAGCAATCCTCCCACCTCAGCCTCCCAAGTAGCCGGGACTACAGGCACATGCCACCATGCCTGGCAAATTATTATTATTATTATTATTTGTATTTTTGGTAGAGACAGGGTTTTGCCATGTTGCCCAGTTTGGTATTGAACTCTTGAGCTCAGGGCATTCCACCTCCCTCAGCCTCCCATGGTGTTGGGATTACAGGCGTAGCCACTGCACTCAGCCTAATTTCTATAAATAGTATATTGCTAACCAAATTTCCTCTGAGTACATCTGTTAGTTGTTTTGAATTCCTCAGATACAGAAAAGAGAGAAAACGTTAATTTTTTAGCTTGTGGTCTAATATTTTTATGTAGTATAATAAGATGAATTTTTTCTTTATTTAAAAATTATTACACATATGTTTTTATGAAGGCACTGGAACATCTGGATTTTTTTTCTCTCCCTGCAGCATCCTCATCAACTAAGTTAGATGCTAGCAATTGAGTGGAGAATAAGACAGACCCCATACTTAGTCTCCAGTCTGGGAAGATAAGATTGAATGCAAGTTGACTTTGATTTTGAGAAACGAACACTTAGCATGGTCGTTAACTTATTGTCTTCATATTTGATTATTTTCTTTCTTCTATCTCCATTTATTAATATGCTTCTTTTTCTATTGTCCCCTCTCTCTCATTTTCTCTTACTTATTTCAAATACTTTTGACTCTGCAGTATGATCTTTAGGAACTTAGTTATTCTGCAAAATGTTTATTATTTCAGAGTTACTTATGTAGTGCCTTAAGGACCCTAGTCAAAACCGTAATAAAATGCAACAGATATTCATAGCAGTATATACATTTCATGAATACAATTTTCTTAAATTTTCAGAAAAATTCTCTGATTTAACCTTCAATGGAAAGGATAATATGTAAATTTGTTTCTTTTATTTTAAGGGTTGGAAAATTAAAATACTTGATTTACCAACCATGGTTATAGGTTGGATTGACCAAAAGACACAGTTTTGGTGAATGATAATGTAAACAGAGACTTTTGAGGAAGGGAAGCCCAGGTGACAAACCCTGTGAGAAGACACGTTCTTCTGCTTTCTTTCTGCCTGGAACACAGGCACGATATATGGAGGTGCAGTATCCATTTTGTCAATTTGAGAACAAAAGCTACATGCTAAGTACACACACAGCAGAAAGAATGAGCCTAGGCCTTTGATGGCCTTCTAGAGATGTGCCAGACTTCCAGACTCGGAATTTATGGTTAAAAAATAAACTCTTATCTCTTTAAGCCACTATCGGTAATGTTTTCTTTTAATTTTAGTTAAATGCATTCTGATTCAGAATTGAATATCAGTGGATGGCTTTTGCTCTTTAGCTCTCAAACGCTGGACAGAGTATCCTGAGGGCATAAAGAGTAGAAGCTGAACTCTTCCTGGTGAAGCATGCCACTATAGTGAGCAGCCAAGATACTAGCAATACAAAAGAGAAATGATGTGAACATACTTGTTCTTAGAAAGAAAATGACTTTTATCTTATCTGCTCATCAAAGGCTAAAAACTATTCCTGGTGGATATCATAGTAATCCAGATGATGAAGCATAAAACCGAGAATAACTATAGAGCAGAAAGGTTGCCTATGGTTCTGGAAAGACTAAAGGTGATGCTCACATAATTAGGAACTAGAAGGGAAAGAATCAGTACAGTATCAGAAGGCATGCCTCAGAGGGCAGTGGAAAAGCCAGACTAGAACCCTTCATTTCTGCAGCCATGAATGAAGCATAGCATTCCTCAAAGGTTGGAATTTTGCAACTTTTATATGTCATCTATTATACAATATTTAGTTATGCTTTTTTATTAACCTGGTCATAAGAATGCTACAAAATGGACAGGTCAGACAATGCTTGTTCTGTATTTCAGATATCCCTAGTAGTGATGAGAAAAGGAAATTGTCAGTGGTGTTATGTAAAACTGCCAGGCAATGTATGGTAGTTTTCCCCCATGGAGATTATTAAGGCAAAGTAAAACAAAATCATTCTGGCATGTGAGGAAACCAGACCAGATTGACGACAGGCCTAGAACCATCACCTAACAGCCACAGTGGGCAACGCATATAAGATCAGGGTTTAAAAAGGGTGAAAAGAGGCAAGAATGACCAATATTCTTCATGTTCAATGTGTACTTTACAAGTCAGAATCTGGTAGGATACAGCCAATATTTTTTTTTCATTAAATCTTGGCCTTTGAAATATACTCAGCCGTATTTTAAATTCTGTGTGGTTGGCCGTAACTTATTTGAATTAATAATGGTGTGAAAGAGAAAGATTTCATCTTACTAATGCCATAGATAATCTGTATAAGACAAACATAGCTTGAACTCTATCAGTCAGTCAAACAAAAATAATTGTTTCTTTAGGGTTGTTCCTAGGTAGAGGAGAGGAAAGGGGATTAGACATGGGCTGCCCAGAACACCTTTGTTTTAGGGAGTAGAGCTTTGGGGGAAAAATGAAAGAAATAGGAAACACTAGGAAAGGGCTGTAGGACAGGAAGAATGAAAAGGGAAATAGAAACAAATATCAAGTATACCCCTGCTTGGAGAAGCTGGCAAATTTATTTTGTTTTATAAGCATATGTGCTTTGCTGTTTTGAAGGCTACCTTAGGTGTTCAAAGCCCTTCAGCCTGGACTGACTCCACAAAGCATATCTGAGACAAGGAGGAACACCCCAAGCAAACTGAAAGTGTTAGGAAACTGTATCCCACAAGAGAAGGTGTGAATTTTAGGTTCCTAAGAAAAGGGATGAGGTTTTCTCCATCAGTGCTTTCCCATTTTCTTTGTCCTAGAGGGGCACATGGCACATAGTAGGCACACAAAAGACATTAGCTTCATTTTAATCACATATTAGATAATTTCTATATCCCCAGGTAAGGATGCTATAAACCAGGGGCCAAATAATTGTCACTCAGGCCAATTACCTGCAGATATGTTTTGTTTAACCATATTATATTTTTAAAGAGGCACATAAATGTCTTAAAGCAAGGCTGTACAGCTCCAGAGGGCACCACTTGTGTATAATGTGACAGTCCTGTGACTCAGGGGCGTGTGTTCCCTCATTAAAATAGGGTTTACCACTAAGTATTTTCTTACACCTGATTCATACATTTATGTTACCCTCTTTGCTCTGTGGGTATTTACTCACCCCTTTGCTTATTCATTCTTTTATCCTTTTTTTTCATAAACACTTTTAAGTGCCTTTTATGTGCCAGACATCATGCTAGGCATTAATATATTATCCTATTTAATAATAGCATCAATCTTATGAATATGTATTATTGTTTCCATTTTATCAAAGAATAAACTGAAACACAGGAAAGTTAAATTAATTGTCCAAGTTCTCATTGACAGAAAGTGTTAGAATTGACCGGGCGCAGTGGCTCAAGCCTGTAATCCCAGCACTTTGGGAGGCCTAGGCAGGCAGATCACCTGAGGTCAGGAGTTCAAGACCAGCCTGGCCAACATGGTGAAACCCCATTTCTACTAAAAATACAAAATTAGCTAGGTGTGGTGGCACATGCCTGTAATCCCAGCTACTTGGGAGGCTGAGGCAGGAGAATCGCTTGAACCTGGGAGGCAGAGGTTGCAGTGCATTGAGATCTCGCTATTGCACTCCAGCCTGGGCAACAGGAGTGAAAGTCCATCTCAAAAAAAAAAAAAAAAAAAGTGATAGAATCAGGATTTAAATCCAGATATGACTTAATCCAAAATACAAACTCTTTCCATTAGAAAAAATATCTCTCCTTCCAAGACTCCAAAACTTATGTGCACCTAAAGTAAACATAAAGCAAGATAGAGTGTTACAAAACCTGCATACAAAAAAGGAAAGGAATAAATATTGGAGCCAATAACATCGCTTACTAAAGGGCTGTGTATATCATTATAGAAGGACCCAAGGAACCTTCCTAGATTATTCCTCACAAAGGGCTATAATTTATCAAAGGGCTAACCCTGTTCTAAATGAAAGAAATTTTTCACTTATTGGTAGTCAGGATTCTCAGGATTACTCAACCTTGAATGTGAGAGAATAAAGACTTGGATAACTAGTGTTAGTTAGAAAGTCCCAAATGTCTGTTGACAGGATAATGGTTCATAAATTGTGGAAATGTTTACACAATGTCATTCTATGCAGTAGTGAAAATGAATGACCTACAGTAATATGCAACAACATGGTGGATTTTTGAAACAAACTGGTGCTTGAGGAAAGTAAATTACAGAAGACTGCGTACGGTAGGCTACCATCTTTACAAATCTCCAAAACCAAGAAATCAAACAGAACATTTATCCCTAAATAAATCTGTGGTAAAAACCAAGGGAGGAAAAAGCAAGGAAAGGATACATACAAGTTTCAGAATAATGGTTACCTCTTGGTGCATAGGAAGACAGAGAAATGGAACAGGAAAGAACACACAGATGTGACATTGTTGGTAATGTTCTTAAGTTGATAGGTAGCTTTATAACTGTTCTATTTACTGTACCTCATGAATAATTTATGTTACATATATTCTTACATAGGCATCAAATATTAATTAAAAAGAATGGAGCAGGAAACTAATTGAAGAACTCACCCCTTTTGGGTATCATGGGCATTTTAAGTTACTAATAATAAACACTGCTCTTCTTTTCTCCAGGAGATTGCCCAATCATGGGGTCTCAAAGAAGATTTTCATTTTGAACGTTTTATCTAATTTAGCTGAGGATAGTAGAAAAAATTTCAAATATAAATTTTAAGGGAAAAAACTTCAGACATAAACTCTAAGGAAAAAAATTGTATTTCAGATATAAATTCCAATATCACATTTCCTTCTTCCAGAAGCAAAATTATTCAATAACTGTGTCAAGCTCTTTGTGATATTTTATGGTAGAGGGAATCAGAGGAGAAGGAAAAATCGTGGGAAAGAGTGGTACAATTATTGTCCTGATTAATCTTACATGCTAATAAGAAGTAAATCAGCAGGGAAAAAAATTTCCATTTTATCAAATTCCCACCACTTCAGCTTGAAGAACAATCACTTAACAGGTCTGACCAAGGGTACTCCTCATATACTAAACCACGCCATACAATTTGGAGTTGCGGTTCAATCAAAGAGTTAAACCTGACTTAAGAGTTAAATATATTTGGTCACTAGTACAAATATTTTCTCCAAAGACTAGTATTCTGGATAATTAGTGTTTTGCTTAAACTTGCAGACTTTTGCCTACAGTGGAATCTGACTCAAGCCTTTTGCATGAAAAATCCATTTCACAATCAATTCAAATAGCAAAATCACTTCGCTGTTTTGTTTCTGGAACATCTGCCAAAAGGAAGGGCCAAATATAGTAATGTATTTTCTCTGTTGGAATCTCCATTATTTAAGCTGAATAGAACTTTTGAGATGATAATGTTTCAGGAACAAGACAGTGCACAAAACTGTGCTCCTTTACATGCTCTGGAAGGTCACAAACAAGCGTTTCCTGGTCTAAGCGCAATAGTTTCTTCCTTTTATGCCTCAAGCAGGTCTTTGGGATGCCACACATCAAAACACAGCACTTCTTCATTCATTTTAATGGGTGGCGAGGAGTTTGGAATTTTTAGGTTCACAAACTGATACAGTCTTACTTTGACCTTTATCAGCATGCTAAATGCCCTCCAGTCCTTCGCACTGGAGTGTGGCGAGCAGAGCTGAATTCTCATCAATCTCATGAAGGAAGGCAATACATCTGATCTACTGAATAGTTTCAAGCCACTGCTTCAATAATTCAAAATATGTAGTTGCAGTCCATTTGCTGCAATGGTGGCTGCATCAGTGTCTATAATCCGGTGCATTGAATATTCATCCAAGAACTGATCCTTGTCTTCCATATTGCAAATACCCAATTTTCTTATGTCATTACCTTAATCTTTAATTTACAGGCAGGATGTAGAATTTTAACAAATCTGCTTCAGGAGAAAAAAGTCATCTAGAGAGATTGTACCTTATTCCCTATTGTAACTTTGAAGGAATTTACTCTTTTTAGCTAAGAGAATCATTTGAAATCATGAGCCAAGGCCAATTATATTTCCAAGATGCTAAAACAATATGTAAACAACTTATTTGAATGAAGACACTACAATGATTGCAGAGTACATTGCAAAGCTACTTTCTTGAATTTTGAGAAAAGTTTTTAGAGAAGAATAATGGCACAATTTTAAAACTTCAAGTTTGAAGTTTTTATGAAATAGACAATGCATTACAAAAAGAGTCAGGACTTTAAATTCCAAAGTAGTTCAGTTATTAACTTAAAATAATAATAAATGATAGAAACAGTAATTTGAGGTCAAAACTGTAATCTTTGGCTTTAACCTCACTAAATAAAATTCAATGTTTAATCAAGCTCATTGCTAAACTTTTCCTAATTACTCTAATTTTCTTCTATTTTCCGTGAAGTTATCTCCAATGATAGGCTCTGATATTAGCTTCAAATCTTCTCATTCTCTCCTTTCACTTCAAAGCATTTGCCAGGCCTTAATTTCCCCCATGAATCATTATGTTTTCCCCTATTTTGTAAAATTTTGTTTGTAGAAGACTTTATTATTAGATAAATCACTTGGAAATCCAGGTTCTTTACAGATCTATTGTTTTACGGATCTGAATATTTAATAAGTGTCTAAGTTTTAGTTGTTTTGTTTTTGTTTTTGTTTTTAACCAGTGTAGATATTCACATGGACTTGAAGTTGCAGGTGGAAGTATATTTATATTTCAGGCACATCATTCTTAAAAAAAACTTATTTTGAAATAAGACTGACAAGAAGTTTAAAAATAGTACAAAGACTTCCTATGCATCCTTCATCCAGATTTCTCCAATAACATATTAAATAACCATACTAAATTGTCAAACCAGGAAATTGTCATGGTATAGTATTACCAGCTAAAACTGCAGAGCTTGTTCAGATTGCATTTCCTTATTTTTTTTGGTGCTTATGGTTCTATGAAATTTTATCACATGTATAGAGTTACATGACTACCTCTACTAAAAGGCTACCAAACTGTTGTCACTACAAAGAAAGTCCCTCATGCTAACCCTTCATTGTCACACCCTCTCTCCAATCCTAACCTATGACAACTACTGATTTGCTCTTTATCACTATACTTTTGTCACTGAGTGTTATAGAAATGGAATCCTGTAGAGTGTAACCTTTTGAGACTTGTATCTTTAGCTCAGCATAATGCCCTGAAAATCCATCTATGTTGCTGTGCTAATAATTCATTTCTGCCTATTGCTGAGTGGCTTTCACTCTATGGACAGTTTGTTTATCTATTCACCCACAGAAGAACATTTGAGTTATTTCCAGCTTTTGGCTACTTCAAAGAAAACTTATATAAGTATTTCATTTTTATGTGGACATAGTGTTGATTTCTCTACGACAAGTATCTAAGATTGCAATTGCTGGGTTGTGTGGTAAGTGTGTGTTTAACTATAAGAAAATGCCCAACTGCTTTTCGGAGTAGTTGTTCCATTTTACATTCTCCTGCAATTGATATGAGATCTAGTAGCTTTACATTCTTGCCAGCACTTGGTATTATTAGTACTTTTCATTTTAGTCCTTCTGTTAGGTACATAATGATAGCTTATTGTGGCTTTAATTTGCATTTCCCTAAGGGCTGATAATATTGAACATCTCATGTTCTTGTTTTTCTTCTGCCCTCTTTGGTAAATTGTCTTAGAATCTTTTGCCCGTTTCTTAATTGGACTGCTTGTTCTTTTATTGTTCAGTTGAGAGAGTTCTTTACATATTGGTCATATAAGTCCTTTTTCAGATATGTGATTTGCAAATATTTTTTTCTAGTCAGTGGTTTGTCTTCCTATCTTCTTAACAGGGTCATTCACAGAGCAAAAGTCTGAAATTTTTATGAAGTCTAGTTTATTGATTTTTTTCCTTTGCTTTTAGTGTCATATCTCAGAACTGTTTGTCTAATACTAGGTCACAAATATTTTCCTCTCTGTTTTCTTCTAAAAGTTTTATAGTATTTCATTTTACACTTAGATTTATCATCTATTTTGAGTTAATAGTTTTTAAAAAGGTGAGGTTTCAGTCAAGGTTCTTGTTTTTGCCTATTTATGTCCATTTGTTATGACAATATTTATTGGAAAGAATGTCTTTTCTTCATTGAATTACTTTTGGACCTTTCTAAAAAAATCAGTTGTGCACACTTGTATGGTTTTATTTCTTGTTTCTCTGTACTGTTCCATTGATCTATGCGTTTAACTCACTTCTAATACTATACTGTCTTGATTAATGCAGACATAATTCTTTATTATTTGAAATGTTTTAGGTAAGAACTCACTCTATAGTATTGCCATATATGTTAATATATAATCTGTATTTACATTCAGTTGTGAAATAAGTCTCTGGTAGTGTGTGTTCTGTATCTGAGACATTTGGGGGGTTCATTCTCTTTAAATAAACACTTAATATAAGTCACTTAATATGATTTTTAGTATTGTAGACACTTAATACACAATAAGTCCTCCCCTATTTCTCTTTCTGCTATAGCACTTGTTTGTCATTCAAAAATTAAAGTATCTCACAGTGATTAGTCTTGTGGTCAGCAGATGACCAATCCCAAGACTTGAGATTTTAAGGCAGAAAGTCCAAGTGTGATTTTCTAAAGCAGCAGCATTTTCTGTTTGGGTTGTCAAAATCCAATTGCAAAGCCCAAGCAGAGTCATCCCATTAGGGAACATCAAGACTGGAACATCCCCCAGAAATCATGAATCTAATTAATCATTGAAGTTAGATGCCGATTTAAGGGTAAAAACTTTTGAGAATAAGCACTCTGTTAAATATATATTTATATGGAAAAATGCTAAGCAGAATCTAAATATCAGAAGTAGCAAGAAAATGGCAGTAATTTTCCTCTCATTTAGATCACCTTTGTTACAAAATGTTAAAACAGTCTGACAGAGAAGAAAATGGAAAATACCCTAAAATGCAAAATTTTTTCTATTTTGAATAAAAAAACCAAAGTCATGGAAAACATGTTTAAGTAGTAAGATAATAACTATATGTGTGTGTATGTGTATATACATATGATAATAAAAAGATAATAAAAACATATTTAAGTAGCAAGATAATGACTGTGTGTGTGTTGCGTGTGTATATATATTATACAATTGCTGGGTTGTGTGGTAAGGGAGTGTTTAACTATAAGAAATATATATACACACAACACACACAAAACACCTTTGTAAAAAATCAGTTGTGCACACTTGTATGGATTTATTTCTTTTTTCTCTATACTGTTTCATTGCTCTATGAACCTTTTACAACACTTTTGTAAAAAATCAGTTGTACATACTTGTGTATGTATGTGTATATATATACACACATACATATACAAGTGTACACAACTGTGTGTATATATGTGTATGTATGTTTATATATATGCACATACAGTTATTATCTTTCTACTTAAATGTGTTTTTATCTTACTACTTAAATGTGTTTTTTATATACACACACGTGTATACACACAAACACACACATACATACATATTCAAAGTACTTTCATTAAAGTATTTAACATGGTACACATACGATACAAAATTTTGGTGCTGGCCTAGGAAATATTTACGTTTTCTTAAACGGATATTTTTAGTTAAAAAGTTTAAAAGCAAATACAAATTATTAGAAATATATTTTAAATTATTTTTATAAAAGAGTATCATAGGTCATTCAGAAACATGGAGAAAAAATCACTATGATATAGCAGAGAGGTTTTTTTTGATAAAAAATAAATTGTTAAATTAACTAGTCCATGATAAAAGCTACCTTACTAGCTCTACATTATAAGTAAAAACAAAACATATTTTTTCATCCATTTACATTAGTAACAAACATTTATTTGGGTACTCGGTAAAAGTACCATTTTATTCCATGAGGGGTTCACAGTTTCTAAAGTAAGTCGTAGCATTCTAACTTGAAACCACAGTGTTGGTGCCACTGTTTTAGTGTAGCAGTTTATACTTGAAACAGTGCAGGTATGCATTTAATAAGTGGTGTTTGACAATATTTAGGAATGTCATTATCACCCTTTTACTGTATTCCCACATACTCATAAAAAGCTTTAGAGCTTGAGGAAAGCTTTCTTACATTTTATCTTCATCGATCCTCATCACAACATTCAGAGGTAGGCAGAATAGGAATTATTATCCTCACTTTAAATTATATACTGATAAGATTGCATTTATATTTGTAGGTTTTTGGGTAGCTCTTACACTACTGAACTCCTGCTTGGGGCAAAGTTGCCAAAAAAGACTTCGTTATATAACAACACCAGAGGAGAGCAAAAGACTTCTAGACTTTGGGGGCTATTTAAATTCTGGTGAGTAATAGGTAGAAAAAAATCAATAGTCTTTTATTCTTCTTAGGTACACATACATTACTGGAATATTTATATATTTATATTTAAGTTATTTTATTGTATATGTAACATATAGTGGTATGATATCTAATATAGTTTATATTTTTAATGTAAATTATATTACTTTCATTTTAAATATAAATTATATGTTATGTAATAATATGAATATATTATAAATACATAATGTTTTGATTACATTCTATGGAGATAAGAGAGTTAATCTCTTGGTATATGTTTATGTTATAAACTGAAATGATGAGCATGTTTATAATATACATGGGATATTTTCTTATTCTGTTAAAATTTAATTTTAGTTTATAACATGTATTTCCTAGGCATAAAAATTTTTAAAGAAAAGCATCATCGACTCTTTTGACGATTAAGACAAAAACATTGGAAAACTAATGTGAAAATATAATTTTCAATGTTGTAAAATATGTATTCTTTTGTGACATGACTGGATTTAAGAGGCATTGTCATTTGCATTTTCTGTACTTAACAAGTGATTGTGAGAGACTCTTACTTTAGGTCTAGAGGGAATTTGTGCTAGTTAAGAGAAAGTAAAACATTTTACTGTATAATGTGAATGACCCATAACTCAAAGCTGCCCAAGGCTGATATTTAATTTACATAACAGACACTTTGGCATTTTCTCAATATTTTCAGGAGGGAACTTCATATAAAATACTTCAGTTTTATATTCAGAACACTTGGTATGCAGTGTATATCTGCTATTGTCTGGACTGACCATAAAAAATAAACAAAATAAAACCAATTCTTGTGATTTATAGTCTGTTAAAAATACACATACAGAAGAGATACCATTTTGTGAGTGTGCAGTGAATTTTAAGATAACTGAAGGAGAGTGTTCTAATGTATATGAAATCGAACTAAGAAGAGATCTTTATTCTAATTCCAGCACTATATTGTGTAATTGTAAAATATGGCACTAGAGAAATTGATTCCTATTAATTCTCATTAAAAAGTAATTGATGGGGAGAAGTTTTATGTTATGGCTTAGGAGATTATTTGAGATAATTCATGGATTTCAACATCCTGTACGATCTTTGTTACTATAGAAAATTATCTCTAACATTATCCACATGTACCTTATATTTGTTTCTTTGACAGTTAATTTAACCAATAGCAGAGGTGTATTTAATGTATTATCTGTATTACAATGAAGAGTGTGGGGGAAGGCAGACAAGGAGAGGCGAGGGAGGGGAAGAAGAGAGTCAATAATTACTGAATGCTTACAATAAGCTGGGCACTTTTTACCATGTGCCTCATGCAACCCTCACAAGTGCTCTTCAAATGAGTCATTTTTATCAACAATTTTTACATAGGGAATATGAAGCCTAGAGGCAGGGCTAGTATGATGACTGTGGAACTCTGCAGTCGCACAGAGCCCCACACTTAGAGGGGCCCCCACTCTTGGTTTAATGCTTTGCTGTTGCCATATTGAAATTTTCAATAATTTTTTTAACAAGGGGCCCCATGTTTTTGTCTTGCACTGGGTCCTACAAATTTTGTAGCTGGTCTTGCCTGGAGAGGTTAAACCCCTTTACTCAAATTAAGGTCTATGTCACGCCAAAGCACAAGGCCAGAATAAAACACCTGCTTTGCTCCTCTCCACCTACACCACCAAACAGACGTTCTTGGACTATTTATTTAGCAGAGAGGCTGACAGTTGGCAGGGGAGGAGGGAGGAAGAAGAAAGATCTCTAATAGTAGTGCTCAGCTTTTCCTCTTTTGCCTTCAAACTGATGTATCTCTCATAAAAACCAAAGCACTATGGTGCATAGGTTCCATTTTCTGAGAAAGTTGGTAATATTTATCAGCTACTTTACTAACAATTCATCTCCCACAACAACACATTAAAAAATTCTTCTCAACCTTTTATAGTATTTTTCCAGAGAGAAATTCCAAGGAAAACAAAAACAAACCAAAAAACCCTCCACTTTTCTTCATCTCTTTACAGTTTCATTCATGTCTTGGTATGCATTATATTCTGGAATCCCAGGGCACCTGTACCACTGGCACAGCCTTTAATTAGCTTCTGTTAAATCACATGGCCTTTCCTTTCTATAAGGCTGTAGTTCCTAATCACAGGTTATCTGTAACTCTCTGGGTAAAAAGTAAAGACTTGTGCTGAGACGGATCTTTGCCTCTGGGCTTTGAACCATGCCTTAAGTCATTTAGGCCACAGGCTACAAATAAACAAAATAAAACATGAGTCAAACCTATCCTAGGCCTGCAGAGTGGCTCACACCTGTAATCCTAACACTTCAGGGGACTGAGGCAGGAAGATCACCTGAGCTCAGGAGTTAGAGACCAGCCTGGGCCAGCGAGGCCACCTCTACAAAAAAAATAATAATGATATTAAAAAGTTGGCCCAGCATGCTGGCGTGTGCATGTAGTCCTAGCTACTTAGGAGGCTAAGGCAGGGAGTTTGATTGCCTGAGCCCAGAAGTTTGAGGCTGCAGTTAGTCATGATTGTGCCACCACACTCCAGCTAGGGTGACAGAGCCAGGCCTTGTCTCAACAAAACAAAACAAAACAAAACAAAACAAAAACAAACAAAGGAAAACCTATCCTAATCTTTTCTTACTCAGAGCCACAGATCCTCAGCCTGGGAGCCGACTAAACAGTGTACAGTATCTATATATATTCTTTTTTTTTCATTCATTCATTCCTTCTTCCATTCTACCTCAAACATTTATTAAGTCCTGAGTATGAGCCAGGCACTGAGGTAGGTAATGCCAGTAGAAAATAAATGAGATATGTGGTCCGTTCTTCGATACACAGAGTTAAGCAGTGATATGGGTGAAATATCACGTGGAAGCATGGGGAAAGAGCAATCAGGTACACATGGCAAATGCTAGTTCTTTATTTATTTATTTATTTATTTATTTATTTATTTACATGGAGTCTTGCTCTGTCGCCCAGGCTGGAGTGCAGTGGCATGATCTTGGCTCACTGCAACCTCCGCCTCCCAGGTTCAAGCGATTCTCCTGCCTCATTCTCCCTAGTAGCTGGGATTACGGGCACGCGCCACCACGCCCGGCTAATTTTTTGTATTTTTAGTACAGACTGGGTTTCACCATGTTGACCAGGCTGGTCTCGAACTTCTGACCTCAGGGGATTCACCTGCCTCAGCTTCCCAAAGTGCTGGGATTACAGGTGTAAGCCACTGCACCCGGCCCTGCGCTAGTTCTTAAAGGACAAAGCAGAGTTCACTAAACGAGAGGATTTCCCAAATTGTATCCTCCATGCAGACAGGCACTTTTTGTCTTGTCTACATTGAGCAGGCTTACTGGCCCATAGAAGTCTCTCAGTATGTATTTCTGGCCAACTGCCTAGAACAGGGCATTCTAAGGGAAAGGAAAGCACAGGCAGAACCTCCTAGTAGTGAGAAGATTGGTGACATCTAAGGAATAGAGAAAAGTTTAATGAAGCAGGAGGTCTGGCAGAGGAAGGAAAAGAAAATGAGGCTAGGAAGATTTTGCCCATACTAATTATAGCTCCATGTGCCACACTTATGATTTTATCCTAGAAACATCAGGAAGTAGAAGTATTTAGGCAAATGAGTGGCATGGGCAGCTATTAGTGGGGCCAGCATTAGAAAAGGTAAGATGTCAGGATATGTTTTGGTTGGTCTGATCAGTTTGACCAGTATTAGAGATAACTGCATTTGGCTGCAGAGCCTGGCACCCCTTATCAAATCCTTTGAAATGATAATGTGAACTCTGCTCTGGTCTAATTCTATGACTAGATGAAGGCAAAGCCTGGGAAAAACAGCTTATCCTTGATTGTATAATGCCTATTTTAAAAAGCTATAGGTTGTCAATACCCAGGCTTGTAAGCCAGCCAGGGAGACTACCCCAGGTTCATGGATACGGACAAAAGACAGAAACACAATTTTGCTGGAATGATTTTGCTAGAAAAAAAAAACCCTAAAAAACAGAAACACAAGACTCCTGGATCAGGGACAAAGGACTGTTATTCATGGCACAGAAATTAACATGAGATTTATGTAGGCATTTGTTTGTTTCCTGTGTGATGTGAGAGACCCAGGTAGATGCTGTATATGCAGTGGGGTTGTGTCACAGGTGAAGAACTCTGAACTCTGGGGACCCTGATCTTTTGTACTAGAATGAAAGCAAACCTGCCAGACCTTTGCTTTGGAGGGAGACATTATCTTTGTTATACTGGACAGTAAACAAACCTGCTCTCTGTTCCATAGGGAGACACTATCTCTTTTAAGGCTGTTTGCCATACAAACATGCTTAAAAAGATAATCCAGAACAAAGACAGTCAGAGTCTGCACTATTGTATTGAATGGCCACATTGTTCTTCCTAAGAAATTGAAAAAAAAATTAAGGATAGAGATTAGATGTAATTGACTACTCTTGCTACCTTACATTCAAACTACTTGTTTTAAAACTATATATATTATATTCATTCCTTATGAATAAAACTTTACTGTTTATTTTCAGATATCCATGTACAAATGTTTAATGTAACTGCTTGTAAATTATTAAAGGGAGAACTCAGTTAGATGTGGTTGGGGTTGGGCGTGGTGGCTCATGCCTGTAATCCCAGCACTTTGGGAGGCCGAGGCGGGTGGATCGCTTGAGGTCAGGAGTTTGAGACCAGCCTGGCCAACATAGTGAAACCCTGTCTCTACTAAAAGTACAAAAATTAGCCAGGTGTAGTGGCGGGCACCTGTAATCCCAGCTACTCGGGAGGCTGAGGCAGAAGAATCGCTTGAACCCAGGAGGCAGAGGTTGCAATGAGCCGAGATCGCACCATTGCACTCCAGCCTGGGCAACAAGAGCAAAACTTTGTCTCAAAAAAAAAAAAAAAAAGACGTGTATCATATTAAATAAACAATGCCATTCAAATAATTTACATATTCTCCAAAGCATAATACACTAATAGTGTGCTAAAAGTCCACTTTTAGTGTTATAACTAATATTCAATAGATATATTAGTTTATCTGTATTTGATTTAATATTGACATTGGTATAATGAATAGATTTGAATAAAAACACAGATAGATGTTCAATTCTAGAAAGCGGCATAATTTAATAAATAAAAAAGCTAATCATTTAAAATTTGCAAATTTTTTACTTAATGACATGCTTTATATATGTGTAAATATACCCTCTGACCTTTGTGGCTGTGAATTCAGCTATTCTAATTATGGTAAAAGAGTTAACAGCTCGATACATGTGGTAATATTAAAATTTTTAAAATTATAAAATCCTTTCAATATAAACACAGATTACAGCAAATTAAAGCATATGGAAAGTTAGGGTATGCTTTGTGACTTCACTTTTTTTAATCAAAGAAGAAAAAAATGTTTTTCATGTTAAATTGTCTTTTTTCTTATTAAAGCCAATCTAAATAAGGCTGTCTGTGATGGTTCTATGAAGAAAATATCTATAGTCTCATAAATGCAACTATTTTGTAGCAGGTTGAATTCATGAGTTTTCATGATTGTTTCTACTCCTGCTTTACGTCATTCTTTCCCTTCAATCCCTTTGCCTCTTTCGTGCCCATTCTCTTTTTTTTCTCCCCCTATTTATGAATATAACACATTTGCAGTAAAGTATTCAAATCTTAAGCATATAGCTTGATGAATTTTAAAAATATGGTACACTCAGGTAATCATCACCCAGACCAAAATGCAGACCATTTCCAGTACCTCAGAAGGTTCTCTTGTGTCTTCTTCAAGTAGATATCCTCCTGCCAAAAAGCAGTCACTAATCTCTGTTGGGTAGTTTTGCCTGATCTTGAACTTCATAGAAAGTCTTTTGTTAGTTCAACATTAGGTCTAAAAAATTAATTCATATTATTACAAGTAGCTACTGTGTATTTTTTTATTGCTACATAGTGTTTCCTTATGTGACCATATCACAATTTATTTATCTATTCTACTATTGATGGACATATAGTTGTATGGTGTTGTATTTTTTCTAATTTTTGGCCATTATAATAAAACTAATATAAACATTCTCGACATATGTTCTGGTGGACATATATGCTCATTTCTATCAAGTATATCTAGGAATAGTATTGCTGTGTCATATGACTGGCATATGTTTAGCTCTAGTAGATATTGCCTAAATGTTTTACAAAGTGGCTGTACTGATTTACGTTTCCGTCAGCACAGTCAGAGTTCTGATTGCTCTAGATTCACATCAATACTTTGTATTTCCAATCTCATTTTAGCTATTTTGGTGGGTATGACATAATATCTGTTGTGGTTTCAGCTGGCATCTCCTTGATGACTAACGATATTGAGCACATTTTCATACATTTATTGGCTCTTTGTATATCCTGTTTTATAAAGTGCTAGTTCAAGTATGTTGCCCATGTTTTAAAATTGAGTTTTCTATCTTTTATTATTTGATTTGTAGGAATTCATTATATATTCTGGATATGAGTTTTCATCAGATGTATGTATTACAAATATTTTCTCTCACCGTGTCTTGAATTTCTAATCTCTTAATGGTGACTCAAAAAGCAGAAGTTCTCAATGTCAATGAAGTCCTATTTGCCCATTTCTTTTTTATGATTAGTGCTTTTTGTGTTTTGTTTAAAAAAGCATTGTCTTCTCTGAGGACATAAAAATATTCTTCTAGGCTGGACGCGGTGGCTCATACCTGTAATCCTAGCACTTTGGGAGGTCGAGGTGGATGGATCACTTGAGGTCAGGAGTTCAAGACCAGCCTGGCCAACATGGTGAAACCCTGTCTCTACTAAAAATACAAAAATTAGTTGGGCAGGTGGCTCACACCTGTAATCCCAGCTACTCAGGAGGCTGAGGCAGGAGAATCATTTGAACCTGGGAAGCGGAGGTTACAGTGAGCTGAGATTGTGCAGCTAGCTGCACTCCAGCCTGGGTGACAGAGCGAGACTCTGTCTCAAAATAAATAAATAAATAAATAAATAAGAAAAAGATATTCTTCTATATTTACTTCTATAAGCTTTATTGTTTTATTCTTCACATTTAAGTGTAGGACCCATATGAAACTAATTTTTCTGTATGATATGAAGGTCAACGTTCACTTATACCTATATGAATGTAAATTAACCTAGCACCATGTATTGAAATGATCACTCTTTCTTCAGTGCATTGCAGTGGTACCTTTGTTATTAGTAAATAAAAACTGGCTGTGTAGAGATGAGTCTTTTTCTTAATTCTATATTCTAATCCATCTCTCTATTCTTGTACCAATTTTACTGTTTAAATTATTGTAACTTCATAATAAATCTTCATATCTGATAGTGTAAGACCATTAACTTTGTTCTTTTTAAAAATTATTATTGCTTTTGTCCATGTGCATTTCAAATTAAATTTTAGAATCAGCTTATCAATACACACATGTGCATGCATGTGTGTGTGCACAAATACACATAACTACTAGGATTTTAATTGGGAATACTATTGTTATTGCTTAACAATAATGAAAAACATAAAAATATTGTATTTCCTGGTATATCTCTGTGATGGTTAATTTTTTAATTTATTAAATGGTTAGTTTTTTTATTTAACTTTTAGTTTCAGGGGTACATGCGCAAGTTTGTTATATAGGTAAACTCATGTCCTGGGGGTCTGGTGTACAGATTATTTAATCACCTAGCTAATAAGCACAGTACTTGATAGGCATTTATTTCTAATCCTCTCCCTCCTCCCACCCTCTACCTTCAAAGGCCCTAGTGTCTGTTGTTCCCTTCTTTGTGTCCATGTGTTCTCATTATTTAGCTCCCATATGATGGCTAATTTTATGTGTCAACTTGACTGGAACACAGGATACCCAGATTAAACATTATTTCTGGAGATGTTTGTGAAGGTGTATTTGGACAACATCAGAATTGGAATTGGACTCAGTAAAGTAGACTGCCCTCCTCAATGTGAGTGGGCCTCATTGATCTATGGAGGGCCTGAATAGAAAAACGTAGAAAAAGGGGAAATTCGTTCCTTCTGCCTGACTGAGCTGAGACATCAGTCTTCTCCTGCCTTTGACTGGGATGTATGCCATTAGCCCTTCAGTTCCCAGAAGTACCCCACTGGCTTTCCTGAGTACCCGGCTCATAGGGTACAGATAGTGGGACTGCTCAGCCTCCATAATCTCATGAGCCATTTCTTTATTATAAATCACACACACACACACACACACACACGTGCACACCTTATCATCCGATTGTTTCTGTTTCTCTGGTGAAACTTGACTAATACAACTCCTAGCAAATTAAGTTGTAATTAGGATTTGGAATAGGGGAGAAAAAGAGATGGAAATAACACAAATATAAAACCAGTTTTGCAGGCAATAACAATTACTGCATGGGGGTGTGTGCAGTGGCTTATGCCTGTAATCCTAGCACTTTGGGAGGCCAAGGTGGGTGGATCACTTGAGGTCAAGAGTTCGAGACCAGCCTGGCCAACATGGTGAAGCCCCATCTCTACTAAAATTACAAAAACTAGCCAGGTGTGGTGGCGCATGCCTGTAATCCCAGCTACACTGGAGGCTGAATGAAGCAGGAGAATCGCATGAACCCGGGAGGCGGAGCTTGCAGTGAGCCCACATCGCACCACTGCACTCCAGCCTGGGCGGCAGATTGAGACTCAGTCTCAAAAAACGAAACAAAGAAAAAAAAAACCCCAAACAATTACTGCATCAAATGTTAACAGCTTTTCCTTCCTGAAAAAAAGACAAAATTATTTAAGTGGTTTTGGAGACAGGTATAAGGTAACTTTGAAATTCATGAATGTTCAAACTTCCTCCCACATGCCATGCATTACATGCCCCATCGTCCTGCTTTACAAGAGTGAGTTGAACAGTTAATGTAGATTGGTTATTTTTGTATTAATATAAGTAAAATTGAGTATAAGTACATTAAATTGTATTTATTGTTAATATTTAATGATATAGTAATGTCATTAACATTTTTAGAAGAAATTTTGTAATTACTATCTATGTTGTTAATGTCTTTCCTTGTTTTCTTATAACAGACTTCAAGTGTATACAAAATAAGTTAAATAAGAGGTTTTTTTTCTGTGTCTTTTTTTTGTTTGTTTTTTTACTTTTATTTTAAGTTCAGCGGTACATTTGCAGTTTGTTATAGAGGTAAACTTGTGTCATGGGGGCTTACTGTACAGATTATTTAATCACCCAGGCATAAAGCCTGGTACTCATTAATTATTTTTCCTGATCCTCTCCTTCTTCCCACCCTCTACCCTCCTATAGGTCCCAGTGTATGTGTTTGTGTGTGTTAAGTTCCTATGTGAAGTAAACTATAGTGTAATGATTCAGTAGAATCAGAACACTGAAGAAAAGGGGGCGTCTCTAGAGAGATTGGATCAACTTAAGAGAGGTCTGCATTTTAGTGTTCACATGATCAAGAAAATCAATTAAATAACAAATGAAGGTTGCTAAATATTGCATTTATGATTGTTAGAAATAAACTGTACCTTGGGGATATATAAATTATTAACCCCCCCAAAGACTGAGGTTGGAATTTATTTTGTTTCACACATTTGTAAATGAAACAGAAAAAGAGGGTAATAAAGTTTCAAATTCTGCAGAGAGCTTGACCAAATATGGAAAGACAAACTTATATGCACAAACTTTGGAAAGACTTACTGAGGCTGGTAAGGCTGTGAAGTGTTTCATTATTTTTTTTAGTATAGACATAAGGAAAAATTATAAAATAATGTACCTACATTATTTTAACCCCAAATTCTTAATTTTTGATTCAGGACTTCAGACACATTTCAGATTGACTGCTGAAGTTAATTTTAAAGGAGGTCTGGGAGAGAATAGGTAGCTGAGAAGAAAGGTGGTACAGTCCTAAACTTAGATCACATGAAGGAAGAACTGGAGCCAAGAAGAGAAAAAGAGAATATTTACAGGATGAAGAATGAATAGCAAAGCAAACACTGAGGTAATGTGGCATGTCATAGGAGCCAAGGTAGAAAGAATATGAGCTGAATATGGTCAACAATGTCATATGGAGTGGAGAAGTAAAAAGAATGGAAACTGAAAAGGGCTAATGTCTTGATATTTATCAGGTCATTAATGACACTGACTATGAAAGAAATAAGTAGAACATTTCAGTCCAAAGGTAAAAAGGGTTTTAATCAAAATTCATAATATGAAAGATCTGCAAAGGGTAATTCACACGGACTTGTTCACTGACTCCTGTGGAACTAGAATGGGGGCATCCTTTGAGATTTAAAAGAAGAAAAATGTAAAACAAGGAAATGGAACTAGAATTTTACATAATGGATATTAAAATTATGGAAATGTATTACTTCGACATTCAGTATAGGTTGAAATAAATGTATTTAAAAACATTTAGGTACCTGCATGGCTGATAGATTCCCAACAAGCTCTGGAGAAAATGTCTTGACATTCTACAGTTAACATAATGGAGGGCAAACATGCCCTCCCACAAACCATTTGTTTATACTGTTTATAGGGACAGAATTCTCTAGCCAGTAAAGCTGAGATGTGTACCAGTATGACATTTCTTATTAGTTTATGTGTGGATAATTGCATATTTTTTAAAACAGAGAGAAAAAAATTACAAATCTCTTACACTAAAAATAAAGTGTCTTAGATCCCTTGGGAAAATGCTGCCTGATAAATTAAAGATGAATCAATGATTAAGGCAAAAGAAAGAACTGCAATAACAACACAGAACTGTCTTTCTAGTCCTGAGAGAAAGAAATCAAGGTGTTACTTTCTAATTTATTTATTTTTGAAATT
The DNA here is from genome assembly GCF_000001405.40 of Homo sapiens. Lineage (NCBI taxonomy): Eukaryota > Metazoa > Chordata > Mammalia > Primates > Hominidae > Homo > Homo sapiens. The sequence continues at coordinate 96,625,600 of NC_000001.11, read as the reverse complement.
AAAAATATTTTAAAAATTACACATTTAGCAGAATTACCAGATATTATTTGTGTATTTCATTATAGATATTTTAAGGTTTTTTTTCAAATTAGAAACACCAGAGAGCATTAATTCTAAGGAATTCAGTGTATTTTATAGATATCAAAACCTAATTACTGATAAGATACTTAGCAAAATGTTATAAAATAAGAAATCACATCTCTGTTTTATAAGTTGAGAAACTGAAAATCAATAACTTGTTCTGAGTCACCTACTGACTGCCACCATTCAAATTTTATTTTGTTGGAAGAAGCAGAGAGTGGGATAAAATCCTTTAACAGGAGGATTTAGAAGATTTAAGCGGTATTCAGTCTACCATGGGCTCCATGGTAACCATACAGGCTATGCAAGCTGTTCGCTGAATAGCCAAAACATTCAGGTAGAAAAATGTCAAGCCAACCAACATTGAAATTTGAACACTTTAATTCTCTCAGCTTGAAATCCAAGCTTTCAGCACAAGTGCCTTGGTGGAGTCCACTATTTTTTGGCTATTGTAGCCAATGTGAATCATTTAAAAACTGAAGTTATCGGTAAACTGTTCTCTCTAGTACAAACTCCTTCCAGTTCTGAGAAGTTGGTTTTGCTTCAGCTCTGTTCTTGGATAAAATTTTGGAGGGCAGCTGGCATGTTCTTCTCCACTTGGCCAGCTAAGGCAATCCAGGCAGGGGTAATTTGTTGTGCTTAGAAATTGGGACACCTGAGGTACAAACAAAACACCATTGATATTTAAGCAGAACAAAACTAAGACTAAGATCTGTCACACTGGGTGGAAACCTGTACTTGTACATTTTCATCTGTCTTCAATTCATTCAATAATCTATGCCTTCATCTATTTAACAGTTACAATGGGACCCTGTACCAAAACGTGTGCTGTAAGGCAACTGTGAGCTTGCAGGAGGGGAAAAGATTACTCAAAGGATGATTTCAACTTGAAGAGCTCATGCTCTTATTGGAGGAGTGTGAAAGGGGCAACAGACACTGCAATAAATGTTGTGTATCCCTTATCCAAAATGTATGGGACCAGAGTGTTTTGAATGCTGAATTTTTTTGAACTTTGGAATATTTGTGCATATGTAATGAGATATTTTCAGAATGGGACTCAATGGGAAATTCGTTTATGTTTCATATAATACCTTACATACTGTATTAGTCCATCCTCACGTTGCTATAAAGAAATACCCGAGACTGGGTAATTTACAAAGAAAAGAGGTTTAATTAGCTCACGGTTCTGCAGGCTGTACAGGAAGCATAGTGGCATCTGCTTGGCTTCTGGAGATGCCTCAGAAAACTTACAATTATGGTTGCAGTTGAAGGGGGAGCAGACATTTCACATGGCCAGAGCAGGAGGAAGAGAGAAAGCAAGGGAGGAGGTGCTATGCACTTTTAAACAGCCAGATCTTGCGAGAACTGACTCACTATCACGAGAACACCAAGAGGATGGTGCTGAACCATTCATCAGACATCACCCTCATGATACAATCACCTTCCCCCAGGCTCCACCTCTAACAATTCGTTGTGAAATTTCGGCGAGGAGAAAGATCCAAGTTATATCACATATGTAACCCGAAGGTAATTTTGTTTTTTTCTTTGGGGATGCTGGATAAACTGTATGTTACGCACCTGTGTTTGTACTACAACCCATCACATTAGGTCAGGCGTGAAATTTTCCACTTGTGGCATCATGTTAGTGTTCAAAGCGTTTTGCATTTTGGAGCATTTCAGATTTCAGATTTTCGAGTAAGGGATGTTCAACCTGTGTAAATTTTTTTTTTTTTTTTAGGTGGAGTCTCGCTCTGTCATCCAGGCTGGAGTGCAGTGGGGTGATCTCAGCTGACTGTAACCTCTGCCTCTCAGGTGTCAGGCCTCTGAGCCCAAGCTAAGCCATCATATCCCTGTGACCTGCACGTATACATCCAGATGGCCTGAAGCAAATGAAGAATCACAAAAGAAGTGAAAATGGCCAGTTCCTGCCTTAACTGATGACATTACCTTGTGAAATTCCTTCTCCTGGCTCAGAAGCTCCCCCACTAAGCACCTTGTGACTCCCACCCCTGCCCGCCGAAGAACAACCCCCTTTGACTGTAATTTTCCATTACCTACCCAAATCCTACAAAATGGCCCCACCCCTATCTCCCTTCGCTGACTCTCTTTTCAGACTCAGCTTGCCTGCACCCAGGTGAAATAAACAGACTTGTTGCTCACAAAAAGCCTGTTTGGTGGTCTCTTCACACGGATGCGTGTGACATCAGGTTCCAGCAATTCTCTGCCTCAGCCTCCCGAGTAGCTGGGATTACAGGCACCCGCCACCACACCCGGCTAATTTTTGTATTTTTAGTAGAGGCGGGGGTCTCATCATATTGGCCAGGTTGGTCACGAACTCCTGACCACGTGATCCACCCACCTCAGCCTCCCAAAGTGCTGGGATTACAGGCATGAGCCACTGTGCCCAGCCCCAACCTGTGTAATTTAATGGGCACTCTTGGAGAAGTAAATACAAGTTGTTGGAAGAGTATCAAGCAGGGTGTGACTCCATGTTTGGAAGATCTGGAGAGGCTTTCAAAGAGGAAGGGAATTTTGGAAAGTGAGTTGGAGCTTTTGTACAGAGAAGTAAGGATAAGGGAGGTAGAGTCTAGGGGTCTACAGGTCTTCCTATACTGATGAAAATATAGATGATCCTACCCTGCATACTTGGTCTTTTCCTTTTTAGATTGCAAGTATTTTGAGGGCAAACACCATGTCTTGAGTATTGTTCCATTCCTTACAATATCTAGTCCAGGTCATTGGATCTAGTCATTATTCAATAAATGTGTGTATTTTCAATAACTGAAGTTCAGATGATTTCTGTATCTACCATTTTCACAAATGTAAATATTTTCTCCACCACTAATAGAATATTACATTTTAGGTGAATAAAACTTTTTGTTCAGTTAGGTCTTAGAGATTAATGGCTCTGATCATGAGTGAGATCCTCTTTATCAGCAAAAAATGTTTGTTACATTTCTATAAATTACCTGAAATTTCAATTCGTCTTGAATTCTCCTGTGCTCTGTGGAGGTCATGTTCTGTCACCCTTGAACAGCAGCAGCAGCTTTGACAGAACCTGTCTGAATAAGGAAAAGGTGGAGCAGTCAGTGAGATAGGATCTTCAGCTCGGTCCCAAGGCTTGGAGTCCTGACCACTCCCATCCCATGGGGAGAAATGATGGTCTCATTTCTTGGAGCTCCTGACAAAACAAGAATCCTTCCCACCCCACACCAATAGTCATAGGGTAATAATAATACCAGCAATAAAAGAAAGATAGGTATTTATAAAACAAGGCATATGTAAAATGACTCCTAATTGGAAGAGTTTTCATAACTTTTCAGCAGAGAAATACACACAAATCACTTCTTAGCACTGGAAATTAGCTGATTTAGTACATAATCGTAGACAATGACTATATGAGGAGTCAGTCAAATCAGTCTCATTTATACATAACCGTGTTTCAAGGCATCTCTCAAATTATATGAGAAAATAGTCTGATGTGTGACTATGTAACTTAAAGTTCTTATTGTATTATATACACATTTAAAGTTTTCTGTATAGTATGCTGTTTTGACATCTTTTACAAAGGAAACCAACAACAACAAAAAAAAAACACGAACAAACAAACCCCAATCTTTCTGGCAGGGAGGGACTGGCCTCTCCTGGGGCCAGTATGCTTTTTGTATTAGTCCATCCACACACTGCTATAAAGAAATACCTGAGATTGGGTAACTTAGAAGAAAAGAGGTTTAGCTGGCTCATGGTTCTGTAGGCTGTTCAGGAAGCGTGGTAGCATCTGCTTCTGAGGAGGCCTCAGGGAGCTTTCAGTCATGACAGATGGCAAAGCAGAAGCAAGGCATGGAACTTCCTGCTCCCAGGATATTTCTCTTTTCTGTTATGAAGTACAACCCATGCTGCTAAGATACGAGCAGGAGGAGGTATCCTTTGCTAAATCCTGTTTGAATATCATTGTAAATAAAGCCTCTGCTCTCAGATGTAATTAAAAAAAAAAAAAAGGCCAGGTGCCATGGCTCACACCTGCAATCCCAGCCCTTTGGGAGGCCTAGATGGGTGGATCACCTGAGGTCAGGAGTTCGAGACCAGACTAGCCAACATGGTGAAACCCGTCTCTACTAAAAAAAAAAAATTTTTTTTGTACTTTCTGGAAAGACTTACTTGTCTCCCACATGATGGAGGTGGCACATATTATTAAACTTGCTTGTTTTTCTCTTGTTAATCAGTCTTTTGTGTTAGAAGGGTGTCTCAACTATGATCCTATGAAGATTGAGGAAACATTACACGGCTGGAGTAGGAGGAAGAGAAAGTGAGGGGACAGGTACTGAACACTTTTAAACAACCAAATCTTGTGATAGCTTGCTCATTCACTATCATTAGAACAGCACCAAGACTGGGCCAAACCATTCATGAAGGACCACCCTTGATCCAATCACCTCTCACCAGGCCCTACCTCCAACACTGGGGATTATAATTCAACATGAGACTTGGGAAGGGACACAAATCCAAATCATATCACTTTTCTCTTGTTAACCTGTCTTTTGTTATAGGTGCCTCAGCCATGAACCTAGTGATGGAAAAGGAAAATAAATATTTTCTCTCCTACACAAATTTTACTCCTATTTTGTAGATGAAAAAGGAGGCTTATGGAAATTAAATTTCACCAAGGTCATTCAGCTAATAAGTACTATGTGAATTAGAATTTAGGTTCAACTTTTTCTCACTCAAATATTTTTATGCACTTTTCTATTATTCAAAAGCACTGGCTTTTAATCCTAATTGTAGATCAGAATTACCTAAGAAAGATTGTTTTTTAAGCTTTGATGATCAGGTCCTTTCCTTGGGGATGCTAATTTAATATATTTGGATGCATATTGGATATCATTTTTTTGAAAATTTCACTAGTGTTTCTGATGTACCTAACATTTAGAGCACTCAATGCCTTAAAGGGTCTTAAATAACATACTGTATGTTGAAGGAAGCCAGGCTATTTCACCCCCAAGCATGCCTCTGTGACAGATACATTTTTAATCTAGAGGCAATTGGGAAGCAGCAGTTACAGAAACGGCTATCTGAGCTGTCCTTTCTCACCTATGGCAGGCCATAAAAATTTCTGTGAAAAAAATGCAGGGGGGCTTCTGTCTTTCTTCTGCTTGCCTAAAGACAGAATATAAATCCTCCTTTGCTGGAGACAGCTGTTATCTGTTCAAAGTTGACACCAGCATGGCTAGAGGAATCTGGGAGCAAACTCTGCTGCCTTCCATAGACTTCCTGCTTTGGGGAGTCTGAAGCTACTCCCTCCTTTGTCTTATTACTGCTCGAAAATGCATTGCTCTGTGTTAAAATACTATTTAAGGAAGGCTCCTAACCCACTGCTTTGGAAGAGTTACTTTCCTGAAAAACTTACTTGTCTCTCACATGATGGGTGTGACACATATTATTAAACTTGCTTGTTTTTCTCTTGTTTATTGGTCTTTTGTGTTAGAAGAGTGTCTCAACTATGATCTTTTGAGGGTTGAAAAACATTATAATTTCTTCCCTTCAAAATGCACTGGAAATGATCATTTGAAATACAATAATAAGATTTATGCTTCAGAGTATTTTTATTGACTGATCTAATCAGGCCAAGATATTTACCTGCTTTGGAAAGGGGACATGGTGATGTTAGAAAAGGAATACCAAGAAAAATGGTTAGTATTCAGCTCTGATTCCCAAATAGGACTTTGTAGGAGGCTATAGTTTCAAGAGTCAGGGTATGCCAAGAGAGATATAAAGACCAAGCATGGAATGTTCAAAAGGTAGAGACTGCTTCCTGATATAGAGAGACAAATCCTGTTTCACTTAGAACTAAAGATTTTTGCCTCAGACAGAAGAGAGGTATGATGTGTAGGAAGTAGAGAGTCCAAAGCCTGCCCTATTTGGTCCTGGTAGAAAATGATTAGAAGAAGATAGGGAAAGGAGAAACAGAATTAGTAACAGAAACAACCACAAAAACAATAAGTTCTTATATTGCTTACCATGGGCCAGACACAGCTCTGAGCATCGTGATGGTTAATATTGAGTGCCAACTTGATTGGATTGAAGTATGCAAAGAATTGGTCCTGGGTGTGTCTATGAGGATGTTGCCAAAAAAGATTAACATTTGAGTCAGTGGACTGAGAGAGGCAGACCCACCCTCAGTCTGGGTGGGCACCATCTAAACAGCTGCCAGCAAGGCTAGAATAAGGCAGGCAGGAGAAGGTGGAAAGAGCTGACCTGCTGAGTCTTCCAGTCTTCATCCTTCTCCTGTGCTGAATGCTTCCTGCACTCAAATATCAGACTCCAAGTTCTTCAGATTTTGAAATCTTGGACTTACACAAGTGGTTTGCTAGGGACTCTCGGGCCTTTGGTCACAGATTCAAGGCTGCACTGTTGGCTTTTGAGATTTGGGACTCGGACTGATGCACCACTGGTTTCCTTGCTCCTTAGCTTGTAGATGGCCTACCGTGGGACCTTACATTGTGATCGTGTGAGTCAATTCTTCTTAATAAACTCCCTTTCATATATACATAAGTCCTCTTAGTTCTGTCCCTTTAGAGAACCCTAATACAAGCACCATACCTTTTTAAACTTATTTAATTCTTAGAGTAACTATGAGGAGGAAAAGATTATTATAGTACCCATTTTACAGATGAGGAAATTGGAGCACAGAGACATGAGGTGACTTACCCCAGGGTATACAGCTTGGATACTGCTGGGGCAGGAACCTAGGCACTGGAGCAGTCCATCTTAGCTAGTGATTTATTTTCCGAAGGAAATATGAAACAAGGCGTATTTCCTAGGCATGCAAGGGAGAGACTGTAAGCTTTTAGACTGGAGAAGTGCATGTGGGCACACATGCCACACATACACAGTACACACTCTCTTCACCACCACCACTCTTTTCCAGCATGGCTCAAAGCTATGGTGCAACATCATTAGTGGGAAGTGGCCAGATAGGTAAGCTTAAACTCCATCTTCCCCACAGCTTGCCTCTGCATGGCTGGCAGGTAACAAGTAAGGGACCCAAAGTAGGGGGCTTAACACACCCCAGTGAAGAAGTGCAGGAGTGCCAAATCGGCCTGTGGCTCACCAGAGACTTGGGATTGGGATGAGATTTCTGTGAATTGTCCCTTCAAGAACAGAGGCAAATAAATGGCTGAAAGCCACATTCCAATGGAGACACCGGAACATTAAGCCTACATAGTAGAAGGAACCAGTCACATTTAATAGCTACCAGTCTAGAGGACAACAGTTCTGCCATTTCGTAACAGAGATATTGCTGGATCTGAAGAACCTAGAACAATCTCTTCAAATAACTCAAGTTTTAAGGACAAATGTCAACTCTTTCAGATTTTTACTTGCTACTCTTTTCTAAGTTATAATCTGACTAATGAGTGGTTTATATGACTTCATGGAAGCAGAGGGATTTAGAATGCAGGCAACACTAGGAGCTTCTGAAATCCAGCCCAAGATTGGCTAAGGGTGTGGCTTAAGATTTGGAATTTAGTCCGTTCCAAGATGGCTGAATAGGAGCAGCTCTAGTCTGCAACTCCCAGTGCGATCGATGCAGAAGACTGGTGATTTCTGCAATTCCAACTGAGGTACCTGGTTCATCTCATTGGAACTGGTTGGACAGTGGGTGCAGCCCATGGAGGGTGAGCTGAAGCAGGGCGGGGCATCACCTCACTCAGGAAGTGCAAGGGGTTGGGGGATTTCCCTTTCCTAGCCAAGAGAAGCAGTGACAGACTGTACCAGGAAAATCAGGACACTGCCACCTAAACACTGTGCTTTTCCAATAGTCTTAGCAAATGGCACACCAAGAGATTATATCCCGTGCCTGGCTCATAGGGTCCCACGTCCACAGAGCCTTGCTCACTGCGAGTCTGAGATCAAACTGTGAGGCAGCAAGCCTGGCTGGGGGAGGGGCGTCTGCCATTGCTGAGGCTTAAGCAGGTAAACAAAGCGGCCCCAGGGAAGCTCAAACTGGGTGGAGCCCATTGCAGCTCAACAAGGCCCACCTGCCTCTGTAGACTCCACCTCTGGGGGCAGGGCATAGCTGAACAAAAGGCAGCAGAAACTTCTGCAGACTTAAAAGTCCCTGTCTGACAGCTCTGAAGGGAGCAGTGGTTCTCCCAGCACAGTGTTTGAGCTCAGAGAATGGACAGAGTGCCTCCTCAAGTGGGTCCCTGACCTCTTGTAGCCTAATTTGGAGACACCTCCCAGTAGGGGCCAACTGACACCTCATACAGGTGGGTGCCCCTCTGAGATGAAGCTTCCAGAGGAAGGATCAGGCAGCGATATTTGCTGTTCTGCAATATTTGCTGTTCTGCAGCCTCTGCTGGTTATACCCAGGCAAACAGGGTCTGGAGTGGACCTCCAGCAAACTCCAACAGACCTGCAGCTGAGGGACCTGACTCTTAGCAGGAAAACTAACAAACAGAAAGGACATCCACACCAAAACCCCATCTGTATGTCACCACCATCGAAGACCAAAGGTAGATAAAACCACAAAGATGGGGAGAAACCAGAGCAGAAAAGCTGAAAATTCTAAAAATCCGAGCGCCTCTTTTCCTCCAAAGGAACGCAACTCCTCACCAGCAATGGAACGAAGCTGGACAGAGAATGACTATGATGAGTTGACAGAAGTAGGCTTCAGAAAGTCAGTAATAACAAAGTTCTCTGAGCTAAAGGAGGATGTTCGAACCCATTGCAGAGAAGCTAAAAACCTTGAAAAAAAGATTAGAAGAATGGCTAACTAGAATAAACGTGTAGAGAAGACCTTAAATGACCTGATGGAGCTGAAAATCATGGCACGAGAACTATATGATGCATGCACAAGCTTCAGTAGCTGATTCAATCAAGTGGAAGAGAGGGTATCAGTGATTGAAGATCAAATGAATGAAATGAAGCAAGAAGAGTAGTTTAGAGAAAAAACATTAAAAAGAAATGAACAAAGCCTCCAAGAAATACGGGAGTATGTGAAAAGACCAAATCTACGTTTCATTGATGTACCTGAAAGTGACGGGGAGAATAGGACTAAGCTGGAAAATACTCTTCAGGATATTTTCCAGGGGAACTTCCCCAACCTAGTGAGGCAGACCAACATTCAAATTCAGGAAATACAGAGAACACCACAAAGATACTCCTCCAGAAGAGCAACCCCAAGAAACATAATTGTCAGATTCATGAAGGTTGAAATGAAGGAAAAAATGTTAAGAGCAACCAGAGAGAAAGGTCGGGTTACTGACAAAGGGAAGTACATCAGACTAACAGCACATCTCTCAGCAGAAACTCTACAAGCTAGAAGAGAGTGGGAGCCAATATTCAACATTCTTAAAGAAAAGAATTTTCAACCCAGAACTTCATATCCAGCCAAACTAAGCTTCATAAGTGAAGGAGAAATAAAATCCTTTACAGACAAGCAAATGCTGAGAGATTTCGTCACCACCAGGCCTGCCTTAAAAGAGCTCCTGATGGTGCCACTGCACTCCAGCCTGTGTGACAGAGAAAGACTCCATCTCAAAACAAAAAACAAAAAACAAACAAACAAAAAAAAACAGCTCCTGAAGGAAGCACTAAACATGGAAAGGAACAACCAGTACCAGCTGCTGCAAAAACATGTCAGATTGTAAAGACTATCGATGCTAGGAAGAAACTGCATCAACTAATGGGCAAAATAACCAGCTAACATCATAATGACAGGATCAAATTCACACATAACAATATTAACCTTAAATGTAAATGGGCTAAATACCCCAATTAAAAGACATAGACTGGCAATTTGGATAAAGAGTCAAGACTCATCAGTGGGCTGTATTCAGGAGACCCATCTCACATGCAGAGACACACATAGGCTCAAAATAAAGGGATGGAAGAAGATCTACCAAGCAAATGGAAAGCAAAAGAAAGCAGGAGTTGCAATCCTAGTCTCTGATAAAACAGACTTTAAACCAACAAAGATCAAAAGAGACAAAGAAGGCCATTACATAATGGTAAAGGGATCAATTCAACAAGAAGAGCTAAATATCCTAAATATATATGCACCCAATACAGGAGCACCCAGATTCATAAAGCAGACCTACAAAGAGACTTAAACTCCCACACAATAATAATGGGAGACTTTAACATCCCACTGTCAATATTAGATGGATCAATGAGACAGAAGGTTAACAATGATATCCAGGACTTGAACTCAGCTCTGTACCAAGTGGACCTAATAGACACCTACAGAACTCTCTCTCCACCCCAAATCAACAGAATATACATTCTTCTCAGCACCACATCACACTTATTCTAAAATTGACCACATAGTTGGAAGTAAAGCACTCCTCAGCAAATGTAAAAGAACAGAAATCACAACAAACTGTCTCTCAGACCACAGTGCAATCAAATTAGAACTCAGGATTAAGAAACTCACTCAAAACCACACAACAATGTGGAAACTGAATAACTTGCTCCTGAATGACTGCTGGGTAAATAACAAAATGAAGACAGAAATAAAGATGTCCTTTGAAACCAATAAGAATGAAGACACAACATACTAGAATGTCTGGGACACATTTAAAGCAGTGTGTAGAGGGAAAATTATAAATTTATAAATGCCCACAAGAGAAAGCAGGAAAGATCTAAAATTGACACCCTAACATTACAATTAAAAGAACTAGAGAAGCAAGACCAAACGAATTCAAAAGGTAGCAGAAGGCAGGAAATAGCTAAGACCAGAGCAGAACTGAAGGAGATAGAGACACAAAGAAACCCTTCAAAAAATCAATGAATCCAGGAGCTAGTTTTTTGAAAAGATCAACAAAATTGATCAACTGCAAGACTAATAAAGAAGAAAAGAGAGAGGAATCAAATAGATGTAATAAAAAATGATAAAGGGGATATCACCACCAATCCCACAGAAATACAAACTACCATCAGAGAATACTATAAACACCTCTACCCATATAAACTAGAAAATCTGGAAGAAATGGATAAATTACTGGACACATACACCCTCTTAAGACTAAACCAGAAAGAAGTTGAATCCCTGAATCGACCAATAACAGGCTGTGAAATTGAGGCAATAATTAATAGCCTACCAACAAAAGAAAGTCCAGGACCACATGGATTCACAGCCAAATTCTTCCAGAGGTACAAAGAGGAGCTGGTACCATTCCTTCTGAAACTATTCCAGTTAATAGAAAAACAGGGAATCCTTCCTAACTCATTTTATGAGGCCAGCATCATCCTGATATCAAAGCCTGGCAGAGACACAACAAAAAAAGAGAATTTTAGACCAATATCCCTGATCAACATTGATGTGAAAATCCTCAATATAATACTGGCAAACCAAATCTGGCAGCACATCAAAAAGTTTACCCACCAAGATCAAGTTGGCTTCATCCATGGGATGCAAGGCTGGTTCAATATATGTAAATCAATAAATATAATCCATCACTTAAACAGAACCAATGACAAAAATCACATGGTTATCTCAATAGATGGAGCAAAGGCCTTCAATAAAATTCAACAGCCCTTCATGCTAAAAACTCTCAATAAACTATGTATTGATGGAACATATCTCAAAATAATAAGAACTATTTATGATAAGCCCACAGCCAATATCATACTGAATGGGCAAAAACTGGAAGCATTCCCTTTGAAAACTGGCACAAGACAGGGATGCCCTCTCTCACCACTCCTATTCAACATAGTGTTGGAAGTTCTGGCCAGGGCAATCAGGCAAGAGAAAGAAATAAAGGGTATGCAATTAGGAAAAGAGGAAGCCAAATTGTCCTGTTTGCAGATGTCATGATTGTATATTTAGAAAACCCCATTGTCCCAGCCCCAAATCTCTTTAAGCTGATAAGCAACTTCAGCAAAATCTCAGGATATAAAATCAATGTGCAAAAATCACAAGCATTCTTATACACCAGTAACAGACAAAGAGCCAAATCATGAGTGAACTCCCATTCACAATTGCTACAAAGAGAATAAAATACCTAGGGCTCCCATTCACAATTGCTACAAAGAGAATAAAATACCTAGGAATCCAACTTACAAGGGATGTGAAGGACCTCTTGAAGGAGAACTACAAACCACTGCTCAACGAAATAAAAGAGGACACAAACAAATGGAAGAATATCCCATGCTCATGGATAGGAAGAATCAATATTGTGAAAATGGACATACTGCCCAAGGGAATTTATAGATTCAATGCCATCCCCATCAAGCTACCAATGACTTTCTTCACAGAATTGGAAAAAACTACTTTAAAGTTCATATGGAACCAAAAAACAGCCTGCATTGCCAAGACAATCCTAAGCATAGAAAACAAAGTTGGAGGCATCACACTACCTGACTTCAAACTATGCTACAAGGCTACAGTAACCAAAACAGCATGGTACTGGTACCAAAACAGAGATATAGGCCAATGGAACAGAACAGAGCCCTCAGAAATAACACCACACATCTACAACCATCTGATCTTTGACAAACCTGACAAAAAAGAAGAAATGGGGAAAGGATTCCCTATTTAATAAATGGTGCTGGGAAAACTGGCTAGCCATATGTAGAAAGCTGAAACTGGATCCCTTCCTTACACCTTATACAAAAATCAATTCAAGATGGATGAAAGACTTAAATGTTAGACCTAAAGCCATAAAAACCCTAGAAGAAAACCTAGGCAATACCATTTAAGACACAGGCATGGGTAAGGACTTCATAACTAAAACACCAAAAGCAATGGCAACAAAAGTCAACATAGACAAATGGGATCTAATTAAACTAAAGAGCTTCTGCACAGCAAAAGAAACTACCATCAGAGTGAACAGGCAACCTACAGAATGGGAGAACATTTTTGCAATCTTCCCATGTGACAAAGGGCTAATATCCAGAATCTACAAAGAACTTAAACAAATTTACAAGAAAAAATCAAACAATCCAATCAAAAAGTGGGCAAAGGATATGAACAGACACTTTTCAAAAGAAGACATTTATGCAGCCAACAGACACATGAAAAAATGCTCATCATCACTGGTCATCAGAGAAATGCAAATCAAAACCACAATGAGATACCATCTCACACTGGTTAGAATGGCGATCATTAAAAAGTCAGGAAACAAGAGATGCTAGAGAAGATGTGGAGAAATAGGAACACTTTTACACTGTTGGTGGGAGTATAAACTAATTGAACCATTGTGGAAGACAGTGTGGAAATTCATCAAGGATCTAGAACTAGAAATGCCATTTGACCCAGCCATCCCCTTACTGGGTATATACCCAAAGGATTATAAATCATGGTACTATAAAGACACATGCACACATATGTTTTTTGCAGCACTACTCACAATAGCAAAGACTTGGAACCAACCTAAATGTCCATCAATGATAGACTGGATTAAGAAAATGTGGCACATATACACCGCGGAATACTATGCAGCCCTAAAAAACGACAAGTTCATGTATTTTGCAGGGACGTGGATGCAGCTGGAGACCATCATTCTGAGCAAACTATCACAAGGACAGAAAACCAAAGATGACATGTTCTCATTCATAGGTGGGAATGAGAACACTTGGGCACAGGGTGGGGAACATCACACACCAGGGCCTGTCATGGGGTTGGGAGGTGGGGGAGGGATAGCATTGGTAGTAATACCTAATGTAAATGATGAGTTAATGGGTGCAGCAAGCCAACAGGGCACATGTATATACATGTAACAAACTTGCACATTGTGCACATGTACCCTAGAACTTAAAGTATTAAAAAAAAAAGATTTGAAATTTAAGGAATTCTACAATTTTAAGTCTTACCTGTAAAATGAAGATAATTTAGGTAACCCTCTCACAGAATTGTGGAAATTAAAGGAATTAATCTACAGAAAAGTGGTTAGCACAGTCCCTGACATGTAAGGGGGAGGATGTTAGGCCCCTTAATCTCAGCTCATGAGAGGTGATTTATTCTGGCATATCATGTTATGTAGGATTTCACTAACTCAATTGCAAGCTCCTTGAAGGTGAAACTTTTACTTATATTTTTGTAAATGCATAGTACCTGGTACAATGTCTAGTACTACAATATTCAGCAAATAAATATTAATTTCAATGTCTGCTCAGGCAGTTCAGGAGATCTCTATTTTTTGGTAATGTGAGCATCCCAAATGGTCTTGACTGTAAAGGGCACTAGAGGATCTCCTCTTCCAGTTTAGCCCATCCGTGATGGTTTTGCTGAAGTTTATCTCCTCATTTTCCCATTCACCCTGACCTTGAAAACCCAAAGTATCCTGTGGTTCTTTCTTCACAAAAATAAACAGACAATTTCATATTCTTTTACACTTCTCCTCTTAACTTCAGCAAAACATTTCAACCTAAAGATCCATCATCAATGAAACCCCTATTATATAATAATGCCAGGTCAGGACCTTTCCAAGCAAAAAAAATTTAGTGTTTTTTTCTGCTGAGTGAAACACACAACTCTGTCTCACAATATACTTTTGAACTTAGCATTGTCATTCTATGAACTCAAATAATGTTCCTCATTGAAATCATGTTGACTATGAGACAAATGGGATTTCTAAATGAGCTAAATTTGAGAATCAAGGGGGATGACTATTATTGTACTTGGTGATTTGACTACATTCACATGTTCTATGTTGCATTCTTATATGTGGTGCTTTCTTTAGCTCTTAAAATGTGACTCCAGGTTTAATTATTTAAAAAATTTATAAGAATTTATAAATGATAAATAGTGAAATTCACTAATTTTGTTCTCTTTTCTTTTTCTCAAAGCTATGGCATCTCAGTGTAGGCCTATGCCACCAGCTTTCTGTTTTACATGAATGACCACAGTTGTAATGCCAGACAGATTTGCAAAAATATGCTTCTGGTCACAAAGCGGGACAGAGATATAGGGTATAGATAGAACATGGGAAAACACATTGCGGTAATGTCATGCTGAAGGGTCAGTACAAACATCTCCATAAAAAATAATCAAAAGTTATTGTAATTTGGAATATGGCACTGAATTCATTTTCATGAACGCTGCATTACTGCAAATGGATATGATGATAATCCATTTGTCTTTGCTTTGCTTTAACTGATATTATTCTAAAATAATATTTTTTTAATTATTATTATACTTTAAGTTTTAGGGTACATGTGCACATTGTGCAGGTTAGTTACATATGTATACATGTGCCATGCTGGTGTGCTGCACCCACTAACTCGTCATGTACCATTAGATATATCTCCCAATGCTATCCCTCCCCCGTCCCCCCACCCCACCACAGTTCCCAGAGTGTGATATTCCCCTTCCTGTGACCATGTGATCTCATTGTTCAGTTCCCACCTATGAGTGAGAATATGCGGTGTTTGGTTTTTTGTTCTTGTGATAGTTTACTGAGAATGATGATTTCCAATTTCATCCATGTCCCTACAAAGGACATGAACTCATCATTTTTTATGGCTGCATAGTATTCCATGGTGTATATGTGACACATTTTCTTAATCCAGTCTATCATTGTTGGACATTTGGGTTGGTTCCAAGTCTTTGCTTTTGTGAATAATGCTGCAATAAACATATGTGTGCATGTGTCTTTATGGCAGCATGATTTATAGTCTTTTGGGTATATACCCAGTAATGGGATGGCTGGGTCAAATGGTATTTCTAGTTCTAGATCCCTGAGGAATTGCCACACTGACTTCCACAATGGTTGAACTAGTTTACAGTCCCACCAACAGTGTAAAAGTGTTCCTATTTCTCCACATCCTCTCCAACACCTATTGTTTCCTGACTTTTTAATGATTGCCATTCTAACTGGTGTGAGATGGTATCTCATTGTGGTTTTGATTTGCATTTCTCTGATGGCCAGTGATGGTGAGCATTTTTTCATGTGTTTTTTGGCTGCATAAATATCTTCTTTTGAGAAGTGTCTGTTCATGTCCTTCGCCCACTTTTTGATGGGGTTGTTTGTTTTTTTCTTGTAAATTTGTTTGAGTTCATTGTAGATTCTGGAGATTAGCCCTTTGTCAGATGAGTAGGTTGCGAAAATTTTCTCCCATTTTGTAGGTTGCCTGTTCACTCTGATGGTAGTTTCTTTTGCTGCGCAGAAGCTCTTTAGTTTAATTAGATCCCATTTGTCAATTTTGGCTTTTGTTGCCATTGCTTTTGGTGTTTTGGACATGAAGTCCTTGCCCATGCGTATGTCCTGAATGGTGATGCCTAGGTTTTCTTCTAGGGTTTTTACGGTTTTAGGTCTAATGTTTAAGTCTTTCATCCATCTTGAACTGATTTTTGTATAAGGTGTAAGGAAGGGATCCAGTTTCAGCTTTCTACATATGGCTAGCCAGTTTTCCCAGCACCATTTATTAAATAGGGAGTCCTTTCCCCATTGCTTGTTTTTCTCAGGTTTGTCAAAGATCAGATAGTTGTAGATATGCGGCATTATTTCTGAGGGCTCTGTTCTGTTCCATTGATCTATATCTCTGTTTTGGTACAAGTACCATGCTGTTTTGGTTACTGTAGCCTTGTAGTATAGTTTGAAGTCAGGTAGTGTGATGCCTCCAGCTTTGTTCTTTTGGCTTAGGATTGCTTTGGTGATGCGGGCTCTTTTTTTAGTTCCATATGAACTTTAAAGTAGTTTTTTCCAATTCTGTGAAGAAAGTCATTGGTAGCTTGATGGGGATGGCATTGAAACTGTAAATTACCTTGGGCAGTATGGCCATTTTCACGATATTGATTCTTCCTACCCATGAGCATGGAATGTTCTTCCATTTGTTTGTATCCTCTTTTATTTTGTTGAGCAGTGGTTTGTAGTTCTCCTTGAAGAGGTCCTTCACATCCCTTGTAAGTTGGATTCCTAGGTATTTTATTCTCTTTGAAGTAATTGTGAATGGGAGTTCACTCATGATTTGGCTCTCTGTTTGTCTGTTATTGGTGTATAAGAATGCTTGTGATTTTTGTACATTGATTTTGTATCCTGAGACTTTGCTGAAGTTGCTTATCAGCTTAAGGAGATTTTGGGCTGAGACAATGGGGTTTTCTAGATATACAATCATGTCGTCTGCAAACAGGGACAATTTGACTTCCTCTTTTCCTAATTGAATACCCTTTATTTCCTTCTCCTGCCTGATTGCCCTGGCCAGAACTTCCAACACTATGTTGAATAGGAGTGGTGAGAGAGGGCATCCCTGTCTTATGCCAGTTTTCAAAGGGAATGGTTCCAGCTTTTGCCCATTCAGTATGATATTGGCTGTGGGTTTGTCATAGATAGCTCTTATTATTTTGAAATACGTCCCATCAATACCTAATTTATTGAGAGTTTTTAGCATGAAGGGTTGTTGAATTTTGTCAAAGGCTTTTTCTGCATCTATTGAGATAATCATGTGGTTTTTGTCTTTGGTTCTGTTTATATGCTGGATTACATTTATTGATTTGTGTATATTGAACCAGCCTTGCATCCCAGGGATGAAGCCCACTTGATCATGGTGGATAAGCTTTTTGATGTGCTGCTGGATTCGTTTTGCCAGTATTTTATTGAGGATTTTTGCATCAATGTTCATTAAGGATATTGGTCTAAAATTCTCTTTTTTGTTTGTGTCTCTGCCCGGCTTTGGTATCAGAATGATGCTGGCCTCATAAAATGAGTTAGGGAGGATTCCCTCTTTTTCTATTGATTGGAATAGTTTCAGAAGGAATGGTACCAGTTCCTCCTTGTACCTCTGGTAGAATTCGGCTGTGAATCCATCTGGTCCTGGACTCTTTTTGGTTGGTAAACTATTGATTATTGCCACAATTTCAGCTCCTGTTACTGGTCTATTCAGAGATTCAACTTCTTCCTGGTTTAGTCTTGGGAGAGTGTATGTGTCGAGGAATTTATCTATTTCTTCTAGATTTTCTAGTTTATTTGCGTAGAGGTGTTTGTAGTATTCTCTGATGGTAGTTTGTATTTCTGTGGGATCGGTGGTGATATCCCCTTTATCATTTTTTATTGTGTCTATTTGATTCTTCTTTTTTTCTTTATTAGTCTTGCTAGCAGTCTATCAATTTTGTTGATCCTTTCAAAAAACCACCTCCTGGATTCATTAATTTTTTGAAGGGTTTTTTGTGTCTCTATTTCCTTCAGTTCTGCTCTGATTTTAGTTATTTCTTGCCTTCTGCTAGCTTTTGAATGTGTTTGCTCTTGCTTTTCTAGTTCTTTTAATTGTGATGTTAGGTTGTCAATTTTGGATCTTTCCTGCTTTCTCTTGTGGGCATTTAGTGCTATAAATTTCCCTCTACACACTGCTTTGAATGCATCCCAGAGATTCTGGTATGTTGTGTCTTTGTTCTCGTTGGTTTCAAAGAACATCTTTATTTCTGCCTTCATTTCGTTATGTATCCAGTAGTCATTCAGGAGCAGGTTGTTCAGTTTCCATGTAGTTGAGCGGTTTTGAGTGAGATTCTTAATCCTGAGTTCTAGTTTGATTGCACTGTGGTCTGAGAGATAGTTTGTTATAATCTCTGTTCTTTTACATTTGCTGAGGAGAGCTTTACTTCCAACTATGTGGTCAATTTTGGAATAGGTGTGGTGTGGTGCTGAAAAAAATGTATATTCTGTTGATTTGGGGTGGAGAGTTCTGTAGATATCTATTAGGTCCGCTTGGTGCAGAGCTGAGTTCAATTCCTGGGTATCCTTGTTGACTTTCTGTCTCGTTGATCTGTCTAATGTTGACAGTGGGGTGTTAAAGTCTCCCATTATTAATGTGTGGGAGTCTAAGTCTCTTTGTAGGTCACTCAGGACTTGCTTTATGAATCTGTGTGCTCCTGTATTGGGTGCATATATATTTAGGATAGTTAGCTCTTCTTGTTGAATTGATCCCTTTACCATTATGTAATGGCCTCTTTGTCTCTTTTGATCTTTGTTGGTTTAAAGTCTGTTTTATCAGAGACTAGGATTGCAACCCCTGCCTTTTTTTGTTTTCCATTTGCTTGGTAGATCTTCCTCCATCCTTTTATTTTGAGCCTATGTGTGTCTCTGTACGTGAGATGGGTTTCCTGAATACAGCACACTGATGGGTCTTGACTCTTTATCCAATTTGCCAGTCTGTGTCTTTTAATTGGAGCATTTAGTCCATTTACATTTAAAGTTAATATTGTTATGTGTGAATTTTATCCTGTCATTGTGATGTTAGCTGGTGATTTTGCTCGTTAGTTGATGCAGTTTCTTCCTGGTCTCGATGGTCTTTACATTTTGGCATGATTTTGCAGTGGCTGGTACCGGTTGTTCCTTTCCATGTTTAGCACTTCCTTCAGGAGCTCTTTTATGGCAGGCCTGGTGGTGACAAAATCTCTCAGCATTTGCTTGTCTGTAAAGTATTTTATTTCTCCTTTACTTATGAAGCTTAGTTTGGCTGGATATGAAATTTTGGGTTGAAAATTCTTTTCTTTAAGAATGTTGAATATTGGCCCCCACTCTCTTCTGGCTTGTAGGGTTTCTGCCGAGAGATCCGCTGTTAGTCTGATGGGCTTCCCTTTGAGGGTAACCCGACCTTTCTCTCTGGCTGCCCTTAACATTTTTTCCTTCATTTCAACTTTGGTGAATCTGACAATTATGTGTCTTGGAGCTGCTCTTCTCGAGGAGTATCTTTGTGGAGTTCTCTGTATTTCCTGAATCTGAACGTTGGCCTGCCTTGCTAGATTGGGGAAGTTCTCCTGGATAATATCCTGTAGAGTGTTTTCCAACTTGGTTCCATTCTCCCCATCACTTTCAGGTATACCAATCAGACGTAGATTTGGTCTTTTCACATAGTCCCATATTTCTTGGAGGCTTTGCTCATTTCTTTTTATTCTTTTTTCTCGCTTCATTTCATTCATTTCATCTTCCATTGCTGATACCCTTTCTTCCAGTTGATCGCATCGGCTCCTGAGGCTTCTGCATTCTTCATGTAGTTCTCGAGCCTTGGTTTTCAGCTCCATCAGCTCCTTTAAGCACTTCTCTGTATTGGTTATTCTAGTTATACATTCTTCTAAATTTTTTTCAAAGTTTTCAACTTCTTTGCCTTTGGTTTGAATGTCCTCCTGTAGCTCAGAGTAATTTGATCATCTGAAGCCTTCTTCTCTCAGCTCATCAAAGTCATTCTCCATCCAGCTTTGTTCCATTGCTGGTGAGGAACTACGTTCCTTTGGAGGAGGAGAGGCGCTCTGCATTTTAGAGTTTCCAGTTTTTCTGTTCTGCTTTTTCCCCATCTTTGTGGTTTTATCTACTTTTGGTCTTTGATGATGGTGATGTACAGATGGGTTTTTGGTGTGGATGTCCTTTCTGTTTGTTAGTTTTCCTTCTAACAGAAAGGACCCTCAGCTGCAGGTCTGTTGGAATACCCTGCCGTGTGAGATGTCAGTGTGCCCCTGCTGGGGGGTGCCTCCTAGTTAGGCTGCTCGGGGGTCAGGGGTCAGGGACCCACTTGAGGAGGCAGTCTGCCCGTTCTCAGATCTCCAGCTGCGTGCTGGGAGAACCACTTCTCTCTTCAAAGCTGTCAGACAGGGACATTTAAGTCTGCAGAGGTTACTGCTGTCTTTTTGTTTGTCTGTGCCCTGCCCCCAGAGGTGGAGCCTACAGAGGCAGGCAGGCCTCCTTGAGCTGTGGTGGGCTCCACCCAGTTCGAGCTTCCTGGCTGCTTTGTTTACCTAAGCAAGCCTGGGCAATGGTGGGCCCCCCTCCCCCAGCCTCGCTGCGGCCTTGCAGTTTGATCTCAGACTGCTGTGCTAGCAATCAGCGAGACTCCGTGGGCGTAGGACCCTCCGAGCCAGGTGCGGGATATAATCTCGTGGTGCGCCGTTTTTTAAGCCGGTCTGAAAAGCACAATATTCGGGTGGGAATGACCCGATTTTCCAGGTGCGTACGTCACCCCTTTCTTTGACTCGGAAAGGGAACTCCCTGACCCCTTGCGCTTCCCAAGTGAGGCAATGCCTCGCCCTGCTTTGGCTCACGCATGGTGCGCGCACCCACTGACCTGCGCCCACTGTCTGGCACTCCCTAGTGAGATGAACCTGGTACCTCAGATGGAAATGCAGAAATCACCCGTCTTCTGCGTCGCTCACGCTGGTAGCTGTAGACCAGAGCTGTTCCTATTCAGCCATCTTGGCTCCTCCCTCCTCTAAAATAATAATTTATAAATAAAATTAAAATAATAATTTTAGAATAATATCAGTTAATGCAAAGGCAAATGGATAATCATATTTTGATCTTATAATAAATGTTAATGAAGTTCCTTAGCTATTGTCTAATGGACTTTGAAATACAGGGTAATTATTTTTAGCCAACATTTGGTTAATCAATCCAAATGGTTGCCACAGAAGGGGTATTTTAAAAGACAGCAATTAGGATTTCGGTAAATTAATTTGGTTAAATTGTAGTTAAAGTTAAAAGTTATTCTAATCATATGACATAAAATCCTGAGTAAACGCTCATTTAATAATTAGTTCACGCTGAGTGCTGTAGTTCACACCTGTAATCCTAGCACTTTGGAAGGCCGAGATGGGTGGATCATAAGGCCAGGAGTTCGAGACCAGCCTGACCAATGTGGTGAAACCCCGTCTCTACTGAAAATACAAAAAAATTAGTTGGGCGTGGTAGCATGTGCCTGTAATCCCAGCTACTCAGGAGGCTGAGGCAGGAGAATCGCTTGAACCTCAGAGGCAGAGGTTGCAGTGAGCCGAGATCGTGCCACTGCACTCCAGCCTGTGTGACAGAGCAAGACTCCGTCTCAAAAAAAAAAAAAAAATTAGTTCAAATTTTGCCTGCTAACAATAAAGTATTTAAAGTTTCCATTGGGTAAATGCAAAGTTTGATTGTTTCATTCAATCAATCCTGTCAGTGCCTCTTTTCCTAACATTTTGCAAAGGAATCTATACAATTAAAATAAATGGAATTGAGTACTTGTGGGTGGGAGATTTGACTGCAAAATGGACTCCTCAGAGTGTGTTTACTTATAAAACGATGACAAAGCCTTTTAAAATTCATACACAAAATAGTACGATACAATTGTCTAAGACTGTAATACAATGGGTAGATCCAAATCTCTTGAAGTAAAAATAGATCAAATGTCAAAACATGCCAAAAATATTATATCAGCAGCTTTCATCATTGTTAATATTTTATGGAATGAAAATATTCCTTATGCCTCTGTCAGAAGCCTTCTTGAATCTTGACCTAATTTGTTGGGATAATTTAAGAATTTAAGACTTGCTGTTTCTATCTCTGGCTAGTTTAATTCATCATTTAGCTCGCTACAAGACTAAAGACACATAGCAAAAATAGCTCTTACATATCAACATTTAAATGAAAACAGCCTCTATATCATGCAGAGTGGAGAATTTGCTAATCAAATGTTCGCTGGGGCAATACTTATAGAAATATAGTAAAGAGCATCTGACCAAATGTTAATGCTTTGTAGGAAAAGAAATGATGTTATTTGCTTTAGATATAAAGTCATTTCTTTTTAAAAATTAGCCTATTTAATGCATGGGAGATTGCCATATTCCTTCATTTAATGTTGCATTCTCTATAATGATTTCTGATTACCAAAATGCATAGTACAAATGCTAATCAGGGCCCTTTTCACAACAAGTGCGGATGCTGAGTGCCTCCTATGAGTTTAATCACAGTGTGTGATTCACACAGTAATGGGTCATAATTGCCCCCCACCAAGTTGTCTTGAGGGTCTTGCTTCATTTTATTACCACTGGACCTTATCAACCATTGAAATCCACCACAGTTGCCTTGAAGGTTGCAACCAATCTTTACATGCATAATTATTTCCAAATAAGGATGCCCAAGAAGGGTGAAGGATTGTATTTGTTCTCTCCCCAGTTTTACAATAAATTAAAAAATGAATAGCAGTATTTATATAATTTTATATTACCTTTCACTTTTCTTTTACTTGAAAAACAGGCTGATTGCCATCTCTCCAGGTAATCAAATCTAGTTGATAGCTTATGTACAGATGCATTAGAAAGCTTTTTATTTCTGTTAGCTTCAGACATCCTGGGGTTCATTTTCTGTGTGATACCTGGGGAGCTACACATATAAATCACTGTCACTTTAGAGAATAGCAGGCTCCATCATTTCTCCTTTAAATCAAACTTGGAAGATTCCAAACTTTGCAATTGACTGCTGCAGATTATTAGGAGTAGACTGGATGGCTGTTCTTCCCCAGAGGGCCTGCAGTGTCTCCTTGCAGGACTGGCTGTGCATAGTTAGAGTAAATGGCTGCCTAGGTTATGTATCGTGATTACTTCCCCTTTAAATAACTATCTCCCACCTAGACACCTGTATAGTTGACTATATATTTTATAATTAAAAAGAACATTTTTTCACTTTAGTGTAGATGTTCAACAGTTTCTTGATGCCTAAAGTTGTTTTAACAAGCACAAGCTATTTGTGTTCCATAATTAGAGAAATCAGGCCATGGATATTTACTAAGTATGCACTATGTGCCAGTCATCATCTAAGGTCTTTGGAAAATAGGAGTAAGCAGGAAAAGTCCCTGTTCTCAAGGATCTTATAGGCTAGCGAGAGTAGTGATAACACAAATAAGTAACATAGCAACTTAAATTGACGATAATGTGTAAATGAAGGGAAGACTTGTTGGGGTTGGGGTGGAGAGAAAACATGGGACTACTAAATTGGAAAGAATGAATGAATTATGGGAAAGTAAAACACATGCCAGACCCAGTGTGGTGGCTCACATCTGCAATCCCAGCATTTAGGGAGGCCGAGGCAGGCGGTTCACTTGAGGTCAGGAGTTCGAGACCAGCTTTGCCAACATGGCGAAACCCTGTCTCTACTAAGAATACAAAAATTAGCTGGGTGTGGTGGCATGTGCCTGTAGTCCCAGCTACTCGGGAAGCTGAGGCAGGAGAATCACTTGAACTGGGGAGGCGGAGGTTGCAGTGAGCCGAGATCACACCACTGCACTCCAGCCTGGGCAACAGAGCAAGACTCTGTCTCAAAGAACGCAACAACAACAGAGTAAGACTCTGTCTCAAACAACACAACAACAAAACAAACCACATGCCCAAAAGAAGGGAATACAAAGACAATTACCTACTTAAGACTTTTGTCTCAGACTCACTCTATTTATTTTTCTTTCTAAATAGGCAATAGCAGGATTTTAGCTAGGCTTTGGGATTCTGATTTCTTTTCTTTCTTTTTTTGTTATCAAGAGTATTGCTAGTGGTTGCTCAAAAAGTTTAACATAGAATTTCCAAATGATGCAGCCAATTCACTCCTAGGTACATATCCAAAATAATGGAAAGGAGTTACTTAAATCCATGTATAGGCATGTTCATAGCGGCCCTATTCACAACAGCCAAAAGGAAGAAACAGGTCAAATGTCTATCAGTGAAGGACTGGATGAACAAATTGCAGTATGTACATACAACGGAATGTTATTCATCCATAGAAAGGGATAAAGTATTGATACACGAAAACATGCTAAGCATGAGAAGCCAGACAGATAACACTACATATTGAATGTTTCCATTTATGCAATATCTAGAATAGGTAAAATCCATAGAGATAGAAAACAGATTGGTTGTTGCCAGGGTCTAGGAGTAAGAAAGAATGAGGAGGAACTGCTTGATGGGTATGGATTGTCCTTTTGGAGTAACAAAAATATTTTGGAACTTCATAGAGAGATGGTTATATAACATTTTGAATATACTAAATGCCATTGAATTGTATACTTTAAAGTGGTAAATTTTATGTTAGATGAATTTAGTCTCAATCATAAAAAAAGAATATTGCAACATGTTTACTCCAGGAGAAGGTAAGCACGATGATATGGAATGCTGTGTCATACCCTTGTTAATTGATTGATTCATTCATTTTTTTCCTCAAATTTATTGTGTACCATTTACCAGACATTTGTACTATGTGTCACCAAGATAGACTTAGTTACTTGGTGTCTTTATAGACACTGTCTTGTATGGGATCCAGACAAATGTAAGCATTTTGTATGGACCATAGAAGCTTTCCTTTTTCCAATGTCCATCTCATGCTTTTACAGGTTAACTATATATTTTGCAATTAAAAAGAACATGTTTTTTACCTTAGTGCAGATGTGCAACAGGTGTTTCCTCAGCTAGCAGTACTCAAAGTAAGATGCCTCAATCACTTCTTTAAATTCAGCATTGAATCCTCCATGTTATTAAACACAATGGATATTTGGGTCACTAAAGATTTGTCTATACAGCACAAGTATTTGCAGATATACAGCTACAACCCCTATTTTATCAAAATTGACAGTACTCAGTTTTTTGCCCAAATGCTTTCTACAGACAATTTGTTTAGCAAGTTCTACAGTCAAAACAGGGAAATGCTCCATGTAATATCCTAATATTCTTACATTATAAAGCTCCAGCACATAGTAGCATTCTATACCCTCTGATAAACTGTACAGAAATACATTTATTTTACTTTAAGATTTCATGAGGCTATTTGACCATAGGATTTTTTTTTTTTTGCATAAAACACTTGTTATTATCTGACAGAATTAATATTATACAGGACACATAGTGTGAAATGCAGTTTTAGATCTCTGAAACTCTTCAATGTGTTAGCCTTGCCTTTATAGCCAAGTAATTTATGGAGTAGTAATCACAAAATAGCGTAGTGCTCCTGTACTCTTAGTTGGCTTCATTTTTCTACACTTACGACTTCCGAGATTATTTTATTTTATTTTAGAGACAGGGTCTCACTTTGTCACTCAGGTTGGAGTGCAGTGGTGTGAACTTGGCTCACTGCAACCTCTGCCTCCTGGGCTCAAGCCATCCTCCCTCCTCAGCCTCTAAAGTAGCTGGGACTATGGGCATACACCACCACACCTGGTTAATTTTTGTATTTTTTTGTAGAGACAGGGTTTTGCCATGTTGCCCAGGCTGGTCTCAAACTCCTGGGCTCAAGCAATCCACCCACCTCAGCCTCCCAAAGTGCTGGGATTACAGGCATGAGCCCCCATGCCCGACCCTGAGATATATTATTAATTATTTTGTGTACTCACTGTCTCTTTCTCTAGAGCATAAGCACTATAAATGTAGAGATGCCTCATGTTTTATTCACTGCTGTATCTCCAGTGTCTAGAACAATGCCTGGCATGTAATAGGTCTAAATATGTTTCTGTTGAATGAATGAGTGAAGTGGGTGCAAAAAAATAACTATTGATTTTTTGGCTGATTTTTTAATAAACTAATCTTATGTTCTTGTTCTGCTAAAGGGAGAATAGAACAGACATGTACTGTAATCAGATGCGTTTGACAAGATTCTGAAAAAAGAGCAATTTCACTCACCATTTGGAATAGACCATTTTTTGTTGATACTATGTTTATAACACATAATAATATTAATATTAATAAAATAAGAGAATATAAACTGCCAAGAACATCTTGGACAGTAAACGAGACAGGATTGGATTTATTGTCTGTCCATTAAGTCTATTTTAATTTGTGACTAAAGCATTGGAGAGGGCCTGGGTAACCTGATATTTTCACCAACAAGGCATGGTAAAAGCAACCACAACCGCTGACTACATGATCCAAATCCAGATCCAACTCTGCTGTTAAGAAGCTGGGTAAATCATTGTGCAACTCACTTTTCTGGACCTCTCTTTTGTTATCTGTGAAATAAGCAGACTGGACTAACATATTTTGAAGGTACCTTCTGTATTTAACGTACCATAATTCCCACAGTTCTGGATCCATTATTTTCCTCCTTTATAAATCAGTCTCTCCAACTGCTTACTTTTCATCACAACTGTTTTGAATTCTTTCTCTGTGGCTACATTTTGAGTCTCTTAGGAACTGACTTCAATAGGCTATTATTTGGATTCACTGAGTCCTTGTTGTTATTCTGAGGTCAGCTTCTGCCCACTCATTTGCCATCCATCACCAGTCTCCAGACCTTCCAAACAAAACCTATTGAATACATCATCACTTCCTAGGGTCAGGATGAGGGTCAAACAGCCCTAAAAGCACATTTCCCACCGATTGGCACTTGGGGTGCAGACTCTCATCACTCTAAGTCCCAAATCAGCTAAGTCCTGAGGGATCTGCTGGGGAAATCAGTCAGATTGTCAGTTTTCTCATTGCATTCCTGGCCATTCGGTTTATGGAGAGCGTCTGAGTGATGCCTGTAGATTAAACCAGGCGTCCTTCTTTTACAATTCTTTAGAGTCTGGGTCAATCTTGTCTCCCCAAGGGAGCCGCAGTTCTGCTTCCTCTTGGTTAAGATCCTTGGGCTCTCTAACCCAGGGGTCCTAAGCCTCTACTACCTTTGTATGTTTCTCTTTTCTAGGAATCTTCCAGGACTGGGTTTACTAAGAGTCATCTACAACCTCAGGCTTGGGCTCTTCTTGTAGCACCATCCAAGTGGGAGGGGAGGAAGATAGCATGGAGCTGGAGAAGCCGCATTAATGTCTCTTTCGTAGCTACATTCTCTTCTCTGTTGTCTCCCAGTGAAAAAGGGCCTTGAGACAAAATTACTTCTTTTCAGTGACTTACATGGAGGAAGTTTCATGGATTCAGTTGTTGGTGTGAATGTTAAATTAAATGTTAATGTTAAATCAGTATGTTAAAATGAGAACTATTCTAAATATATGTGGGGAAAAAAAACCTGATGCAGTAAAAACTCCTCTAGAATAGTGTGTTTCTTGTTAAATACCAAAAATTAGCACCATTTTGCTGATCCTAAAACATGAAGTTTAAGGCCAAAACATTTTTAGAGTCCCACAATGGATTTTTCAGAGTTCTTAAAAACATTGTCATAAACTCTCATATATTCTAAAATAATTAAACGGAAGTTCTTGGAGCTATCTTGCCAAGGTCATTTGGAGATTATTTCTTGAGCTGCTTTGAAATAATGAAAAAAATTGTAATGTGAATTGTAATTACTTAGAACACTGTAGAATAAAGCTACAGTAAATTCCTTCACAGTTGAACTAAACTGTTTAACACATGGAATGTCTAATTGACAATTCCGTACCAAAGTGTAAATTTGTCAAGGAAGGATACACAACAAGTTTTTTTTAACATCTCAGTGAGTGCTGTTGTGATTTGGATCTATTACTTCTGAATATTGCATGAAGCTGACAAGCACTTGTCATTTAAAGACCACATGGAGGCATTTAGTTTTCCATTTAGACATAATAACACATTATGCAAATAAGCTTGCAAAGGAAAGCTGGAGGCTGACATGAAATAAACTGTCAAACACAAGTTGCTAATAAATGAACATTTCTTTATAGATTATCTTAATTTGGGGAGTTGAAAAATACATTTGGCTGTGGTGGATCAGGAACCTTACTATCGTGGTACATAGCGGAGGTTTCAATTGTTGGCTTTGCAGCAACATTCCTTCCCTGCAATTATGGCAAGAGGTTTTGGTTTAAGAAAAACTCTCAAAACTTACATTTTATAAAAGAGGTTTCTAAGTAAATTGTATTCCCACATTTTCATGGTTTAGAGATACCCTAGTTGGATTTATTCTCATGTGATTTTTCACTCCTCAATTTTGCACTGTCCTGTAATACCTGTAATAGGTCTAATACTTTCAATTTGATCTAGATAACAGATTATTGGAATTCAAAGGAGTTTTTGACATTTGTAATTTTAACTAGGCAGGATTTCTCAGAGAACTCATCCAAATCTCCTGGAAGCCTTCTTAAAAATGCATATTCCTGGAAGACTGATTACAAATGCATATTCCAGAGTACCAACCAAGACTGACCTAATCAGAATTTCTGGGAGTAGGACTTATTAATTTGCAATTTTGAAAAGTAGCCCAGTAATTCTTGTGCTCAATAGAGTTTGAGTAACTCTGGACTAGACAGTCCTTGAAGGCCCATGACAAGTACAATTTTAAGACTGCTAAAGCTGGAATTTGTGTTTCAAATCAGGTGTAGCGTGAAGTTGGAGACTGATTTATTTCTGGTGAGTCTGGCTCAAGATGCAGCATTTGCCACCCAGTGAGCTGCACTCTACGTTTGTCCTCATGTAGCAGTAACTCCAATGAAGTAATATAAGAAACACAACCACAGCTGTTTCTCTGTGACAGCGGCCCCTAGGGGCAGACCTGGAGGTGGGACGGATATCAGAAGTAGGAGAATGTGGCTGGAAAAGGGGGAAGGTCTAAGTGCAGAGACACAGTGGAGGCTGTTTAGCCTCCTCCCTTCATCTAATCTCTGCCCAGAAGTAATCTTAAGAGCTTTTGATCATTTTTTTTTTTTTTTTTTCACAGAACATAGAAAAGATAGCAAAAGTTTCCTTCTGGCCTGGTGTGGCAGTTTATGCCTGTAACTGTGGCACTTTGGGAGGCTAAGGCAGGTGGATCACTTGAGCCTAGGATTTTTTATTTTTATTTTTTTATTTTTTGAGACAGAGTCTCACTCTGTCACCAGGCTGAAGTGCAGTGGCATGATTTCGGCTCACTGCAACCTCTGCCTCCTGGGTTCAAGCGATTCTCCTGCCTCAGCCTCCCAAGTAGCTGGGACTACAGGTGCACATTAGCACGCCCAACTAATTTTTTGTATTTTTAGTAGAGACGGGGTTTCACCATCTTGGCCAAAGTGGTCTCAATCTCTCAACCTCGTGATCCACCCTCCTCAGCCTCCCAAAGTGCTGGGATTACAGGAGTGAGCCACTCTGCCCAGCCAAGTCTAGGATTTTGAGACCAGCCTGGGCAACATAGTGAGATCCCATCTCTAAAAAAAAATTTAAAAATTAGCTGGTGTGTTGGCATGCACCTGTGTCCCAGCTGCTCAGGGGCTGAAGTGGGAGGATTGCTTGAGCCCAGGGGTCAAGGCTGCAGTGAGCCATGATTGTACCACTGCACTCCAGCCTGAGCGATGATTGATTGTACCACTGAACCCCAGCCTGGGCAACAGAGTGAGATCCTGTCTCAAAAAATAAAAAATAAAAATGTTTCCATCATTGCCTTAAATTAATTGGGAGAGCATTAGATTGAAGCAGCTCCAGGGCTCTGGGTTTCTACTTAAGCAAACTGAAACCCAATTTAGTATAGCTATTCTAGAAAAACAAAACTTAAGCTTAACCAATCAGAAACCACTAACCTCTAACTAGTGACTTCCTAGTGGAACGATGGAAATAAGGTTGCTGTTGCACTTTAACGAATTGAATAATTTCTTGGCCTTGCTTCTGATCATAAAAGCCTTCCTCTTGTGCCCTTGGGCTGAGCCTCTGAAACACTTCTGTTTGGAGCCACCTGATTCCTAAATCATTGTCTACTCAAGTAAACTCTTTAAAACGTTAATGTGCATAATGTATCTTTCAACACCCCTCAGACTTCCTTTTGAACCCATTAACTATCAGAACAGGAACACTTTTCTGTTCCCTGACACTGCTGTGCTGTCGCTTAGTTAGCTGTGATTTCAGACTTTAATGGATTCAGTTCTGCATCCAGTTTAGACTTTTGAATTAGCTCAAATTTTTGTCCACTGTTCAGGTGCTTGAAAAAACATTTGCTTTATCTGCCACCTCTCATATGGAGGCATCCTGATGTGTTTCTAATGCTGAAGTGTAGTCGCTTCTTTTAATTCCAATCTCCTGCCTGCCTTAGTGCCCCAATCTACATATTGACAAAGACTCCCTGACCAAACTTAGTCAGGCTCCTCTGAGCCCTCTTCTCTAGGGCCCTGACTTTGGTCCCTGTCTTTGCTGGGTTTGCATAGCCCACTTGTAGCAAGAATCCTGCTGAATCAATTTAGGGAGAAAGTCTCACCCTCAATATCTGATCAAGCTTTTCATCCCCCAGCCTTGATATCTTATCACCCTGGCTTGCCTTCAGCAATAATTTTATTAAATTGGTTTAGAAAGAATCCTTCCACCCTTGATGACTTCTTGTAGTAATTTTCCATTCACTGACCTCCTCATTCTGCTTGTTGGCTGTGAATCTCCATTTGTCTTTGCTGTATTCAGTTCTATCCTATTTTCCCCTATTGCAATATTTTATTAATAAAATCTGTTTTAACTTCTCTGACTACTGTCTGGCTGAGATTGTCTTTAACAGTTACAATGCCCAACCTTGGATGGGATCAGATTGCTGATTGAACCCCCAGGTCTCTCACTCAAGACCCCAACTGCACATCTTTGATGTCTTTCAGGAAGCCTTAGTGAGTCCCACTCTGGAGCCAGTGCTCCAGACCACTGTCCATTGAAGCACAGAAAGGACAGGTTTTGATTCTTAAGACTCCGAGTATGCTATCTTTGTCTGAAAGGTTATCTCCTAGGCTGGAAGTTCTTCCTGCCTCCTTATTTCAAGTGGAGATTCACTCCTTGACTCCTCGGCTAGAAAATTTTTTTTTCTGAGGCTTCTTTATTCTATTTCATCCTGTTTCTCCCATAGGAAATTCTCAGTCTACTAAAACTCAACCACCTCCTCAAACCCTCCTAATGATATGCTCCACCAACTCTGTCTGCTTCCTTTCTTGTTTGCATAATTTCGTTAAGGATAATTTGGAACTTCATTCACTTATTACCTACCCACATTTAAGCTCATTTAAGACCTCTTCTCTTTTCTTCTTTTTTTCCTTTACTACCTTCAATCTTCCCATCAGCTTTCTTGAATCCTTTGATATGACCCTCTTTAAAGACCCTACATCCTCTATTTCTCTGTGTGCTCCTTCCAGACTTTTCCCTCTCCAGTCCAGCTGCTCAACTCCCTACAGTCACTTGAACTTGAGGTCCCTTGTTCCCATAGGGGGCTCTCAAGGGATTTAGGAGCCCCCAACACAGCCACCTGAAGCTTAAAAGAGAGAGAGAGAAAAAAAGGTTAATTTAAAACAGGCTCAATATTTTACCTCCTCAGATGGACTTTGGAAACAACCAATCACTTGGTATTTCCCAAAGGTCCAATACCCAAAATTTAGTCTACAGCCTCCATAAGATTACATATCAAAGCAAATGAAAATCTTGAGTTTCCTCTATAAATAGTGGTAAAAAGAACTAGTTGTCATATTAGGCAGGTCATCTTAATTTTTTTCATTTGCCAAAAACACAATTCAGAAAAAGATGAGAGCCAACTATCATACATAAACCAGTGAGTTTTGTATTATTGTGTTTACCTGCATCATGGCTAAAATTTTAGAATGAAATGTCTGAGGTCTCCATTTGTGTCTGCCTGTATGTTTATATGTGCATGTAGGTAGGTTATGTATATGTGATATTTTTCTTCCTCCTGATGGTATTAACAAGTTTATTTATAAAATTCCTTAAAGAAACTGTTCAAATTGGCTGAAGGCTAAGTAATTATGTATTAGAAAGGAAATACTCTTACAACTCAAGAAATATGGAAATTAATCCGAATGTTTTTCAAATTTAAGTGATTTGAGTAGGACTACTGATATAGTTTGGATATTTGTCCCCTTCAAAATCTTATGTTGAAATGTGGCCCCCAGTGTTGGAGTCTGGGTTTGGTGGGAGGTGTTTGGTCGTGTCAACAGATCCCTCATGAATGGGTTGGTACCCTTACCACAATAATGAGTTCACCCAAGATTTGATTGTTAAAGAGACTGGGACCTCTCCTCTCTCTTGCTCCCTCTCTCATCATCTGACGTGTTGGCTTCCCTTCCCTTTCACCTTGAGTGGAAGCTTCCTGAGGCCTCACCAGCAGCAGATGCCAGCACTATGTTTCTTGTGCAGTCTGCAGAACTGTGAGCCAAAATAAACCTCTTTTCTTTATAAATTACCCAGCCTCAGGTATTCCTTTATAGCAATGTAAAATGGACTAATACAACTAGTTTGGTTTTGTTGGTTTAATAAAAATAGGCATGCCTTGTGAGTTATCAGAATAAAGTATAATATGAGCACTTATTTTTATCCTACTTGGGCTTACTAGTCAAATAAGGTGATATTATAGCTACTAGATATTTAAGATTATAAAAACTATAAATTCAACCTAAGAACAAGTGGACAAGTAAAGATGCAGTAAAAATGAATATAAATGGCTCAATATATATATCAAAGCACAGTAGTAAATAAAACATAGGCACATGTATTTAATTTTTAAGGTTTTTTCTATTGTGATTATTTTGATACTTTCCTAACATGCATGTATTATAAAAATAGTTAACAGGGAAATGACTCAAAATGATGACTAGCTTTGTTTAATGTCTCATAAAATTTTCATGAACAATCTAAGCATAATTTTTTAAGAACATGTATTAAGTTGACATAAGTGGAATAAAAGTTTTATGAGGAGACTTTTGAACAATAATTATGTTTTATAGTATCTATAAACTAAAAATAGTTTCTAATATCATTTTAGTAATGTGCAATCTTTGACCTATGCTAAAGTAAATTATGTAATAAATATTTATTATTAATTTATAAGATAAATTACTAAAACACTGACTGATAAAAATAAGTTTAAATTTATTATTAAGTTGTAGAAGGTTTACAGAAAAGTGATCTCACATGGTCAAACTAAAATTTGATGGACTTATTTATAAGGTTTTCTTGGATGAAGTTTTTTTAGAATATTGGTCTGCTCTTAATATTATATTATAAAAGGTTTTTCTCTACCTTTTGAGTAATCTACCCAGGAAACAAACATTTTGTGCCTTGTCAGAATAATTTCTTGTGTTTTTTTGTTAACTTTTATCATGCCCTTGACTATTTAAGAGAACCAAGTTTCTCACTTTTTTTTTTTTTTTTTTTTTTTTTTTTGAGGGGGAGTTTCACTCTATGGCCCAGGCTGGAGTGCAATGGTGCAATCTCAGCTCACTACAACCTCCACCTCCTGGATTCAAGCAATTCTCCTTCCTCAGCCTCCTGAGTAGCTAGGACTACAGGTATGCACCATCACACCTGCCTAATTTTATGTTTTTAGTAGAGACAAGGTTTCACCATGTTGGTCAGGCTGACCTCAGATGATCCGCCCACTTCAGCCTGCCAAAGTGCTGGGATTACAGGTGTGAGCCACGGCGCCCGCCCAAGTTTCTCACTTTTAAAAGAGCTAAGATTGGTCAGGTGCAGTGGCTCACACCTGTAATCCCAGCACTTTGGGAGGCTGAGGCGGGCGGATCACTTGGGGTCAGGAGTTCGAGACCAGCCTGGCCAACATGGTGAAACCTATCTCTACTAAAAATACAAAATTAGCCAGGCATAGTGGTGGGTGCTTGTAATCCCAGTTACTTGGGAGGCTGAGGCAGGAGAATTGCTTGAACCCGGGAGGCGGAGGTTGCAGTGAGCCAAGATCATGCCACTGCACTCTAGCCTGGTGACAGAGTAAGACCTTGTCTAAATAAATACATAAATATAAATAAACAAAATAAAAGAACTAAGATTTTTTTACAATTGTGTTACCTCCTATAGTTACTTTTGAAGTCTTGTATTGTCACTTTGGTTAAATAGGTAGTTAAGTACTGTTTCACAGTGACTTAGGATCTTATTTAGTCAAGGGTTCAAGATTTTGACACTTTTGATATGTTTCTTTCCTCAAATAAAATCCTAATAATTTTGAGTTTTTACATAGGGCCCCTGGAAAGTCTCAAAGGATTTATTCTTTCACCTTGTAAAAGGAGAAATATTTTTTTTAAAATGAGGTTTATTGTATATGTTAAATTGCATGAGAAACATTGTCAAATAAGAAGAGATTCTTATTCTTCCCTAGGTTAACCATTCATATTTGTGTGGATACATGATATTAATACAAATATGTTAGAAATTGTATAGTTCTTAGAAACTTGTCAATAACCTAGCTGTCTATGATATGTCTAGTCAGTATAATTTTATTAGTCACAATGCCAGTTATTATTCTGAAATGTTGCATGCTATAGAAATAACCAAATTTCCTTGTCAAATGAACTCTCATAAACTCTTTAACTATGGCCACTGCAAGTCTTATCTAAGTCATCATAGATAGTTATTATTTTACTCTGATGCTTTCCTGAAAGTGCTTGCAATCAACTACAGGTCAGACTGCTTTGTTTTCAATAAAAAGGAACTGTTTCAGAGACGCATGGAAAGGCTTATGACAGAACCCAAACCTGACTGCTCAGATCCTTATTGGGACTATCCAAAAAGCCTGGTGAGCTGAAGTTAGACTCTCCCATGCTCTGCTTGGGATATAACCATGGCTATGACACTGATGTCTATGGTACCACCAAAGACGTTCAAGCTTCAAACCAGGAAATCTGCTGGATTGTCGCTTCTGTCCTCACTTTACCATTTAAAGCCCAACATCTAGAAATTTTTTTGACTGGTTGCACTATGGACTTAGAAACTGGGCTTGTAGACTGCTCCAACCACTAATCTTGTTTTTTCTTTTTATTTTCATAGAATTTCTCCTCATTAAGTGTCTGATGGTTTGTGCTATCCAGCAAATATTCTTTACTACCAAGTCCCACCAGATGGTTTAGCTGGTGCTTAATGAACAAAAGAAGTATAAATAAATTTATATTGTTCAGAGGAAAGAAAAATGTCTCTTCTTTCTTTGAACAAGAAGAACTGACAAAGACTCTCTCCCTGACCAAACTTTAGTCATGTTCCTCTGAGCCCTCTTCTCTACTAGGTGTTGACCTTGGTCCCTGTTTTTGTTGGGTCTGCACAGCCCACTTGTAGCAAGAATCCTGCTGAGTCAGGTTAGGGAGAATTTCCCAGGCTAAAATCTGATCAAATTCTTAATATCTGATCACCCCGACCTGCCTTCAGCAAAAATCCTGTTAGGTTGGTGTAGCAAAAAATCCCCCCTACCATTCATATCTCCTCTTAGTAATTTTTCATTCATTGACCTCCTTATTTTGATTGATGGCTGTAAATTTCCATTTGTTTTGCTATACAATCAGTGAGTTGAGTCTGATCTCTCACCTCTGCTGTAATAGTCTTGACATTGCAATAGCCTTGAATAAAGTCTTTCTTACTGTTTTAATAAGTGTCAGAATAATTTTTTCTTTATCTATATATTTGCTTTATATAATACGCATATATATGATATATATCATATATATAAACCAAACTCCTATGAGCAAAAAAGATTAGCAAAAAAAATTTTTTTTTTTTTTTTGAGCCGAAGTCTCGCTCTGTCGCCCAAGCTGGAGTTCAGTGGCGGGATCTCGGCTCACTGTAAGCTCCGCCTCCCGGGTTCACGCCATTCTTCTGCCTCAGCCTCTCGAGTAGCTGGGACTACAGGCGCCCGCCACCACGCCCGGCTAATTTTTTTGTATTTTTAGTAGAGACGGGGTTTCACTGTGTTAGCCAGGATGGTATTGATCTCCTGACCTCGTGATCCACCCGTCTCGGCCTCCCAAAGTGCTGGGATTACAGGCGTGAGCCATCGCGCCCGGCCAAGATTAGCAAATATTAAACCTAACTCTTTTGTTTTACAAACAGTAAAAATGAGACAAAGCTAAGTGAGTTATTTAAAGTTAAAAATATTTTCCTCTGGTTGCAATGTAAGCCAGTTCCTCTTTGTGCTATAGTGAATCAAATCAGAAAAGCTGCTAACTTTCACAGATTCACGTGCTGTACTTTAAAACCATGAATGTTCAGGTCATCCTGTTCTCTCTGTTTAGTAGGTTGGAGAAAAAACAGCCATTTATCAAAGGTATGAAGCTCAAACTATATTGTTAGGGAGAATTTCCAAAGAAGGTTTATATATCTTCGATACATGAAATAGTGTCCTGAAGCCAGAATTCTTCCATTAAAAAAATTCTCTCTGCTCCTTCCCCTGTGATTGTATTGTTCTTTAGTGGAACTTGCCCAAAAAAAGGCCTGAAGAGTAAACACATGGCAAGCAATTGTGATCACTCTTCCCTTGCCCTGGCCAAAAGCTTATTAGATTATATTGATTTACCAGCTCTTTCCTTGCAGAAATAGCCTAATTAAATGCTTAGTTCTGCCTTTGAAGATGAGTTCAGCTCAATAGTTATTTTGGGTTCTAATTTTAGAAGCTGTCCCTCCTATGATTATAATTTTGGTAATGAGAATTAAATGTTGATGTCTTAAATTGGCATTCTTTCCATTTTAACATATTATTTCCTGGAGCCAAAATGTTGTTGGAAGTCCAAGTTTAAATTGGACCCAATCACAGAGTATTTTTACCTTCAGCAGAAAGATTATTCTCTTGTTTACTGAGGAGTGTATATGTAATTCTAGCTTTTCTTCTTTCTTTGAAAAGTTATTTGGGGAAAATTTCAAAGTTATTCTGGTTTAAGCTTTAGAGTGGATATATTCTGCATTCAGGATACTATCTCCTTTTTTTTGGGAATGGAGCCATAGGATTCTTTTTTCAATGGGCATTTTGCCTTTATAAAAGAAAAAGACAATTTTAAAGACTTTTTTTTTTTTGTAAAGCCGCATGATCTAACTTTTGGGGATAACTTCAGCAGTTTAAAAGGCAGGCTCTTATAATGGCTATAGGAAGAAGTAGGATATATGGATTTGGAGTAGCTGTGATTTTTCTCTTCTTTTCCTTCCTTTTCAAGAATAACTAGACTTATTCTTATGGTAGTAAAGAGTTGGCAAATCTAAATGACGCAGTCTGTCTTTAAGATAGTCTAAACTTTCATTTTCTAGCAATAGGTGACCCCAGAGTGACTATGTGAAAATTGTTTAAAAAGTAGACTAAACATCTCAAATACCTACCTTCTGTGGTTAAAAAAAAAGTATTTATGAGCCTTTTGTCTTTATGAGTCTTCATGATTGCTCTTTGCTTTAAATTGTCCACTTAAGAGGTCTTTGATGGTAATATTCGTTAAATACCTACTTCCTTTCCCAATGACCAGTTGATTATTATTATTTGTAATCTAGTAGGAGATAATTTTGAGCAATGTAACTGGACTTGTACAACTGACAGACAACAAAAAAGTTTCCTTTCATAGCTTCTTTTTTTTGGTTTCTGTGAAATTAAGGGCATCATCAACACCCTGGAGCATCTGAAAACAAATTTCCTTTTTTGAGGCTTTGGTGGTTATCAAATAGGGTGTGAATTTACCATGCTTCATTGCGCTGAAGGAGACCCGTGTTTGATGGTCTTGCCAGGCATTTACACATTGTATAATGCTGCCTCCACTTACAGTTCAAAGCAAGCATTGTCTCCTGGGTTTTCACTTAGCTTATATTGCCGCTTCTCATTTATTTTGAGATAACAGTTGACTTCAAACTAGATAATCTTCTGATCAGGAAAATGAAAAGCTAGTTCCTTTCCTTCATAAAACAACCTTTTCTTTGAAGACACAGTTCAGTAAATCCAATAAATTTTGCGACAGCATGACTTTTCATTGGTTGGGTACTATGATAAAAAATGAAAACAAGTCCTTTAAGGATGATTTGATACAAGACTTCTTTTTTTTGCTAAGTTTAGAAAGCCGTTCTATATGTATAATAATTTGATAATATTAGCCCGCATGAATTTTAGTTGTATCAGTGGAATGTTGGCTTTTGAACTGTGTATGTGAAACAGAAGAAAAGAAAGCAAAACAAACAATCAACTAATGTAGTTGGTTTTTTGTTGAAATTCTAAAGAGAATTCAAACATGAATTCAAAATACTGTTTATTAAACAGCAAACACAGAGATATTCATTGTAGAAGCTTAAAACATAGCAAGATTGATTTTAAAAGTGCAACTCAAAGCCATGTTTTAGAAGACGTTTCAGCTAATGATGGCTAGCAAAAGATCTCTGCTGGCAGTGGTTTTGGAATCTCAGAGTTGTTACTTTCTGTGAACCAGTGATTTCGTTTTTCTAAGGTTAGTAAGTAAAGTCAATTAAAAACAATTTCAGGTATGATTGGGAAAACAGAAACAAAACCAGAATCAGTTGTTTGCTTTCAATGTTGAAGCCCTGAAAGGGAGGTTGTTAAAAAAATTGTTTTGAAATTTACAACTTTTGATTTGTTCCTGAAGTTTTCTGAAAATATAAATGTCTTAGTATGTATTTTCAATACATATGTAAAATTTTTATCAAATCATTTTGGAATTCATTGCAAGTGCCCAAACATGCCTGGTAAATGAGTTAACTACACAAACTAGAAATATTAAATTCTAAGTTTATACAAAAGTTTGTGAATTTATGCCTGATTCAAATACTAGCTAACATTCAGTTGGAGTTTCAGTTTGGAAAATAATTCTTCACTCACCACATTATATGATTCTTCTAAGAGTCCTATAAAATAGATAGGGCAGTTTATATAATCTCCATTGTGAAGAGAGGGTAAATAATAGCTATGATTTGTTGAAGGTTAACTGTAAGCCATACATCATTTAAATATTTTGCATATATTAACTCATTTATTCCTCTCTAAGCCTTATGAAGTAGATCCTATTGTTGTGCCATTTTGCAGATGAAGAAATTAAGACACAGAGAGGTTAAGCATCTACCCAAGGCTGTATAGCTAGAAGTGATGAAGCTGAGATTCAAGTTGAGGAACGATTACTGTCTCATTTTGCAGATGAGAAACCTGAGGTTTAGAGAGGCTGAGATCACTGACGTCACTAACCTTACCAAGGTCAAAATCCTTGTAAAGGGGCTGGGTGCGGTGGCTCATACTTGTAATCCTAGTGTGCAGATCACTTGAGCCCAGGAGTTTGAGACTAGCCTGGTCTCAAGACGGCAAAATCTCGTCTCTGCTAAAAATACAAAAATTAGTTGGGCATGGTGATGTGCACCTGAAGTCCCAACTACTTGGGAGAATGAGATAGGAGGATTGCTTAAGCCCAGGAGGTTGAGGCTGCATTAAGCCATGATTGTGCCACTGCACTCCAGCCTGGGCAACAGAGCGAGACCCTGTCTCAAACAAACAAACAAACAGAAACAAAAAACAAAACAAAAAACTGACAAAGAACAATGCAGACATTAAAAAAAAAAGATCTCTCAATCTGTCTAGCTCTAAAAATCTTAGCTTTTAAGCTTTTAAACATGTTATTACAATGTTTAAACCCTGGCTTCTCAATTATTGAAATTATTGATTTTATGCCAAGATATTTAAGCTAATATGTTGCTCAATTCTGGTCACTGTATACAAAGATAAATTGACATTTTTCTCCCACTATGCAATTTTTAGTAACTATTTCTACTTTGTAGCTTTGGTAGATAAATGGCTTTTACTTGGGATATTGGGAAAGGTTTGGGGGAGTATAAGATGCAAAGTATATAGTAATGTACTGGAATCACTGGGGAAGCATTTTTAAAATATATCAGCTGATGCCTCTGAACAGATCTATCATATCAGATAGGCATGGCACTATCCAGGGTGGGTGGAGGCTATCAGAAGGAGGCTGCCCTGGCCTGGGTACTTTCAGAAAAGTTCCCCAGCTGAACCTGCTATGCTCTAACCCGGATGAAAACTGCAAGAGGCCCCTGTCCAAGCCCTCTCCAAGAGGCCCACCCTCACAAGCTGTCTCACATTCTGGAGACTTTTCATGTTGTAGATATTACCTGACAGTTACAAAGTTCAATGAGAGAACTGTTTTCCTCCATCTGGGTAGTAAGGCACCTGATCATTAATTTGGGGGCAGCATTATTGTGCTGTCTGTGGTTAACTAAAATCTGTAAATTTTTTTTTCTTACTGAAACCAAGATTAGAGTAAGTCATCCCCTTTAGGCTTGTCTATATTAAATGTATCTAATTTGGGTACATTATTCCTGTGTGTTGAGCTCTTTGTCAAAATGGATTTAGCAATCTAAGATATTAGTGAACTATTCTTTTCAGGTTTGTGTCATATAAAAATTTGAAAAGTAGAATCGTCCTGAAGCAGCGGCCAGAGAAGAGACAAGGGCACGAGCATCAGAACGCCATGCCTTTCTTGGACGTGCAGAAAAGGTTTGGCCTTAACACAGATGGGTGGTTGACAATCCAAAGTGCTGAACAGCCCTACAAGATTCCTGCTCGACACCATCCTTTTGAAAAAGAATGGAGAGAATGTGCACATGGAATTGGTGGTATTTGGGGAGAGAAAGAGTGCAGAATAGAATACGACTATTTCATAGAGTGTATACTTTGGCAGAAAATGATGAGATGTGTGAGTACCATCAGGAAGCAGTGGAATAAGCTGATAAAGGAAGGGAAGTACACCCCTCCACCTCACCACGTGGGCAAGGGGGAGCCTCGGCTTCTGAGCAGAGTCCCACAGTGCTGGGACTACAGGTATGAGCCACTGCACCCAGCTGTTATAAAATATTTTTCAGCTTCATTTCCTTCACTAAAAAATTGGGATAGTAATACCAATCTCAAATGATTATTGAACATACTGAGATTTTATATGCATATATACACAAACACATACATATATAACATATATAATTTATATGCATATATACACAAACAAATACATATATAACATATACAAAATTTCCTCTAGAATAGTACCTGACATGGTAAATATTCAATGAATAGTCTCTATTATTAATAACTACTAATTATTGGCTAATAATTATTAATGGCTAATAATTATTTAATACATTATTATCTTTGAGGATATTGTGAGAATTTGATCAATATATGTCTTTCTATGCCAGAATGTTATCTCATAAAAAAAAATGAGATGTATTAGTCTTAGCTTACTTTGTAGACCATTATGATTGATCACCATTAGTCTCATTCTTTTTTTTTTTTTTTTTTGAGATGGAGTCTCGCTCTGTCACCCAGACTGGAGTGCAGTGGCATGATCTCGGCTCACTGCAACCTCTGCCTCCCGGGTTCAAGAGATTCTCCTGCCTCAGCCTCTTGAGTAGCTGGGATTACAGGCATGCACCACCAACACCCGGCTAATTTTTGTATTTTTAGTAGAGATGGGGTTTCACCATGTTGGTCAGGCTGGTCTCGAACTCCTGACCTTATGATCCACCTGCCTTAGCCTCCCAAAGTGCTGGGATTACAGGTATGAGCCACCGCACCCAGCCGGTCTCTTATTCTTGAGTTAATATAATACACCATTTTAATCTATTCATATTTCTCAGTTTGTGAAATCTGGCTGAGTTTTTTATGTTTCTTTCTCTCTCTTTGGAGACAGAGTCTCACTATGTTGCCCAGGCTGGAGCCCAGTGGCTGTCCACAGGCCTGATCCCACTACTAATCAGCATGGGAGTTTTGACCTGCTTGGTTTCTGACTTGGGCCTGTTCACCTCTCCTTAGGCAAACTGTGGTCCCCTTCTCCTAGGTCACCATATTGATGCCAAACTTAGTGTGGACACTCAATCAGCTTAGTGCACTAGAGTCCTGGTGCGCTAGAGTCTTAGTGTGCTAAACTCCTGGACTCAAGCAATCCTTCTGGTTCAGCCTCTTCAGTAGCTGGAACTACAGGCACACTCCACAGCACCCTACAGTTTTTTGTTTCTATACATGATGAAATAGAATAAAACCTTGCTTTTCTTAAGCCTGGTATTAGGTATATCCCAAGTACCATCTGCCATTGCTGAGAACCCAGAACTAAATAAACAGTTGAGGAGATGAGCTTTCATTTATAGCTTTACTTGTGAAAGGTTGATCTGGCTTTAGTTTTCTTTGGCCGTCAGTTTCTAAAAGTTCTGAAAAAGTTTGTTTCCCAATCGAGTTAAATGAAATTAGCTAGAAAGTTTTGACTGTTGCTAAGAAGTCAAAAAGAAAAAACTGTAAGAGATTTTGTTGAAGTCAAGAAATCAAATTATAAGAATGTGATTGGTGTTTTTAATTCAATAATTTTGCACAATGCTATGTTTTCTTGTGGACGAGAGGTTAAAGTGACATTAGAGATTTATCTCAGGTTAAATAAGATTTCATTGCTTTTGGGTAGTGAGTAGACATACAGAAGGGTGTTCATTTAATCTCCAGAGAAAGTTTAAATGGGTTTCTGAGTGTGCCAAGAGATAACCATTCAGGTTTAGTTTATAAGCAGGATTCCTTAGCCATCATTTTTATTTCCCTTTTTATAGTTTCTAAAGTAACATTAGCTCTAACATGTCT
This sequence comes from Homo sapiens, assembly GCF_000001405.40. Taxonomy (NCBI): domain Eukaryota; kingdom Metazoa; phylum Chordata; class Mammalia; order Primates; family Hominidae; genus Homo; species Homo sapiens. The sequence goes on along the minus strand of NC_000001.11, from coordinate 96,582,590 downwards.
AACAATCTCAAGAAGATATATCTTAGTTTGTGATATGCAGTCTCTGTAATGGTTTGCCATCACTTTAGACTTCAGGAATAAGGTTCAGTAATTTTAAAACTCAATGCCGTGACATAGAAAACCACTGGCATTAACTTTCAAATCAATGAGGAGAGTAGAAGAATGTTTTAACAAAAGAGCTAATGGCTGTTTTCTTTAACCTATAGTTGGAATAATTAAATAGCGTGGCCTTTTCATCCAACACTAAAAGGAAAATGGAGAGTCTGATATTTTATATCTGAATCCTGTAGAGGATATCATTGGCACATGTGTAATAGGTTTCAATTTTATTCTTCTTTTCTTAAACAGATATTCTTCATAGCAGCACCATATGATTCTTATTATTTAACATTTATTTAGTAGTGGCAATAGATTTGACTCTGCATTGAATTCAGAGAGTATGAGTAATTCCTTCCTGGTGGGCATAGTATAAAAATCAGGCAAACCAAACCTCAATATTAAGAGATAATTATCCACGATACGAGGCAGAGGCAGAACATGACACAGGTGCTCTGCTCTTTCAGGAGGCATCTTAAACGAAAATGGAGGCGAGAGTGCCCACCCCCTAGTGCTGTCATCTGGAATACTGGTGAAACAACCCCCTAAAGCTGACTTAAAAGGCACAGCTGAATTGAGCACAAAGAGAAACCAACGGGCTTGTGGATGTTACTGTGCCTTCAATGAAGCTTTAACTCAATAATATGATGATTTAAAAGCAGACGTGATGTTCCTAGCATTGCTACAGTTTCGACCACCCAGCTATTTTGCTCCTTTGTGATTCTGAATGAATTATTGATAAGGAATACTTCAAAGGTGTGCAAAAAATTATTTTGCGTTTAGTGTTTATAAAACGATGACGTTGATGGAGGGAAAAAGAAAACCACTGTCAATATTTCTCTGAGACTAAACAATAACAAAGTGCCTTCAGGATTCATTTTAATGAGAAATACTGGTGTGGCTCTGTGGAAATCTCGGGACAGGCAGTGCACACTAGCAAATTAATTATAGGTTGGCAGCCAGGCAAATGTAGGAGGCTTATGGTGGCACTGTAGAAAATAAATATTATTTTAATCAGCAATACTGGCTTATTTCCTCAAAGGTAACATCAACCTTTAAATGTACAAGTCACATATATGTAGAAAACTATTTCAAAACAAGGGGTGCGTGGCTTTTCTGCCTATTATTTTCAAGTTAGTATTTGCACAAGGTTTCCTCAAAATAAGGCACAACTGATCCCTTAGTCTTGTCCACGGTCAGAGAACAGGGTTATCATTACCGACAGCATTTTATCTAAGCCTGACTCTGATCTGTGCTGGAAGAGACATTGACTTTCATGATGGTTTTATGGATCGATGATTCAGGTGGTTCTCCAGATAGCTCTGCTGGATTCCTGGGCCCTGTTTGCAAGTCAAAGCTGCATCTCCTCCCCTAGGTGGAATTTCTCAGTTCAAGGATTCACCTCTTAGCTGCCTCCAGCTCCTGCAGTTGGCAGCTGACGGGGCAGCGCTGTTAATGCAACCAGAGTGTTTAAAGCGGCAGGTGATAAGAGACGCTGGGATTTTAACAGCATAATGAATTAATTCACAAACTCACTGAGCACAAATGATAACTTTGGTACAATTTCCAGTTGCAATTAGGAGGGGACTGCATTGTTTTACAGGATAAAGGTATTAGTCCTGATTCTTGTAATGTAATGTGTAGTATACTGGTATCTTTGAGGAAAAGCTAGTTTCTGGATGTGTGAATTTGCCCGTGACCAACTCCTGAAATGGATGCAAATTAAAATGAGTGATTTCTGTGATAGTGAATGTGCTGTAGCGTAGCCTCTATACCCAGATTCTTAAGAGGGGGCTGGCAGAGTCTCAGAATTTCATTTTGCCTCAACGCTTATCCAAAAGCAGCATAACCAGCCCCTGTTCAAATGTATCCCAAACTTTTATTATATTTTGAGTTCATCCAGCCTGAGCATGCAATCTTCATTTTGTACTTCAACCTGTAACTATTTCAGTGGCTGCCTTCAGAATCAACAAATTTGAGATAACTTTTAATTTCTGCATCCATTGTGGAGAAGAATCATTCATATCTTCACCCATTATTTCTGGCATTCCTTCAGAATATTTCTAGCAGAAGAAATACAATTTTAAATACCAAAGTCAAGTTTTAGAAAAATGAATTCTACTTTTATCAGGATTTGATTGGCATTATCAACAGTATTTTCAAAAAGAAAATTGTGAGTTTGTGTTAATGAAAATGTATGCTAATGTCTTTTTAAGAATTATTTGCCATTATTTTTCTCTTTAGATTGTTATACTACTAAAAGTAATCAATAAAATCTATTGTTACCTGTAGAATGCTCAGATAAGTACTAGGTATACATGGCTAATTAAAAAATGCCATTTGATGATAATAGTGGTGATAGACATAATGATAAAATACTTGTTCTTTCAGATGACTGACTTATGCTGAAATGATATATTCATTCAATACAATGAATATTCAATGCAATTTAATAAATATTCATTGGACACCTGTGCTAGGCCCTAGGGATATTAAGATGAGAAAGATTCAGTATTTTGGGAGATTATATTGTTACAAATATTCCCTCCTTTTCCTATATGAGGATTGTACTTCCTGCTTGTGGCCATGTACCTTGCAGTGTGTCCTGAGGGAAGGGAATATGTATACTTCTCTATTCTTGGCCATGTGACTAATTTTAGCCAATGACCTGTGAGTGGACATGACTCATGCTACATCTGAGAGGCATTGTGTGTTTCTAGCAACATTCTTACTTTTTTCTCTCCTCTTGAGAATGGCATATCTCAAAAAGGAGCTGCTCCTAATCTGAAACACAACCCTGACTTTAATCTCAGTCCTGGAAAGAAAAGATTAAACAAAGCCACAGCAGTTGACTATGGCTGCCAATATGTAACATGTCTGTTGTAAGTTGCTGATACTTTGGAAGTTGATTTTTCACCATAGTGAAGCTAACTAAAACACTTTACATGGCATTAAACTACAGTACCTTAATTCTAAGGCACTAAAAGTTGTGATAAACTGCACAGAAATTTATGACCCAAAAAAGAAATAGTTCTAGTCCAAGAATCCTACAAGCTCAAGTTATGTAACATTGTCAAGATGTACTGTGAGCAAATTACATCTGGGTTGTTCTGGCCAGATTTGGATACTGAAAAATTTTAGTGAATTAATTGTGCATCTATCTCCATTGAGTGTTTAGGTTACCAAAAGGAATAACTCTGCCATAATTTAATTGTCCTAGATGTACGGATCTGGTCCAAGTCAATTGGCAGTTCAAAGTCAAAGCTGCCATGCTTTGTTTATCCAGTGGAATGAAAATTAAGGCTTTTTTTCAGGACAGTTAACATGCCAGAGATATATATCCACCCATTCCTAATATCTCTTGATGCTTCTCAATAATTAGATATCAACAAGCATTTGCATCTCTCCTCTCTTTCTCCTCCTAGGGTCTGGGTTATCGTGGATGGAGAGGACTTCTGCCTGAATAGAAAAAATAGACATTGTGTGTTTTGTCATTTGTGTGTTTGCCTGCATCTGAGAGAGAGAGAAAGAGAAAGAGAGGGAATAAAAGGTTTAACTGAGTTCGCACTGTATTATACTTCCTTGAGAGTTCTCTTATACACCTGAAAATATCAGACACCAGATGAAAATCCCATGATATTGTAAGGAAAAAAAAAGATTATTTAACATATTTATTTTTGTTGTGTCTTTTCAGAATGTTTTCCTATATACCCTTTGCCAACTGCCTTTCCTTAGACTTAGATGCCGGGACACAGGCTGTGGTAGACATTGCTAGTGCTCCCCTGTGTTTGGCCCTCTTTGTTGTCCTTTGGAGCATGGCACACTCCATCTCCCACTGCCCCACAGCTGGGTAGGTCATGTGATGGGTTCTAGCCAATGGACCCGAACAGGGGTGATACAGTCACTCTCTGGGCACGGCTCTCCAGAACTCCTTTCTCTTGTCGCAGTTACCTTGGAAAACTCATGTTGAGAGGCCAGTGCCACCAGATGGAATTTGGACAGATCCCGACTCACTGCTTGGACCTGCAAAAGACTTTTTGGGAGCAAGACATATGTTTTTATATATTATTTTTACTGTACCATAGTCTAAGACAACCTATGATTTCTGAACACTTGTCACTTTTTTGCCTTGGAATTAGTTGCTTTTTCAAATCTGTCCTTCCTTCCTTCCTTCTTTTCTTTCTTCTTCCTTTCTTCCTTCTTTTCTTTATTCCAAAAGTATTTATGAAACCAGAGTCTATGCTGGGATTACAGTGACAAACAGTAGAGCCACACTACTGCCCTTATGGATTTATAGGGGAGTGAGAATAACTCACAATGAAAACATTTTTTTCCCTGTACCAACCACTCTATCAAGCTATCTCATTTAATCCTCATAACAACACTGTGAAATAAGACTTATTATTATCTCTATTTTATAGATAAGGAAACTGGCCTTCAGAGAAGTAAATGACATATCTTGAATCATACAGACAGTGAAGGGAAGATTTGGGCTTCAAACCTGAGCTGCTTGATGCCAAAGCCTTGGTGTTATACACCAGGCTATAATAAGGAGTAACTTTTGGTTATCTGGAGAGTTTGATGCAAACTCATCATTATTATTATAGATCTGTCAAAATTAGAGATTTCTCTCCTCTTTGGGCAAGAGTTTGTACTTTGATATTTTGATCATAATGAAAAGGGTATCAAGAGAGTGGGACCAAAGAGTTCCATTCCCCTTACTCTCTGTCTAAAACAATGCCCAGCCATATTCCAATATTGCCCTCAGTGCTTTCATCCCTCTCTTTAAGATGGGATTCCTCATTTGTGTGAACAGCTTCATGAATCCACTGCTGGGGTGGCTTACAAAGTGGTGGGCATGAAGAAGTTTTTCTCACAGTTTTCAGTAAAGCCCCCGTGAGGATAGAATTTCTATCAAAGGAAAGGGCAGTAGGGATCCTTTTTCCAGGGAGAAGTTCTGTGCACCAATAAGGATGTCTAATTACGACTTTAAAACAATATTGTTTGGAATACAAAGTGAGACCTTTCCCCCACTTATTTAAGATTTTTTTTTTCCATCAAAGGAGCAAGGAGGATTTTGAAACAAATCAAGTTTAAGGGAAAAATTTTAATGTCACTGCCTTCTGCCCCTGACCAGTGACTTATATACAGCTTATTTTACTGGAAGGGGCACAGAAAACTTCGGCTTTAACTTAAGGACATTTGATAATAGTAACTGTTTGTTAATTTCAGTTGCTTCTCCTTAGTAGCAACTTCTCAAGTTCTCAGGTCCTTTAGGGCAACTCTCAACTCCTGCATTGCTGATAACAGCAGTGTTTCTCAAAGTGTAGACCATTGATCACATCTGATCATTTGAGTCTTCAAAAATGCAGATTCCCAAGTCTCATTACAGATTTGTTGAATCAGAGTCTCTGTCGATATTACTTCCTAGCACTGAGCATTTTCTCAAGGTCCAAGGTGGTTATCATGCACACACTTAAGTTTGAGAACCAGTGTACTGGCACCTAGAGTCTCCTGGCAAAGGTTTTGCTTTCACAAAGAGCAAACATTTTAGCTTTTTATTCTTGTCCTCCTTCCCCCGTCCCACTCTGTCTTTAACCCATTTATGGAATAGTCTTACAGAACTTCTAACAGTAAATTTGCCATTAAAAGTGATCTACTTAGAATGGAATAAACATTCTTTTTAGGGCAGAAATCAAAGATAGGACCTTTGGGAAACCACAGCTTTCTTTGTTCCTCTCCACTAGGCATATTGAAAGACAATTTCTCCCCTTAAAAGAAATGTGCTTACAGACTAAAAAACCTCTCTTTAAACAGTTTCAAAAATTAGATTCACTGCCTTGTGCATCCACATTACCTCAAGCAGGCACCTGCAAAGATACCAAATGAAGGCCTACCAGAAGAAGGTGAAATTCAGGTTCATTTTATACATCCTTCATCATCGTTTTACTATTGTGCTCTCTTCTTTTGCATTTGTTTCCTGGGCACACATTTTTCCTTTCACTCAACCACCTCCCTATACCTGTTTCTACATTTATTTTAAGCAAATATTTAGGCTTTGAGGCTAAAAGACTCTTCAGACCATTTACAATGAAGCCCAGGACTCAGAAGGATTAGCAAGAGGGAGGAAGAGGTGAAAGCCAGGCTCTCCCTGGTGCATTTGAGGAAGACTGGGTTTACTAGAAGAAATGTAATGATCAAAACTCACATACCTGTGGGAGGCTCAGTGAGAAAACATCATTCCAAATGTGTAGTGGATAAATTACCCAAAGTTACAGGAAAAAAAAAAAAAAACCTCCTGGCTGCAGCAAGTTATGTAGGCTATGAATTATTTTATTGAACAGCATTAAGTGCTTTCCTGTTGGAAAATGAGGGACTTATTAATTATTTTAAGTTCGAAGTAATTAAGTCAGGTACTGTCAGGCTGACACGGTTTTCTCAGCAGGCGGCTCGATACATTCAGCAAAGTGAAGGATTTTTCCCATATGCTGGGCTACAGGTGAGCCAGTTGGTAAATGTGTGGCACCTTTTAATTATACCTCATTGCAATTGAGGTATTGCAATTGAGCTTGTCTTATGAATTATTTGATCATTTGATCATTTGTTGCTCTGTCATGAAAGAGAAGATATTGTTGAGTTTCCCTAGGAAGGATGTAGAGGGAAGAATGGGGGAGTGTCTGAGTTCATGGAAAGGAGGAAAATCACCTCTGTGGTAGGTACTTTTCCAGATTATTTTAGGACCTGACCTGCATGTGACCTCTTATTGTAAGTTCTGGGAAAGTTTCTGTCTCCACTGGCTAGCAGTTGTGAGAAAAGTTTTTCTAGCAGGCCACATCAGGACTGGATGGTAGGAAAGACTGAAAAGCTGTCTCTAGTTGGCCTCCCTTCTGGGCTTTTCCTAGAAGCCTTCCGGGTTACCAGCTGCCTAGCTAGATTCCAGGTGCATGATGGAGAGCCTTTTGATGTGGACAAGAGACAGGGAAATACTGGGTAGAAGACAGTGGTTCCTGGTAAAGGCCCCACCCTCAAGCCTGGAAACCCATGGCCCTAAATGGGAACAGGTATTCCTGTTTGCACACTCAAAAGTTGCCTTTTCGCCTGCTATGTTCCCCTATTCTGTACCCATATAAACCCCAAACCCTAGGCTCCACAAACAGATTAACAGAAGAGCAGAAGAATGACAGAGGAGAGAAGAGAAGAAGCGTCTGAACGTCGAGAGGAGCTTGACTGGGGATGGTGGGAGAAGAGATAGGCTTCTGGGTGGCCAGACTCCAAAGGAATATAATTTTTCCATTCCATCCCCTTTCCAGCTCCCCATCCATCCCACTGAGAGCCACCACCACCCAGTAAAACCCCCAAATTCACCATCCTTCAAGTCCATGTGTGACCTGAATTTTCCTGGACACTGGACAAGATCTCAGGATACAGAAAGCTGTCACACTGGCCCTCTTCCCTCGTGAAAAGGCAGAGGGTCCACTGAACTGTTTAACATTGGCAGATGGCAAGGCTAAAAGAGCACACTGTGACACACACCCATTTGGACCTTGGGAGTCGCAGGCACCCACCCCTAGACATTACCATGGGGCCGGAGCCCAAAATCACTCGCCATAGCTCCTGTACCTGACTGTTTGCATGCTCCCCCTCCTGTAAGGGATTCGAGCGCATGAACAGAAGAACCACATCCCTGTCACACGTCCTGTGAGGGGGGTCAGGGAACTCTCCCATTTCACTTTGAGCTCATATTTGCTTAAAAGAGGAACAGGGCAAAAAAATGGAAAAACGGGGGCTGAAGAGAAATTTGCAGCTGGAGAGATTGACTTCAATATGGCTGCAAAAGTTTTCTAAGATGTTTCTCTTAAAAGGCTCAAAGGTCCCCTTTCACAGCAATAGGTTTCCAACGCTTTCTTCCTTCAATTTGATAAGGTTGGGAACAAATTTGTCTTTGTCATTCTTACTCAATGTCCCACACCCCTACCACCCCCCATCCAACACCAAGTGCCTACTCCTCTATCAGCCCTCTGTGTAACAGAGCATGTTTGTATCCTCAGGTTGCCATATGTTGGTCATTTGTCTCTGGTCCTCCGGTGTTTGGGAAATTTTCTTTTCTGGACTTAAAACTTATTTGTTCTTCCTCTGTGCCTTCTGCTGAATAATAACTAACTAATAATGACATTTGCACTAATGTGTTTATCTAGTCACTCATTTATTTAAATGCTATTAATTTACTGCCTACTTTATGCCCTGTGGAAATGATACATAAGACAAATGTGTTCCTTCCCTCCTAGAACTTATCTTCTTATGTGAAAAGAAATCTTTCCTGGCTCCCATATGTAGAGACCCTGAACTTCGTCCTCAAATTCAAGAGGGCAAGAAGTATTATATTAACTTACTTAAAAAAAAATTCACGTAACTTCAAATTCAATCCCTTACCTTGTTGAGCTGGTGGAAAATTCAACCTAAGTGACTTTATTGTAATGGTCTATAGTATGTTTATACACAGAGATAGGAAAACAGAGTAGGCCCCTTCATCCCCTGCAATACAGAGTTCTTTCCACAAAATATACATAATTTAGTGGCCACAGTGGGGAAGGAGGAAAGAGTACAACGTGGAAGGGAAGGGATCAAATTTCTTCCAGCCCTCTGGGTGAAGAACGGGGACAGGGAGGGGCAGGGGTAGGGAGAGGAAACCATCAGCACTGTGAGGATGGGGGACACAATGAGTGGCCATAGAGGGAAACCACAGGCCGGAGGCACAAGGTCTGGGGCATGAGTGGAGCATCTGAGGTCAGTGTTTGTGAAGAGAAGGGTACACCAGTCTGGGAGTCATCAATAGAAATAAAGCAGGGGCCAGGGAGCAGGGGAGGAGTGATTTCCTGTGAATGCTTTCTGAGGAATCCTACAGTGGCTGTGATGTGTGGAGGAGCCCAGTCAGGAGCAGGGCAGGACTGGGGAGAAGGAGGAAGATATCCAGGAGAGAGGAGGAGGTGAAGAACCCTTGGAGCCTCATTCTCTTATTGGCTGGAGGCCTCTGAGGCTCAGTGACTAGGAAGGAAGGCTGAGTGGGGAATGGGACCAGCTGGCTGTGGGGATGAGGGTGGGATAGGTGACTGCTGGTGAGAGAGTACCTCACCCAAATGTCCCTGAGCCCTCAGCCCAGAAAGATAAATACACACATACATACCCTTAGAAACCCCATATTTTTTCTTGATGGGGACATGTTGCACACAGTCCTACCTGATGCCCAGAACCCAACTGCAGCTCTGGTCTGGTCCTGCTGGTCATTTAAACACACACCAAATCTCCTGCCCTTCATTCACAACTGCTGCCTAGAGTCCCCTGCCTCCACTGTTCAAGGCCCACCCCACTTACTCCCTTTCTCTGACGTACTTTCAGACTCATCCTTAGTCCATCTAGGTTGCACCTACTCTTGGAGAAAGTGGTGGGGGCATGACAGGACCTCAGAGAAGGGGATGGCCATGGTCTTCAACAAGGAAGATGACTAGAGGCCGGTTTGAAGCTGGGAGAATAGCTATGTAGGCTCTAAGGGGCCCCCACCTCTTTGGGGGATCAGTCCTCAGACCCTGGTCCAGACATCATTCTCAAGGCCCACAGTAGGGACTCCTGCCTCTCATATGATCACCAAAGATGACACCATCAGTGAGCAGAGGATGGGACAGTACTAGAGCCAAGAGGAAGGAAGCAGCCTGGTAGGGCTGGGGAGAAGAGACAGAGCATACTGCAGAGCAGGTGAAGTCTTAGCAAGGGACCACCCACGGGGTGATGAATGTCCTTGAGCTGAACAGCAAAAAGATGAAGAAAAATAAGAAGATATTCGATAACTGGATGACAACCCAATAACTCTTAACCCAAGGCACAAATCACCAGATGGCTCTAGAGTATACAATTCATTATCAGTGGCTACTGTTTCATTTTTTCTGCATATGAACATTAAAATGAACGCTATCATGGTAGTAGAAAATCGTGTGTTGCTCAGTGCAGCAAGTTTCTGTATATAAGATAAATACAGTCATCAAGTTTATAGTCAAAATTCGTAAACTCCACATCTCTGGGTATAATAGCTCTACTTTAACTGTAGAAAACCACTCTTATTATCTTGAAAGACAATAATAACAAACAGCTTTTTTTCCAGATTAAAAAATTTGGTTTTCTTTTTTGATTACCTTTTACATAGTGTTTAAATAAAAATGAAATTATTTTGTCTAATTTCCCAGAATAATTTAAACTATATTCATTTAAAAAGTTAGACATGTTTTTTTCTGCCAAAAACACAAATCCGACTGCCAATTTATATTTGTAGTGAAACTGTATTTTATTTTATTTATTTATTTTTTTTGAGATGGAGTCTCGCTCTGTCACCCAGGCTGGAGTGCAGTGGCGTGGTCTGGGCTCACTGAAAGCTCCGCCTTCGGGGTTCCCGCCATTCTCCTGCCTCAGCCTCCCGAGTAGCTGGGACTACAGGCGCCCGCCACCTCGCCTGGCTAATTTTTTGTATTTTTAGTAGAGACGGGGTTTCACTGTGGTCTCGATCTCCTGACCTCGAGATCCGCCTGCCTCGGCCTCCCAAAGTGCTGGGTTACAGGTGTGAGCCACGGCGCCCGGCCGTGAAACTGTATTTTATAATGTTACCTTGCTGACTATGTTTTATATAAGTGACCACTAATAAAGTGTTTAAGACAAGCTTTCAACTCAACTCTATCAAACTCTTCAAAGATTTAGTATTGATAACCTTATCAGCAGTATTCAGAGTTGGATTACAGCTATAAGCATTTTCCTGGTTAAGCTCCCCAAGACACTGTATAAAGGTTTTAACAGAAGACATCATGTTGTGCAGTTTAATGCATGTTTGTAAATATTGCTGCCCATTGGAAGTATTTGCATGAACAGGAAATGTAGATGAAAACACTTATAACATTTTAAATGCTCATTGTAGTAAACTTGTATTTTGTAGATTTGAAGGTACAGACTTTTGTAAGCAAGTTCATAAAATGGTGATTAGGTTATAAATATTAAGTAAAATGAAGTTAAAATAAATTATTTTCTATGTGGTATGTTTTGAAGTGATACTTCATATTGCAGTAGTACCTACAAAACAAACACCTAGGCTGGGAGCGGTGGCTCACGCCTGTAATCCCAGCACTTTGGGAGGCCGAGGCGGGCGGACCACGAGGTCAGGAGGTAGAGACCATCCTGGCTAACACGGTGAAACCCCATCTCTACTAAAAATACAAAAAAATTAGCCAGGCCTGGTGGCGGGCGCCTGTAGTCCCAGCTACTCTGGAGGCTGAGGCAGGAGAATGGCGTGAACCCGGGAGGCGGAGCTTGCAGTGAGCCGAGATCCCGTCACTGCACTCCAGCCTGGGCGACAGAATGAGACTCTGTCTCAAAAATAAAAACAAAAACACCTATTACAATGGTGAAAATTTAAAAAAACTTATCTAACATGTTTGGATTTCCTTACTTGACCCTGTGGAAATCCTCCCAGCCAATGGGTATGCTGGGTACATTTGGCCTTTGTTGGTCTCTGCCAAAAACTTATGAACGGAAATGTAAAACAATCTCTTGCCCTATACTCTTCCCTTTCCATTAGAACATCTTATTATACTTATTTTTTAAATTTGATTTGTTCCAAAGTCTATATTTTTATTACTTATTACCATAAAGCAAAGTTTCAATGTATGTACAATATTAGAAGAAAGTCACACACACAAAAAAACACTTAGAATAATGACTTTTCTGGTGTACACATATAGCTTGGAAAATGTAAAGATGCAAACACAGAGCTTTGTGAAGTAAAACAGTCACCAAATAACTAGTACAATTGAGGCAAGAATTTCTGTGAGAGAATACGACGATAAACCCAGAGCGGGAAATCAAGTCATTTCCAAAAGCCTTGGGAGAGGAGTCCTTGGATTCTTACCAAATCATAGTACATAAGTAGATGTCCGTTCTGCTTATGCTAAAGACCAGCCTTCTGCTTATAGAATTTGTACACTTGAGCAAATATTTCTGAATTCATGTCAGGGAGAGGCAGCTTTCTTTAAAGGAGAAATCATGTTGCATAAGTCCAAGATGCTAAAAGATAGTGTACATATTAAACTCTATGGAAAACTGCATATGCCTTTCAATAAACAAATATGTATTTTCCGTGTTATTCATGTAAAACATTGCACTAGCTATTCTTTTTTTGTTTCATTTCTATTTTGAGCCACTCTTTCCTTATAATAAACTAAATTACATAAAGAAATGTAGAAATAGTAGAAAAAGTCAATTTTTAGACAGGGTCATTTTCTCTTAAATCTGAATTTTGTGGACTGCAGGATATTGGCAACCAGTAACCTATACCTCATTGAACACGTTAATTCCCAATTTCTCAGAAAACAATTAATGCTGATTTATAGAATCTTCAAGTTAGAACACCTCAACCTCAAAAGTGCCCTTAAATTCAACCATGTAATTGTCATCTCACGTGGGAAGCATTTAAAACTTTTACTCACTTTCCATTAACAAGGTGGCATCATAGCACATTTTATATTTTCAAAAATATTGGAAATAAATCGACATTTGGCTAGGCATTTTCTTGAAAACAGCTCAGCACCCGTCAAATTTAGCACATCTTCCTTTGCCTAGAAAGGGAACAGAATAGCCATGAATATTGTGTTGTTACCATGGGTTAACATTTTGGAAATCTTTTAAAGGCAATGCTGTCTGAAAAGTGACATCTCCTTTGGTGTTTAGAGGAGGCTGACATCGAGTGCACCACTTGCCTTTCTGTGGGTAGATACTTTCATGTCTTTCATAATGACTGCATATTCATATTGCTGAAATGTGGCTTTCTGTCTGAGCTAGAGCTCAGGGATAATTTTGAATTGGACACATCATGTAATGGGCTAAAAATCAAGGAGAAAAAAAGAGACTTGTATTTGCAACTGGGACAAAATAGATATTTACAATAAAATTAAATGTTTGGTTTAGCTTGGCCCCTAGTGGATGGTAATTCTCATTTTCACATTGAATTGGTAGACTTTGCTCGAATGAGGTGCAGAACCAAATGACCCTGGAGACTAAATTACCTCTTCACTTTGGAAACGGCATTCACCTCAAGCCAGTTTTGAGATGAATTTGTGGTGAGTTGATAGAAAGCCTGGAAATATTTGCACACTTGGTAGCAAGAGTGCAGATAAACAGAGATGCCAAATTCAGAAAACAAATTCTATGCCATTCCCAGTGAATTCAGAAAAAAATTCCTTATCTAATTAGCACAAGTTTAGTACAGAGGTTTGACATTAGTGTTGCCTAAAATTAAAGAATGATTTGCTTTTATTTTGTATTCTTTAATTAAAGAAAATTTAAGAATGGTTTTCTTTCTTTTGTAAGAGTCATGTTTAAAAAAAAAAAAGCAGCCAATAAATCAGCCAACCAACCAAACAAACAAGCAAAAAATCAGGCATTTTCAACTTAGGAACACTCAAGGTACACTGAGGAGAGAGGGTATAATTTTGGCATTTTAGCCCTGTGTGCAGCAGCTTTCATATGAGCTCTGTGATGCCTGCCATCTCTCACCCCAATGAAAATGATGCCATTTGCTTGCGATTATAGACTCCTATTGATTTCCAATTTTCACCAGGCATGTTCAAATCCCTCGGGCTCTGGGCGCTTGTAGATTCTTATCAGTCTTGCAGGGAGGAAACAATGTGGTAATATAATTGGCACAGTGTAGCAATAAGACTCCTGTTGTACTTCCAATTTAGTTCTTTATTGCAATATCTTGATTATATATATTGTCATATGTATTTAGAATTATATGTATCTGTATCTGTATATCTGTGTGTGTGTGTAAATACACACACATGTACTTAGCATTTAGCACTAGTAGATTCGAAAAATTTCTCAAAGACCAGACTAAATTTTAATAAAGCCAGGGCTTATCTATTGTGTGTGTGTGTGTGTGTGTGTGTGTGTGTGTATATATATACACACACATATGTATATATATATATATACATACACACACATATGTATATATATATATATACACACACACACATATGTATATATGTATTTGCATATATATTTATGCATATCAATAGTACCCTGAGTAGATTAGGTTGTGTCATATTACTCTTTTAGCTTGCTGTGACTTCCGACTCCAGAGTAATGATTGGTTCACAATTACACTGCAGCTGCTGTCTCAGGAGCTACTTCTGTGGGGGAATCTGCATTCAGCAAGTGTTTATCTTATGTAGTACAGTGCCACCCAAACAGTTCTGAGCTCTTACCAAAAGTCATCCTTTAGAAAGCACACTTCACAACTGTAGTATGTAACATGCAATTACTTCCTTTTTATCATGAAAATATCAGAGTAACACTTTTATTCGATCTAGGAAAAGGACTTTCTAACAATTCCAATTTTTTTCCTGAGGTTGTTATGTTCTAAATTTAGGTTCATATTCTAAATTTTAACTTACCAATTAATACAGACCATGAGGCTTGATGTGTGCTAAACCATAGAGTCACACTAAAAGTTAAGGTGATTTGCCAAAATGTGGAAGAAATGTGAATGCCTACATTTCAATTTGTCTCTGAAAGAGTAGACACTAGTAATTGCTTTAGGGAGCTGACCAAGATGAAAGAAAGTAAACAATTTTAATTTCTTCTTTATGGGATTGTTACAAAGTCCCTGCTTTGGATGGTGCCTCCCCATAGGCTTGTGCATTGTGCTGAAGCTCCATTAGAGAGAGTGCACACTTTGATCCAGCTACTGCACTGCACGTGCTCTGTTATGTGAAGAGCATGACAAATCTGCATACTTTCCAATCTTTCCCTTTATTTTCTTTTACACAAACTTAGAGCGGAAAAATAAATCTCTGAAAAAAACGAATGTAGCAGTATTATAATCTTCATGTAGTCTTGTGATTAAAGAAAAAAAACCACCTCTGTGTTTTCGATGGAAATACAAACAAAATTATTTATCTGTTCTGCATATACCCTTTATTTTTACTTTCTGATCATTCTACTGAGACTGGGTTTCAGTAGAGTCTCCAAGGTAATGGAGCCTGGTGGCTAATCCATTGAGCCATACAAACTCCATCTGCTTACTCACTTTGACATTTTAATAATATCCCATTTGGACCTTTGTTCAATTTTGCTTTGTGTGCTACATCTTTGTTTTAATATTACAGCTGAAATAATTTATTATAATGAATACTATCAAGTCTCACTAATTAAAACACACAGAGAGATTTTGTATATTTCAACTCTGTATACTTTCCATGGAAAATGGACCCATTAAAATTTGTCAATGGACCATCAAATTGCCCTCTGAATTATTGTTCATTGTGTATTTTACTTGGAATAAAAGAAAAAGTAGGCCATTTAAAAAAAGTAGCACCCTATCTTATTTCCATCTTACTTTGAAATTTCTTGTATGAAGTTTTTCTCTGTAAATACAATAACAGATTATTCTAATTATATAGTACAGTAGGAAAGTTTCAAACACAACTGCTGATGATGGAAGTAATATTAAATGCTGCCTTATTTTGTTTTATAAATATGTGATTTCTTTAAATGAAGATTATGACCTACTATTTATATACATAAATCATACAAATTGTAACAGACTTGTAACATGCTTTATGTGTTGCCCTCCAGGACTTGATTGTATTCAGCATATGTCACAGTCAAAAGCTTATTAACTATATTGATTAATTAATATATTTCTTCTCATTCATACCAAGATACTGAGGAATATCATAGATGGAAGAATTAAGACTTAAACATGCATTAGAAGATCCCCAAAATATTTAGTCAAATCTTAGTAGGACATGAAGTACACAAAAATACTGTAATGTAACCTAGATTTTGCAGAAGACACAGATGGTAAAGCAAGTGATACATCATTTGCAGGATGTTAAGTTGCAAACAGAAAGTTAAGCACGATCCAGACTGTAAAGCAATGTAGGAGTCCAAGTGTGAAGAGATTTAAATAATAGAACAGTAATATGCAACATATTTTCTCTTTTTCCCAAGTAGTCTCAGTATCAAGAATTTATCGGTGAATGCTGCTCTAATAAAATAATGATTATAGCCTGAATTTATAGAGTGTTCTTCAGAAAGTAATAACCTTTTGCACACATTATCTCATTTAATCTTCTTGACAACACTATGAGGTCAGTATCCCTATACTTTGACTTAACAGATGTGAAAAAGGAGGCTCAGAGAGGTTAAGTGGGCTGTGAAATGTCACTTGTCTAGTAAGTGGTGGAGCAGAATCTCAATTCAAGCTTGTGACCCCAAGCTTAGTACTCTGAATTTCATCATCCTCATAGTCTGGGCAATATCTTGGGCCCATAACTTATGCCCGCATCTCAGAGCTGATTCATTTATTTCAGTTATCTTTACAATATGTACTAATGGCCATGGTTTTAGCAACTGTCTAGTGATCTGACAGTCTAGTGATCTAATATAGATCAGTCATGCAGACACTAAATACATGGATTTGCTGTACCAAGTTCATTAGTTCTACCATACATTAAAAATCTGTAGAGTAAAAATGAGATGAGAGGTGAGATATTAATCAGACAATATGATCACTGAAGAGACAGCTCACCTGTATAATGAAGAAGTAATGCAGAATAGAGAAAAAAAATACAGGCTTTGGAGTTGCACAAATCCAGGTTCAGATTATGAATCTTACGTATACTAGCTGAATTTGAGCAAGTTAAGTAATCTCTATGAGCTTTAGGCAACTTCCTTATCTGTAAACCACACTGTTTTTTTTTTTTTAAGAATGAAATATCTGTAGGGTTATTGCCACATTATAAGCACTCAATAAAAGTTACTGCTATTAATATAATTCTGATATTGCATCTAAACATCTCAATTACTTCAACTAGAAACTTTCAGGGGATATAATTTTAATAATTAAATAATAAATAAAGAATAAAACAATTGTTATCAATTTACTAAATATTTTAAACACTTGAAGGACTAGATATTAATCAGGCTATTTTCTGGGTGGTCTTGAGAAACATTCCTGATTCATATCTAAAATTACACTTAAAGAACAAAGAAAATTGCCAAGAATTTATTCAGAAATAAAATATGGTCAGTGACAGAAAATTATAATTATAGCATTTAAGAGCAGATAGGCTGGGCATGGTAGCTCATGCCTATAATCCTAGCACTTTGGGAGGCTGAGGTGGGAGTATTGCTTGAGCTGAGGAGTTCAAGACTAGCCTGGGCAACATAGCAAGACCTTGTCTCTTAAAAAAAAATAAGTAAATAATAATAATAAAAAAAATAAAAGTGGGGAAGTCAAATTATATTTGATTTTATCAGCATAATGATGACAATTAAATTCAAAAGTGAACAAATATCAGTAGGTACCCAAAGATCTAAAAGGTGTCAACTTTTAATATTGAGAAAACCTATCATTAGGTCATGCCAACAGTTGAACTAAAATAAGCAAAGAAAAGGAAAACAGCTGTCAGAACCATAATAGATACTTTATTTGTATACATTTAATTCTGAAATTTAAGAATGGTCAATTGATAGTAAGCATCCTATTATGATGAAAGCTTCAGTTCTCTCATTAGAAGAATCCAGATGGTAGGCCAGGCGTGGTGGCTCATTCCTGTAATCCCAGCATGTTGGGAGGCCAAGGCAGGCGGATCACCTGAGACTGGGAGTTTGAGACCAGCCTGACCAACATGGAGAAACCCCATCTCTACTAAAAGTACAACATTAGCTGGGCATGGGGTGCATGCTTGTAATCCCAGCTACTCGGGAGGCTAAGGCAGGAGAACTGCTTGAACTCAGGAGGCGGAGGTTGCAGTGAGTCATGATCACACTGTTGCACTCCAGCCTGGGCAACAAGAGCAAAACTCTGTCTAAAAAAAAAAACAGAAGAAGGATCCAACTGATGATAAATCATTCAATTTTATGACAATATTTTCATTCAGTTTTGTAATGGTATAACTTATGAATGACTAACGCTATATCTGGGTTGAATTGGGCCCACCAAATTATGAGACTGTAGGCAGAGGCAACTCACAATCTTTAGTTTGAATCTAATAGGTAAAAACTGATTAGGTAAATAGAAAATCTTCCCTATATTCTTAATATTAGCTATTTTTCTTTGCACATAATGTAGGTGACCAATAGATAAAGTTACATGAAAAAATCCAAGAAATCAGAGGTGAAATATCATTAGCTATAAGATGAGAAAGAAAAGATAAAGATATCTATGAAGAAAACCTAAAGGGACAAGTTCAGAGAGCTAGTAAGTCTGTCTGACCTTGATTGTAAGAGCAAAGACAGAAGCCTCAGACACCAGCTGGAAGGAACAAATGTGAAAAAGATGAAAAAGACAAAGAGCCAGAAATACAACTCTGGAATCATAACATGATAAGTTATCTTGAGTTCCATCAGTTCATCTTTTTTTTTTTTTTTTTTTTTTTGAGATGGAGTCTCGCTCTGTCACCAGGCTAGAGTGCAACGAGCCACCGTGCCGGGCCCAATTTATCTTTTTTTTTTTTGACGGAGTTTTGCTCTTGTTGCCCAGGCTGGAGTGCAATGGCACAATCTCGGCTCACTGCAGCCTCCACCTCCCAGGTTCAAGCGATTCTCCTGCCTCAGCCTCCTGAGTAGCTGAGACTACAGGCATGCACCACCACGCCCGGCTAATTTTGTATTTTTAGTAGAGACAGGGTTGGTCAGGCTGGTCTCGAACTCCCGACCTCTGGTGATCCGCCCGCCTCGGCCTCCCAAAGTGCTGGGATTACAGGTGTGAGCCACCCACCCCCCCGGCCCCCAATTTATCTTTTTAAATGTAGCAAATTCACAAATTAAGTAGATTAGTAGAGATACAAATAATTCTCTTGAATTCCAAAGATGATAGAAGTTAAACAAAATTTTGAAAAAAAAAATGTGAATCCAGGTAAAAACTTCAATTAAAGAACCAAAAGGATGTTTTATTCTTAGCAGAAATACTTATAAACTAAAAAGAGATTTGAAGAGTATTCAAGTAAATGCAAGTCCAGACTCAATTGACAGTCCCAAGATCGTTAGATTGATTTATCACCTAGCAAAGGTCAAATATTAAAACATGGGTAGGGAAATAATATCCTTTAAGAGTCTAAGGAGAGAAAAAATGTGTGATCTTAGCATAGTTTTTAAAAATATTAGCTCCAGTTGCAGTATTTCAAAGTATAGTAAAATTTCAGTTCAGCAGTAATTCCTGTTAACCAGAGTCTATTATCTTTAAAAAAACAGGTGGGGATAATTTTCAAGCCAAGACACTCATACACGAGTGATTTCAGTATGCATTTGGATAAACTGCTTCTTCCTTCTTTATCTCAATATTGGCAGCTCAATATTGGTATGTTCCAAAGCTCATCTCTCAGTTGATTGTTTGAAACTCAGAGTATATATTTTTAATAGCATCAGGATAATAATACTACTTTGCATGTGAAGCTCACAAAAGAACGGGACAGATCTGACATGCTCTGCATTGATAATAAAAAGAAGCTATAGGGTTATAGTACCAATGATTAAAATAAATGTTTAAGTAAAAGCAACGTTCAGATTCTTTGAGTTATCCTATTACCACACTTATCTAATCTATGATGGACTCAGAGACTTCTACAGTGGGGGCGAAAACCAAGCCTCCATTTTCACCTCTCTGATTGTTCACAGAAATGACTGATAATAGACAAATTAATAGGAGAAAAAGGCATATGAATTTATTTTATGTGCATAAGCACAAGGGAATCACAAGAGTATGATTACTCCTTAATCCAATGATGTTCAGATGCTTATATGCACTTCTTTATAGGGCAAGGGGAGATCGAAGTGTAGAAGTAAATAATTTTGCCGGGAAATGAATGAGCTTAAAGAACAGTGGCCTGGGACAAAGTTCCTCTGAGCTTTGGGGGAAGTGGTGGGAAGGTGAGGAGTGAAACTTCACTGTGAACAAAGGTTGTCTTATTATGCAGATAAAGTTTTCCAGGTAATCTTTTTGAGCTGTCTCAGAAGAACACATAAAAAGTGTGTCTGAGCACAGTGAAGACTCTCAGTGTCTTCTCTTTTCTGGTGTTAAAATTTTCCTGTTTATTTGATGAGATTCCTAGGGAGGGGGTCTTAAGACAATTGCATTTCTTTTGGAAAAAGGTTTTCCTAGTGATATAAGGGAATTCCAGAGAGAGTCCTTCCTGGTGCATCAGAAAAGAAAGAGGATCAGAGAGACAGGTGCAGGGCTTGGGAGGAAGATCAGAGAAAGACCTTGGTTCTGAGGCTTATTTCTGAGGTCTTTTAATTTCCCTTAATTCAAAGCATTCAGCATCCAAGACACCATATTTTGATGTATCATTTTTTAAGCCCCAATACTACCAATAGCTGAAGTTCTTCTAAAGTCCTAGAAGGCAAAGACTGAAAGTTTAATAATGTTTACATGGCAGAATATTAGTTTCAGGTTAAATTCATGAAACAGAAAGATTGGATATTTTACGAGATGTTAATTTGCTTTATTAAATAATGCTGTCTCTTCAATAATAATTTATGCTGCAGATTTATAATATTTTAGTATTTTAAGTTTTTATGAACTCTTATGTTGATACATTTGCTTTTAAGAAAGATTATTATCCATATTTACATATTATTTGATGGTAAGTCCTTCATTAAGAATACGGCATCCAGGCCGGGCATGGTGGCTCATGCCTGTAATCCCAGCACTTTGGGAGGCCAAGGTGGGTGGATCACGAGGTCAGGAGATTGAGATCAGCCTGACCAACATGGTGAAACCCTGTCTCTACTAAAAATACAAAAATTAGCCAGGCATGGTGGCACGCACCTGTAATCCCAGCTACTCGGGAGGCTGAGGCAGGAGAATCGCTTGAACCTGAGAGGCGGAGGTTGCAGTGAGTGGAGATCACACCAGTGCACTCCAGCCTGGGCGACAGAGTGAGACTCTGCTTCAAAAAAAAAAAAAATTAGTCAGACATGGTAGTGTCTACTTGGGAGGCTGAGGTGGGAGGATCCCTTGAGCCCTGGAGTTTGAGGTAATAGTGAGCTATGATCATGCCTCTGCACTCCAGCTTTGGTAACTGAGTGAAACCCCATCTCAGAAAAAAAAAAAAAAAAAAGAAAGATAAAGGAAAAAAAAAGAATACAGCATTCAAAATTCTAGGACGCTTGTTGACACCAACAACTAGTCTTCTAATATTTTAAACATCAACTGGGTGTCTAATAATTCAATTCAATTCTGTTACTATCTACCTAGAGCTAGCTCCAGATCCCACAAATTGAAGCAGCTCAGTCTTACAAGACCACCCTACTAGAGATGCCAGCTGCAAGTCTTGAACCACCTGCACTTCTTATTGACTGACTATAAATTGGCGGTTCCAATGACCTTCTCCTCATGTTTGATAATTATTAGAATGGGTCACAGAACCTAGAAAAAATACTTTATCCACATTTTCTGGCTTATTATAAAGGATATAACTCAAGAACAGCCAAATGAAAGTGAGGCAGAAGGCAAAATATGACAGGAGAAGTGGTACAGAGATTTCATGACCTTTCTGGGCACCTTAGTATGTTCACCAACCTGGAAGCTCTCCTAACCTTCTTGTTTAAGAGCTTTTATAGCACTCAATCTTCAGCCCCTCCTTTCCCTGGAGGTCAGGTGTAGGTCTGAAAATTCCTATTGTTATAGGATCCATAGGTTTGTATGACCCCTGCAGTAACAGACCAATTACACTGAGATAGCAGGCTTTGCAGCAGAGAAAGGATTTAATAATTGCATGGTGCTGAGTGAGGAGATGGGAGGAGACCCTGAAATCTGTCCCCCTGAGGAGTTCTGGGCCAGGACTTTTAAGAGGACCATGGTGGGTGAGGGGCTAGAAAATTGGAGTTGTTGATTAGTTAGGTAAGGGGGATGAAATCATCTGGATGTAGAAAATGCGTTTTTTCGTGAGTCAGCTTCTTGGGGAATTCTTCAGACCAGCGGGCATCAGTAGTTTCACTGGTATGCAGGATTGAAAAAATATTGCAAAGGCAAAACTTAAAGTTTCACAATGTTCAGGTTGTTATAATAGAGCAGTCAAGGGGAACTATGATCCTGTGACAGGGTCTACATGATTCTGATGAAACAGTCACCAAACAACCATGAGGAAGCAGGTCAGTGAGCCAGCTGGCCTAGTGATTAATGCTTAGTGTGCTGCAAGCTTGGTTTGTTTTCTTTCTCTCCCTCCCTTCTTCCCTGATTAATTCTGTAAAGTTTATAGGAGCAGTTTCACTTCTCTCTAATGGTTTGGTCTTTCTAGTGGCTAGCACCACCTTGATGCTACCTAGGATTCCCGCCCTAAGTCACCTCATTAGCATAAACTTAGGTGTGATTGAAAGAGACTCCTTATGAATAACAAAAGACTCTCTTACCACTTAGGAAATTCCATGAGTTTTAGGAACCTGGTGCCAGAAACAGAGACAAAGATCAATGAATGTATTCCTGATTTCACAACAATTATCAAGCTACTTTATAACTTAGTATCCAGAAATATTTTATCACCAGAAAAAGAAGGTTCAGTTCCCCACTTCCCTTTTATTTTGCATGAACATATTTTGAGAACTGATCCTTTTATAACTGAAGGAAAGAAATGGTAGCTATTATAAAGACTACAAAGGAGGAAAGGATGACTAAGGAAGGAAATAATTTTGGGAGACCACTCCATTTGACTAATTGAAAAGATACAGTCAGTTGAGGCAGCATGGCTTTAGAATTAGATAGATCTGCATTTGGAGCTCAGTTCTAGCCCTTTCTAGGTATGTAAACTTCATCAAGTTACATAATCTTTCTGGGCTTCAGTTTCTTCATCTATAAAATAGAGAAATAACAATAACAACTTTGCAGGGTATTTCTGAGGTCTATAGTTAAATTATTGGAGCACCAAAAGGATAGTCTTGATCTGAAGTTAAATTATTTGGAACATTTATTCACGGTTGTATGAAGAACAAAAAAAAGCGAAAGCAAATCGGCATGTGTCTTGAGTATAAACAATGAATCCCTAGGGAAAGCAAAATCTGCAATAGAGAGAAGAGAGAGAAAAGAGTTTCATTTATTAGGTAGCCAGACTAATCCTCCTGAAGAATGCAAGTGAAAACATGGGACTGTATATGTGTATTGCTGTTTGGGTCAAACGCTTAATCAGATTTCTAGAAACAAAAAAGCCTTAATTTGTTGTTGTTGCTGTTGAATATTATGGTGTAAATTCTCTCTCTATAGCTGATTTTAAGGTTCAAAGATGACATCACTGAATGCACATTTGGATAGAAATGTTAACAATTCAATCTCAGGATCCAGCATAAGCCAGCTCTAGCACGCCACTGTGTGTGTGTGTGTGTGTGTGTGTATCTTTTATATACATGTATATATATGAATAATATATGGACAATTCATATATGTATATAAAACACATAAAATCTTAAATGCATGAAATTGCTGACAAAATAGTAATAATTCATTAGAATAAAGTCTAAATAAAAGTTATTTAAACATTGATGCCACTTTTATCTTGAGGTCATTTGCTAAAGTTGATGACATTCAGCTTTGAACTGTGTTGCCTCCTGGGCCTGGGCAATGGCTGACTAAGCCTCAGGCTCATACAGGCAGGAAGCCTAAAAAGAGACAATCTCCCCATAAAAAAAGTCCGGGAGCAACATCCTCAGTGCAATCAGAAGGAATATCTCCTTTTCATCCTGCCATTGGAGACTGAGTGGACATTCATTATCAAGCTAATCAGATGAAGGGGGAAAACAAATTGCCTCTGAGAAGTTTTAACCACTAGCCAGCCCTCAAATGGATTGGTAGCCCACATGAGCGGTCCAAAACACTTGCAAACATGAAGTATCTCTACACACTTGGCATAAGAAAATGCAGATTATCTCCGGAGGAGAATGCGCTTTCAGCCCAGACTTCAAAGTATATCCACCAGTAGCTTTAGCATTTTTCAATTGAAAAAAAAAAAAAACCATTAAGTACAAAAGGAAACATGTCATCATGCATGAGATATTCAGAAATTAGATAAAGCAGAAACAGGTCCTCTAAGATTTCAAATATTGAAACAGAAAACAAATATGCCTAAAGAAGACAAAGATATTCTAGAAAACAGAAAACAAGAGATTACAAAGCATATCTTAAAAAGAATCAAATTCAATTTATAAATTTAGAAATATAATACTGTAAATCATTGCTTCTTCTAGATTAGCATGCATAAAAATTAACTGGATAGCTTGTCAAAACATAGATTCCTATGGGCCCTACTCCTGTTTAGTTGTTCTGAGGTCAGTTCTAAGAATTTTCATTTCTAACAAGCTCTCAGATGATACTAGTGCTGCTGGCCTGAAGACCACACTTGGAATAACACTATCGTAAATAAAAGAGCTCAATGGATTGGCTTGACAGCAGTTTAAATCAGCTAAAGAGAAAATGAATAAGCTAGAAGGAAGGTCAAAAGAAATTATTCAGAATGCATTCAGGAAATATAAAAAGACAGAAAATAGAAAAGAGAGAGATAAACAATAATGGAGAATGGAGCACAAGAAGAGAAAGAAAGGGTAGCAGAGGTCATATTTAAAGAAAATAATAATTAACATTGTTCAGAAGTGGTGAAAGATACAATTCACAGATCTGAGAAGTCAAATAAATCCCAAGTGGTATAACTTTAAAGAAATAAATAAATAAAGGAAAGATAATAAGCTGATTCCTCAACCAAGAAAGTGACTGGTTGGTTTCCTTGTTTTCAAGGAATGTGACTGAGAAGAAAGAAAACGCAGCATTCTGGAGATATTTCTCAGACATCGGTCCAGGATTCCTTCAACTGTGGCTCTGCATCATTAGAGATTTCACTGATGGTTTGCATATTGGTTTTCCTCTGATCATGGCATGAAACAGAGAAAGGGCATGTGTTCCCTTAAGTTGCTCTACAAATAGCTGGGGTTGAGTCAGTGTCTTTCTTATAGGAGGTGTTGTGAAAGAATATTCATTTGTTTCTGGAATCACACGTGAAGTTGGGGGTGGAGTCCTATGCATTTGCCGTATTGGGAACGATCAGAATTTGGTGTAGCCATAATTTAGGAGAGTTACCTGGAGATTTTCCTCTACCTGAATATGGTATTAGGTATTGTCTGGACTTAGGGATTGTCTGGACTGAACAGAGTGGAGTGGTATTCAGAGTTATTGTAGAAAAATTCATCTATCTCAAATTTGCTGGTTGTTCAAAGACTACATCTTCTAAAGGAAAATGAATTCTTTTATTTCATACACATTTTCAACAATAAGTATCAAAACAGAAAGAATCTTCTGTTAACCCTCACTAGGTGGGAAAATTACATTAGCAGAGAATTCCCTTCTCTGAGGCACTGTTGTTAACCTAGATTTTTGCTTTAATTTGCCTAAGTATTTATCTGTCTACCATCAAAGGACTAGAAAATTGTGTTAGTTATAAATAAATGGAAGCAACTGAAGACTAGCAGAGAAAATTGTCTTCTTACCCCCCTCCAATTAATTTCAGCAAATTAATTTTATGTCAGAATAAAAATCTATTTTGGTGATCTCATGGGATAATAAAAACATTACCTAGCTAGAAGAGTATAGCTCATTAAAAGGTATCACTCATTCAATACTTTCTTACATAAAGACTTATTGATTAGTGGGGACACAGTTTGCTGGACACTTATAAGTGTCTGGGTTATAAAGATAAATAAGAGAGATTTCTTTTTTTTTTTTTTTTCGTAGAGATGGGATCTCACTATGTTGCTCAGGCTGGTCTTGAACTCCTGGCCTCAAGCAATCCTCCCTCCCTGGCCTCACAAAACACTGGGATTACAAGTGGAAGCCACAAAGCCTGGCTAAAAAGAGAGATTTCTGTTTCTGTCTATGCTGTTATCAATGATACTAGACTATCTTTCCTGACATAAGTGACTTTAAAACTGGGCAAAATATATGAAACAACTATTTTCATTGGACAATAGTTGACACAACACTTGCCACCCTAGGGAAGAGGAAAACAAGAGATGAGCCTCATGACTGCCCTACCTTCTGCCTGGAGACAATTCCCTGAGCATGGTGTGAAGAGCTCGAGTCTGAGTAGAGCACTGTGGCCTCATTCAGCTGAGGAGACCAAGATCAACGTTTGGGTCAACTGAAATGGCTGGAATCTACAGGGTAGGGCATCAGAAATTGGGAACTGTGCAGAGTAGGACCCAGAAGTTTCTGTGTGGGATCCCCTGTGGATTTGTGGCTGATGACTGGGTTATATATATGGAGAGTGGGACCACTTCAGGATCACTAGAAAGAAAAACAGAGACACCAGTGGGTGAGCATCTGTGGGAAAAGCGTGCCTGAGAACACTGGAATTCTGGCCCTGCCAGAGTGGAGAGATCACTCAATACTTTCCTGCTAACACCCTTGCATGCAGCTAAGACACACAAAAGCTGTACTTTAGGAGTAAGGGGAACAACTTCAAGTAAGGCCTAAACTAGACCCTCCTTAACAAAACCTAAAATTGTGATTCAACGAGATCTTCAGAGGAGACAAAGTTCAGTTTGGATGTTCAGTCCTGGCAAGTTAAAGACATTTGTGAAACACATTAGGTTTTTCATGGATCTTAATAACAAACCAAGGTTGCTGTAGTACATAGTGATCAAACGCAATAGAACTGACTGATAACATAAGAATCAATAATCTTCCAAAGAAAATGACAGAATTGAGTTCCTACAATGTGTTAGCAACGATTCAGTATTCAATCAAAAATTGCTAGACATACCAAAAAATTTTTTTAACCAGGAAATTATGATTAATAGTCAAGAAGCAAAGCAGTAGATAGAGATTAACTCTGAGATGGGCCAGGAATTAGGTGTAGAAGACAGGGATTTAAAGTTCCTGCTCTCAAGGTCATTACAATTTGTTAAGGGAAGCAGATATGTTAAAAAAAAAAATTGCTGGCCTTGTGCAGTGGCTCACACCTGTAATCATAGCACTTTGGGAGGCCTACAGGCTGAGGCAGGAGGACTGCTTGAGCTCAGAAGTTTGAGACAAGCCTGGGCAACACAGTGAGACCTTTATAAAAGATTTAAAAATTAGCTGGACCTGGTGGCATGCCCCTGTAGTTTTAGCTACACAAGAGGCTGAGGCAGGAGGATTGCTTGAGCCTGGGAGGTTGAGGATGCAGTGAGCTATAATCATGCCACTGCACTCCAGCCTGGGTGACATAGCAAGCCCTGTCTCGTTAAAAAAAAAAAAAAAAAAAAAAATTGCTGTGAAGTGAGAGATGGGCAATACTAAATTTTGTAGTTGCTATAGTTTTGGTCCAAAAAAGGTAATGATCAAATCTGTGAAGTAGATTTAAAAAGAGTTCACAGACAAAGCATCTGAAATGGGCCTTAAAGGATAAATAGAAGTTTGCAAGGCTGTGGAGGGGGAATAAGGGCAGTTTCAGCTGATAAGCAGAAGGAATGTGTGTAAAGGCATGATGGCTTGAAATAGGAGCCCTGCAAGCATAGCAGCGTTAAGAACATGGTTTCTCATCAGTAAAATGGGGATGATAATAATAATAATACCTACCCCTTCGGGTTGTTGTAAAGATTAAATGGAGTAATCCAGGAATAGTGCTTGAGTTGTGATAAGCACTCAATAATATTAGTTATTATCTTGGCGAAATTGCTTAGCGTATTTTGGAAGAAGCTATGTACATCAGTATAGCTGCAGTATACGTAAAGAAAAAAAGATGTAAAGCCTAGTATGGGATCAAAGCTAAATGCAATAGAAGATCTGAAAGTTCCTGGCAGTGTTGGTGCTCAATCAGCTCAGGGCAAATCAGTTTTTACAGCTTCGCTCTGCAGAGGCAAAACAAGAACAAAAAATGAATCAAGTGCATTGTGTGAGGCCTACAGGAATGACAAGGGGCAGAGAGCAGTTATACTTTCCCCAGCACAATGATGTCAATTTCTTTCTATGTGAAAGGCTAATAGACAAAATCAGGGTCACTATCCAAACAACTTAGAGTTCAAAGAGAGGTAGTTGCAAATAATGGCTGCAGATGAGAAATAAGGTCAATACGGAGTAAAATTGCCAATTAGCTCAATATAAACCAGATGAAATGTATTCTTGAGGACATGAACAGAATGCTATGTTAAGAAATAAAAGTATGATCAAGAAAGTAATGACTGATAAAAATTCAAGTGTAGGTACTAGTAAATTCCCCTAGCAGGTAAAATAGCAGTATATCGTCCTTTCTCTTAGACAAAGTTTTTAGGTAACTTTCTAAAATGACACTTTGGAATTAATATTTTTATGTGTATTCATTTTCTTTAATGTCTAGGCCAAAGAACTTTACTAATAATAATACAGTATCCAATTACAAGTATTCTGTTCCAGACATACACCCTCTTTTCACCATCCATCAAACCTTGATTGAATGCCAGGACACTACATCACATCCTAAAACATTTGAAATTTGTCAAATGAGAGCAAAAATGAATCCCTAAGATATGGGCTTCCCTTAAAAAATGACTTGCTCAGATTTAGAGACCATGTAGAGAAGGACTAGCCTCTTCACCTACACCCCCACTCATTCATTTAACTCTTCTCCCTCTGCTGTGGAAAATTTAAAAATAAGTAAATAAGTGAAAGGAGTTCCAGCCTCTGTTTTTAAATAATTTTTGGTCTTTAGTTAACAGCATACCAGGGTAAGGTACAAATGAACCCATTCAATTGATAGCTAATAGTTGGTGTACTCCAAAATATATATACATCTCTGATAAAACAGCTGAATCGATTATATTAATCACCAAACAATAATCTTGAAAACTATTGGGGATTTTTATTCATGTTGAACAATGGCCAGCTCTTTGCTGATAATAAACATTATATAGAGTCACATATACAAATAAAAGAAAACTTCCTAGGTTACATATTTATCAGTGAAACACACATATGCTAGAATAGCAAATAGCTAAATAGCAAAACACTAGTCTCCGAAGGCAGGGGGTTTTTTCATATGGCTACATAAGAAGTATCATAGAATCAATGTCTTTTGCACAGTGGGAAAACAATTTCAGTTTGAATTCAGCTTGGAAGTTTTTCTCTATCCATCAGAAAGCCAGGACTGTTTATAAAGCCCTTTCCATTGCCACAATACTCTGAGAGAGACAGTGAGAAGTACAACACAGAAAGAGATGTAGCTGTAAAGTGCTGGAGTAGAATTCAAAACCATGTCAGATTTACTGGAGCTCATACTTATCTGTTCTTCTTTCGAAAAGGCAGGTTGCGGGGAAGATCATGGGCATTGGACTAAGAAAGGTAAGAGGCTCAATCCTTGACCTTGGATACATTTCCTGATCTTTCTGCTTTTCATTACCTTCACCTTTAAGATTCCAGTCCTTAACCATATTGTCATACTTAATAAATATGTATTGAATGAACGGATAACTACAATGAATAATAGGTACTTGTGAAGTTGTATAGATTAAAAAAAATCATTTCTTTTTTATTTTTTAGGCAAACGTGATAACCACTAAACTACAGAAATGTATTCTTTTATATTTGTATCATGCTTTACACATAGCAGGTGCCAAATAATTGCTCCTTTCTATTCCCATTCCTTAGGGAAAGATGCCATACCTTTTTTTTGATTAATCATAGTAACTGGGATAGTACCAGAACAATAAAATACATCTTTATTGGTTACTTAATAGTACTCATTTCATGTAACAATAATTGGAAACTGGGGATTTATGTCAGGATGACTTATGCCAAGTATATTATAGTAATCTAGGCAAATAATGTTTAAGACAAGCTGCAAAGTGCAGGCCTGCAGGCCATGTCTGCAGATGTGTTTGATTTGGCCATACACATGCTTAAAAGAAAACAATACATACTGGAATATCTTTACAAGGGCATATGCACTCTGGATATACCTTAGCCTCCAACATTTCCTACTACCTTTTCAGGCTGTTCAGGTCATGATTCTATTACCATTCTGGCTGCTGTTGGCGTATAAGAGTATAACTTTGGTTTAAGACCAAGGAAAAGTATTGAGACTCAACACTGGAGAAATGGGGATATCACCTCTGAATGAAGTATAGGTAGAGAAAAGTTTTATTGACAAGTGCAAGCTGAGTACTCAGGGACTGCTGAATACCTAGGCGTATTCTTAACTCACACAACGTATCAGTTAATTGAAAATCTATACACTTTAAAGACGCTAAGGAAATTCTGATAGATGTACTTTGGTAGATTGCATATGTCAAACCCGATAATTTTTAGAAAAGCAAGTATAAATTGACTCAAGATTAATTGTAACAAATGAAATACATATGAAGATAATCAGGTAACAACATAGTGCAGATTTTAATATGTTCAAAACCTTAGGAAATAGATACGACTAATAAAAAATAAGGTTCCAATTTGACCAAAAGGTAAATTGAGAATAATAATAATGAAAAAAATTTGTTATCATATGGTACATCAGAAAGTAGCCTATCCCAGGTTTAATAAAGATGCTAATATAATTGTGTTATTAAAATTGTTCAGCCAGGCCAGGCACCATGGCTCATGCCTGTAATCCTAGCCCTTTGGGAGGCCAAGGCGGGTGGATCCCTTAAGCTCAGGAGTTCAAGACCACCCTGAACAACATGGTAAAACCCCATCTTTACAAAAAATACAAAAAATTAGCCTGGTGTGGTGGTGCGTGGCTATAATCTCAGGGCGTGAGGTGGGAAGATTCCTTGAGCTGGGGAGGTCCAGGCTGCAGTGAGCTGAGGTGGCACCACTGTAATCTAGCCTGGGCAACAGAGTGAGATCCAATGTCAAAAAACAAATAAACAAACAACCAAAAAACTGCTTGGCCAGGAATATGCATATATTCACTAAAAAAGGACAAGATAATAGTGCAGATTTTAATATTATCAAAATAAACTTCTACTTCTATATTCAGCCAACTGAACGTAGTTTTCTGTTTTCCACCTTAAACTTACTGCTTAACTTGAAATGAAGCATCAAAATTTCCCTTTAATTTTAGTAAAGTCCCATTGTATTTTACAAAAAGGAGCAGGTTTGTTTGCTTTAATGTAAGATCTGCATTTAATTTTAGTAGAAAATTCTATAATTCAACATGAAGAGCAGGTTTTTTATTTCAGGCTAAATTAACCATCATCATAAACTTTATTTCTTTTTCATAATTTAGAATGAGGGCAAGAATCTTCATTTTGTTCACGATGTACTACAAATGCCTAGAAGAATTTCTGGAACATGGTAGGAAGTCAACGTATTTATTAAATCAATGAAACTACATCATTCTACGACACTATAGTAGGGTTTTTCAAATCATAGCAAAATGAGAAAAATAATAGTTCATCCACTGAAAGGACTGTTTTTACTCTATAATTATGTACTTTCTTCTAATTAAATTTGATGATAGACTATGGCAAGATTTGGTTCGTTGTTAGTTTAATGACAATATTCGGAAAATAAAATTTGGCCACCATGTATAATTTGGGAGGGAAATTTTATTGGTTTATTAAATCACAAAGCCTGAATGCCACAGCTATATAGCAAAGAATGAAATGTGCTGTCCTGTCATCTACAACATTGTTTTTTACTTGTGCTTTGGACAACGCCTTCTGTCAGCTTTTAAATTTGTTCCCACCTATAACTGCATGTGGTCTTAGAGTCTACTCTATGTGTTTGAAGTGTCCTCTCAGATCAAACACCTTTCATTCCTTCTGAAGAGTTTGTATGTTTTCCATTAGCTCATATATTGTGTAAAAAGAATGACATGGCATGTTTGAGAATTCCTGAGTTCTTATCTATTTTTTGCATGTTGTAGGTACGAAATGAAAATTTGTTCATTGAATGAATTAATGGATGAATCAAAGGAATGGATTGAACAAGGTCAGGGATTAATGAGTAAGATTAAGAAGCAGATTGGCTTGTTTGGTGCTCTTGCAGAAAATTTATTCTTCTTATTGTATTAATGTACAAGTACTCCTCTACAGTTAGAAATGGCATCATTTCCACATTACACTTGTGGGAATTGAGGCATCTATATATAATCCCAAAACATGAATAGCTAGGAAAATAGTCCACAGAGCAGTAAAATCTTACACCTGGAATCCAAATTTTCTTACTGCCTATCTAGTCAAATGCTGGCCATTGATATCAACCCAACACTCATGGGACTGAAGTCATGCAGAGAGCCACAGGAGCTGTGGAAAGGATGTGAGGAAATCCCTTCCACAGTCACTGGTGATGAAGGGAAAAAGTAAGTAATTTTACAGGCAGAGGTTTGAAAAACTAAAACAAATACAAAAAAGAGGTCCTTGGTTCTGGAAAGAATAGAGCTCTGTGGAAGAGAAGATACTGTTGCCTCATTCCGAGAAGGTCAGAAATGACATTTTCTGTCCTGAACCCAAGGCTTGATTTGAAAGATTTCCCATACAGTTACATTTTTCTGTATTTACTTCTTTTGTAAAAGTTGTCTTAACTATACAAAACAAATAAACCCAGAAGAAAAGTCTTATGCTTTAAAAATTATTTGGAAAATAAGTATACAATATTTCAAATAGCAGAAAATCTAGAGAAATTTGAATAATCACATGTGTACCCACTACCCAGACTCAACATATGGTAACAGTTTGCCACATTTACTTCAGTTTTCTTTCTTTCTTTCCCTCCCTCCCTCCCTTCCTATCTTTCCTTTCTTTCTTTCTTTTTTTAGAGGAAGAGTCTCACACTGCCACCAAGGCTGAAGTGCAGTGGCACAATGACAGCTCACTGCAGCCTCAACCTCTCTGGCTCAAACAATCTTCCCACCTCAGCCTCCCAAGTACCTAGGACTATAGGCACACATCACCATGTCTGACTAATTTCTTTATTTTTTGTAGAAATGGGGCCTTGCTGTGGGGCCGGGCGCAGTGGCTCACGCCTGTAATCCCAGCACTTTGGGAGGCCGAGACGGGCGGATCACAAGGTCAGGAAATCGAGACCATCCTGGCTAACACGGTGAAACCCCATTAGCGGGGCGTGGTTGCGGGTGCCTGTAGTCTCAGCTACTCGGGAGGCTGAGGCAGAATGGCATGAACCTGGGAGATGGAAGTTGCAGTGAGCCGAGATAGCACCACTGCACTCCAACCTGGGCAACAGAGCAAGACTCTGCCTCAAAAAAAAAAAAAAAAAAAAAAAAAAAAGAAATGGGGCCTTGCTAAGTTGCCCAGGCTGGTTTTGAACACCTGGGCACAAGTGATCCTTCAGTCTCAGCCTCCCAAAGTGCTAGGATTACAGGCATGAGCCACTGCACCTACTCAGTTTCTTTTTAAAATTTAAAAAAAAAAAATCAGTTTTAATTGAAGCTTCTTTAAACCCCATCCTGATTCATTTTTTTTTCCTTTCTCTCCCTGGTTAATTGAATGTTTATTATTTTCTTACTTCCAGTCTGTACATTAATAATGTAGAGTGTTGTCATGTATTTTAAAAATCTTTCTTATGCAATTACCTTTTTCATTAACAAAATATTTTTGAGATTAAAAAAACCGTGAATATGCCACAACTTATTTACTCATTCTCCTATTCCCAAGAGTAGGAGTCTATTGGCTATCATGAAAAAAAAAATACTACTACAAATATTTTAGTATATCCTTTTGTGCACGTGTGCATGAATTTCTTAGAATTGGAATTCCTTGGCCAGAAGGTACATGCAGCTTCCACTTTGCTTGATGTGGTTAAATTGTTCTCCAATGCGGTTTCATTGTACAGAACGATTCCTGTTGCTCCATTTTCTCTCCAACATCTGATGATACCAGGATTTTAAATTTTTGACAATATTTCTGATGTGAAGTGTTATCTCATAGTGGAAATTTGCACTTCTCTGAACACTAGTAGATTTTTTCATTGTTACATCTTTTACCATTTTTTTCTATTAGGTTGCTTTTTAAACATTAATTTGGAGGAGTTATTTTATATTCTGGATTCGATTCTTGACAGTATTTTTATATATTAGCATTTAAAAGAAAACACAAAAAGTCAGTATAATAAAAAAATGATTTTCCATACTGTTTGAAGTTTTATTTTTTTAACGCTATTTGGCAATGAGACTGCATGAGTTTGCTACTTTGATGATAGGATTTTTTTTTCTTTTGATGGCATTTACTACAGGATTTATAAATAAACTTTCTTGTTTGGATACATCAACTGTAAAATTTCAGATAATATTACTCTCTTGCAATTGTTAAGTTTAAATTTCATAGTCTTTGATATGGGCCACTGTTGCCCAAAAGAATGAAAGCTTTGCCGAAAGCAAAGTTCCAGGGTGGAGGACACCCTCACCAAATCATCCAAGTGGCTGTGAAGACACTTCATTCATACTAGGTGATTTCAGATTTTGCGGATTATGAATTGGAAATAACTAATACTATTTTCACATTAATTTATAATTCATTTAGTAATTCATATTTATAACAGCCTATGATTAATTTTATGTGTCAACTTGACTAGGTCATAATGCCCAGGTATTTGATCAAACATTATTCTGAATGTTTTTTGTGAGGATGTTTTTTGGATGAAATTAACATTTTAACTGGGTGGACTTTCAGTGAAGCACACATAATGTGGATGGGCCTCAGCCAATCAGTTGAAGGCCTTACAGAACAAAGATTGACCTCCCCTGAGCAGGAAGGAATTTTGTCAGTAGATGAATTTTGGGTTTAAACTACCACATGGACTCTTCCTGGGTCTCCAGACTGACAGACAGCTTTAGGACTTGAAGCGCCACATCAGCTCTTCTTGGGTCTCTAGCCTGTTGGCCTACCCTATAGATACTGAACTTGTCCATAATCACATGAACCAATTCCTTAAAACAAATTTCTTTCTCTCTGTGTAATTATATCAGTTCTGTTTCTCTGGAGAACCCTAATACAGTGTGCTTTTAATATACAGTTACTCAAGAAACACATTTTCTATTATCAGAGCATACTATGTATTTCTTGACACAGCTGGCATGTTAAACCAAAACTATACCCATGTCTTCCACTTTTATTTAGAAATGAAGGTCTTCCATAAATAAGTGTCTGCAATTATTACTGATTCAAGATTGTTAGAATCATAAAGATAGAAAGCATCCCAAGAATTTATTAGGACATGGGTAGAGGTTTTACCTCTTTACTCAGGCTGAAATATGAGTTAAGCCATGCTTAGATAGCAGGTCAGGTTGACAAACAGGTCTACAAGGCCAATTTCTGATTTTTGGTGATGGTCAACAACAGCGCTGACTTGAGAAAATTTCTGTGGCCATTTTTGGGCTCAGCGAGAAAAAGACTGTTATTTGTCTCAGGAAGCAGAAGAATCCTTATGCTATGTATTTGCCATCTCTGGCCTAGGCCTTAGGCCAGTGATTTAGAAGAAATTCCTCCAGCTTATATGTGAGACGGCCTACCTGTTAATGGCCAGGAGCACCGAGGCTTCTTATTAATATTAATCTGTATTTGCCTGAATGTTCCTCCTGTGTATGTCCCTTGAGAATGTGCAATAAGATCTTGGGCAAATATCTTACCATTGAACCACAACTAATAGAAAAGTAATCACTGAATTCGTTCTATTACATATGTCCCATTTATGGAAGAATTACATTACCATTATTATATCCCAGCAACATATTTGCTTTAAAAGCACCTGGATTCTTTTAAATTTCTGAAATATTTGCAATCTAGTGTCTGGCACCTAATAATATGTTGCTGTTTTTTATATAAGATGTTCATAAGTTTATGGCTTCATGAGTATAGTATCTACTTGAGCTTTTTGCCAAGACTGAGCCTTTTGCTTCTTTTTTATCCTCTGTAAATGCTCAATAAATAGTGGCTGGATTGAACTGCTTCTAAGAGACCATGGAGTCTCAGGTCTTTAAGACTCTGTAGCAGTAAGGGGAAAAAAAAAAAAAAAAAAGGTCAGAGTGTTCTTGGCATCGCCAAGCAGGGTATTAGAATGAAAATAGAAAGTATAATGTTACCCTTGAAGAACACGTTCTGGTCCCTACACTTCTAAAAAGCAATAACTGACCTGGAAAGGGGTGAGAGATGGGCAGTTTTGTTTGATAAAGGTGCTGGAATAGTTTCCTGATAAGACCAAACAAAAATGTCTATTATTATGGCCTCGTCTGAAGGCATTTGCTATCAGAGCAACACCTATAACATGCATAACAAGGGAAGATTTTGATAAATGTAATATAAGGACTCCAATAGGGCAGCCTCTATTGGACTAGATTCATAAGAGGATTCTTAGGTCTGGCTGGCAAAGGATCCTTGGGTCTGGTTGGCACATGTAGCTTTATCCACACATGTAGGTGTCAGTGATCCTGAATGAATGAGGAGATCACTTCTGTGTTTTAAGATTCAGGCCTGCAGTAACAGTCGCTGGTTTCTTAAGATGAAAAACACCAAGGTTGCCTCCAGATAATCAAATTTCCTTTACTTTCTATCTTTGCCAGAGCAACCAGCTGCCTTTAGAATTTTCCACCCAGATTCTTTTAATCTACCCAGTTTGCTAAACCTGGCTTAAATCTGAAGCTTACCTGGATTCAGTGTCTCCTCATCTGTTATCCCTACTGTAAGCAGGACTGGATCAGTCAGACCCATGCCAGTGCTCTTATCGTTTTTGATCCCAGGAAGTCAACTATGTCTTTTCTATGACATGGCCTGGGTCTCGGACTGTTTTGTTACATCAAGTCTTTGGTCACCAGCTTTGCCTTTACACCCAAGACTGAGAAATTAGCACTCTTCTGTGTGCAAAGAGAAAGGGAAAGTAGGCTACTGATAAGTCTATAAAATTGTGATTCATTCATTAAATTTCTAAAATTTAAGAACTAGAGGAGTAAAATATTCTGCCCTTTTCACAGCAAATAGCAGGCCCTAGGAATACTATTATCCCAGAGTTGTACAAGACAAATATAAAGATCGCCCTCAAAGAACTTGAATTTAGTTAAGGAAGGCTGGATTCATTATTCGCTAAAGGAAATTTATTAATATTCAGTGTTGTTAACATTTGAAGATGATATTGAAGGGCAGCCAGCCTTTTTCACTAAAGGCAACTCTTGGCATTAGACTGTTGGCCTGAATAAATAATTACTTTATATGAGGCTTGTTTTTTTGGTTGTTATTCTTTATATACTCTTTACTTTGTTAAGTAGTGTTATTTTTATGCCTTTTTCATGTTTTCTTCAGACTATGCTGAAAGAGAGGAAATTAGTTCTACACCTTCATAGCTCTACCATAATAATAATAATGCATATTATTGAACACATCTGAGTAAATGGTTGATGTAGATATCCCCATTTAATCCTCAAAACAATCCTATGTGATTGATACTATATGCATTTTGCAGATGAGGAAATGGAGGCGCACAGAGACTGAGTAACTTGCTCAAGTTCCTGTGGTAGGAACTGGCACTCCAAGATGCAAACTCTGTCTGTCTGATTATAGAACCCACATATTTAGCCACTTCTTACACTGTCATTGAAGGCTACAAGGCCACACTTTCTGATTGTGTGCCTTCTTGGGAAAGTCCAGCCCAGGAAAGGCTGGCATCTATCTTCTCTTGAGACTTTATTTCAGGGCTATTTTAGCAGTGTTGTCAATATCTAAACCTGTCGCCTGATGAGATTATTCCTACTGTAACCAGAAACCCAGAAAGTAAAGTTAATAAATCCTCTACTCATGCCCAGGAACTTAGGAGACTGAATGTGAAGAAGGCCAAAGCAGATTTAAAGTGATTGAAATGACAAAAGGTGAAATGTGAGTGAAGTGAATGAATTACAAAAGCGTGTATGAATAGTATTACACAAGTGAAGCAAATTCAATATCAATTCAATTTCTGACCACGTGCAGAGGGAAAACAAGGGTAAAGGAGCAGAAGAGTCAAGGGTAATGAACAGCTTTATTACTTTTTTTCATTGTGCCACTACATATGAATTTTTGTTGCTATTTATTAACATGTAGAGGTTAAAGTTTTTGTAAGATCTGATCATAAAATTATGGAAGGCTAAGTGAAGTCCTGCAATGGAGAACGCAGTCTGAAGTCAGGTTACAACAAAATATTAGCTGCGTTTCATATTGTAAAGTGCTGAGGATATTTTAGAAATTAAACATAAAGGCTTTAATACAAACATGCTGGGTCTTGTTGGGTGAGTCCATTGTTCCTGTCTGTAGGCGAATCTCTTCTAGGTTATTTGGGGGAATGGTAGAGTTTCATACTAAGTCATCTTTGCTGTTCATGGTGTATAATATTCAGCTTTAAGCAATATAAAAAGACTTACCCATCTAAGCAAACAATTCTCAGATGACTCCATTCTCCATCTCCATTTGAATTTAGACTGGCCTGGGTTTGAGTCTTGGTATCCCACACACAAGGTGTGTCCATAGGCCAGTTGTTTAGTGTTAGCTTTTTTTTTCTTTTCTTTTCTTTCTTTTTTTTTTTTTTTGAAACAGGGTCTTGCTCTGCTGCCCAGTCTGGAGTGCGGTGGTGGAATAATGACTCACTGCAGCCTCGACCTCCTGGGCTCAAGCAATTCTCCCACCTCAGCCTCCTGAATAGCTGAGACTACAGGTGGGCTCCACCATGTCTAGCTTATTATTATTATTTTGTAGAGACGAGGTCTTGCTATATTTTCCAGGCTGGTCTCAAAATTCTGGGTTTAAGTGATGCTCCTGCCTTGGCCTCCAAAAGTGCTGTGATTACAGGCAT
Organism: Homo sapiens; assembly: GCF_000001405.40. NCBI lineage: Eukaryota > Metazoa > Chordata > Mammalia > Primates > Hominidae > Homo > Homo sapiens. Next base: position 96,543,697 of record NC_000001.11, on the reverse strand, counting down.
AAGCCACTGTTCCCAGCCAGTTGTTTAGCTTTCTGAGCACCACTTTCTTTACTGTAAGATGCAAATAATTGCTACCTTGGAGGATTAGAAATAATATAGTATCTGGAAAGGGATTTGTAGAACCCCCAGTATACAGTAGGCCCTCCATGAATGACAGCAAATACAATTACATAAAGTGCACAATGCCGTGCCAAGTACATACAGAAGCTTAATACATATTAGTTGAAGGAGTTTAATAAATGAAGGACTAGAAGCTATCTTCAAACAATAAATTTGCTTTTAATTTGTAGCTTCTTGTTTCCATATTTAAAATGTGACTCTAATAGTGGCAATTGCACCTGTGCTATTGGTGAGGAAGTGGAATAAAGCATGACCCAGAGGTTCAGGAGATTCTCGATGAATACACCAACTTTCATTGGTCCTTAAATTACTATGCATAGGTTGCTATTTATTTGAAATATTTATAGAGACTGACTTGGTTGCAGATGCTCTATCAATCTTTCAGGGCAGGGGCTGAATCAAGATAAATGTAAATGGCTGACGTGGACAGGGTTTTAAATAAAAACATCGATACTTACACATTCTACTTATTAAACACATAAGACTATTCCTACACACACACACACAGAGGCACAATAGTCTCTCTCTTGCATGTTTCTTCAAATACATGGACTTCTCTTATTTTCCTACTTTTGATAGAGACAGGGGCACAGAGAGATCTTTCTCTACTATTAGAAAACCGTAAGTGCCAGGGTGATGTTAAATAACCTTTGTGCCATAGGGAGCACTGATGACTATATGCTGGCGGACATTTGTCCTTTGGAAGAGAACCTGCTCAGCGTCAGCTGAGTGTCACCATAGGACAATTTGAGCATAGTGTAAGAGCTTCTGGTTTCTCACAAGAAACCAAAAACCAGGGGTTTTGTGTGAGATTTATTAAATTTCATGATTGACACAAATATTTTTAAAACATCACGTGGATGAAATAAAGCCTTTTGTCAGCTGAAGGTGGCCCAATGATTTCTGTGATCTTTCTTCTAGATCTGGCTTCTCTAAAGTACTCCATGCTTTAATCAGCTAAGAGTAGGAGAATATCTAGGTTGGAATGCAAGGGACTTCATGGTCTGAACCTGTATTCTGAGCTCAATCAGCAGTGGGAGGAACTAGATATGGAGGCTGGAAACTGGAAAGTAGGCACAGCCCTGAGAACGGGCAGTGGGGCGGTGAAAACTTAGCAGCAGGTGGGGCAGATGTTTCAGAGGGCGTGTTAGGAACTCAGCAAGACCTAACAGAGGGGATAGGTGGTGGTGTGGGGGCAGACAGTGGGGACAGACTCAGCGTGGTGAAGAGAAGGTAGTGGATGTCTGTCTAGATGGCCTGCCTGCACACACTTAGTAGGAGGATTTCTGAGAGGAAAAAGGGATGGAGAAGGGCCGCATAGATATGATGTAGAGCTGCGAGCTGGAGACTTGGTTTCAGATGTGGAACAGAAGTGATTTTAGAATAAATGGCATGATGCAGAGTCACTTGGGTTATGGAATGAGGGCTCTATAACCCACTAGCTCTCATTCAACAATAACAGCAGCCATAACCCCGAAGCCTAAGACAGGGCTGAGCCTGCGAGTTGTGGAAGAAACTAGAACTAGCTAGAACTCCGGCTAGAATTCACCTGTGAGCGAGGGATCAGGAAAGTCAATATGTTAAGAATACAGAATAGCTTGAGGGACTGCTGATCTTTCTAGCAAGAAAAAAAAAGTATTAATATTGAGAACACCTGGAAGCATGTACACAATCCATTTTCATTTCTGGTGAGAGCACAGGGTGGAGGGCCTGAAGGAAAAATCCCAGGCTGTTCCTAGGAAAATTCCTTTCTGAAAATGACTCAAAAGACTTTGGGCCTTTGAAAAGCAAAAGATGTCCTAAGCACTTTGTAGCTGATTCCCATCTAGCAGTTAAGCTGCCATTTAGACCTATCTGGGTATGTTTTGTGAATTGATGGGCTGGGCCTGCTAGACAGCTTTTCACAAGAGGGATTGTTAAGATTTTTGGTAAAGAATTTATTTAAAATGAAGGGAATGCAGAAAAGAGTAGGTTGACTCAGAAAGGGAATCTGAAAATGTCGGCAGTGTCAGGGCAGCAGGGTGATGCAGTATAGTGACTATCACTGGGAATCTATCTCATGGATTAGCACAGGCGCAGGTTCCACTGGAATCATATATGAGTTCTATGGAAAGTAGCAGGGTTTTTTTTTTCCCCCTTAGAAATTGTTTCACCATACTACTAATTATCAGGAAAAGGCAAATTAAAACCACAATGAGGTAATACCCGACTCCTGCAAAACTGGCCATAATTAAAAAGTCAAAAAATAATAGATATTGGTGTGGATATGGTGAAAAGGGACACTTTTACACTGTTGGTGGGAATGTAAACTAGTACAACCACTATGGAAAACAGTATGGAGATTTCTTAAAGAACTAAAAGTAGAGCTACTATTGGATCCAGCAATCTCACTACTGGGTACCTACCCAAAGGAAAATAAGTCATTATATGAAAAAGACACTTGCACACACATGTTTATAGCAGCATAACTCGCAATTGCAAAAATATGGAACTAACCTAAATGCCCATCAACCAACAATAAAGAAAATGTGATATTTATACAACATGAAATACTACTCAGCCATAAAACGGAATAAAATAATGGTTTTTGCAGCAACTTGGATGGAGCTGGAGGCCATTATTCTAAGTGAAGTAATTCAGGAATGGAAAACCAAATATCTTATGTTCTCACTTATAAGTGGAAGCTAAGCTGTGAGGAGGTAAAGGCATAGGAATGATACAATAAACTCTGGGGTCTCAGGGTGAAGGATGGGGGTGATGAGGGATAAAAGACTGCATATTGGGCACCGTGTACACTGCGCAGGTGGTGGGTGAACCAAAAACTCAGAAATCACCACTAAACAACTTATCCATGTAACCAAAATCCACCTGTACCCCTGATATGGTTTGAGTGTGCCCCACCCAAATCTCATCTTGAATTCCCACAAGTTGTGGGAGGGACCTGGTGGGAGGTAATTGAATCATGGGGACAGGTCTTTCCCATGCTGTTCTCGTGATAGAGAATAAGTCTCACGAGATCTGATGGTTATACAAAGGAGAATTTCCCTGCACAAGCTCTCTTCTCTTGTCTGCTGCAATGTGAGACGTGACTTTCACTGTCTGCCATGATTGTGAGGCCTCCTCAGCCATGTGGAACTGTGAGTCCATTAAACCTCTTTCTTTTGTAAATTGCCCAGTCTCGGGGATATCTTTATCAGCAGTGTGAAAAAAGACTAATATAACTGGCAAAACTATTGAAATAAAAATAAAAATTTAAAAATTGTTTCACCAAATATTCTGACAAGAAGTAACACTGAGTAGAATCTCATTGGAGAAAAACATCCACCAGGAAATTCCTCCCCACCTTGAAATAGACACTTGTGCAGCTTTGGCTCATCGAAACCCTAACCTGTTGGTAGGAGCAGCAATGCTGGGTGGCAGATCTGGTGTCTGGCAGGAGATGGCACCTGCTAGGGATGAAAGTGAGCAAAGCAGGAGAAGAGAAAAAGAACTGTTGACAGTACAGCTGAGCAGAGTTTTCCTGAGTGCATGAATGAGGCATGCTCTGCAGACAACTAGAAGTATTTGGAGGACAAGAGGAAACTGAAGTCCTGCCTGAGTAAGCCTGGGGAAGGAATACAAATGATTTCTGTTCACATGAACCTCTCTGTGCTTACTATCTGCTAAAGTTTACTACAAACTTATATTCCATTTTTAAGTCATGACACAAAACCCCCATGCTTTTCCATTATCAAGTAAGTGTAGTCAGTGAGGCCTTGCCACTTGTGAAAGATCTGAGCTGTTCTAACAGTATTCGGTGTCATCTCAAAATTTAGTGTTCTTAGGTTCTTTGACCTTTGGATGGCACTTCTGAGAAGCCACTCTGGCCTGTGACATTATTTATCATTTAGGACGTAAAGAAACTAATCCATTTTATTTAACGATTTGTAGAGGTAGATGCACAGAAGTGCACACCTGCTGGCAAAAACACACACACAGACAAAGGAAAGCAGAACTATATAGAAAAAGAAATAAGTATGTAGGAACTGCTGGTCATGCAATTCATTGTTGAGACCCCGGGTCTCATTTATCTCACTGATAGACTATTTAAAAAGAGACTTTGCAGGACCATAGCTGGAAAAGGTGTAGAAAATGAAACAATTTGTTTTGTGTCCCACTTTTAAGACTATGCATAAAATTAAGTGGCTTGTTAAAAGACTCATGTCAGAAAGATGTGCTAGCTTTGTAAGAAAAACACTGCATATGAAGCATATTAATTTTTCCTTTCTGCAAGCCTTTTCTGGAATAGTGTTTAGATCAAGAAAACAGCCAGAAAAGGAATAGTAATACATTGTTAGGCAATTATATTATAAAATTTTACCCCCTTATATAGGGTCTCTTTGGCAGGCACTCACAGTCCTGTGTTTTTCATTATAAGTGGCTTACATCAGTACTGACATCTTCCAGATGTTAGTAGCTTTGATTTTTTTCCCTCGTGTTGCAAACGAGTTGGCATGGAAACAACTCTTTGCTGGCAACATGACATATGATTCAAGGCAAAATGCATTTTAACACAGATGAATAGTTCAGGAATCTGCCTTTAACAAAAGTCATTTTGAGAGCTGTTTTGAATCTGTTGGTGTTTTGTGACAACTTTTTCAACTTAGATGGGAGAAATCAAAGCATTTCGCGTTATGCAACGTAGCTGTTGCTAAAATGTGATTTGGCTCTTAGGCTGAATAAACCCTTCAAGTTTAGAAATGGACTTTAGGTATAAGGAACCTAAAAAAAATCTTCAGTGGAAATTACCTGCTTGTTTTAAATCATGAACCTTCTAAAACAAACCAAATACGGACTGGCAGTGTGCTGCTCTTCAAAGTAAGAGCTAGTGCTATAATTATTTCAGATGGTTTGAATTTTTTTCCCTTAAGAGGACTGTAGAGAAAGGAGGAAAAATTCTCTTCACTGTGCCTTGCTAGCTACCATTGTTCACCCACTCTACAATCTCTTTACCAGAGAGCCTGGGAGCACAGGATGTTCTAGATGCCCTGATGTCATTCCTTCTGCTTGCTCCAGATACTAGAGAATTCAAGTGCTTGTTCGTTTCCTGTTGTCCTCTCCATCTGAGCACAGGAAGAACTGCACTTCTTGGCCTCTTTGCAGGAAAGAGAGCTTTGTGACTAGCTCTGGACAGTAGGCTGTAAGTGGAAATTAGTTGTCTATGCAAAATCCTTCAGCGCCCTCTTTCTCTCTGCCCTAGCAATGAGAGATCACATGTTTCAGGCGGTGCGACTATTAAATGCCATTAGCTTGGGTACTAGTGACTCTGCTGAGTAGAATCTCCAAAGACTACCCATGAGGGATATGTAGCAGGGTGTGAGAAAGAAACTTCTGTGTGTGTGTTAAGGCACTGAGATTTTGAAATTCTTCATGACCACAGCTACCTCAGAGAATGTTTGAGCCATGATATATGTTAGATATCATCCAGTCCAGCCCCTCATTATGCAGATATAGAAAGTAAAGCCCAGAGAAGTGAGAAACGTGCCCAATTATTACACAGCTAGTAAATCCATAAACCAGGGGCTATAATTCTGCTTGTAGGAGAAATAAGACTAGTCCTTAGGCTTTTCCTCATGGGACTATTAGGGTGTTCGATTTGCATATGCTACCCTAACCTAGTCATTCCCAATCAAATCTTGGTTATCATGAAAATGCATATTATATCTCGTCTTCTGTCATCCCCCTATCAACAAGACACCTATGCCCAAGAGACTGGATAGGAAGGTATGATGAGCAAGAAGAGAGTTTGTGTAGAAGAAAGCACATATAGCTCTATTTTGACTACTTCATGGATTTTTTTGTTACTGGTAAATTTAAAATTAAAATAAGAAACTGGGCACAGTGACTCACACCTGTAATCCCAGCACATTGGGAGCTGAGGCAGGAGGATCCCTTGAGCCCAGGAGTTCAACACCAGCCTGGGCAACATAGTGAGACCCCATTTCTGCAACAACAACAACAACAATAACAACAACAAACTAGTCAAGTCTGTGGTCTCAGCTACTAAGGAGGCTGAAGTTTGAGGATTGCTTAAGTGGGAGAGATTGAGGCTGCAGCGAGTGACAGAGTGAGATCCTGTTTCAAAAATAAATAATAAATATTAAATTAAAATAGAAATAAGTAAATGAAAAATTTTGAAATACTGATTGAAATTGAACTGGTAGTAATTTGTCCACTGAGGGAGAATATAAAGTGGTGAAGAGTGGCAGCCACGAGCCTTGCTGGGCCTTTCTCACTTCATTCTCATCATTATTTCTAATGAGTCCCACTGCCCTGTCTACATCCATGATGCCTATAGTTGGAATATAAGCGCCTTATATTAAGCATGTCATAAAACCTCTTTAAAAATGACCACAGTTTACCTTTCTAGTGTCAATTTTAGAACCTCATACTGGCTCCCCACTAATTATTATGCATCTTCTACTCCAATAATGTATACACTTGGTTGCAGAGTCCAATCTATAACCTAAAATTGTCATTTGTAAATTTTGACATCTTGAGCTGCATTTATGTTGCGCACAGAGTCCTCTTTGTCTACTTAGATATTTTCTAATCATCTTTCATGACAGTTCTTAAAAATTTCCTCCTTGAAGAGGTCTTCTTCAACATTCCTGGGCAGAGTAAGCCACTCCTTCCTATATAGACCTCCATATCACAGCTATGTCACTTCAAGTTTGTATTTTACTTCCTTATCTATATTTTTACTATTACTGGATCATGGATTCCCCAGGGACAAGAGTCATGTCAAATTCATCTTTGCATCCCCAGATGACTAAACTATAAACACAATGCTTATGCTTATTTTTTTCCTTGTGCAATACAACTTGAGTCAATTTTCAGAGTGTTTTCTAAATGCAAAGTACTGTTCCTAGGCTAACAACATACTTAAGACACTGCTTCTTCTCTCAAGAACTTACCATTTTATCTCATTGATATATACATTTTGAATAAAGACTTCTAGGGAGCTTGTTGTTTCTTTAATACAGCAAATTTGTGGCATATTCTTGGACTCATTTACAAAGTCAGCTTGCTCTAAACAACTACCATGATGTAGTTATTATTATTATGTGTGATATATTGGCATTTAAAAGTTTTTAAAATATGGCTACAGTCTCAATAAGCCATAATGCCTGTGAACATGTATTTCATATACTGTATATAACCACCGATCTTTCAAACAGCCTGGTGAGGCTGGGACGTGTAAGACAGCCATAACCCTGGGATTTAGAGTCAGAATATATGAGTTGCAACATCTCTTCTGGCACTTCCTAGCCATTATCACCCTGGATTAAATGAATTTAGATATTATAAGAGACTTAGAAAAGTTTTGAAGATTAAATGAATTTAGATATTATAAATAATGAGACTTCAAAAAGTTTTTCGTACATTGTAAATGCTCAATAAATTTTAGCTATTGTAATTATTTCATACATGAAAAAATAAAGATCAGAAAAATTAACTAATTTCCCAAAGATCACAGAATCAGATGTAACCTTAGGTCAGATTAACATTAAAGTCCTTGCTGTTGTCACTACAACGCCTCCCTCTCCATAGAAGCAGACTGGCTCAATGTACCAAAACTTCATGTGGGTTATCCAAACTTTAATTGGTCAGCTTCAAACTGATGGTGTACACTTTACCTATTACTGCCTCCATTTTATCATGTGCAAAATAAAATGACCCAAATGTTCAGTAGCCTATTAATCAACATGTAGAAAATGTTTACGGTTGGGGCTCGATAAGCAGAGAAGCAGTGTATGTAGTGGAAAGACTTCAGGCATCTGAGTTTGAACCTCAGTTTCTCATCTGTAAAATCATAATAACATCCATAGGCAGATTTGTTTTGAGGATTAGAGACAACACAAGAACAGTGCTTGGCACATAGTAGATGCTCTGTAAACAACAGCCATTATTGTCACTACTACCGTCAGTGCCAGTAAGTTTAGAGCAGCTGTCTGTAAGTTCAACCACAGGGAAAAGATGAGCTTTGCACATGCCTGAGGGCCACAACTCAGTGAGCTACTGCTTAGCCTGTTTATTTATGAAAGTTTTTTATTCCATTTGTGGCTGGATTATGGTCTTAAGGCAATGACAGCGCTGCTGCTTGGTGTTAATTTCTGAGCAGTAATGCAAATTGATGGAGCACAAGACTCAGGCCACCAACTGTACAGAGTGATTCCCTCTGCCATCTGACTGTGAGCTTAGCACCAAGAATTCACATAAGGAGAGACAGCGTGAGGGGCCAATCTTTTGGCTCTGTGCTTGAGAGATGTTTTCCTGCCACAGAAGTGGAGCCTATGGTGAGTGATTGGAGTCCATGTTGCTAAGGCAAAGCAGAAAATGATTTCTTATTAGTAGTAGTGGTAGCATTAATAATAACAATAGCCATGAAATAACAAAACAGTCCCTGTCTTTGAAATGTAGAAGAGAAATAATTGGCCCAGAAAGACATTATCAGTTGGAATGTTCCATATTTGCTTGATTTACCATCTTCAAGCAGTTCAAACAGCTTTGCACAATAAACTTAAATGCCCAAAATGTCCTGCTCCTGCACTGAAGCGTCTTTTATATACTTGTTTCCATAGTTTGGAACACTCTTGCTGCAAAAACAAGAAATCAGAATAGGCCCAATTTATTTTACTGATATTTGAAGGTAATTTTTCCCTTAATGAATGCATCTGTTTGGATGATAAATTGTCCATTAGACAATGCTCAAGTGTTTTTATGCTCTCTGTTTTGATTATGGAGCTTTTAATGTAGTGTTGCCTCCACTCTTTGAATTTCTCTGCAATTCAGTCATCTGCCAAAGAGAATTGACTGAAGAAAATGCCAGACTGATTTTCCTTCCTTAAGTATTTTAATTTATTAAACAAATGACCTAATAGATTGCATAAAGATGTATTTCTCTGCTTTATGCTGACCTTATTGAGAGTTAATCAGTTTTATAACGATAATTAGATGTCAGCATTAGTATCCTGCGTGTACGTAAAGATAATGACTCCAGCACACAGCACGCAGCACACGGCACACAGCACACATAATGACCAAGACTTGACCCAACACAATCACAAGAATTTCTGAATTTGCTCCACTTTTCAAGGGGGTGGTGTGCTGCTTACTTACTTTCAGAATCATGAGGAAAAATGTTCTATGTAGTGTGAGCAGAAGATACATACAATGTGGGGAATTAGTTACACAGTTGCTATTTCTGTCATATTGTTAATGGCAATTACACATCTAAATTCCCCTGTAGCAATAGTTCACAGTGGGCACTGGAAGGGAGTAAAAATGCATGAGAGAATTTAAATAATGTACGACATGGTGACTATAGTTAAGAGCGATATATTGTATTTTTGAAAAATGCTAAGAGAGTGGATTTTAAAATTTTATTTCTTATTTTTATAGCTTTCAGGGGTATAAGTGCAGTTTGTTACATGGATATAGTGCATAATGATGAAGTCTGGGCTTTTGGTGTAAACATCATCTAAATTGAGCTTGTCCAACCCTCAGCCCGCAGGCTACATGTGGCCCAGGATGGTTTTGAATGTGGGCCAGCAGAAGTTCGTCAACAACATTATGAAATTCTTTTTTGGAGATTTTTTTTTTTTTTTTTAGCTCATCGGCTATTGTTAGTGTTAGTGTATTTTATGTGGGGCCCAAGACAATGCTTCCTCTTCCTCCAGTGTGACCCAGGAAGTGAAAAGATTGGACACACAGAAAAATAGTGAACATTGTATCCATTATGTAACTTCTCATTCCTCACCCCCGTCCCACCTTCCCACCTTTCTGAATCTCCAGTGTCTATTATTCTACTTTCTATGTCCATGTTTACACACTATTGTTTCCACTTATAAGTGACAGCATGCAGTATTTAACTTTCTGTGTCTGATATATTTGAGAGTGGATGCTAACTGTTCTTACCACAAAAATCATAACTATGTGAGGTAATCCATAAGTTGATTAGCTAAAATTAATTAATCCACAATGTATGTATACTTCAAAACATCATGTTGTGTGTGAATGAATACATAAAATTTTATCTGCCAATTAAAAAAATAAAATAGTAATAATTTTAAAAGAATTGAAATAATGAATAGTACTGTGTATTATTCCATTTTCATGCTGCTGAAAAAGACATACCTGAGACTGGGAAGAAAAAGAGGTTTAATTGGACTTACAGTTCCACATGGTTGGGGAGGCCTTGGAATCATGGCGGGAGGTGAGAGGCACTTCTAACGTGACTGTGGCAAGAGAAAATGAGAAAGATGCAAAAGCGGAAACCCCTGATAAAACCATCAGATCTGATGAGACTTACTCACTATCATGAGAACAGTATGGGGAAACCACCCCCATGATTCAAATTATCTTCCACCGGGTCCCTCCCACAACACGTGGGAATTATGGGGGTACAATTCAAGATGAGATTTGGGTGGGGACACAGATCCAAACCATATCATATGGTATTTTAGTTTGGTTGAATTTTAAACTACCTTTGGAAATGAACACATCTTTATCTTACATAAACACTCTATATATGTAGGCTTCCTGTCAAAATTGGTATATGTTTTACTTCAATATGGGCTCTACTGCCAGTGCTAGGAAATGGTATTTGACAGTGATGTCCAGTTCCATTGGATCTTCCTGGAGAAAACTAAGTAATGATATTAAGTTACTTTGACAAGTAGCTTTGCATTTCCTAAATGTTTATTCCACAGTATCATTTAGCACCCTGACCTACTAGAGAAGTAATCTTCATGACACTAACTTGCGTAAATGAAGGCCAAAAAAACAAAAAACAGAAAACTTCCCCGTGCATCCTGTGCTGTACGTCATCGAAATTCAATATGCTTCTCAAATAGAAATAGGTAAAACACGTGCTTATATCTGACTTTTCCATTTTTTAAACCACTAGTTTATACACTGTAAAAAAGCTGCAGAGTCCCCCCACCACCAAAGAAAACCCATTTCATATTAAACTGTAAAATTAAGCCCCCCCCACCCCATAATCCTAAAACATTAAATGGAGCTTCTTAAGTTGAAGAAGGGGTGGCAAGACTAGGGTAGACCTCTTCGTAACCCTAACCTGCTACCACACAGGGTCCCCGGAGGCACATCTGAAAAATTTAGGGATCCTAGGAGCACAGTTTAAAAACCATAGTTTAAAATATTTGTATGTCACAATAATATTTTAACAATTCTTCCTCAACAAAAGAGAGAACAATCAGTAAAACTGACCTTTTGGATGGACTAGTTTTAACCATAAATAATTAATTCATCCTTCTTTACAGCTGAGAGCACTTGTTTCCCAATCAAGGAATGGCTTGGAATATTCTCTATGATGTAGTTGTTAAAAACCACCCCTTCTTCAATAGGTTGGATATGAAATGTCCCAGGTGTTGAAGGTCTAGAGCACTTGCTCTGTGTCATTACTGCCATGGCGTGTGCATCCGTTGAGGTAGCGTTGCTATATTGGCAACTCACTAAACTGTTAGTTGTGCGAGGGCAGAGACCTCATCTTGATCTTCCCTGAAGTCTGGTCCAAGCAGACCATCTTGCTGAATGAACAAATAAAATCTCTGGGGTCTGATCTCCGGCTTACACATTTCCCCTATCATGATCCTGAAGTCTTTCCACTGGACTATGAGTACTCCTTATTTTATATTTTCTTTTAGATGATTCTTCATTGATACTCACCAAAATGTATAGATCTTTTCCATTTAATGTTGAAACATTTTGAAAGTCTGAGAATGGAATTTAATAAGATCAGTTGGAAATAAGCCTCCCCATTTTTATTTTTATAGTTCATAAAAAATAATTCATTCAATCAGAATGAACCCCTCTTGATGTATTACAGTTGCAGTAGGCATCTTCAGAATGGCTCCTGAAAAGAAGTCCTAAATAAAAACTTCAAAATAAGAAGCATTTTCCTCTTGCCTGAAAGGCTTTTCATGACACAATGAGGCTGCTGTCCTCCAGGAGTTTATAATCTCTTCAGATAAATAAAACAGATATAGAAATTATGACTAACAGTGTGTGAAAGATATTCCAAACTAATGATACAGAAAGTAAGCTAGAGAAATTCAGAAATAATGATAACATTTCATTTGGTACCTGAAGCCTCACATTCACATTCATAATTATTTAGATATTGTATTCATCTGTTTTCATGCTGCTGAAAAAAACGTATCCGAGACTGGGCAATTTACAAAAGGAAGAGGTTTAATTAGACTTACAGTTCCACATGGCTGGGGAGGCCTCACAATCATGGTGAAAGGCAAGGAGGAGCAAGTCACATCTTACGTGGATGGCGGCAGGCAAAGAGAGAACTTGTGTGGGAAAACTCCCATTTTAAAGACCATCATATCTCATGTGACTTATTCACTATCATGAGAACAGCACAGGCAATACCTACCCCCATGATTCAATTACCTCACACCAGGTCCCTCCCACAATAGTGGGAGTTCGAGATGAGGTGTGGGTGGGTTCACAGCCAAACCATATCATTCCACCCGTTGCCCTTCCCAAATCTCACATCCTTATATTTCAAAACACAATCATGCCTTCCCAACAGTACCCCAAAGTCTTAACTCATTTCAGCATTAACTCAAAAGTCCACAGTCCAAAGTCTCATCTGAGACAAGGAAATTCCCTTCTGCCTATGAGCCTGTAAAATCAAAAGCAGGTTAGTTACTTCCTAGGTACAATGGGGATACAGGCATTGGGTAAATACAGCCATTCCAAATGGGAGAAATTGGCCAAAACAAAGGGTCTACAGGCCCCATGCAAGTCCAAAATCCAGCAGGGCAGTCAAATCTTAAAGCCTCAAAATGATCTCCTTTGACTCCATGTCTCATATCCAGATCATGCTGATGCAAGAGGTGGGTTCCCATGGTCTTAGGCAGCTCCACCCCTGTGGCTTTGCAGGGTACAGCCTCCCTCCTAGCTGGTTTCACAGGCTGGTGTTGAGCATCTGCAACTTTTCCAGGTGCACGGTGCAAGCTTTTGGTGGATATACCATTCTGGGGTCTGGAGGATGATGGTCCTCTTCTCACAGCTCCACAAGGGATCACCCCAGTGGGGACTTTGTGTGGGAGCTTCAACCCCACATTTGCCTTCTGTACTTCCCTAGCAGAGGTTATCCATGAGTGCCCCACCCCTTCAGCAAACTTCTCCCTGGGAATCCAGGCATTTCCATACATCTTCTGAAATCCAGGCAGAGGTTCCCAAACCCCAATTCTTTTTTTTTTTTATTATTATACTTTAAGTTTTAGGGTACATGTGCACATTGTGCAGGTTAGTTACATATGTATACATGTGCCATGCTGGTGCACTGCACCCACTAACTCGTCATTTACCATTAGGTATATCTCCCAATGCTATCCCTCCCCCCTCACCCCACCCTACAACAGTCCCCAGAGTGTGATGTTCCCCTTCCTGTGTCCATGTGATCTCATTGTTCAATTCCCACCTATGAGTGAAAATATGCGGTGTTTGGTTTTTTGTTCTTGCGATAGTTTACTGAGAATGATGTTTTCCAATTTCATCCATGTCCCTACAAAGGACATGAACTCATCATTTTTTATGGCTGCATAGTATTCCATGGTGTATATGTGCCACATTTTCTTAATCCAGTCTATTATTGTTGGACATTTGGGTTGGTTCCAAGTCTTTGCTATTGTGAATAATGCCGCAATAAACATACATGTGCATGTGTCTTTATAGCAGCATGATTTATAGTCCTTTGGGTATATACCCAGTAATGGGATGGCTGGGTCAAATGGTATTTCCAGTTCTAGATCCCTGAGGAATCGCCACACTGACTTCCACAATGCAAACCCCAATTCTTGAATTTTATGTACTCACAGGGTCAACACCATGTGGAAACTGCCAAGGTTTGGGGCTTACACCCTCTGAAACCATGGCCTGAACTCTACACTGGCTCCTTTCAGCCACAGCTGGAGCAGCTGAGATGCAGGGCACAAAGTCCCTAGGCTGCACACAGCATGGGGACCCTGGGCCTGACCCACAAAACCATTTTCTCATAGGCCTCCAGGCCTCTGATGGGAGGGGCTTCTGTGAAGACCTCTGACATGTCCTGGAGACATTTTCCCCATTGTCTTCGGTATTAACATTTGACTCCCCTTTATTTATGCAAATTTATGCAGCTGGCTTGAATTTCTCCTCAGAAAGTGGGTTTTTCTTTTCTATCACATTGTCAGGCTGCAAATTTTCTGAACTGCTATGCTCTGCTTCCTTTATACAACTGAATGCCTTTAACAGCACCCAAGTTACCTCTTGAATGGTTTGCTGCTTAGAAATTTCTTCTGCCAGATACCCTAAATCATCTCTCTCAAGTTCAAAGTTCCACAAATCTCTAGGGCAGGGGCAAAATGCTGCCAGTCTCTTTGCTAAAGCATAACAAGAGTCACGTTTGCTCCAATTCCCAACAAGTTCCTCATCTCCAACTGAGATCAACTCAGCCTGTATTTCATTGTCCATATCATCATCAGCATTTTGATCATAGCCATTCAACAAGTCTCTAGAGAGTTCCAAACTTTCCCACATTTTGCTATCTTATTTTGAGCCCTCCAAATTGTTCCAACCTCTGCCTGTTACCCAGTTCTAAAGTCGCTTCTGCATTTTCAGATGCATTTCAGCTGCACCCCACTCCTGGTACCAATTTACTGTACTAGCCTGTTTTCACACTGCTGATAAAAACACACCCAAGACTAGGCAATTAACAAAAGAAAGAGCTTTAATTGGACTTACAGTTCCACATGGCTGGGGAGGCCTCACAATCATGGTGAAAGGCAAGGAGGAGCAAGTCACATCTTATGTGGATGGCAGCAGGCAAAGAGAGAGCTTATGTAGGGAAACTCCTGTTTTAAAAACCATTAGATCTCATGAGACGTATTCACTATCACGTGAAGAGCATGGGAAGACCTGCCCCCATTATTCAATTACCTTTCACCAGGTCCCTCCCACAACACGTGGGAATTCAAGATAAGATTTGGGTGGGGACACAGCCAAACCATATCAGATACTGAGGAACTTAAGCAACTGTGTAAAAGATCCTAGGCCAAGAGAAAATGGATTTCTGTCTCTCTGCTTTAAAGTAAAAACTTTGGGAAGAAAATGTGGGATTTTTTTGCCCACTGTTAAATTCTTGGTTGTTAGTACAGTGCCTGGCACATAGTAGCAGTTCCTTAAATATTTGCTCAATAAAAGAATAAATGAATACAATGCTATGCCACTCAAATCTTCTATCTAACCTTGAAACCCCAAGGAGGGAATTAATACATTTCAAGTGATAATCCACTCTTGATAGACAGAAAATATCAGGCAATATTCAATGGTTGACATCTATAATCCAGGCATAAATGAGGGAGTGTCTTAGAGTTAGAGTTAAATGGTGAGAGGGCTTGCTTATACAGGAAATATTTTAAACTACATTCAGTACTTATGCTTTTGGAATGTAGATTTTAATGTAGCCTGGAGTAGAAGTAGAGAAAAGATTATGGTGGCTCATAAAACCTTCTCCACTTAATTCAGTCTTTACAAAACTCTTTGGACTCACAGAAACACAGGGATGAAAATTATGCTTATGAGCGTTTTTACCTAACTCAAGGGTGAGTTTCATTTGTGAGGTGGCCTTAATGAGGAATAAAGAATGGTCAAGAAGACAAGAATAATGAAAGGTGAGTGTGTGAGGGCCTGAGGGAAACACCTGGCTAAGTTTTGTGATCTGCTATTACCTAGGGTGAATCTACAAATTTGAATATTGTGTTAATAATTACTGTTTTCAGCCACACAGCTTATCAATTACCA
Organism: Homo sapiens; assembly: GCF_000001405.40. NCBI lineage: Eukaryota > Metazoa > Chordata > Mammalia > Primates > Hominidae > Homo > Homo sapiens. The sequence goes on along the minus strand of NC_000001.11, from coordinate 96,527,710 downwards.
AGCTAACTGCCATTATGAGGAGCTCTTACCATACCAAAAGTATGTTGAAACTGCAATAGTTAGCCTTAGAGATGAATGATTATACAGATGCATTAGTAAACATGAACATATATAATTAGTATACATATGCATCACATAAGTATTTAAACATTTCTTCTGTTTCAATAACTAGATCATTTATGCCTTGAGGTCAGTAAATTTTTCATTTATTTATTCAACAAATATTTCCTGAGTGTCTACCATGGGACAGCCAGGCACTGGTGTAAATGATGAATAAGTCAAATGTGGCCCTACATTCTCGTGGAGATTAGCCTGGAGGAAAAGATGAATAAATGAGCTTTTGCATGAAGTGTCTCACTATGTAAAGTGATGTATTATGGGGAGTACAGGTTACTTTAGTGACATGTAGGAGGAACATCTAATCTGTGCTTAGAGTTGGGAAGCTACCAAGAGAAAACTAGTCTATGTAAACTGAGGCTGGAGAGAGGAGAAGGAGTTGGGCAGGCTGATATGTCCTTTACAAATCTTCATAGCATCCAGCATGGCATTGCACATAGACTGGATGCCAAATGATTTTATTTGATTTAAATTCTTTATTTTTGAGCGCTTGCCACAGATTCAGCTTTGCACTAGGAATTGGAAGAGATTCAAGGGAGTGTAAGAATTCATCTCTGTAATTAAGCATTCTACAAATTAGTTAAGGAGAAAAAGTGCATACATTGTTCTCTAATTGTTTTATACACAAGAGGATGTAATTAATAACTACATGCATGGTATAGGCAATAAGTACCATTGTAACCGCCCAATGGGTTCACCTTGCCCGCAGCCTAGACAGAGCCGATTTATCAAGACAGGGGAATTGCAATGGAGAAAGAGTAAATCAGGAAGAGCCAGCTGTGCGGGAGACCAGAGTTTTATTATTACTCAAATCATTCTCCCTGAGCCATTTGATGATAAGTGTTTTTAAAGATAATTTGGCAGGTAGGGGCTTGGGAAGTGGGGAGTGCTGATTGGTCAGGTTGGAGATGGAATCATGGGGGGCAGTGGGAGTCGAAGTGAGTTTTTTTTGTTTGTTTGTTTGTTTGTTTGTTTTTTGCTGTTTTCTGTTCTTGGGAGGGATGGCAGAACTGGTTGAGCCAGATTACCACTCTGGGTGGTGTCAGCTGATCCATCCAGTGCAGGGTCTTAAGCACTGATCTTAGGTTTCACAATACCGATATTATCCCCAGGAGCAATTTCGGGAGGTTCAAACTCTTGGAACCAGAGACTGCATGACCCCTAAACTGTGATTTCTAATGTTGTAGCTAAGTTGTTAGTCCTGCAAAGGCAGACTGGTCTCCAAGGAAGAAACGGGGTTTTTCAGGAAAGGGCTGGTTCCAATTTGTTTCAGAGTCAAACCATGAACTGAATTCCTTCCCAAAGTTAGTTTGGCCTATGCCCAGGAAAGAACAAGGACAGCTTAAACGTTAGAAGCAAGATGGAATCAGTTAGGTCTGATGTCTTTCACTGTCATAGTTTCCTCAGTTATAATTTTGCAAAGTGGTTTCACTATGAAACAACAGGAAAATGAGAGATTAAAATAAGGGTGAAATTAAAAAGTGGGAAAGGGAAACAGCATAGAAGAAAATAAGCTTGAGATGAATTATGGGACAGGCAGAATTGATGGGGTACGACTTGGTACGGGGGATGAATGTGGCAATAGAGGAGAATGGCTGCAGAGACTTCAGGTCCAATATAGCAGAGGGTGTGAGTTTAGCTGCAGTTTTGACTGAATTTTATAGGTCATGGGATCTAATTTCCTGAGTAGGAGCATGGCAAAGACATGTCAATAAGTTGCCAGCAAGGCAAATCACCCCTCTCCTCAACTTTCTTCCTCCCGATGGGCCTACATTTTGCGCAACAGATCTTGAGGGATGGGACAGGATGTTCTGATACAAAAATAAACTGTTAATTGCTTGAAAATAGAAAAAAGATCTTAGAAGATAAAGGCCTGGTTGTCTTTCCAGTGAAGGAAGTAGGAGGAAAGTCCCTTCTAATCCTTCAAGTCTTCTATAGCACAAATCAGAAATACAAATCACAAATTAATATCTCAACAGATTATCCTATCTAATTATCGGGGTTGCTAAAAAAGATAGATATACCTTAGAAAGAATAAGGATAAGGCCAGAGAAAACAGCTCAAAGATGTTGGTGAATAAATACAGGATTGAGAATACAGGATAAGTGGGAGTTGACAGGATTTATAGAAATCCCTATTTATAATAAATGTAAAGGCTTTAGCTTTTAAGATAAAGAAGGTATTCATTGAATTTGAATTCCCTCAGTCATCTAAGGAAAATAGGTCATATCTTGGTGCTGTTTCCTTTTTCTAATCTTCCATGGGGTCTTGCATATGCTGTTACCTCTGCCTAGAATGTTTCCCCACTCACACACCCTGTCTTTTGCCTGACCTTCTTATAGGCAACCTTCACCTTTCAGCTTAAACATGACTTCCTCAGAGAGGCCTTTCATAACTCTTTTGCATCCCTTTGTTATTCCCTTTCATATCACTGTACAACCTATCTTTCATAGCACTTATTGAAATGTGTATTTCACATTGTGTCTTTGTCTTCTGCTAGACTCTGAGTTCCATAGAGACAGGGAGCATTTTTATTTTGTTCACCACCGTATCTTTGGAGCAGGCACCGTTTCTAGAACAGAACATGCCCCCACTAAGTGTTATTAAATGTGTGCATATATGCAGCTGCTGCAGGTAAAGACAGGTGACAGCCTTGCGGGGGAGTCGGTGGAGTGTAATGGTGGGACATTGTCACAGCTTGTGAGTCAGTCAATGGACAATGGCCAAAAAATTTTCTGCCATTGTCAGAAAGCATGGATTTGTATTGGGTTGACTTCTTGCATTCTGGGATCACGGTTCAGGAAAGCCAACTGTGGGGCACATCCTAAGGTTGTTGGTTTCCTGACACAAATCCTAAGATCCACATTTCCTAGATTTGAATAGTTTTAATGTTTCTAATAATTCCTGTTCTTTTTCTATAACTGTTAATACTGTAACATATGACAGGATGAAAACTATTTGGAGTTAAACATTCAGATTAGAAAATTTCAAAATTACCAACCAATTAGTAAGTCAAAGAGGATTTTATTACCGTTTAGTGAGTCTTTATTCTTATTGTCTCTTCCACCAGAAAAGTAAAAGTTATCCTGAGTGGGGTTTCTTCTGTAGATCAAGTCAAGATATCAGGACTATTAACTTGCTTATTTGGAGCCATAGAATTTGTGTTCAGAAGGTTCCTCTTCACATTGTTGTCAGAGCTTCCTGTTTTCAGCACGTTACACACCACTCATCACTCACTCCCTGTGTCAGAACTTTTACACACCACTCATCACTCACTCCCTGTGTCAGAACTTTATCAGCATCCCGAGCTGTGGCTGCCTCTAGTGGATGGAGAGTTTTCCAGCTTACCTAAAAGAACATCAATCATTCTTCATTTTCAGTGTTCAAACTTGCTCATCAGTTAGTAACAACACTTTCTGCAGCCTTGAAAATTATTTCTGAATAAACACAGGGTGGAGGACAGCTAAAGTGATTGACAGCTCATAACTTCTCCAGTGCTTGATGTTTCAAAACCAGTGTATATGCAGATGTCTCCTCATTACCAACGTTTGAATGTCACTTAGTATAGCTGCTTCTGAGAGAAAAATGGCATGGGTTAGATTGTCAAGCATCTTAATGGGGGTTTTGTGTCTGTAGCAGACACTCTAGCAAGCTCTGAACCAAAGTTGAGATTTGAGTAGGAGAAGAGTTATTGCTTGCAGATCAGGTAGCTCACAAAATTGTGATGTGGGGAAAAATTGTTTTCAGTATTTCTTTTCCTTTCTTTATGTTTTCTTTCCAGATCCCCACAACCAAAGCAAGGCTCCCCTCTGAGATACCTGTAAGCCTTCTGAACAAAACAGATGTTCTTCCCCAATAAGGGATTAATCACTGCCATCCCACTCCACTTCCCAGTCTTGGATTTACAGCTACTGGAGCAGAGACAGAGGTGGGAATGGGTGGGGATAAAGGCAGGGGTTAAGAGGAGAGAGGGGAGAGGGTAATGGATTAATTAAATACATTAATTCCTGATAATGAGTAAGATTTGATCATGGATTTTTTTTTTTTAATTTCCAAGCATCTGATGACTTAATCTGGCGAAAATGGCTTTCTCGGGGGGTCATTAAGAATTTTGTAGTTGGCAGGGCATGGTGGCACTCGCTTTTAGATCCAGCTACTCAGGAGACTCAAGGGAGCATCACTTGATCCCAGGAGTTTGAGACCAGCCTGAGTAACACAGTGAGACTCCATCCCTAGTTTAAAAAATAAAAAAGGGAAAAGGAAAAAGAAAAAGAATTTTGTGGCTGGTTTGAGGGTATTTTCTAGGACAGGATGGGCTTTAGGCTTCTTCAGAGGTGTCAGGCCTTTCTGCCTATGCATGACAACTGCTGTATATGCATAATTTGGAAAGACAAGGATGGCTGCTTACTGTTTCTAGCTGACCCCGTATTAGATTTCATTAGATTCCCCCACTTCCTGTGGAGTATATTTGGTATTCACTTGGGCAGTGGCAGCAAGCCTATTGGCATGGAAGAGTGACCATAGTGCTCAACAATGCATAAGCTAATAGCTCATAGTTCAAGTTCTGGGAGGTTTCATCCATTATCAGTTACCCTCCACACTAGAAGAGCCCAAGGCCTAACAATCACTTACATAGTATAATTTTTGGGGCAGTGAAATCAGTAAGGCTATCAGGTTGATATACAGCAGCCCCTAGTAGATTTTAGGTTCTTTGAGAAGAGGGACTATGTCCTGTTTACCATTATTTGGCAAGAACATAGCCCATTACTTGGCTTAGAGTAAGTAAATGATGAATCGTGATTGAATGAACAACAAGACGTTTCCATCCTCTTTGCTTCCCTTCTTCTCACACTCCTCCTTTCCCTCATTTGCAACTCTTTGCTCCACCCCCACTCCCAATACATGCACTCACACTGCCAGTAAAAGTTCAGTGGCACAGAATTTCAGATTCAGTAGTTATTCATTTGAATGAAAGCCACAGATTCTCTTTACTGACAGCATAGTGATTTGAGTAGGTGTATTCTTATGGTTATTTGGATTAGGAGCAAGGATAATGACAAAATAGGAACAGCAAGAGATAGAGAGCACAGTGCTCATGGAAAATACCAGGGCCATCGCTCATGGTGTCTTATAGTCTTAGTAAAAGGGTAAACTCAAAAGGTCAAACTGCTACAGGTTTAAAAATTTTTGCTTTTGTGTTTGAATCAGATGGTTCTGTAGCTCTAACATTGAAAAGGCTATTTGTTTATTCGTTCATTTAAAATTATTGAAATCCCTCTACAGGCTAGGCACTGTCTTAGAGTTTGTGAATAAGACAAGATGCCTGTCTATGAGCTGCTCAGTCTAGGTGAGTCATATATGTAAATAGTTGCTGTGTATTAACAAAACAATGGCTCAGGGGGAATATCACAAAGCACAACCTATCATATAATTTATTTTTTTTTAACCCCACAGTCTCCTGGGGCAAACACTGGGCCAAGACCAAGCCTCCTTACTCAGTCAGACCATCAGTCTGGGTGGTGTATCTGTGAAATCTTACAGTTGTATGGTCAAGAATGTGTCTTTTTTTTTTTTTTTTTTGGCTTTCTTGAGTCTCACTCTGTTGCCCAGGCTGGAGTGCAGTAGTGTGATCTTGGCTCACTGGCTCATTGCAACCTCTGCCTCCTGAGTTCAAGTGATTCTCGTGCCTCAACCTCCCGAGTAGCTGGGATTACAAGCATGTACTGCCATGCCTGGCTAATTTTTTTTTTGTATTTTTAGTAGAGATGAGATTTCACCATGTTGGCCAGGCTGGTCTCGAACTCCTGACCTCAAGTGATCCACCCGCCTCAGCCTCCCAAAGTGCTGGGATTATAGTAGTGAGCCACTGCGCCCAGCTAAGAGCATGAGTCTTCAAAGATCTTATGTGAGCTGAGAACAAGAACCCATCCTATTAATGACTGGATAGCAATTGGAGCAACCTGTTTTCCCCAAACTTAGTTAAAACATGCACAACCCCTAATTTGGGTCAGTTTTGGTGAATTCATGAGATTAGATAAATCACGAATGGAAGGCTCAGAAAGAGGTCCTAGGGACAAACAACAAAAGAACATATACAGTAAGGCACACAGAAGAAAGAAGAATACAGCAAGTGAAATGAAACAAGTCTCTAGAAATAAAAAATGGGCCTTACCACGAACACTTGGGGCATCTGACAGAACCAAATCAACAAGCTCTGTTGCACTTTCTATTGGCTGTTCATTTTCTATTTTTCTCTCTAGACATCTTTCTTTAAAAAGAAAATCCAGATTTCCCGGGCTGGGCAAAGTGTTGGGATGAAATGACAGGAGGCAGGCGCTGTCAAGGAAAGACGTTCTCTCTGGAAGGAAGTGAGGGGACAGACGGGATGGCTGGCTCCTCTAGGCAGGTTTCCTTGCTGCCATCCCATGTGTCTTTTCCCTCCCACTCCTGTGGGCACTTTCTTGCTTGCTTGGCACAGTGAGAATTTAGGAAAGTCACGACAAAAATCCTGTCATGTGCTAGAAAGGAGAAAAAGTTTTAGATCTTTGCCTTTTCACGAATGAAGAGTTTCATGGAAATTAATGTGCAATTTTAGATAGAAGCTTTGCCTTGTTGAAGCTACTCTAACATTCTTTCTCCCCAAGTTCCTACAGTCCCTGCTTCCACACTTTAACAAACAAACAAAAAGAACAAACAACTGCTCCCCCTGCTACACACACACACACACACACACATACACACACAAAATCCAACTTGGTTGGCAGCCCACATCATCTACCCCAGGGCTTTCCCTAAGGACTGAAGATTTATCTTGGACTGACTTCAGACATTTCCCCTCTGATCTTCCTCTGGCTACGTTTTTCTCCAATGTTTCCTCACTGCCTCCCTTGGCTCTCATTAATTAACTGCTCCTCACTCTGTGACTAAATGCGAGCCGTTGTGTTTGGCTGTAGAGAGGATTATGACATTTTGCAAACACACACACCACTGGGGAGAATATCTTGGGTATCACACAGGCAAAGGAGGTAAACTAAGAAAACCCATTTTTAAAAACCTGTTGAAGCAAGTAACCAAAAAAGAAAAGATAGCGAAACAGGTTGATTATTTGGTGACATTTACTTATTCCTGACATGATATTTTAGAAGGCAAATACAGAAACTGGAACTTGCTATTTAACCGAGGTTCAGGTATTTCAAAGCTTGCTTATCTCTCCAGCCCGTCTGGTGTTTCCATGGTGTTCCTTTTCCGCTTCTATTAGTCTGGAACGTGGGTAGCAAGTTGATGAACATTTTTAATGAGTAAATCCTTTTCTACACCAAATTTTATAGATAATTAAATCTGATTTATAGGGCAGGTTTCAGCGACAGTAAAAGAGGAAGGCAAGGAATGCAAAGGGGGAGGGGGCCAATGATTCGACTCTGGGCCTCTGTGAGTGGGCTCTGCTTTGTATAACCTTCCCAGCAGGCGCACTGCAGGGCTTGCAAGATTTCTGAAGCAGAACAAGACCCAGTGAGGGCTTTGCAATAGTTTTTTTTTTTTTGAACTGTTTGGTTTTGGTTTTTAGGCAAGGACGTTCTCTTGTCCAAGAAACTGATCCTGATCTTTATTTTCTCCTCTCCACTGTTACTCAAAGTTATGCTAAAAGCAAAAGCCACACATATAAAACCTCAGAGCACACCACTAAGGAATTTGCCCTTTCAACAGAATTAAACATCTTCTATGTACTAAACCTCATTCTAGTTGCTGGAGGTACAGCAGTCAACAATACAGGCAGTTGGCCCGGCACGGTGGCTCACGCCTGTAATCCCAGCACTTTGGGAGGCCGAGGAGGGCGGATCACGAGGTCAGGAGATCGAGACCATCCTGGCTAACTAGTGAAACCCCGTCTCTACTAAAATTACAAAAAAATTAGCCGGGCGTGATGGCGGGTGCCTATAATCCCAGCTACTCGGGAGGCTGAAGCAGGAGAATGGCGTGAACCCGGGAGGCAGAGCTTGCAGCGAGCCGAGATCGCACGACTGCACTCCAGCCTGGGCGGCAGAGCGAGACTCCGTCTCAAAACAACAACAACAACAACAAAAACCAATACAGGCAGTTCACACTTATTACCTGTGGTGTCAAATAGACTCAGTGGAAGAAAATGTAGACAAAAGGCAGTCTAATGAGAAAATTGAAACCCAGAGAGGGTAAGTGGGTTGACCAGACTCACCCAGCGTGTCTGTCAGAAGCACATTTGAGTCTAAGAATTCAGGCCCCCTGACTGACTTCCATATTGGACTCTTGTTTTGTTTTTTCATTTTTGGAGACAGGGTCTCCAGCCTGTTGTCCAAGCTGGAGTTGCAGTGGCGCTGATACAGGAGTTGTTAAGAAGAAATTACTTAGGCAGATAGTGAGGGTACGGAAGTCCTCGGTAAGGTTTTCCTTTTAATGAAAAGCAGCCCCCAAATCATTTTCTTTTCTAACAAAGAGCAGACTGTAAAATCGAGCTGCAGACATAGACAAGCAAGCTGGAAGCTTGTGCAGGCGAATGCCGGCAGCTGTGCCAGTAGGAATAAGCTACCTGGGACTAGACATGTTCAAAATGGCAGCTCCTTCTTCTCTTCTCCTTGACAGCCACGTGTACAGTAAGGAGCAGAGAAGACTGCACTGGCCAAGTGGAAAGTCCATTTGCATAATAAGATTAGGGTGGGGTGGGCAGCCTTCCCCATGCGCTACGTAAACATCACAGCTGGTTGAACCTATCTGTGGGCCCTACGTAAATCAGACACCACCTCCTCAAGCCTGCCTATAAAATCTATGGTCCACCACAGACGGACTTTCTCCTTTTGGAAGCCTCTCTGTCGCAAGAGAGAGAGAGAGAGAGCTGCTTTCCTCTCTCCTTTCTTCTGCCTATTAAACTTTTTGCTTCTTAACCCACCCATATATTTCTAGTGTCCCTGATCTTCTTGGCACAAGAAAACAAACCCCGGGTATTTACCCCAAACAATGATGCTGCTTCAGTATCACGGCTCACTGCAATCTCAATGTCCCCAGGCTCAGGTGATCCTCCTACCTCAGCCTCCTGAGTAGGTGGGACTACAGGAGCATGCCACCATGCCCTGCTAATTCTTTAAATATTTTTCTGTAGAGACAGGGTCTCCCCGTGTTGTCCAGGCTGGTGTTGACTCCTGGGTTCAAACTATCTGTCTGCCTTGGCCTCTGAAAGTGCTGGGATTATAGGTGTCAGCCACCATGCCTGGCCCAGGTTGGACTTTTCTGAATGCAATCTATTCTTTTCCATTTGTGGAATACATTAAAAACACAAAACCTTATGATTTAAAGTGCCTAGGATAATGCCTACAATAAGGCAACAGATATTAATTGACCTTGAAACACTATGTGAAGTGGTTAAGTATTATCTTATTTCACATCATCATAGAAGTTTCTAACAGCTCCTCTACCCCTTTTTTTGTATTCATTAATAAATAAAAAATTGTGTTAGTTGGAGTTATGAGTCATGAAATATTTGGTACTGCTGAAGATTAAACATAAACCAGATTTTATCAATCAAAGTTTCCTATCCTGACTCCTCTTTGATAGAATGTGTTCATTCCTGTCAGTCATCATCATCATCATCATCATCATATTACTCTGAGTGATACATGTGTTAGACACCTTATAAAAATTAAAAACATAATTAGTTCTCTGAAATAAGACAAATGGCATCCTGCCAAACTGTGCCCTAATGCTTAACTTAAGACATTGAGAGGCCAGGTGCGGTGGCTCATGCCTGTAATCCCAGCACTTTGGGAGGCCTAGGTGGGTGGATCGCTTGAGGTCAGGATGTCTGAGACCAGCCTGGCCAACATGGTGAAACCTAATCTCTACTAAAAATACAAAAATTAGCTGGGCATGGTGGTGGGCTCCTGTAGTCCCAGCTACTTGGGAGGTAGAGGCAGGTGAATTGCTTAAACCCAGGAGGCAGAGGTTGCAGTGAACCAAGATTGCGCCACTGCACTCTAGCCTGGGCAATGGAGCAAGACTCTGTCTCAACAACAACAACAAAAAAAAGGCATTGAGAGAGGAGTGTACATGTCAATGGGCAGCTTACTTACATATTGTTTTCCCTTTAAATTTTTTAATGATTCTAATGGTAATATAAAGTTGCAACCAATTTGCATATAACAGAAAATATATAGAAAATGAAAGTCCCATCCCCAGGGAGAACTACTAAGAAGAGTATGATGCATGAGCTTCTAGCTTTCTTCTCTATGTATACTGATACAGGAACATAGACATAGAACTGTGCTGCAATATGGTTGTCACTTATTGATAGATTTGGATTGTCTTTTTATGTCCATACATGTAAATTCACCTTTAATTTTTTTAACTGTATAGTATTTTGCTATAAGTCTGAATAATAGTTTAACTAACCTATATTTAATTAATATTTGAGTTGTTAAGAGTCACTTTTTTTTTTTTTCAAGACAGAGTCTTGTTCTGTCACCAAGCTGGAGTGCAGTGGCACAATCTTGGCTCACTGCAACCTCTGTCTCCTGGGTTCAAGTGCTTCTCGTGCCTCAGCCCCCCAAGTAGCTGGGATTACAGGCATGCGCCACCACGCCCAGCTAATTTTTGTATTTTTCAGAGAGACGAGGTTTCCCCATGTTGGCCAAGATAGTCTTGATCTCTTGGCCTCGTGATCCACCCACCTGGGCCTCTCAAAGTGCTGGGATTACAGGCGTGAGCCACAGTGCCTGGCCAAGAGTAACTCTTTATTAAAATCAATGTTACAGAGTTCATTCTTGTACATATGTATTTATGAACTGTACCCCTAAACCCAGAATTCCCTATTTCACTCTTAGGTTAAACATCAAAGCGTTTGGGATGATATATATACACACATATGTGAAATATAGTATATATATTATATACATATAAATATGGGATCGTACATAAACACACACATACACATACATATATATTTCTTCCCATAGGTAAAAGCACTATCCTACTTGATATTGAAGGCAGTTAGCATTACACTACTTACTGATCGGAAGAAACCCCCACATTACCTACCGATCTTCCTCACAAACATAAAATAAATAAAACCACTTTTAAAAAATCACTTGGCTAGGTTATGTTATTTAAAGCTGGGCAAGTGGGGGTGGTAGCCATTAGCAAAACCGGTTTAAAATATAGTGCAAATTAAAAAAAAATTCTTCATGAATCAAGCCGTTATTACTGTGAGTCAATTAAACCAATCTCCCTCAGGGGAAAAAAACCTAAGAACCCAAATTCCTTTCTTAGAAAGATGTTATTAAAATGTCTCTGTGGTTTATTGATTTCTTTACTTCTGCTTCTTTAAGAATATGGGATTTGCTAACAGAACTGATACCAATACTAAATGCTAGGAAATGCTTGTCAAAATAATATTTAGAAACAATAATGTAGTGTGTCACTATGAAGGGGTTGGTTAGAAACTTTTCTTTCAGAAGGCCTCTCATTCTAACCAGGCATACTCCTTCCTTCCACCTGCCAACCTCAGGTTGGCCGCTATTCAGAATTAGTTTTCAGTTTCTTAAGGAAGAAAGCCTGAGATTAAAACTTAATGGACTGTTCCATAGATTTTTTTTACTGCTGGTATCTTGTAGTGTTGTGCTATCTTTTGCTTGGATTTGCTTACTCTTTGCTTTGACCCTTTGGCCTGGAAAAATGGGACTTTGACGTTTTTTCCGTGTTCTTTGTTGGAATGCAATCCTGAACTTCAGTATAGTCTTGCTCCCACTCTGTACTCTCTCCTACTTCCACTTTGTTGAACATGGACTTAAAAGTATAAAAAGATCTGCAGGAAACCTTGGTGATAGTTAATATAAAATTCTTATTTAAGAGATGAGGAAATGAAAGAGTGAGGTTAAGTGACCCATCTAGAATCTTACCACAAGTAAGAGTGAGAACTGGAATTAACAGCTCCTGAATCTCAATCTGGTGTCATTTCAGTACACCTGTCAGTTACACTCTTCTCCCGGCTGGGTTGGTCACTGTACCTGCTCCAACCTGTGTTCCCCACCTTGGCCCCCACGTGTGGCCTTCATACCATTGCTGCCTGCATTCACTGACTAAAACTTGGTGATTATTCCTCCTAATGGATGAAGTGAAGACAGGTGCTAGTTTTCTACGACATCTTATGTAAATGTCAGCATTAATCTTGTGAGTTAAAAACTTCTGACATTCGGCTTGATGACCTCTTGTCTCTTTGGGGCTCTAAGGCTCTTGTGGCTAGATAAGCCACAGGTTGATTATTATCCTTTAAAATAACTGTGTGAATGCTCTGCATCCGTAATTCAGCTAATCAGGAAGCAGACTGCATATTTTTATAGGAGTTGGTCTACAATATACATTTCTAATGACAGGATTACATGTTTTGTCTCTGTGTTCAGTGTGTGGACACTCAATACTATTGGGGTGTTGATGGCATGGATTTTATAGTCAGATGTATCATGGTTTGAAAACTGGTTCTTATCACCTGCTGGCTGCATGACCCTGGATTACATCAGTAAAACTCAGTTTACTCATGAGTAAAATGGGGATAATGATGCTGGCTATGAAAGAGTGGTATGGGAATTAAATGACATAACACACAATTCAGTGCTCAGTGTGGGGCCTGACACATTGTAAGTTCTCAGTAAATGCTACTTTGCTTTCTGTCCCTCTTTTTCCTGTCCACTTTACCACCCAAAAAACTCCCTCCAAGAGGAGAAGTGGGAGAGAATTGTAAAAGACTAAATACATCAATTTTAGTTTTTCTTCTTTTTTTAAATCAAGGATTTCTTGCTGGAAGTGCTGCATTATAAATGGACTTCTCAAAAGCCACTTGTATCTGTAGTCTGATCATTTATTCCTTGATGAGAAATATTTTGGTCTATTAGTGAGAAAGAAGAAAGATGAACCGAACATTAATCAAACACTTCATGATGAGTAGAAACGTGCATATATCACAGAAACTGCCAGAGAGGAGCCACTGCCACAGACTGGGAAATGCGTGTTTGGTGTAATGACTTTGGTCTCACACTGCTGAAGTAGAGCCTGACTACTCTGTTAACTGGGCAACCTTAAAATGTTCTTAAAAATCCATATGTGCTATTATTTTTAAGAGAAGTTTATCTGATTTTGTTTTACTTACATTTTCCCCCCTTCTCCTAGGCAATTAATTTCTTGCTGGTACTATGCCTGGAAACAGTAGGAGAAAATGAGTTGCTAGAAGTGTATTTCTAAATTAGCAATCATCTCAGTGACGTGTGCACTTAGTCAATGTGTTTATTTCTTGGTTATTGCCTGTTTTTTAAAAGTACCTAGACCAAGGCTATGCATATCCTGGTAATTCCCTGGAAGCTGAATTAGAGCATGATAAAGTTGGCCAGAGTTTGCCATTTTGGGGTTCTCACCATTGTTTCTGGGATGAGGCAAGAGCAGGTCTTACCAAAATAGGATGAGTCTGTCTCCACCTGGAAATCCTCTGGCTAACATAAGTATCTGGTGAAAAACTTGGTTAAAAATTCAAGTTCAATTCAGGGTGTCACTGCAAAAAAAAAAAATATCCTCTTTGAAAGCTTTGAAGGGAAAGCCCCATTTAAAGCTCAGTAGTCACAAAAATAAAGGAGCCTTCACAGGGAGTAAATTCCCTGTCAGGGGTGGAGAACTGTTATTTAGCTATTTGCTAGCATGCCATTATATCAGCACATAATGCGACAGAGTTATCCAGGAAACAGTGATCAGTGGTGCAGGGCTGAAGATTGTGTGTGTGTGAGCGTGTGCATGCACATGTGCGTGTGTGTTTGCGTTTAATAAGGTCCACTAAGCTATCAACCATCCATCGTCAGAATTCTCTTCCCTATTTTTGCTTTTTCCCTGAGGCTCACTGCTATATGGAGTGTGTATAGCGTAGCTTTAGAGATGCAATACTGTATCAGGAAATGGGGAAGTATAAGTTGTGAGTCTCTAAGGAGAGTTGTATTGGGTTTATAACCCATTTGGAAATGTAACCACAATTTCATTTCATCCCAGAGACCCCCATGGAGCAGTAACAGGGGAGAGTAGGATGATTCACCTAATTTCTTTGATGTAAATTTAAAATTTCTCCTGACAGATTCTGCTGGAGAACTGGGGCTTGAATGCATCATCCTGAAGAATTTTTGCAGTTGCCCAGAAATGTGGGGCTAGAGAGAGCAGATGCTTGGAAATGCCGTTGACATTTCCAAGTTTTTATAGCCCTGGTACATAGCCCACTAACTCCAGCATGCTTCACACATGGAGAAGGATCATTTGTCATTTTGATGCCAAAATGATACTCACAACTCTAAATGAAATTGATTACTTCTTTCTACCTCCTGCTTGGACAGTCAAAGTCAAAGCATTTCAGGCATTTATTGGTCACCCTGTGTATGCATGAATGGCAGAGTGGTATCAGTATTTGCTCTGTAGCTGTGAAAATGAGGGCCTCCAAAACTACTCATGACAGCAAAAAGGACAAATTTCTGCCACGCTCTATTAGGACACGATTTATTTGGCAAAAGCGGTTTCATTGAGAAGCATACATGCAATAGTCATTAAAAATGTATTTAAATTCTGAAACAACTCACATTCAAATAGATGGTACACACCTATACACACCATTCTTTGTATTTAAACAAAAGTGTTTTTCTGGGTAACTCAGAAACTTGCCAGCATTGAAAATCTGGACAACTTCCCAGACAGTAGATATTTTGTGTTTTGAGTTGTAGACATTATAGTCAGGAAATCTCTAGAGCAGGTATCCCTGCTTTCAGGGAATTATTCCTTTACAGTATCACCCAACTCTTGAATATTACCAGATAATATACTGAGGTGAGCATTAATCATATTTTGGCTACTGGATGAAGAAGAGTGGTCAAGCACATGGTTGGAAGCAAGTTCCTACTTCTCTGGATACCTAAAGATAATGGCAAGATCAATTAATGTACAAGTATTTATTGTGTGCCCACACTGACCAAAAGGCATTCTGGAAGTCATGTTGCTCTCTCTGCCCTGCATGTCTAAAATATTCCATATTCTTAATTTGCCTTTTCTGTCAAATGCATGTGAGATGATCCTCTCAGGGCAAATTTTAGCCACCAGGATGCTCTAACATTTTTAGTTTTAGTTTGCTTCTTTCTAGGGCTTATAAAGAAGTCTTTATGCCTTGGACTTAAGGGTTCGTGAAGCAGGTGCACCTGGGACACAGCCTATGGGCAGGCAGGTCTCCATTGCGAGGCTGGAATCTGTGTCAGACAAACTCTTACAAAGGATAAGGAGACAACCCAGTAGTCCCAGAAGTTGCCCAAGCTGCTGATCCTATACCCTTCATCACTTTTTTTTTTTTTTTTTTTGAGACAGAGTTTTGCTCTTGTGGCCCAGGGTGGAGTGTAATGGCATGATCTCAGCTTACCGTAACCTCCACCTCCTGGGATCAAATGATTCTCCTGCCTCAGCTTCCTGAATGGCTGGGACTACAAGCATGTACCACCATGCCTGGCTAATTTTTTGTATTTTTAGTAGAGACAGGGTTTCACCATGTTGGCCAGGCTGGTCTTGAACTCCTCACCTCAAGTGATCCTCCCGCCTCGGCCTCCTAAAGTGCTGGGATTACAGGTATAAGCCATCGCACCCTGCACCTTTCATCACATTTTGACCACCTGTGGTTCACCTGGTAACCATCTGATGGGCTTTTTTGCCTTGAATTATAGAGCTGGGCTGCTTGGCTCTCATCTGGAAGTTTTTGCTTTTCTTGTTTTTTTTTTTTTTTTTTTTTGAGACACAGTCTCACTCTGTCATCCAGGCTAGAGTGCAGTGATCATGGTTCACTGCAGCCTTGAGTTCTTGGGCTCAAGTGATCTTTCCCACCTCAGCCTCTTGAGTAGCTGGGACTACAGATGTGTGCCACCTTGCCTGGCTAATTTTTGTATATATATAGATTTTTAATAGAGATGAGGTTTGGTCATGTTGCTCAGGCTGGTCTCGAACTCCTGAGCTCAAACGATTCTCCCAAAGTGCTGGGATTAGAGGCTGAGCCACTGCACCCAGCCTGGAAATTTAATTTTATTCTAAATCTACTGGTGGGTAGAATTAGAGTGGAAGGCAATGAGTCAGTGGCTCAGGCTCTGGTTAGTCTTTCTACCTTAGCTATCTTTCTGACTTTCTACCATAGCTACCACCTTTCACTTTCTACCCTAGAGTTGTGAACAAAACTCTATCTTGAATCCCAATTCCAATAATTAGAAAAAAATCCATGGTTCTGCTGCCTAGAATCCTGTATCCTCCACTACCGTGATCCTGTTTTGCCACCTGAGTTATTTTATAGACCTGAACTTTAGTGCCGTGGTTGGCTTCCTTTACCTGTTGTCAGATTTCTCTGATATTGACTCTGTCTGCTGCCAACCTGGCTCCTGATGCTGTATTTGTCTTCTCTGCCAGCACACCTGTTGCTCACTGCTGACTCTCCCCTGATGCAGATTTGCCATCTGCCTGGACTTTCTCCTATCTATTTCCTGCTGCTGGGAATGTGTCCTGTCCTCTGTGTCTGTAGCTATGATTAGACCATACTTTGTTAACAACAAATAAGCAAACTTTCGAAAACCAGGATATGTTTATTTGCCTTATCCATCAAACCTTGGCTAAAAAATGTATTGTTTATGATGCATTGTAACACTAGAATATTTGTATGAAAGTTCAATTTTATGAGATAATTGCTCCATAGACTTGCTCAGGAACAAATGAACAAATGGAGTAGCATCCATATGTAAATGGTGAGTATGGATTAAAAGTTCTGGAAAAGTGAAGTCAATGTTATCAAATAGAAATGATTCTAACATTTCTAAGAATGTTTGCTGATGGACTTTACCAGAGCCAGATGATGGCTGCCTTTAAACATGCCCAGAGATATTTCAGGGATATTTATTAAGTGACAGGAAGCCCTGAAAGAGAGATGTGATCTCTCCTGCTGGGGCGAGTAGAGACAATGGAATGCGCTACCTGGACAGTTGTCAGGAGGTTGCTGAAGCAGTTAGAAAGGAAAGAAAATTTTTCAGTAAACCTGTGTGTTTACAGAAGGAAGGGAAAAGGAGTCTTAAAGGAGCCAGGAGGAGTTGAGCCTGGGTTAAGGGCCTGAGAAAACAGCAATTTGAAAAGGATTAGGAGAACGGATAGGAGAGACAAAATAGAAAAGAAACCAGATTAGGTGGTGAGAGTGAAGACAACAGGGTGGGGTGTGGGAAAGAGAGAGAGACCTTTCAGGAAAAGTGGATTATATTGGAATTCAGTTTAAGGAGACTGAATAACAGGTGGGGCTTCAGAGTTAAGAAAAATATTTGGCTGAGCCAAGGAGGTTTCCAGTTGCATACATGAAGCAAACCACTAACATATGATCTCCTAAAGTCAAAAAGGTTTGGAGCCAGACAGGAACAGCTATCTTTCTCCATTGACCTAAGTATCTGGAGAAGAGGTCTTGACTCATGCCTGGCAGTGATACCAGGGAAGACTTAGAAGAAAGCCAGGACCAGGTCTTAGGAGGGGCAGATGGATGAGATAGAGAGAAGCAATATATGAACACATAGCTCGTGCCTGAGTAAGTGAGAAATGGAAGTGCACGCTTGTTACTGGCTCTTAGTATCTACCGCTTTGTGCCTCAAGGGTTCCTTGAGTGGTAGGACACCTGCATCAACTGGCAGCAGAGCAGAGGAATTAAGAATGTGACCTCTGGCCCAAAGGATTCAGTTTAAATCCCAGGCTTTACCATTTATAAGCTATGTAACCTTGGACAAGTTATTTAATCTCTACATAGCTAAACTTTTCACCTATGAAATAGCATTAATAATAGAATCTACTTCACTGAATTGCTGTGAGAATTAAATGAGATAATGTTCTGAAGAGTATTAAAGGTGTCTATTAACACAAGAAAGGAAAGGAGAGTGTGGTCCCCCTCCTTTACTTTCTGGAAGTGTCAACAGACAACTGTCAGGACATCAACAACAACTCATGGGAAATGTAACAGGGATAAGCCCTTTATTTGCATTCTTGGCAAAGAAGGAGCCTTATATTTGTCCTTACCTTAGGAGTAGTGTGTGTCTATGGCAGCCAGTTTCCTGGCAGCATTCAAGGGAATTGCTCCTCTGCCCCAGTTCAGCGAAGACTTTGAGCCTGGATTATCTTGATTTTTTGAGCACCCAAATAGAATAAGTCAGTTCTCCACATATTCACCATTTGTTCAACTTGCTGAATACAACAAATTATGAGAAAGTTTAAAGTAGACATCACGTTTAATGCTACATTCAGCAAACACATTCCACCTGACAGTAAACTAAAATGTTCATGTGTTGAATTCTGCAAAGGTAATTTCATGTCAATGATAAGTAAAATAATAGATGGTGCTGAAAGAATTGTGAGGCTGTAATACACTTGAGGTGCTAAGGCAATTGACTAATGGGAGCTAGGCCATTTGAGATATTCAGACTTGGAGACATTTTAGAGTTATGGATGTATTTATAAGATTGCCATATATCACTTAACTTGTTCCCTTCACAATTCTAAAATCTTTTACAGAGGATGAGGCCAGAGAATTGTTGAGCTCCAACAATTCAGCATTTTGGACAGCTGTTATACTGGTCCAAAATGGCTAGGTCAGCTTCTGTCAGGTAAGAAAATTACTTGCTAGGTGTGGATTAGGCATTTTGGGAAGGGATGTTAAATTTTTAAAGTCTTCAATATGTCATCTCTCCCCTCCCTTTTTTTGGTCGATATAGCCAAAAGCATTTATGCTTCCTTCAAAGAGTCTGTTTGTAATTGTCTTAAGAACCTCTTTTGGGATTATGTACTCAATTAGAAATATTTCCTTAGAGCCAAAATAATGTTTAAAGTGAGTGGTTTAAGATGGAACCCATGGTGAATATCTCAGTCTCTCTTGACCAATTCCTATAGTTAGAATGTTCTTGTGGTATAAATGCTTTCAGCTTCTTGTGGCAAAGTCTAGTTCCTTATGAGAGGCTTCTAATGCCCCTTTCAGAGTTGGTGGAAGATTTCTCTCCAAAGGATATATGCAGCACATTCAGCATGTAGCTTCTGTGGATGCCATCTGTGTAATCATTATAATCTTGAGAAGTGCGTGGTGGCCGCCACACAGTGGCAAAAAGCCTCACTGTCGGTATCTTTACTGACTGACAGAGCAGAGCCAGTATTGACTCCCATCTGGCAATCTTAGCCATTTTCTAATTCTGTGCAAAAGGCTGCAGTATCCTCAAATACCTTCCCACGAGCCCTCTGAACACAGCCCAGTTCCCAGGCTTGTTTGTCATGATTATAAAGTAAACTCTAATGCCAGGTGATGTGATTTGCCATGCCCTTCTGTGAGATTTATGTTGAAGTTTTCTGAATATCCTGTTAAGATGGTGCCACTTTTCATATCCTAACAAGGTGATGTGTGTGAATGTAAGTGTAGATTTCATGGGCATCAATTCTGTTAATAGCAAAATTCTTAGATTGTTGTCAAGAAATTTCAGACTTTTGCAATATAAACAGTATATATTTGCTTTTCTGTACTCTGAGGCTCTACAGCAACTTGACCACTGTATTAAACTTTCTTCTCTAGCTGCCCTCACAGTTCCACTTGAGAAGCCTGTTGAAATAATGTTGAAATGACCAAAAAATAAAATGCAATAAAAATTTTTTAAAAAGGACAATCTACATCAATACTGGAGACTAAAGAGTATTTGCCCTTTTCCTGTCAGGTACTCTGAGTGAACTAGTGATAACATAGATGGGATAAAACTAAAACGAGTCATTGTGGGTTGATATACAGCTCTCCTCTATAACAAAGCAGGAAAATGTTCCAGACAAGAGTGAAGTACCTAGTAGAACCTAACTAACACCTACTAAATGTAGTTAGTGGACCATGAAACAGATGGAAGCATTTTCCTCAGAATCTCTTTTTCTTTAAAAAGGCTTATACATTTAGATGTGGCTGCATTGGGAGGTCATGAGGTTTATGCAAGTGGGCACAGCACAGATGATACAGTACAGCACACTCTATAGTATCAAGGTTTCTAGCTGAATAACAGTGACTATTTCCCCTGACGTGGAAGGCAACACCAGCAAGAAGGCCTGGACATCTACACAAGGTAAATAGCATGGAGAATGGAACAAACTGAAAGCTGGATACAACAAAGCATGGCAGTTCTGCTACACATCTGCTTGGAGACTGTGGCATGGACTTCCCAGGGCTCAGACAAACACTTTCTCACAATTCCTCTGGCTGTTGGATCTTAATATGTAGTGCTTCCATCTGCACTCTAGCACAAGGTTTGGACAAAGTTTTCTGACCAAGAAGATAAAATGGAGATTGGGAGAGCAATCCACACTTCTGCTCTTAGGCAAATAAGAGGTTAGGAGAGTCAAATTGTCACTCAAAGATAAATAGTAAAGGGTAACAAAAAAGTTTTTCTTTCATAGAAGAATAAGTAAAAGATAGTACTTAAGAGCAGAGGAACTTTTTTAAAGACAATTTTTTTTTAAATGAAGCAGAAGTAAATGTATAAAATCTACTTCATGCATCCCATAAAATTCTAGAAACCATGAACTATAAGGAAAGAGGAAATGAAAGATAAGATGACAGACAAGAGATAGAGAGAATAGAAACTGTCTTATGTGCATAAATAACAAGACAAGAAAATAATATAATAGTACTGTAATAGACAAATGGAAATGTGTACTAGAAGCAGGCAGAGCCAACACTGGAGAAAATCAAGTCAGATGTGGCAGTTAATTAAAGTGATTTTACAAAACTTAGAAAAAAGGAAAAAAATAGTGGATTTAGAAAGTAAAGAAATCCAACATACAGATATTTTATTTTTTATTTTTTGAAACAGAGTCTCTTACAGTCTTCCAGGCTGGGGTACGGTGGTGCAATCACGGCTCAGTGCAGCTTCCACCTCCCTGGCCCAAGCAATCTTTCCACCTCAACCTCCCAAGTAGCTGAGACCACAGGCACAGGCATGCACCACCAGGTCCAGCTAATATTTTTAGTTTTGCAGAGACAGGGTCTTGCTATGTTGCTCAGCCTGGCCTTGAACTTCTGGGCTCAAGTGATCCTCACACCTCAGCCTCCCACAGTGCTGGGATTACAGGTGTAAGCCACCATGCCCTGACAATATTTCATATTCTTGAAGAAGAAGGAAACAAAAGAAAAAGAAGCAATGATTAGGGCTAAAAAGGAGGTGAGTTTTTGAAACTAAAGAAGGAAATCAGTGGAATTAGAGACCTTAACATGTGTTTAGCGAAATTAATTAGAAGAGAAAAGCAACAAGGCATATTATTGGGAAACTTAGGAATTTCAAAACTCAAAATGATTTCCAGAGTTATCCTTTTAGATACTTAGAAATCCATAAAAGTCAAGTAGGTCTCTGAATTTTCTTTGATAACTCTAAATACCAGAATAATGATGATATTGATGATGATGAATGATAATAAGAAATTAAACACTTCCTGGACATATTTAATGCATCAGGTACTGTTCAATATGCTTTTTACAAATAGGTAATTAAAACCTCACAAGTTTATGACTTAAGTACATATAGTCTCATTTTATAAAATAATGTTTTAAATAAATCTAAAGAAAAAAAACCTGAAATTAAAAAATACCAGAAAACAAAGAGCAAAGGAATCATAAAAGGTATAAAATGTGACTGTGAGATAATTCAGACCAGCCATGTTAATTATGTCAGTAAATATAATTTTAGTAACCCTGTTTATAAAAACATACAAAATTTTAAAAGTGTAGAACCAAAAAGTAAAACCAAATCTATGCTATCTGTAAGAGTGATCTCCCCTGCACCCTAAGTAACTCAGAAAATTAAAAACAGAATTGGCAAAAATATTTAAAGTAAATGAAAACAAACAGAAACAAGGATAGAAATGCTATTATTAAAGGAGTTTTTAATGCAAAAGAGCCTTAAATGGAATAAAGAGAGTAATTTCATATTGAAAAATCATCATTATATGTCATCATTATAGTCAACAGAAATATCTCACTATACTTGAAAAATTAACAGGCAAAAAACAAATAAGGATGTAAAGGATTTAAATGGCTTGAAAACAGATGATTTAGCAAATATAACTAATGTTCTGTTTTCTTAAGCATAGGTAATATCTTCTATTCAGATGGGCAATGAATATTTTTAAACATTTCAAAGTATATTAGACCAAAAACTCCTTAAACATATGCAAAGTAGCAAAAAGTGCACAGGGCTCATTGTCTGACCACAGTGCAAGGAGTGAATTATAAATGTATTAAGCTACTCCCTTGCTCCAGCACTTTGGGAATTAACGAACCACCACAATTTTTCTAAATAATTGTGGGGTTAAAGCAAGAAACAAAGCTGCATTTTCAATGATTAGAAAATAGATATTGTGTGAGTAGCATATATCAAAATATATGGGATCTATCTAGTTAGAGCTGCAATCACAGGCATCTTACTTATTTAAATTCACTCATTATTAAATAAGAATGAATGAAAATATTGGATCTAAACCTTTAACTCATGAAGGTGAAAAACAATCAAACAAACATAAGGAAATTAGAAAGAAAGTAATAAAATAAAAGCAGAAACTGTTAAACACCAAAAATTGTAGATTTGAAAAATAAACACAAGCGCTAGTAGTTGAAAAGCAGACAATGATTTATAAAGAAAACTCTCTGCAGCTTTTCAAATCAAGAAAACAGGAAAACAAGTACATAATTCTAGAAGAAGAGAAGGAAAAGATGAGCCATCAAAGACACTGGAAGATTTCACAAAACAAAATCCAGGCTATTATGTGCAATCTCGACTTTAAAATCTGGATTAAGTGCATAATTATTTAGTAAAATAAAGTAACAAATTGATTAAATAAATGGAAAGTCTCAATAGACTACAATTTTGAAAGTTGTCAAATAAATACTTGCAAAAATATGCCAAGCGCAAATGGTTTTATGAACAAAGTTTTTCACAATTTCAAGATGTAGCTTTTTAATTCATTTTTGATATTTATTTCATCCCAATAAAATATTAAGATTAGTATCAAAATTTTAGAAAATTCTAATTAAAATACATATTGTGAATTGAAATTATTTGTATAATAAAGTATGTTAGCCCATGATTAAGTTAGATTTATTCCAGAAATGGAAGCTGTGCTCAATAATAGGAAATTTATTAGAATAGCAGTTAGATTAATAAATGAGAGGAAAAAGACTGTACCTCGATACATAAATGACAAAAATACATTTGAGAGCATTGAAATTGCATTTATTATGCTATTTTTTGGTAAATTAATAATGGAAGATTATTTATTTAATATGGTAGAGAATGTCTATCATACTTAATGGAAAAATTTCTGAAGCATCCCTGGTAAATAAGAAACAAGACAAGGATGTCTACTGCCATTGCTATTATTCACTATTTTTCAGGAAGCTCTAGCCAATGCAACATGTCAAGAAAAAAAATTCAAATGAATAAGTATTATAAAAGAAGAGATTTTCATACGATATGAATTCTCTATGTGGGAAATCCAATGAAATCAACTGAAAAACTATCAAAAACAGAATTCAATAACAAGGTCAGATACAAAACAAATATTGGAAAAAGTAAAAATGTTTATATACATTATTGATCCTTAGAATGCAATATAAATGAAGCCTTAGTTACTTTAGAAATGTAAAATCTAGGCTGAGCATGGTGGCTCATGTCTGTAATCCAGCACTCAGGGAGTCCGAGGTGGGAGGATGGTTTGAGCTCAAGAGTTTGAGACCAGCTTGGGCAGCACAGTGAGACCTCATCTTTACAAAAAAATACAAAATTTAGCCAGCCTTGGTGGCATGCGCCTGTAGTCCCAGCTCCTTGGCAGGCTGAGGTGGGAGAATTGCTTGAGCCTGGGAGCCTCAGGTTGCAGTGAGCTGAGTTCACACCACTACACTCCAGCCTGGGCGACAAAGTGACAGATCCTGTCTTGAAAAAAAAAGAAAAGAAAAGAAAAGAAAGAAACGTAAAATGTATATAATTTCTTGAATAAACTTAATAGTAGAAATTCATTAAACTTATTTTAAAATTCATATGGAAAAGTAAATAGAATGAAAGTCTACTTGAAAAAGAAGCACAAAGATTTTAAAATTCATATGGAAAAGTAAATAGAAGGAAAGTCTACTTGAAAAAGAAGCACAAACAGATGAGACTTTTTAAAAATCAATTATTATTAGGTAATCAAGCTACGGTTATAGAATCTGTTGCAAAGGAAAGTAGACCAATGGAAGTCTGGAGAGTTCAGAAGCAGGGTCATATATATATGGAACATTAATATACAATAGTAGGAGCCCAAGGTATTAGTGGAAAAGGGATAGATTGCAGATAGTGTTGGGAAAAAATGTCTTAATATATAAGGAAACATAGAACATGAGGTATGAAGAGGGACTCCAGATGGATTAATTATATAAATGTGAAAATCATAAAGCTAATAGAAAAGAATAGGGTAGACTATCTCAGTACTGTAACTGTGGAAAAGTCCAATACTTCAGAATCATGAGGTGGAAAATTGCTATATTTGATTACATCACATTAAAGATTTGTATTCAGTGTTGAACACCATTGAGACTAATATCTAGAATATACATGAGCCTCATATGAATAAAGAAGTGGATATGAACCCCGATAGGAAAACGATCCAGGGATATATGTAATGGCAATTCATAGAAGAGCAAACCCAAAGGACCAATAAACTTATGAAGAGATATTCAAAATCACTAGTAATTAGATGAATGCAAATTAAAATAACAATAACATATCCCTGAAGACCTGTCACATAGATAAAACAGTAGCTGATACTGCTAAGTGTTGGTGGGAGGAAAAAAATATAGGTATACTCAAACACTGCAGTTTGATACACACTGACTAAATTATTCTGTAATCCACTGCTGGTTGAATTACAGAATAATTTAGCTATATGTATCAAACTGGCAATACCTAACCAAATTAAATAAAGGTATCTCTTATGACCAGTGGATTCTACTCTATACAGAAAAATAAATGGAAACATCCTCATTTGTTTCCACTTGAAGCATTGTTTGTGATGTTGAGAAGCTGGAAGTAATCTAGTTATCCTTCACTGGAGGAAAGGATACATAAATGTTGTGACTGCATCCATAGAAATCCATACAGGTTAGAATCAATGAATGATGTGGAGATGTGTACTCACAATAATACGGACAAATTTTAAAAACCTTTCATGGAGTGAAACAAAAGCAAGAAAGAATGAAGTTTACATCTCACAATAGAATTTGTGTAAATTAACAATACATGCCTATAAATAAATACACATTTCCTAGAGACACATATAAACACTTGAAAAAGATACAGAAACAAATGACAATTATTGCCTTTGGGGAAAAGAAGGAAAGTGGATATGAAGGGAATAAATTAAAAAATAAAGAAGAGAGAAAACCTGCAAGGTAATGTTAAAGAAAGAAGAAAAGAAGAAAAAAAGGAGGGAAGGCGGGAAGGGAAAAAGGTCTCTCATAGTGATGTTCTTCCAGGATTTTCCTAGTCCACCTGGATTCACACAAGCTAACAGTAATCCAATCAGGGCTCTTTAGCATCAATTACCTCCCTTCCCATGAAAATGTTATCTCAGATGGTGAAAAGGAAAACTGTTTTAGTTTACCAAAAAGGCAGCCCTCTCCTGTGTGTTATAAACTTCTGTTTTTAGGAAGTTTGGCCATAGGAATTTAGAAATTTGCCATGCTATCCAGGCCCTGAACCCTCTACCCATAGGTAACTTGGTTTCTTTGACTTTAGAATCCATCTTAGTTGGTAAAGGGGCATGTGATTTGGTCTCTGAGATCACACAACCCTGCCTCCTTCAAAGATCACTGTGGACTGAATAAACCCTTTATTGTCAGGATGGCTTCTCTACACAGCCCTTTTTGTACCTTCAGGCCTTGAGATGATAGTGGTGTCTGGTGTTAACCGACCCAAGATGATGCACTATTCATTGTTGCAAAAGAACAATCATGAAAATTTTGGAAAAGATGACCAAGAAGTGACTTACACCATCAGATACATTTTAGTGCATCCTAAAATCATAGTAATTAAAACCAAGTGATGGCACAAATATAGACAAAGTATGAGAAAGCCCTGTATGTTTGTGCTTTTATTTGTGCATGTATGAATATAAATAAGGGTAACATTTTAAATCAGTGGTTTGAGAATATTTGTTTAATTTTTTGAAACCATAAAATTACATTCCCATGTCATGGCACACACTGAGATAAATTCTAGGTGGATGAAATAATAAAATCTAAAATAAATACATAAATAAATAAATGAAGAAAGGAAGAAACTCAGCAAAAATTAGTTTGAAATCTGGTTGGCAAATTTATGCTTAAGCATAAGACAACTATAGAGACCATAAAGGCAAAGAGTGCGCTATTTGATTATATAAAAAGAATAGGCCGGGTGTAGTGGCTCATGCCTATAATCCCAGCACTTTGGGAGGCTGAGGCGGGTGGATCACCTGAGGTTGGGAGTTCGAGACCAGCCTGGCGGCATGGTGAAACCCCGTCTCTACTAAAAATACAAAAATTAGCTGGGCATGGTGGCAGGTGCCTGTAATCCCAGCTACTCTGGAAGCTGAGGCAGGAGAATCGCTTGAACCCCGGAAGCAGAGGTTGCAGTGAGCCCAGATCACACCACTGCACTCCAGCCTGGGCAACAGAGCGAGACTCTGTCTCAAAAAAAAAAAAAAAAAAGTATAAACACAAACTGTCCATATGTTAAATGATATAAATAAATTTAAAACGCAAATGTCAAATAAAAAAATTTGTAATGTATGACTGGTAAAAAATTAATTATAAAGATTCTCAGCTTCTTTAAAAATATCTTAAAACATGAACAACTCAATAGAAATGTAGAAATTCACTAAAAAATTGCAAATAACCAATCAATTTATGAAAATGCATTTAACCATGCTAATGCTAAAATGAATGTAAATTAAGATAATATGATACCACTGTCACTTGTTAATTTGATGAAAATATAAAACCTAGTGCTGGCAGGGTTTTGAAAAATGAAGTTAAATTATTAAAACTATTTTGGAGGTAATGCAGATGTGTATACATACACATACATATATTTGAACTTTAATTCTATATACAGAATTTTAATCTTTGAATAAATAGTCATAAACATAGGCAAAATATATGTAACAAGAAGTTTATGACTACATTACATGTGATACTGGAAGATTGGAAGTAATCTAAATATCTTAAATTCATAATTAGTTAAATAAAGTAGGGCATATCTATTGGATTACATAGTATAAAGGCATGTAAAATCTTTTCATGTAACATTTAAAGAAATGAGAAAAAAATTTTTTTGTTTTGGTTAAGGGAAAGAACAGTTTACAGAGCTTTAATATATTAAGTATGAGCTCAATTAAATACAAAGACATTGTATAGTTTCCATAAATCATAGAAAATAAAAAAATCAAGGTATTAAAAATTGTTATCTCTAGGTTATCATAAATATGATCTTTAATTTCTTCTTTGTTTATTTCCTGTATTTTCCTAAAATTCATAATTTATATAAATTAATACATTTTATAATCAGAAAAAATTTTAATTTTAAAATGAGCTGTTCCCATTAATTTTGATTCATATTGTATGACAAAGTCTTGTTGGCTAATCAGTGGGTCATTTTAAATACCAGTTTTGCTTTAGTAAAGAAGCATTGCTGGAGGGCTTTACATGATTTACTTTGTGATTCCCAAATATGTCACCAAATAATTTCCTTAAACTGCAGTGTTGAGCCAAATGGTATATTTTGCTAAATAAGATAATTGTTTCATTAGGCTGATTAGTTTATTGATGATTTTATATATCTGAATGATAATAATATGAAAGGCTTCCTTTTAAAGCTTTCTATATAGATTACAAAGTGCTGTATTTTATAACAACCCAGCAATGCAGGTACTATTATTCCCATCATGTAGGTCAAAAACCAGATTCAATTTATGAATGAGGAGCCAGATCTCTAATTGATGAAAATATAATAAATGGGTATTTTAATCCTAACCACTCATTGCTTTTCTTCTCCACAATACTGGCTTGTATAGACACAGAAAGAATAGATCACCTTTGGATATCAAAGTATTGCTATATTATGTATTATTTGCCAGATTAAAGCAAGGCCCTTTACCCTCCCCCTCAAATTCTCCAGTCTTCCTACTTTCCTCCCTTCCTCTTTTCCTTTCTTTCTTCCTTTTACTTTAATGCAGTCTACATCAATTTATTTAGGTACCGTGTATGGATACTTCTGCATAACAGTGGCTGAGTTGAACAGTTGTCAGAGGGATTGGATGGCCAACAAATTTTAAAATACTAACATCAGGCCCTTTACAGAAAAAGTTTGCTGACCCCTACTGTATAGAAAAGGGTTTTTAAAAATAGAAACAAGCAGTCTTTCAGAAAGTACCTTGGACCTCCCTGGCATATGTAATAGAGCTGTTCCTTAAAAGAGCTATTTCCCTAAAAAGCGGCAACACGGTTGTAAACTATCCTCTATAGATTTGTGCTGACAGAACAGAAATGAATTGCTCATTTCCCAGAGGACCTTAGAAGCTATTTGAGCAGGTAGTATATGCCTAAACCAAGAAAAACCATTGACAAGTTTAGCACAGACAGACCTGGTGTTTAGGCAGGTACCTGGGAATGAAGTAGCAGTCAATAAACTTTAACTTGGAAACGAAGAGTTCCCGGATGAAATGAAGACATTACAACAATAAAGAAAAAAGGAAATAAGGATGGTAAAACCCCACAGCAGTTTAAGGAGCCACTGGACAGGGCATTAAGCTTAGCAATTTTTATTACCTATAAGTAGGGCATCCCACTCTACCACAGTGTGAGATGTGGTTGTGGGAAAGAGTTGTGGGAGGTCTTATTGTTAGGGTACACCTGAGGAGTATGCAGGCTATTTTGGGTGACTATGGGGGCCAACAATAATACTACTGAAGGAACATGATATTATGTAAGCCCTTAAAACTCTAGGTATCTGGATGGTTTCAAACTGCATAGAAAGACTCTGGGCGTAGAATCTGAAAAGGAGGATTCAAAACCGTGGATGAGTATACTCCAAAGTGAGATTAGTGGAGAACTGGTGGGAGATTACTTCGGAGGCCAGGGTGCAGGGAGAGATGTTTTGGGGATCCATCTGAAGGCAGAGGGTTTCTACAAAGCAGACTATCCATGAGTGTGCCGAGCCAAGGAAGAGAGACAAAAGCACAGTCCACAGGGAAGGGAGAGTAGGAGACCAAGAAGGACTAGCAAGGTGAAAAAAGGATAGAAATGTGGAAGTTAGGGGGTATGGAGACTGGGACGAACAATGAGGAACAGATAAGATGATATCATTTCATGGAGGAGGGAGCTCCCTTCATTTTTGAAAACCTGATCTGCCAGGGTTATAATAGGACATAATGGATTAGAATACACAGTGCTTTCTTTCAAGGAACTTGCAATCTGGGGTTGGGGGTGGCTGGAGAGAAAACATGTACACATAAAAATCAACTAATAGTACAAAGCAGTAAAAGGAAAACAATCTACAGAATCATAGCAGGTGGTTTAACCCACACAGATGTGAACTGTAAAACATTTCTTTTTCATTCCTGAATTCCTTTATAGGAAAATCTCAGATCAGTGATTTAGTTAAAAAATGGTACCTAGCACAGTAGTTTCCACTAAGGTTATCCTGAGGGTCATATTCAAGTGGCATAGATAATAAAAAAGGCCATGCATATATTTGCATTTAAAGTGGTATGATTTACATGTTTTTGCATATTCACATGTACTACGCATATGATTATGTTGACTGTGTGGTCTGCCCTTACACACAATATTAAAGTTTAATAGGCTGGTGGGAGTCTGTTCTTAATTTTTCTTGCCTTGATTTCTTCTAATCATTTGTCATTGAGCTAGCCATCTTGTGGGAAAGGCAAAGAAAAGGTGCATAGGGACTGGGCTGGTAGAGTGTTGAGTGTTGACAGGGATTTAAACCAGATCCCAACGTAGAGAGTGCTGGACTCAGTTTATCAGGTTACTATGTCCCCCAAAAATAAACTAAAGCTATATGTTCTGTGTCAGTGAGAGGTTCAGTCAACAATTATAAAAAATATGCTAATACTATTAATATCATTACCAATTATTCACATCTGTCCATTTTTTTTTCTCTGCCCTGTATGAGTGACATAATCCCAAAGAGACAGGGATTAATGAAAGCAGTCACTGCTTATTGAGATCTTAGTATATACCTGGTACTACCTGTGCCAAGCACTTTACATACAGTCTTTCACTCTATTTGTATAAATAATTAATTACCTAATGAAGTTGGTATTATTGTCTCTATGTTTGAAAAATAAGAGACTTAAAGAGGTTATGTGACTTGCTCAAAGTCTCACAGCTAGTAAGTGTCAAGGCAGGGATTCAATTCACTGATTTATTCATTTAATACATATTGAGTGCAAGATACTGATGAGGTACTATTTGTTGAACTCCAGAGTCATGCTAAGTAATTAAAAGAATTACATAATTACAATAATTATTTTCTGCCTTAAAACTACTTATCCTTTTGGTGTCTCTTCATAACAATCAAACCATTCACCCACTGACTGAAGCCATAAATCCACAAAGCCATCTTAGAGTATACCTACTCCATCGACTCCATCATATCCAAATAATCATGCAGACCTGTCAATATCTCACTCTTCCAAGGCCTCCTTCAAATCTGCATTGCCACCAAGGCATCTTTCGCTCATATTACCATATAACTTTCTCCTTGTTCTCCTTTTGTATAGAAAATGAGTAGCCAGAGATGGCAGGGATGACCTACTGGGGATCTTTCTTTCCCAATGCTCAACACAGAGGCCGTAACACAACTAGGGCTTAATGTTTGTTGAATAAATTCTTGAATAGAATTCTTACAAGTGAAATTTTGAAAAGTAGTCTGTCCATGAGACAGAGACTTACTCAAGTATATGTATACTTTTCTATTCCAGTGGAGACATGTATATGGCCATATCTATACATGGTATTTGTAGATGACATTTTCAAATGAGGTACCATTTGGTCAGCAACAGAACTGTGCTGCAAAGAGCCAATGGGTTTAGGTCAGTCTGCTACATAATATAGTAATTTTATATGGATGTAGGGGGAAGAATTGTCCTGATTGAAAATGATCCTAAAAAGCAGGTTGAGAGAGGTACCAGACTGAGAAAAAAACCTAGATCTTAGAAACCCCAACAAGCCAACTCCAGATACTTTCTGGCAATGATTTCTTACCATTCATGCCAACTTGCTTTCTCCCCTATTCTCCAATGTAAGATGGACCAGCCATAGTGAATTTAAGTCAAATTAATAAACATTTACTATGGACTGATTGTGTGTCAGGAGAATGGAAAACAAATAATACATAAGCACTGGGGACTGAGAATTAATTAGTGATGCATAAGTAGAATCTCTGCCCCTAAGACGGTAACTGAATACATCAGTCCTTTAATGTTTGTGATGTGCTTTCACATAAACTCTCTGTTGTAAACTCATTTTCCTAACTATTGTCCCCATTATTTACTGGTGAGAAAATAGTCTTGAAACATTAAGTGAATTACTCAATATCACATTACCAATGAGGGTTAAAATCCAGGACTCTGAGACCAAATCTTTGCTCTCATATTATGCTGTTAGGTTGCTGAGGCATTTATTCAGCGACTTTCTAATCAAGCAAATACTTATTGGACATGTAGTGTTTTCTAAGCACTTGGGATATATCAGTGAACAAAAGAGATGGATATCTCTGCTCTCAAGGTGCTTATGTTCTTGGGAAGCCTTAATAAGCTGCAAATCTCCCTTTGTATGGGAAGGCTCTGGCTGCTACACACTGAGGCTTCAAGATTCTTTCCCTTTAAGGACAGTAGCTTACTCTGTGGAACAACTGTCTTCAGGCCCTAACCACTGAGGATGGCTTTTGGGGCCGCAAGCTTTTGGGTTAGCCATTTTTAACTACATTCCACTGATTTGACTGCACATATCAGTTACTACAAAATTACCTAGAGCACAAGCCTGTTTGCATTTAATTAATTTAAATATAAACACACAATCTTAGGAAAATTAAGTAGACAAAAACGTTTTCATGCATCATAGGCATTTTGCAAACATATACAGTGTAACCTGTTAATTACATTTCCCTCACAAACCATTTATCTTCTCAAAGACTTGCCTAATAACTTGATGCTTCTCTCTTACATTTTTAACTCCTTATGATTTATTTTTCCATGCTGTTTCTAAAGCAATTGCCACGTCCCAAATGAGAGGGAATATTATAATAATGTGGTACAATAAAACAGCATACAGTATCTAATTTTAGCCCAAAGACTATGAGAAATCATTCAAATAGTTCCAATTTACTTGAACAAAATAATACAATGAATTCCTTCCTAACCAATATCCTCTCTTTGATTTGAAGGAAGCTCATCAGAAGACCAATAATAGAAATTTCCAAAATTGGATACATATCAATTGGCATCACCATTTATGCACTCCTAAACTGAATCCTGGAAGTCATCCTCATAGTGTTCTTCTGCCTCACTCCCAATTGACAGTCTGTGACTAAAGTTGGCTCAGCTCTAGTCACAGCCATCTAGTCCTCCTTGCCATCTCCTCTCCACTCCATTCTGACATTCATCATCTATTTCAACTACTGCAATAGAACTCAATTTCATCTCCTTGTCTCCAAACAGCCACTACGGGAAATAGATGTGTAGCAAGGAGTACCACCTTAAGCTCCAGCCACACCAAATTATTTGTGTTTTCCTGAATAAACTCTATTCTTTCCAATACCTGTGCCTTTGTAAATCCTTCTTTTATTTCCTTCTAAAAAAATTCTTTCCTTTTAGTCTGCTTAAAATTCTGCTCTCTTTTTTCGTATTCTGATCAGAGGTCACTTCTCTCCCAAAAGAAACATTTCTTCTCCCTCTTCACTTGGTCTCGGGTAAAAATGGCTCTTCTCCTTTGTTCCAACTCTACTCCACACTACAATGCTTTACTAGTTACCTTTCTTTGCAAGTTTGTCTTTCTCTGCTACAAACGTTAGCTCCTTTGGTAGATGGCATGAGGCATTTATTTCCCCAGCATCTACCAGAGTGACAATCAATGATTCAGGGAAACCTACTGGATAAATAAACAGACACCTTCAATACGTAGGAATGTGCCCACTGTTCAGGTGCAGTATAACTCTGAAGTAGCACAAGAAGCTACAGAAGGCTGTTCCTAAAAAGTGGTGAGATATGCCGGGTGTGGTGGCTCACGCCTGTAATCCTAGAGCTTTGGGAGGCCCAGATAGGCAAATCACTTGAGGTCAGGAGATCGAGAGCAGCCTGGCCAACATGGTGAAACCCCATCTCTTACTAAAACTACAAAAATTAGCTGGGTGTGGTGGCGGGCACCTGTAATCACAGCTACTCAGGAGGCTGAGGCACGAAAATCACTTAAACCTGGGAGGCAGAAGCTGCAGTGAGCTGAGATCGCCCCACTGAACTCCAGCCTGGGCAACAGAGCAAGATTCCATTGCAAAAAAAAAAAAAAGTGATGAGATCGCAAGATTTGCCAATCATTTTTTTGCTTCTTCTCTCTTTTGATTCTTTACTTTCCCTTCTTGCCAAACAGATAGCTATAACATTTCTATTCAAATGATATTTGCTATGTCTTAGAAAACTAAGAATTGTAGAGTTTTCAGCACTGGAAGTTTCTCTGCTACCCCTGGATATTTTCTCAAAATGAGCTACACTGGTACAAGCTGGTGGAAAATGACTTTGTCACAGTGTCTAAACCACAAGCCATATGCTGGGCCTGCAATTCACATGGGGCTCCTTGACCAATCTCTCCTTCACATACTTGCAAAAATAAATTCCTCAACTTAAATTATTTTATTTTAGTTACTTACACTATTGTGTGTCTTGAATTTGCTTGTATTACTGATGTGTAAGACAAGTCCACTTTCGCCATGAATGATTGCCTAAGATACGCACCTGACTTTTAAAACATAAAATATAAAGTTGATCAAAACACGTGACTTTAGTAATTCTTATCAGGCAAAATACACTTGTTTGCACTGCATAGCTCCTGAAAACTATGGCGTTTGGCAGTAATATGAAAATTGATTTATGCTAATTCAGTGGTGGAAAGAATCTTGGGATAATTTTACTATCCAAGTTATTAAACTAGGCTCAAACATCTACCTTTAATGGTTTCCTTAATATCTGTTTGATATTTCTTAATAATCAGCCAAAGTAGATGCCAACTGGTTTAAGAAAAAATACAAGGAAAATCAAAATTACAATTAAGAGTTGACTTTACCTAAGGGTAGTGTTTTCTTAGGATCATAAATTTGAGAATCATTAAAATGAATCACACCTATGGAGCAAACATTTGATTAAAAACCATCCTATGTATTGTTACAACTAAGAAAAAGTCACATTAGGTCATCCTTGACTTTGCTCTCATGGTTTGTTCTGCCAGAATTCTCTTTAGACTCAAATCACCTGATGACTGTCTCCACTGTAGCTTTTCGTTATCTACCTTGTCTGCTCCATTGTTACCGTGACAGTGTTTATAATGTACTAGCGAGTTATTTGTTTATCGGTGACTCCCCAGGTGGACTGTGAGCTCACAGAGGACAGCACTCACATGTATAAGATGGTATCTAGCACAGGGTCTGAGCTAGATCTGGTATTTTAAACATTAAAGTCATTATTAGTTACAGAAAATCTGTAGTCTCTATGTACTTGATCAGAGTGTACTATCAGAGTACTATGTACTCTTAATATTGCCTCTATTGTAGAATTTAACAGTGTGTTGAAGGTTGATTTCTTCAATATTAGGGAAATGCCTGCTTCACAGCTACCATTAAACTGGGGAAGTGACCTTTTTCTACTCACTTGCCCCTGCAATTTCTCCGTTCCCTGAATCTCTTGCACTGCCGCCTTTATTCTCCAGGAGATGAAATGTGAAGTGGTGCAGCTTCCTAGTTAGGCAATTGGACGCTGGTGTCAGGTGTCTGGTGTCAGGAGTCAGGCAGCTCTGCATCCCCCTCTGCCACGTACTAGCTGTGTGATCTCAGTGTAGTTACTTAATCTTTCTATTTCCTCTGACCAAAAACAAAGAGGGGTTAGTTTTGCTCTTCTTTTTGCCCAGGTTTTCTCATTTTTTAAACAAGGTAATGTTAGGATTTACCTCACAGGGTTGTGGGAAGCATGAAATGATGTGAGATGTTGAAGTTTCTCAGAAGAGGATCTGACATATGGCAAGTACTTAAGAAATGTCAGTTGTTATTATTTTATACTTCAGTGGTAGAAAGGGTTTTATAAGCCAGTTCTTAGTATAGGAAAATCTTCCTGATTAGGGTCTAAGCTAAAAAAAGTTTCTCCAAATAAACATAAATTCTCTGAAACTTTCTATATCTATAACGTCATTAAAAATGCTTCTTGCTGCTGGAGCTTAATGCTTTTCTGTTTTGTCATTTCATATAATTTTATCACACTATATAGACTCTTCCTACTTTAATTATGATCCCTGGACCAGCAGCATCAATATCACCTTGGCGCATGCAGAACTTTAGGACCCACAGATAGCCTACTAAATTAGAATCTAAATTTTAATAAAAACCACACATGACTTTTGTGCACATTAAAGTTTGAGGGGCACTGGTGAAGACTAGATTGTAGTTTCCTCATCTAAAACAATGGGAATGACCAAAGTACCTACCTCACAGGTTTATTGTGAGAATTAAATGTGTCATCGTCTGTAAAGCATGTTACACAGTGCCTAGCACACATAGCAAATGCCAAAGCCATCTATATACACATTATATACATATAATGTTGGGAAACGTGGAAGTGAGGATATTGTTCTCTTTTAAATTGGTCACAAAAAACACATGCCTGGTATTTTACTCCATTTGAGGTACCATAATTTATGTAGACATCGAAAAACCATAGCATATTCAAAAGACAGTGTGTTGAGGAAAACTAAACTATGTCAGAAGAATGGTTAAAGAAACTAGGAATATGTATGCTAGAGAAGAACTTACTTATGGAAGGTGATAACTGCCTGCACATTTTTAAAGGTTCAGACTAATTCTTTATGACATCAGACAATTAAATAAGGACAAATGAAGGGAAGTTATAGAAAGAGATTTCATTCAAAATAAGGAACAGTTCTAATTTCCTTGCAGCTAGATCTGTCCAAAGCAGAATGGACTTCCTTGCAAGAATGTGAGCTTCCTGCCCTAAAAGGTCTAAATAGAGCTTGATGTTCACCTCTTGGGGACAGCAACAGGAATTCATTACCTGGATGATTCATTACCTGTCTAAGAGGAGCCTCCCAACTCTGAGATGCAATTCTATGAATGATATAACTGAAGGGTGCTTAACCTTCATCTAGATTCTGGAAACTTCAACTTCATCTTATAGATAAGGGAATTAAGACATAGAGCTGTTAATTGGCATGCCTATGGTTATAATTTGGTGGCTGGTTGGAACAGGTCTTTGGCCAGAATGCTGATCTTGTGAAATCTGCTCTAGTACTTTAACTATGGGTCTTTTTGTTGGGCCCTTATAATCACTAAATTAGTACCAAGCACCAAATACATTAACAGTGACTCTAGATTTTGATACTTTGGATTCCTTTTTTTATTGTTATTTGAGGTAGAGTCTCACTCTGTTGCCCAAACTGGAGTGCAATGGCATGATCTCGGCTCACTGCAACCTCCACTTCCTGGGTTTAAGTGATTCTCCAGCCTCAACCTCCTGAGGGGATTACAGGAGCCCACTACCATATGAGGCTAATTTTTATATTTTTAATAAAGATGGGATTTCACCATGTTGGCCAGGCTGGTCTTGAACTCCTGACCTCAGGTGACCCACCTGCCTCGGCCTCCCAAAATGCTGGGATTACAGGCGTGAGCCAGCATGCATGGCCTGGATTTTTTTTGTTTTTTGTTTTTTGTTTTTTAGAGCTTACCTTTGCTTCTATCTTGGATAAAAGATATCCTGAATCTTATGAAGTGCGGTAATTTAGGCTAGTTTTGTATAGAAAATCTTTCTCTTGGCCACTATTGATCGGACTTTCACATTATGGCAGAGTCTCTCAAAGCAGAAAGTATTCATTGAATGCTAGTCCTTTGATATGCTCTCTGAAAAACAAGTTCTGAGGAGAATTACATTTGTAAAACCAGAACACTTAGTTGAGTTCTTGATGTTCCACAACATACAATAGCATATTAAAGATTCTTCAAGGTCCTGTAATACAGCCACTTGTTTAATTTGATATCAGAATCTCTTAGGCATTTCACCATTCAGACACTGAGCACCCCACACATAATTCCCCAATCTCTTATATAATAAACATTAATACTTTATAAAATCCTTTTTTTTTTTTTTTTTTTTTTGAGACAGTCTCACTCTGTTGCCCCGGGTGGAGTGCAGTGGCGCAATCTCGGCTCACTGCAACCTCCACCCCCTGGGTTCAAGAAATTCTCCTGCCTCATCCTCATGCACCACCATGCCTGGCTAATGTTTTTGTGTTTTTAGTAGAGACAGGGTTTCACCACGTTAGTCAGGGTGGTCTCGAACTCCAGACCTCAAATGATCCTCCTGCCTCGGCCTCCTAAAGTGCTGGGATTATAGGTGTGAGCCACCACTCCTGGCCTATAAATTGCTTTTCATGAGACTTCAGCTTTCGTGTCTAGGAAAGTCACAGCAAGGAACTTTGACAATCAGTTACCTAATTTCTTATGGGTTCTCTGTCTCTCTTAATGGTTCCTTGTTTGTCTTTTCCACATTTCAAAAGCAAGAAGAAAGCAACAGCAAACTTAGTGCTTTGTACAATTAGTATATGAATTGTCCTCTACTGATTTAGTCCTTTCAAACCAAAAGACAATTATCTACTTAACTGTCAAAAGGGAATGGAGCTGCCCCATCTACTTGTAGCCTTCTAGGTATTTTTTTCTATAAATTATGTTACATTAAATAGTTCTTCCTTTGCCAAAGGTATAGAATGCTTATATACAAGGTTTATATATTTCTTCAGTAAGAATTCTATAGGATTGTTCTACATATATCCTGGACCTACTTGGAGCAGTATATATATATATTTTTCTCTTTTCTTTTTCCTAAGAATTAGAACCTGCGAATGGAGTAGTATATTT
This sequence comes from Homo sapiens, assembly GCF_000001405.40. Lineage (NCBI taxonomy): Eukaryota > Metazoa > Chordata > Mammalia > Primates > Hominidae > Homo > Homo sapiens. Next base: position 96,489,284 of record NC_000001.11, on the reverse strand, counting down.
TAAGACCAATGTAAATATATGTTAGAGCTGAAAGTTCCTTAATTAGCTAAGTAAGAGGTTAAACATCCATCAGGGTTCATTATCACTGAATCATTGCTTCCACTAACGGGAGTATATTCTAGGAGAATTCCAGGCACCAAGACAAGACCAGTAGGGGTAACACAAGTCAGACTAGCAGCATGATAAGATCAGACTCCTTAATCTGACCTACACTAAGGTGAAGAAATATGACAGAATGATTGTCTCGTCTTTCATGGGCAACAATTGGTCTAGTGAACCTGAGAGAGCAAAGGGCAAAACTGAAAATGAAATAAAAACTAACTGACAATCTGCTCTGTGTCAGATACTTCCACACATATTTTCTCATTTAAAGCCTCACAATAAGGCTATGAAGAAAGTTGAGTTCTCATTTTACAAATGAGGTAGCTGAGGCTCAGAGAAGTTGAGTGACTTACTCATCACACAGTTAACTGATTGCTAAACTGATATTCAAACTTGGACGTTGTGATTTTCAGTGTCAGTTCGTTCCCATTACACTCAAAGTGCTGGAATTTGCAAATCCAGCAAATCTTATCCCTGAGACTAGACAACAAACAGAAAGGTAGAATCTCTTCTAAACAAGTGCTCACTCACAATTATTTCAATAACTTAGTAGACAACATTCCAGGTGGATAATGTCAGAAACCAAATTTTTGAATGGAAAAGAGGCAGCATTTTAGATGTAAATGGATCCTAGAGCCCTGTGTGTGGTCAGACTTAGCGCCACAGTTCCCGTCTCTGTAGAGAAGCAACACAGCAAGAGAAGGCAATGTAAGGATTCCAAATTGCTAAGAGAATGAAGTAATCAGCATATATGTACTCCTTATTATGTTCGTGTGGCCAAGTGTGTGGGGTGGGGGCTGAAGAATCAGAGACTACAGAGTTGGAAGAACTACCATTTCATGTCAGCACGAGGGCAAAGAATGGAGGGATTGGCTGTGATCGAAGTGTCAATAGTTAGAGCTGTAATCACAACTTCAGGAGAGATCAACACCTACTGTATAAGAGGATTTAAAAATCCAATAAATGAAGCTAAATGGAGCTGCTATACTGAACGGTGGCATAAAGCCATGGTTTACTGGCAACATAGAACATCATTGCATAATGGCTGAACACAACCAGCATGCTGCGCCAGGCAACGTGAAGCCCAGCCTGCAAAAAGCCAGAGAGAGGTTTTGAAGTGATTGACCAAGTTATGTGATTTGCAGGTGCTTTTGTGTACTGTTTCACTGGTTGGTAACTTATTCAGAAGGTAGGGAAGGCTTGAACCCAGGCTGGCAATTGTGCCACTGATTTTGAGTTTGGAAAGAAGCCATAAAGGGGTAACAACATGGTCTGGAATCTACAGGTGACTTCCAATTTCTCTTTAAAAAGAGAATTCAAGGGAAAACTCAGTAAGTATTTTAAATCACATTTGTGTAATCATATTTAATGAACAGGTGGCTTATTGTAGAATTTATTTAAAGTAAGACAGTGCGTGAGTGTGTGTGTATGTGTGTGTGTGTTTCCTCAAAAACATACAGGAATTATTGAAATTAATGGCATGTAGTCCTGTTCTGGGCTATAGCTGGCATGCCAGAAACAACAATGCCATAGCTGTTACCACATTCTTTTCCTCAAAAGGGGAACAAATGAGCTTCTGTTGTTAAAGCCACTCCTTCCTGAATCACCATTTCAGTCTCTCTCTTTTCTGCTGCCTGTCATATAAAGCCGTTTTAATTTAAAAAGCAAAATAAAATAGACAGCTATTTTAAGGCAAAATATTAAATATGAGAGTGATTTGAGCTCTGAGTTTGTTTTTTAAAATTAAAATAGAGAGCCAGTGTGTGGGTATTGTAAACAGGCGAAGCTTTAGCTCTCCCTACAGGCTTTTGTTACAGTAGCTGTCTAAGAGGAAGAGAATATTGGAAGCTGAAATCATCCCAAAGTGTTCATCAAAGAGAGTGATTTCCTTTGTCCAAGACAAAGTCACAAGCTGTTACCTGGGTCGACAGTAAGACTGTGCAAATGGCATTTATCACATTATTGAGGCTACAGAGTCTTTTTTTTTATTTAGTGATTCTCAGCTTTTTATTGGAAAAAAAGGAGAATAATAATAAAAACAACAACTGCAATGACAATGACACCAGAAATGCTGCTGCTGCTTTCCAGTTTGCCCATGGTCTTTTCATAGCTTGGCTTTTGAGGCTAAGTGTTATACCGGGGCTTCTGATTTGGGGTTGGAGTCAGTATGGATTCCAAGTGGAATTCTGCAGAATGATCATCTATTGGCATAAACCCTTGCTAAAAAACAGACCAACAGCGAAGATTCTCAGTGAGCCTCTTATCTTAATAGTCATACATCAGCGACATGGATGCCATCTAAGAAATGTGTCGTTAGGCAATTTTGTCATTCTGCAAACATCATGGAGTGCAGTAACAGAAACCTACATGGTATAGCCTACACACACCTCGGCTGTATGGTACAGCCTATTTCTCCTAGGCTACAAACCTGTACAGTACAGCACCTTACTGTACTGAACACTGCAGGCAGTTGTAACAAAACAGTAAGTATTTGAGTATCCAAACACATAAAAACATAGAAAAAGTACAGTAAGAGTAGCTGTAACCCCAGCTACTCTGGAGGCTGAAGCAGGAGAATCGCTTTGAACCTGAGAGGCGGAGGTTGCCCTGAGCTGAGATTGCACCATTGCACTCCAGCCTGGGTGACAGAGGGAGACTCTGTCTCAAAAAAAAAAAAAAAAAAAAACCCACTAAAAAATGGCATGCTTGTATAGGGCATTTACCATGAATGGAGTTAGTAGGACTGGAAGTTACTCTGGATGAGTCAATGAGTGAGTGGTGAGTGAATGTGAAGGTCTAGGACATTTCTGCACACTACTATAGACTTTCTACACATGTGTAGTTAGGCTGCACTAAATTTGTAAAACAATATTTTTATTTCTTCAATAATGAATTAACTTTAGCTTACTGCAACTTTTTAATTTTATAAACTTTTTACTCTTTTACAACAATACAGCTTAAAACACAAACACATTGCACAGTTTTTCAAAAATATTTTCTTCTTTATATCTTTATTCTATAAGCTTTATTCTATTTTAAAAATTATTTATTTACTTTTTAAACTTTTTTGTTAAAAGCTAAGACACAAACACACACACATTAGCCTAAGAGTACACAAAATCAAGATCATCAATATCACTATCTTCCACCTCCGCATCTTGTCCCACTGGAAGGTTTTCAGGGGCAATAACACACATAGAGCTGTCCTCTCCTATCATAACAATGCCTTCCTTCTTCTGAAATGTCTCCTGAAGGACCTACCTGAGGCTCTTTTACACTTAATTTTTTTTAATCAGTAAAAGGAGTACACTCTAAAATAATGACAAAAGTATAGTACAATAAACACATAAACCAGTAACATAGCTGTTTACTTTCATTATTATCATGTATTCTATATAATTGTATGTGCTAGACTTTTATATGACTGGCAGTTCAGAAGGTTTGTTTACATCAGCATCGCCGCAAACATGTGAGTAATGTGTTGCACTACGACATTATGACGACTATGACATCACCAAGCAATCAGACTTTTTCAGCTCCATTATAATCTTATGGGACCACTGTTTTATATGTGGCCCCTCATTGACTCAAACATAGTTATGTCGTGCATGACTGACTGTATAAAAAATGAAAACCAGTTTCATAAGCACACTTTGGCCCACACCCCAAACCCAAAGGGAAAACTGTCTCCATATACTTTTCAGTGTAGCAGCAGTGGTGCATTGAATCAATAATAACAATCGATAACAATAATCAGTAATCTATAATAATAACAGCCATCATTTATTAATTATTTGCCCTTGCTCTTGGCTACACATTCAGCTGAATAATTTTGCTTAGTACTCAAAATCATGCAAACAAGTAGACATGATTATCCTCTTTCACAGAAGAACAATCCAGTTCAGAAATTAAGCAACTTGCCGAAGGTCAGTCACCTAATGAATTCGGGCTGGAAGCAGAACTCAAACCCTGGACTGTCTGACTGCAGAGCCTTGCCCATTAACCAATCTGCTGTGCTGTATTGTCTTTGTTAACTATTATATTATACTGCTTTTGTTTTGTTTTGTTAAGAAGGTACCTCTAGATATCGATTTAGCAGACATCGTTGCTTTTTAACAGGTACATTTAGTATTTGTGGAGTGCTAGAAATGAGCAAAGTATTTAACAGACACATAAAAAATTGTTAAGAGAAATCTGTCAGGTGAGAAACATACAAAGTAGGACTACAGAATATGGATGAGTCAGATAAAAAATAAGTCAAAAGAAGGTGAGGGGAAGTAAGTTATTGAATTAAATAGGACATCCTGGATAACACCACCAGTGAGATGGGTGAGGGGCACCAAAGATGCTATGATGAGAGGAGTCAGTATGGGGATAGACTGAAATAATGAATAATAGAGAAAAGACAAATAAGAATTCTGTTTGAATTTTTTAAGGTTAGAAATTAGGGAGAATACTCAACCTTCCAATATTCATTTATTCCACAAACATTCCTTAAGTGCCAATTATAAAAATAGTAATTGTTTTATGCCTTCTGGTGACAAAGATTGAGGAAGAAAAACAGACATATAAACAATAACATGTCATGAGTGCTATGATAGAACTTGTGCAAGGAATAGTGAGGCAAAGAGGAAAGACTCATTAAAATTCTAGAGAGAATGCCAGTTAACTTCTATGTTTCATAGAAAATGCAACAATTTAATAGATTCTCAAAAGATAAGGAAGCTTTTACCAAGTGAACTGGGGAAGTGATATGGGAAAAGAAAGATATTTCAAGGAGGAAACAGGATGTGCAATGGCATGAAGGCATGGGTCATGGGGGATCTGTGAGTAGTTTTGAACGGCTGAATGAAGCATTAGGATTTAAGAAGACTGTGCAGAGATGTAAGCCTAGAGAAGTAAGTGGGGTCAAAGTCATGGGGACTTTAAATGGGGAGCTGGTGCTGAGAAGTCACTGAAGAGACTATGAAAGACATCCATCATCTAAAAATCACCCTGGTAGCAATGTGGCAAATGAGTAAGGGGGCTAAAACTGAAGACAGGAAGACAGGGTAGGAAACTGTGCAATACATGGTTGAAATAGGGAGAGAAACAGCTAGATAAATTCAACAGATCGAGCAAGTAGAATTTATGACTGATTGTGTACTGGGAGTGATTCTGTACCATATTTTGTAATTAAGCAATGGATGTTAGAATTGTGAATAAAAGGATGGCTCTGTCACTTCCTTATGGGAAAAGAACAACTGACTAATTTTATACAAATGCTATTTTTCAACTTCTGTACTGTTTAGTGGTTAATACAGCTCTTGGTTCAAAATAGTCCTACTTCTTCAAATCTATCCACATCTCCTACAATAAGAATTTTTGATACTTAACAGGACCTCTGTAATTCTCTAGTCCCAAGCTTCTTCTCTATTGTCCCATCACCTAGATAAATAATTTAAAGGTGAAACTACTTATCAAGGGCAACACAGTAAATTAGAGGCAGGGTCATGAGTAGAACCAGGTGACCTTACGCCCAGGCCACACTGAGTGCCCCTTAAACATGGACCGTATGGTACATTTCCGCTTGGGCTCAATTCCAGGGAAGATTATAGGTATTCAGATGATTTTTGGGTTTCCGTAGTTGTCAGAAAATTTACATTCAAATATAATATTCAATTGCTATAATTTGCTCAACACGAGTGACTGAAAGCATCTATCTCTCTGCTTCTGTTCTATTCTTTTTTTTTTTTTTTTGAGATGGAGTCTCGCTCTGTCACCCAGGCTGGAGTGCAGTGGCGCAATCTCTGCTCACTGCAAGCTCTGCCTCCCGGGTTCACGCCATTCTCCTGCCTCAGCCTCCCGAGTAGCTGGGACTACAGGTGCCCGCCACCACGCCCGGCTAATTTTTTGTATTTTTAGTAGAGACGGGGTTTCACCGTGTCAGCCAGGATGGTCTCGATCTCCTGACTTTGTGATCCGCCCGCCTCGGCCTCCCAAAGTGCTGGGATTACAGGCATGAGCCACTGCGCCCGGCTATTCTTAAGTACCTTACCTTGCATTGCATTTTACACTGCTGGCCACCTTTATGTCCTTTAGGATGGTTGATGGGAGTAAATTTATTCACTGTAAGTAAATAAATTTCTCAATAATTAGTTTTCTTCACAGCAGAAATATAACTCTTTTATGTTTATGTCCAACCATCTCATCATGATATTTTTGTGAGGTGGGAATGTAAAAATTTCAGGGGACTTTTCCATGAGCAGGAGAAAAGTCTGCTTAGGATGAACAAGTAGAAGCATTGGTGGAGTTGCGGCTCTGTGAAAGCTCTTTTGAAGCTGTGTTTGTCTTTGTTGAAATATCACCAGGCAAGCCTCTTTATCCTAATGGCACTTGCTGCATATTTTGCTCTCCCAGCTTCTCAGTCTCCCGCGGAGTCTTTACTAGAAGATTATCATGATAATTCAGTCGTGCATCCTTCTCCCCACTCCCAGTTCAAATGTTTTTACTTTGATTAAATTAAAACAATCAGAGGAAAGTGTATAAAAGCCTAGAAACCTAGTACTTAACCTATACAATTTAAAAAAGGTCTAATATTATAGCTGCAGGAAAAGCATAGCAGTTCAAGATAAAACGAAAGCAAAGGAAGGCAGTCTTACCAAGAAGATGTGATACATGATGTGACTTTTCTGCTGGAGGCAAGTGGGAACTTTACTTGTAATATGTGTTATAAGGCTAAGTCCTAGAATGGAGACTGGAAAGCCTTCTTTTGTGAGTGGGTGGAGACTGAGGCCGGGGAGGAGAGGAGCAACTTCTACTGTAGGTTCAGCAGGGTTTGCATTAGCTGGTTCTGGCCATTCCAAGTGAAGGTCATCAAAAAATTGTGTGGGAGAGGCAGGCCTGTGATAGCCAGAGAAAATACAGAATAAACAAGTAGCTTTATAAATGACATCATGTGCTGAGTGTATTTTATAAACTGATAGTCAGGACTTAGGGACTTGGGGTTTAACGAGTCTGCATGTATTTATAATGGCAATAGAAATAAATATTTGAGATTAGAATTAATTCTTGGATATAAAGTCACTGTAACCATAGTAAATATTGGTTGATTTTACATGTAGTATAAGGAAGAGTTGGATTCTTTTGGAAATTGCATTCGCTGTCTGCTATGGTTGTGGCTTGGGTGGTAGCCTGAACTTCAAATTAAGCAGAAAGCATATCTTCATATCTTTAGTGCTTTAAATTTTTTTTTGATTGTGGCCCAGTACCTTTAATTTCACAACCTACTAAAACTATACACATAACAAACACATAAAAGTAAAACAAAAGTTCAGGAAACAATACTGTTACTAAATGTAATATATTTGGATTTTTTTTTCTATTCTATTCTTTTATGACCTATTACTTTTATTAAAATCTTGGTGCAAATCTCTAAATGGATTTCAAGACTCATCAATGGGCTGCAACCAGCAGTTTGAAAATCACTGCTTAAGGCAACTGTTGTAAAATCAGTCAGCTCGACTAAACCAGAGAATCTACTTGATCCGAAAGGTAGAAAACCAAACAGATGTAGAATGGTCCCTCTTGATCATATGAAAGCAGAAGCAAGAAGTGTTTGATGGTGGGAAACTACAGAGAGGAAATTCTTAGTGGGAGATTTATTAGCTTTGTGGTCTAGGAAACATCATTCTCAGAGTCAGTATTCTACTTGATGATAGAAAACCCAGAGAGAGGAGGGAAACAATATTATTTTTCTAATAAAATATTGAATTGCTATTAATATGATTTTCTATTGCAATTATAATCTGTTGTAAGCCTGCTCTGCAGGGACTGAGCCTAATTCTCTCTTGTGCAGAGCCTGGCATCCTGTTGGCAGCCAGCACATGTTTATTATGGGTAATAACAATAATAATACTAATAATGATAACTTGGTGATTAGAATCATTTGCAGTAACATCCAAAGCTAGGATTATAAGAACTTCTTTCCTATAGCTTCCACTTTTATTCTCCATGGTTTATATTTTTTCTAATCATAAAAAATACTTTCCTTATTTCCCTTCTGATTTAGTCTATTTGGCAAACATTAATGTTTTTGAGCATTTTTTTTCCTTATGGACCTCAAAATTAAATGTCTTCCCATTTGACTCCTTGTTTGTCTTAACAGAATCACTGATGAGGTCAACACAGCTAGAACAGGGAGATTCATTTGTTAACTGTTGCTGCAGAAGCCACAAAGAGCACAAAATCTCACAGAACATCATTTTGGTGTTCTTTCTATAATAACAGCATAAGTTACTTAATTTTCTCAAATTTTCAGTGATTAACTTATTTTTAAAAATTAAGAAGCAGGAAAATGAAAATAAAATAAGACAGTGTATGCTTTTTTCTCAGACTTTACCAAATTTTAGTTTCAAATTAAGGCTCTAATTCAGCAGGGGTATAAATGGAGAGAGGGGATGAGAGAAGTAACTACCTGCCAATGGGAGGATAGGGATACTTGAGACATAAATGTGACAGTAGGAAAGGGAAGAGGAAACCTGGTGGTAAGGTAGACAGAGTGGTGGGAGAAAGTATGAAGGAAGTATTAAATATGGCCACAGCAATAGATAGGTGACCTGAGCACCAATCCAGGGAAAAGGGATGGAATAGAAGTGGAAAGGAATGGACTGTTGGTAATGGGATAGGGAATTCCAAATAGGGAGAAAGGAAAGGAGATATAGAGAGATATGGGCTTTCTGGCTGGAAAAGATGGAGAAGAATTTCAAGTTGACACCATCTTTTATAACAAGGAGATTAAATTAGTAGCTATTTGCTTACCTTCAAAGTTTTTTCCCCCTTATATTAATTATATGTATAAAATAACTTTAGGCAAGGCGCAGCGGCTCATATCTGTAATCCCAGCACTTTGGGAGGCCGAGACAGGTGGATCACCTGAGGTCAGGAGTTTGAGACCAACCTGGTCAACATGGCAAAACCTCATCTCTACTAAAAATACAAAAATTAGCCGGGTGTGGTGATGTGCACCTGTAGTCCCAGCTACTTGAGAGGCTGAGACAGGAGAATCGCTTGAACCTGAGAGGCGGAAGTCGCAATGAGCCAAGATGGTGCCACTGCACTCCAGCCTGGGTGACAGAGGGAGACTCCATCTCAAAAAAAAAAAAATTAATTAAATTAAATTAATTTCCTCACCCTAGTAAGTATGTTGTGCTTCAAGAATTTTAGGCCGGGCGCGGTGGCTCACGCCTGTAATCCCAGCACTTTGGGAGGCCGAGGCGGGCGGATCACGAGGTCAGGAGATCGAGACCATCCTGGCTAACACGGTGAAACCCCGTCTCTACTAAAAATACAAAAAATTAGCCGGGCGTGGTAGCGGGCGCCTGTAGTCCCAGCTACTCGGGAGGCTGAGGCAGGGGAATGGCGTGAACCCGGGAGGCGGAGCTTGCAGTGAGCCGAGATCGCGCCACTGCACTCCAGCCTGGGCGACAGAGCGAGACTCTGTCTCAAAAAAAAAAGAATTTTACACATTTTAATATTATGCCCAATGTTGTCATTCCCTCCCAAATAGTACTGTAAAACCAAATTTATTCTTTTTTTAAAATCTGTATAAATTTAAATTTATTCTTTTTTTAAAATTTATTATTATTATACTTTAAGTTTTAGGGTACATGTGCACAATGTGCAGGTTAGTTACATATCTATGCATGTGCCATGCTGGTGCGCTGCACCCACTAACTCGTCACCTAGCATTAGGTATATCTCCCAATGCTATCCCTCCCCCCTCCCCCCGCCTTAAATTTATTCTTAATTAAGTCTATTAACTATGGCTTTCCCTCTTAGTTGATATCACATTCAATTAAAATTCAGGTTATTTAGTGGAAAAATCACAACCTTTCCTATTTATATTTTTATAGAATGGGAGATCTGATCCAAGCCATGGCATGGATTGAAGGTAGTGTAGGTTATAATGGTTAGGACAACTGGCTCCAATCTTGGCTTTATCCCTGTCCAGTTGTGACGCTTTTAATAGTTTCCTCATTTTTAAAATAGAGGTAATAATATCTAACTCAGAGGGTTATTGTGGGGATTGAAACAACAATGATGAAAGCAACATCTTTAGCATAACTTAGCACATCACAAAGGCTAGTAAAACAGTATCTGTTATTATATATTCATTAGAAGACTTCAGGGGAGTGTATTTATTAAGACAGAAGAAACAGCTAGGAGATTACAGTTTATTTTACTTTTTAAATTAGGTATATCTGAGACATGTGTGCATCGTGGCACCTGTCTCACAGACTCGATAAGGAGGGTTGAGGGGGTTAACGTAGAGCGGAGTAAGTAGTCACTATCACCGGCAACATCTACATCACTGCTTTCTCATACCCATCGGATATGAAAAGCTGAGTTAAACACCGTGACATCTACTGCTCTTTATGTTAAATAAACCGACGCCTTCCATAAATTAAAATGATTTTATTATGCAGTGTGACACAAGGTTATCCAATATGCCAGAGAGGTGCAACTGAGTCTGTTGTCAGGGGAAAGTGCAGGTAGGCTGTGTTCAAAGCTGCAAGTACCGTGTCAAAAAAGTAAAAGCCCTCTCTGTTTAGTAAATGCATTTGCTGAGCCCTAATAAACTAAGAATGGAAAAAGGTTAATTGACAAAATGATACTTGTCTAATGCTGTCCCAAGCACTGCACTCAGGCAGATGTGTGCGACAGGGATCCTGCTGTGCTGACAAGGATGATTATCGTAACTGACACTTTTTGCCCTCAAGGGTGTGTGACTTCTAGAAGCTTTTCACCCTGGAATCTCACTGTTGCACTAGAGCCAATCCAAGAAGGTTTACAAAACACGCAAGCCAAAGGACAATGCAGTTTAGACTTAAGTGTGGTAAGGCAAGGCCACAGATTGGCATGAGTTTCAAATGTTGCTGTTGAAATTCCACTTTGCATTCACTGCTTTCATTTACTGAATTACCCATGTGCCAGGCACTGCGTAAGAGCTCTCTCCCTATAGCTTATTTTATTCCCACAAAGATTCAGTGAGTTAGGTGTTAGTCTCCTACAGATACAAATAGTGAAACTGAGGCCATCACAATACTCTGACTACATTGTGCTTTCAGTTTCCAAAAGCAATTGATTATATCAATATATTAATCCAACTTTTTCTTTTTCATGATTTTTGACTAATTTACTGATACAGCTAGGGTCCTAGACATGGTGTCTGATTCAGCTCAGCAAATAGAAAAGGATTCCCTTAAACCTGTTGCTGTGAATTCCACTGGAAATATGAAGGGCATCCACTTAACTTTCCAACTGAAGAGGATGGGGAAACCCACACCTTTGCTTTTCTAATCCTTGAGCAAGACTGAAATTCCCTGGGAAGAGCAACAGATTTGATATGGAGCTTAGAGGAGATGGTGTTGTAGGGGAAAAAAAATAATTTTCTCCTCTACCCTTCATGAGAGCGTAGGTGGGACTCCCTGTAACAAGAAACAGATTTAAAAGAGAAAAACAAATAGAAGTTTAATAACATGTATATTTCTTTTATACGTGGAAGATAACTAAGAGAACTGAGTGCATCTCCAGATCTCAAATAATTGTCTTACACGTCAGGCTTAAATGCCATGTTCCCTGAAACAAAGAAAGAAGAAGGTAGGGAAAAGCTTGGTTAACCATAAAGCAACGGTAAGGTTTATTATGAAGATTGAAGTCCCCGACTTTATTTTCCATTGACTGAGACTCTCTAGTGATTTAATCTTCCCTCACTTGCTGGTGCAGAGTGGGAGACACACTCACAAACGGAGATTTTCTTGATAGATGTAAATTTTGCCTACGAAAGGGCAACTTCTCAAAGCTTCTCCTATGTCTGCAGTTTCTTAAAATAACCAGCTCAAAATAATCCGTATGCCAAAAAAGCATATTTTGTGTGGCATATTCTGGTTTTCTATAGTCGTATTTTGCAGGGAGTGTCCTGAACCTCATCAGTGCTGTGGCTCTGTGACTGTCTGATGGTTGAAATAAGAACAAATCAAATAGCAAACCTACATATGAATGCATACATTAAAGTGACACATAGTACCTTTCATAAATAGTTACCTGCCTGTTGGGTCCTACTGGAAAGCAGGGAATAATCATGATTTTTTTCAAAGCTACTAAGGTTGTTAGCTGTGATATAAACTAAACAGAATAACAAAAACCTTTTCCAAGTAGAAACTAGTTCTATTTTCATAGTCAACAGAGCAAGGCTCTTAAAACCTAAATGTCTCACAAGTACCTTCTAATGGGTTTATTGCTTTGTTTATTCTGCTTAGAGCAAGTCAGGGGGCAATCTGCAATTTGCATCACTAAAAATCTTTTTTGAAAGTGTGTTGACATTTCAGTTTCTGGTTTTGAAGTGCATTAAACAGCTCTCTTAATGTGTGCAGTGGTCATCTGTCCAGACACTGTGGACACATAGGCATTGTCACATTCCAACACAGGCTGTCACATGTATGGATACATCTACCCACATTAATATGCCTGCCTTCCCAGATGCACATTAGCTGTGGTTATTTTGATCCCTTTTGCCTAACCATTTCTAGATGTTACTTTCAGATACATCAGACATGATGGTTCACCTTAGGTCTTTCTAATCAGTAGGTGGATATTTACTTTATTCTTAAACATTCTTCTTTTAAGTCAGACATCTTTTTTTATTCTCTTTCCTCCAACATACTAATGACAAAATTCTCCACGTTTTTCCATACAATTGGACATATCTCCCAGAGTGTTCACTTTCCCCAAGCACTCTTCCAAGAATCATTTTCTGAGTTCCCTTTAGACAAACTAAAGGGCTCCTCCAGGTAATAAAGCATGACTAGGAACACAGAAAAAAGCAAATGCACATTAAGATGCATAAAGTAGTCATCAGTAAAAAGAAAATTAAAGAAATTGTGTTGGTCATTTTATTGTCTCTTGATTTGAATACATATGCTATGTAGTATATATAGTTCAGATTTTAACATAAACTCCTTGAGTTACACTGTCTTTCTCTGTTTCCATTGAATAGTGAAGAGACTTCATTGTCAGGACACTTTGCCTCCAGTCTTGAGAACAGAATGGAGGGGGAAAAGTACACATAATTAAAGATCTGTCACCAATGCCCAACGAACTGGAACAAGTAGACAAGCCATTTGCCTTCTCTGAGGTTCCATTTCCCCAGAAAATACGTACATACATACATACATACATACATAAACAAATAATAAATTTCGTGATTTGTGTGTTGTCAAAGCAAAATTGCATGGAACAAAACAGTCAAGGAAGATTAGTAAAGGCTACTGCAATAAGGGATAGAGACAAGAATAGTCTTCATGAACTCAACTCTTCTCAAAGAAAGCCTGAGTTTTTAGGAGCTGGTGTGGGGGCATTCCTAGGCCATCTGTGCTTGCTAACTGCCTTGGCCAAAGGAAAAGTAAACTTTCTCTCATATCTTCATGGCAAGGGGTAGTTTTACAACTGGGAGCAAGTACCCTAGGAAGTTGGGCTCCTATCCTCCCACAGAAACTGGGAGGGCGGGGCAAATATATTTCCCTTGATGTTTACACTTGAAAGAGATGGCTCCTGGGCCTTTGAGAAAGACATTCTTGGGTTGTAAAACTGGCAAGAGGAGTTTTAAAAGATTTACATCTCAAAGGGGTGGAAAAAGAATTTACAAGGTTTCTAAAGTAAATGCTCTAAGAAAGAGGTCGGGGGCCTTGAAGAAGACCGTCTAAAGCTTTGTTAGACACCCACTGACCACCAGGGCTTTAATGATTCCCTTTAATCAAGCTGAGGGGAACCATGAAGGCCCTCTGGGTCAGTGGGTGTGTTTGAGGGTGGGAAGGAAAATTGTGGACAAGATCAATGTTCTCCTTTCTGGGCTTTGATTGCATTAAGTCTCCTGCATGTTAGGGTAAAGTGTGACCAAAACCGAGGAAGAAGTGTCCCTTAGTGAAATGTGTGGGCCAAGCCAAGCCCTGCAGGGCATGCTTCCTTCCTACTGTGGCCTTCCAGGTGCCCCCTAGCTATGTCTCTGAGCGGTCCCTACCACCCCACCACAGTACTGGCATGCCCAATCCCACATGTGGCCTAGTGTGGAGGAAGGCTGTAAGGGCGGGAGAAAGATAACCACTTGCTGCTTTAGCATCACCCGAGGAAATTTCTAGAAATGTAAAAACTCAGGCCTCACCCCAGACCCAGTAAATCAGAATCTACATCACAACAAAATCCCTGGGTGATTGGCAGGTACATTAAAATTTTGGAATAGAGGATCCTGTAAACAAAATCTGTCAGGAAGTGGCACACCCATGACACCTACCATTAAGCAAGAAAGACAGGGAATTCACTGAAATGCCCATAGTCAAGGTGGCTACCACTATGCCAAGAAATGACTAACTTGAGAGACAAGCCATCTTCCTCAAGTTAAGAGTTTTGAATCAGTCTGGGGAAACTTACCCTCCTTCTCACAAATAACCAGCAATTTTACTTTTCCAGTTTTTCCCGCTGGTTTCCTACCGCCCTCATTAGAACCTCCCTCTTTCCACTCTGTTGCCGTTGACACCTAGAATCATCCTTTAGCTATGCCCAGATACCTCTGCAGCCCTTTTTCACTGCCATTAGCCTCTGCTCTTTAGGGACAGACCCAGGTCCTGACATTTGGATTCTGGTATATGTTATTTGTTATTCAGATTCACCCGCTTCTTCCAGAGAGCAGCCTGAATTTTTAAAAGAGCATAAACTCATAACACAATTTCAGAAGAACTGGATGAGTTTACTGCGATACTCTGAATAACGATAGACAAATCCTGGGACGTGAGAAATGCTAATTTCAACTGGCGCTGTGAAAGCAGAGGATCGGCTTTAGCCCAGAGATATTTGCAATGAAGAACACACCGCTGAGCAGACAGCGCTCACTCCCTCTGCTCCCAGCACCCTGTGGCTTAGCCCTCCTTTTTATTTCTATTTTCTCCCTCCACTGAAAACACCTTCCCTGGTGCCCAGCTCCTGCTCAAGGCCAACACCCTGACAGACAAGCAATCTCACAGTACCTGGGGGGAAAAAGCTGTTTTAACTAAAATAGATCAGCCAGGATATTTTCTTTGACAATGCTCTCTTCATGCAGTTATACCTCTCCTACACACTGCCCAAGGGGATGAAAATGGGAGTCAGCGGGGAATTCACATCTGAGTCATCTCTCACCGACTCACTCCCTGGGATCACTGAGGCTGTGTCTAAATGCAAAAGTGTCTCCCCCATTGTTCCTGAATTCATTGTGCATCAGAAAGCATTGCAATGGGAGTCAGGAGGTGTGTGGGGTTCTAATCCCAATTTTGCCAGGACCTCACTGCTTAGCCTTGGGCTTTAGCCTATTCTTTCTGTACCTCAGTTTTTCCTCGGTTAAAAGAGAATTTGGACTAGACCAGTGGCTCTTAGCCTTGGCTACTCATTAGAATAATCTAAGGATCTTACAAAACAAAACAATACAATGACAACAAACTAATACTGGAACTCCACCTCCCTGTCAATTAAAACAGACTCTCTGTGCATGGGGATCGACTTTGGTAAGTATTTTCAAAGCTCCCAAGATGCTTTCTAATGTGCATGTAGGATTTAGAACCATTGGACTAGGATTCTCATCAAATGTGTGTCAGAGGACAAGAAGCATCAACATCACCAGGAAACTTGACAAGAAATGCAGAATCTAGGGCTCTACCTGACATTCTGGCCAGATCTCCATCTCTTCTAGCACTGCCTAATAACATATGAATTGTCATTTCATTTTAGTCACAGTTACAGATTTTAGGGACTCTTTCTTTTATGTAATAAATATCCCTTGAGCATTTACTCTGTGGTAGGAACATGTGAAAAGCTGGGGATGAAAAGTGAACCAGGAAAACATGGTTTCTACCATGGCAGAGCTTCAGTCACTGGGGGAAGACAGATCCTAATTACATCATCACACAGGATAATGTGCTTGAGGAGAGGGAAAATATGGGGAGTTCTGAAAGCACCTAGTAAGCAGGAAGGAGGTCAACTAGGTTAGGGAAGACTTTCCTGAAAAACAAACTTTAAGCTTTATAACTAGTGCATCCTGTGATGACATAGATCTAGTTTTATATCTGTATATACCCATGATTTCTGGAAAAGCATAGACTGATATTGAACCTTCTTTGCCTTTGTATGTTTGGGTAACTGAGAATTGACTATGAATCCAGTGCAATTTAGCAGTTACCCTTTGAAAGTGTTCTCATCAAGTCTACCAATGATCTTCTCATTGTAAACTTGGTACAGTTTTCTAAATCACATCTTGTTGATGAGTAGCCTTTAATAATAAGAACTACTCCCATCTTGAGTAGTTCATTTCCTTTGGATTCTGTCTTAGCTTGGATTTCCCTCAAATAGCTTGAAATATGTGCATGCTTGTGGTAAACTAGTTTTGAAAGTGATCCTAGATGTGGTAGGTTGAATAATTGCCACCCCCCCCAACCCCCACCAACCCCTTCATCAAGCTATGCACAGAATCTCCTTCCTTACATGGCAAAAGGGACTTTCCAGGTATGACTAAGTGGAAAGATTTTCCTGGGTTATCTAGGTGGGCTTTAAATGCAATCACAAGGGCCTTTAAAAGAGAGGGAGGCAAGAAGGACAAAGGAGGAAGTATGAGATATGTTAATTAAAGCAAGAGGTTGGAATTGTTCAGTAAAGATTATAGGTCATTGTTTTGGACTAAGTTCCTACTCTAAGCCCCAACAGACCAGACTAAAAGTCAAAATGAAATCACTCATACTGAGTCCCACCTCGTCAAACTAAATCCGAGTTGTCACCTGGCCTTCCCAGAAATCAGATGAGAAATCTAACAGCCTAATTTCCCAAAATGCTGGTTTTGGTCTACAAGATAATTAAGTTCCCTTGGTTTCAAATCTTGACTTAAAGTAGTCTGGTTAACCAATTGGTTAGCTTTCCATTCTCCCGTTGTCCCTGCCTTATAAGGAAAGTTAAGTTTGACATGACCAATCCACTTTTTGCTCTTTATTTCTGCTTTCTTCAACCTTTTTTTTTTTTTTTTTGGTCTACAAAGCCAATCTCCTATGTTCTACTCATTTAGACACTTATTTTATTTCAAAGAATAAAATGTTGCCCAATTCTAGAGTCTCAAAGAAAACTGACTGACATCTTTAAACTAAATTTGTTGTAATTTTGACAGAGTGATTTGAGGAACTGTCATGTGCCAAGGAATGCAGATGGCCTCCAGAAGCTAGCAAAGGCAAGGAAACAGGTTCTCTCTGAGTGTCTCCTGAAGAAACCAGCCCTGCAGACACCTTGATGTTATACAGTGAAACTGATGGAGGACTTCTGACTTCCAGAATAGTAAGAGAGTCTGTCTGTGTTGTCTTAAGCCACTGAATTTGTGGTAATTTGTTACAGCAGCAATACAAAACTGACTCACCAGGGAAAAAGGAATAAGGGATTGGGAAGAATAAAGACAGGAAAGAGAGAAAATCAAGGTTGAATTGATTTTTCCCATGGGCAACTGGGGCTTCATTCCACTGGGGACCTTCTGGGGTATCAGGTACAATGTCATGTCTGCCCAAGACATGGAAGAGTGAAGTATTTATTTACCGGCTCCTACTCCTTACTGGTTAAATCTTGAAAGTGGTGTTTATTCCCATGACTTTCCAGGGCAAGGAAAAAAAAATACACCTGTAGCTTCCTTCAGAGGCTTGTAATTCAATGGGAGACATAGTCAAGAAATGGGATAAAGTCCAGCGTAATATGTGATAGTGGTAAAGGTAAATTTATACTGTATGAAGAATAGAACAAAGTTTCCATAAGAGCCTCTGGAAAATATCATGGGGAAATGGTTACTTGAATTCATAAGTATGACTCCTTGAGATTGAAAAACAAGGGAGTTCATTCCAGGAAAAAAGGACAATATATACACAAGCAGGAAAGTAGAAAGGCCTATTGTCAACAGGTAGACGTTCTATGTAGATGGGGTGTGGCATTATATGGGCCAGTAAGAAGGAGATGCTGAAAGAGCTGAGACTGAAGGCCAGATCCAGAAAGGCTTTGTGGCTGTGGCTGTTGGCTGAGTACCTGAACATATGAGTACACAGCAGCAAACCCCTGACAAAACAAGAGTCTTTTGATGAAAACTTATTTGGTTCCACGTGGGGGTATGAGAACAAAACCCCAATTATGTGATTCTTTAAACTTCCCTATAGCAAATTTATAGTTATAAAAGTATCTTGAGTTATCAGCCTTGACTTTACATTTTCTTTCAACACTGTTTAGAGCAATTCTACAAAATAGAGAAAAAAGTTAATTAGAACATAAAGCAGGAAAAGTTTAATTCTTGTTTTCTATAAGAAGCTGGATTCAGTTCATACAGGCTTAACGATAATTCTATTTTGTGACTAATAATAATTACTCATGAATAATTATGGAATAGAAATGTGAAAAATATCTAATTAGAAAATAAATGCTTTAGCTCTAGCTCTCACTCTCGCTCTCCCTCTCCCTCTCCCTCTCCCTTTCCCTCTCCCTCTCCCCCCTCTCCCTCTCCCCACGGTCTCCCTCTCCCTCTCTTTCCACGGTCTCCCACTGATGCCGAGCCGAAGCTGGACTGTACTGCTGCCATCTCGGCTCACTGCAACCTCCCTGCCTGATTCTCCTGCCTCAGCCTGCCGAGTGCCTGCGATTGCAGGCGCGCGCCACCACGCCTGACTGGTTTTCGTATTTTTTTGGTGGAGACGGGGTTTCGCTGTGTTGGCCGGGCTGGTCTCCAGCTCTGAACCGCGAGTGATCCGCCAGCCTTGGCCTCCCGAGGTGCCGGGATTGCAGACGGAGTCTGGTTCACTCAGTGCTCAATGGTGCCCAGGCTGGAGTGCAGTGGCGTGATCTCGGCTCGCTACAACCTCCACCTCCCAGCCGCCTGCCTTGGCCTCCCAAAGTGCCAAGATTGCAGCCTCTGCCCGGCCGCCACCCCGTCTGGGAAGTGAGGAGTGTCTCTGCCTGGCCGCCCATCGTCTGGGACGTGAGGAGCCCTTCTGCCTGGCTACCCAGTGTGGAAAGTGAGGAGCGTCTCTGCCTGGCCGCCATCCCATCTAGGAAGTGAGGAGTGTCTCTGCCTGGCCGCCCATTGTCTAAGATGTGGGGAGCGCCTCTGCCCCGCCGCCCCGTCTGGGATGTGAGGAGCACCTCTACCCGGCCGCGACCCCGTCTGGGAGGTGAGGAGCGTCTCTGCCCTGCCCCCCCGTCTGAGAAGTGAGGAGACCCTCCGCCTGGCAACCGCCCCATATGAGAAGTGAGGAGCCCCTCCGCCCGGCAGCCACCCCGTCTGGGAAGTGAGGAGCGTCTCTGCCCGGCAGCCCCCCCATCCGGGAGGGAGGTGGGGGTCAGCCCCCTCCAGGCCAGCCGCCCCGTCCGGGAGGGAGGTGGGGGGGTCAGCCCCCCGCCCGGCCAGCTGCCCCGTCTGGGAGGTGAGGGGCACCTCTGCCCGGCCGCCCCTACTGGGAAGTGAGGAGCCCCTCTGCCCAGCCACCACCCCGTCTGGGAGGCGTACCCAACAGCTCATTGAGAACGGGCCATGATGACAATGGCGGTTTTGTGGAATAGAAAGGGGGGAAAGGCGGGGAGAGGATTGAGAAATCGGATGGTTGCCATGTCTGTGTAGAAAGAGGTAGACGCGGGAGACTTCATTTTGTTCTGTACTAAGAAAAATTCTTCTGCCTTGTGATCCTGTTGATCGGTGACCCTACCCCCAACCCTGTGCTCTCTGAAACATGTGCTGTGTCCACTCAGGGTTAAATGGATTAAGGGTGGTGCAAGATGTGCTTTGTTAAACAGATGCTTGAAGGCAGCATGCTTGTTAAGAGTCATCACCACTCCCTAACCTCAAGTACCCAGGGACACAAACACTGCGGAAGGCGGCAGGGTCCTCTGCATAGGAAAACCAGAGACCTTTGTTCACTTGTTTATCTGCTGACCCTCCCTCCACTATTGTCCTATGACCCTGCCAAATCCCCCTCTGTGAGAAACACCCAAGAATGATCAATAAAAAAAAAAAAAAAGAAAATAAAATAAATAACTCCCCCAAATTAGGTATTTATTATTGCAATTAGGTATTATTAGAACCAATAATGACACGATGGAAACACAAGATATTAATGAATACATTGTTAGCCATTGTATGTATTTTGTTATGTCAGAAATCAATTTGACATTTTCTGAAGACATTTAGTTGAAACTGTTATTGCAAATGTAAACAATCTGGGGTGATAATTCCATATTTTAGCTACTGTATTAATCATACATCCAATTAAAAGCAGAATTTCTTGCTGTGATGAAGATAGATCTGTCTCAGTTAATTGAAAGGTGAAATACCTTGAGAAATTGTGATGATGTGTAGGGTCACCCTGCTAGTTCAGATTTTACAAGAAAAGTGTCCTAAATATTGTATTAGCTCAGAGAAATAATACAGGTACCAGACTTCTCTAAGGAAAGGCTTAATTAAGAAGAGAGATTTAATAAGCCTTTAAAGAGGCATTTTGAAACTTTGTGGTTGCCATGATAGTCTGGAATTGTCATATTTAACTTTATTCACTTATGAGTTAGTGTATTATTTTAGAATAACTTTTTAGTGAGCCAGAAATATAGGAGGGAGGCTTGCACTGCCCATTGCCTTATAGGCTGCCTGAGTATCCCTTAGCTAATTTTTGGATTTCAGAGATATAGCGGCACTTCAGCACTCACTCTGAAGTACACACTTAATATTTGGCTCTCTTGAGAGACCTGGCTCATGCAGTGAAGGAAGGGCACACAAAGCCTGCCCTAAGAGTCTTTGTAACAGCAAGGAAAGGATACATTTCTGACCAGGTTTGGGGCCCTATTGGTTTCTAACACACAACTTAAATTTCCACATTAGCTCATATTCTCTAAGGCTCCTGGACCAGGTCATCCCAGTGCTGGCTTGACGCATGATGACCTGGGGCACATTTTATTGACTGGTCCATGAAAGAACCAACCTCTAAGGCAGCTATGAAACCTTGCTAAGGTGATTGGATTTTGTTCAATGTAGGATTTTGTTTATAAATTGGAAGAACTGAAATTAGCTGAAATGGAAAAAAGAGAATTGGTCACTTTACGGAATAGATACATTGAGAAAGACACCATTGGGATTTATGCCTCCTGGTGAGATATTTATTGTAAGAATGTTTTACTGTAAACAATACTGTAAGCTTAGGTGATGCCCTCCAGCTGGGCACATGATACCACTCGAGAGTGGAAGTCTACACATTGAACTTGGCTTTCAATCCTGTAGGAATTCTAAGACCATGGTGGAGATATGATTTTGGACTGAAAAATGCATATGAGACCCACAGCTGTTTGGAAAATTTATAGGCTTAAGTGTAGGGAGTGCAGGGTAGGAGAAGGCATCCTCTGTGCTTGGACTTAGGTCAGCTTCTAGGTGGGTGATGAAAGAAAAGGAATTAACAATTACTGAGTACCACTACATACCAGGTTCTATGATTACCTCATTTATTTTTTATAGCTCTATGAGTTAGGTATTATCGCTGTTTTACAGATTAGGAATTTGGAGAAACTAAGACAGTTGTCCAAAGCCATACATTTAGTTCTCACCAAAGTTGAGATGTAAAGCAATTTTTGTCTGTGTCAGTAAATCCATGCTCTTTCCCATACTAGGCTACCTCCTAATAAAGGACGTAGGTTTTCTTGGGATCCACTTAGGACAGGAGTCCAAGGATACCTTAGTAGGATATCACTTTAATTGGAGAGAGTATTCTAGCTTTATCAATGTTTTCTCCTCCCTCTTCTCCCCTCTCCATACCTTCTTGAGACTAGGGAGACCCCCACACATATTTCATTCATTTTATAATTCTTTACAGAATAATGGAAATAGCCTAGGCTCAGACTAGTCTTCAACTGAGTCTAGATGAGAAATTGCCATTTACCTCATCAATATCAGACATGTTTTAGATTTTGAATCTGCTGCTGCTTGTGTAGACCTTATTTGTAAGTGCTCTGAAAAAAGACCTAAGAGCATAGGCTCTGGAATCAAATAAACCTTGACTTGTATCTATTTTTATCTCCTCAACAAAGCTCTGTTACTCTGGGTAAATTATTTAACTTCTCTGAGTTTCAGTTTCCTAATCTGTAAAATGGGGATGAAACAAAATAACGAATGCATGCTCCACTTAGCAGGTGCTCAAGTACATGGAAATGAAAAGCAGGAGAAAATGCCTTCACAACACTGTTTATCCAAACAACAAAAGAGAAAACCTGAGTCTTTTAAACCTCACAACTAGAATTTTCTGCCTTGTGTATTAACAGCCAAGAAACAACTCCAGCATGTTACCTGCAGTGATCTGTGAAGCACAGAAGGTTTGCAGAGAAACTCAGATCATCCATCAGCAAAACAGAACAAATTGTTTCTTAAGGCTATCATATAATCTTGCTATCATTTCCTTAATTCTAACTCTTACTTTCAACTATGATTCACATCTGCAGTTGTACTTTGAGGTGCACAGTTAGAGAATGGCTTTTGTTGGTAAAATAAAAATTGTGAGTTTTCATTTTCTGTCTTGCGCCTTATCAACAAGTCTCAATGCTACTCCTACATTACCGCATCATCTAACTCAGCCTATTTACCTATGTACAAATCCTCAGTGGATGGGAAAGAAGAAGGAGAAATACTGGCCTTTTTAACTCATCTGAGCGGCACGGGAACACTTGTTTTCCATTTGGACCTCTGTTTCCTTCAATGACTGTCCATCTGCATAAAGAACCTTTTACTTCTCTGCATGTTGACTTCTGAGAGAGCCCACCACATGAGATCCTTAAAAGTTAAAAGCAGGAAAAGCATGAAAAAGCACCCATGGGACTTCTTTCTAGTGCCTTTGCACCTAGCCTTGCTGTGGCAAGCTGTCTACCAGAGAACAAGTGACTTTTCATTGAGCCACATAGCCATTGTTTATGAGGCTATTTCTAACTCACTCTCTAGACTTTTGACACAGTGAAAAAGATAATCTTGTGAGTGAATGACTTTGAGTCTTGATGAATACTCACAACAATAGTTGAAGAGCTAATACGTGTGTGTGTGTTTGCAAGCACATGCATGAACTCACTGGGGCCTGTGTTGGACTGTGAGGTGGTCTCCTTCAATCTCATGTTAAATTATTCTCTTCGAGATGAAAAATAAATCTAGTTTTTTCTTCCAGGAAAATCTATTCATTATTCCTTCTCAGTTTCTTTAATTTTGAAACAAGTTAACTGTGTAGAAAGAAGGCCTGGAACTAGGGGCTATGTGTGATCCATTCGTTGAGCAGAAAGCACGAAATAGGCCATGAGGGATCTGGAGCTTAAGTGTAGTGAACTCCGGAGAGCAGTAGCAAAGAATCACAGTGCCCACAGCCAGCTACACCGAGTACCGAAAACAGGTCATTGGCTTCTGCCCTGCAATTCACGGTAACTGCCAGCGATATTTCTACATAGGGGAATACATGTTACACAACAGCTCCCTTTGCAGGAAACCTCCATCCTGGGGAGTTGAAATTGCATTAGGATTACTTCTCTGCAAGCACGCTGACACCAATATGCAATATGTAGTATGAGAAACCAAAAAGCCATTAATCTAAAGCAGGAACTTAAACAATTGCATCTAACTCTGGAAGAATTCCATTGAATTAGAATGCCTTTCTAAACTGAAACTGCTTTGACTGAATTCAACATTGCAAATAAAGATTTAAATTTAGCAAAACAATCAGATTTAAATGTAAATGACCTACTCCCACATTTATTCCAACTTTTTAATTGGAATCTTTGGAATTGAATAAATATATTCATTCATCCATCCATTCATTCAATATTTATTGGGTACGTATTCAAGGACGTGCTTTGTGCTAGGGATTAGGATTACAAATATGAATAAATTATGATCCCTGACTTCGAGAAGTGTGCAGGACAATGGTGAAGACAGATGAGGAATCAGATAGGTATAACACAGTTTGACAAGGGTTCATCAAAGACATTGGAAGTACAAAAGACACTACTTCACTTGGGTTCTCAGTTTATTGAATTTTGATGCTGTGCAGCCAGTGTCTCTAAACTAGGGTGCCTACCCCAGTTAATCTGCAATCTACATTCAGAAAGGACAGGAGAGTGCCAACCAGTATTGTGCCACCTTTCCTAGAAGGAAATATTTCAGGAATATTTCAACTGGACTTGACCTAGAAATCCTCATTATATTAATAACCGGCTCTGGAAGAGATGTCACACTTCAGCCCTTGCCCACCTTCCATGAGAAAGCGTCTTGCTCGTGACTTTACATTCATAAATACGCTCACAATGCCAAGGGATGTTTTTTTTCTTCCATCAATTCATTAGATCTGCTCACATGAATTATTTATATGCAGTGCTAAAAATGATTCTGAAACATTACAAGAATTCAATATCAGTTTTCACAGTGGGATTTCATCATTTTAGCATTGCAGTATGGTAGCCTAATGCAATACTAATAAGATATGGTGCTAATAGGGTACAACGAGAATTCTCTCTAATATGCAAACATTTCCATGTTGTCTTATTATTTCTTTTAAGTTAATATGCTATGGTGATAATATGATGAAATGAATTAGCTTCATATCATTGTCTGCATGAGTTGTGCATATTAACGGCATCTTTCTTCCCCCACCCCTCCTTTGAATTTACTTGGAATGAGCTTGAAAACTTACCCTGTAGTTATGCTTATGTTAATGAGGCTGTTTAGTAGGAAACATCCCTGCCGTTGCTTAGCCAGCTGGAGAAACAATAGATGCGTATCCCTTCTCTTTGGAATGAAATGTTTCCTGGCCTCCCTTCAAAGGGTCTATCTCCATCAGGCTGCTTTAGTATTCTCCACTTGTTCACAATCTCAATCCACCCATGTGTTAGACATTTTACCAGCAACATTTAACCAGATTGTATATTTCTATTAGATATGAAGCAAATCTTTTCCAAGAGAAACTGAATGCATGGCCAACTGGCCCAAAGCTTCGGAATATTTAAACACATGCACACACACACACACACACACACACACACAGACACACACACACAGACAAACCTACATGCATATATACATGAAATGCATAGAAACATACACATATTTGTGTGTGTGGATTATGTATAGACATGTTTACATATGTATACAGACATACACATATGTGCTGCTTTGTTTTTGTGTGTAAATTACATAAAAGTTTATGGAATTCATGCCATAACCAACATTTCTTTTCTGGCTGTTAAATCCTGGGTGGATTAGGTCCAGTGAGTATGAATCTTCCAGATTTCAGTGTTTATTCATTTTCAAATACATAACCAAAAGCCAGATGCTTATCCAAATCTTAGCTGACATTTGCAAATCATGTATTTCTCACCCAAACCTGTGTGACCTTTCCTATGGAGTTGCTATCAGGTTCAACGAATTCAGTTTCAGAAATCCCAGATGTCATTGCTTTCAGGAGACTTCTAAAGCTCCTTCTTAGCCTTTCAATCAAGTTTCTTCAAAAGGTACCTTAATAAGGATCAGGACCACATGCCAGGCTATATGGTATCTTAGTGCAAACTAGCAAAAGGTTTGGACCAGCACAGTTCCTCAGGAAGGAGTGTGGTGGGTGAAACTAGGCTGGACTTCTGTTTCCTCTCATCCGCTCGGATAGGCTTTCTTGGGTTGCAACTCCAGTGATGTTTTGTCTTTCCCTTCTAGGAACACCTCTGAGTGGGAATGTTTCTATCTTAATGGTAGTTTGAGGTTG
Source organism: Homo sapiens (assembly GCF_000001405.40). NCBI lineage: Eukaryota > Metazoa > Chordata > Mammalia > Primates > Hominidae > Homo > Homo sapiens. The sequence goes on along the minus strand of NC_000001.11, from coordinate 96,463,359 downwards.
TACAAGCAATACAATTCTTATCCAACTACACTTAACCTACCTGTAGCTCATTTCTTCATTTGCAAAATGAACAAAGATATGATCTCTGGTGACCTCCAACTTTGAACACTATTATCTATGATTGAACATGATAAACCTCTTCATCATTTTAATGGGAGAAATAATGAGTTTCTGCATTTGGTGGGAGAAAGAGAATACTATGAAAAAAAAAGTAGGCTTAAAAGAAAAGCAATGTGGGCAATTTCAAATATTACAGTTTGGATTCTGGGCTTTCAATAGGATTAAGTATAAGTAATATGCTTTCTTAATAAAGGAAGTTACTAAGAAGAATGTAGGTGTGTTGCACATCTGCAAGATGCAAATACTGGCAAATATCAGTGGGTTGATTATTAAGCTGAAACTGAATATGTAACATTTGAAAGACATTAGTAAAATGTATATTTTAGGGCCTTGTAATATGACCTTGGTTATTGGAATAAAATATTATGATTAGACTACATGGAGGACCACCCCAAATGCCACCCCAAAATATTCCATTTGACGTAAGTATTATTTTGAGCTACAGGCAAATGAGATCAACAGATTCAGAAAGAAGTGTTCTTGGAGCTTCTCTTCTCTAAAAGCAGAAACTGGCCAGGCACGGTGGCTCATGCCTGTAATCTTAGCACTTTGGGAGGGCAAGGTGGGAGGATTTCTTGAGCTCAGGAGTTAGAGACCAGCCTGGACAACTGTCTGTACAAAACAATAGAGAAAGTAGCCAGGCATAGTGGCACAGGCCTGTAGTCCCAGCTGTTGGGGAGGCTGGGGTGAAAGAATCACCTGAGCCCAGGAGGTCGAGGATGCTGTGAGCTGAGATCGTGCCACTGCACTCCAGCCTGGGAGACAGAACAAGAACCTGTCTCAAAAAAGCAAAAACAAAAATAAAACAAAACAATAACAACAAAAAGCAACTCCTAAGAAATAAGAGCAATCTCCTCTCCTGTGGAAGTTTTACAGCTATGAAGAAGATGGAAAGTTGGCACCAAGATGGACCTGCACAACCTTACCTTACTCCCCCATATATTTACCTTCCTACAATATGCAGTTCCTACAGGCCTAAAACCTTTGTTTTGTTTTGTTTATCTCTTCTCTGCAAATTTACTCTTCTTTGTTAAAATCCTATATATACCCCAAGTTTTAACTACCCCTTTGTGTTGCTCATCACTGACTTTCTCAGCATTTATGCTTGCTTGTCATGTTAATAAATTCTGCTTGCTTTCTTCTTGTTAATATCTCTTTTGTTTTAATTTTGAGGGGTCCAGCCAGCCATAGAACCCAGGAGGGAAGAGGAAAATAATTTTTCCCCTTTCTTATAACTTATAAAAGGACAAAGATGGATTTTTTAGTGAAAGTACTCCCAACGGCTCTGATAATAGGAAAAATGATGCCAAATCTCCCTTACTCTGCATCAGATGTGAATATATATTTGGATCGTTTTTTGTCTACATTCACCTAAGAAAGAATCAGATTTATTCTGAGGTCTACGAATGACTTCCTCTTTGTATATCACATTGGACAATGGAGAATAAATGAATATTGGGAGAGAGTCCATCGATTCACCTTTGAGTCAATTCAATTTCTTTAGCAGACCATTATTTCCCTGAAAGTTACAGTTATTTCATTATAATTTTATGCTTCTCTTCCTTTCTCTACTAAGACCTAGTCAGAGCAGATGGCCTTTTTGCAGCTCTGTAGCCAGGGTAGTTGGCTTTTCTGGTATAATTTTGCATCTTTTCCTTTCTTCACAGTTCCCTCTTAAGGTAGCTAGCTTAATTGGGGTTAGAAATGTACTCATCATGTGCAACATTACTTAAATATAAAATTTCACTGTAGCATCGATGAAAACTTTTTAGGCTCAAAAATGTCATCAACAAAGAGTCTGGTGCTTCTTTAATTATCCGATTTCCAAAGCTATAGTACATAATTCCTTGTTTAATCAGAGCTTAAATTCTGAAGAAACTCATATGGATGACATTTCCTCTCAATTTTGAATGGGGATTATTTTAAGAGGATACAGAACTTAGAAATATTTCAATGGAGCTGATATTTAAAGCATATTTAGTGGCATTTATGTTTTAATCTGCTTATTGACTAGGCATTAAAGGGAGCTGTTAGCATTTTAGCAGTGATTAAAAGAACCAGAAATTTTTTGATATAATGAGCAAGGCAGTATTTCCAGAATGTGGTGCTAATAATTTTTTTTAACTTACAGAATGATGTAGCCTCTTTTCAGTGAGGCATTGCCATATGAAAAACTTTTATTTGGACTTTTTTTTTTTTTTGCTACTGGTACAAGAAATTCCATTTACAGATACATTTTCCCCAATTGTATAAAACATAAAGATTTATTGAATTTCATTGTTAAGCCACTTTCTTATCTTATGTATTATCAGAATCAACAGCCACAAAAGTAATTATGAAAGCAATAATAACAATTGTTACCCAGGGTCAATATGAGGCTCTGTACAAGATATCAGACATGCTAGGGTAGAAAAAAACAATTCTTCTCTCAAGGAACTTCCATACCAAATTGTCATTCTGTAGTACAATACCTGGCATATCTAGATAGTCAATAATACTTACTGAATAAATGAATGAGTGAATGATTCGGCCCCAATCACCAAGGCAATTTATTGAATGATTACTGACTTCACAATCAGCTATTACAATCTACTCCATTTAGGCTTTGTTTGCATAATGGCAAAACACCCATCAGATCAGTAACTTTAGAGAAACAAATAGATTTTTTTTTTTTTGAGACGGGGTCTCCCTCTGTAGCCTCTGTCATCCAGGCTGCAGGCTGCAGGCTGCAGTGCAGTAGCTCCATATCAGCTCACTGCAGCAATGACCTCCCCATCTTAGGTGATCCTCCCACCTCAGCCTTCAGAGTACCTGGGACCACAAATGCATGCCCGGCTAATTTTTTTTTTTTTTTTTTTGGTAGAAGTGGGGTTTTGCTTTGTTGTTCAGGCTGGTCTTGAACTACTGGGCTCGAGCGATCCACTCTCATCAGTCTCCCAAAGTGCTAGGATTACAGGGGTAAGCCACTGCTCCCGGTCTGTTTTTTGATAACTTACATAAAATAATAGATCATTTAATGGGCTTCTTGATTTTTTTCAAGTTGTCTTTGTTGCAACAATTGTTTGTTTGTTTGTTTTTTGAGACAGGATCTCACTCGGTCTCCCAGTATGGAGTGCGGTGGCACGATCTCAGCTCACTGCAACCTCTGCTTCCTGGGCTCAAGCTATCCCCCCCACCTCAGCCTCCTGAGTAGCTGTATTTACAGGCATGTGCCATCATGCCTGGCTAATTTTTTCCTTTTTTTTCTTTTCTTTTTTTTTTTTTTTTTTTTGGTAGGGACAGGGTTTTGCATGTAACCCAGGGTGGTCTCAAAGCCCAGGTGGACTCGAGCAGTCTGTCCAATCTCTTGCCTCCCAAAGTGCTAAGATTATAGGCATGAGCCACCGCAACAAGACGCAACATTTTTTTTTAAATCCAGAAAAAAATAAACAGAAGTTACCAAAATAGCAGAAATTTATCATTTAAAAAACAATAGCTTTCTTGAGCTGTGACATGTGTATGCTGATAACTGCCAGTAGGTATATAATCAAAGCTCCTTTTCGTTGTTTTCTGTTAATATTGGTGACCCCAAACAATAAGGTGAGTTTCTGAAACATATAAATTGAGCCTTTTTTTCAGCCAAACCATCTGATTCAGTTTTACTTAAAATACTCAGTGGTACCAAAGTAGGTTTTATTTAATTTTCTTCATTACTTTTTTCAAATGTTGCATATTCTTTTAGACAATTTTTTCCTTTGTATAGGAATCAATTTTGTTTAAATACAGAAACCATCCCCTGACTATTTCTTTCCCAAAGAACATCAGAAAAATCTAAAAGGAACATTTATAGGTAACTTGGATATGAATATAAAGTAGCAATAGCTGTAATAGTCTTTCTGTAAATATTGCTATAAAGTAAAATTAAATAAATTGATCCAAGGAGTCAACGAGAGAACAGAAAGTAAGTTAAAAGAGCCTGGTATGCACCTCAATATCTCTACCTAGGGACTGCCTTTTTCATCTTGCTCAATTTCTACTTTAGACAAAATGAGAAAATACTACCTATGACCACATAAAATTGGCATTTCTTGGGCAATGGACACTATTCTAGGCATCAGGGAACCAGGACAAAAAGTCGAATTACAAGACTGTGAGTGGCTGCGACATTAATGTCACACAAAGGCAGGTTGGGTTAAGCTTAAAAGCAGTTTTCTTTTTTGTTCTTTCTTTAATTCTATCTTTATTTGCACCATAAAAATTGTCAATGAATAATTAGGACTCACAAGCTTTCAAAATAGGGGACACAATAAAGATGAAAAACTGAGATATAACTGCATTTAATTTTCATAAAGTATGAAATTATTGAGGAATTCCCTTTCCATGTGGTTTAGGGTTGCTTATAGATGCAGTCCAGCAAACTCCAGTTTGAAGTAATACTTACCTTTTTTCTTCTTTGAATGATTAATTTTTTTATCAATTTCTTGTATTTGTACGACTCGAACTTGGTCTTGACTCTTCATATATAACTAATTTGCATATGGATAATCACAGGATATAAATATTTATTGACATTTTAGTTATCTGAGGATAAATTTTAAAAATATCTTAAGTTCCTTTTACCCAGACCCAGTACACCATGTTTGACTATCAAAGAAAAAATATAAGACATACTAAATGACAAAAACCACAGTTTGAGGAGATAGACCAAGCATCATAGCCGGGATGCTTGGTATGCTCAGGATGTTGGAATTGTTAGACTGGAAATTTAAATCAACTATGATTAATATGGCATTTGCTTTAATGGATAAAGTAAATATTATTCAAGAACAAATGGGCAATGTAAGCAGACAGATGGAAACTCTAAGAAAGATTCAAAAAGAAATGCTAGAGATGAAAAACATTGTAACAGAAATGAAGAATACCTTTGATGTGCTTATGAGATTAGCTACAGGTAAAAAAATTCTTTTTGAGCTTGAGGATATTTCAGTAGAAACTTCCAAAACTGAAAAAGAGAAAAGAAACGACTGAAAAAAAATAGAACAGAATATCAAAGAACTGTGAAAATGAAAACACAACTTATCAAAATTTGTGATGCAGTAAAAATAGTGCTTAGTAAGAAATTTATAGCATTGAATGTATATGTTATAAAACAGAAAGATCTAAAAATCAATAATCTAAGCTTCCATTTTAGGAAACTAGAAAAAGAAGAGCAAATTAAGTCCGGAATAATAAGAAGAAAAGAAATAATAAAAATTAGAAAAAATCAATAAAATTGAAATAGGAAATCAATGGAGAAAATCAACAAAACCAAAAACTGGTTCTTTGGAAAAAGTCAGTAAAATTGATAAGCCTCTGGCAAGCCTAATTAAGAAAAATAGGGAGATAACACGAATAACTAATATTAGAAATGAGGAAGAAGCATCATTACAGATCTCATGGACATTGAAAGGATAATAAAATAATACTTTGAAAAACTCTATGCCACAAATATTATAATCTAGATGAAAGTGATCAATTCCTTCAAAGAAACAATCTGCCAAAAGTCACCCAAGGAAAAATAGACACTCTCATAGGACCATATCTATTAAGGAAATCAAATCAATAATTAAAAGACTTCTAAAACGGAAGACATCAGGTATTAATGGTTCACTGGTGAACCAAATGCCAAACATTTAAGGAAAAAAATGTACCAATTCTCTATAATCTCTTCTGGAAGATAGAAGCAGAGGAATATACTTAAAAACTCATTCTATGAGGCCAGTATTACCCTAATACCAAAACTAGACAAAGTTATTATAAGAAAAGAAAACAACATACTAATATCCTTCATGAACATAGTTATAAAATTTCTTAATAAAATATTAGCAAATAAAATCCAACAATGTATAAAAAAAGTTATACACTATGACCAAATTGGTCTTATCATAAATCTGCAAATCTGGTTCAAAATTTCAAAATCTATCACATGCACAGGCTAAAGAAAAAACGTCACATAATTATATCAATAAATGCAAAAACGCTTTTGAAAAAAATTCAACATGGATTAATGCTGGAAACTCTTAGTAAACTAGAAGTAGAGGGGGATTTCCTCAATTTGGTAAGAAATATCTACAAAAAATCCACAGCTAACAACTTATTTAATGCTGAGACATACAAAACTTTCTCACTAAGATCAGGAGCAAGGCAAAGATGTCCCCTCTCACCACTATTTTTCAACATCATACTAAAATTCTTAGCTGATGCCAGAAGGAAAGAAAATGATATAAAAGATATACTGATAGGAAAGGAAGAAATAAAACTGCCTTTGTTAGTAGTGACATGATAGTCTATATAGAAAACCCAAAATAATTAAAAAATTCCTGGAATTAAAAACTAATATAGCAAAGTTGCAGCATATAAGGTTAACACACAAGAATCAACCACTATAAATCTAATGAAAACATATTCATTATCTATATGAGGACCCCTGAAAACACTGATGAAGCCTGGGCGTGGTGGCTCTTGCCTGTAATCCCAGAACTTTGGGAGTTCAAGGCCGAGGATCACTTAAGGTTAGTAGTTCGAGACCAGCCTGGCCAACATGGTGAAACACTGTCTCTTCTAAAAATAGGAAAATTAGTGAGGCATGGTGGTGCACACCTGTCATCCCTGCTACTTGGGAGGCTGAGGCACGAGAATCGCTTGAACCCAGGAGGCAGAGGTTGTAGTGAGTTGAAACCATGCCACTGCACACCAGCCTGGGCAACAGAACAAGATTCTATCTCAAAAAAAACAAACAAACAAAAACATGTTGATGCAAGAAATCAAATAACTAAATAAATAGAGAGATATTCTATGTTCATGGAAAGGAAGAATCAATATAGTCAAGATGTCAGTTCTTCCCAAAATGACCTATAAATTTAATGCAATTCCAAACAAATTCCAGCAAATTGTTTTGTAGATACTGACAAATTTAAACTAAAGTTTATCTGAAGAGGCAAAAGACTCAGACTAGCCATCACAATATTTAAGGAGAAGAACAAAGTTGGAAGACTGACACTATCCTTTATCAAGACTTAATATAAAGCTACAATAATCAAGATTGTGTAATATTGGTGAGAGAATAAACGAATAGATCAATAAAACAGAATGGAGAACCCAGAAATAGATCCACATAAATATAGTCAACTAATCTTTGAAAAAGGAGAAAAGGCAATTAATGGAACAAAGATAGTTGTTTCAACAAATGGTGCTGGAACAATGGAAAATTCACATGAAAAAAACAAACCAGACACAGACCTGGCACCCTTCACAAAAATTAACTCTAAATGGATCATAGACCTAAATGTAAAATGCAAGATCATAAAACTCCTAAGAGATAACACAAGAGAAAATATACATAATGTTGGGCTTGGCAATGACTTTTTAAATATAAGACTGAAGGCAGAAACCACAAAAGAAATGAATAATGACCGGGCACGGTGGCTCACACCTGTAATCCCAGCACTTTGGGAGGCCAAGGCAGGCAAATCACAAGGTCAGGAGTTTGAGACCAGCCTGGCCTGCATGGTGAAACCCCATCTCCACTAAAAATACAAAAAATTAGCTGGGCATGGTGGCAGACACCTGTAATCCCAGCTACTTGGGAGGCTGAGGCTGGAGAATCACTTGAACCCTGGAGGTGGAGGTTGCAGTAAGCCAAGATCGCGCCACTGTACTCCAGCCCAGGCGACAGTGTGAGACTCCATCTCCAAAAAAAAAGAAGAAAGAAAGAAAGAAAAAGAAATGAATAATAAGCTGAACTTTATTAAATTTAGGACTCATGCTATGCAAAAATAAAAGACCCCCTGCCAAAAGAACAAAGAGACAAGCCACTGATTGATAGAAATATTTAAAAAGTATATCTTATAAAAGACTGTTATTTAAAATATACAAAGAACTCTTAAAACTCCACAATAAGATAATGAAAAACCCAATTAAAAATGGGCTAAAGTCTTTAATAGACAACTCACCGAAGAAAATATACAGATGCTAAATGAACATATGAAAAGATGCTCCACATCATATATCATTAGGAAAATGCAAATTAAAAAAACAACGAGATACCACTGATATACATTTTAGACAGGCCAAAATCCAAAACACTGACCACACCAAATGCTAATGAGGATGTGGAGCAACAGGAACTTTCATTGCTCGTGGGAATAGAAAATGGTATAGCCACTTTAGAAGACAGCTTGGCAGTTTCTTACAAAACTAAATATGCTCTTAGCATGCAATCCAGTAACTGCCCTCCTTGGTATTTACCTAAATGGCTGAAAACTTATGTCCACACAAAAACATGCACGTGGATGTCTATAGCAGCTTTATGCATAATTTCCAAAACTTGGAAGCAACCAAGATATCCTTGAGCAGGTGGCACGTGCAGACAATGGATATGATTTAGTGCTAAATGTCAAGCCATAAATAGACATGAAAGAACTTTAAATGCATATTACCAAATGAAAAAACCAATCTGAAAACAGTATATACTACACGATTTCCTACTAAATGACATTGTTAAAAAGGCAAAACTATGGTAACAATTTAAAAAAACGTAAAAAATATCTGTTCTCAGGGATTTGTCAGAGACGCATAGGCAGAGCACAGAGGAATTTTGGGGCAGTGAAACTATTCTGTATGATACTATAATGGTGGCCACATGTCATTATACATCTGTCCAAAGCCACAGATTATATAACACAAGTAGTAAACCCCAATGCAAATTATGGACTTTGGCTGATAATGACGTGCCGACGTAGGTCCATTAATTGTAACAAGTGTACCACTTTGAAGGGGGATGTTGATAGTGGGAGAGGCTATCAGTATGTGGAGCCACAAGATATATGGGAAATCTATGTACCTTCCCCTCAATTTACCTGTGAACCTAAAGCTTTTCTAAAAAATAGTTAATTTAAAAATACATCTAAGAACAATTACAAGTCTTTTGAATAGCTTTCATTTATTTAGTACTTACTATATTACCAACACTCTACTAAAAGCTTTTTATACCTTATATTGTGAATTTCTCCTAACAATGTTTAAGGTGGTTATGATTTTCATTTAACATATGAAAAAAACCCTGAGGCTTTCAGATATGAAAGAATTTGCCAAGGTCACATAACTAGAAGGCAATAGCTCTGAGAACCCAATTCAGACCTGTGTGACCTAAGAATACATCCTTTAAAAAATTGTGCTCTTAAATACACTAGTGAATTATTATACAATTATGCATTGTTTATAAGCAACCATCAAATGTCCATTCATGGTATCAATGATTAAATTATGCCTATGTTTAAAGAAGAGGTTCTTTTCAGAATAGAATTAAAGTTACTTTTTACCTATTGCAGTGGTTTGGTTTCAAAGTGTGAACTGAGTCCTTTTGAATAACACATACACAAATATATTTGTGTATATACACATATACTCAAATCTTAGGATAAAATTTTACTCTACCTCCCTCCATTTAGAAAGAAATTTGGGTATTGAGAGAATGAAGTAGTTATATAAAGAGAGCACAATGCAAAGTAATTGTTGCTTAACATTTCTAGAACTTTCTCAAGAGGATATTAATGTCAGTAAATGTGTTTTAGCTTCCCAGGACACATGTTGGGCACTCCATATATATTTGTCAAAGAAACAAAGCTTAGGGATAACCATCAGTGCATAAAGAACTTTGGAGATTTTGGGCTCATCTATAAGATTTTCATGGAACAAACTAACAGAAATGCTGTCATCTTAACTCCATTAGTAATGGGGAGATTTGCTCAGCTGATTATAAAGCTAGTTTATGACCTTACTCTTATGAAATAAGGAAATAGAGCTATAAAATGTTAGCTAAAGTTAACCAAGTTGACTGGCTTGTGTTGAATTGCAATGCAGCCATACTTTTTATTCCTTCTTGAACACATGTAAAATAAGAATGGCAATGTAAGAGTTATTCCATTTACCAAAATTAGAAAACATATTAGATACATTTTTTATTTTCCTTAGAGACAGGTTCTTGCTCTCTCACCCAGGCTGGTGTGCAGGAGTGCAATGGCCACTCACAGCTCACTATATCAGTACAGCTCACTATATCAGTCCAGCTCACTGTATCCTCCAGGCTCAAGGGATTCTTCTGCCTCAGCCTCTTGAGCAGCTAGGACCACAGAAGTGCACCACCAAACCTGGCTAATGTTTAAATTTTTTTTTTTTTTTTTTTTTTTTGTAGCTAGAGTATCTCACAATCTTGCCCAGGCTGGTCTTGAACTCTTGGGTGATTCTTCTGCCTCTGCCTCTCAAAGTACTGGGGTTACAGGGTGAGCCACCACACCTGGCCTAGATACGTTTTAATTAGACTTTTTTGGGACTGTGTCTATTTAAAAGAACAATGAACTATTGGGTTAATTTTATTGGTTAATTTCATTTAAAAACTCCACAAAAAACAGAGAAACCCCCTGCCCCAAATCCAAACCCCAAACACTTAACAGTACCAATAAACCTCTTTATCATAAACACTGTCACCCCCTTTAGACCAGCAATCAGTAGTGTGAGAGTGAGACCATCTCATCCTAAATCTGGAACCCCTCAAAACTGATGCGTATCCAGAGAGAGGCAATATCCTCCTCATTATCACAGACAGTGTCCTTAAAAAAACTGCCTTTTAACTTTTCAGCAATAGGCACTGTTAACCGTCCACTCTTTCTTGAAATTCACTCATCTCTTGATTTTATCATAATATTTACAATTGGCTCTTTTTTGGCTGAGCCAATTCTTTATTTACATATTAATTGATTCATTTATCTATTCTATTTAATAGATAAATTAATTACTCATCTATTCAAAAATATTTGCACACGGTAAACTGAATAAATCATCAGCTTAGTGAATTGTCACAATATGAACATGTTTATTTAAAACTATCTAGATCGTGAAATAATCTATGACCATCACAACAGAAGCACTCCTTATACACTTTCCCAATCATTGCTCCAAAAAAACTACCATACTGACTTTCATCCACATAGATTAGTTTTGCCGGTTTCTTGAACTTAATATAATTAAATAATACAATGCTCTTTTTGGTTTCTGACTTCTTTGCTCAATCTTATGTTTGTAAAACATAATATTATAATTAAAATTAATCATGTTAGTGCATGAGGCAATATTTCTTTTTTAAAAATTTATCTGGTTACTCATTTATTCAATAATAATTCATTGGGCACTGGCTAAGTTTGACTCTATAAATACAAAGTCATATAAGATAAAGCTCTTGACCACAAAAAAAATTGTTTGCAGCTTATCCTAGAATATAGCTGGTGGACCAGTGACTACTAAAGTGTCTATTCTAACAGGTTCTATTATGGTAGCATACACAGGGTGATAAACATAGGAGGAGACAAGAACCTAAATCAAATTCAGCCACTCAAGGAAAACTTGAGGCAATATTTCATATATTTTCATTGCTTTCTAGTACATGATTGTATGATTATACCACATTTTTTTTGAGACAGAGTCTGTTGCCCAGGCTGGAGTGCAGTGGCATGATCTCGGCTCACTGCAACCTCCACCTTCCAGGTTCAAGTGATTCTCCTACTTCAGCCTCCTGAGTAGCTAGGATTACAGGCATGCGCCACCATGCTCTGCTAATTTTTTGTATTTTTGGTAGAGACGGAGTTTCACGGTGTTGGCCGGGCTGGTCCTGAACTCTTGACCTTAGGTGATCTGCCCGCCTAGGTTACCCAAAGTGCTGAGATTACAAGTGTGAGCCACCATGCCCGGCCAATACCACAATTTATTTATCGATTCTACTGCCAATGAATACTCTGAATTGTTTGCAAGTTTTGACTATTATGAATGGTGCTGCTAGGAACACTGTTATATATCTATTCTGCACATATGCATCTATTTTTCAGGAGTAAATCCCTAAAACTAGAATTACTGAATTGCAAGCTATATATGTGATTGACTTTAGTTGACGGTACCTGTTTCCAAGGTGGTTCTGTCAATTAGCACACCCACCAGCAGTTTATGGGAGCGCCAGTTCCTCCAAATCCTTGATAAATCAGTCCCTTTTATTTTAGTTATTCTGGTGAGAATATAGAGGTACTTCATAGTGGTTTTAATTTTCATTTCCTTGATAACTGTCAAAGTGGAGTATCTTGTCATATACTTACTGCTATTTGCATATCATTTTTTGAAATGTTTTGCTTATTTTTATATTGGTTTGTCTGTATTTGCTTTATTGACAAGTAGCAGTTTTCAAAAAATATATTCCAGGTATGAGTTATTTGTTGGATATATGTTTTGGAAATACCTTCTCTCATTCTATGACTTGAATTTTTCTTCTCTTCTAGTGCATTTAATAAATGGATGTTCTAAACTTAAATGTAATGTATCAGTCTTTTCCTTTTTGAGTAGCACTTTTTATGTTCTGTTTAAGAAATCTTTGCCTACCTCAACATCATAAAATATTATCTTATATTATTTTCCAGAAGTGTTTGTATTTTAGCCTTCCATTTGTGTCTGCGATCATCTGCTATTGACTTTTGTGGTAGTATAAGCATGGGGTTAAGATAGATAAATATTTTTATATAAATACCCAATCTCATATGACCTACCACAACTTATTATAAAGAGTTTTTTTTTTTTTTTTTGAGGTGGAGTCTCACTCTGTCGCCCAGGCTGGAGTGCAGTGGCATGATCTCAGCTCACTGCAACCTCTGCCTTCTGGGTTCAAGTGATTCTCCTGCCTCAGCTGGCTGAGTAGCTGGGATTACAGGCAGCACCACCACGGCCAGCTAATTTTTGTATTTTTAGTAGGGACAGGATTTCGCCATGTTGGCCAGGCTGGTCTCAAACACCTGACTTCAGGTGATCCACCTGCGTTGGCCTCCCAAAGTGCTGTGATTACAGACATGAGCCACCGTGCCTGGGAAGAGTGTTCCTTATTTACTGGGTTGTAGTATCAGCTTTGCCAGCTTTCAGTGAACTGCAAACATGTGATTCCTTTTGGGACTCAGTACTGTTTCACTGGATTAATTGATTATCGTGTTTATACATCATATTATCTTAATTGTTGTAACATTATAATAAATCTTTTTTTGCTTCAAAATTGTCCTGGGGCTGGGCACTGTGGCTCACACTTGGCAATTTGGTAGACCAAGGCAGGCAGACTGCTTGAGCCCAAGAGTTGGAGACCAGTGTGGTCTCCAACATAGTAAAACCCTGTCTCTACAAAAAATACAAAAATAAATCAGGCACAGTAGCATGCCCCTGTAGTCCCAGCCACCTGGGAGACTGAGGTAAAAGGATCACCTGAGCATGGGAGGTCAGGGTTACGGTCAGCCGTGACCACGCCATTGCACTCCAGCCTTGGCGACAGAGTGAGACCCTGCCTCAAAACAAACAAACAAAATTGTCTTGATTTTCTTAGTCCTTTGAAGTTTCATATATATTTAAGAATTAATATGTTGAATTTTCCTACATTCTAACACAAAAACATGCTGAAAATTTGATTAGGATTGAACTGAATCAATCTAGGAAGGACTAACATCTCTACGACACTGAAACTTCTAATCAATGACCATGGTATATCCCTTTATTTATTTCGGGCTTTTAAAATTTCTCCCAACAATGCTTTGTAATTTTATGTGTAGAGGTCTTACATAATTTAGTTGAATTTATTTTTATAAATATTGTGTTTCTGATACTATTATTAATAGTACCATTAAAATTTATTTTCTTTTTTAGCTAGTATGCAGAAATATAGTGTTTATATATTTACTCTACTAATTTTACCTAATATGTCTAATAGTTTACTTATGAAGATTATTTTTGAATTTCTATGTTCAATATTGTGTAACTTCTGAATGAAAGATTTTTTACTTATCTTTAAGCTCTTATTTTTTTCATCTCTCATTGCACTTACATTTAGACATTGTATCCTTGACTCATTCAGTATCTCAAGGTAATTGCTTTCAGTCTTTTACCATTAAGTAGAATATTTGTTTAAGTCTTTTTAGACATAGATTTTGTCAGAGTAAGAAAGTTCCTTTGCATTTCTTATTTCCTAAAAGTTATTTTTTAAAGCATAAATATGTGTTGCATTTCATCAAATGCTTTTCCTGAATCTAATGAAATTATCATGTAATTTTGTTCCTTTTTGTTTTATTATAGAAATTTAAATTAATTGATTTTTGAGTATTTGTAAACAAACTTCATTTTTCAAATGAAACCACTTGGATATGATATATTATCTTTTAGATCACTGGTTTTACTTTGATAATTTTAAGATTGTGTATCTTTCTTTATGAGAGCTATTGGCCTGTCAGTTTCCTTTTTTGTCATATCTTTGTTCAGTTCTGTTATCAAAGCTATGAGGAACTTATAAAATAAGTTGGAAACGGTACCCTTCTTTTAAAAATATTTCTTGAGGAATTTGTGTAAAGTTAGTGTTATTTCTTCTTTAACTGTCTAGAAATATCCCCAGTAAATCTCTCTTGGCTTGGAGATTTCCCTGCGGGAAGATTTTTCCAGTATAAAATAAATTTCTTAAATAGAATTAGACAATTCAGGTGTTCTACTTATTTTTGTATCATTTTTATAAATTATATTTTCAAGTAACTTGTTCATTTCTTTTTTTTTTTTCTCATTAAACTTTTTTAATGGGTCTCAAAATTCTGTGACAAATTTTTGGTCAAGTTGTTTCCATTTAAAAAGTACTGATTTTAAAAACTAATAACTTAAAACTGCTGCATGCGAAAAAGAAAACCAAAGTGGTCCACAAAACATTCTCCTTTCCTTCTGAAGGTTTTATGTTGCATTATTATCATTAACCAGTCTTTTACTACTAAACTTAAATGGCCAATTGAAACAAACAGTTCTGAGACCGTTCTTCCACCACTGATTAAGAGTGGGGTGGCAGGTATTAGGGATAATATTCATTTAGCCTTCTGAGCTTTCTGGGCAGACTTGGTGACCTTGCCAGCTCCAGCAGCCTTCTTGTCCACTGCTTTGATGACACCCACCGCAAGTGTCTGTCTCATATCATGAACAGTAAAGCGACCCAAAGGTGGATAGTCTGAGAAGCTCTCAACACACATGGGCTTGCCAGGAACCATATCAGCAATGGCAGCATCACCAGACTTCAAGAATTTAGGGCCATCTTCCAGCTTTTTACCAGAACGGCGATCAATCTTTTCCTTCAGCTCAGCAAACTTGCATGCAATGTGAGCTGTGTGGCAATCCAATACAGGTGCATAGCCAGAGCTTATTTGGCCCGGATGGTTCAGGATAATCACCTGAGCAGTGAAGCCAGCTGCTTCCATTGGTGGGTCATTTTTGCTGTCACCAGCAACGTTGCCACGATGAACATCCTTGACAGACACATTCTTGACATTGAAGCCCATATTGTCCCCAGGAAGAGCTTCATTCAAAGCTTCATGGTGCATTTCGACAGATTTTACTTCTGTTGTAACGCTGACTGGAGCAAAGGTGACCACCATACCAGGTTTGAGAATACCAGTCTCCACTCGGCCAACAAGAACAGTACCAATACCACCAATTTTGTAGACATCCTGGAGAGGCAGGCGCAAGGGCTTGTCAGTTGGACGAGTTGGTGGTAGGATGCAGTCCAGAGCCTCAAGCAGCATGGTTCCACTGGCATTGCCATCCTTATGGGTGACTTTCCATCCCTTGAACCAAGGCATGTTAGCACTTGGCTCCAGCATGTTGTCACCATTCTAACCAGAAATTGGCACAAATGCTACTGTGTTGGGGTTGTAGCCAATTTTCTTAATGTAAGTGCTGATTTCCTTAACAATTTCCTCATATCTCTTCTGGCTGTAGGGTGGCTCAGTGGAATCCATTTTGTTAACATCAACAATTAGTTGTTTCACACCCAGTGTATATGCCAGAAGGGCATGCTCTCGGGTCTGCCCATTCTTGGAGATACCAGCTTCAAATTCACCAACACCAGCAGCAACAATTAGGACAGCACAACCAGCCTGAGATGTCCCTGTAATCATGTTTTTGATGAAGTCTCTGTGTCCTGGGGCATCAATGATAGTCACATAGTACTTGCTGGTCTCAAATTTCCACAAGGAGATATCAATGGTGATACCACGTTCACGCTCAGCTTTCAGTTTATCCAAGACTCAGGCATACTTGAAGGAGCCCTTTCCCATCTCAGCAGCCTCTTTCTGCAATTTTTCAATTGTTCTTTTGTCGATGCCACCGCATTTGTAGATCAGATGGCCAGAAGTGGTGGACTTGCCCGAATCTACGTGTCCAATGACGACAATGTTGATATGAGTCTTTTCTTTTCCCATTTTGGCTTTTAGGGGTAGTTTTCACGACACCTGTGTTCTGGCAGCAAACCCGTTGTGAAAAAGCTAACTTGTTCATTTCACATAAATTACATAATTTATTAGATACAATTTTTAATAGTTTTTTTATCTTTTTAATGCCTATAGAAAAATTTTATTTCTGTCCCTATTTTGTCTTCTGTCCCCTTTTTCCAATTTCTGCTTTCTTTTATTTCCCATTGTTCAGCCTTGTCGAGTTTTACTAATTTATCTAGTCCTTTCAAAAAAGTTGTTTTTGACTTTAACTTGGTCTGGGCCTACATGTCTGTTTAATTAGGTTTCTCATGTTTTTGTGGTCCTAATATGCCCTTTTTTGAAACGAGCATATAAGGACCACAAATAATATATTTTCTTTCTTTTTTTTCTTTTTTTAAAGAAGTGGAGTCTTGCTATGTTGCCCAGGCAGAAATTGAACTTCTGGCCTCAAGTGATCATCCTGTCTCAGCCTGTCAAAGTGCTGGGATTACAGATTTCTTTTACATTCCAATTGTTTTATTTATTTATTTATTTATTTTTATTTATTTATTTTTTGGGACCGAGTTGCCCAGGCTGGAGTGCAATGGTGCGATCTTGGCTCACCGCAACCTCCGCCTTCCAGGTTCAAGTGATTCTCCTGCCTCAGTCTCCTGAGTAGCTGAGGTTACAGGCATGCTCCACCATGCCCAGCTAAGTTTTTTGTATTTTTAGTAGAGATGGGGTTTCTCTATGTTGGTCAGGCTGGTCCTGAACTCCGGATCTCAGGTGATCTGCCCACCTCGGCCTCCCAAAGTGCTGGAATTACAGGCATGAGCCACCGCGCCTGGCCCTGTTTTATTTTTTTTAATGCCTCCTTATCCTTGACACTGTTATTCTTTCTGTAATTCCTATTCTTTTCTTAATACACCTGATTTGATCCTTTCAGATTTGCCTTTCTCTCTCTGTCAAGCCATTAAGACTACTTTTACTACTCAAAGGAAAATACAATTTTCTCTCTTTTATACCGTATAACAATCTGTCTACTCCACTGCGCTAAGGGATGCCTGAAGGTAGGAACCTAGGTACATAGCAAATTGCCCCATACCCTAGAGAGATAAAAAACGTGGTGTATTTAATAGAGTTTAGTTATCCTTATTTCTATCCTATTTCTTTTTTCTTTGAACTTTCTTTCTAAGAAACTGTATCTGAAATATCAAGCAGAAGGAACATGGTGAGAATTGACAGAGTATTTAGATTCTTATGTTAATAGCACACAAACCACAGTTAGCAAAATTTACAGGAAAAAAACTCTGTCAGTATTTATAAAATTCCTGTGCTTGTTCAGCAGCATGATCTAGACAATTGTATTTGGCTAAGGGCTTCACAAAAGCAAGGCTTCTAAGTCTGCACAGCGACACCCTAGTTCCTTGAATACTGTTGCTTAATTACTCATTGAGAGAATTCCCACATTCCTTACAACTGAGAATCCTATCACTCCTGTACTCTTCTGGAACTTAAGGGCATGTGCATGGATAGAAGTACATGGTGTTACAAATTCAGGCTGTGTCAACCTTACTAACTTGAATTCTAGCAAGGAATAGAGGTCACAGTCAAATTATAACATGTGGAGAGTTTAGTAGGGACTATTTACAAAGCTTTGGTAAGGTGTAGTGCAACTACAAGAGTTCATGCCATACCTTGGGAAAGTATAATGGCAATATTCTCTTACTAACTTTGGAGATAGGTGATAAGAGGAGACAGTGATTGCCTGAGTGACAGACAGGGGTGGCTATTTGGAGAAGGCTGTTTATAGGAGCTAAGACATTTGGCTTACAGATTGGACACAGTCTACCCATGATAACTGCTTGGAAGGATCTAAGGGACTAATACTGAGATGTTACTTTTCTTCCTCTCGCCTTTCCATCTGTCACTCCTCTCCCCTTCCCTCCCTGCCTTCCTCCTTCCACATCTCTTGCTAGGGTTCCCTATTGGGTAAACTCAATGGTAAGTCAAAGGATGTTGCTGTCTTCCAAACAGATCAGCCTCCCAGGGCACATAGCAGAGCCTGGGAGATTGGAGAGTGGATCACACTGAGAAAAGGCATCACTCCATTTTCCAAAAGTGAACGAAGAATTTTCACTTGAGGGGATAAAGGAACCCAGATGTCAGGAGCTGCAGTAGATGAGGTCAGAGGTTAGGGAGACTGTGTTCATCCTGAGGCAAAACAGAGAGTAGAAAGAGAGCCTGTGTCTCATTCTTTTTGTTTGCTGTCTCAGGTATGGTTTTGTTTCTTCTGCGTGTCCTGCAGTTTCTCTCCTATGACAATAAAAGGTGGGTGTTACTATTAGCATCGGCCCAATTACACAGAGAAAGCATTCTAACACAAGGAAACAATTGTAAACAAAGCCCAGTTAATTATACAAAACATTCTTGGCTGCCCTAATTAAGGCATAGTTCAATACTACTATCTGTGTAATTTAAAAAAAATTGTGAATAGATTTGGTAGGTACTTGTCTGGTGAACAAATAATGAGATCAGTGTTGCAGAAAGAATCTGATTAAGAAAAATTATTCACCAATCACTCGTTTTCTGCTGCTTTAGAGAACTCCTTCTCACTATGGCACGGAAAGAGAAGAATATGAATTTATTCTCCAAAAAGCCTGAAGCCTAAATTACAGGAAACTAGGGGATGTTTAATTCATTAAGTGGGAAGGGCTGAGGAATGGAGGATGATCCCACAGGGACATGTGTATTCTTTGTGCTTCTGTGCCTTTTCTGGCTGGTTTCTTCCCCAGAGAAGTTTCTAGATTTCACAGCTCCCATGCAGATGTGAACCATGTGACAATGTGAAAAGTGGGTATCCAAAACCTGTACTTTCTTTTTGTTCACATACAATAATAGAAGTGTAAAGAATAGTCAAATACCTAGTTTTATAGACCCTTTAAATAGTTTGGAGATCTAGGATATAATAGTATAAAACTGGACTTTGGACTTTGGTGTCACATAAAAGTACAAGCAAGTCCCTGGCAAATAAATACTTTTCCTGTATGAGTTCAGGCAAGTAGCTAACTTCACTGGGTCTTTAGGTTCTTTTCTGTAAAACAGGAGTTATAGTTGACTTTTGAACAAGGTGGGTGCTTGGGTTGCTGACTTCCTGCACAGTAGAACTTCATGTATAGCTTTTGGCACCCCCAAAAGTTAACTACTGATAGTCTACTGTTGACCAGAGGCCTTACCAATAATATAAACAATCAATTAACACATATTGTGTATGTTGTATGTAGTATATATAAGCATATAGTATATTCTTAAAGTAAATTAAGCTAGAGAAAAAATGTTATTAAGAAAATCATAAGAAAGAGAAAATTTATTTAATATTCATGAAGTGGAGGTCAGTCATCATCAGCCAGGCGCAGTGGCTCATGCTTGTGATCCCAGCACTTTGGCAGGCTGAGGCAGGCTGATCATTTGAGCTCAGGAGTTTGAGACCAGCCTGGCCAACATGGTGAAAACCCCGTCTCTACCAAAAATACAAAAATTAGCCGGGCATAGTCGTGTGCACCTGTAATCCCAGCTACTCTGGAGGCTGAGGCAGGAGAATCCCTTGAACCTGGGAGGTGGAGGTTGCAGCGAGCTGAGATCACACCAGTGCACTCCAGCCTGGATGACAGAGCAAGATTCTGTCTCAAAAAAAATAATAATCATCATAAATATCATTGTCTTCATGTTGAATAGAATGAGGAGGAGGAGGAGGAGGGTTTGGTCTTGATGTCTCAGAGGTGGCAGAAGTGGAAGATAGTCTGCGTGTAAGTGGGCCCACACAGTTCAAACCTGTGTTGTTCCAGTCAGCTGTCTATATTTCTCATGGTACATGGTACATACATAAATCTTAGGGTTTCTTTTTAATTTGATTTTCATTTTGAGAATTAAATGAGACAACACATGTGGAGAACGTTCCCATTGTCAGGCATTTGGTAGATGTGTAGTCACTCATGCTTTTATACCTCTTTGGTTCTTTCTTCTCTAATAACCCGTGTATCTTTTGTCATCCAAACGTTCGCATTGTCTATGTAGGGTACCTTGTAAATGAGATTTTTTTTTTAAGGAGAGGAAAATATTACTGAGCTGAGATGAGTGTGGAAAGAATGGGAATGCAAATTAAAATGTCCTATACTTAGAGTTTTCTTCATATTATGTTCTCTTACAAAACATTTTGGTTAATTTTAATTTCCTATTTTTAAGCCGTTAAGCATGTTCTGTAAGTAAACAAATGAGTTGGCAATTATGCAGTAAGTATAGTTTATGCTAAATTTAGATAGTGACTAATTTAGTACTTGAGTTTTAATGTACAGATCCAATCCAGAGGAGATAAAGGGAAATAAAGGGTATTTTAAAAATAAATTTAATTTACTCACAAAGGCAAATTCATCCAATTTATATATTTTCCTATAGGCATTTTTAGCAAGATGACCATCAAGTATCACCCTAATCAGTTTCTGATTCCTCTCAAAGCTATCTGTATTTCTTATACCCAATTTTGGTTTTCTGTCCTCTTGGCAGGATTGAAAGATGGCAGAATTTGTATTTTAGAGAGATCACTGTCTTATGGGGAGTGGATTCATGGAGGTGAGTTTGGAAGCACTGAATCTCCATAATAACTAACATTATGGTGCTCTACTCTATGGCCAGGCTGTCTTCAGGCCTCTCTACCTGATTTCCTTCACTGCTTATAACAGCCCATTTGGAAAGTACTATTAGTATTTACTACTTACTATTAATACTATTAGTATTTACCATTACAAGTGGGAAGAAGTGAATTTAGATTAGTTATCCTCTACCAGATCACACAGCTAAGAATTAGTTGCAAGTCTGAGACTTGAATGAAGGTCTACCTAATTTCAAAATTTGTGTGACTAGCCACTGTGTTCTGGAGTGGCCTAAGTGAGAAATGATGAGTCTGAACTAGGACAATGTTATTTAGGGTAGGGATGACAGCATGGATCTATAAATTACTTAGGAGGTAAAGTTTTCCAGACTTGGTAAAGCACTGAATATAGAAAATGAGAAAAGAATAGGAGTCTGGGATGATTTGCAGTGCTCTTTTCTGACAGAATGATGGTGCCAGTTACTGAGAATAAAGTAGGGAATGAATTGGGGTTACAGGAAGGATGGGAACAAATTACAGGCTAAAAATTAGGCAAGTGATAAAATTCGGAAGTGAACAATATGCTTTAAAGTTGTAATGGGATTGTGTAGCAGGAGCAATGCAGGCAGCGGACTAAGGATGGAGAATGCCAACTTTAAAAGAGAGGCAGAGAAAAAGGATTCAAGATAGAAGGTTGGTGTGGAGTAAGTAAGTGGTCAAAGAGGATAGAATCACTACAGGCAGTAGCAAATGTCAAGGAAGACACAATCAACAGTGTAAAATGCAGCAGAGAGGTATTAATTACCATATTAATTAATACATATATTAATTAGGGTAACATAAGGTGCTGTAACAAATACCCAAAGTGTTGTAACATAACACACTAAGTTATTAACCCTAATTATTCAAGTTGAATAATTCTGATTATCAGTCAGCTTTCCTCCTCCTGGTAATTCAAAGATGCAGACTCTATCCATTATATGGCTTGGCCATCCCCTAGCTTTTTGGAATTCTTGCTATCTGTCTAGCAGATGGGTAAAGCGAAGGTGCTGCACACTTTCTTCTGAACCGCATTGACCTGAGGTATCACACATTACTTCCACACAAATTCTATAGGAGAGGACTAACAAACACATGGGTCCTCTAGATGCAAGGGAGGCTGAGTATGTAGTTCTTGGCTGGCAGCCACTTCACAGAAACTATTCTAAATCTGGGAGATGGGGCACACATTTTTGATGGATAGCCATCTCTGCTAGGGTAGGATTAAAACTGAAGTGTCTATTCGAATTGGAAATGTGGAGATTGTTGGTGATGTTTGCCAAGTGTTGGGAGTGGGAACCCCTTATGTAGATAGACCCATTCTTGAAATAATCCCTAACTAGCCCTACCACTAGCATGCCCAAATGTGGGTCCAGTTAGTTGGTGTCCAAACTAAGCCAACATGTTGCACATAACTCAGGTGTCCAACTCAGAGTTAGTATCCTAAACTCCAGGGCCTGGTTTCAGTAGTAGCTGTTTGGTGTCAGAGTGCCCAAACGTGTTGGCATTATGGGAAGTGTAGTAGAAAACTGTTTTGGGGGAGTTTGTTTAAATAAGTTAGCAGAGGCACTGGTACCTCATACACACTTTCATCTTTTTAGGTAGGTCTGTTAACCTATCTAGAAAAATTGAGTAATATTTTGAACAAAGAGCAAAGAGAATGTTTGGCTTTGTAGGAAGTCTATTGAGGATTAAGATGGCAGATAGGAGGCAGGACTAGGTTGCAGCTCCCCCTTGGACAGACAGAGCAGTGTGTGGAGACTCACATTGTGAACTTTTTCTCCAAGAACAACGGCAGGAACATACCAGGAGACTCTAGAGAATCCACAGACCCTTTGAAGGAACTGAATCACCCCTGCAGGCTCCCTGAGATGCTGAAAAACTGACCACAGCTGATGCACTCTTGAAAGCATCACCTCCTTGATGGAGGCCAACCAACACGAAACCAGCACACTAAACAAACACACAACCAAGGCCCCTCACAGAATCCACCTCATTCCCCTGCTGCCTCCACCGGAGCAGGTGCTGGTATCCATGGCTGCAAGACCTGAAGACAAATAACATCACAGGACTCTGCAGACACTCCCCAGTACCAGGCTGGAGCCCAGTAGTTCCGCTGGATGGCTAGACCCAGAAGAAAAAAACAATCACTATAGTTTCACTCTCAGGAAGCCCCATTCCTAGGGAGGAGAGAGAACACCACATCAACGGAACACCCCATGGGACAAAATAACCTGAATAGCAGTGCTTGAGTCCCAGATCTTCCCTCTGGCATACTTTACCCAAATGAGAAAGAACCAGAAAAACAATTCTGGTAATATGACAGAACGAGTTTCCTTAACACCCCCAAAAGATCATACCAGCTCACCAGCAATGGATCCAAGCCAAGATGAAATTTCTGAATTGCCAGAAAAAGAATTCAGGAGGTCAGTTATTAAGCTAATCAAGGAGGCACCAGAGAAAGGTGAAGTCCAACTTAAAGAAATCAAAAACATGATACAGGATATGAAGGAATAAATCTTCAGTGAAATCGACAGCATAAATAAATAACAATCACAACTTCTGGAAATTAAGAACACACTTAGAGAAATGCAAAATGCACTGGAAAGTCTCAGTAATAGAATTGAACAAGTAAAAGAAAGAACTTCAGAGTTGGAAAAAGATCCAAGATGGCCAAATAGGAACAGCTCCAGTCTGCAGCTCCCAGGGTGAGTGAGGCAGAAGATGGGTGATTTCTGCATTTCCAACTGAGGTACAGGGTTCATCTCACTGGGGCTTATCAGACAGTTGGTGCAGTCCACAGAGCAGGGTGGGGCATTGCCTCACCTGGGAAGCGCAAGGGGTCAGGGAATTCCCTTCCCTAGCCAAGCAAAGCTGTGACAGACAGCACCTGGAAAATCAGGACACTCCCACCCTAATACTGCGCTTTTCCAATGGCCTTAGCAAACGGCACACCAGGAGATTATATCCTGCATCTGGCTCGGAGGGTCCCATGCCCATGAAGCCTCGGTCACTGCTAGCACAGCAGCCTGAGATCCAACTGCAGGGCAGCAGTGAGGCTCGGGGTGGTGTGGGGGAGGGTGTCCGCCATTGCTGAGACTTGAGTAGGTAAACAAAGCTGTGGGCAGGGAAGCTAAAACTGGGTGGAGCCCACCACAGCGCAAGAAGGCCTGCCTGCCTCTGTAGACTCCACTTCTGGAGACAGGGCATAGCTGAACAAAATGCAGCAGAAACTTCTGCAGACTTAAACGTCCCTGTCTGACAGCTTTGAAGAGAGTAGTGGTTCTCCCAGTATGGAGTTTGAGATCTGAGAACAGACAGTCTGCCTCCTCAAGTGGGTCCCTGACCCCTAGTAGCCTAACTGGGAGACACCTCCTAGTACGGGCCGACTGATAGCTCATACAGCCGGGTGCCGCTCTGAGACGAAGCTTCCAGAGGCAGGAATAGGCAGCAACATCTGCCGTTCTGTAATATTTGCTGTTCTGCAGCCTCCGCTGGTGATACCCAGGAAAACAGGGTCTGGAGTGGACCTCCAGCAAATTCCAACAGACCAGCAGCTGATGGTCCTGACTGTTAGAAGGAAAACTAACAAACAGAAAGGACATCCACACCAAAACTCCATCTGTACGTCACCATCATCAAAGACCAAAGGTAGATAAAACCACAAAGATGGGGAGAAACCAGAGCAGAAAAGCTGGAAATTCTAAAAATCAGAGCGCTTCTTCTCCTCCAAAGGAAAGCAGCTCCTTGCCAGCAACGGAACAAAGCTGGACAGAGAATGACTTTGACGAGTTGAGAGGAGAAGGCTTCAGATGATCAGTAATAAACTTCTCTGAGCCAAAGGAGGATATTGGAACCCATCGCAAAGAAGCTAAAAACCTTGAAAAAAGATTAGACGAATGGCTAACTAGAATAAGCAGTGCAGAGAAGTCCTTAAATGACCTGATGGAGCTGAAAACCATAACACAAGAACTACGTGATGCATGCACAAGCTTCAGTAGCTGATTTGATCAAGTGGAAGAAAGAGTATTAGTGATTGAAGGTAAAATGAATGAAATGAAGCAGAAGAGAATTTTAGAGAAAAAAGAGTAAAAAGAAATGAACAAAGCCTCTAAGAAATATGTGACTATGTGAAAAGACCAAATCTACGTCTGACTGGTGTACCTGAAAGTGATGGGGAGAATGGAACCAAGTTGGAAAACACTCTGCAGGATATTATCCAGGAGAACTTCCCCAACCCAGCAAGGCAGGCCAACATTCAAATTCAAGAAATACAGAGAACACCACAAAGATACTCCTCGAGAAGAGTAACTCCAAGACACATAATTGTCAGATTCACCAAAGTTGAAATGAAGGAAAAAATGTTAAGGGCAGCCAGAGAGAAAGGTCGGGTTACCCTCAAAGGGAAGCCCATCAGACTAACAGCGGATCTCTCGGCAGAAACCCTACAAGCCAGAAGAGAGTAGGGGCCAATATTCAACATTCTTAAAGAAAAGAATTTTCAACCCAGAATTTCATATGCAGCCAAACTAAGCTTCATAAGTGAAGGAGAAATAAAATCCTTTACAGACAAGCAAATGCTGAGAGATTTTGTCGCCACCAGGCCTGCCTTACAACAGCTCCTGAAGGAAGCACTAAACATGGAAAGGAACCACCAGTACCAGCCACTGCAAAAACATGCCAAATTGTAAAGACCATCAATGCTAGGAAGAAACTGCATCAGCTAATGAGCAAAATAACCAGCTAACATCTTAACGACAGGATCAAATTCACACATAACAATATTAACCTTAAATGTAAATGGGCTAAATGCTCCAATAAAAAGACACAGACTGGCAAATTGGATAAAGAGGCAAGGCCCATCAGTGTGCTGTATTCAGGAGACCCATCTCACGTGCAGAGACACAAATAAGCTCAAAATAAAGGGATGGAGGAAGACTTACCAAGCAAATGGAAAACAAAATAAAAGGAGGGGTTACAATCCTAGTCTCCGATAAAACAGACTTTAAACCAACAACGATCAAAAGAGACAAAGAAGGCCATTACATAATCGTAAAGGGATCAATTCAACAAGAAGAGCTAACTATCCTAAATATATATGCACCCAATACAGGAGCACCCAGATTCATAAAGTAAGTCCTTAGAGACTTACAAAGAGACTTAGACTCCCACACAATAATAATGGGACACTTTAACACCCCACTGTCAACATTAGACAGATTCATAAGACAGAAAGTTAAAAGGATATCCAGGAATTGAACTCAGCTCTGCACCAAGTGGATCTAATAGACATCTACAGAACTCTCCACTCCAAATCAAAAGAATATACATTCTTCTCAGCACAACGCTGTACTTATTACAAAACTGACCACATAGTTGGAAGTAAAGCACTCCTCAGCAAATGTAAAATAACAGAAATTATAACAAACTATCTCTCAGACCACAGTGCAATCAAACTAGAACTCAGGATTAAGAAACTCACTCAAAACTGCTCAACTACATGGAAACTGAACAACCTGCTCCTGAATGACTACTGGGTAAATAATGAAATGAAGGCAGAAATAAAAATGTTCTTTGAAACCAATGAGAACAAAGACACAACGTACCAAAATCTCTGGGACACATTTAAAGCAGTGTGTAGAGGGAAATTTATAGCACTAAGTGCCCACAAGAGAAAGCAAGAAATATCTAAAATTGACACCCTAACATCACAATTAAAAGAACTAGAGAAGCAAGAGCAAACACATTCAAAAGCTAGCAGAAAACAAGAAATAAGTAAGATCAGAGTAGAACTGAAGGAAATAGAGACACAAAAAACCCTTCAAAAAATCAATGAATCTAGGAGCTGGTTTTTTGAAAAGATCAACAAAATTGATAGACTGCCAGCAAGACTAATAAAGAAGAAAAGAGAGAAGAATCAAATAGATGCAATAAAAAGTGATAAAGGGGCTATCACCACTGATCCCACAGAAATACAAACCACCATCAGAGAATATTATAAACAACTCTACGCAAATAAACTAGAAAATCTAGAAGAAATGGATAAATTCCTGGACACATACACTCTCCCAAGACTAAACCAGGAAGAAGTTGAATCTCTGAATAGACCAAAACAGGCTCTGAAATTGAGGCAATAATTAATAGCCTACCAACCAAAAAAAGTCCAGGACCAGAAGGATTCACAGCCAAATTCTACCAGAGGTACAAAGAGGAGCTGGTAACATTCCCTCTGAAACTATTCCAATCAACAGAAAAAGAGGGAATCCTCCCTAATTCATTTTATGAGGCCAACATCATCCTGATACCAAAGACCGGCAGAGACACAACAAAAAAAGAAAATTTTAGACCAATATCCATGGTGAACATCGATGCAAAAATCCTCAATAAAATACTGGCAAGCTGAATCCAGTAGCACATCAAGAGGCTTATCCAACATGATCAAGTGGGTCTCATCCTGGGGATGCAAGGCTGGTTCAACATATGCAAATCAATAAATGTAATCCATCATATAAACAAAACCAAAGACAAAAACCAAATAATTATCTCAATTGATGCAGAAAAGGCCTTCAACAAAATTCAACAGCCCTTCATGCTATAAACCCTCAATAAACTAGGTATTGATGGGACATATCTCAAAATAATAAGAGCTATTTATGACAAACCCACAGCCAATATCATACTGAATGGGCAAAAACTGGAAGCATTCCTTTGAAAACTGTCACAAGACAGGGATGCCCTCTCTCACCACTCCTATTCAACATAGTGTTGGAAGTTCTGGCCAGGGCAATCAGTGAAGAGAAAGAAATAAGCGGTATTCAATTAGGAAAAGAGGAAGTCAAATTTTTTTTGACTTCTGTTTTGACCCTGTTTGCAGATGACATGATTGTATATTTAGAAAACCCCATTGTCTCAGCCCAAAATCTCCTTAAGCTGATAAGCAACTTCAGCAAAGTCTCAGGATACAAAATCAATGTGCAAAAATCACAAGCATTCCTATATACCAATAACAGACAAACAGAGAGCCAAATCATGAGTGAACCCCCATTCACAATTGCTTCAAAGATAATAAAATACCTACAAATCCAACTTACAAGGGATGTGAAGGACCTCTTCAAAGAGAACTACAAACCACTGCTCAACAAAATAAAAGAGGACACAAACAAATGGAAGAATATTCCATGCTCATGGATAGGAAGAATCAATATTGTGAAAATGGCCATACTGCCCAAGGTAATTTGTAGATTCAATGCCATCTCCACCAAGCTACCAATAACCTTCTTCACAGAATTGGAAAAAACTACTTTAAAGTTCATATGGAACCAAAAAAGAGCCTGCATTGCCAAGACAATCCTAAGCAAAAAGAACAAAGCTGGAGGCATCATGTTACCTGACTTGAAACTATACTACAAAGCTACCGTAAGCAAAACAGCATGGTACTGGTACCAAAACAGAGATATAGACCAAGGGAACAGAATAGAGCCCTCAGAAATAATATCATACATCTACAACCATCTGATCTTTGACAAACCTGACAAAAACAAGAAATGGGGAAAGGATTCCCTATTTAATAAATGGTGCTGGGAAAACTGGCTAGCCATATGTAGAAAGCTGAAACTGGATCCCTTCCTTACACCTTATACAAAAATTAATTCAAGATGGATTAAAGATTTAAATGTTAGACCTAAAACCATAAAAACCCTAGAAGAAAACCTAGGCATTACCATTCAGGACATAGGCATGGGCAAGGACTTCATGTCTAAAACACCAAAAGCAATGGCAACAAAAGCCAAAATTGACAAATGGGATCTAATTAAACTAAAGAGCTTCTGCACAGCAAAAGAAACTACCATCAGAGTGAACATGCAACCTACAGAATGGGAGAAAATTTTTGCAATCTACCCATCTGACAAAGGGCTAATATCCAGAATCTACAAAGAACTTAAACAAATTTACAAGAAAAAAACCAAACAACCCAATCAAAAAGTGGCCAAAGGGTATGAACAGACACTTCTCGAAAGAAGACATTTATGCAGCCAACAGACACGTGAAAAAATGCTCATCCTCACTGGCCATCAGAGAAATGCAAATCAAAACCACAGTGAGATACCATCTCACACCAGTTAGAATGGTGATCATTAAAAAGTCAGGAAACAACAGATGCTGGAGAGGATGTGGAGAAATAGGAACACTTTTACACTGTTGGTGGGACTGTAAACTAGTTCAGCCATTGTGGAAGACAGTGTGGCAATTCCTCAAGGATCTAGAACTAGAAATACCACTTGACCCGGGCATCCCATTACTGGGTATATACCCAAAGGATTATGAATCATGCTGCCATAAAGACACATGCACACGTATGTTTATTGTGGCAGTATTCACAATAGCAGAGACTTGGAACCAACCCAAATGTCCATCAATGATAGACTGGATTAAGAAAATGTGGCACATATACACTATGGAATATATGCAGCCATAAAAAAGGGGTGAGTTCATGTCCTTTGTAGGGACATGGATGAAGCTGGAAACCATCATTCTGAGCAAACTATCGCAAGGGCAGAAAACCAAACACTGCATATTCTCTCTCATGGATGGGAACTGAACAATGAGAACACTTGGACACAGGGTGGGGAACATCACATCTGGGGCCTGTTGTGGGGTGGGGTGAGGGGGGAAGGATAGCATTAGGTGATACACCTAATGTAAATGACGAGTTAAGGGGTACAGCACACCAACATGGCACATTTATACATATGTAACAAATCTGCACATTGTGCACATGTACCCTAGAACTTAAAGTATAATAATAAAAAGAAAAGACAAAAAACTTCAGAGTTTGAAGACAAGGCTTTCAAATTAACCCAATCCATTAAAGACAAAGAAAAAAGAATGAAAGATAATGAACAAAGCCTCCAATAAGTTTGGGACTATGTTAAACATCCAAACCTAAGAATAATTGGTGTTCCTGAGGAAGAACCGAAATCTAAATGTTTGGAAAACATATTTAAGGGAATAATTGAGGAAAAAGTCCCCAGCCTTGCTAGAGATCTAAACATCCAAATACAAGAAGCTCAAAGAACACCTGGGAAATTCATTACAAAAAGATCATTGCCTAGGCACATAGTCATCAGATTATCTAAAGTCAAGATAAAGGAAAGAATCTTAAGAGCTGTGAGGCAAAAATATCAGGTAACCTATAAGGGAAAAACCTATCAGATTAACAGCAGATTTCTAAGCAGAAACCCTACAAGCTAGAAGGGATTGGGGTCCTATGTTTAGCCTCCTTCGACAAAGCAATTATGAGCCAGGAATTTTGTATCCAGCCAAACTAAACTTCATAAATGAAGGAAAGATAACAGTCTTTTCCAGACAAGCAAATGCTAACAGAATTCGCCACTGCAAAGCCATCACTACAAGAACTGCTAAAAGGAGCTCTAAATCTTGAAGGAATTCCTCAAAATACACCAAAATAGAGCCTTCTTATGGCATAAATCTCACAGGACCTATATAACAACACAACAAAAAAAAACTCACAAGGCATTCAGGCAACAAGTGGCACGATGAAGAGAATAATATCTCATATCACAATATTAACATTGAATGTACATGGCCTAAATGCTCCACTTAAAAGATGAAGAATGGCAGGTAGAATGGATAAGAACTCACTCACCAAGTTTCTGCTGTCTTCAGGAGATTCGCCTAACACATAAAGACTCACAAAAACTTAAGGTAAAGGGAGGGAAAAAGACATTCCATGCAAATGGACACCAAAAGTGCAGGAGTAGCTATTCTTATATAAGACAAAACAAACTTTAAAGCAATAGCAGTTAAAAAAGACAAAGAGGGACACTATATAATGATAAAAGAACTAGTCCAACAGGAAAATATCACAATTCTAAATATATATGCACCTAATATTGGAGCTCCCAAATTTATAAAACAATTACTAGTAGACCTAAGAAATGAGATAGATGGCAACACAATAATAAGTGGGGGACTTTAATACTCCACTAACAGCACTAGACAGGTCATCAAGACAGAAAGTCAACAAAGGAACAATGGACTTAAACTATACCTTACAACAAATGACTTAACAGATACTTACAGAACATTCTACTTAACAACTGCAGAATATACATTCTATTCATCAACACATGGAACTTACTCCAAGATAGACCATATAATAGACCACAAAACAAGTCTCAGTAAATTCAAGAAAATCAAAATTATATCAAGTACCCTCTCCGATCATAGTGGAATAAAATTGGAAATCAACTCCAAAAGGAACCCTCAAAACCAGGCAAACACATGGAAATTAAATAACCTGCTCCTGAATGATAATTGCGTCAACAATGAAATCAAGATGGAAATGAAAAGATTCTTCGAACTGAACAATAATAATTACACAACCTAAAAAATCCTCGAGAATACAGCAAAAGTGGTGCTAAGAGGAAAGCTCATAGGATTAAATGTCTACATGAAAAAGTCTGAAAGAGCACAAATAGACAATCTATAGTTACACCTCACAAAACTGGAGAAACAAGAACAATCCAAACCCAAACCCAAGAGAAGAAAAGAAATAACAAAGATCAGAGCAGAACTAAATGAAATTGAAACAAAACAATACAACAGCTAAATGAAACAAAAAGCTGATTCTTTGAAAAGGCAGATAAAATGGATAGACCATTAGCAAGATTAACCAAGAAAAGGAGAGAGACGATCCAAATAAGCTCAATTAGAAACAAAATGGGGGATATTACAACTGATATCACAGAAATACAAAAGATTATTCAAGGCTACTATGAACATATTTGTGCATATAAAATAGAAAACCTAGAGGAAATGGATATATTCCAGGAAATATACAACCCTCCTAGATTAAACCAGGAAGACATCTGAATCTCTGAACAGACCAATAACAAGCAGTGAGATTGAAACGGTAATAAAAAGTTACCAACAAAAAAAAGCCCAGCACCAGACAGATTCACAGCTAAATTCTATCAGACATTCAAAGAAGAATTGGTACCAATCCTATTGACACTATTCCATAGGATAGAGAAAGAAGGAATCCTCCCTAAATGATTCTGTGAAGTCAGTATCATCCTAATACCAAAACCAGGGAAGGACAAAAAAAAAAAAGAAAACTACAGACCAATATCCCTGATGAACATACATGCAAAACCCCTCAACAAAATACTAGCAAACTGAATTCAACAACATATCAAAAAGATGATCAAGTGGGTTTCATACTAGGGACGCAGGGATGGTTTAACATATGCAAGTCAATAAATGTGATACACAACATAAAACAAAATATTTTTAAACATCACATGATCATCTCAATAGACACAGAAAGAACATTTGACAAAATCCAGCATCCCTTTATGATTAAAACCCTCAGCAAAATAAGCATAGAAAGGACATACCTTAAGGTAATAAAAGCCATCTATGACAAACCCACAAGCCAACATTATACTGAATGGGGAAAAGTCGAAAGCATCCCCTCCAAGAACCGGAACAAGACAAGGATGCCCACTTTCACCATTTCTATTCAACATAGTACTGGAAGTCCTAGCCAAAGCACTCAGACAAGAGAAAGAAATAAAGGGCATCCAAATCCATAAAGAGGAAGTCAAACTATCACTGTTTGCTGATGATATGATTGTATACCTAGAAAACCCTAAAGATTCATCCAAAAAGCTCCTGGAACTGATAAATGAATTCAGTGAAGTTTCAGAATACAAAATTAATGTACACAGATCAGTAGCTCTGCTATACACCAACAGCGACCATACTGAGAATCAAATCAAGAACTCGACCCTTTTCACAATAGCTGCAAAAAAATAAAATACTTAGGAATATACCTAACCGAGGACGTGAAAGACCTCTATAAGGAAAACTATAAAACGCTGCTGAAGAAAATCATAGATGACACAAACAAATAGAAACACATCTTGTGTTCATGGGTGGGTAGAATCAATATTGTGAAAATGGCCATACTGCCAAAAGCAATCTACAAATTCAATGCAATTCCCATCAAAATACCAGCATCATTTGTCACAGAGCTATAAAAAACAATCCTAAAATTCATTTGGAACCAAAAGAGAGCCCTAATAGCCAAAGCAAGACTAAGCAAAAGGAACAAATCTGGAGGCATCACATTACCCGACTTCAAACTATGCTATAAAGTTTTAGTCACCATAACAGCATGTAACTGATATAAAATATGCACATAGACCAATGTAACAGAATACAGAATCCTGAAATAAAGCCAAATATTTACAGCCAACTGATCTTTGACAAAGCAAACAAAAACATAAAGTGGAGAAAGCACACCCTATTCAACCAGTGATGCTGGTATAATTGGCAAGCCACATGTAGAGGAATGAAACTGGGTTCTCATCTCTCACCTTATACAAAAATCAAATCAAGATGGATCAAAGGCTTAAATCTAAGACCTGAAACCATAAAGATTCTAGAAGATAACACAGGAAAAACACTTTTAGACATTGGCTTAGGCAAAGACTTCATGACCAAGAACCCAAAAGCAAATGCAACAAAAACCAAGATAAATAGATGGGACTTAATTAAACTAAAGAGCTTCTGCACAGCAAAATAAATAATTAGTAGAATTAACAGCCAACCCACAGAGTGAAAGAAAATCTTCACAATCTATACATCCGACAAAGAACTAATATCTAGAATCAACAAAGAACTCAAACAAATCAGCAAGAA
Organism: Homo sapiens; assembly: GCF_000001405.40. Classification (NCBI taxonomy): domain Eukaryota; kingdom Metazoa; phylum Chordata; class Mammalia; order Primates; family Hominidae; genus Homo; species Homo sapiens. The sequence goes on along the minus strand of NC_000001.11, from coordinate 96,429,522 downwards.
AAAATAAACAATCCCATGAAAAAGTGGGCTAAGGACATGAATAGACAATTCTCAAAATAAGATAAACAAATGGCTAACAAGCATATGGAAAAATGCTGAACATCACTAATTATCAGGGAAATGCAAATCAAAACCACAATGCAATACCACTTTCCTCCTGCAAGAATGGCCATAATGAAAAAACCAAAAAATAATAGATATTGGCATGGATGCGCTGAAAAGAGAGCACTTTCACACTGTTGGTGGGAATGTAAACTAGTACAACCACTATGGAAAACAGCATGGCAATTCCTTAAAGAACTAAAAGTAGATCCAGCAATCCCACTACTGGGTATCTACCAAGGGGAAAAGAAGTCATACGAAAAAGATACTTGCACACATGTTTATAGCTGCACAAATTGGAAGTGCAAAAATATGGAACCAGCCCAAATGCCCATCAATCACTGAGTGGATAAAGAAAATGTGATATATATATATACACCATAAAACTCTACTTAGCCTTTAAAAGGAATGAAATAATAGCATTTGCAGCAACCTGGATGGAATTGGAGACTATTATTGTGAGGTAACACAGGAATGGAAAACTAAACATTGTATGTTCTCACTCATATGTGGGAGCTAAGCTATGAGGACACAAAGGCATAAGAATGATACATTGGACTTTGGGGACTTGGGGGAAAGGGTGGGGGGTGGCAAGGGATAATAGACTACACATTGGGTACAGTGTTCACTGCTTGGGTGATGGGTGCACCAAAAACTCTTTAATCACCACTAAAAAATGTATTCATGTAACTAAACACCACGTGTTCCCCGAAAACCTATTGAAATAAAAAAATTAAAAATAAAAAAGAAAGTCTATTGAGAAGGCAGTAATTGTGCCACTATTGTTGGCTGCTCCATAAGTCATTAATAGTGCCCTATGCTGTTGATGTAATTGTTTGCAAATATATAGTTGCTGTTTTAATTTAGTGATACTCAATTGTCTACAATTTATGATTATACAAGGGTATACCTTATATTTTTAAACTTAATGTGGGCTATAATTGCAGGCATTAAATAATAGTAAAAACTATCTAGAGGAGGAGAAAAGTATGAGGAACATTTTTAGTTCAGTTCCACCAGTATCTATCAGCAAGCTGTACCAGATATTGTTGTGGGGATGAGCGGTGGGCAGTCCACAAAAGGATAATATGGGGCACTCGAATTCAAAGAAATTAGCTTGTTTTCAAGAAGAAAATACATAGTCACCTAAAATAAAGGGCTGCTGCTATCAGGCAGTGCCTGATTGTGTGCCAAAATGCAATGTGCAGAAAAGAAATTCCGCTAAGCACAAAGAAAGGAAAGACCCTTCGAAGTGGAGGAGCTGAAAAGGCTTTTGGAGAAGAGGGAAATAACATACATCAAGTGCCTACTTTGTGTCATAAATTGTTAAGCTTTTGCTTGTTAGCTCATTAACAGCCTTTGAAGGTAGATACTGTTATGTCAAGCTTAGGAAAATAAAGTTAAAAAGATTAAATATTCTATATTCCTTGAATACCAGAGCCAAGATTCGAACCGTCTCCTGGAATCACTCCAGTAAGGTTTTGGCCACATTGGGCTGAATTCTTTGGAAGACCTAGAGCTCATTATATTCTTGAGAGAATTTATGCTACCTATTTTCTACAGCTTCTCAGATCCAACTAGAGCATTTGTTTTTCAAAGTATCATTAGCCCTGCAGAACTTAGTCATCTGATATCTTTCCTGGAGTGCAGTAGGAATTGGCAATGCTGAGAATCACAGTTTGGATTATACTTCTGGGAATAAGAAGGGTTTATTATAAAGAATTTCAAGTTGAATTATCAGGGGCTTCTCCACTTTGCTATATCTTTTCAAAAATTTCTGCATTTTGAGTCCCTTAAGTTGGGAAATCAGGGTGGGCAGGGTACTTTACTAGGATTTTCTTACTGTCAATAGTCATTTCTTCTCCAGACAGACTCACAGCCATGATAATTAATTACTGAGTTTCTTATATTTGCCTGGATGGTAAGCAGGTCATACACTACGGTAAATAGCAGTTTGATGAAGAACAAAGACGCATCGGGGCCATTAAAATATGCTCACTAGCTTTCTGACATAGGAAAACAAATTATACAGCAGCAGTTATAAACATCAAGTTTGAAACATCAAGTTCTCACCATTGAGAACTGGTGGCTTTATCATATACATATCACAGTCCACAGGAAAGTTTCCCTGGGAATTAATTAGGCCCATTAGCATAATATATTGTGAAAATATTTCACAGTCATAAAACAGTTGAGTTTGAAATGTTAAAGTGGCAGAAGAGATTTAAAATAATTAAGACAAAAGAGAGATGGAAAGAAATGCATCAACTTAATGTTGAGCTGGGGCCTGCCTTATTGGAGATTTGATTTGAAACTCCAAAGCAGTGACCAAAACCAAACCCAAGACATTTGTTGTTTAAATGAGCCATAGCATGTGTTTGCAGGTATTTCTGAAGGTAGTTTTATTGAAATATGGTTTTTAACACCTGCCTGGAAAGTTTTACGGTAAAAACAAACTTAAGACTGGTTAGAAACATACATAAACACTCACGCACAATTTGGTAAATGCAGCTAAATGATTTGTGTTTGGAATAGTTCTTTTATAGTAACGGATGATAAATGATTCACTTTTCTACTTTTATTTTGAGGAGTGTAGAAATAGCATTAGACTTAAGGAAAACCTAGTTATGAGTGCTGGAGTCACTTATTCACATTCAAGAAATTATTTTGATAAGCCTTCAAACCAACCAAGAGAATTTATTCCCCCAATGATCAGGACTATTAAAGCAAGGTAGGAATGGAACGCTTACACCTGTGAATAGTTAATCTAGCCACTAATTCAAAGAGTCCTGGGTTGCCACAAAACGGCATTAAAATGTTGATTATTTTATGGCTTGTCCAAATGCCCAATTCCCGAAGCAATTGTTATAATTTACATAAAAAAAAGAAAGCTCAGGGAAAAGAATATCCATCTTTTAACATTATCCACAAGGGTCTGGTTCTGACTGCAGACGTAAAACAAATAGAAGTATCTAGCTCAGGCAATTAAAATGTCCTTGTTTTCCATTAAACAAAAATGTGTTCATTTGTGAGTGACTCCAAAAGGAAGACTTAGAAGTAATTGTCATAGTTTGCTTTGGTAAGAGCCCTAGATTTAGTAATGATATTCCAATAACTCTAAGAACAAATCTTCTGCAACTGTCATTTTTCCAATCCATTTACTATCAAATATTCACGAAATGTAAGTAGTAAAAATGTATCAGTATCAGCAAGTAAAATTTGCTTTTTATTTGCTGACAGGTGAAATAGGTAAAATAGAACCACAGAAACTAGCAGAAATATTAGAACTGGGATAATCTCAGAGATTCTCATTTTAAAGATGAGAAAACTGAGGCCCAAAGATGTTAAGTGATGTTGGTTACGTTATACTGCAAATTACAAACAGAACAAAAATTAGCACCCAAGATTTCTGACTTTCCATCTACTGTGGTTGTCCCTATGCTGGGCTGTTTTAGCATTAATAGTTCATGGCCAGAACTTGTTAGTTTTGGCTTTAGGAAGCAATTGGAAGTTCCTACAGGGAAAGAAGGAAAAGACTGGTGAAACCAAAGTGACTCAATGACTAGATTTTGTACCTTGGTTAAGAATCTATATTCTGAATATTCCGTTTCTAGTATCTGAACAAATTTGAAGTCTTAAAGCTTAACCCACATTTTTTCCACCTAATGAATAAATCAGTGAGAAAGATCAGTGGGTCCCCGGGCCCCACTGGAAATTCATCTGCTGTCAGAAAACTGTATTGTGTGCTCGCCTCACCTGCTATGTGCCCTCTGTAATCCCTGCTCTTTGCCCTGTCTCTCTGCCTGCCTTGTTTTATCTGCTTTCTAGTTTCAAAACCTTATGTGCAGCCCAGCATGAGAGTTTTCACAATCCATTCTACCTCGATCAGATTCTGTCCAGCAAGTCATTTATCTCCTGATGTGGCAACAAATCCTGCCACTGACCTATATTCAGTGTCATGTTCTCATAATGATCAATACCAACATTCACAGCTGGAAGGAACATCTGCCATGGAAGTAGTATTGAAAAGGTCAAGACTTATTCTTGGGAGACCTATTCCTTTTACTTTTTTATTTTTGTTTTTTAAACTAGTTCACTGTGGTTGTTTCTAAACAAGTGTGAGCTTCTTGAAGGCAGCACTCACAATTTTTTGTTTTTGTTTTTGTTTTTTTTTTTAGTAATTTAATGGCAAGCACTGAATGAGACATCTACTATCTTCTAAGAATTGTTTTTGAATAAATTTTCAGGAGATGTGAGTAATGAAATAATACAACCACACAGAATCCTGGATGATGAGGAATCCTTGGGCTGTTTGAGTGTAAATCTCACTTTTATTTTCATACCAAATTTTTGGCATCTGTCTTAAGAAATCTCTGTGGTAAGTCGGAACATCTGCAGCACAACCTGGCCAACAACAGGAATTTTCAGAAATTTCTTACTGGGAGAAAAGCCACACTTATTTTAACCTACTGTTTGCTCTTTAAAGAGTTTCCATTTTTTCCCTTTGTTTAAATAGCAATAAGTCTCTACACAACCATAGATTATTTGACCAAATCTGGTTATGAATTTTATGCTCACTTCTGACTTTGAAATGTATTGAACAATTTAGGAAAGCTTTTAAAAAAACAAGTTACCCAATATATTGTAACAGGACATATGAGGAACAATAAAATCTGAGACCAGCCAGGTGTGCAATTTTTAAACATAAAATTGAAGAGATATTAAAAATAAAAAATAATTCATATGGTTATTTAAAACTAATCAATCAAGATTTTTATTAATTTCTTATTTTTTATTTTTACTTATTTAATTTTTGAAATTTCATATTTCTTGACCTAAAATATTATAGTATTCTGTCTCTGTTTGCATACAATGAGATGCTTATGAAATACTGTCTAGTCTAAAGATTTCCATTCATAGTAATAGTGGTCAGCTTCTGGACATGTGCAGAAACCAGTGTTAATGAGAGAAAAAAATAAGAAGGGTTTTTTTTTTTTTATATTAACAACAATACATTTAACCACTTGGTCTTTGGAGGATGTAGGATGGAGGGAGGCCATCTATTAGTATTCAGGGAAAAGGACAGGTATATAGCTTCTAATTTTTCCTTTGAGGTTGTCTGCCAGACTAATTAATGTTAGAGGCAGAAACAGGGTAATAGCCCTAATAGAGAACTCACCATAATGGATGGGGTGGTTTGTAGGCTTATCTGTAGATCATAGAACTCTGGAAGGGAATGTGGCTGGAACCCTCTGCTAGCCAAGTCACCCTGTGAATTAAACTGAAAGTGCTTTATTTCTAAAGGATGACAATAACTAGGTTGCTATAAAAAACCTTTCTGAATGTGATTTTGAGAGAGGGCGTATATTACCTCATTTCTAGAGAAATGACTACAGGCCTAGGTCAATTGACTGAGGTCAGTAATGGTGGTAGCAAGAGACAAGAATAGGACCAGCCAAAGAAGATGGCCAATTCAGTTTCCATTTTTGCACAGTGCAGAGTTTCAGCATTAATATCAGAAATACTGATGATCCACCACTGGCATGGAGGTAGTACTGCTAAAGACAACAGCCCCTGGCCAGAAGGCTTCAGAGTTACAATTTTTTAACTAAAGAAAATGTGAGCTTATTTTGTAGTGACAGTATAGAACCAAATATGTCCACGCATAGTTCTCTAGTCACTCTTCTCCTGCCATAGTGACTGAGGAAACCATGTGTTCTAGAATATGCAACTAAAAGATGAGGCTCTGTCATCTTGAGTCCCCAAGGGACTATGTAGAACAAAGATCGTTGATAACCTGAAACATACATAGAGTATAAGTAAAAAATTAATCATTATGTTAGACCAGTGGAATTTCCAGGCTAATTTATTATGCAATATAGCTGAATTTATCCTGCTAGTAATAGATAGGTAGGTTCAAAACTGAATATACTCTTTGATTTGCTTCTTTTCATTTTCCAAAGTATTGTGAACATTGTTCAGTCTCTCAAAATATTGATATGAATTATTCTTAGATTCAGACAGATACAGAATATTTTAGTATGGCATGGTAGAAAAATATAAGCCATTGAGTTAATGTGTGTGTTTTTACTTATATTTTTGTTTCATGCTGCATTTCAATATCCATCAAGCGTGAGTTAGATAAATTTATCTCGAACATCAGCTTGGAAAAAGCCAAATTTTATAAGGTGTTAAGTTCTATTTTATTTTGGGGAGAAATTTGTCTGTAATACTTAAAGTTTACAAATACATAGCCTATTATTCCATAAATCTTAACTGCACACAAATGGTCAAGGGAAAAAGTTCAAAAATGACCAATGCAGTTTATGTTTTAGCCAAAAATGTTGGAGACCACCTAAATGCCTTTCAATAGAGAAGTAGCTTAGTAAAGTATGCATATGCATTTAGCAGCCAATAAGAAGAACATGATTTATATAAATATATTGAAATGAAAGATTGTTCATGATATATGTTGTATAAATAAAGGAAGTTATAGGACAACATATGTTGTATCATCTCATTTTTCGCTAAGCATTATAAATCGTGTTTACACATGCATAGAAGTGGTTGAAAGGATACACATCAACATTAAAAGTGCTTACGCTTGGTGAGTGGGTAGGAAGAATTGATAGAGATTGGCTTTTTACTTCACATACTTCTATGTCATTTTATTTCCTCTTTACAATGATCATATATTCTTTATGTGAAACAAAGCAATTTAAATAAAGACTGGTTAATTCTTTTTTTTGTGACACTGAATTCTTTATTTAAAAAATTTTTTGAATACACAGTACCTCCTCTTCTCTTCTATTTTTAGGAATAAGTTATAATGAGTTTTAAATATCTCAATTCTCAAAAACAATAGTCTTTTAAAAAATAAGACTTGATTACCAGACACAAGTAATAGGTAGTTACGTAACCATTTTCATATCACTACTCATACCCATTATTTACCAATTCATCTTTGATGTGATTTGGAAATAATTAAGCAGTCACTAGACACCTGTTTTAGAATCTGAAGAAATTATCCACCACAGGAGTCTAATGATATATATATTTGCATATATTTAAAATTTCATAAGGGAAAAAGTAATAAACTACTCTAGTTACTTTATACCAAATATTGATATTCCTAGTCTAAACAACAAGGATTAAGATCTTTCTCCAGGTGAACTGTTGACTATATAAAAGCTATTTCCAGCGCTTTCTTCTGGGGATTAAAAATGCTTTATTTCCCTGCTGGCTAAAATGATAAATTACATATTACATATTACAAGTAAGTCCTTCAGAAGTGAATATTAATTCCTTAAGAGAACAACCATAAAATGTATTTTTTAAAAATTATCTTAAAAACTGAAAACAATCCTTCTCTTTAAAACTTATGGCATTAATCCCTACTTGACCAAAAAAAAAAAAAAATCAGAAGGCCACGATTTTCAATGATCTAAGCATGCATAAATAAGGAAGTGAATGTATCACCATCTTAATAGAATTTGGCAAACCAGAAGAATGACCTAAAAATAAATAAATAAAAAAGAAGAGTATACATTATCTTCTAAGTATGAAAGTCTAATTCTGTAGGTCTATGTAGCAAACAGTGCCCCACGAGGGAAGGAGGAGGCAAGCAGCATATTCCTATATACATTTTCTTGATATTCTAGTTGTCTTTCAACAATACCTTATACATTACAGAGAAATATTCTTTTTTCTTTTTTTTTTTTTTTGAGACGGAGTTTCGCTCTTGTTGCCCAGGCTGGAGTGCAATGGCGCAATCTCAGCTCACTTCAACCTCTGCCTCCGGGGTTCAAGCGATTCTCCTGCCTCAGCCTCCTGAGTAGCTGGGGATACAGGCATGCACCATCGTACCCGGGTAATTTTGTATTTTTAGTAGAGATGGGGTTTCTCCATGTTGGTCAGGCTGGTCTTGAACTCCCAACCTCAAGTGATCCACCTGCCTCGGCGTGAGCCACCGTGCCCAGCCGAAGTATTCTTTTTATTATTACAAGCCATTCATTAATTGCCCTCTGTAGAGCAATGACTCAGATAAATGCCTTATGACTTTTAATAATGTAACTTACATATAAATTAAATCTAAGTGCAGGGAGTTTTTAATGATTCCCAGATTCAAGAGAGTGCTGTTAATCTGATTATGAATTTTGAATGTTTGTGCTCCTATATTTTAGGATATTTCATCTTACTTTCTTCTCTTTAAGCCATAAGATGTACCAAAATTATTTCATTTTCCCCTACATTCCTTTGTTTCATTTAGTTTACTTCATGGTATTTGTATGTAGAGAGAGAGGTATGTTAAAATATTGTTATAAAAAACTCAATTACTGTATAGTATAGCATTGTTAATCTTTGACCCAGTACATTAATTCCTTTGGTGAATAAATGTCACCAGTCATTTCTTTATAAAAGCATTTCGGTAAGAGGACCAGCAATATGGAGAGAGATTTCTCTCTAACCCCCGGAAAAAGATCAGGTCAAACAGTAGTGTAGAGCAGTTATGTAAAATATGAAAATACATAATTTGCAGCTGCAATTTTTCATATTAAAAGCATTTTAAAACTATGAGAAATTCAAAGACTTTCTGTCTTGGTTAAACAGGCCAGCTAATAAAACTGACAGAGATACTGTGAGAATTTATGTATATCTAGTCAAGATAGAGCAAAAATGTTATAATTTTTTAAAAGTGGCAATTGTTAACTAGCAGTATATAAACAGTGTCCACAATTTGGTGGTTGGCCACGGCTTTATTTTTTTTCAAGTTATTTCTATAGCAGACATATTTTTGAAGTCTACCCACCCATGAGTTCAGCAATTATACTTTTAGAGTGTAAAATTATATGCCCTTAATTAACAACACATACAAAGCTACAAAATGTCATCTATACAGATTAAAAACAATTTTAAAGTATTATTTACCAATTATTGATTGAATGGTTTTACTGGGGTACATATTTCAAATGTTTCAGCCAGCTGGCTTTTAGTTTTAAGCCCAAATTGATTCATAAATTCACTGCAGGGTATTTCAAAAAGAGTGCAACAATAAGGCATGAGTAAAAATAACATTGTAGTAGGAACAGATTTTGCATATGTGAAAAGGTAATTTACAAAAATACATGAATCACTTTTTAAAAAGAACTTAGTTGTAGTATTATTAACTCACATGGTACTGAGAATCGGACCTTTCAACAGTTTTTTTTCTATAGCAAATTTTATCTAGCTGTAAGCAAAGTCTTTTCAACAACAACAAAACAAAACACTCCAGGAAAACCTATATGGCTGTGTGAGACAAATAAGCAAACATACCATTTGATAGCGATTTTTGCCTAAATTTTAAAATAAAAATGTCCACACTCTTTCATTAAAACATTAAGCCTCTGTCAAAAATGTATTTCTTATTTTTGGGTACAGGATTAAAGGATAAGATGATACTTACAAGTAAAGAAAGTTTACAAGACAAAACTTAACAAAAGTTTTTCAATAAAAGTATTTTAACATTCAAACTTGACTTATAACAAAAGAAACAAGATTGCAAACAAAAATGTTTATGCATTTTCCAAACATAAATAAATGAAATAGTGTTTAGGCAGTAGGGCTCATGCTGACGGCTAGCAGGAAGTTAACAAAGTGTAACCTACTTGGAAAAAAATCTTTAATGTACAAATAACAAGGCCAAATTATGGACTGCACTAATTTATCATCACTGCCATTTTTCTTACTTCCAAAATAAAGCCTTGATTAAACCATTCATACCCTATATTACTCATACCTTTACTTCAGAGATTGAGGAACTATATACAACAAATGAATTTATTTTCACCATAGGGATAACATAGTGTACCTCTCTGCCAGTGTTACTTGAAAATCTTCCATGTCAACTTGACAGCAGATATAAACTATTAAATAAATAAGCAGTGATCTTTCATTACAGTCCTTTAAAGATGCATGATTATTCATGCTGTTAACCTTAGGATCACAGTGCACAGAATCCAAATATAAACAGTTGGGGAGGCTTTTAGAGTAATGTTGGATCCCTCACTTTATTTATATTCCCACTGTAACTGATAAGTTCATTTCATAGGCCCTATCATGCATTAATCCTTGAGTGGCAGGAGTTAATGAAAATTGTTCCTGTTACAACGTCCATTGCCGGCAATAAACGTACCAAAACCGCCAAGGAAGTCATTGTTATTGCACAATACGTGAGGACCTGGAGCTTTTCCAAAAGCTTAAAAAATAAAAATAAAAATGGAATTATATTTGACATTCCCTGACACCTGGATTAATACTGTATGACTAATAAAAGCATGTCAGTTGCCTGGACTGAATCAGCGATCAAAATGTGCCCAGAATGCACACAAGTAAAAATGCAGTAAAAGGATGTAGTCTTCATTGCCTATAGGTCACTTCCAGTCAAAGACTGAATGATCAAAGTGCTCATTTTCTCAATAGGACTATCTTCTGTAGGAGGATCATAACAGTGGCATCAACAAGCGTCTTCATGATACCACCATTTTGTTTTCTTTGGATTCTTGTTACGTGTTCGCACATAAAAAGAATTATCTGGTGGTCGTCTCTTTTCTTTGCAGCTGGAAAGCATGCTAATAATGCTAAGACAAACTGATTGGACGGAGAGCGCTGGGAACCAGTCTTCTGTTAGAATGGATAAACAGGTATGACCATTGCTATAATCATGAGGATGAACAGGAATATTTTCACTGGTAAACATGACTGTGTAATTGAATTTTGAACAGTCTTTTCATTTAAAGTCATCCCAGGAGGTGGGTCATTTTGCAAAGCCAACAATTATTTCTGTAGTCATTGAGACTGAAATAATTCTTCACCAACAACAGAAACGCAACACTTTGGCGTAACATACCTCAGTCTAGAAATAAAAGATATTGGTCTGAAAAGAAAATTATACTGCCTTTTTTTTTGAGACGGAGTCTCACCCTGTTGCCTAGGCTGGAGTGCAATGGCATGATTCATTGCAACCTCTGCCTCCCAGGTTCAAACGATTCTCCTGCCTCAGCCTCCCGAGTAGCTGGGACTACAGGCACACACCACCACGCCCGGCTAATTTTTTGTATCTTTAGTAGAGACAAGGTTTCACCATGTTGGCCAGGCTGTTCTCGAACTCCTAACCTCGTGATCCGCCCACCTCGGCCTCCCAAAGTGCTGGGATTACAGTGCCCGGCCTTAGATTTAAAATTTAATGCAGGAATAGAAAACCAAATGCTGCATGTTCTCCCTTATAAGCGGGAGATCAACAGTGAATACACACGGACATAAAGATGGAAACAATGCTGGAGCCTTCTAGCGGGGAAGGCAGAGAGAGGAGCAAGGATCAAAAAACCACCTATCAGGTACTATGCTCGCTACCTGGGTGACGGGATCATTTGTATTACAAACTTCAGTGACATGCAATTTATCCATGTAGCAAACATGTACATGTACCCTCTGAAATGAAAAAGTTGAGAAAAAATATTTATGATTTAAGGCCAACTGGGGGCCAGAGTTGAGGGTGACTAGTAAATGTCTGCTAATTATGGCCTCTCTAAGCTTAACCATATATACAAATGACACTGTGTTGGTAAAGTATTGATTTGGAAAATAAAGTGAGTCATAGGTAAAATGAATTTAAAATGATAGCCCCAAATGAAATAATATTATGGAAAGCAATTCCATAAATCTAGCTTGTTCAATACTTTATAATGTGAAATAGAATACTTAAAACAGCCACAGTCTTTGATACAATCAAATAACCAACAAATTCTGCCAATTTGGGCTTCCTAAAATTCTCCTGGGGGCCAAAATCATCCATTTTGTATGGTCATGTAGCTATACAGTTAATGCCAAAGATCTGGGGCTTTTTTCCTGCAATTTTTTACTTTTGGTGACTGAAAGGAAATGCCACTCACTACTCTTTGCAAAAGGAAGATTTTCATGGATATCTTGCTCTTTATGATTTCAAGAAGCAGATAAATATTCTTCACGAACTGTTTTAATGATATAGCAATCCAGAATAAAGATTTGGTATCACAAAGAAGTGATTCTATTCTAAAATTTCATTTTGAATTTTCTGGTCACAGTGTTGTAGGGAGGCATGGTTAAGTATTAAAATGAAGCACTTGCTTAAACCAAAGGGGATTTCCTAATCAGAAGTGAAAGCCTCCTGATACTCTGCTGCAGGCGTGTGATACTGCAGCCCTTCTCTAAGTGCATATCTCACATTCAAAGTCATTTCTCCATGCCTGTCAAGTGAACTGAACCCCCTGATTGTCTGTCTAGGACAGGGATCCATTTCTAATGTATGAGGCTACAGTTTTTGAACTCATAAACTGTAAACTGTATTAAATAAACTGTCTCCTGATTGATGAGTGCTGCTCTTATAGGCTAATTTCTCATCTAAACAGTGATATGAAAATTCTTGCTAAAGGGTTGGTGACAGGACTAAACGGGGGTAATAGCAGACTTAATCAAGAAAGACAAATGGGATTCATTAACAACTGGCACTCAGCAGACAGTCTTCAGAGACTTCTCAGCACAATCTCATTGGTCCAATCGAAAATAATTGTGTGCTGCTTTTATCACTGAATGCAGAACAAGGCCAATGAAAAATTCTATTGCTGATATTAAGTAGAATTCAAATTCGGATTGAATTTTGTGCCAGGCAGCCCATCTCTGGATGAGAGGAATGGAGGGGGAAAAATCGTGGCTTTCATGCTGGGATTTTTTTTCTCTGATTGATCAGTTTTCCCATATTGCTCATTCCACTCCGGTATCTTAATCAACTGGATCTTGCCCTAACTGGCAGGGATGTCTATGCCAGAGGCATCTGGTCTCTGGCTGGCTTAAGAATTGGCACATGGTTTATTTTGTCCAAGCTTGCTGAGCTCCACTTCCAGTAATGCCTGTCTTATTGAGCTGTTTAGATTTGGCTTGTGCGGTAGAGATGACTAACTCTCTACCAGAGCATGCTCCCCTTCCGCAGTACAGAGATTTTCCTAGGAAGTTCCTTCTAAATCAGGATCTATGTTTCCCAGTCCCCCTGCATTTACGTGAGGGAAGTGTGACTAAGTTGTTGCCAGTGGTTTCCAGGCCAAAGAAATGCGTGCCATTTCCAGACCTGTCATGTAATACTTTCACACTTAGTCTTTCACCCTCTATTTTTCCGATCTGTCAGCCAGAATTAGAGGATCCAGCAGATCCAAGCCACTTGTAAGTGATGAAGCCACAGACAGAAGGAACATGAGTCATATGTGGGAAGAGTAGTGGATTTTACATGAAGGAGAAATAGTTCTCACGTTACACCACTGAGAATTAGGGGTTTATTTGTTGTGGCATCTAACTTTACTTTGATTGAGGCAGCTAGTTTTAGGTCTGCCTTTAGGCCTATTGGCTTTGGTGACCTTACTTCTTTTTTTTCTTTTTTTCTTTTTTTTTTTTTCCCGGAGTCTTGCTCTTGTCACCCAGGCTAGAGTGCAATGGCAAGATCTCAGCTCACTGTAGCCTCCGCCTCCTGGGTTCAAGCGACTCTTCTGCCTCAGCCTCCCGAGTAGCTGGGATTACGGGCACCCGCCACTAAGCCCAGCTAATTTTTCTATTTTTAGTAGAGACAGGGTTTCACCATGTTGGTCAGGCTGGTCTTGAACTGCTGACCACGTGACCCGCCCGCCCTGGCCTCCCAAAGTGCTGGGATTACAGCTGTGAGCCACCGCGCCCGGCCATGACCTTACTTCTTCTTCTTCTTCTATTTTTTTTTTTTTTGAGACAGAGTTTCGCTCTGTTGCCCAGGCTGGAGTGCAGTGGTGCGATCTCGGCTCACTGCAAGCTCCACCTCCTGGGTTCAGGCCATTCTCCTGCCTCAGCCTCCAGAGTAGCTGGGACTACAGGTGCCTACCACCATGCCTGGCTAATTTTTTGTATTTTTAGTAGAGATGGGGTTTCACCATGTTAGCCAGGATGGTCTGGATCTCCTGACCTCGTGATCCGCCCACCTTGGCCTCCCAAAGTGCTGGGATTACAGGGGTGAGCCACTGCGCCCAGCCCTTACTTCTTAACTGACCTCCTTAGCTTTTGATTTTGTGTACAGTTGGGCTTTAAGGCATGTGTACCCTTCTGGCTTGGGCTTGTGAACTCTAAGCTCCATTTTTGGATGAGGATTTCCCATTGGCCTGCTTCCCCCCTAGAGCCCATTCTCAGGTACCCAGGTATAACGTGTGCCCCATCCCACCCCAAACTGTCAGTGAGAAAAATGAGATTGGACACACATAGTTGAAGCCAATTAACATCTTGTTTTTAGTTTTTTTTTTCTTTTTTTAATCTTTAGCATCAAGAGGTTATACAGGAATTTTATAGAAATAGCTATCTGGTCAGATTAAGGGGAAGCAGCAACTGCGGCCCAGAAGTTTTAAATGCTGCTTAACCCGCTCTCCTCTAGGCTGCACTTCTGGGGTTATTGGGCTGACAACAGCTGGACCATTCTGAGACACTTACTATGGCAGATGCTGTTGTGGCCTGCCCATATTCTTTCAACTCCCACTGTTCCATTACACATCAATGGTGTCTACTGCAAGATACTGCTATGCTCCTCCTAGGCGTTTTATCTTGACAGGTCTGAAGTGCCACTGAGGGCAGGCTGTAGCCCATGACAGATGAGGGTTAGGGGATTAAAAACGCAGCCTCCTTGTCCCTCAGCAGTGGATAACTCTGAGGCATGCTCTACGTTGTCTCTCGCAGTGCCTAGTGGGGCTGAGCCTCAACTGCAGCCAGCTATAATGCACATGTCATGGTCTCCCTTCCCTTCTACGTTTTAGTTCCCTGTTTCTCTACTGGGGCTTCCTAAGATTACCACCCAAATGAACTACTTGTGCTCAGATCCTTATCGCTAGATCTGCTTTTGGGGAATCCAGCCTAAGACACTGACAGTCTTCCTTTTCATTTTAGGGATTATGACATCAGCTATTTTTGAACATGAGCCAATCAACTGATGGGAAGTAGCTGCTGATCTCTGATGTAGTGAATTATAATCTGCTAAATAGGAGAAGTAAAAACAGCTGATATATAAATTTGATATGTAAATTAGTATGCTGCATTAAAGCTAATTAAAGCTGAGAATTATATAGAAAATAATTTTTTGGTGTATGTGGACACTGTGAGAGCTGTAATCACAGATACACTTCATCTAGTTGAAGCAACTTCAGGAAATGTGGTCACTCCATCTGTTTTTTCTGCTCTCTTTTGAGGGTTCAACTGTATTGTTCTAGATATGACATCAAGGGACATTATGGCGACTCTACACTTGAGGATGAAAATTTCCATTTGAAGAACAAGTTACCTGCACCTGGCAGGTGCAGTGACCTGGCAGCTGCCTCAGAAGTGGCAGCTCTTGCTGCCAGCTCTGCTCTGATCTATGCTTCTGCAAGCCATACTGCCTAGTGGATATGCCAGTGTGGCTGGGTAACGGTTTTTATCTTTCCTACAATCTCTCAGGTGCCTTATACCCCCAAATAAATACCCAATCTTAATAACAATTGTGTGCTTCTAGGATAATATATCAAGTCATTTAACATAAGTAAAAAAATAAACATAAAAACAAGTGAAAACATTAGGCTTGTTATCCACTGCGGTTTTAGCTCAAGTCCATCTCTCCATCCACTTTCTGCAGATAGCTGCTGTGAAGCCCTTCCGAATAAGAAATTCTGGAGCTGTTTCAACTCTAGGTACAAATACAGCCACAGCATGAGTGAGTGGCATGAACAAGTTTTACCCTAACTTCGTGCCCTCTCCAAGATCTTTGTGCTTTCAACTGCCCCTTCCCACACATTTGGCAGCCTCCCTCCAAGGCTTTATGCGAGCCGTATTTCCCATGCCTCTCCCATCACTAGATGATTGTGAGAGTGAAATATGAGTCTAGCCACAGAAGATAACATAATCTTTACATTTTCAGCAAAAGCAGGTGATAGCATATATTTGCC
This sequence comes from Homo sapiens, assembly GCF_000001405.40. NCBI lineage: Eukaryota > Metazoa > Chordata > Mammalia > Primates > Hominidae > Homo > Homo sapiens. The sequence continues at coordinate 96,413,431 of NC_000001.11, read as the reverse complement.
CTTCAGACACCTGAGGCGACTCTAGCCACACCCCCCTCAACTTCTCTAGGACCCATAATAATGAGTAAGTCAAGTGGAGATCGCAACTTTGAGGGTAAACAGCCAAACACCCCTCAGCACCTACTGATGCCTGTGTTATCGCCCTGAAGGATTTCTTCAGGTTTTGAAGAGCGACGTGAGAGAGTTTTCTTGCATTGATTCTAGCCCCTGAGTTGTTGGAAGGGACACTTCTCAGTATGGCAAAGTATTTCATTCCCTGAAGCTAAGGCTTAGCAGATGTCTCCTGATGAAAGCCACTAAGCAAAGGCTTGAAAAATCACCTAAAACTATAGAAACACCGGGAAGGTGCTAATTGAAGCAGGAGAGCCTGGGCTTCTAGTGAAATTCTCAGAAATAAAAAAAACAAGAATGTGATTAGAGAAGTCTCACTGGATGCCATGGGATAAATAACATGTATATAATATATGAGATGTGTATATATATTTATATATTTATACACATCATGCATAGTATATGTATCTATATCCTTTTATTTAAAAAATGATGGTACACTATACACTGTTATGTACACTGTTTAGCCACTTAATGCTAAATCTGGGGGACTGTTTCATAGCTCTCCTTATAGAAAAGTCTTGTTATTTTCTACATATATAAATATAATGAATTTATGAATATGGTTATTAATGTTACAAAAAGGTTATATCATTACTAGATTTGATCTCTGACATGTAATCATTGTTCCTGCAGTTAATCATAATGCAACTTCAAGCCAATTTAGTAATTTTCAAGTATTCATATTTTCTAAAGCACCCCAAAATTTAATTAAATATGAGTTTTAATGGTGAGACGAATGTGGAGACTGCTGATACCTCATGTATCTTTTAAAATAGATGTTTAGAACTCAAAATATTGTGACCATTAATAACGTGACTTAAAAAATATTTAGAATCAATCATTAGTAAGAAATCACATATAGTTAAAGTGAGATAATATGATTAAGTAGAACTCTATAATTTGTTAACAGGCTTTTGTGTTTGCCTAATATGACTAAGGAGTTTACATTAGAAATTTGAAGCTATTTGATTGAAAAGGCAAATTTGCACTGCAATTTTGAGTTTAGATTACTTTTCCTAACTTCTCTTTATACTTATACCTTGCTGTGGTAGAACCCATAATAATTAAAAAAAATTTAAAGAAAGAATTAACCGATGTTCTGGAGAGTGCGTAACATGCACATTTTGCCATGGTTTTTTTCATATGTAAATTGATATCTTATCATGAAGCAACCTACAAAAGATGATTTCTATTAATATGTTTGATGTATATTTTTTCCCACAGGTTCTCAGCTGGTGTGTGTTTTCTTCCTCTGTGGATTCTGCCCACCATCAAGTACCATGTCTCGCATATCATAGACACAGAGAAATAATAGTCGCTGAATTATACCATGCTAAATCTGATATTAAAAATCATTCTTTATTCGTGAACAGAAATAGCTTCCTATCCTCTAGGTAACAACGACAACAAAAATTCAAAGAAGTTTCTTTCTTTGGGGTTGCAAGTAACAGGAACTGAGTGAAACATGGTACCAAAATAGAAAACTATCTAATAGTGATCACTAAGTAGAAATGACACTTTACATGATTTTTGGGTCTGACTCATTGCTTTTGGGAAACTGGAAACTTTATTGAAAAGTCTGATCTTTACAGCATGACAAAAACTCCTTGGGAAATATGTAACAAAAAGTCCCAGAGATAATTTTGGCACTGAATAGAGAAAAATTTACTGGAGTGGGAAACCAGGAGTGCAAAATCGGAGATGGCCGTTGCGCTGAAAAGGGACAAGCAAAGGTCCATGTGGAAAACATCTCTCTGTCTTCTGTAATAGAAAGGATACTTTTAGAGAAGTATAACTGAGGCTGCAAAAGTAGATACAACTTATATTTGAGACCTATGATAATTCCCTTATCTTGGGGAAATTATTTAACTGGTTAGTTTCTTTATGTATAAATTGGGGATAAATATCTACTTATTTATTTAATCGTGAGGATTAAATGAGAGAATTTGTGCAAACCATCTAGCTGTTCTAGCATACAGTAAGTGCTCATCAGTGTTAGATATTGTTATTACCTATTCTATAAATGAGAATGGGGAAATTGTCCATTTGAGTAGGTTCCTGGCCAGACTGTGGAATGGTCTATTTCTAATCAGCATTCCAGCTGTCAATAGGGAGGGCAGTTGGCCAAACACTGCCTTAGGACAGCAAATGATGAATGATTGCCTTTCTGAAGGAAAATCAGATCCTCCTCCTGTTGATGCCACTGAAACACAACAAAGCATGCCAAGAGGGCCTCTGATGCTGTTGTGAAAGCAGAGGTATACAGTGATAGGTTCGAGATGAGTATGTTACAGCACCATGAGAGTCATTAGGACCTCTAAAACGAATCCTTAGGCTTCCCAGGATACTATGCAGACCTTCGCTAGTCTATCTAGTTCTTAAAAGGAAACACCAACATCTGTTCTACCTCTGTAGCATGGCAGTGAGCAATCATACAGAAGTGATAAAGAGCAGTTAAAGCTACAACTAGTTAATCCATTTCTCTCTCTATTTATGTTAATATAGGTTGACAGACTGGAATGCCAACCAGTGTGTGGACAGTAAAGGACATGCTTTAAGGAGGGGGTTGGCTTGAGTCCACTGGGTTGTGATGTGCCCAGAAGGGATGCCCATAAGAATACACAAGAATAGAGGTTCCAAGGCTGCCAAATTAAGCTCATTCATTACTAATGGAACTTGGGAATTATCAACTGTGAATTAGAGCTGGATGGTGCTAAGCATAAGCAGAAATGGAGGAGGAGGAGGAGGGTACGCCATAGAGACATCTGGTACTGAGAAGAGATAAGAGCTGAGGCCACAAATACTGATATTCCCTACCCGAGGTCAGGAGTTCGAAACCAGCCTGGCCAACTTGGCAAAACCCTATCTCTACTAAAAATACAAAAATTAGCTAGGTGTGGGTGTGTTTGCCTGTAATCCCAGCTACTCAGGAGGCTGAGGCACGAGAATCGCTTGAGCCTGGGAGGCTGAGGTTGCAGTGAGCTGAGATCACGCCATTGCACCCCAGCCTGGGTGGCAGAGCAAGACTCTGCCTCAAAAAAAAAAAAAAAAAAAAATGATATTCCCACACCTACCCGGGAAAAGGCAGGTTCTAAAAGAAGAATGTCAAATTGGGCAGAGACAGACTGACTGTCAGAGATTTCCAAGCAGTGCCCCTCAAATTCTGGATACTCTACAAAGGGCTAGAGGATAAAGGGACATTTCTTCTCCCCAGACACTCTGCTAAAATTTGCCCCCACACTGAACACTTGCTCATTCAGGCACTTCCCACTTGGTAAATGAATGGGAGGCATCAGACCCATTCAGCTTCGCCTGGACTGATATCTGGCATGTATCATTTCCTTCTTCCCTCAATTTTCCATTGTCAAATCATCCATTAAATTGGATTGAGTCTGCCTAAGCCAGCCTGTCTTGGAGTGCTCAGGGGAGATTACTTTGAAAGGAACAAGACCTTGGCTGTCAGGCAGGTTAGCACAAGCTCTCACCGCTTGGCTTCTCACCTCGCAGAGGTCCTGTGACATCTCAGAGGGCTCCAGCCACCTAGCATGATTTCTCCTCTCAATGCCCTTCTTTCCCTGGCTCAAAAACTGTGATTACCCTCTATTCTAGCCTCAAGACCTTTTTGTTTTCTTTTTTAAAGGAGACGTTGATAGGACAGAGGACAAGTAGAGAGCAGAAAATGTGAGGCATCCTTTGACGTTTTATGTTCAAGTCTCACTATGTAAACTTCTGAGATAATCTTCCCAACAGGTGTTAGATAATTTGGGAAAGAATTTTAACTATGAGACTTCAACTAGTGTTTCTGTCAAAAATCATTTGTTTAAAAATTGGAAAAGGAAAGTGGCATCAGAGCAAGATGAATTAGCTCCCTGCTTTTAGAGACAACTGAAACACATTTTTCTTTTACTGATCACTTTCCAGGGGAAGGTGTCTTCTCACCCAGGGCACGATGGCAGCATTGTGGTCAGTAAGCATGAAAGGCGTGCCAACTTCAGTGAAATGGAAAGCTGGCAGCTTTCATGATCTGTCCTTGGTCACACTCCGTGTGGGTGACAGAGCTGTTGCACTTCAAACAAGAGCCCATAACCATCAGGTACTGAGAGTTGGAAGGGATTGGTAGGAAGGCTTAGGGCAAACAGACACAAACTAAAAGCATGTATCCCAGTGTCGTAGTCCTGCTTTGGGTCTAGGAAAACTTTGTTTGCAAATTCATCTAGAGTCTTTTTTTTTCCCTTAAATATTGATATTGTAGTTTCACGAGGTTGAAGAGGTGATGGTTTCGCCTGTCTCAAATCCAAACTTAAAATTCACAGGATTCACAAATTACCCTATACTTTCATACATTTGTTATGCCTTTTAAAACTAGTTTCTATAACTCCCTCTGCAAACTAAATCTTAATAATATTTTGAATATGTCTAATATGTGTTTGGTCATAGTTGCCCTAATCTGCTCCCCTTTCTCATCTTTACTGTCTTCGTTCAGATTGTCATTATCACTCAGTTGTTGACATGATCTCTTAATTGGTGTCCCTACCAACAATCTTGTCCCTGCAAACCACCTTCTATAATGCTGAAAAAAAATGCAGTTTTTCTCCAAAATGAAGTTGATCATGCATTTTTCTCTTAAATATCCTTCAATCCCTTCTCATTGCTTATTATCTATTATACTAGACTTCCTTTGAATGAACACAAGCCAGTGCAAGCCAGCTTAGGGATCCCATGAAAAGTTACCATGAGCTGCTCTACTCCACCTCATGAATCCTTCCTTGGTGTTTCCTTACACCTGCTCTTTGGATTCTCTGCTTTGATTCCCTCCTTGGCCCTCCCTCAATCTTGTTGCTTGGATTGAAAACTCAGTTTTAGATATATTAACCTGGCTTCATAGTTGAACTCCCTCCAGACATAACTTCCCATACTGCAACTAGTTTCATGCACTACAAAGTTGCATACATTCATTTGTCCATCCATCCACCTATTCATTCACTTAAAAAATAGTGTCAAGCACTATATTAAACATCAAAAATGTTGAACGATATACCTTGCTCAACTTAAATTGCTTACACTGTGGTAGAAGATGAAGACAAATTGTATGGTATCAAAGGACATTCTCAGAGGAAATGATATCTAAGGTGACAACTCAATGATAAGCGGAAGGTAGGCAAGAGAAGAAAGAGGAAAGAGTGTTTCATAGTGTAGCAAGGTCTTGCAGAAGAATTCTCCAAGGGTAGAAACTGTATCAGAGAGAATAAATGGCAAGAGATGAGGCTGAATAGCTAAGCATCATTCACATCATGAAGGGCCTTACATACTGTGAAGGGATAGGACTTTATTCTGAGGCCAATGAGGAGTCATTGAGGCTTTCAAGAAGGGGAGACATTCATTCATTTGAATTGCAGGAGGATTATTCTAGCTTTGTATATAGATTGATTTGAGGTGGGTAACACTGAAACCAGGGATAACTGGTGAGTGTAAAGCACTGTGGTGAGCACTACCAGTAACTTAGGCTAGTATAGTAGCAATCTTGGTGGAAATGATTGCATGGATGTGACAGATATTTAGGAGACAAAATTAAAAGGATTTGGTGGCTGATAAGAAAAGGAGAATAACATAATAATAAAAAATTATAATGACTAGCATTTCTTGAGTACTTACATGTACAAAGAACTATTTACCTGTTTTACGTACATGATCTCATTTCATCCTCACACATTTTTTGGGGTAGATACTATTGTTATCCCTATTTTCAGATGAATAATCTCAGGCACAGGGGAAGTACATGACTTGACCAAGGCCATGAAGTCAAGAGGGAGAACTAGGATGCAAACTAAGGTAGTTTACTATCAGAGCCTGCATTATATTATTTTTATAGATTCTTCAGAGGATACATATGAAGGTATGTTACACAGATATATTGCATAATGGTTTGGATTTCTAGTGTTTTCATTACCTGAATAGTGAATGTTGGACTCAATAGGTAAATTTTTTACTCTTACCTTCCTCTTATTCTCCCTGCTTTTGGAGTCCCCAGTGTCTATTATTTCCCTATGTATGTCCATGTGTACCCATTGTTTAGCTCCCACTTACACGTGAGAATATGCGGTATTTGATTTTTTTGTTTCTGAGTTATTTCACTTGGGATAATGGCCTCCAGCTCCATTCATGATGCTGCAAAAGATATTATTTTATTCTTTTTTATGTCTGAGTAGTATTCCATAGTGTATATGTACCACATTTTCTTTAACCAGTCATCCATTGATGGACACAGGTTCATTCCAAGACTTTGCTATTGTGTATAGGGCTGCCATAAACATACAAGAGCGTACAATTTCTTTTCCTTTGGGTAGATACTCAATAATGGGATTGCTGGGTCAAATGGTAGTTCTACTTTTAGTTCTTTGAAAAATCTCCATACTGTTTTTCATAGGGATTGTGCAAATTTACATTCCCACCAACAGTGTCTAAGCATTCCCCTTTCTTTGCATCCTTGCTAACATCTGTTTTTTAACTTTTTACTAATAGTCACACCGACTGGTATGAGATGATAACTCATTTGGCTTTAACTTGCATTTCTCTGACGATTAGTGATGTTGAGCATTTTTTCCACATGTTTGTTGGCTGCTTGTGTGTCTTCTTTTGAGAAATGTCTGTTCATGCTCTTTGCTCACTTTTTAGTAGGGTCACTTGTTTTTCTCTTGCTGAGTTGTTTATGTTCTTTGTATAAAAATACGTAGAAATACATTTAACCAAGGGGGTGAAAGATCGCTATAAGAAGAACTAAAAAACACTGATGAAAGAAGTTGTAGATGACACAAATAGGAAAACATCCCATGCTCATGGATTAGAAGAGTCAGTGTTGTTAAAATGATCATATTACCCAAAGCAATATACAGATTCAATGCAATTTCTATTAAATAACCAACACCATTTTACACAGAATTAGAAAAAACAATCTTAAAATTCATATGGAACCAAAAAAGAGCCCAAATAGCCAAAGAAGTCCTGAGCAAAAAGAACAAAGGTGGAGGCATCACATTACCTGACTTCAAATTCTACAATAAGGTTATTTTAAGTAACCAAAGCAGTATGGTACTGGTATAGAAATAGACACATAGATCAATGGAACATAATACAGAACCAAGAAATAAAAGCCATGTACCTACAACCAACTGATCATTGGCAAAAAGTCCACAAAAATACATAATGGAGAAAAAACACCCTATTCAACAAATAGTGCTGGAAAAATTGGATAGCCATATGCAGAAGAATGAATGTAGACCCCTATCGCTCATCATACAGAAAAATTAACTCATGATGGATTAAAGACTTAAATGTAAGAACTGAAATTATAAAAATCCTATAAGAAAACCTAGGGAAAACTCTTCTGGACATTGGCCTAGGCAAAATATTTATGATTAAGACCTCAAAAGCAATTGTAAACAAACAAACAAAAAAAACCACCATGAACAATAACAAAAAAAAAACCCCAAAATAGAAAAATATAACCTAATGAAACTAAAGAGTTTCTGAGCAGCAAAATAAACTATCGATACAGTAAACAGACAACCTACAAAATGGAAGAAAATATTTGCAAATTATGCATACACTGAAGCACTAATATCCAGAACCTGCATTCTTGGCCACTATACTAGATTGCCTTAGGAAGATTAGCGATACCCACTCTTAACTCTGGGGCAGGCTGGCCCATCTCTCTTTCATTACATACTAGGTGCCAAAGTACTGGATATTTATAAATTTGGCTGGAACATAGTTTCTCAGGGGGACCATGGTGAGTGCTTCTTGGCAAGGCTCTAGAAATACCAAGTTTTATATTTTTCTTAGAAGAGGCCATCTGCTTTGCAATCTATCAGGTTGTGCTGGAATTAGTAATCGTTTGGTTTCAAGATACAGACATTAAGGAGATGGATACTCCATTTACCGTGAGGTGATTATTATACATTGCATGCCTGTGTCAAAAAATATCTCATGTACCGTATTAATATATACAGCTATGTACCCGCAGAAATAAAAAGTAAAAAATTAAGCAAAGTAAAACAATCAAACAAAAAGAAACAGATATTAATCTACACCACCTCAAGTAATCATGAGCCTAAATTCAAGGGACTCAATTACCAGGAATAGAGCTGAACCTAGACTAGGAACTGGAAAATCAGAAACAACTTTGGCTTCTCTCAGTCTCCGTGGACATTTGTCTCTTCTTGTAACATCAAGTTACTGGTTCTCATGCTTCTTTCCCTAAACCTATTATCTCTGCTTCTCTCAGTATATTCATGGATAAAAATGGCTTCCAGCTCTAAATCTATATGACCAAGGATGACAGTCTCTACCTCCCCAACCTCTGTACTTCTTAGAACAAATTCTAAAGAAAAGAAGCCTATTGGTTCACTTGAATCATGTATACAGCTCTCATCTCAGCTGTGATACAAGCAAGACCACACAGAATCACCATTTCAGAAGGCAATGAGGGTGAAGGTAGATTCGCTTAGAAGGAAGTGTGGGCAAGAAGGGAAAGATGGTGTTTGTTAGTTTAGTCTTAAATATTTCACTCTTTTTGCTTTTTAGGTGGGAGCATGTTGTTGGATGTGGTGATGTGGCCACATCTCTTCTTTATCTGTATTGTTCCTCGTGCAAAGCTCCCACTTATGGTTCTAAACAGTTCCATGTCTGACTTCTGACACATACTGTAGTATGTCATTTGACATAGCTGCCCTCTCCTATCTCTATAGTCACTGATTTAATTCTATCCCTTGTTTCTAACTGTATTACCATGAGAGCTCCATGACTGATCTCTTTGCCTTCAATTTCTCTTGACTCTAGTTCTTTCTGTTCTTCCTTCATATTGCTACCAAAGTGATATTTCCAGGACACCAATCGAATTATGTCATTTTTTTCATTTTAAAAATAGCTTTTACAGAGGTCTAAGAGAACGTGGCAAAAAAGGCCAAGAGGCAATTGCATGTGATTATTAAGCATTGCATGCCTGTATCCAAGTACCTCATGTACCCCATAAATATATATACCTATGTATTCACAAAAATAAGAAGTAAACAATTAAACATAACTATTTATTCTCTTCTACACTTTCCTAATGAGGCTACTTGCATTCCTTTTTGGGCATATTCTCTTACTACTCTGTACATATAAACAATGTGCACTTTTTCTTTTTTTGACTTGGGGTCTTGCTATGTCATCCAGACTGGAGTACAGTGACATGATCATGGCTTACTGCAGCATTGACCTCCTGGTGTCAAGCAGTCCTCCCACCCCAGCCTCTCACGTAGCTGAGATTACAGGTGCACACCACCATGCCTGGCTATTATTTTTTTATAGAGACAGGATCTCACTATGTTGATCAGGCTGGTCTTAAACTCCTGGCCTCAAGTGATCCTCCCACCTCAGCCTCACAAAGCACTGAGATTAAAGGTGTGAGCCACTGCACCCCACCCACGTATGAACTTTTAAACAGCAAAATTTCCCCCTTATCTTCCTCTTCATCCGGACAACTGCTACTTAATCTCAAAATCTAATTCTTATGTGATTTTCTTAGAAAAAAATCCTTGCTAGTTTCTCCTTAACATTAATACCCCTCACCTTTGCCCCACCCTATCCTAAGTTAGGTCTAGAAAATTTTGATAAAGACGCTCCCACCCACATTGAATGGGATTTTCCATCTTGCTATGCCGGTGACAGCTTTGAACAATTAAAAAAAACTTCCTCTATTGGATGACCTAATGAATGTGTCACTGTTAATAGATACATTTGAAATGACCTTGGCATTATCTAGTTCAACTCTCTCAGTTTGTAAGTTAGAAGGCCCAGAAAACAGAAAAGTTATACATTATTACGGCTACATGGAGAGCAATACCAGAACCAGAACTACTTTTTTTTTTTTCCTCCTGGCTCATCGTCATTTTCTTTCTTTCTTTCTCTTTCTTTCTTTCTTTCTTTCTTTCTTTCTTTCTTTCTTTCTTTCTTTCTTTCTTTCTTTCTTTCTTTCTTTCTTTCCTTTCTTTCTTTCCTTTCTTTCTTTCTCTCTTTCTTTCTTTCTTTCTTTCTTTCTTTCTTTCTTTCTTTCTTTCTTTCTTTTTCTTTCTCTTTCTTTCTTTTTCTTTTCTTTCTTTCTTTTTTCTTTTCTTTTTTTTTTTTTTGCTACAGAGTCTTGCTCTGTCACCCAGGCTGGAGTGCAGCAGCTCCATGTCGGCTCACTGCAACTTCCACCTCCTGGGTTCAGGTGATTCTCACGCCTCAGCCTCCTGAGTAGCTGGGATTACAGGCGCCCGCCACCATGCCCAGCTAATTTTTTTGTATTTTTTTGGATTTTTTAAAATTTTTAGTAGAGATGGGGTTTCACCATGTTGTCCAGACTGGTCTTGAACTCCTGACCTCAAGTGATCGGCCTGCCTCGGCTTCCTAAAGTGTTGGGATTACAGGCATGAGCCATTGCACCTGGCCCTCATCATCATTTTCACTACAACAATGCTGGCTCAAATGCCTCTTTACCTGTAAACTCTTCACTAGTCTCCACTCCACCAACCAGTCTCTGTCAGTGTTACCATAGCTCTTCCTCTTATTTTTGGCACTGGCGTTGGATTTCAGAATGCGGAGGCTAGTGCTCTGGTTGAAACTTCTCTATGAGATTTCAAGCTTTAATGACAGACATCCTGTACTCGGTATCTTCTTATTTCCTTCAATGTCTAGTGCAGTGACAGGTATATGGCAGGTCACCATAAAACTTGGCTGAAAAGTCAAAGATCATTGACAATTGGGAGTATGTGTTGGTGTTAAACACATCTGTAGACATGTAATAAATCAATGTGTATGCATGTGTGTGATCAGTGCAATTTCAATGACCTCCTTTGATTTGGAATTCAAGTGCCATGTGTTCTTTAGGCAGGCACTACTATCAATCCCCAAAACTCTGATTTTTGGAATCTTTGGAAAGCTAGCACTATTTATTATTGTTAGTATCATTCTAATATATTTTTACTATTATGGTCTTTTCACATTTATAGGGTACTTTTTATAACATACTGTATTATCTTGCTTATCTTTGATTCAGTCAACCACAGACTTAGTTTGGGAAAACCCCATTTCTAATATAAATCCTAGCACTAAATTATTGTATAGAGTACCACTAAGAATTAATTTGTCCATATTTTCATTGTTTTCACAATGAAAGAAATGCTGGGAATGCTAAGCAAATATTTAGTTTTTATTTTACTGGTGAGTGGTTTAAAATGGTTTGGTTTTGTTAATGTCAGAATTCAACAGCACATCTGTTGAGGGTGAATTTGGAGCTTCAGAAGTCAAGGGAAAAAAAGCCCCACAAATTATGACAAAAAAACTTAAAAAAATTATTTTCTTAGTCATTTACAGGTATTTCTTCATGCATTCCTTCCTTCTTTTAAAAGATGAAATTCAGTAAGAGAACACATCCAACAGCTAAATAATCCAGTGTGTGCACCTTCAGGGCCTTGTGCATGTAATAGAACATCTTGCCATGGTAAAGTGGCTCCTTCAGAACATACTGCAAAAACATTAAAACTTTTTATTGCATTATGTAGATCCAGATTGTGTAGAAAGCTCAGCTTTTAAGTAGTTCTTCTCTCCTTAAATCCCATTTTCCTCTCTTGGTAGTAGAAATTGTCTTCATAACCCTGGTTAAAATATCTGATATTCAGTGGGAAATTCTCCCCTCATTTATGGTTTCTTGTCATCAAGATTGGCTCTGGTGAGGCCTGCATGTGTCTCTTTCAGCCTTAGGGCATTGGAAAGTTCCTAACCATACCTGAGCAAAACAGGCCAGAAATGTTCCAGGTCTGAACAATGCCCTTTGTCCTGCCCTCAGTCACCAAGACATACCCCACTCAGCCGGCCTTATGGGGATGGGATTTCAAAGCTGCCATGGCCACGATAGAACACAGGACCCCACACACCATGATTTGTGATCATTTTCTTCTCTACAAATGCCGGTTGACTCATCCATTTTTGTCCCAGTGACTTTAGAGTCACACAAAGCTTCCTAAATTCAGTCACTCTAGAATATTAATAGCTAATATTTATTGAGTGCTGACTATGTAATAGGCACTGTGTCCAACATTTTACATAGATTATCATCTTTGATCTTCACAACAAACCTTTTTTTAAATAAGAGCTTTAATGAGGTTTAATTACATATCACAAGATTCACCATTTTAAAGTGTAGAATTCAATGGTTTTTATTTACAGAGTTCTGCAACCATCATCACCATGTAATTTTATTTTTTTAGTTTAATGATTATCTTGTTTTATTACTTAAATTGCAATATGCAAGTTGTAGCTTTTCCTTTTTAAAATTAATTAATTAATTAGTTTTCTATTGCTATTTAATAGCTGTACATATTTTTGTGGTACATGTGATAATTTGATACAGTCATATAATCAAATTAGGGTAATTGGGATATCCATCACATTAAATATTTAGCTTTTCTTTGTGCTAGAAACATTTAAATTATTCTCTTCTAGCTATTTTGAAATGTATAATAGATTAGTGTTAACTACAGTCACCTTACTGATCTATTGAACACCAAGTCTTATTTCTTCTATCTAACAGTGTATTTGTACCAAATTAATCAATCTCTCTTTATTCTCTCCTCTCCCACCCTTCCTGGCTTCTGGTAGCCACCAATCTACTTTCTATCTTCATGAGACTCTACTCTCTATCTTCATGAGATCCACCTTTTCAGTTCCCGCATGAGTGATTACATGCAATATTTGATTAAACATGAAATTTTTTTTCTGTGCTTGGCTTATTTCACTTAATATAATGGTCTCAAGTTTTGTTGTGAGTTATTTGAGAAATCTCCAAACTGCTTTCCACAGAGGCTGAACTAATTTACATTCCCACCAACAGTGTATAAGCCCTCCCTTTTCTCTACAGCCTTGCCAGCATCTGTTGCTTTTTGACTTTTTAATAGTAGCCATTCAGACTGGTGTTAGATGGTATCTCATTGTGGTTTTGATTTGCATTTCTCTGATGATTAACAGCATGGTACTTGTACACAAACAGACACATAGACCAATGAAACCCATTAGAAAGCTCAGAAATAAAGCTACACCTATAATCATCTGATCTTCAACAAGGCTGAAAAACATAAGCAACAAAGGACTCCCTATTCAACAAATGGTGCTGGGATAACTGGAAAGCCATGTGCAGAAGAATGAAACTAGACCCTTAGCTTTCACCACATACTCAAGATGAATTAAAGATTTAATTCAAGATTAACTCAAGATGAATTAAAGATTTAAATGTAAGACTCAAACTATAAAAGTTTTAAAGGAAAACCTAGGAAATACCCTTCCCAACATCGGCCTTGGCAAAGAATTTATGACCAAGTCCCAAAAAGCAATTGCAACAAAGCCAAAAATTAATAAGTGGGACCTAATTAAACTAAAGAGCTTATGCACAGCAAAATAAACCATCAATAGAGTAAATAGACAACCTACAGAATGGGAGAAAATATTCACAAACTATCCATCTGAGAAGAACTTAATATCCAAAATATATAAGGAACTTAAATGAGCAAGCAAAAAACAAATAACCCCAGTAAGAAGTGGGCAAAGGCATAGAGACTTCTAAAAGAAGACATACAAGCAGCCAACAAAAATGTGAAAAAAATGCTCATCTATGTCTTTTAATTAGAGAATTTAGTTCATTTACATTCAGTGTCATTATTGATAAGTAAGGACTTAGTACTACCATTTTTTTTTCTGGTTTTCTGGTTGTTTTATAACTCCTTTCTTCTTTTCTTCCTTTCTTACTGTCATCCCTTGTGGCTATGTAATTTTCTTAGTTGTAGTATGTCTTAATTTGTTGCTTTTTATTTTTAGTGTATCCATTACAGGTTTTTGCATTGTAGTTACCATAGGGTTACATAAAACATCTTATAAATATAATAAATTATTTAAAGAGATAACAACTTAGATTACAAAAAAAGAGTAAAGACAAACAAACAAAAAACCAAACCAAACAAAACAATCATGCACTTTAACTCCATCTCCCCCACATTTTGACTTGTGGTTGTCTCAATTTACATAATTTTAGATTGCCTATCTCTAAACAGGTTGCAGTCTGGTGATAATCTCAGTGTTGTATATATATATATTTTGGTTTTCTGTGTTAGGGAATGAATCCAGCTGTGTCTACATTGCCATTTTGAAACCATAAATCTCCTAATTTAGAATGCTTTCATCACCCCTAAAAGAAACCCCAAGCCCATTACTTGTCACTCCCTTTCTCCTTTTCCCCCAGCTGTGACAACCATTAACCTTTCTGTTCCTATACATTTTTTCATTCTGGCCATTTTATATAAAAAGAATCATATAATATATGACTTTTTGTGACTGCCTTCTTTCACTTAACATAGTGTTTTCAAGGTTTTTTTTTTTAACGCTGTAACATGAATCATACTTATTTTTCATCTGGCTCCTCAGTAGTTTCTCAGAAAGCCCAATCCCATAGTCTAATGTATAGTATTACATCCAAGTTTAAGAGCAGAGAGCAATTCAATGAAGGCAGGTAGTCAACTAAGAGAGAGATACAAGGCAGTCAATAAAATCTGAGAAACCACACAAAGTTTGTGTCCAAACCATAGAGAGATTAAAGCTGCTTAATTAAACATTTATTTTTTAACTGAAGATGTGTTACATGTTCAGTATGAAAAATATAGAATATATAAGGAAGCAAAAAGAAGAACATTTAAAAGATCTGTATTCTTTTCTCTTGTAACTCATTTCACCTTTTTGTTTTCAGTTTACAGTAGTCCTCCATTATCCACAATTTTGCTTTCTAAGGTTTCAGTTACCTCTGGTCAACTGTGGCTTGAAAATAGGTGAGTACAGTGCAATAAGATATTAAGAGAGAGAGAGGGAGAGAGAGAACCTTCACATAACTCTTATTACAGTATATTTTATTGTGCCTAATTTATAAATTAAACTTTATAATGGGTAGGTATGTATAAAAAAAAACATAGTATATATAGCATTTGCTACTATTTAAGGTTTTGGACATTCATTGGGGGTCTTGGAGCATATTCCTCGTGGATAAGGGGGGACAACTGTATTTTCTTCTACATGTGTACATATATCTTTTTACAGTATATACACATTTATTATTTATAATGGCATTATGCTATACCCAATTTTAATTGTTTCCTTTTTTTTACTAATTATATCATAAAGTTCTTAATTTTATTCAGTATTATTTTACCACCTAATTTTTACTAGTAAGATGGTATATAAGAATGTGCCATATTTTTTGATAAATCTTCCATTTCATGGTACATATATAGTAGTGTGGTGAACATTCTCATTCCTTTATTTATAAAGACTTCAGTAATCTAGGTTTTCAGCTGAATTTCCTGGAAGTGGGTTCGTGCTATATAGTATGACAACTTTTAATTCTTTTAATCCATGTTGCCAGATTATATTCTAGAAAAATGTTGCTAATTAATGCTCCAAGTAACAATTAATAAGAGGGCCTATTTTTATGCACCAATCCTAAATATTATTATTAGAAAGTCTTTTCTAAGTTGGTTGATGAAAAACAGTATCTTACTGTAATTTTAAAGTTGCATTTATTGATTACTAGTGAGGATGAGTATTTTATATACATTTCTAGACAATTTGTTATTCTTGTGTGAATTGCCTGTTTGTGTTCCTCATAATAATTTTAATTTATGAAGATTATCGGTGCTTTGAGGGCAGAAATACATCTCATTTTTGCTGGAGCCTGTTTTCATCAGTGTTGCACCCTGGATCTAGCCCATGCTGGGACCTAAAAGTATTTGTAGAGTGAATGAATGAATGATAATCCACTATTATATTTTTACTGGTTATTAATAGAAGGGAATCAAATTAATTTTACACACATTTATTTAGTGAGCAAAGAATGCCATTTTCTCCAAAAAAAAGTTTTTCTCTGAAGAAATTTTAACTTCTTTTCAACAATAACACCATTTATAGCCTGAATGGATAAATACAAGATTGGACAGATTTGGCTATTTTCATGTTTTTTTTTTCTTTTTTTCTCAGTAACTGTCAGATTTTTCTATTCTTGCTAGCTATTTTGGAATACTAAGACGCAAATAGGGATTTGTTATCTCATTTCATTATAGAAAATGAAAGCACCAAAATAAAACATTTCAAATACTCGTCATTTCTGGAATATTCTACAAATTTGTGCTTTCTCTGGATTGCATTCCACAACTGAGACAATACTCAAACTTTTTTGAGCTTAATTGTACTTAAACTGATCTGCTTTTTTTTCTCCAGAATATTTTGTTTTCAGCACAACTTCTATTTTCATTGAATCTAGGGATATGAAAGTGACATATTATAGATGTAGAGTCTTTCCCACCATTGCAGTTACATATATATGAGTAGGTGTATGTATACACACAAACATACATATATATATATTTCTTTGGGCAAATTATTTTTCTTGTTAACTTTTCTCAAAAATCCTGTTACGAGAGAAAGAGGCCACAATTTTCTGAGGCAGCTGCTGGTGTCATACATACAAACATACTCTCTGATCTGCATTGTTTAAAAAACCCTTGTTTACCCTGCATCCCACTTCAGTTTCTGCTCCAGCTCCGCTCCTTTTAAAAGAAAGCTGATCTCCATTTATCACCCTTACTTCCCATTTTCTCCCCAAACTATTCCAAGTGGGCTTTGGTTTTGGCATTGCTACAGAAGCAGTTTTTCTAGATCTCCTACTTCTTCCTTTCCAGAGCAAGCGTAGAGCTAGTTAACACTTTTCCGGTGTTCCACAGCCTCTCCTGGGACTCTCTAGGGCTGGGAGCAGGCAGAATTAGCAGGCCGTGTCACACTGGTCAGGCACATTTGAACCCACTCACCAAAAATTCATCATCAGCCTGGCCAACATGGTGAAACCCCGTCTCTACTAAGAATACAAAAATTAGCTGGGCGTGGTGGCACGTGCCTGTAATCCTAGCTACTCAGGAGGCGGAGGCAGGAGAATCGCTTGAAACCATCCAGGAGGCGGAGGTTGCAGTGAGCCGAGATCGCGCCACTGCAGTCCAGCCTGGGCAACAGAGCGAGACTCTGTTTCAAAAAACTCCCCCAACAACCACAACAACAACAAAAAAATCATGATGTAGACATAGCTGTGGACTCTTGATTTCCATAGTGGAATTTGAGAAAGTGCTCCTGGTATTTAGTGAGCAGGGGCCAGGGATACTAAACCATTTGCAATATATAGGACAGTTTCACCAAAATAATAGATGAAATGGAGTTATCCTGCACTGTTATCAATTATACCCTCCTTGAAAAACAATTATCTATAGGAAGAAACTAATTCCCTAAAAACAAAAGTTGAGATTGCAGAAATCAGAAGACTGGACAGAGTTAAAGGGGAAAAGCAGATATTACAACCAGGAAAGACAACTGGGAAAATAATATATACCCAAATCTAACTATACTTAACAAAGGAATTAGAAAAGGGGAAGATGCTTTGTTGTTATTAGATCGGAAACTGTGGCAGTGGTCCAAAAAAATCTTGGGTAGAAAGAGAGGGGAAGATATGTGAGAGCAGACTGAATTGTCTGTAGACCATGCTGAGAAGCAGGATCCAAAAAAAAGCTGTTGAGAAGTAGCTCTTAAAGCTGAATGTGAAAAATTCATAATATAGACAATTGGGAACCCACTATCTTAAGGACTGAGACTGCTATTTTGAGTAGTTACAAACATTCTGGACAGATTATAGAGAAGAGTAGGAAGATCAGTAGAAAATACTGGAAGAATTACAAGGGAAGTATCAATATGACAGTTTTGGGTGAACTTCATGCTGGATAAATAAATGGAATAGACTTCTAAGGGAAGACATAGCAATAATGAGGCATATTATGGGGAACCAGGCAGGAATAGAAGAGAATGAGTCCTGTTTGATGGGGGACAATCACTTGAGTGGGATTGTTCTACTCAGAGAGGAGAATGTGAACAAACTATTTGAACCCTGCATTCAGATTGGGTCTCTGAAATCTAAAGCTATAGCCGTGATCAGAGTCTATGCAAAATAACAAATCCAGAATTAACCTGAAGCCATGTGTTGGGAGTAATTCTTATGAGATTATGGATATATGCTTCATGGGTCCAAGAGCCTATTCCCTCCACAGCACCACCCTTGGCCTTGAATGATGAACAAAATAAATAGAATTTTAGGCAGCTTATCCACATTGTCTCCTATGCCTGGCACACATTTTTAAAGCTAGAAGCTTGCATACACTAAAGCTCCCACAGAACTTAGCATCAGTTTATAATCCTGGACTGCAAGCCTGACTGCAAAACACAGAAAAACTAAAAAATAAGTTTAAATCCCTATCATCTAGAAGGCCTGTATCAAACGAGACTATTGTGGCCAACTTCTGTACGTTGAATTTGCCCCCTCTCCCCACCTTCCTCTCCCCGGCACATAGGCTGATGCCTGGAGTCCCTGTCTGTGTAACAGCTTCTTACCTCTGCATAGTGCTACCATAAGCAGATGTGAAATGAACAAGGTCAAAATCCCAAATGACCTACAGTTTAAGGTCATTCACTCAGACCATAGCAGGTAAAAACCAAACTCACATGGCATAAAACAGGTCACGGCCAGTCTCCAAGCTTAAAACCAAAACCAAGTTGTACCACAAAATCTTAAATTCCTCACATGGCCTAAATTTTTCATGGGCAATTTACTCCCCAAATTGCATTTATCTTTGCAATGCTCTTAACTGATGCACCAGATGTCTAGTATATACACGTGGTCCCAGGTATGTATTTCCCTGCGGTAGTTTCCTTGGGTATCTGGTTTTCATCCATTCTTTTAAACATGGCTCTTCTGATCTCCATCTCAGGAATTGTTTTTGATTCTTGAAAAAAGAGAGTTGAAACATTGGGCTGTTTTGACAACTTACATAGGATCCTCAAATTCTAGAACCACCATTGTTACAGTACTTTTCTAAATAAAGCCATAAATAATTAAAGCCAAATATTAAGTATATAATTTGAAAGCACATCATATAGAAAGAATACCTGTAATTCTATCATATGGAGATAGTAGTCAATAACCATTTATTTTCTTTAGAGATGTATAGACACATTATGTATATGTGTGTATGTATATACATATATTTTATAAAATTGTAATAGTTGACAATAGCATGTATTGACATTTTCTGGTTTTAAAATAAGAATATATTATTATGGTGTAAAATTTGTTAACAACCAGATGTTATTTATATGATATTTTCCCTTATTTGATATTTAGGCTGTTTCCCTTTTTAAAACAATTATTATAAACAACTCTTTAACATTATTTTTAATTCAAGGGGACAGTTAGTTCCACCTGTAGATATTTATTTTTCTATCCCAAAATTGTTAATCGTATTCTATTGAATAACCAATCCATCATATATGCACTGATTTGAAATATCTTTATCATGTACTAAATTCATATTTGTGTCTGGAATTTTTATCAGATTAGTGTTGTAATAAATTCATAGTCACTGACTTCAGCCAAGTCCTTATTACTTATTTGTATATCTTCATGCTTGGCTTCCACTTTTATTCTCCTCAGGTATTAGTTTGGAACTTCACTACAGTCAACGCTCCCTTTTAATCTTGGTGCTAGTCCTTTAACTTCATCATCAGTAAGATAAAGGCCACAGTGTGATCTCTGCAACACCTTTGTACTCATTTCCTAAGGCTGCCATAACCAAGAACCAAAACCTTGGTGGCTATGACAACAGAAATTTATGCTGTCACAGTTCTAGGGGTTAGAAGCTTGAAATCAAGGTATGAGCAGGGCCATGCTCCTTCTAAAACTTGTAGAGGAGAATTCTGTCTTGCCTCTTCCTAGCTTCTGGAAGCTCTTGGCAATCCATGGTCATTCTTTAGTTTGCAAATGCAACATTCCAATCTCTGCCTCAGTTGTCATGGCCATCATCCCTCATGTGTCTTCACATTGTCTTCCTTTTGTGTGTGTGTGTGTGTGTGTGTGTGTGTGTGTGTGTGTGTGTGTCCAAATTTCCCTCTTTTATAAAGATTGCAGTTGTATTGGATTAGGGGCCCACCAAACTCCAGTACATCATCTTCACAAATTACATCTGAAGCAGCCTGATTTCTGAATAGGTCACATTCTGAGGGAGTGGGGCTAGGACTTGAATATATATTTTGGGGGAACACAATTCAACCCATATAAATCTCTCCTCCAACCACACACTACCCACATCCGCTTTCATTTCACTCTCCTTCTCTGGTATCGAAGGATGATGCCTTCTTTCTGTTCAGGTTAATTTCATGTTTTTGTTCTTTATTCCAACGCCTTCTATGTGTTCTGAGACTTTGCTCTATCAACCAACCACTTTTTTTGGTATTTTAATCTTCTGCCTTTCCATTAAAAACTCCCCTGCATTCTGACAACACGTCACTCTTATGTCCCTTTCTTATCCCTCTCCTATTCAAAATACCAAAGTTATCCTTTCCTTGAACTTGAACCTCTGTTTAGTCATAATTACTTCTTTCTCTTATTCTTTATACATTAGGTCTCTTCACTTCTATCAAGGGCATTAATGCTTAGGGTTTTCATAAAGAATTGCCGCTGTTGTCTTTTGACATGAATCATTGCGTGTAGAGGGCAATTAAAGAAAATCAAGACTGAGTTAAGATGTAAATATTGATTCATTTTGATTTGATTTTTCTATATGGTGAGACATAGAGTCTAGTTTTATTCTTTTGCATATGGTTATCCAGTTTTCTCAGCATCATTTATAGAAGAGGCTACTCTCTCCTTATTGTATTTTCTTCCAAAATGGGTTGGCTGTAAGTGTGTGGATTGATATTTGGGCTCTCTATTCTGTTCCATTGTTTTTATGCAGTACCAGCTGATTTGTTGTCAGGTAGTGTGAGGCCTCCAGTTTTGTTCTTTTCGTTCAAGATGTCTTTGGCTATTTGGGGTCTTTTGTGGTTTCATATTAATTTTAGTACTTTTTTTTCTATTTCTGTGAGGAATGTCGTTTGTATTTTTGTAGGGATTGCACTGAATCTGTAAATCGCTTTGGGTAGTATGGTCATTTTAACAATATTGATTCTTCCAACCCATGGGCATAGAATATATTTTTATTTAAAAATAAAGCTACTACTAGACAAAAAAGCTATGAAGCTACTAGAACAAAACACTGGAGAAATGCTCCAGAACATTGATCTGGGCAAAGATATTTTGAGTAAGCCTCAAAAGCACACGAAATAAAATCAAAACTAAAATGGGATTACATAAAGCTCAAAAGCTTCTGCACAACAAAGAAAACAATCAAAAACTGAAAAGACAACCTACAGAATGAGAGAAAATGTTTTCAAACTATCCATCTGACAAGGAATTAATAACCAAAATATATAAGGCACTCAAACAACTCAATAGTAAAAAACCAAATAATTGAATAAAAAATGGGCAAAAGATCTGAACACATTTCTCAAAAGAAGACATACAAATGGCTAACAGATATATGAAAAAATGGTCACCACCACTAATTATCAGAGAACTGCAAATCAAAACCACAATGAGATATCATCTCACTCCAGTTAGAATGACTTTTACAAAAAAGACAGAGAATAGCAGATACTGGTGAGAATGTAGACAAAGGGGAACCCTTGTACACCATTAGTGGGAATGTTAATTAGTACCTTCTTTTTTCAAAAAGACATCTGCACTTGTATGTTTCTTGCAGCACTATTCACAATAGCAAAGTCATGGAATCAACCTAAATGTCCATCAATGGTAGACTGGATAAAGAAAATGTGGTATGTATACACCATGGAATATTACACAGCCCCCAAAATGAAATTATGTCCTTTGTAGCAACATAGATGCAGCTGGAGGCCATCATCTTTTAAAAACATAACTAGTGAGATGGCTGCTGATGCTGCGAAAAGTGCTGCTGTGATTATCATCCTGATTCCAATAGGAATATTTTGGTTGAGAACAGTAAGGGTTGAAACTCAACCACAATTACCCCAATTTCATATGCCTGGAATGCATGTACAGCAAACTAACAAATATAGACGAAGAAGAATACAAAGAGTCTGAATGAACTGCCACTCCTGAAAGCTCCATAAAGTGATCTGTACCAACAGACAAATTAACAAGGAGTAAAAAGCAAGAACCACAGGATACTCAAACTAAAATCAACCACTCTTGCAAAATCAACACAAAACCAAGACAAGCATCTGAAGATATTTAGAAATAGTGTTACAGCATGGAACATCCACAAGTAGTATATAAGCTTTACTGTCTTTTGGAATTCTATAGGAATGTCAACAGAAAAATCCTGATAGAAACAAGGTTCTATAGGAAAATTGCTAAGAAGAAGTGGCCAATTATTTTTTCTACCATGTTGAGTGAGGTTTTGCATTTCTCATTCCCGATGACTAATTCTGCATCTTTTCTTTCTACTTCTTCCTGGTGTTTAAGTTCAGCTTGGGCCAATGCATGTTTTTTTGCAATCAGCGTATAAACTGGATGTTTCTCTGTTGGTTTCATTATTGCTGGTTGTGTATTGGGTATGTTAGGCATCCTCACACTGCCTGGTGGAGGCTTGAAGGGACTGTTGAGATCCACTCCAAAAGAAAGGAAATCAATATATCAAAGAGATGTCTGCACCCCCATGTTTACTACAGCACTATTCACAATGCCCAAAATATAGAATCAACCTAAGTGCCAATCAATGGATAAATGAATAAGTAAAATGTGGTATATAAACAATATTATCTAGCCATAAAAAGAATAAAATCCTGTTATTTGCAGCAACATGAATGGAAGTGGAGGGCATTATGTTAAGTGAAATACACCAAGCACAGAAAGACAAATATAGCATGTTCTCACTCATATGTGTGAGCTAAAAAGGTGGAGCTCATGGAGATAGATAGATTTCCAGAGGCCAGGAAGGGTGGGAAAGGAGGGAATAAAGAGAGATTATTAATGGGTACAATTATACAGTTACTAATAGATAGAAGAAATAAGACCTGGTGTTTGATAGATCAGAAGGGTGACTATAGTTAACATTAGTCTATTAAACATTTCAAAATAGCTAGAAGAGAATAATTTGAATGTTCCTAGCATAAAGAAAAGCTAAACATTTAATGTGATGGATATCCTAATTACCCTGATTTGATTATATGAATGTATCAGATTATCACATGTACCCTGAAAATATGTACATCAATTATGTCTCAATAAAAATAATTTTTAAAAATATGTAAATGTTGGATAGTTGGCTCAAATCCTTCTTGAGTATCCAGTTTTTTTCCCCATGAACCTGACAGCGTTAGGTTAATATTCATGAATCAGGAGAATCATGATGGTGTGCCCTGGATGCTTGGAATGTCCTTAAATTGTGGTAACAGAGAATTTTAGATACATTATAAATAATTGTCTTGTCACACTAACCTTAAGCTAACAAAGATTTGAGAACTGGATTAAGTTATCTTTCTATCCCCAGGACCTAGCAAAGTTCGGAACCTATTAGGTGACCAATAAATATTTTTT
This sequence comes from Homo sapiens, assembly GCF_000001405.40. NCBI lineage: Eukaryota > Metazoa > Chordata > Mammalia > Primates > Hominidae > Homo > Homo sapiens. The sequence continues at coordinate 96,389,721 of NC_000001.11, read as the reverse complement.
GATGAACGGGATCATGGATAAGCAAATGATGTCTATTCTGAGATAGCTGGTGTTACAAGATGATTTGTCCATATAAAGATCTGTTTCACACATTGATTTCATTAATGCAGTACTTTAACCAGGAAACAGGCCATTCAAGGTAAAAGTTATATAACACAAAAGAAAATGGAATTTTCCAAACAGATATTCTGTGAAGCATTGTTCATATACTATAGAAGGTAAAAATAAATTACTTTTAAAAAAAGTGCTGTGTGCAAATAAGTTTGGGAAGGACTGAGCTTTTTTACCCCTTATTTATTTAGGTCTTTCACATCTTTATTATTTTATTAATATTATTTTTAAATTGATAGATAAAATTGTGTATATTTATGGTGTACAATATACATATGTTGTGGAATGACTAAATCTAGCTAGGAAGGTTTTTCTTTCAGTGCAGAAATTCTTAGAACTCACAAATTATTTAGATTTGCATTTGGCTGCATGTGACAGGGATCTGATTGCAAAGATAAAAACAAGTAGGAGTTTATTTTTCTTATGTAGAAAAATAAATGCAGACACAGTCATCCAGAATGGAATGTCAGTTCCAGGATGCCTCCAGTACGCAGTCTCCTTTCTGAATTCTCCTGCAGCCTCCCTGGCATAGTGTGGGGCTTTCTTTCTCATGCTCATACGGTGGCTGCTGCACTTCTAGGCAGGAAACACCTGAAAGAGTCCAGGGTGGAAAGTGGAGAACAGGAAATATGTTCCTTTATTTCTGGAAAGAAATATATTTTTCTCAGTTGTCCACTTAGTTAACTTGTGCTTATGTCTCACTGCCAGGAAATAATAGGTCATGCAGCTATCACTAGCTGTAAGTGAGTCTGGAATAAGCAATATTTTTAATTGATGCATTGCTGTCCTAAAGCAAAATCAAGGCTCTTTTAGTTAAGAAAGGAAGAGGGAATGGGTATTGGTCTGCCAACCAACAGTGTATAAAACTAAGGTGTATTGTGACTTCCTAAAAACGGGAATATAGTCTTATGTGTTATTTCTTCACCTTGTTTTTCAAGATCTCCTTTGAGAAGGCTTTACAGGCATTCTGGCAAGAATATAATTGACATCATGACCGGAAGGTGGCCTGTCACTGACTTTAACCTTCCCAGCATATAATTCTGTCCTCTCTTAGGTAAATAATCAGAGACATTAGCTTTTTTCAGACTGCATTTCTGAAGAATATGGGCCTTACTTTTCTTAGGTTACAATACTCTAGGAAGGTCTAGGTCAACTGATAAGGATGCTCCCATATCAGGGAATGATCTCAAGCAGGAACACATAAGGATCTATTTAAAGCGAACAAACAAACCCTAAATAGAGGTAATCCCTGCTCTGTCTGGCTTCTTAATTCTCACAGTGAACGAAGTAAGTAAACTGGAAAAAGTATCCGCCAAGATAGTTTTTGTCCAACTGAGGTGGGATTGATGGTGGCAATGGTCTCGATTTGCTTACTCCTTCCATTAAAGACACTGAGTCTATACTAGCCTTGGCATAAATCATGTGTGGAACCAACAGTGTGCCAGTTCTGAGCCCAGGTCTTTAGAGGCCCTGTGTTTTTCTTCTTGTTGCCTCTTGCTGCTCTCACTTTGCCATGAGAATAAGGCTGGATGAGCCTGCTGGTGAGCAGTCATGTGGAATAGAGCAAGATGGCACACGCTTGTGAGCAAGTTCATCCAGGGTTGACTGTTTAATTGCCCTACAGCTGGCAATAGACACATAACTAAGTCTTGATGAGCTCAGCTTCGATCAATAAAATGCTTAGTCAACCTAAAGACTTGTGAGTAAGAAGAGTTTATTGCCATATGCCAGGGGGATTTTGTGTTTTCTGTCATGGCTGTTACACGGCATTACTGTGGTAACAGATAACTGATACACTAACCCAGCTGAGAAGGGGTGTTGAACAAGTTGTGAATAAATTGGAGTGTCTGGAATACCATTACTGCTATTGTGTCTCTTCTCTGCATTTCTTGCCTGAACTTGTTTTGAAAATTGCATCCTAACTTGTATATGAATCTCCTGAATACTCTTTGCTCTTTATTTAGTATTATCTTTACCACATCTTTTGAATGTTGTAGGTAACATTACTCTTTTAAAAATAATTTTTATTTTCAAAAATAAATATTTTAAAATCATATAATAAGCACTTCTGTCTCACCACACAGAATGAGTAGTTCTTAACATTTTGCTATATTTGCTTCAAGTCTCCTGTTTTATGACAGCATAATCCTACATGTAAAGTTGTGACCCTCTAATCTCCCAACTCCCCAGTCTCATAACCCTTCTCATTCCTGGAGTCAGCCATTTGACAGATTTAGTGTAAATCCTGCCAATGCATTATAAAAATACATTAACATACTATGTTTATAAATAATTATTTTAAAATGTAGGTTTTATTATTATTTGGGTATGGTGAGGCCAACAGATCAGGACCCAACTGCCATTGAAAGGATAGTTTATTACAGTTCCCAAGGGGAGGGCTATACCTCACCATGCAGGGGCTACAAGGGGAAGCACCAAGGTCAGTCAGAAGTCAGAGAGAGCTAGGGGAAAACACGGGCAAAGTCTTTATTGTGGGTTCTGCAGAAAGAAACAGGTGAGGCAGGGTGAATAGGTTTAACATTGACTAATTTGAATAATTTCAGCTGGCTCAAGGGTATAGGGGTTTTCTCTAGTTGTCTGGTAGGCCCTGGGGTGATTAGGGCAGGGGAATGGTGGCCCTGAGTGAAAGAGCCCTATGGGGGCCATATAAAGGAGGTGACGGTGGGGGGTCTGGGCTCTGGATTGGTTGGTTTGCAAAGGAAAAGTACACTCACAGGAAAGTCTTTTACTGTCTCTAGCAACTAGCTAGCCCTAGGAGGGCCAGTTTCTTCGGGGTCAGCAGAGCCCCCATCGTGTCATAGCATCAGAAATATAGAAAATAAAAAAAAAAGGATTACTACAACATTGCATATCTATAAATAAGGTATTACATTCCATGCATTTTTAATAGACTATTTTTAGAGAAGTTTCAGGGTCACAGAAAATTGAGTGGTAGGTATAGAGACTTCCCATATACCTTCTGTCCTCTACAGGTTCATCAACTTCCACATTATTAACATCCCCTATGAGAGTGGTATGTTTGTTACAATTGGTGAACCTACATTGACACATCATTATCTTCCAAAGTGTGTAGTTGACATTAGAGTTCCCTCTTGGTATTGTACATTCCATGGGTTTGAACAAATATATCATGATGTTTCCACCGTTGTAGTATCATACAGATTAGTTGCACTTTCCTAAAAATCCTCTGTGCTCTGCCTATTTGTCTCTCCCTCTCCGCCTCAATCCCCTAACAACCACTGATCTTTTTATTGTCTCGTAATTTTCTCTTTTCCAGAATGTCATGTAGTAGGAATTACACAATATATACCCTTTTCACGTTGGCTTTTTTCACTTAGTAATATGCTTTTAAGATTCTTCCGTGTTTTCATGGCTTGATAACTTGTTTTCTTTTAGTGCAGATAATATTTCATTGTCTGGATATACCATCTTTTTATCCATTCACCTTTTTAAAAACCTTTTGATTGCTTCCAAGTTTTGGCAATGATAAATAAAGCTTCAATAAACATTTGTGTGCAGGTTTTTGTGTAGGCATAAGTTTTCAACTTCTTTGGGCAAGTACTAAGGAGTGTGATTATTGATTGTCTAGTAACTGTATACTTAATTTTGTTAGAAACCACCAGAACGCTATCCAAAGTAGCTGTACCATTTTATATTCCCACTAGCAATGAAGGAGAGCTCCTGTTGATCCATATCCTCACCAGCCTTTGTTGTTGTCAGTGTTCTATATTTTTGACATTTGAATAGGTGTGTAGTGGTATTTTATTGCTGTTATAATTTGCATTTCCCTGGTGACATGGGGTGTAAATCATCTTTTGAGATGCTATTTAGCATCTGTATATTTTCTTTAATGAGGTGTCTCTTAAGGTCTTTGGCCCATTTTTAATTGTGTTGTTTCTTTTCTTTCTTATTGTTGAATTTAATGAGTCTTTTGTGTTTTTTGGTTAACAGTCTTACCAGATGTGTCTTTTGCAGATATTCCTTCCAGTCTGTGGCTTGTCTTCTTAGTCTCTTAACATTGTCTTTTGCGGAGCAGAAGTTTTTAATTTTAGTGAGGTCTAGCTTATTAATCATTTCTTTCATGAATTGTGCCTTCGGTACAATATATAAAAAGTTATTGCCATACCTGACGTCATCAAAGTCTCCTACATTGTCTTCTGAGAGCTTTATAATTTTATACTTTACATTTAGGTCTATGATGCATTTAGAGTTAATTTTTGTAAAGGGTGTAAGGTCTGTGTCTAGATTCATTTTTTTTTCTTTCTGCATGTGGATGTCCAATTGTTTCAGCACCATTTGTTGAAAATTACTCTTTGCTCCATTGTATTGCCTTTACTCCTTTGTCAAAATCAGTTGACTATATTTATATGGGCCTATTTCTGGACTCTATTCTTTCCCATTGATTTATTTGTCTAGTCTTTAGCCAGTACTAAACTGTCTTGATTACTTTAGCTTCATAGTAAGCTTTGAGGTTGGGTAGTGTCAGTCTTCCCAATTTGTTCTTGCGTTGTGTGCATTTTAAAACCTTATATACCTTTTTCCTTTTGTTTAATTCAAAGGTAAAAACAGTATGTTTTTTAAGAAATTTTTTATTTCCATACGTTTTTAGGGAAACAGGGGTATCTGGAACATACAATGTTTGGGTTTCCATTCCTGGAGTTACTTCACTTAGAGTAGTAGTCTCCAATCCCAACAAGGTTGCTGTGAATGCCACTAATTCATTCATTTTTATGACTCAGTAGAATTTCATCATATATATTTACCACAGTTTCTTTATCCACTTGTTGATTGATGGGCATTTTGGTTGGTTCCACAGTTTTGCAATTGCAAATTGTGCTGCTATAAACATACATGCACAACTGTCTTTCATATGATGACTCTTTTTCCTCTGGGAGATACTCAGTAGTGGGATTGCTGGATCAAATGGTAGTTCTACTTACAGTTCTTTAAGGAATCATCACACTGTTTTCCGTAGTGGTTGTACTGGTTTACATTCCTACCAGCAGTGTAGAAATGTTCCCTTTTCAATGCATCCATGACAATATTCATTATTTTTTTATTTTTGGATTATGGCCATTCTTGTAGGAGTAAGTTGGTAGTGCATTGTGGTTTTAATTTGCATTTCCCTGATCATTAGTGATATTGAGCATTTTTTATGTGCTTGTTGGTCATTTGTATATCTTCTTTTGAGAATTGTCTACTCATGTCCTTAGCCCCCTTTTTGAGGGATTGTTTTTTTCTTGCTGATTTGTTAGAGTTCCTTGTAGATTCTGGATATTAGTCCTTTGTTGGATGTATAGATTGTGAAGATTTCTTCGACTCTGTGGGTTGTCTGTTTACTCAGCTGACTGTTCCTTTTGCCGTGCAAAAGCTCTTCAGTTAAATTAAGTCCCAGCTAGTCCCATCTATTTATCCTTGTTTTTATTGCATTTGCTTATGGGTTCTTGGTCATAAAATCCTTGCCTAAGCCAGGCTCTAGAAGGGTTTTTCCAATGTCATCTTCTAGAATTGTTATAGTTTCACATCTTAGATTTAAGTCCTTAATCCATCTCAAGTTGATTTTTATATAAGGTGAGAGATGAGGATCCAGTTTCATTCTCCTACACGTGGCTTGCCAATTATACTAGCACCATTGGTTGAATAGGGTGTTCTTTCCCCACTTTATGTTTTTGTTTGCTTTGTCAAAGATCAGTTGGCTGTAAGTATTTGGCTTTATTTCTGGGTTCTCTATTCTGTTCCATTGGTCTATGGGCCTCTTTTTATACCAGTACCATGCTGTTATAGTGGCTATGGCCTTATAGTATAGTCTGAAATCAGGCACTGTGATGCCTCCAGATTTGTTCTTTTTGCTTAGTCTCGCTTTCGCTATGAGGGCTCTTTTTTGGTTCCATATACATTTTAGGATTGTTTTTTCTAGTTCCATGATGAATGATGGTGTTATTTTGATGAGAATTGCCTGAATTTGTAGATTGCTTTTGGCAGTATGGCCATTTTCACAATATTGATTCTACCCAACCATGAGCATGGGATGAGTTTCCATTTCGTTCTGTCCTCTGTGATTTCTTTCAGTAGTTTTTTGTAGTTTTCCTTGCATAGGTCTTTCATGTCCTTGATTAGGTATATTCCTAAGTATTTATTTTATTTTTGCAGCTATTGTAAAAGCTGTTGAGTTCTTGATTTGATTCTCAGCTTTGTTGCTGTTGATGTATAGGAGTTACCGATTTGTGTACATTAATTTGGTATACTGAAACTTTGCCGAATTCTTTTATTAGTTCTAGCAGCTTTTTGAATGAATCTTTAGGGTTTTCTAGGTATATAATCAAATCAACAGCAAATAGTGACAGTTTGACTTACTCTTTACTGATTTGGATGCCCTTTATTCCTTCCTCTTGTCTAATAGCTTTGGCTAGGTCTTCCAGTACTATGCTGAATAGAAGTGGTGAGAATGGGCATCCTTGTCTTCTTTCAGTTCTCAGAAGGAATGCTATCAACATTTCCCCATTCAGTATTATGTTGGCTGTGGGTTTGTCATAGATGGCTTTTATTATATTGAGATATGTCTCTTGTATGCTGATTTTGCTGAAAATTTTAATCATAAAGAGACACTGGATTTTGTCAAATGCTTTTTCTGTATTTATTGAGATGATCATGTAATTTTTGTTTATAATTCTCTTTATGTGGTGTAGCACATTTAGTGACTTGCATATGTTAAACCATCCCTGCATTCCTGTTATGAAACCCATTTGATCATGGTGGTTTACCTTTTTAATATGTTGCTGGATTCAGTTAGCTAGTATTTTTTAAAGAATTTTTGCATGTATGTTCATCAGGGATATTGGTCCGTAGTTTTCTTTTTTGGTTTTGTCCTTTCCTGGTTTTGGTATTAGGGTGATACTGGCTTCATAGAATGATTTGGGGAGGATACCCTTTCTCTATCTTGCGGAATAGTGTCAATAGGATTGGGACGAATTCTTCTTTGAATGTCTGACATAATTCAGCTGTGAATTTGTCTGGTCCTGGACTTTTTTTTTATTGGTAATTTTTTTATTACCATTTCAAACTTGCTGCTTGTTATTGGTCTGTTCAGGGTATCTAATTCTTCCTGATTTAAGCTAGAAGGGTTGTAACATTTCAGGAATTTATTCATCTCCTCCAGGTTTTCTAGTTTATGCATGTATAGGTGTTCATGGTAATCTTGAATGATCTTTTGTATATCTGTGGCTTCAGTTTTAATGTCTTCCCTTTTGTTTCTAATTCAGCGTATTTGGAATGTCTCTCTTCTTGATTAATCTTGGTAATGCTCTATCAGTTTTTTATCTTTTATTTTATTTTATTATTATTATACTTTAAGTTTTAGGGTACATGTGCACAATGTGCAGTTTAGTTACATATGTATACATGTGCCATGCTGGTGTGCTGCACCCATTAACTCATCATTTAGCATTAGGAATATCTCCTAAAGCTAGCCCTCCCCCCTCCCCCCACCCCACAACAGTCCCCAGAGTGTGATGTTCCCCTTCCTGTGTCCATGTGTTCTCATTGTTCAGTTCCCACCTATGAGTGAGAATATGCAGTGTTTGGTTTTTTGTTCTTGCGACAGTTTACTGAGAATGATGATTTCCAATTTCATCCATGTCCCTACAAAGGACATGAACTCATTATTTTTTATGGCTGCATAGTATTCCATGGTGTATATGTGACACATTTTCTTAATCCAGTCTATCATTGTTGGACATTTGGGTTGGTTCCAAGTCTTTGCTATTGTGAATAGTGCCGCAAAAAACATATGTGTGCATGTGTCTTTATAGCAGCATGATTTATAATCCTTTGGCTATATACCCAGTAATGGGATGGCTGGGTCAAATGGTATTTCTAGTTCTAGATCCCTGAGGAATTGCCACACTGACTTCCACAATGGTTGAACTAGTTTACAGTCCCACCAACAGTGTAAAAGTGTTCCTATTTCTCCACATCCTCTCCAGCACCTGTTGTTTCCTGACATTTTAATGACTGCCATTCTAACTGGTGTGAGATGGTATCTCATTGTGGTTTTGATTTGCATTTCTCTGATGGCCAGTGATGGTGAGCATTTTTTCATGTGTTTTTTGGCTGCATAAATGTCTTCTTTTGAGAAGTGTCTGTTCATGTCCTTCACCCACTTTTTGATGGGGTTGTTTGTTTTCTTCTTGTAAATTTGTTTGAGTTCATTGTAGATTCTGGATATTAGCCCTTTGTCAGATGAGTAGGTTGTGAAAATTTTCTCCCATTTTGTAGGTTGCCTGTTCACTCTGATGGTAGTTTCTTTTGCTGTGCAGAAGCTCTTTAGTTTAATTAGATCCCATTTGTCAATTTTGGCTTTTGTTGCCATTGCTTTTGGTGTTTTAGACATGAAGTCCTTGCCCATGCCTATGTCCTGAATGGTAATGCCTAGGTTTTCTTCTAGGGTTTTTATGGTTTTAGTTCTAACGTTTAAGTCTTTAATCCATCTTGAATTAATTTCTGTATAAGGTGTAAGGAAGGGATCCAGTTTCAGCTTTCTACATATGGCTAGCCAATTTTCCCAGCACCATTTATTAAATAGGGAATCCTTTCCCCATTGCTTGTTTTTCTCAGGTTTGTCAAAGATCAGATAGCTGTAGATATTCAGCGTTATTTCTGAGGGCTCTGTTCTGTTCCATTGATCTATATCTCTGTTTTGGTACCAGTACCATGCTGTTTTGGTTACTGTAGCCTTGTAGTATAGTTTGAAGTCAGGTAGTGTGATGCCTCCAGCTTTGTTCTTTTGGCTTCGGATTGACTTGGTGATGCGGGCTCTTTTTTGGTTCCATATGAACTTTAAAGTAGTTTTTTCCAATTCTGTGAAGAAAGTCATTGGTAGCTTGATGGGGATGGCATTGAATCTATAAATTACCTTGGGCAGTATGGCCATTTTCACAATATTGGTTCTTCCTATCCATGAGCATTGAATGTTCTTCCATTTCTTTGTATCCTCTTTTATTTCATTGAGAAGTAGTTTGTAGTTCTGCTTGAAGAGGTCCTTCACGTCCCTTGTAAGTTGGATTCCTAGGTATTTTATTCTCTTTGAAGCAATTGTGAATGGGAGTTCACTCATGATTTGGCTCTCTGTTTGTCTGTTATTGGTGTATAAGAATGCTTGTGATTTTTGTACATTGATTTTGTATCCTGAGACTTTGCTGAAGTTGCTTATCAGCTTAAGGAGATTTTGGGCTGAGACAATGGGGTTTTCTAGATATACAATCATGTCATCTGCAAACAGGGACAATTTGACTTCCTCTTTTCCTAATTGAATACCCTTTATTTCCTTCTCCTGCCTAATTTCCCTGACCAGAACTTCCAACACTATGTTGAATAGGAGTGGTGAGAGAGGGCATCCCTGTCTTGTGCCAGATTTCAAAGGGAATGCTTCCAGTTTTTGCCCATTCAAAGAAAAGAGAGAAGAATCAAATAGATGCAATAAAAAATGATAAAGGGGATATCACCACCGATCCCACAGAAATACAAACTTCCATCAGAGAATACTACAAACACCTCTATGCAAATAAACTAGAAAATCTAGATGAAATGGATAAATTCCTCGACACATACACCCTCCCAAGACTAAACCAGGAAGAAGTTGACTCTCTGAATAGACCAATAACAGGATCTGAAATTGTGGCAATAATCAATAGCTTACCAACCAAAAAGAGTCCGGGCCCAGATGGATTCACAGCCGAATTCTACCAGAGGTACAAGGAGGAACTGGTACCATTCCTTCTGAAACTATTCCAATCAATAGAAAAACAGGGAATCCTCCCTAACTCATTTTATGAGGCCAGCATCATCCTGATACCAAAGCCGGGCAGAGACACAACCAAAAAAGACAATTTTAGACCAATATCCTTAATGAACATTGATGCAAAAATCCTCAATAAAATACTGGCAAACCGAATCCAGCAGCACATCAAAAAGCTTATCCACCATGATCAAGTGGGCTTCATCCCTGGGATGCAAGGCTGGTTCAATATACGCAAATCAATAAATGTAATCCAGGATATAAACAGAACCAAAGACAAAAACCACATGATTATCTCAATAGATGCAGAAAAGGCCTTTGACAAAATTCAACAATGCTTCATGCTATAAACTCTTAATAAATTAGGCATTGATGGGACGTATCTCAAAATAATAAGAGCTATCTAAGACAGTTTTTTATCTTTTCAAAGAATCAGCTTTTTGTTTCATTTATCTTTTGTATTTTGTTTGTTTGTTTCAATTTCACTTAGTTCTGCTCTGATCTTGGTTATTTCTTTTTTTCTGGTGGATTTGGGTTTGGTTGGTTCTTGTTTCTCTAGTTCCTTGAGATGTGACCTTACATTGTCTATTTGTGCTCTTTCAGACTTTTTAATATAGGCATTTAGGGATAGGAACTTTCCTCTTAGCACCACCTTTGCTGTATCCCAGAGGTTTACATAGGTTGTGTCACTATTGATGTTCAGTTTGAAGAATTTTTAAATTTCCATCTTGATTTCATTGTTGATGAAATGATCATTCAAGATCAGGTTATTTAATTTCCATGTATTTACATGGTTTTGAAGGTTCCTTTGGAGTTGATTTCCAGTTTTATTCTACCATGGTCTGAGAGTACTTGATGTAGTTTCAATTTTTAAAAAATTTATTGAGGCTGGTTTTGTGGCCTATCATATGGTCTATCTTGGAGAAAGTTCCTTGTGCTGATGATAGAATGTATATTCTGTGGTTGTTGTGTAAAATATTCTGTAAATATCTGTTAAGTCCATTTGTTCCAGGGTGTACTTTAAATCCTTTGTTTCTTTATTGACTTTCTGTCTTGATGACCTATTTAGTGCTGTCAGTGCAGTATTAAAGTCCCCCACTATTACTGTGTTGGTGTCTGTCTCATTTCTTAGGTCTAGTAGTAATTGTTTTATAAATTTGGGTTCTCCAGTGTTAGGTGCATATATATTTAGGACTGTGATATTTTCCTGTTGGACAAGGTCTTTTATCATTATATAATGTCCCTCTTTGTTCTTTTTAACTGCTGTTGCTTTAAGGTTTGTTTTGTCTGATATAAGAATAGCTACCTCTGCTTGCTTTTGGTGTCCATTTGCATGGAATGTCTTTTTCCACTCTTTTACCTTAAGTTTATTTGCGTCCTTATGTGTTAGATGAGTCTCTTGAATGCAGCAGATAGTTTGGTTGGTGAATTCTTATACATTTTGCCATTCCATATGTTTTAAATGGAACATTTAGGCTATTTACATTCAGTGTTAGTATTGAGATGTGAGGTACTATTCCATTCATCATGCTATTTGTTGCCTGTATACCTTAGGTTTTTTTTTTTTAATTGTATTTTTGTTTTGTAGGTTCTGTGAGATTTATGCTTCAAAGAGGTTCTATTTTGATGTGTTTCCAGAATTTGTTTCAAGATTTAGAGCTCCTTTTAGCAGTTCTTGTAGTGATGGATTGGTAGTAGCAAATTCTCTCAGCATTCGTTTGTCTGAAAAAGACTGTTATCTTTCCTTCATTTATGAAGCTTAGTTTTGCTGAATACAAAATTGTTGGCTCATAATTGTTCTGCTTAAGGAGGCTGAAGATAGGGCCCCAATCTAGCTTGTAAGGTTTCTGCTGAGAAATCTGCTGTTAATCTGATAGGTTTTCCTTGGTTACCTGATGCTTTTGCCTCACAGCTCTTAATATTATTTCCTTTGTCTTAACTTTAGATAACCTGATGACAATGTACCCAGGTGATGATTTTTTGTAGTGATTTTCCCAGGTGTTCTTTGAGCCTCTTGTTTTTGGATGTCTAGATCTCTAGCTAGACTGGGGAAATTTTCCTTGATTAATCCCCCAAAGATGTTTTCCAAACTTTTAGATTTCTCTTCTTCCTCAGGAATGCCAGTTATTCTTAGGTTTGGTCATTTAACATAGTCCCAAACTTCTTGGAAGCTTTTTTCATTTGCCTTATTCCTTTATCTTTGACTTTGTTGGATTGAGTTAATTCAAAAACCTTGTCTTCAAGCTCTGAAGCTCTTTCTCCTGCTTGTTCGATTCTATTGTTGAGACTTTTCAGAACATTTCGCATTTCTCTAAGAGTGTCAATATTTCCTGAAGTTTTAATTGTTTTTAATTTATGCTATCTATTTCACTGAAGATTTCTTCCCTCATTTCTTGTATCATTTTTTTGATTTCCTTAAATTAGACTTTACCTTTCTCTGGTGCCTCCTTGATTAGCTTAATAACTGACCTTCTGGATTGTTTTTCAGGTAAATCAGGGATTTCTTCTTGGTTTGGATCCATTGCTGGTGAGCTAGTGTGATTTTTTTAGGGGGCTGTTAAAGAACCTTGTTTTGTCATGTTACCAGAATTGTTTTTGTGGGTCCTTCTCATTTGGGTAGGCTCTGTCAGAGGGAAGGTCTAGGGCTCAAGGCTGCTGTTCTGACTCTTTTGTCCCACAGGTGTTCCCTTGATGTAGTACTCTCCTGGCTTTCCTAGGAATGTGGCTTTCTGAGAGCTGAGCTGTAGTGATTGTTATCTCTTTTCTGGATCTAGTCACCTAGCAGGTCTACCAGGCTCTGGGCTGGTACTGGGGGTTGTCTGCACAGAGTCCTGTGATGTGTACCATCTGCAGGTGTCAGGAACAAAATGAACTCTACGAGGGTCCTTAGCTTTTGTTGTTTAATGCACTATATTTGTGCTGGTTGGCCTCCTGCTAGAAGGTGGTGCTTTCAAGAAAACATCAGCTGTGGTAGTATAGGGAGGGTCAGGCAGTGGGTAGGGCCCTAGAACTCCCAAGAGTATATGCCCTTTGTCTTCAGCGACCAGGGTGGGTAGGGAAGGACCATCAGGTGGGGGCAGAGCTAGGCGTGTCTGAGCTCAGACTCTCCGCTTGGGTGGGTCTTGCCACAGCTGCTGTGGGGGATGGGGATGTGGTTCCCAGGTCAAAGGAGTTATGTTTTCAGGATGACTATGGCTGCCTTTGCTTTGTCATGCAGGTTGACAGAAAAGTGGGAAAAAGCCGGCAGTCACAGGCCTCACCCAGCTCCCACACAATGCAAAAGGCCGGTCTCACTCCCACAGTGCCCCCACCAATAGCACCAAGTCTGTTTCCAGGCAGTGCATGAGCAGGGCTGAGAATTTGCCCAGGCTACCAGTCTCCCAGGTGCAAAAGCAAGCAGGGCTTTCATGCTTCCCCACCTGTGGAGTCTGCACACCAGAGTCACACCCTCCCCCAAGCTCAGGCCAAGAGACTTCGTGTTTGGGTGGAATTGTTACAAAGTTCAGGTGGAGACTGTCTTTTCCCTGTCAACCTTTCCCAGTTCCTCTGGCAGCCCTCCCTAGGGAACCCTGTGAGACAAGGCAGAAATGGCTTCCCAGGAGACCCAGAGAGTCCACAGGACGTTTCCCACTGCTTCGTTAACCCTGTATTTCCCTTGGCTCTCTAAATTGACTCAGGTCCAGGTAAGGCCAGAATCTTTTCCCATGATCTAGACCTTCAGGTTCCCCAGTGAGGGTGTGTGTTCAGGGATGGACAATTCCTCTTTCCTATTTCCACAGCTTGGGCACCCACAATATTTGAGATGTCTCCTGGGTCCTGCAGGAGCAATCTACTTCCTTCATAGGGTCTGTGAGTTCTCTCAGCTTTTCTGGTTTATCCCTGCAGTAGTTCTGGAGCAAAAGTTCATGATGTGAGTTTCCACACACTGCTCTGTTTGCATGAGAGCTGCAGTCTAGTCCTGCCTCCCATCCACCATAATTCCTCCAAATTCCCCTAACTTTATTATTTCATTCACTGCCATATTCAGTGAAACAAGAAATATGCATGTTAAGATGCATATAATTTACCTACCTATTTATTTTTCCTGCTGAACTTTTATGTCATGTTCCAACATAAAAATATTTCTCATTTTATTTATATGTTTCTTATTTTGGACGTTTGGATGACAGCTTTCTTACTCCTTTAAGGCTGCTATAATAAATACCTTAGACTGGGTAATTTATAACAATGGAAATTTATTGCTTATAGTTCTGGAGGCTGGGAAATCCAGGATAAAGGCTCCAACAGATTGGGGGTACTGGTGAGGGCCTAGTCTCTGCTTCAAAGATGGCAGACACCTTCTTGCTCTATCCTCACATGGTGGAAGGGGAGAACAAACTCCCTCAAACCGCTTCTATAAGGGCACAATCCCCATTCATGAGAGCTTTGGCCTCATGACTTATTCACCTCCCAAATGTCTATCTCTTAATGCTATCATACTGGCATTCGGTTTCAATATATAAATTTTGTGGGGATACAAACATTCAGAACATATCAGGAGGTAATGAGTTTTTATGTTACCAACAAGGTTGTGATGAGCATCCTTGTACTTGCCTCTTTGGACCTGTGTCTATAGGTATGCTGAATCGTAGAATGTGGCACCCAGAACTCTAAGATGGCTCCCACAATTCCTTGTACTCTAGTATACACAGCCTGCATCAACCTCTCCCCTTTAGTGTGACTGAGACTGTGACTATAAAGGATTTCACTCCCATGGTTAGAATACATTATAAGACAAAGATGAAATGAGTTTCAGATGTAATTAACATCCAAAATTAGTCGAGTTTGATTTAATCAAAAGAGACATTATTCTGGGTGGACCTGACTTATTCAGGCAAGTACTTACAAGGAACTGGACCCTTCTTAAAAAAAGAGATCAGAAGCATGAGGGAGATTTTCCTTGCTGGCCTTTAAGAAGCAAATTACCTCATTAACTGCTTATGGAGGGGGCTGTGTGGCAAAGACCTGAGAGTGGTCTCTAGAAGCTGAGAGAGGTTCTTGTTCAGCAACCAACAAGAAAATAAGAACTCAGTCATACAACTGCAAGGAATTCAGTACTGTCAACAACCAGTTATCTTAAAAGTGATCTTGAAACCTTACATCTAATCTACTTTCTGTCACTACAGATTGGATTTTATTTGCTATAATTTGTATAATAGAACTTTACAATCTATACTCTTTTTTTCTGGCTGTTTTCATTCAGCATAGTTATTTTATGACTCATCTGTGTTGCATGTATTAATAGTTTATTACTTTTATTGTGTAGTAGTATTCTAGTTTTTCTGTCCTTGTGAATATTTGATTTGGTCAGTCTTTTAAATTGTAACCATTTGATTTCAGCCTGGTGAGACCCTAGCAGAGAATCCAACCAACCCATACTCAAACCTCTGATTCATAGAAACTGTGAGATAATATGCTTGTGTGGTTTTAAGGTTATCTGTGCCCCAATTCTCCACAAAGGAACTTGATGAGGCCCAGATGTTTACGTGCATGTGCTAGGGTTTGGCACACAGGAGAAAAACCCTGAAATCATGAGACTTAGTGCTATATTGGGCAGCTGGTACATGTACCCCTTCTCCCACTAGAAAGAGAGACAAAACTTTACTCTGTAAACAAATCTCAGCAGAAGGGAGAGAATTACTCTGGATTGTAAGCAAATATCTCTGGAAGAAAGGGGTAAGTTGTTTCTGTTTATTACCCTTGGGATGTAAGCAAATGGCTCCAGGAGAGATATATCTCTAAACTGTATCCAGAGCAATTTGTGTTCTCTAACTTCCAAGGCATGTTTACCATTCAATCATGAAGTCTGGGTTATACAGAAATAGAAAAATATTCACGCAGCATTGCCTATGATCTATTTGTTAAGTCAAATGAAATGGCACCATAGGTTATATACACATGTACGTGTGTGCCTGTGTGTATATGAGTGTGTGCTAAAATCAGTGGTCCTTTTCCTTACTACTTCTATTCCCCAGTCCTCTCAAGAAGTAAATGGCTTCAACTCTTTCAGTCATTGCTTCTGATTCTTACCGCTATGTCTCTAAATAATCTGCATATCATATATTTCTTGATTTTGTAGTTTTATGGTTATCTTTTGACTTCTTGTTATAGTCTATTAAGATAATTAACTCTCTTAGATGTTCCTCCAACCCATCCGTGTTCCAAGTCTCCCTTTTCCTTTTTCTAGAAAAAGCCCTATCATAATTTGGGTTAAATAAATATTCAGATTTATATTTCCATAGTTATTGAAATATTCATTGGTGAATCAAATAGTGTACTGTGATAATAGCTTCTTTCTTGTATTACTTTTTGAATTTTTTGGAGTTTACTATTTCCTGAATTTTTCCTTTTTCTTATATTCTTAAATACCTATCAATGTTTAAACAATGTTAAGATATAATTGACATACAATAATTTTCAAATACAGTTGATAAGTTTTGTCATATGTATCCTACACATATGAAATTATTACCACCAGAAAGATAATGACCATTGGCATCAACCTCCAAGGATTGCTTGGGACTCTTTTTAATGCCTTCTTCCTTTTTATCCCTACCTTCTTCCATTTTCAGGAAACTACTAATCTAGTTTCTGTCATTACGGATTGGATTTTATTTGCTAGAATTTGTATAATAGAACTTTACAATGTGTACTCTTTTTTGTCCAGCTGTTTTCATTCAGCATAGTTATTTTGTGACTTATCCATGTTGCATGTATTAATAGTTTATTACTTTTATTGTGTAGTAGTATTCTAGTTTTTCTGTCCTTGTGAATATTTGGTCAGTGTTTTAAATTGTAACCACTTTAATAGGTATGTAGTAGTATCTCAATGTGATTAATTTTTATTTTCCTAGTGACAAATGATGTTGAATATCTTTTTATGTGCTTATTTGCTATCCACACATGTTTGCTGATGAAGTGTCTACTTAAATCTTTTGTCCATTTTTTAAATGATTTTTTTCAAATTACGTCTTGAGAGTTATTTACATATTGTAGATACACATCCTTTATCAGATAAGTAATTTGCAAGTCACTTTGTTTGTGATTTACAAACATTATCTTTTGGTCTGTGGCTTGTCTTTTTTACTTTCTTAATAGTGTTTTTCGAAGAGGGGAAGTTTTTAATTTTCATAAAATCCAATGTACCACTTTTTGTTTTTTGGATTGTGACTTTGGTATTGTATTTAGGAATTCTTTTTCTAAAATACCATCACAGAGATTTTCTTTTATCTTTTCTTCTTGAAGTTCTATAGCTTTCGGTTTAACATTTAGGTATATTATTCATTTTGAGTTACTTTTTCAATATTGTGGATAGGAGTACTTACTTGGTATATGGATATCCAATTGTTCTGGCACCATTTTTTGAAAAGACTATTCTCCAATGAAAATTGTTTTACACCTTGATTAAAAATCAATTCCTCATGTATCGATCTATTTCTTGACCCTCCATTCTTTTCCATTGTTCGATTAACCTTTGTGTCAATATCATGCTGTCTTGATTACTACATTTTTATAGTAAGTCTTGATATTGCAATGTCCCTTCTCACTTTGGCGAATCTCTGAAATTCTCTTACTTGATAATGCTTGCTTCCACTTGGCTGACTCTGGTCCAAAGGTGGGATGATTGCAACTCACAATTTTTTAAGGTTCTGATATCAGAATGATAGACCAGAGAATCAACAGCCCTTAGATAGCAATATTTCTCAAAGTGTGGCCTGTGGACCACTCACATCAGACATAACTTTGAAGTTTGTGTGTATGATATTACCATTTACATTCCTGTGTGTTTATGCCTGATCTATTTTTTTGTTGTTGTTGTTGAGATGGAGTCTCACTCTGTCGCCCAGGCTGGAGTGCAGTGGGGCGATCTCGGCTCACTGCAAGCTTCGCCTCCCGGGTTCACGCCATTCTCCTGCCTCAGCCTCCCGAGTAGCTGGGACTACAGGCGCCCACCACCACGCCTGGTTAATTTTTTGTATTTTTAGTAGAGACGGGGTTTCACCGTGTTAGCCAGGTTGGTCTCGATCTCTTGACCTTGTGATCCACTCGCCTCGGCATCCCAAAGTGCTGATCTATTAAATCAGAATCTTTAGGTAGGGGGCTCATGAATCTTCACATTTAGTAAGTTTACTGAGTGATTCTTATGGACATAAAAGTTGAAGAATTGCCTATGCTGGAAAAAAAAAACCCTTCCTTGTGTATTTTTCACATTTGTTACACAGATGAGTAAAACAGTAAAATGGATGTATTTAGTTAGGTGGAAATAAAGAAAATGCTTTAATTTACCTGTTCATTTATTTACTCACTCACTTTTTTGTTCAAACGTGACGAAAGATAAAGTATAAAATGTAAAATGTAAAAATGCAGGCCGGGCGCGGTGGCTTACGCCTGTAATCCCAGCACTTTGGGAGGCCAAGGCGGGTGGATCACAAGGTCAGGAGATCAAGACTATCCTGGCTAACAAGGCGAAACCCCATCTCCACTAAAAATACAAAAAATTAGCCGGGCGTTGGTGGCGGGCGCCTGTAGTCCCAGCTACTCGGGAGGCTGAGGCAGGAGAATGGTGTGAACCCGGGAGGTGGAGCTTGCAGTGAGCCAAGATCGCGCCACTGCGCTACAGCCTGGGTGACAGAGCAAGACTCCTTCTCAAAAAAAAAAGAAAAAAAAATGCAAAAACACAACTTGAAGAATTCATGGAATCTATTTTCAAAGACAGGATATGTTTCTCAAGTATTATTTATGCCTGTCAGATGATGACTCAATGCTCCCTGCAATCAGGAAACAGAGGAACACTGCGCTGGAAGAACTGCCCACAGGCATCCCCACTCCCAGGCTTTTTGCAGATTTCTTTTAAACAATCCCAGACTAAAACAAAACTAACTTATCCTTAAACCTCTTTAGGATGGGAAATTTTATAGCCTCCTTCAAACATTAGTTCTAGTGCGAATAATACCACTTCCTTCAATACAAGTTCCTGAGTTAAAACAGATAAAGATTCTTTATCATGGAAAATGCAAGGAAGTGGGGGGTGGGGGGGGGGGGTGCTGTACAGCCCATCCTGCCCTGAGAAATATGAGAATTATTAAGAGGCTGATCAAGCTGGTTCACTTTGTTTTTACTTTGGTCTCCTTCAGTGGTATGTCCACATCAGTATCATAATGTTTTCTTTGGTTCCCTATAACTCCCAATCCCTGCTAAGGATATGTTCTTGAAAACTCATTCACATCAATGGCAAATGATAGATAAATGCACAATATCTTACACTGTAGAACTGAAGTGTGGTACTTCAGATACTGTTAGTGGCAGTGAATCTGCATGGGTCTGCAATCACCTCAATTCTTGCCTCCTCAGAAGAAAGAATTTGACCAAGGGCCATAAGACAGAGTGAGAGATGGAGGCAAGTTTTAGAGCAGAAGTGAAGGTTTATTAAAAAGCTTTAGAACAGGAATGTGTGAAAGGAAAATGAATCTTGGGGCCCCCCAAATCACTAAGCTAAAGGGAAAAGTCAAGCTGGGAACTGCTTAGAGCCAACCTGCCTCCCGTTCTATTCAAAGTCACCCCTCTACTCACTGAGATAAATGCATATCTGATTGCCTCCTTTGGAAAGGCTAATCAGAAACTCAAAAGAATACAATTTTCTCTTATCTACCTATGACCTGGAAGCCCCCTCCCGCTTCAAGTAGTCCCGCCTTTGCGTTGAATTGTCCCGCTTTTTCTGGATAGAACCAATATTCATCTTATATATGTGGATTGATGTCTCATGTCTCCCTAAAATGTATAAAAACCAAACTGTGTTCTGACCCGCTTGGGCACATGTTGTCAGGACCTCCTGAGGCTGTGTAACGGGCGCACACCCTCAACCTTGGCAAAATAAACTTTCTAAATTAACTGAGACCTGTCTCAGATACTTGGGGGTTCACAAATGAAAGGAAGTAAAGTGCACTTCGAAGAGGGCCAAGCAGGCAACTTGAAAGATCAAGTGCACAGGTTGACTTTCCCTTAGGGTTTGGCATGCTTCAGGGGTCTTGTGTTACTTCTTCCGATTCTTCCCTTGGGATGGGCTGTCCTCATGCACAGTGGCCTGCTAGTGCTTGTTGTGGGGGCATATGCACAGGCATTTACTGGAGTTGTATGCATGTTCTCTTGAGGCTTTTCTTCCTCTTACCAGTCAAGTGTTCCTGTAAGGTTACATGTATCAGTTAAACTCTACCATTTTGCCTTAATGCACATGCTTGAGCCCACTCACCCAACTCCTGAGATCTTATTGGAAAGCTGATCAATAGTTTCAGGTTTTTCTTTTTTCTTTTTCTTTTCTTTTTTTTTTTTGAGATGGAGTTTCGCTCTTGTTGCACAGGCTGCAGAGCAACGGCGCAATCTTGGCTCACTGCAACTTCCACCTCCTGGGTTCAAGTGATTCTCCTGCCTCAGCCTCCCAAGTAGCTGGGATTACAGACATGCAACACCACACCCGGCTAATTTTGTATTTTTAGAGAAGACGGTGTTTCACCATGTTGGCCAGGCTGGTCTCGAACTCCTGACCTCAGGTGATCCACCTGCCTCAGTCTCCCAGTGCTGGGATTATAGGCGTAAGCCACCATGCCTGGCCTCAGGTTTTTCTATTGGGGGACTGCTTTTCCTTGGCACTGGCTGAGGCTAATTCTTATTTTAGAGAGATAGTTTAACAACTGCCTGACCATCACCTGATGGTGATTGACATTCCTAGTGCGGGGCAGGTGGGCCCTCTCCTGCCCGGCTCATGTTTGATTAGCAAACTACTGTGACAATATCAGAGCTGCATAAGATTGGTACTTTGTTGGATCCTCTCCCGTGTTTCTGAAATTAGTTGCAAAAAGCATTTTGTTATTCTGCTTTCTCATTAGACAGTCGTGGAGACTGTATGATATAAACTCTCAAAAGGGCCGATAGTTAAGAGCAGTCACAAAAAATGACTCTGTATTAGAGAATAGATATCACATCTGTTAGGTTTGCAAGATAGAGGACTTAGAGATCAAGAGAAATTTTACTTTCAGAGAATAACTGAGCATGCTAAAAGTTGGGAGGGGCCTTAATATACAATCATGCAAAGAAATTATCTGAGAAATGCATTGTTAGACAATTTCATCATGAACATCATAGAGTGCACTGACACAAACCTAGATTGTATAGACTGCTTCATACTGAGGCTATATAACATATAGCCTATTGCTGTTAAGCTACAAGCCTGTATAGCATGTTACTGTACTGAATACTGTAGGCAATTGTAACACATTGGTAAGTATTTGTGTGCCTAAACACATATAAACATAGAAAAGGTCCAGTTAAAAGATGGTATATTGGCCGGGCATGGTGGACCACACCTGCCATCCCAGCACTTTGGGAGGCCAAGGTGGGAAGATAGCTTGAGGCCAGGAGTTTGAGGCCAGCCTGGACAATATAGTGGGGCTGTATCTCTACAAAACATAATATAAAAAAAAAAAAAAAAAACTTAGCTGGGCATGGTGGCATGTACCTGTAGTCTTAGCTACTTGGAAGGCTGAGATAGGAGGATCACTTGAGCCCAGGAATGCGAGGCTACAGTGAGTTATAATTGCGTCACTGCACTCCAGCCTGGGCAACAGAGATAGACTCTGTCTAAACAAAAACAAACAAACAAACAAACAACTAAAAGGCAATATGAAAAACAAAATATGATACATCTGTATGGGGCATTTACCATGAATGGAGTTTGTGGGACTGGAAGTTGCTCTGGGTGAATCAGTGAGTGAGTGGTGAGTGAATGTGAAAGCCTAGGGCATTACTAAACACTACTGTGGGCTTTATAAACACTGTACACTTAGGCGACACTAAATTTACAAAATTCTTTTTTAATAATACATGAACCTTTGCTTACTGTAACTTTTAAACTTTATCAACTTTTACTTTTTTAAAAACATTTTGACTCTGGTAATAACACTTAGTTTAAAACACAAACACATTATACAGCTGTACAAAAATATTTTCTGGCTTGGCGAGGTACCTCATGCCTGTAATCCCAGCACTTTGTGAGGCTGAGGTGGGCAGATCACTGGAGGCCAGGAGTTCCATACCAGCCTGACAAACACAGTGAAACCCTGTCTCTATTAAAAATACAAAAAATTAGCTGGGCATGGTGGCACACGCCTGTAATCCCAGCTACTCTGGAGGCTGAGGCATGAGAATCACTTGAACCCAGGAGGTGGAGGTTGCAGTGAGCCGAGATTGCACCACTGCACTCTAGCCTGGGCAACAGAACCAGACTCTGTCTCACAAAAAAGGAAAAATTTCTTTATATCCTTATTTTTTAAGCTTTTTTTCTATTTTCAAAGGTTTTTTTTGTATACTTTTTAAGCTTTTTTGTTGTTGTTGAAAACTAAGACACAGATACACACATCAACCTAAGAGTATACAGGGTCAGGATCATGATTATCACTATCTTTCACTTCCATGTCTTATTCCACTGGAAGATCTTCAGGGGCAATAACATGCATGGAGCTGTCATCCCTTACAAAAAAGCCCTCTTCTGGAACACCTGCTGAAGGATCTGCCTGAGGATCTTTTGCAGTTATCTTTTTAAAAAATAAGTAGTAGGAGTATATGCTAAAATAATGATGAAAAGTATAGTACAGTAAACACATAAACCAGTAACACAGTTGCTTATCATCATTATCAAGTATTATGTACTAACCTATATTTTTGGCTGGCAGCACAGTACATTTCTTTACACCAGCATCACCATGACGATAGAAATTTTTCAGCTCCATTATAATCTTACGGGATTACTGTCATAAAAGTGGTCTGTTGTTGACCAAAATGTCATTATGGGGTGCATGACTGAACTGGCCTCATTATATAGATGAGGAAGCTGGGTTCCAGGGAGGTAAAGTGATGCGAGCTAAGTCACATAGATGACTAGGGACTATCTGTAATGTGGAAATCAGATACAGCAGCCTCTACATTACTTTGGTAACATAATTATCATGGGCTTACTAATAACCCAGAGCAAGTAAAGAGCATGCTAAATACCTTCTTGTTTCATAATCATGGCAAGAGCTCTGCAGTACAAATGCAAGATAATGTCCTCTGAGTCCAATCCTTTGTGGGAAGAGGCAGAGTATAAATAAATAAGCAAGTAAGCAAGTAACCTCCAACTTACACTCCCAACAATGAAGAGTTTTAATTTTTTTTTTAATGAGTGCATCCGTAGGGGTATGTATGTATATTAACTTATATTGTGTACTGACTAGAAAATGATCCACGATCTCTCGGAAGACCCATTCCCTTGATTAGTGGTAAGTTAGGTTAGTTAATTAAGGTTACTTTAATACTAATTAGTCAGGGCTTTAATTATGCTTTCAGAACAGGAACACAGGACTCATATGGTTCTTAGTGACCCAGTTAACTAAAGTGATAGGATTTTTGTCTTTCATCTAATAATGATTCATGATAAGGAACAGACGGAGAAAAGCTGATCCTAATGGGATTATAGAAGAATTCTTTAACCAGAGACAACCAGAGAGCAACAGAAGGTCTGAGATAAAAAAGCATCCTCTGTAGCTTCTGGAATAGCTCTGCAGGGAGAACAGCCAAGGGGCTGAAGCATGGCTGACTTTGTCATGAAGAGCTCCCAAAAATTGGCCCCAGTCTAGTGAGTCAATGGATTGTAGAGTATAAGCAATAAATGACGGCCTTAATTGCAGAAGGGGTGTCATGACAAACAGAAAACTAAGTGGAAAAAGCCTTTTCCCAATCATGGTAGTGGGCTTCACTTACTGAGTGCCCTTTGTATGCCAGACCATAAGACTTGCTGGAATTATGGAAATGAGTGTGTCAGGATTCCACTTCTCAAGGCAGAGATAGTCTGGTGGGATGGACAGATTTGCAGACAGATAAACTATGCTGCAACATGCTAAATGTGCTATTGGCAAATCTGTCCCTCCCACCCAAACTGTAAACAGACTGGAATGCATCCAATTTTCCATCAAATTCAGCATGAAAATGTGGTTAACTTCTTGCCAGTCCCAGTACTGTCTTTTGGTAGCTGCAGCCTCTTGTATTCTTGGATAACGTAGTAAGAACAATGTCCTCTAACTTGTTTAAGAAGACTTTTTGAATTCAGTGTCCTTTAGAAATGGGAATAAGCAATGTGACAACTCAAGACTGACTTGAAGAACTAAATTTGCAGCAAGTCATTGGATCTGTACGTGTTTGTGGTTTTAATGGATTATATCTATTTTCCATATTTGCAGAATACTTTGCAATCCCCATCCAGTAAAGCCATTTCCCTCTACCATAGAAATGGTAGCAGGATAATCTATAAAAATATTAATTTTTACTGTAACCTTCTTTCTTTTGCATGTATTTTCCTTCCTATATACCAAGTCTTTGTGATTCCCTGTCTGGGAGTCTTTTGTACTGTGGGCCAAAAAAAACAAACTAGTTTTGTTTTTAAAAGCCCAACCTCAATATTGTACTGGATCTTTGCTGCAAGGAGCCATAATGCAGGCGAAGTCAAGGCCAAAGCTTGGAGGTTGAAACATCATTATGGAGAGGGGTGGGGGCAAAGGGGAGGCCAGCCCTGGGCTTTACAGTTTCTAAAAGAATTGCACATTTTATCTGCTTGGGGTGGCTGTGGAATCTTTGATGAAATCTGTGGTGCAAGTGGAAATTTTGGATACTTTGATCTTGACAAAGACATATTGGAGTCCCCATTCTTAAAGAGCACCTGTTGACTTGAACAGTGAGCATACAGGCAATGAACTTCATGAACAGGAAACAGGCACTGGGCTTGGCTCTGGGGATCTCAGAGTCTGTGTAGCAGATCTTAGAGTCTGTGTAGCAAACTCAGTGATAACAAAGATTGAATTTATTGCCAGCTTTTTGGAATAGGAACTCAAAACACATATAATTTGTTTTAGGAAATTATAAGTAAAGTTGACATTAATCCTGTGTTGTGGCTTGCAAATTCTTACACATTACCCCACTCATATTCCATAATAAGCAAATGCATTCTTTGCTCCTGAATCAGGAACATATGTTCTCAGCAGTCTCATTTCTGTGTTCTTAGGACCCTTGATACCTAGTGCACAAAGCTCCCCTCCATTACCACTGGAAGACCCCCCTTTAGAATCTACATATCTGGCTAGAAAGAAGCTTAGACTAGTATTAGTTATAATGTGAACTCATTTCATACGTACTCGGAACATTCATGAATTCAATTCTACCTGCTAGTATTCTTTGGTACAACCACAGCTTTTATCTGGTACTCGACCACAGAACTAGTTTGTATTAATGCTGGAGCAAAATCAGTCTTCTTTGGACTTCTTGAGAAATTTGTATCTGTATAGGGTTGATATACAAAGGTTTCTGCTTTAGATGGACAATTTGGAAGATTTTCAAGGATAATTTTTGATTACTAAAATTTTGCCTTACCTTTTTTTTAATTCTAGAAACTAGGCTGGCACAAAAGTAATTGCAGTTTTTGCCATTACTTTTAATTGCTTATTGTCCAATTCCACATTGAAAGTAATGGCAAAAACTGCAATTAGTTTTGCAGCAACCTAATAGCTCACTAATATGACACTTCATCATTTTACATATATCTTTCTCAAATCACACAAATATTACTCATTAAATAAATAAATTCTAGTTTTTTCAACTCTATCCTGATGATATTACTGTAATCACAAAAGGAGATGCCACAGAAGTCTGAAAGTGAAAGGGAATGCAGATGACAGCAGCATCTTCAAGGAAAGGCATGGAGGATATTCAGGAGTTATAAAATCACAGATTAGAGAAGTTATAGGAAGAAAAAAGATAAGTGCAGATTTGACAAGTTTTTTTCTGGCTTTAGATCTCTGTTATTTAAGCTCGGTGCCTTATACAGTTCACGCCATTCTTGATAAGCATCCCCTTAAGTCTCTCTAAAAATCATTAATATTATCTTGCAAATAACACTCCGTGAGATTGTGAAACCTTCGTTTGCTTCTCCAGATCTCCCTCACTTATTTCTGGGACTGTTTCCATTACTGATATTCTGATGGCTTCTGAACTTAACTCTGTAGCCATGACCTCTCTCCCGACCTCCAGACTGTTTTTTAATCCAATTGCCTACCTGACATCTCCTCTGAATTTCTGAAAGGTCACAAAATAAATAGCCCTCTCCCTGAACCTATTCCCAGTTCTCTCCCCTTTTCAATAATTAGCCATTTCTCTAAGTGTTGCTTCAGCTAGAAACCATGCAGTGTTTTGTTTGTTCATTTGTTTTTGTTTGTTTCTGTTTCTGTTTTGTTTTGTTTTTTCTTTTGAGGTGGATTCTGTCACCCAAGCTGGAGTGCAATGGCACGATCTCGGCTCACTGCAACCTCCGCCTCCCAGGTTCAAGTGATTCTCCTGCCTCAACCTCCCGAGTAGCTGGGATTACAGGTGCCAGCCACCATACCTAGCTAAGTTTTGTATTTTTAGTAGAGATGGGGTTTCACTATGTTAGCCAGGCTTGTCTTAAACTCCTGATCTCAAGTGATCTGCCCACCTCAGCCTCCCAAAGTGCTGGGATTACAGGTGTGAGCCATTGTGCCCGGCCCCATGCAGTCTTTTTAATTCTGTTCTTTTCTCCACCCCAACATCCAACATGTCAGCAAATCCTGTCTACTGTTATTTGCAAAGTATGTCCCAAGTCAACTAAGTATTTTTCTGTTTCCAGTGCTGCTATCTTTGTCTCAGCACCCACCATCATTTTCCTGAAGTGCTGCCATAGTCTCTAGACTGATCTCTCCACTTCCCCTTCTGCTGCCACTTCCCTCCACATTCCAGGCTCTACAGAACAACTATGGTGAAGCCACAAAAACAAAATTCAGATCATGGCAATTCCTAGCTAAAACCTTCTAGTAGTTTCCTATTGCACACAGAATAAAGTCCAAATGCCTGATGTGGTTTAACAGTTTCTCCATGACTCAATGCCTACTCATCTTCATGAATCACCCTCTACCACTCTTTCACTTGCTCACACACTGTGGTTTCCCCTATGACCTTCTCTTGGGTTTTTGAAATGCCAAGCTTATTATGATCTTCAGGCCTGTGCCCTTGCTGTTAATGCTACCTGGAATGTTCTTCCCTCAGGATCTTCATAAGGCTGATTCTTTTTTGCTTTTCAAATCTCAGCTCTAGTAGCATCTTCTCAGTGAGACCTACACTGACTCCAGCTCTCAATCACATCAACGTGTTTAATTTTTTATTAAACTCATGGATACCTAAAACGCCCTTTGGTTTTTATTTGTGGGCTGGTTTATGATCTACCTTCACCTTCCTATGTCTGTCTTATTCTCTGCCATGTCCTTGGGACCTGGTAGGATGTAGTCACAGAGTAGACCCTCATGAACAAGTGGTAAATGAATGGATGAAGGTCTCTAAGGTGTATTTCATTTGGGTTCATTAATATGGTTTTTTGAACTAAAATGTGGCAATCTCCACATTTTTTTTTATCTTGCTTTATTTCCCTTTTGGGATGCCTGCTGCTAAAACCTCTTCTTGTCCCATAGCCACAGGGATGAGTTTCTGCAGCCTAACCCTTCTTCCCTCCTCACTTCCCCCACAGAGGGGCAGACAATGAACATTTCTAGCATGACCATTTCTAAAGCTGCATCAAGCTTTCTAGAGCTAGTTCAATGAATCCAAACAGTAATGAAACTACTTCTATATGAACCTAAGGAAAGTGCCTTTTGCTTTTCATGGCTGTGCCCAAACAATCTGTGCTCCTGTTTTTAGTGGCCCACTGAGCTCCCAATGAGATAGTTTTTTAGTATATATATTTTTTGCAGCCCTCATTCCCAAGGATTCAGATAGGAGTTTAGGGCTATTGTGGACCCGGGGAAATATTTGAGGAACAGACCCCATTTGTGCATAAAACATTTCTTCTCACAAAACTGGTTCTGGTCAGTGTCTGGGCCTGATACTTTCAAGGCCCCTCGTTCCTAGTGCAAATAGCTTCTACAGATCTTTCCGCTCCAGGCTGCCAGCCTTGCCTGGATATAGCTGGATCCCACCATGAACACAGCTTAAGCTCCAGCTGCTATCCCCAGTCCAATGCCAAAGTGATATTATAATCCTGACACAGGACTAATTAACCATGCCTAAGTGGTTAGGAAAGGATTCATGGAGGACAGAATATTTAAGCTCATTTCAAGGCGTAAGTTGAAGAATGTAAGGCAGAGAGGGAAGTGAAAGCAAAAAAAATGACGTATATATGTAAGGACATAGAAATTATACAATCAGGTTCTTAAGAGGAATTTAGTAGTGTTAGAGTAGAAGAGGAGGGAGAAAGGGCTGGTAAGGGAAGTTGGAATCAGGTCATTTAGGCCTTGCGGGCCCTGACAAGGAACTGAGTTTTAATGAATAGGGGAATGTCACTGAATGCATTTTTAAGCAAGAGACAGATGTCATCAAAACATTCTTTTATAAATATAACTCTGGTAGGAGCATATATAATAAATTAGTGTGGGGAGATTACTGGTAGAGAGATCAGAGAGGGGTCTATTACCAGGGTCAGGCAGGAGAAAAATAGAAGCATGGACTAAGGGGATAGCCATAATGGTAGTGGGGAAAGAATAAGAAGGATCTGATTTCAGGTGCATTTCAGAGAGGGCATAGACTTGATACTGGCTGATTGGCTCTGAGGGATTATGGAAAATAAGTTTCAAGGGTGATTAACCAAATTTTACTCTTGGAAAATTGTGAGACTTAATATGGCATCAATTGAGATAATTAATCCAAGAAGAGAAGGAATAGAGAAGAAGAGAGAAAGATGTTTGCCATGCTTCACTAACACAGCCCAGAAGAAAAGTCTTACATCGTAGATACAGTATTTAAGGTTGGGGTTGTAGTGCTACCAGGACAGGAAGATAGGCCACCCCATTGATATTGTTGATGGAATGGAGGGGTAATCTGACACATGTGGCATATTAGTAGTTTGTACTAAGGATTTTGATCTGTATTGAAAAGGTAAGTGATCCTCAAAGAGTCACTGATCCTTGTCTGACATTTACCCATTCTCTAACTTCCATTAGCAGTCTGTTGGCATTCTCGCACTGATATATACAGAGCTCTTTGCCTTTTCAGTCTCATTGCACAAACACTGAATCACTGTGCTGTAGGAAGGAGAAACCAATGTTTTGGTTTTTGCTTTTTAAAATTTGTGGTGCTTAAAGCAGAGAGGCATTAGAATACAGAACTAGGAGTCAAAAGATTTTGCTTCTTTTCCTAGTTGCTCAAGTTAGGTAGCCTTTCCTTTTTTTTCTTTTTACTTCCTTCCTTCCTTTTTTCCCTTCCTTATTTTTTAAAACTTTGGTTTCATCATCTGTAAAATGGTGATGAATGGTGGTGGTGGTTGTAACATTTTGGCTACTTGGCAGGAATCAAATGTAAGGATCAAGTGGGATAATGTTTACAATGATTCAATGTGTTGCTATTTACTTAAAGTACAGTAGCAGCAAATATTAGCCAATGAAATTACCTGGTATGTTGTACAGAATGCTCCATGATGCCTGGAGAAGATGACCACATTTCCATACCAGTCACTTTTGTGTAATAATAGAATAGTGATTGAGAACAGAGGCTCTGGAGCACACTGTGGCAAATGGAAGTCCCAGTCAGCCACTTTTCAGTGGAATGATCATACACAAGTTATTTGGACTCTTTAAATCTTTCTTTCACTATCAATAAAATAGAGAAAGTAATTCTTATTTCACAAATTTTATAGGATAAAGCAGATGATACAAGTATTGAGGATATTGATTTTATCCTATCACACTTGGGTGTAAGAAATGTCATATGATTCTTCTAAATAAAAACTAAATCTCACTATGAGCAGCCATTCACCAGGATAGTCAGACAGCTATTATCATTCATATTTGTTCTTTGCCTCTAGCCACAGATAGTTGTTTCCAAAGAATCTAGGAGTCTTATATTGTGTCTTGAAGGAAAACAATTCTCAACTCCTCAACCCATGGTAGTTGCTATTAGATGCTTATAGTTCAACTCTAATAGCAGAGGCTCTGCTAGTTCTGTGTCAAGCTTGGGTGTAGGGGCCTTTGCTAAGACTGGGAGGTTCAGCTTTTAGTGCCCCTAGCACAGCACACAGCCATTCACTCCAAGGCCTTGTATCTTCTGAGAGAGCAGAAACTGAATTAGGTGTGGATCTTCACTACCTGCAAAACCAGTCAAAACCCCCACCCCTTCCCAGGTTTGGGGTATCTCCCCGTCTTTCAGGTTCAGAATATTTGGCCTCGCTGCTTACAAACTTTCTCCACTCAGCCTTGGCATTTCCCAAGCAATTTCTCCTCAAAGGATCTTTAAAAACAATGTTGCTATTTCTTTCCTGGGGGCGTGGTGAAAAGCATATTTACCCAGTTGAAGTTGTCATGTGAAATCCCTGTTTTATGCATATAGATCACTTATCATACTTCCTAGCATGAGGTAAGTGCTCTATGAATGTGATGGAGAGCTGCTGTCTCTCCTGAGCCATCTTCCAGCTTCCTCAAGCTTTACAATCCTGCTCTGCGCCCAGGAGGCTGACATACAGGATGCATCATTGAGTTCCCATGTTCTCTGGCTTCTGGTTAGGCTCTGTCTATAGGGGGGATGAGAGACAGGGAGTACAGTTAGGTTGAGGAATTCATTCTCCTGGCTGCTCCCTGTGGAGTCACATGTGGCTGCCTCACTCTGTGGCAGGCTACAGCTTTTGCTGGATGGCCCATGCTTCATGGTCTTTTCTCTTCTTTTCCTGCCTCTTCATGCCTTAGATGTGGTGACACCTCCTGTGGTTACCAGCTCTAGAGTATTACCCCATCCTTTGTTGTTTTCCTCCTTTGGTAAATAGCTCCCATCCTCATTATTCTTAATATATATATATATTTTTTTTTCCCGAGATGGAGTGTCGCTCTGTCACCCAGGCTGGAGTGCAGTGGCGTGATCTTGGTTCATTGCAACCTCCATCTCCCGAGTTCAAGCAATTATCCTGCCTCAGCCTCTTGAGTAGATGGGATTACAGGCACGTATCACCACGTCCAGCAAATTTTTGTATTTTTAGTAGAGACAGGGTTACACCATGTTGGCCAGGCTGGTCTCAAACTCCTGACCCCAGGTGATCTACCCACCTCGGCCTCGCAAAGTGCTGGGATCACAGACATGAGCCACCACGCCCGGCCTCTTAATAAAATCTTTATTTTATTCAAGTATTGGGTTCTTAAGTGCTTCCTGGATCACTCTCAAAACTAGAGGAATAAATGTTGAGGCCAATCATAATCATTTTATTCCCATGTCAGCAAAAGATGGTCATGTGCTGCACTGCGGTCAGTTAAATAAAAGAAAGAGGGTTCCTGGGAGTACCTCAGAAGGTTTTCTTTACCCTTAAAAAGAGACACCTAATAAAAGCTTGTGCTTTTTATCTTTACATGTTGTGTGTATGGAAGTGATAGTTGGAGCCATTGGAGCCATCTTGTGACCATGAGTGAAAACCAAGAGAAAATCATAGAGAAATCGGACATTGTTAAGTTGCTGAATTAAGTCCAGAATTTCCTGCTGTCAAGCTTTTGTTATGGGATATAATTAATTTTCGGCAATTTAAATGACTTTAGTTGGAGTTTTATGTTACCTGTAGCTAAAAATAGCCTGGGGGATTAATCCCAATCTCTCTTTACACTTATTTGTTTTTAGTGCAAAAACAATTCCTAACAGAAAAATAATTATTTTCAATGTTTGGTAGCTGCTATTTTTTTCTATTGCATTGTATTTTCAAGTTAAGGCCATAAAATAATAAAGAACATTTGAATCTCTTTAAAGTGAAGACTTCCAGCGGTATAAAATTTTTGTATCATCTGAGAATTGGCACACTTCCGAGATGAGTGGGATAGGAAGTGGGAAATCTACAATTTCAACATATGTCTAATAGGGGTTAAATTTTTCTTGAGAGAACAAACAAAAAAAATAACATCTATAAGATTACAGAAAAAATGTTACCTTGCTTTTCTTAGAATTTCAGTTTTACTGTGGAAATTGTGGAGTCTGAAAAGGAAAAGCTATTTGCTTACAGAGTTAAAGGATAGACTATCCTGGAGACTCTGGAAAACTTTAGTATCAGCCATTCTACCAGTTACTGATTTACAATTTGCCAAATGCTTGGAAATTTCCTGGCCTATTGTTACCATGATGTAATTATTTGTTTAGCATATTTTCCAGCAAGAAAAGAGAGGTCGAAGACAGAAGTGGTAAGTTTTCAATTTCAGATACAGGTCAGAGGTAAAGGAGTCATATAGCTGAATTTTCCAGGAAAGACTCCATTTCTAATATGGATCAATTCATTCAGTTCTACTTCAGTGACTCAAGTATCACAGAACGTAAAGACCATAAGTCATATGAGTCATCTCTTTCATTTTTTTTTTTTACCAGAAACTCTATCAGTTGACCAGAAATAATTACAATTTCATAAATCCCCTACCTTCCTTAGGGAAGGTACATTTCCTTCTTTCTAATGCCTTTGTCATACAGAGACAGAAAATAAGGAAAAGATATCTGGGGATGGGAAAATGCTACTATCAACATTTATTCTGTTTCCTTCCTCTTTACTCCTTATTTTCAATTTTGTGTGCCAACTCAGGTAACCATCTTCCCACAAACCTAGACTGTGGTGGGGAACAAGGAGGGGGCAGATGTTGGCTCTGATAAATAGCTGCCCCTCTTTCTGTGCCTCTGCTACAAGGTACTTATTGATACAAAAATAAAAAAGTACTAAACATAGTAAACATAGTATCCAGTTTTTCTGTGTAAATCCAAAAAAGACATTATTATTGACTGGGTTCTATATCAAGTCTGGGCAAGTTATCCACAAACAGGATAAAGATAATAAACTCTTTGGGGCATCAGTATACCATACAGCAATCTCACTGTTCCCTAGAGCTGTGGAAGAATTCATTTACCTCACATAGGTGAACCTTTCTCTTCCCCAGAGAGCATTTTGTTCATCTTAGCTCACTACAAGATCAGATCCATTGTCAGCAGTAACAATTTGTACCTTGTTTTTTTTTTCCCCACTGGGTTGAAACTTAAAGCGTCTCTGAGTGGAAAATAACTGGCAATAGCTGTATCTCAATTTTTACAAAGGGGTCGAGAAGGAGAGAGGGAGAACCTTAGATTAAGATGTTCTTCTGAAATTACAGGTCCATCCAATCAGCGATAAAGCAAGAAACTAAAGCCAGACCTCAGAAAAACCAGTCCATTTATTCCCTAAAATCTTGTTTTCTTATTTGTTTCAGGTACATGGTAATTCTTGCCTCACTAGCACTCTTTCAAAGACAGTGAAAGGTCCGTTAGCATTTGGAAATAATTTTATTTTGCGGAATTTTGGAGCTGGCCTTGGCTGACTCTCTATTAATGTTAAAGAAAAAGTCAAATAACATGATTTTTCTATTAAAGCAAAGGTTTCTACATTAACACTGAACTTCAGGACACCACACAGAGCTGAAGACAGCAGTTGGAGTGACAGTGACACAGAAATGAAATGAATTAAAATTGCCACTGACAATGAAGCAGGAAGAGGTGGGAGGCGTAAAGGCTTGTCCCTGAAAATTTTACAGCATGGCTGATGCTGGAAGGAACAGTAATTTAAGACAGTTATGGACCTTAAAAAAAAGCAATAATGTTGAAGTCAGACCCAGTCTGTATGGAATGGTTATTATTTGGTTTAAAACTGTGAAGAATGCATTCACTACTTTGGTAAAAAGAGATACTGACCTTGATGCAGTGCAAATTTGATATGGGATTAGAGGTCCTTGTTCTTAGATTGCTGCTAAAGACAGGGGAGCAGCAGTAAAACAGCATCCTGGCGCTGAATAGGCACATGTGGGTGCAGCTCCACTTCAGTCAGGGCTTAGAATCAGCAGACGCTTGCATTTTAGGGATATAGTCTCAAAGCTCTGAGAGGACTGAAGACGTACTTTAAGAACACATATGCATATGCTCCCTCCGAGGGAGGTGCCCTGTTCTATTTGGGATCACTGTGCATTATGCAGGAAGTTGGTCACAGAATAAGGAAACGGGATTCCCAGACAGCACATCTGCATACCGGTCAGATCATAGCTCTCCTTTTACTGCCTGTGTTATCCTGGGCAAGATATATTCCTTCTCTGATTTTCAATTTTGCCATCATATGGGATTATAATTATATTTTGTTTATAATGTTAAGTAAATGAAGATACTTTTTCAATGTTGAGCACTATATAAAAGCTGAAAATTGTTCCCACTAGATTGGACTGACAAGGGAATGTAGGTTTCCCTTTTATTAAATATATGTGCATATTTTCATATACGCATTTGATATCAGTTGCTATCTGAGACTTGGACAAAATTGCAAAGAAGACAGAATTTGAATATTTCTAATTTTCCTATGAGCAACTTATCTACCCATTTCTTTTTTTCCCCTTTCCAGAAAACTAAGTCAGAGCAGAAGGAGAATTGAAATGGTGATGAGGTGAGTGGGCAAAGGTAATGGCGTGTAGGCAAAGTGTCAAGGGCGTACAAGATTTCAAGAGCTACAATGAGGTGTGAGACTTCAAAAAATAATTCTGGCTTCACTGAAGCTTAGCCCAACTTATACAAAGTTACTATACTATGTATTTATTGTATGATGTGGGCAAATTTTAATATGTTTTATATTATGCCAATTATGTGCCTAGAATTTTAGAAGATCTTAAAAGAACTTAGTGGGGATGATAAGGAAAGACCTGTTTGCATGGTAAGACCAGCATCTCACCATGGGAGAAAATGTTCAGCTGGACCAATAATCGGTGTACGTGTGTGTATGTGTGTGTTTGTGTGTGTGTGTGTGTGTGTGTGGTGGGGGATGAGGTGAGCACGCATCACTCAGCAGTAGCTAGGGGGACATTTTAAAAATTCACACATTTCTGTCTCTCCATGCAGGACATAAGGTAAGATGTGGGAAGTGACATTCCAGGCTATGACAGTTTTTTCTCCTCAATGTATTTCTAGCTCTGGCAAAGGTCTTAGCACACATTAGGCTCTCAATAAACACTGAGTGGATAAATGAATGGGTGGTCTAAGTCAGGGGGTACCTGGTGATGCCAGAGCAGGTAGGAGTAGAGGGAGGATGGTGTTAGGGTGTCCTGAGTCAAGCACTATGAAGTGACTAGCCTGAGAGTTACCCTGAATGAGATGAGGCAGCATGGGAAATTGGGTTTTTGGAAGGGATACTAAATAATAATAATAATACATTAACAATGACATTTTGAGTTTACCATCTGCCAGGTGTTATAATAAAAAACTTACATTCAGTATCACATTTTCTTATTATATCAGCTCTATAACACAGGCAGTATTACCATAGCCATTTATGGATAAAGACATACAGAAGTCAGGTTAGTTACCCAAGGTCACAGAACTAGTATGTGACAGAACTGGGAGTTAAACCCATGTTGGTCATACTTCAAATCTGAGCGCTCTTAATGACAACAATGTAGGAATCTGTAGGGCATACAACAAGCATACAAATAGAGCTCCAATTGTAGAGGGTGCTGGAATAGTTATTATAACACAGGTTATTGAAGCAGAAAACTGTTTTGAAGGGAAGGTGTCGGAAACTCATTTTATTAAATAGAAGATAAGGAAGAGACTTAGTTATAGGAGTAAGAAAGGAAACTGATTTGGAACTGGGTTGATTCCAAAGCTTAGACTGGAGGTCCTAGTTAGGAGATCAGAGTCACTAGTTGTAGAGAGTACTGGATCTCACATTCAGGGCACTCATGCTGATGTTGAGTTGTAAAGTTCTGTGTCTTATTTGAACCTGTCCTTTCTAAGTCTAATCACTCCTCTTTCCTTACAGAGGAGTCTCTCTAATGGGTCTAGACTATTTCTGGTTCTTAGCCAGAAATGCTTACAGAAGTACCTGAGTAGTTCATGAAAATATCTGTGTTTGAGCTTCACCTCAGACCAGTAAAATAAGACCTCCTGTGGGTGAAATCCTGGCATTATGGTTTCTTAATAGTTCCTATAGTCAATTTAAATGTGCAGCCAAGGTTAAGAACCGTGGTTGTAGGTTAACATTTCTGATCAAATTAACCACTATTCATGTAAATTTGGTTCATAGTTCTTGGGTGGCATATATGTATGTATTTGTATAGTTATTTATGCTTTTAAATATTTTTTCTAATTATAAAATTAAGACAAATTTATAGAACAATAAATATTTTCAAAAGAAGAGATATTTATTGTTTCCTGACAATGTGATAGAAATCCAAAAGACTCATGTACAAGAGCTGAAATTGCTATCAAAAAGCTCTTTTGAATAAATACAAGGAGGAATTTCTGAGAAATCAGCAGAAATTGCCAGAAATCAAACTGAAAAGAGAGTTGAAACACACATTTCTAGGCTTATGTTAATACTACGGATGCACTGGGGCCAGGGTTGGGTGATAATGGCCCAACGCCTAATGGAGAAAATGTCCTAGGACTGTGGAAGATGAAGGCTTGGAACTGAGACCCCCTGGAAAAGACAGGCACTTGAAAGCCTATTGCCTCAAAGAAAAGGTGAGCTAGGGGCCAGGGGGCTGGGTTGGGGAAGGTGAGTTGTCTATATTAGCCTGGGCTCCAGATAGAAGAAAATTCCCCTCTTGCAATTCATACCTTTGACACAATGCACTGGACACAATTTATGTACAATCTCATATTTGGCTGATCTTTCTCACCTCTGGAGCCTGGTGGCTGCTTCCTCGTGGGACTCCTGGCTGCTGCCTCTGTACCAGGCACAGCTGCCACCACCTTATCTGCCAGCCTCTGTTATGATTACTACACTTTCCATGGGAGCCGTAGCAGCTCTGGAGACCAGGCCCAACCAATTGCACCCAGGGAGACTTGGCTCCCTTAACCACTTCTGGATTCAAATAAAACACTATGACAAATTGTTTGGGAAATTCAAGTTAAAATAATTAACATAATTTTGTTCATAACACTCTGGCAAGCCTGATGAAAGCAAAGAACAAATCTCTTTTAAGAGAACCCAGATAAATTCAAAACCCAAATCTTGCAAGAGTCTCATAAATAAATTATGCAAAACATAAATTCACAATTAAACAACAACAAAAGAAACACACACATACACACACACACACACACACACACACACACACACACACACAGTAATAAGCCAACAAAAGCATGAATCAAGAGGGAAAAAAAACACAGCAAATGTACCATTCAGGAGTATCATGTAAAGGGAATATCAAATGGTGAATGTAAAATAAAATTTTTGTTTCCCTCCAGAAGCTAACTGCAAGGGAAGGATTCAAATGCAAGTAGTTTATGTGGTAGATGGTCCCAGAATATATCAGTAAAGGATTGGGAAAATTAGACAGAAAAGAGAAAGAAGTCAGTAGATGATATATCATCAAATGAGTTTCTACTGTGGACAATTGAATCTCAGTATCACTGGGAATGTTGCTAGCAGAGGTGGAACATGCTTCAGAGTTATCCTAACTAAGATACAAGGAAGCTGGGGATGCTTATTTATCAATTTCTTATCCATCATTAAATAAAGGATGCTTCTGGAAACATTAGGTCATTCACCCTTTGAATTTTCTTTGTGCCTGGGCTGAGTGTGCCCTTAGGATCAAGCAAAAAGTAATCAGGCAGAGAATAGCAAGATCCAGCTAACAGATTTTGGCATGTAGGGGTGAATGTCAAAGGGTTAGGAGCAAGAATATGAGGATTTGATAACTAAGAATGTTTGAAGAAATAAAGACTGCTATATATATATATTATTAAAATATATAAAATTATTAAAAGATAGAAAACTTCAGTGTCAAGAATCCTTCCCAAAATTCAAACAGGAATAATAAGAAATCTCCTTTTGAACACACAATCAGGCCTATCCCAGAGACTATAGAACATTAGAGACAAACAAGAGGTATTACAAGTGGTCGGAAAGAAAAGACAAATTACAGCAGATTTCTCACAGACAAAAGAAGGACAGAGCATAGTGTCTTCAAAATACTTAAAGAACATGCTGTCAACCTAAAATTGCATTCCTTAGCTAAACTTTATTCAAAGAAAGAATAAAATAGAAAAATTTTCAGACAAACAAAAATAGAGTTTACCACCAACAGAATGTGCCATATCTCACAAAGATATTTCCAAAATGCTTCAAAAAGATGAAAACCGACCTCGAAATGAAGATCTCTTAGATCAGAAGTCAAGAAACTATGGCTTAGAGATTGAATCCAACCTACAGATGGATTTTGTAATTCCTGTGAGCTAAGAATATTGAAAAAAATAACTTTATATTTTATAACAATATTAGATTTAGAGAAAAATCAAAGAGATAGTACAGTGGGTTCCTATATATACGCTTTCCCACCTCTGATCTAATTTGTTCTATTATTAGTTCTTATATTCATGTGGTACATTGGTTAAAACTGATGAAACAATATTGACAGACACATATATATATCTATACATATACATACACATTACTGTGTGTACATACAGACATACACACATATGTATGTACATACTTCTACCAATACACACACACATTATGGATTTTAATGTCTTCTTGGAGAATGACCCCTTTATCACTGTGTAATGTTCCTTTTTATTCCTGTTACAGTAGTTTCCCTTGAGGCCAGGGCTTTGTTAAGAAAAATGAAATGCTCTGGGCATATTTCAAAATGTTTACTTTTTCTCTCCTCCTGCCAAAAAATGGGAGAGGATTTTCCTCCAGTCTGGGCCCCTGAAAATAAAACTCACAAAGGTATAGGGATCTCCCTAAGACTGGATCCCCAGGAATTTTTAACTCTCAAGCTAGTCCACACTCAACCTCCATCAATTCGTCAATTACCATTTAAGTGTTCCTACCAGTTACCTGCTGCAGCTCCTGGTAAGTTGTGATTCTTATATTGTCCTCCCTCTCTAGTTTTCCAGGTGGTGGTATGTTCTGTGTCCTCAATTCTCTGATGGATCTAAAAGGAGTTGTTGATATTCAGTTTTTTAACTTGTTATGAGGTTGGGAGTGATGACTTTAAAACTCTTGATATGTCTCATCTGAAATAAGAAGTCCTCTAAGAATGTTTTTTATGTTTTAAAATGGTTGAAATAAAACAAAAGATGAATATTTTGTGGTACATGAATATTACATGAAATGTAAATTTCAGCATCAGCAAATGCAGGTTTATTTGAGTTATGCTCATTCTGTTTTTTTTTTTTTTTTTTTTTGAGATGGAGTCTGGCCGTGTTGCCCAGGCTGGAATGCAATGGCACGATCTTGGCTCACTGCATCCTCCGCCTCCTGGATTCAAGCAATTCTCTTGTCTCAGCTTCCATAGTAGCTGGGACTACAGTCACATGTCACCATGCCTGGCTAATTTTTGTATTTTTAGTAGAGACGGGGTTTCACCATATTGGTGAGGCTGGTCTCGAACTCCCGACCTCAGGTGATCCACCCATCTTGGCCTCCCAAAGTGCTGGTCTCATATCTATTGACTCTGGCGGCTTTTGTGTTACAAAGGCAGAGTACAGTAGATTGTGACAGAGACCATATGGTCTGCAAAGCTTGAATATTTACTCTCTGATCCTATACAGAATAGTTTTGCCATGGGAAATCTCTGTGTAGTTAAACAAGGAACAGTGACATGTGGATAAATATAAACAACCATTGACAGCATAAAGCAGAGTCATGAGCGGCCTCTGGAGCCAGGTTGACTGGCTTTGAATCCTGGCTTTACCACTTAATTAGGGGGTCACAATTGGGTGACATAAGGCAAGTTCACTAACTGCTTTCTACTTCAACCTTCTCATATCCAAAATATAAGGAGAACATAATTCCTATTACATAAGTGCTAAAACTTCAGGGGGTGGCTATGAGGCTTAAATGACCTAATATTGATAAAATGCTATAAACGGGGTCTATTTGTATAAAACTAAATACACAGTAATAATAAGTGATTTGATAAAATTTAAAAAACTAAAATACTGAAAAAAGTGATAATTTGTAAAAATGGAGGCAATGACCAAAGTTAAAACATTCTGAAAACCTTATAATGTTTGGGTAGAGGTAGAGATTTGAAAACTTCAGATTTGGTTAAATATGCTATTGTAGACATGGCTAGCTATCCACCAAGAATTTGTTCTCAGACATAGTATAGAGTTGATGCTGGGAGGGATGCCTGTCCACCAAAGACTATTATTCTATCCAGTAAAATATAAAAGGTAATGATGTTGGTCACCCAGTGGCCATGGCTCTTAAGAAGGGACTCAGTCTTCTTACTCTGTTAAATGAAGAGATCACCTACATCCTGGGGATGATGAAGGTACAAGAGCGAAAGGACCTTGATTCTTATTTTATCCTATAAAGAAAAGCCATTTGCTGATTAGGAACACTTGCATTGGGCTGACAGGTGTCTAAGGAACACATTTACATTGTATTAAGCAACTGAAACAAGAAGACTAGTTACAAAAGCTAGTTTTATACTACCCAAATGCATGTATTATATAACTACCTAGCCATTGGTGGAGAGAAAATAGAATGTAAAATGCCTGATAAATTCAAAAGCAAGCAGGAGAGGAGAAAAGAAAAAGAAGCAGAGAAATAGCCAGATAAACATAAAGCACCAAGTAAGTGGTAGGAATAACTCAAAATATACTATTAAACACAATAAATGTTAATGGAGTAAACATGCAGGTCAAAATATAAATATTCTCAGTTTAGATAATTAGTAAAATCTAAGTATATGCTATTTTTAAAACATACCTGTGCATTAGACACATAAAAGTTCCAACTTAAAGGTTAAGTATGTTAGGCAAATACTAAACAAAATAACCTGGTATAGCTATGTACATATATAGATCTCTATTACAGAAAATTATCTTCAAAGTAAAAACTTCCTTTTGGGAGGTAAAGAGTGCCAATATTTAATGATGAAAGGTACAATTCTCACAGGAAAATACAAAAAAAAATCTAAATTTATAAGTTCCTAAAAACACAGTCTTTATATCTATATATACAGTTCTCCTTCAATATCCACAGGAAATTGGTTTGGTTCCAGGACCTTTGCAGATACCAAAATCTTTGCATAATCAAGTCCTGAAGTTGGCCCTGTAGTACCTGCATAAAGGAAAAGTTGGGCCTTCCTATCCATGGGTTTCGTAACCCACAAATATTGTATTTTTGATCATCATTTGGTTGCTGATTCAGAACCCACAGTTAAGGAAGTTCAACTGCATTTATTGAAAAAATATCTGTGTATAAGTGGATCCATATAGTTTAAACCTGTTTTGTTGTAGGTGTAATATATTTTATATATATATATATATAAAAAATGGATGAAATTATGAGGAGAAATTAATGGATTAACATTCATAAGAAATCTTTAACTTATTCTTAATATGTAATAGAGAAAGCAGACAAAAACATTAGTAAGGACATGGAGGATTTGAACAACACAATTAACAAGTCAGATCTAATGGGCACCTACAACTCTATGCCCAACAATTAGAGAATGTATATTCTTCACAATACACATGGATCATTTGTAAGAACTGAGTATAATCTAGAACATAAGTCAGGTATCAAAAAATATCAATTTTTTGTTAAATATATTATCTTTTCTTTAAAAATGTATTTAGGCCAGGTGCAGTGGCTCATGCCTGTAATCCCAGCACTTTGGGAAGCTGAGGCTAGAGGATCGCCTGAGGCCAGGAGTTTGACACTAGCCTGTGCAACAAAGCGAGATCCTATCTTTATGAAAAAAGTATTTAATTTAGAAATGTAAAATGATAACTTAAAATCTATTTAGAAATTATAATAAAATACACTTCCAAATCATTCCTGGTCCTAAGAAAAAACCATATTGGACATTAGAAAATATTTTAAACTGAAAATGCACAAAAACATTACATTCTAAACAGTAGGGGATATAAGTAAACCATTACTTAAGATAGTTTTAACACCCTGATTATTTGTATTATAAATAAAGTTTGAAATCTGGTAATCTAAGTACCAAAGTTAGAGGAGTTAGAAAAACAACAGAATAAACTCTAAGTAGAAAGAATGATATCCTAACAATAAGAAAATAAATTAATTAAATAGGAAAAAACAAGAAATAAAGAGAGTCTACAAAGCCAAACACTCACTTTTTGAAGAGTTTAATAAAATAGACACCCTCTGGCAAGTCTGAGTAAGAACAACAAAGAAAAAGAGAATCCATTAAAGAATACTAACAGTGAAAAGAGTAGTGTCATAACCCCAGAAACAGAAGAGCAGGTTTTTTTTTAAGAAGATATAAAAATTTTAAGCCATTAAAATTGAAAACAAGCAAAATTTTCAATTTTTTGGAGACATATAGCTAGGTGACTCAAGAAGAAATTACAAACCTAATTCTTAGTGATGAAAAAAAACAAAATGATGGTGAAAAATCTCACTCCCCGAACCCCCATTCAAAATTGGATATC
This sequence comes from Homo sapiens, assembly GCF_000001405.40. NCBI lineage: Eukaryota > Metazoa > Chordata > Mammalia > Primates > Hominidae > Homo > Homo sapiens. Next base: position 96,347,237 of record NC_000001.11, on the reverse strand, counting down.
TAAGCCAGTAAAATAAGACAAAATAGGGCAAAATTTCAATCAGAATCCCAACTTTTTTTTTCCTCCTTGTAACTTGACAAGATGATTTTAAAATATGTGAAAGTGCAAATGGTTAAGATAGTCAAGATAATTTTTAAAAACAAATACAATATAAGGAGGCTCCTCTAATATATACAACTACTTATTATAAACTATAAATGATATAAACCCATAAACAATAAAGACAGTGTGCATTGTTCTAGGAAAGTTAAGCTTATGGAACTGAACAGGGAGATGAAATATGGCAATGCACAGGTGGAAACTTGATATATGGCAAAGGAGACATTGCCCACCAGTGGTGAAGGATAGGCCAATGATCAAACAGTGTTCAGACCTTTGATTATACATATGAAAGAAAAAATTGTGAATCCCTGTCCCCAACCAAGCACCATAATTAATTCTATGTAGATTAAATATTGAAATGTGATAGCAACAGTTTAAAATATTTTGAAGGAATTACAGGAAACTATGACATCAGAATAGAGAAAGTTAGATATTTTAGTCAATCATCTGTTTACTTTGTGATATGAATCCAAATATTAGGATTGCCTAGTAATTTTGACCAATGAAATAATTTTATACTATCATTATTATTTTCCTGCCCTGGTTGGTTCTCTATTATATATACAGAGCATTGGTGGATCACATTTATTCTTCCCTTGAGTGGTTATTGTTTAGAAGAATCAGTAACATTTCATAGTTCAAGCCAAGTAACTTGACAGCAAAGTTTAAATAGAATTCTTTAAACTTCACATATTAAAGTTTTCCTCTAAAGCAGGGTAAATATGAGTCAGAAATATACCTTAAACTAATAGGAGGAAATATTGTAGCATTTAATTTTGACTTTAGAAGAGTAACAAAATTTGTGCTTTTAATAAACTTATTTTTAAAAATGCAATTTATTGACTAAATCATATGAATGATGAACCAGAATATATTTATAAAGTCTGCATTGCAGTGGTATAGTTATTTGGAGCAGAGTGTTACAGAATATTTATAGTGATGTACATTACTGTTAATCCTTTTTTGATCTAGTATAGCACTTATAAATACAAATTTGAAAATTGGCATACAGTGCTTTTTATATCATACTTTTGCCAATGAAACATGATGATCGTATATTTTTATAAAATTGTTAATGACAAACTTGACTATAACATGATTTAAAAGTAAGATCTATTTTTATATAGTCTAGTTTTACAGTTTTCTGTTCATCTGACGGCGCAAAGGAAGCAAGTGTGAATGCTTTGTGCGTTTAAAGAGACAAAGCCAAGATAAGAGTGCAATTTGTAATAGTCCTCCTTTCACCCTTTTAAGAAACAAAGCAATTTCATTAATGCACTTATTTGGGAGTATTAGTAGTTTCAAATATTCTACTAATTAAAAAAATGTGAAAACTATATTTTTCATAGATGAGTGTGATAAATCAACATATTTTCACTAATATTTTTCTGTATCTGTCTTAGGAACACTAATCCTTTAACACACCTGCAGGTTTTTGGCTGCAATAAAGAAGTCAAGTAACTTTAAATGCTGTTTAGTCATCCAGGAAAAGGGGCCATCTATAGCATGCTACACCATAGTTTTTTCTTTTTGATTAGCATGGGTACTTCTGAGTGACCCTTGCATATTTAGATATGCAAGGAATTTGAATGAAAGATGGGAACAGACAATATATTCAGTGCACTGACTTTGCATGCTAATTTTCATTATCACAATTTCAAGGCTTTAATTCATTGTGCAGTATAGGGAAATAAAAATATTCTATTGTTATTTTTTGTTAATTCAAAGATGAAAATAATATAAGGTAATCAATAAGACTTCTGGTCTTTAGAGAGTGATTTTGATATCATAGTATAGGATGGTGCCTGGAAATCATTTTGAAGGGTATTTTTTGTTGCCTTTCTGGCATGTATTCTCTCTTCCCCTTACTATTTTTTTTAAGCCAAGAATATCTTTTATTATTACTATTATTTTATTTTATTTTACTTTAAGTTCCAGGATGCATGGGCAGAATGTGCAGGTTTGTTACATAGGTATACATATGCCATGGTGGTTTGCTGCACCTATCAAACTGTCATCCAGGATTTAAGCACCTCATGCATTAGGTGTTTGTCCTAATGCACTCCCTCCCGTTGCTCCCCCTACAACGGTCCCCGGTGTGTGTTGTTCCCCTTCCTGTGTCCATGTGTTCTCATTGTTCAACTCCCACTTATGAGTGAGAACATGTGGTGTTTGGTTTTCTGTTCTTGTGTTAGTTTGCTGAGGATGATGGCTTCCAGCTTCATCCATGTCCCTACAAAGGACATGATCTCATTCTTTTTTATGGCTGCATAGTATTCCATGGCGTATATGCACCACATTTTGTTTATCCAGTCTATCATTGATGGGCATTTGGGTTGGTTCTGTGTCTTTGCTATTGTAAACAGTGCTGCAATTAACATATGTGTACATGTGTCTTTATAGTGGAAGGATTTATATTCCTTTGGGTATACACTCACTAATGGGATTGCTGGGACAAATGGTATTTCTGGTTCTAGGTCCTTGAGGAATTGCCACACTGTCTTCCACAATGGTTGAAAGAGCCCGTATAGCCAAGGCAATCCTAAGCAAAAGGAACAAAGCTAGATGCACCATGCTACCTGACTTTAAACTATACTATAAGGCTACAGTAACCAAAACAGCATGGTACTGGTACCAAAACAGACATATAGACCAATGGAACAGAACAGAGACCTCAGAAATAACACCACACATCTACAACCATCTGATCTTCAACAAAGCTGATAAAAACAAGCAATGGGGAAAGGATTCCCTATTTAATAAATGGTGCTGGGAAAACTGGCTAGCCATATGCAGAAAACTGAAACTAGACTCCTCCTTCCTTACCCCATATACAAAAATGAACTCAAGATGGATTAAAGACTTAAATGTAAAACCCAAAACCATAAAAACCCTAGAAGAAAACCTAGGCAATACCATTCAGGACATAGGCATGGGCAAAGACTTCATGATGGAAACACCAAAAGCAATTGCAACAAAAGCCAAAATTGACAAATGGGATCTAATTAAACTAAAGAGCTTTCTGCACAGCAAAAGAAACTATCATAATAATTAACAGGCAACCTACAGTATGGGAGAAAATTTTTGCAATCTACCCATCTGACAAAGGTCTAATATCCAGAATCTACAAGGAAATTAAACAAATTTACAAGAAAAGCAGCCCCATCAAAAAGTGGGCAAAGGATATGAACAGACACTTCTCAAAAGAAGACATTTATGCAGCCAACAAACATATGAAAAAAAGCTCAACATCACTGATCATTAGAGAAATGCAAATCAAAACCACAGTGCAATACCATCTCATACCAGTCAGAATGGCGATTATTAAAAAAATCAAGAAACAATAGATGCTGGTGAGGCTGTGGAGAAATAGGAATGCTTTTATACTGTTGGGAATGTAAATTAGCCAATAATATCTTTATATTTGAGGGAGAAATTTGCTCCCTCCACTTTTGTAATCAAGCAATTTGGGAAAGACTGAATATATGACTTGCTTTAGGGGTGAGCATTTGTTGTCCTAAAGCCAGTCCAGAGTATTGTAACTTTGTTGCCATAGTTATTGTTTCAAGCAAAGGCTTGTGGTCCAATTCAGGCCAATGAGAGGAAGTGATTCCCAGGACATATACAGCAGCTACTACTGTTAAGAGACTCTTCCCTCCCTGAGAGCTTTTCTGTGAGGGTCTGACATCTGGAGTTGCTACAAAGATTTGCAAAAATTCAGGAATACTCTGGAACTCTCAGGGGACTACCAGGGCAGTGTGGTAATACAGCTAATGGAGAAGCAGAGTAGAATGACCATGAGATAGAAGGTCCTGGGAAATCTTATTTGAGGTGGGAAATCAAGCCTCATTTTGACTTTTCAGTAACATAGGTTAATATTCCCTTTATATTTTAAAGTCATTTTGACTTTAGAACTTTTAACTTAATTTCATTTTTTGTCACTTGTTACTGAAACATTCCTATTACAAATGATATATGAATATTTTGACTTTGAGGAACTAGTGAGGGAAAGACATCTTGATTGTTATTCCAGGATTCTTTGGTTGCAAATAATGGAAAGGTACAAACTGGAGAATAAGAATTATTGGAAAGATTTGTAGACATATGGAACCAAACTGCAAAAACCAACCAACCAACCAAACAAAAAACCTAGCTTTTCGCCATATTTAATGGGATCTCAAGCTTCGGTCTCTCTCTGTCTCTCTATCCCTATCCCTTTCTTTCTTCTTCATCACGTGCACATACTCATGTCCTTTCTCTGGGCATGTCTACTCCAACTTTGGTGCTCGAATTCAATAGGCCTACCTGAATATCCATGATCTTCTTTCTCTAAATCTTCCACCACAAACTACATCTCCAGTGTTCTCTTATCTGATGTTGGAGCAACCATACATCGTTACACTAAACAGAAGATTTTCAGTTATTTTTATTTTACCTTTCTCTCAGCTTTAAGCACATTCAATACATTACCAAGCCCTGTACTTTTTTACATCCAAAGTAATTTTCAAATTAATCTATTTCTATGCCACTACTGCTAATACCCCAGGATAATACTAATCATCTTGAGCCTTGTCTATTACAATAGCCTCTTTTCTATTCTAATTTCTACCTTCAGTCCATTTTCCACGTTGTAGCCAGGGATAAATCAACCACCTTTAAATAAGTATCTATTATATTTAGAATATCGTTGAAACTTCTTGCCATGGCCTAACAGATTCTGAATGATTTGGTCATTCTGAAACTATGCCAGATTCTCTCCCATCTTGGGACATTTACACATGCTGCTTCCATAACTTATTTATTATTTATTTTATTGAATTTTCCCTGAAATCTGCAAATTCCTAGAGTCATTGCATTCCCTGAAATTTTGTCCAATATGTAAGAGCTTTATTGAGATAAGATTCAAATGCAGTGACACTCTTTTCGTCTGTTACATGGCATAAAGAGCCCCAAAAGTTCAGAAGGTGATCTTAGCTTTAATTCGGCTCTAACTCTGTTTTCTGGTGGAAGAATTCTTCTAGCTGGCTCTAATACCACCTGAACTACTGAATCTAAGTTTGAAGAAAGGGAGGAAAAGCTTTCTCTAACAGTTTATTTGGAGTAATAATGAGAGGAATCATTCTCAGCTCTATAACTTGATTCCCAGACCTGTTAATTCTGGCTATAGGGTAGTGGCACTAACTATCAACTGCTGGTTTAGGAATATACTTTATCCTTTTAGTTAGATCCCTGGTTTCCCATGATGTTGTTTTCTACTCAGTGCCCAAATTGTGGCTTCAGCAGTACATTTCACCATTCCGTTTAGCCATCTGTTTTCTGGGTGATGATGGCATATGGCAAGGGCCAGTCAGTTACGTGAACAGAAGTCTACTGTTACACATCCTTTTCTGTAATATATGTAGCCCATTATAAGGTTATTTCTGTGGTATACCATGGCTGAAGATGATAAGGTATTTGGAAGGGTGGTATCGGCAAAAGTGCTGTCAACAGTTAAGGTACTTATGCATCCAAAATGTGTGTCTATCTCTGTGAGAACAAATCACTGTCTCTTCCATGATAGAAAAGTTTATTGTAATCAACTGTCACCAGGTAGCAGGCCAGTCTCTGCTGGAGAATGGTGTCATATCAGATTTCTCGTGGCAGGTTGGCCATTTGGCATGGTGGCAGCAAAATCAGTCTTTATGAGGGGAAATAGAAGGTGTTGAACATGTGAATAGCCTTCAACTTTACTCCCCACAAATACTCTGTATGTAGGTCATTTTAGCAACCACTGGGGAAGCAGGAGAATGAGGCTAACTGAGATAGCCACAGGAAAGAACACCCTGACAACCTGATTATTGAAAGCATTCTTTATAGTGGATTTGTTCTGGTGGGCATTTATGTGGAAAAAATATTTTCACACTTTGTACTCTTTCCAGGAAGTTCTGTTGAAACTGTCTCAGAAGACACCACTCTTAAAATTTTATTCTTTCCATGTTCCCAATCATTTAGACAACCTGGTGGCCACTATTTATAAATCAGTATGGTCCTGAACCTGAGACTATCTTTCTGTGTAAAACAGGCAATCAGATGTGCTACCTCAATTTCTGACCACAGGAACTATTTCCTCACTCTATTTTATTTCAAGGCTTTCTCTGAGTTGGACTACATTGCAGTGACTATCAACTTCTGATTTAAATGAGCATATTAAGCAGGTCTATCTATAAACCATAGCCCTGTTTTTCTTTCCCCATTTATTGGTCACAGGGAATTCCCATGAGGTCACATGTGTGGGTTGTGGGAGTGTCATAGTCTGTTTTCTGCTGCTTATGACAGAATACCTGAAACTGGGTAATTTGTAAGAAACAAAATCTATTTCTTACAGTTCTGGAAAATGAGAAGTCCAAGGTCAAGGGGGCACATCTGGTGAGAGCCTGGTTGCTATTGAGAACTTTCTGCAGCATCCTGAGGTGGCACAGGGAATCATGTGAGGGGTGAGGGGGATAAGCATGGTCACTCAGGTCTTTCTTCTTCTTCTAAAGTTCCCATGAACTACTTAATTCTTGAATTAATGGGTTATCATGGAAGTGGGACTGGGGACTTTATAAGAATGGGTTAATGGATTAATGGACCTAATAGCATTTTAAAGGCTCCACCTCTCCATACTGCCACATTAGAGATTCAATTTCAACATGAGCTTCGGAGGGGACTTATGTTCAGTCATTGCAGGAAGGGGTGGTGAATTTGCAAGCTTGCACACAAAAAAACTAGAAATCTGTACAGGTTCACATATATGGTTTATGTTGCTTCCCAAACACAGAGAAACTTACCAAGAATTGCACTTTTGTGTGTGTGTGTGTTTGTGTGTGTGTGCTCTCAGTACAATATATAGCAACTTGTCTTTTACTAAGAAGAGGATATACTGACAGTCCTTGGACTATTAGATCTTCAGAATATAATATTCTCCTGAATTTTTATAGGCCTTATTTTCTACTTTCTGGCATGCACATGTCTCACCAAAGCATCGAAAATGCTTGCCCTTCCTGTTCATTAGATCCAGTTAGCAAAATGTCACAAGTGTAATGGACCAGGGTTATGTTCTGTAGGATACCAAGATGATCAAGGGGCCCTCAAGACTATATTATGACACCACGGGAGAGGTGCCATAGCTTTGAGGCAAGACCATAAATGTATGCTGTGGTATCTGTGAAGGCAAATTCTTGATTATCTTTGCTTAAAGGTATAGAAAAAGAATTCCAGGTTAATTAGGTCAATAGCTGCATGCTAGCTGCCAGGGATTGGGCTGATTTCCTTCATTAAAGACATCACATGCAGAAAATTCACTTGTTATTGGTATTTCCCCCTAATTAAGTCTATAATAATCTACTTTCATTTTTCCATGACCCATTTGGTTTGTGAACCAGACAAACAACTATGAGAAATTGGAATATTATAGATCTTACATGAATGTTTAAAGTATTTAAAGATTTTACTAACCTCTATAATTACTCCAGGAATGCAAAATTGCATTTGGCTTACTTTTCTTGACAGAGGAAAAGAGAGGAGGAAGGTGGAGAGTTCTATGGGTTTTCATGTAACATTTTCTACCTGCTATGTTTCCAAACCTTCCTGATCTGAATGTTCCCAAAAATTGTATGTTGAAACCTAACCCTCAAGGTGATAGAATTAAGAGATGGAACCTTTGGGAGGTAATTAGGTAATGAGACCAGAGACCTCATGAATGGGATTAGTGCCCTTATAAAAGAGGCCTGAGTGAGGGAGCACTTTTACCTTTTCACCATGTGAGGACTAGCTAGAAAGTACCATCTTAGAAACAGAGTGAGCCCTCACCAAGTACTGAACCTGCTGGAGCCTGGATCTAGCACTTCCCAGCCTCCAGAACTTGGGTAATAGTTTTTAAATTACCCAGTATATTTTGTTATAGCCACCAGAATGGACTGAGACACTATCAAAATAGATTTAACTCAACGGTTCTCCTTCTTCCCACTACTAACCTGATTTTAGCACAGGGCATTTAAGCATCTAATCTGTATTGCCATCATATAACCCTTTAACAATCAAGTTTTGGGCTTGGTTGGCAGCCGTTATCTTCCCTGTGATGACAATAGATGAGAGGTCTCTCAGAGCTGCCATTAAGGCTTATGATTTTTAGCTCAGATCTTGAGTTAGAAATTCACAGCCTTCAATTTTTTCTTAGGTAATCTCTGTAGGATCATCTGAAACATTCAGCTGATGTCATAATCACTATAATCATTATTGCTGTCACAGTGATCAATTAACATAGCCATTTGTTCTCCCAGTGTCTTGTTCTCCTGCGGTACTTCCTCTTATGCTATCATTAAAGTCCCTCTGGACTAGTAAGGGTGGGGAGGCTGTTACTACTCCTCGGCCTAAAAGGGTAATAAGAGGGAATTTTTGCTACAATTAGAAAAAACAACTGTACAGAGAAAGGCAACTGACAGGAGTTATAGCCTTTAGTAGAAAGGCTTAATAAAACCCATGCCTTAATAAAACAGAAATAAATAAATAAATAAAACAGAAAATAAATACCTAATTTATTTTTCTCCCATCCTATAACATCCTTTATCCATTGGCCAAATTCAACCTGAAGTCAGAGGTAAAGGCAACCCCATTAACAAAGTCCATGTGAGTCAGCTTTCTGCTGCACAGAGCAGAGAGAAGGGTGAATTTGGTAAGACAAAGAGAAAATATCTACAACCCAAATCTTCAGTTGGCTAAGTCAACTCACCTTTTGTTTCTTAGCTCACATGTTATTTTCTCATAGCTTTCCTAAAGCCCTAAATACAAAATTGTGCATCAGCTGTCTTTACTCTTAGGACATCGTTGTTTATCTTTCTAGGTCTTGTTACATTATCTAACTATATATGATTTAGTTGGGTCTATAGGTTAATTTACATAATGACTCACTTCTTTCTCTCTTCTTTTAACTTTTATTTTAGGTTCAGGGGTACATGCACAGGTTTGTTATATAGGTAAACTGTGTCACAGAGGTTTGTTGTACAGATTATTTCATCATTCGGGTACTAAGCCTAGTACCCAATAGTTATTTTTTCGACTCCTCTCCCTCCTCTCACCCTCCATCCTCAAGTAGACCCTGTGTCTGTTGTTTCCTTCTTTATGTTGATGAGTTCTCATCATTTAGCTCCGACTTATGAGTGAGAACATGTTGTATTTAGTTTTCTGTTCCTGTGTTGGTTTACTAGGGACAATGGCCTCAAGCTCCATCCATGTTCCCACAAAAGACATTATCTCATTTTTTATGGCTGCAACTAGGGACAATGGCCTCAAGCTCCATCCATGTTCCCACAAAAGACATTGTCTCATTTTTTATGGCTGCATAGTATTCTGTCTTATGTATGTACCACATTTTCTTCATCCGATCTGTCATTGATGGGCATTTAGGTTGACTCCATGTGATATAATTTGGCTCTGTGTCCCCACCCAAATCTCATCTCAAATTGTAATTCCAACATGTTGAGGGAGGGACCTGGTGGGGGGTGATTGGATCATGGAGGCAGTTTCCCCGACACTGTTCTTATGATAGTGAGGGAGTTCTCATGAGGTCTGATGGTTTTAAAAATGGCAGTTTTCCCTTCACCTTCTTTCTCTTCTGCCACCACGTAAGACATGCCTTGCTTCCCCTTCACCTTCTGCCATAATTGTAAGTTTCCTGAGGCCTCCCAAGCCATGCAGAACTGTGAGTCAATTAAACCTCTTTTGTTCATAAATCACCCAGTCTCAGATTGTAACTTTATAGCAGTGTAAAAATGGACTAATACACCATATTTTTGCTATTATGAATAGTGCTGCAATGAACATTCACATACATGTGTCTTTATGGTAGAATGATTTATATTCCTCTGGGTATATAACCAGTAATGGAATTGGTGGGTTGAATGTTAGCTCTGTTTTTAGCTTTTTGGGGAATTGCCACACTGCTTTCCACAATGCTTGAACTAATTAACACTACCCCCAACAGTGTATACAAAGTGTTCCCTTTTCTCTTCAACCTTGCCAGCACCTGTTATTTTTTGTCATTTTAATAATAACCTCTGTGACTGGTGTAAGAGGGTATCACATTGTGGTTTCGATTCGCATTTCTCTAATGATCAGCAATATTGAGCTTTTATTCATATGCTTGTTGGCTGCATGTATATCTTCTTCTGAAAAGTGAATGACTCACTTTTTTATTTCACGTTTTTCTCAGTTGTATTGCAGTGACTACGTTGGTGTCTTACACACAGTAGATGCTTGTTAAATGTTTGTTGAAAAAAAAGAATAAAATAATTAGACCCATGTGGATTGGTCTGTGGCCTCAACCTTCATAAATAATATTATCTCTTCCAGAAAATAACTTCTGAAATGTAAATCATTGGGGATTTATGTGAAATCCATAAAATTCATGTAAATTACAAATCCATGAAATTTTTTTAAATCTATGAAATTTGTAAAGTTTGAATCTTTCTAAATTATGTTTAATGTGTGTATAGTTTATACCCAACCTCATACGGTTGCTAAAAAATTTTGTAGCAATTTCTGTGTCCTCATTTATTTTTAAGTTCTTCCCAGAATTGTAATATATCTGACTTTCCATAGAGTCTAGACAAGTATTGATAAAGTGATTTTATTTTTTGGCAAATTAATTAACACATCTAGAAATGAATAAATGTTTCTGAAATGATGAAAGACAGCAATTTGACCCATCGTGGGAACCCAGAAAGAAATGTGGACTAAATAAGAAACTAACAATTAAACATTATAGTATTTGCCAGACAGGATGCTTAACACTTTGCATGGTTAAATTTAGGACCACAGCTAGTAAATAGATGATTTTATTCCCATTTTACAGATTGGAAAATAAAGGCTCAGAGGGGTTAAATGGTGGAAGTCCTTCAGTATACTGAAAAAAGGAATTTTCTTTAGAAGCACATATCTTCCCCTCTTTTCTGGTTGGTCTCACTGAAGCATATGCCAATTATCACTATACATTTGTATGCCAAGAGTAGATATATTTTTCTCAATTTTTTTTAATTTTTGTTGATAATTTAGCAACGTGTAGAAAACTGAATCCCTCTCAGATGACGCCCTCTGTTTTATCAAATAGTAAAATACATTCTTTAAGAGGGAAACATGATTCACAAGAATCAGCTTAGTGGGATCAAACTAAGAGCCAAATAATTTATCATGTGTAAAATATAGAGGTTTCCTGATTACATTCATCCAGATCTTAAAAATCGTTATTATTGTAACACTTCAAAGTTATTTGATACCAACACCGAATGCAGCTTCTCTAATGGGAGTTATCTGGTCTGTGAGGCTCTGTTATGCAATGATGTCAGTATCTTCTGTAGTTTTAATTTCATAAGGACCTAACTTGAAGTAGTTTTCTTTTGTGGTTCTGACATACATATTTCAAAAAGATTAACATTATATTATTGTCCATGCCACAGAGCCATGGTCAGCCTTTGACAATGTTGAAGCATCTTACATGCATAATTTAATGGTGGCACAGTTCCACATATGTGATTAGTACCTGCAGACAATGTCCAGTATAGTATAATTCAATAAGAGAATAAGATGTGGCAATAAAAAAGCTTTGTGCAAAATACTCCAACTAAATATATTTTAGAGGTTCAAAACATTGACAAGTTGAGCTTTAGCTAAATGCACATAAATTCTTTAGCACTAAAGCATTGTTCTAAACAAAGGTCAGAAAACTTTTTCTGTAAAGAGCTTGTGGGTCATATGTTGTCTGTCACAACTAATCAACTATGCCATTGTAGCGTGAAGATAGTCCTAGACAATATGTAAATGAGTGAGTGTAGCTGTATCTCCACAAAACTTTATTTGTAACCCCTGAAATTTGAACTTCATATAGTTTTAATGTGCCAGAAAATATTCTTCTTTTTCCCACCATTTATAAATGTAAAAACCATTTTTAGTTCATCGCATATAAAAAACAAACAACAGGCTGTATTTGGCTCATGCATAGTTTGCTGATCCTCCAATCTGATTGGGACAGGTTTTGCCTTCTTTTATGGTCAAACTTTAGTTTTGACAAAAATAGCTAAATGTCCACCAATAATTTGTGCTGTTTCTTCTATTATAGCTGGGCTTGGAAAGAAGCTGCCCAGCGAAGATCTCACTGTCCCCTCCCACTGGACCTACACCCCTGCTTCTATTTGGAGCAATGTGGTTGGTTCTGGATGTAAGTGAAAGCAATGTGTGTCACCTCTAGACCACAGCACTTAGTTGGTCATTGTGCCTTCTCTGTTTTCAATTTTACTTCTGCATGGATCAGAGGACCATAAGACCTTAGGGAATGACACAGTCACAGCAAAAAAAGGAATGGCACAATCCTGAAGTCTTGAATCACAGTATGGGGGAAAGATGCCTGTAGTTCAGGACACCTACACCGAAGTGTTATGTGAGGGAAAAATAAACCTATTTTGTTCAAAACAATGAAATAGGCTAGGTGCGGTGGCTTACACCTGTAATCTCAGCATTTTGGGAGGCTGAGATGGGAGGATCACTTGAGGCCAAGAGTTCCAGACCAGCCTGGGCAACATAGGAGAGAACCTATTTCTACAAACAAACAAGCAAGCAAGCAAACAAACAAACAAACTAAAAAAGTTAGCTGGGCATGTTGGCACATGCCTGTAGTCCCAGCTACTCTAGAGGCTGAGGTGGGAAGATCGCTTAAGTTCAGGGAGATTGAGGCTACAGTGAGTCGAGATCATGCCATTACACTCTAGCCGGGGTAACAGGGTGAGGCCCAGTCTGAAAAAATATAAATAAATAAAACAATGAAATAGTGAAGTTTATTTTTTATAGCCACTAGCGTTACACCAATGAATGCAACAATAATTGTATTTAACACCTGCAGGGTACAAATATTTCCCTAGAAGTGAAAGTTGATTTTTTTCTGTCTTTTATTACACAGTCACAGGTGGTAGGATGAATGCTGTGCTGGGAGAAGGCCAAGAGGACATACAAACATTTGGTTGTACTATGATCTTCTGTCCACTTTGACTATTTTACGTCAAACAAATATTTTCTGTGGGCTCATTTCTTAATATAGGCCATCGATCATGGCCCATCAATAGTTTTCCTCTAGAATTTCTCCAAAATTCAGCTAGAATGAACTTCAAAGAAAAAATTCTGATCATCATGCCACTGGCCATCCTCCTTAAAATATCTAAGTGTGTATTTATTGATCGTTTAGATTAAATCCCAAACTGTTTTGATTTTGCAGGTCTGGTTTTCATCCTCTTCTCCAGGCTCATTTCTACATCCATACTCCTCATTTTCAATACTTCAGACTTATTTTTCTCTCATTAGTCACTGGGTTTGTATATCCTGTTTCCTTGTTGAGGAAGTTCTACTCTTTCTTCAGTTGACTTCTAATCTTCCTTTAGATCTTATTTCCATGAGCACCTCTCCAGAGAACATTTTGCGTCTCCCTAAGCCAGATTCTACTATTGTTTATCATATCACCTTATACCTTTTATTTCTGGCATTTATTAAAGATGAGATGTTAAGCTTAACATGTAAATCTTTAAATATATGTTTTAAGTTTCATGAAGATGTGGCAATGACTTTTTTTGTTAAGTCATAATCCAAGCACATAGTCTATCAGAGAAGAGGTGATCAAAAATTTGATGATTATTGATTATCAGGGAAATGCAAATTAAAACCATGATAACATATTACCTCACACCTGTTAGAATAGCTACTATCAAAAGATGAGGAATAACAAGTGTTGACAAGGATGTGGAGAAAAGGGAATCCTTGTTCCATGTTGATGGGAACATAAATTATTACCAGCATTATGAAAACAGCATGGAAATTCCTAAGAAAATTCAAAATAGACTACCATATTTTTCTGAAATCGCACTTTTGGATATATAGCCAAAGGAAATGAAATCAGCACATCAAAGAGATACCTGCATTTCCACATTCACTAAAGATTATTCACAACAGCCAAGATATAGAATCAACTTAGGTGTCCATCAATGGATGAACAGATTTTAAAAATGTGATATGTATATACAATACTATTGACCCTTAAAAAAAGAAACAAGTCCTGCCATTTGCAACAACATGGATGAACTTGGAGGACATTATGTTATGTGAAAGAAACCAAGCACAGAAAGGCCAAAACCACATGATCTTACTCGTATGTGGGAGCTAATAAAGTTGAACTCATAGAAATAGTAAAATTATGATTAGCAGAGGCTGGGAGGAAGAGGATTGAGGAGATGTTGGGCAAATGGTATAAAATTTCAGTTAGAAAGGAGGAATAAGTTCAAGAGATTCATTGTATATTGTGGCGACTATAGTTAATAACTATATATTGTATACTTAAAAATTGCTAAGAGTGGATTGAAAGTGTTCTCAACACAAAAAATAAGTATGTGAGGTAAGGTAATGCATATGTCAAATAGCTTGATTTAGCCATTCCATAATGTATACATGTATCAAAACATTATGTTTTACACCATAAATATATACTATTTTTCTTTGTTGATTAAAAATAAAGAAAACAAATTGTTGAATAAATGAAAGAATGAATACTAAGTTCCAGATATTTTGTATTACAGGAGTCTTCCACTTGCAGATAAATTTGTGTTTTGTACAATGCTTGATATCTATTTTCTTACTTTACTTCATAATAGCCTTACAATTTATGTGGACCTTATTTTTTAAAACTGTGGAAGCTGATGCTCAAAGAAATTGAATGCTTTGCCCAAGGTCACTAGCTACCTAAGTTCAGAGCAGGACTCGGCTTCTGATTATTTTTCCCTTTAATTATTTCAAATTTCATGCAGAGCCAGGTGTGTACAAGCCATAAAAACAAAATGAGCATGATCTGTGTTCAATATAAAAAGTAAACCAAATGTCTTATGAAATTAATCTGACACGCTTAAAGATATGCATAAATGTTATTGTGTTGCATAGTGATTAGGTACAGATTCTAAGACATTTGGATAAATTACAATAATTAGTATTACTTTTCCTTAGACACAGCCACCAATTGGGACACTTGGGTACCCCAACAAACCCATAATCATATTCAAGTGACAAGACCTGCTGTCTAAGACTCCTCAGGAGACAAACACTACAGATAGCTTCCCTTTGATAAGACAAGTGACAAGAGAAAAATACCTGTAGGAAGGGCTTTTAACCCAGAATCTCCTGGAATAGATTCAAAAAGAGGAAAGAAAGGGATGAGCTGTGAGGGGAGGTGCAATAGAAGAGGGATAAAGGGGGCAGTGTTAGGTAGGGAAGTTTGGGTCTCCAATTAACTCTGTGTATGCTTAGGAACGATTAGCTTTCTCATTTTGAACCTGTCATATCCATCATGTCTTTGGAGTCAAGACCGATTTTGAAATTCAATTGCAAGGACAGGCTATTCCCCATCAAATGAACCGAATTATATGACCTACAAATTTTTGTAGCTCTGAGGGTTAGTGAGAACTATGCTTATGGTTGCTTGCTCTTCATTACTTTTTAACATCCGTTTTTCTGCCATTTGATTCACTTAATAAACAATTACAGTATATCTTATTTCCCTTCATATTTCCTTCTCCTTTTCTTTTTACTACCATAAAAATGGAACTCGATTACTACCTGTCATGTAGGTTCTATACTGTGACCTCCAGGAGTTCAAAGTGTAAAATAGGAATTATTGATGCAGTAAAAATAGATTAGGAGCATATGTTCATTCATTAACAACTAGCCCAAGAACGACAGAAAATGGAACCAAGGTACACATACTATATAGCTATAGATATTGCATAGAAAACTCTCTCTACTTTATTAGGAAATACATAACTTTTCTTTCTAAAACACCAGCACCTGAATAATAAGGCACAATTTTTTTGTGAGAATATTGGTATAATAGATGGAATCTGTGGTATATATGTAGGAAATTACACTCCTTTCATTTTTCTACTTACCTCTCAGTGATAATGCATGTATATGGCAATGTCCTCTTGCATTTTTAGCAGGTGCTTGGATGAACACAGATTCAGGTGAATAAGTTTATAAGTTATTTTTAGATATTATTATTTTAACTATATTTACACATATTTATATATGTATATGTTTGTGTATGTATATATGTATACATATATCTTAATAAGCTTTAAAAATTTGGTTGTTAAATTTGTTACAAACTATTGCAAAATGTCAACAATAGCAAATAAAATAATAGTGAAATGAGTACAGACATTATCAAAATGAAATGAAATTCAGATGTGACTAAATCTTATTTCCAAAGTCTACTTTTATTTTGTCCCAAGATTCAGCTGTATGGTTTTAATAGTTGTACATTTTATGAGCTCTAAGTGGTAGTGGTTAGACATGATGAAATAAAAATAGCATTCATATATAGACTGGATAATTCTTTTACCTATCAGAGAATAATTCAGCTCTAATATATGCATGGCACCATATTAGATATTTACTCAAAGAGATATAAGTTAAATTTACAAGTGACATAAGAAACATCTTATTCTTTGAAAAATTATGACAAATTCAACATTGATTAAATATCATGGACAATTAAATGCAAGGTAATTTGGGAAGTAATATACCATAGCCACACACACACACAAACACACACAAACAAGCCTGTTAACAAAAATAAGCATTGCATTAAGCCTTATTATGTCCTAGAAACTTTGCTAAATGTTTTACTGCATCATCTCATTTAATCCTCAGAGAGACTCTATGAGGTTTTATCTCCACTTTAGTGATAGGGAAACGGAGGCACAAATAGGCGAAGTAACTAACCCAATGTTATACAGGTTTGTCGACCCAGGATTCAATCCCAAATCTTCCAGACTTCAAAGTCCACATAGGACTCAGTGGGTCATGCTGCCTTCTCAGTGCACTGCAGCTTACACAAGTGAAAACGACACATGCAAGACTTGAGGAGAATGGACCACCTTCCAGGTAACAACCTAAGATTAGTTTGTTCCTTGTTTCTAAGAGAATGGAGCCTTTTATGGAAGTGGATTTGAACTGCACTTTGAGAAAAGTCATAGATGTGGAATAGAATCAATGGTGAAGAAAAATTTCCAGGAAGATGGCCATGATATGAGATAATGCATCAAGAAGTATGAGAAATGAGAAGTTACAGCAAGGACCTGGAGCTAGTGTCAGTAGCCAGGTAGGTCAGAATTAGAGAAAAGCATGGGGCAAGTTAGGATAATGTGGTGGAAGAACTTCTGAAATGAGGGGTCCTGGAAATGAGGGACTGGGGAGAAGGGTGTCAGAGTGGATCATGTCTGCACAGGGAGTCTGTGAGGGTCAGGACCAGGAGCTGGAAATCGAGAATACTGGAGGAATGTGCTGAGCCAGAGTCAGAGAAGAAAGCCATTAATGCAAGTTACAGGGTTATCACAGCAAAGCAAGTGTTAAGTATAAAAAAAAACACACACAAACACACAAAGGGAAAGAAAGAGAAAGAACTAATGTGTATTCAGTACCATCCGTCTTAGATTTTATGCTAAAAGCTGCTAAGGCATTATATCACAATTGTTATATTATTTGCTCCTTACATCAAATTTTCAACATATATATTGTTATTTGGAAATGAAGGAAATCAACATCAGAATGCTGAAGTAACGTGGCAAACACTTATATGTCTAGTGTTTAGTGATATCAGCATAGGCCCTCAAGCCTGTGTGCTTACAAAGCCCACATTTTCTCAAATAACAAACGTGTATTAGAATATTAGCAAGGGGCTTCCTAAACACTTCGGGGAATATAAAGATGAGAATGAGTCACTTCCTGCCCTCAGAAGATAAATGAGCTAACCGCACAACTCAAGAAAAAATGTCAGAAGTTCAAATCTTTCTTCTTCCATGTACTGAGTCCTTGTGTGGGAGGCCATTAACAAATATTTGCTCACATCATTCAGATATTTCTACATAAAATGTTTTCTTTTAAACATATGTTCTATGAAAGGTGGTTACATCCATTTTGGTAGATGGCTTCCTTTTTTAAATTTGCAACTTCTCCAGTGTATCTCATTTTGGGTGGCAATCAGCTTCTGTTTTGTGAAGTTGTTCCAGAGGCTTCCCCACCCACTGTCTCCTGGCAACTTAGTAATAGGGTTGATATCTGCATCATTTTCAATGATTACCACAATCAAATGTATTAACATATCCATCACTTCACATAGTTATCATTTTTTTGTGCTTGGTGAGAACATTTAAGATTTAATTTCTTAGCATTTTCAAGTATACAATACATTATTATTAACTATAACCACCCTACTGAGCAATAAAACACCAGAACTTATTCCTTCTATCTAACTGTCACTTTGTACCCATTGACTCATCTCTCTCCATCTTCCCATTCCCCCTCCCCTCTCCAGCCTCTGGTAACCACCATTTTACTCACTACTTCTATGAGATCAACATTTGTTAAAGATCCCATGTGTAAGTGAGACCATGTGGTATCTATCTGTCTTTTTGTGTCTGGCTTATTTTTGTGTCTGGCTTATTTCACTTAACATAATGTCTACCAGGTTCATTGATGTCACATATGACAGGAGCTCCTCCTTTTTTATGGCTGAATAGTATTCCATTGTATATACATATTACATTTTCTTCATCTACCACTTAAGTATCTTAAAGAGATGAAATACTCCATCTCAGCATTGACTAATAGCCTCATTTTTTCACTCAAGTGGGTAAGTTTTATAAGCCCATTAAGCAAAGCCCTCAATATATTTACATCTCTGACTTCTTTGTGTGTCACAAACACATACACAGTTATACACAGGTACTGCATACTCATTTGGAAATCGTTCACTTTGAAAGAGCTAGTCAGAGAAAACTGAGGTCATTTAGCTAAAAGTCTATTATCTTTCTGCTCTTCCATCTGCAAGTGCATATCCATTCGTATTCTTTTTTTCCGTCTTTTCTCCAATCAGTGAAAGATAAATTCTTTCTTCTTTACTCTGTGAATCACCCTCCTATACCTACTTCGAAAAGATCTTACTTCATTAATTATTTCTTCCCTTTTCCCTCATCTCTCCTTCTCTCTACTGACATTTCCCCGTCAGCATGTGACCTTCTGAAACCCCTTTCTCTCTAAATCTTTATGATAGTACTTTCTCAGAGTTTACTATTGCCTTTGGCTTCTTAGTCTTTTAATTTTGACGCTGACGACTTGTCCTATAAAATGTTGGAGCTCTCAAATGCTAGGTCCTCAGCCCTCAGCTGTCCTCTAGACATGATTCCTTAATCAGCACACTCACACTCAAGGATTCCACCACAATTTATTTGTCAAAGACTGCAAATGAATATTCCTGTGACTGGCCACCCAGCGGAGGCCCAGAGCTACACGATGCAATTGATTACTAGGCATCTCTACTCAATTGTTTCACCACCATTTCAAATCCACCATGACCAAACTCCCCCAGCATTTTTTATATCATATGTTCTCCATTATTGCTAATGTACCAAATCTTAGCTTGGTAGCAAACTAGATGAACTTAGGAAAGTTATTTCTCATCTTTAAACCTCAGTTTTTTCATATGTCAAATGAAAATAATAGTAATCGCCATCAGTTTTCCATAAGGTTTTAAAATTGGCTATTATATAGTCCACGATCATGAATGCTAACTACATAGAAGGCACAAGTGAATGAAGCAGGCACTAATACTGTCCTTATTTTATAGCTGAGGAACTGAAGACACAATGTGCTTAAGTAAATTGCTCCAGGTTACTTAGCTAATCTGTGATGAAGCAGCTTTTAAATGAAGTCTGGATTCAGAGCCTGGTCTGTTAATTGCTGCACTATCCTGTTTGTTACAGCAGTACAATATCATATACAAAGCACATGGCATGATCTTTAGTACTTATTAGACACATCAAAATCACAGCGATGGGGAGGGGCACTTTAAATGCTCTGGAAATATGTATTTTAAAAAGCTCCCTGGCACATCTAATATTCAACTTGGGTTAAGAACCAACATAGTAGACTCTCAAAAGTATTTGTTCCTTTTATCCAAATGAAAATAATTGAATCAATTTGACCCTGGGAACACTTTCACAAATGTTATAACCATTAAGCCAAAAGTATCCTTTAGAAGGGCTCTGTTAGAAATTCTTTTCTAAAATGACAATAGAAGAGCAATAATAAAGACATATATATAAAAGCCCTCGGTGTTAATGCAACCAGAGGCATTTAATACATGCATTGTGTTTTCATTTGCATTGCATGATTTTATCCTTAGGAAAAAGAGCTCTAAAAATATTAGGCTTGTATATAACTCAGAAAAATCACTTTCTCTTTTTTAAAATTAATGGAGTGTCTCACTTTGTTACCCAGCCTGGAATGCAGTGGTGCAATCTCAGCTCATTGCAGGGGTGCAATCTCAGCTCACTGCAGCCTCGACTTCCTGGACTCAAGTGATCCTCCTGCCTCAGCGTCCCAAGTAACTGGGACTACAGGGACGCAACATCACACCTAATTTTTTTTTTTTTTTTTTTTTTTTGTAGAGATGGGGTTCTGCCATGCTGCCTAGGCTGGTCTTGAACTCCTGAGCTCAAGTGATCCACCCGCCTTGGCCTCCCAAAGTGCTAGGATTGCAGGTGTGAGCCACTGTGCCTGGCTAAAAAATCACTTTATTAAGATCATTATGCTCCTGGGTAAAATATTCTATCTGGGCTGGGTTTGGTGGCTAACACCTGTATTCCTAACACTTTGGGTGGCTGAGGCGAGAAAATCGCTTCTCTTCTAGCTATCAACACTTCTTCCAATTGTTTCTTATACAATTAAAGTAGGATATCTCATCTTCAGTGTATATATCCAGAAAAAACAAAGAGACCAAAAGGACATGAAAGAGAAAAAGCAATAAATTCTGTTCTCTTTTACATGAGTTCTGTGTGTGCGCATATATATATTTGTGTGCATGTGTACATGTATAATATACTCATCTCTAGTACAGAATTTCTTATTGGCATATAAGCTATTTTTTTTTGTTTGTAAGTAACAGGATATAATGTTTTTTAACAGAAGCAGAAAGAGAATTCACTAAGTTGATTTGGGGTGGCTCACTTAAATAAAGAAATGAGTATATAGATGTAGAATCCAGATAGAAGGGGAACAAAGAAGCTATGGAGTCTATAGCTCACTAGCGGGCTATAGGAATGAATCACTCCAACCTTTCCTTCTAACTTGGTATCATTTGATTTAATTTCAAATTCTAGAGAGAATCTCATTTATTTAACCTAGTTCCCATGCCCGGCAATTAGGTAGAGCACCTATTGGTATTTCCACGAAGGCTGCACACAGTGGAGTAGAAGTGAGTCTTCCAAAGGAAACTGAAGATGCTTCTAACCAGAAAAAGGAGAATGGATGGGGGATTCTCCAAAGCTACAGATGTCTCCTCTAGTTAAATATATCACAAATAGTGTTGATGTAAAAAACATGTAAAAAATATATTGATTTTATTTCACCACTGTCTTCTAATTAAAGTTTTTAGGTCATTACTGAATGCTTCCAAATAGCTTTTTTTTTTTTACAAAAATATTATCTTCATATGTTTTTGACAAATAAAAATTGTAAATATTTATGGTATACAGCATGATATTTTGATATATTGTGAAATAATCACCACAATCAGGCTAAATAACATGTCTCTCACTTCACATTGTTATTTTTATGTGTGTGGGGAGAACATTTAAGCTCTGATCTCAGCATTTTCAAGTATACAATACATTATTATTAACTATCATCACCATGCTGTACAATAGATCTCTAGAATTTATTCATCCTAATTGAAACTTTGTACCTTTGACCAAAATCTTTCCATTTCTCCCCACACCGGCCACTGGCAATCACCATTCTAATTTCTGCTTCTGTGAGTTCAACTTTTTTAGAGTCTACAGATAAGTGAGATCCTGCAGTATTTGTCTTTCTGTACCTAGCTTATTTCACTTAATATTCTCCAGGTTCCTGCATGTTATCACAGATGACAGGATTTCCTTCATTCTTAAGGCTGGATAATATTTTATCGTGTGTCTATACCACATTTTCTTTATCCATTATCTACTGATGGACACTTACATTGATTCCATATCTTGGGTATTGTGAGGGATGCTTCAGTGAACATGAGAGTACAGATAGGCCACAGCTGATTTTATTTCCTTTGGCTGTATATCTAGAAGTGAGATTCAGGATCATGTGGTAGTTCTATTTCTAATTTTAGGGGGAAGTTTTATACTATTTTCCATAATGGCTGTAATAATGTATATCTCTACCAACATTGCACAAGGGTTCTCTTTTCTTCATATCCTCACCAATACTTATCTCTTTTTTGATATTAGCTTTTCTAACAGGTGTGAGATGATAACTTACTCTGGTTTTAATTTGCATGTCCCTGATGGTTAGTGGTGTTGAACATTTTTTCATATACTTGTTGGCCATTTGTATGTCTTCCTCTGAGAAATGTCTACTCAGATTCTTTACCTATTTTAAAATCAGATTATTTGTTTTCTCGCTATTGAGTCATTTGCATTCCTTCTATATTTTGGATACTTAACCCCATAACTTAGGTGTATGGTTTGAAAACATTTTTTTCTCAAACCATGGGTAGTGTCTTCACTGTTGACTGTTTCCTTTGCTGTGCAGAAACTTTTTAGAATTTGTTTTTTTTTTTTTTTTTGGTTACTGTGTTTTTGGGTTCATATCCAAGGAATCATTGCCTAGACCAATGTCATGGAACTTTCACCCTATGATTTTTTTCTAGTATTTTTATACCTTCAGGCCTTATGTTTAAATCTTTAATTCATTTTTAGTTGATTTTTGTATATGGTGTGAAATAAGCATTCAATTTCATTCTTCTGCATGTGGATATACAGTTTTCCCACCATCATCTATGGAAGAGACCATCCTTTTCTCATTTTGTGTTCTTGGCAACTTTGCTGAAGATCAATTGACCATAAATGCATGGATTTATATCTGGGCTATCAATCCTGTTCCATTGGTTGATGTGTCTGTTTTTATGCCCATACCATGCTATTTTTATTACTATGGTTTTGTAGCATATTTTGAAATTTGGTAGTGTGATGCCTCCAGCTTAGTTTTGTTTTGATTTTTTGGTGTTTTTTTTTTCCCCTAAGGTTCCTTTGGCTATTCAAAGTCGTTTGTGGTTCCATAAAAATTTTATGATTATTTTTCTATTTCTTTAAAAAATACCATTGGAACTTTAGGGATAGCATTGAATCTGTAGATCACTTTGGGTACTATGGATATACAAACAATGTTAATTATTCCAGTCCATTAACACAGGACATTTTTCAATTTATTTGTGTTTCTTCAATTTCTTTCACTAATGTTTTAGAGTTTTCATTCTATAGGTCTTTTCTCTCCTTGGTTAAATTTATTCCTAAGTATTTTGTTTTTAAAATGCTATTTGCCTGATGGTTAGCAATATTGAACATTTTTTTCATATACTTGGCCATTTGTATGTCTTCCTCTGAGAAATGTCTACTCAGGTTCTTTGCCTATTTTTATTTTTATTTTTTGAGACAGGGTCTCACTCTGTCATCCAGGCTGGAGTGCAATGGTGTGATCATGGCTCACTGCAGCCTCAACCTCCCAAGCTCGAGTGATCCTCCCATCTCAGTCCCTTGGGAAGCTGGGACTACAGGTGCATGCCACTATGCCTGCATAATTTTTGGATTTCTTATAGAGATGGGGTTTCGCCATGTTATTCAGGCTGGTCTTGAACTACTGAGCTCAAGAATCTGTCCACCTCAGCTTCCCAAAATTACAGGCATGAGCCACCATGCCCAGCCTCTTTGACTATTTAAAAATCAGATTATTTGTTTGCATTCCTTATATATTTTGGATATTAATCCTTCATCAGGTTAAACGATGAGATTATTTTCTTGCTTTCTTTATCAGATAGGTTGTTGTTAGTGTATGGAAACACTGCTGATTCTATGTTGATTTTGCCATTTTACTAAATTTATTATTTCTAACAATTTTTGGTAGAGGCTTTATGATCATGTTGTCAGAAAGCAGATCCAATTTCATTTCTTTCTTTCTTATTTGGATACATTTTATTCTATTTTCTTGTTTAATTGCTCTGGCTCAGATTTTCAGTACTGTATTGAAAAGAAGTGGTAAGAGTGGGCACTTCTTGTTGTTTTCTTCCTGTTCACATGAGGATAGCTTTCAGCTTTTCACTATTGAATATAATATTAGCGGTGGTTTGTCATATATCAGCTTTGGGCTTTATCATGTTGAAGTACATTCCTTCTATACCTAATTTGTTGAGCTTTTTTTTAAATTATGAAATCATGTTGAATTTTGTTAAATTCCTTTTCTGCATCTATTGTAATGATTGTATAATTTTATCCTTCTTTCTATTAATATCATGTGTCACATTTATTGATTTGTGTATGTTGAACTATCCTTGCATCCCAAGGATAAATCCTACTTGATCAGGGTGTATGATACTTTGAGTGTGCTATTGAATTCCATTTGCTAGTATTTTCTTGAGAATTTTTGCATGTATGTTTATCAGCAATATTAACTTGTATTTTCTTAACTTGTAGAGTCCTGTCTGGCTTTGATATCAGAGTAATTCTGGCCTCATAAAATAAACTTCTTCATTTTTTTGGAAGAGTTTGAGAAGTAATCATGTAATTCTTTAAATATTTGGTAGAATTCACTTGAGAAGCCATCAGGTCCTGGGTTTTTCCTTGTCGGAAGGTTTGTAACTACTGATTCACTCTCCTTACTCCTCATTGGTCTGTTAATATTTTCTGTTTCTTCATGATTCTGTTTTGGTAGGTTGCATGTTTCCAGGAAGTTATCCATTTCTTCTTGGTTATCTAACTCACTGGCATGTAATTATTCATAGTAGTTGCTTATGATTCTTCATGATCTTTTGTATTTCCATGGTATCACTTGTAATGTCTTTTCTTTCACTTACAATTTTGAGTCTTTTCTTTTTTCCTACTCTTGCTAAAGTTTGTCAATTTTGTTTATTTTTTCAAAAGAAATGATTAGTTTTGTCGGTCTTTTCTATTTGCTTTTTTCTCTATTTCATGTATTTCTCTTCTGATCTTTATTATTTTCTTCCTTCTGATAACTTTAGGCTTGATTTGTTCTTGTTCTAGTTTCTCGAGGTGTAAAGTTAAGTTGTTTATTTGAAATTTTTTTTCTTACGGTAGGCATTCATTACTATAAACTTCCGTTTTGAAACTGTTTTTGCTGGATCCCACGATTTTTGGTATGTTGTATTTCCTTCTTTATTTGTATCAGATTTTTAAAATTTTTCTTTTGATTTCTTCTTTGACTCATTGGTTCTTCATTGGTGTGTTGCTTAATCTCCACATATTTGTGAATTTCCCCTCTGTTACTGATTTCTAATTTTATAGCACTGCTGTCTGAAAAGACACTTGATATAATTGCACTCAAATGCATAAAAACTTGTTTGGGGCTTAACATATCACATATCTTGGATAATATTTATGTGCACTTGAAAGCAATGTTTTCTGCTGCTGTTGGATAGGATCTATGCAATATGTCTGTTATGTTCATTTGGTCTAACATGTTGTTCAAACTGCTGTTTCTTTATTAACTGACTGAATGGATGATCTATGCATTATTTGTATTGAGGTATTAAAATTTCCTACTGTTATTATATTTTCTCTATTTCTCGTTTCAGTTTTGTTACTATCTGTTTTATATTTTTAAGTGCTCTGAAATATGTATTTCCAATTGTTATATCTTTTTGAAAAATTGACCCTTTTGTCACCATATGTTGACTTTCTTTGTCTCGTGGCCATTTTTGGCTTAAAATCTATTTCATCTGATAGAATTACAGCTACTCTTACTCTTTTTGTTTATATTTTTATGGAATATCTTTTTCCATCCCTTCACATTTAGCCTCTGTGTTCTTCAAGCTAAAGTGAGTTTCTTATAGGCAGGATATAGTTGGATTTTTAAAATCCATTCAGCCACTGTATGCCTTTTGATTAGATGATTTAATCCATTTATATTCAAAGCCATTTTTGATAGATAAGGACTTACTACTGTCATGTTGTTAATTATTTTCTCTTTTTCATTTCCTTTATTCCATTCTTCTTCTTTTGCTCTCTTCCCTTATGATTTGATTATTTTTATAGTTGTATGCTTTTATTTTTTTTCTTTATCTTTATCCTCATGGCCTTGTGTTACCTACTACAGGCCTTTTGTTTTTGTTCATTTACCATGAAGCTTACCTAAAACATTTTGTAAATATAATTAATAGTCGATGTTAAGTTGATAACAACTTACCTTTGAATACAAAAACTCTGTGCTTTAACTTCTCTTCCCTCCATATTTCATATTATTGATGTAGCAATTCATATCTTTTATATATCATGCATCCATTAAGAAATTACTGTAGCTATAGTTATTTTAATACTTTTGTTCTTTAACTTTTATACTACAGTTAAAAGTTATTTATGCACCACCATTACAGTATTAGAGTATTCTGAATTTGACTATATTTTTATCTTTACAATGAGTTTTATGTTTTATACTTTCTTATTTTTTCATGTTTTTAATTAGTATCCTTTTATTTCAACTTAAAGAACTCTGTGTAGTTTTTTTTTTTTTTTTTTGTAAAAAGGAGATACAGTGGTGATAAACTCCCACAACTTTTGTTTGTCTGGAAAATCATTATCTCTCATTCATTTCTGAAGAACAGATTTGCCAGGTATAGTAATCTTTGTTGTCAGGTTTTTTTCTTTCATCACTTTGAATGTATTATTTCACTCTCTTCTGGTCTGCAAGTTTTCCACTGTGACATCTGCTGATAGTCTAATGGGGGTTCTCTTACAGTTAATGAGTTGCTTTTCTCTTGCTGCTTTCAGAATTCTCTTTTATGTTTGATAATTTAATTATAATATGTCTCAGTAATAATTTTCTTATATTTAATCTATTTGGAGTTCTTTGGATTTCATAGATCTGGATCTTCATTTTTTTCTTCAGATTTGACAAGTTTTCTGTCATTATTTCTTTAAAGAAGATTTCTCACGCTTTCTCTTTCTCTGCTCCTTCTGGAACTTTTTAACTTAATATATTGGTTTTCTTGATGGTGTCCCATAAGTCCTACAGGCTTTCTTTACTCTTTTTCATTCAATTCACTTTTCTTTTTGTTCCTCAGACAGGATAATTTTAAAGAAGCTATGGTCTCACTTTTTTGTGCTGCTATAACAGAATACCTGAGCCTGGATAATTTAGAAAGAATAAAAATTTTTTCTTACAGTTCTGGAGGCTGGAAGGTCCAAGATCAAGATGGCAGCAGGTTTAGTGTCTGATAAAGATCTGATCTCTGTTTCCAAGATGGTACCTTGAACACTGAAATTTCCAGAGGGGAGAAACACTGTTCCTTACATGGCAAAAGATCAGAAGGACAAAGAGAGGGAACCCACTGCTAAAAACTCTTTTTTTTAAAAAGTATCCAGCCTACCCATAAGGGTGGATCTCTCATGATCTAATCACCTTTTAATGGTCTTACCTCTTGAAAATGTTTGCAATAGCAATTAAATTTCAACTTGATTTTTGGAGGAGACATTTAAACTATAGCAGCTGTCTTTTAGCTCGCAGGTTCTTTCTTCTGCTTGATTGAGTATGCTGTTGGAGCTCTCTGTGGAATTTTTCTGTTCAGTTCAGTTTATTGTGTTTCTTAGCTTCAGAATTTCTGTTTGTTTTTTTTTTTATTCTCTGATATCATTTTTGAACTTCTCATTTTGTTCATACATTGTTTTCCTGACATCATTTTGTTGTCTGTGTTCTTCTGTATATCACTGTTTTAAAAACAATTATTTTGAATTATTTTTTAGATTTGTAGATATTCTTTCCTTTATGGTTGCTTACTGGTGCTTTATTTGTTCCTTTGGTTGTGTCATGTTTCCCTGATTATTCCTGATCCTTGTGGCCTTGTGTTAGTGTCTGCGAATTTTAAGATATAGACACACCTCTTTTAGTTTTATGAACTGGCTTCATTGGGGAAATCCCCTCAACAGTCAGCCAGCCCAGAGATTCTCAGCAGCCTGTCTGAAAGGGTTTGTTGATGGGATTGCTGCTGGAATCCTCAGGCAGGCTGACCTAGTGTCTTGGTCAGTGAGTGTGCCAGATTGGGACCGGGGTCCATAGGGCCAAGCCTGGAT
Source organism: Homo sapiens (assembly GCF_000001405.40). NCBI lineage: Eukaryota > Metazoa > Chordata > Mammalia > Primates > Hominidae > Homo > Homo sapiens. The sequence continues at coordinate 96,318,912 of NC_000001.11, read as the reverse complement.
CCTGAGTCCATAAGTAAGGGTTCTGGCCTGCAGCCTGGAGATATAAGGGCTAACCTGGAGCCTGAGGCTGTGGGGACTAGCCTAGTGCTGAATTTTGCTGGTGTTCCACAGTGAAGTTAGATACTTACTTCATTCTTACTTCATTCTCTTTTTTCTAGGTGAAGAGTATCTTCTTTGTGCTACCTGGGTTCAGGGAATTGGTGATGTGATAATGTGAAACTGTTCTTACTCCCATCAACGCCTCTTTTTTTTTTTAATTTCTGTGCTCCACTGAAACAATCTAACCTCTCACCTGGATTCTTTAGCTACTATGAAAACATTTTCATGCATGGATAGTTGATTGAATTTATGTTTCTGCAAGGGGATGAGTGCTAGAAAGTCTTTCCTCTCCATCTTGCTGATGTCACTCCATCCTAATAGCCTTTAATAAGATGTTTATTTATTCCATTTATTGTGTCAGACCTGTCCTAGAGATAGAAGAGCAGAAGCACAAATGTTGCCTGAGTCCAATATGACTATTGAGCTGCCATACCAATGGTGAAATATTTACATCAAGACTTTTAAGTGAGAAAGTAATAGATGTTTATCTTATTTAACCCATTTTATTTTGGGTATCTATTACATATGACTATGTATTATAACTAACAGTCACTTAGCATTACTAATTTCACTATAATGTAGTATATGTATATATACACATATTAGATATAACCCTGAACAAATGGTATTGATTCCAAAAACCATAAATAAAATTGAATCCAATTTATTCTTTCTCACAACATGTGTGGGACTCACTGTATGTATGTTACTGTATTTATATTTTCTAAGCCTGTACCCAAGACTGTTTTGAAATCGTGGATAACAGAATCCAGAAATTAGCATTAACATTTTTAAACTGCAGTTTTATTCCTTAAGAATTATATTTTAAAGCACACTACTCCTTTGATATGAAAGATCACCTTAACAGACTATTTCTGCAGAGAAAATTGCAATCCTATGTTTTGTTACAGAGGTTTAACCCCATGGTGAAAAAAGTGCTTTGCATGATAATACTGAAGTGGTCTTCAGTTTGAGTGAAATTGCATCCATGGAGATTATGTATCACTAGAGAAATGGTTTCTAAACATAAATACGTGTGTACCCATGTTTAATCACTTACCATCTACAAACCTAGGCAGAAACCTGATGATGAAAAAAACATGAATTTTATATTTCTCTCATGGTGGCAGAGACTCTAAAGAGGATAAGAGTGAGAGTGTTAGAGCTCAATTTGTACTATTCTGATAAACACATTCTTCAAGACCAGGAATTGTCAAACTATGTCTTGCTGGCCAAATCCAACTCAAGGCCTGTTTTTGTATTGCTCATGAGCTATGAATAATTTTTAAATCTCTAAAGGATTGAGAAGAAGAAGAAACCCACAGATTACAAAAAATATTTGCAAACCATACAGCTGATAAGGAGCTAATATCCAAAATATATAAGGAATTTTAATAACTCAAGAACAAGAAAGCAACTCGCTTAAAAAATGAGCACAGGACCTGAACAGACGTTTCTTAAAAGAAGACATACAAATGACCAATAGATTAATTAAAAAATGCTCAGTATTCCTAATTATTAGGAAAATGCAAATTAAAACCACAACAAAATATCATCTGCACCTGTTAGAATGGATTTTATTAAAAAATGAAATATAATAAGTGTTGGCAATGATGTGGAGAAAAGGGGATCCTTATATACTACTAGTGGGGATGTAAAGTAGTACAGCCATTATGGAAAACGATATGGGGGTAGAACTACCATATGATCCAGCAATCTCACTTCTGGGAATATATCCAAAGAATTGAAATAGATATGTTGAAGGGATGTGTAAATTTTCATGTACATTGCAACATTATTTACAATAGGCAAGATATGGAATTAACTTAAATGTCCATCTAACTGATGAAGAAAGAAAATATTTAAAAAATATATATACACTATGGAACACTATTTAGCCTTTAAAAAAAGAACAAAATCATGTCATTTGGAACAAACCAGGCACAGAAAGACAAATATGTACTTTCCACTTATCTCCAGTTTTGCTTTTCAAAATTTCAGTTATCTAGGCTCAACCATGGTCTAAAAATATTAAATGAAAAATTTCAGAAATAAACAGTTGATAATTTGTAAATTGCATGCCATTCTGGGTAACATGATGAAATCTCTTGTCTTCCTGCTTCATTCCACCTGGGATATCAACCATCCTTTTGTCCAGCAAATTAACTTTGTATACACTACTTGCCCGTTAGTCACTTAGTAGCCATTTTGGTTACTAGACCTAAATAACTTAGTACACATAAGGTTCAGCACTATCTGCAGTTTCAAGCATCAACTGGGGGCCTTGAAACATATCTTTTATGCATAAGGGCGGACTGCTGTACTGGATGATCTCACTTATATATGGAATCTCAAAAAAGTTGAATTCACAGAAATAGAGAGTAGAATGATGGTTACCAGAAGCCTGGTGTGGGGGTGGGGAGGTGGGTGGGAAGGCAAGATGGGTTTGAGGACTGCTGGTCAAAGGGACAAAGTTTCAGCTAGACAAGAGGAATGTTTTAAGTTTTGGTCACACAGGGTGACCATAGTTAATAGTAATGTATTATATATTTCAAAATACATGAGTAAATATCAAATGTGTCATCACAAAAAATGTTAAACAAGTAGGTGATGAATATATTAATTAGCTTGATTTAATCATTCCACATTACATATACATGCCAAAATATCACATTGTGCTCCATAAATGTAATATATTATGGTTTGGCAGTTAAAAATAATATAAATTTTAAAAAGCAGCAGCAAGAGATATATATGTGGCCCCCAATGTCTAAAATATTTACTGCCTAGTCCTTTACAAATAAATCTGCTAATCCCTCAGACTCAATAACCCAACAATATGGAATACACTGAAGTTAGTGTGTATTATATAGATCGTCCTTGCATATAGTAGAATCGTAATGTTTGATAATAAATGAATTAATTAGTGGAGGGACACTATTTTTTCAATGATGGTAAAGGCTATGGACTACACATCATTTATGCACCAGTGTACGCCATGATTTGGTGTGTTATGTAGCAGGTAAAAGCAATGGAGGTTTAAGACATACTTGAAAATGGAGGGAGTTGTTTTGTTTACATTTAAAGCTATAGGATAGGGTTTATATAATTTCATCAAATAGCATTGTTTTATGGTTTATATTCTGATTGGTGGTTGGCATTGTGTCTATAGCAAATTTGGGCCAAATTTGTAAATTCACTTGGCACTTTGCAGTGTCTTGTATATAGCACATTTTAATGTTTGTTCAATAGGTAAGTGAATATTTAATACTGTTATTATACACATCATTCATTCAAAGATTACTGGTGTTTTTTCCAGTGAAATATTAACCTTGGAAGTCAGTCATTTTATGCCAGATAGTTGCTTTTTCTTCTCTTCATCTAACAAATATTTTTCTCATATATTTTCTTAATTTCAAAATTCCTTTAAAAAGATGACAACAACAATCAATTATAATTGACTTAAGAATAATTTCTCTGTTGTGTGAACCATAAGGCCTATGTGACTTAAAGGAAAAATGTCGAAAAATGATCAAGACCATAGGTGTTGGCATTTCTCAGGGTGATAATGAGACATGCCTTTGCTTTCCCTATGTTGGTGCAATTGTCTAGTGCATACTCTTTTTTCAGAGGGATTTCAAGAGATGATGTAACACAAAACTCAGGCTCATGGGCAGGCTTTGTTCACAGACTTCTTATTTATGATAAACTTTAAATATTCATGATCCTTTTCCCTTTCCCAGTGATATTTCCCGCTTTAACCTATAAAGTAAAGGGAGGCTGCACCTGGAATGGAATTTAAATAAGTTTTTAAAAAAATCTGTTATGACCAAAGCATTCCCTAAGAGATACTTCAGTCAATTTCAGGAGTTTGAGCCTAAAGGAGTACTTTCTTCAGAGTAAGGTCAAGGCAGAGAAAAAAGAAACATCACAGCTGTGCACTGCTCTGCTGTCCAGATAGAGTCTTTGAACATTTTCTTCTCTTCATCAAAGAACAACTGGGAAGGCAACACAGAAAATAAAATCCATGAGACCTTGGCAAATGTTATGAAAAATGAAGATTAGGATCAAAAGTTTAAAAGGACAATCTAGGCTTAAAAGAAAAATATGAAAAAACTTTCACTGCCTTCTGTAGCATATGAGAAGGTGTTTAAATTGTTTGGTCTATTGGTCTACAGACACCTGGATGATACTTGTATTATGAGTTCAGCATAGCAGAAACACACCTGACCGATACAGATCATTTATAATCTGCTTCTAAAATAAACTCAATGGCAAACACAGCTTACTGAAAAAAAAGAAATACAACTGGCTCTTAAAACAACTAGTGGATTTTTTTAAAATTTTTGAAGATTTGATAAGTTGAAATCTGAATAAAGAAGTACTTGTGAAAAGACAACATTAGATAATCAATAGTAATAAAGAAGGTAAAAATGAATTATTTATTTAGTCATGTAGCGAACACTGATTGTCTCTTATTAACCAAAAACTGAGCTAGGTGCTGACATAAAGAGATGAACAAAACAAAAAATTACTGGTTTCAAGGAGTTAAAAACATATTAACTGGATAAGGAAAATCTACAGATTCAGGTCTCATTTGCAATAGCTTAACTTCTTCCCCCTGCCATGGGTCTTTGGAAATAAATTTTCATTTCATCTCACTGAATTAACAATTTTGGTTGTATGCAATTAATTTTGCATTTATCCACCAATGCAATTAGATACCTTGTGTGGGAATATCTCAAGGCTGGGGAATAAAGATGAGGAAGACATTTCTCTCTATCAGGGAATCTAGTCAGGTACTTATGTGCTTAAATAACAAAGTTTTTAATAAAAAATGCCATAATATTACTAAAACTATTACCAAAAATATCTAACCCTTATGGAATGCTTATGTGATTTATATCCATTATCTCATTTAATCTTTATATCAGTACTGTGACATAAGTACAAATATTATCTCAATCTTATAAGAAAACTGAGGCAAAAGGAAGTTAGGTAACTTGTCTAAAGCCATGGTGAAGGTTGATTCTAAAAGCTCCATATTCTGTGCTCTTAATCACTACATTCATAAGAATTTAGTTGAGATAGTGATTTTTTCTGATGAAAGAATAAGAAAAAAAGCTTTATGGAGGAGTTATTATTAACATAGGATTATAAAAAGTATCTTGAACTTTATATTCCCAGCTAAAAAGAAATAGATCGTAGCAGACCACCTTCTCAATGAGAGCAAAAATAAAAGCTAGATAAAAATTAAACCTGTTTGAACCCACCAGAAAGTAATCAAGGCAACCAAACTTGGAGACCCAGGATTCCAAAGAGAAGGAAAATTTGCTAAGAGTATTTTTCTTGGCAGCTTTTCCCTTTGAGTCATTAGTTAGTGCATATGCAATGTGGGTAGAAAGGCTCAGAAGCTAAAAGAAGGCAGATGGATGCTAAGAGGCAGAGAATTTCAGTGCTGTTTGGAGATTTTTAAATGAAGTTCAAAGCCCAGCAAGGGGGAAAACCACAATAAACTTTCTAGGTATTTCTCTAACTCTCCTAAAATAGCATATACTAGAAATAATAGCAAATTAGAAGACCAGGCCTAAAACCAGTTATAAATAGCTTAATATCTAATTGTATTAAAGTGACTGACTTTTACACTAACTGGCTATCAGAGAGTTGCAAGACAGAGGATTAGTGATTTTGAAAGATGTTAGTAAAAAAAAAATACAAAATAGGATGGCAAACACAAAAAGGATAATATGACTTGTATAATACATAGAAAATACATATATGTGACAGACTCTCAGGACTGCAAAAGAGACCGAATAAAGGGCAAAAATTACCCAAAACTGATTAAAGACATTAAGCCACATATTCAAGAAACACTATAAAGCCCAATCAGAATGAGAACAAAGAAATCATTTTCAGGCACATTATGGTAAAGTTAATGAAAACTAATGACAAAGAGCAAAATCTTAGAAACATCTAAGAAAAAGATAAATTACTTTCAAAGAAACAATTTTATAATTATTAACTTGCTTCTCAACAAAGACAATAGCAGTTAGAAAAGACTGACATGGCATCTTTAAAATGCTGAAAAAAAATAGTTGTTATAGTAGAATTCTCAGAGTAAATATTCTTCAAAAATGAGAGTAGAGAGATTTCCTTATAAACAAAAACAAAATATATATAAAACGACAACAATAATAATAATGTATTGTGACATTTAATCAAAACACATGACAAAATAACAAATGGAAAAGGGGTAACTGAAGTGTTGTAACATCCTTGCCTTACCTAGGGATGCTAATTTATATGAGATTTAGAAGTGAGAGATCTACAGGAGAGCCACCAAAAGGACAAATAAAAAAAATTTTAAAAGTGAATTAATATAACTTAAAACTTAATAGAGAAAATATGATAACAAAAAAATACTCGATAAACCCAAAAAACGAAAAGGAGAGAAGTCTAGACCAAGTGGAAGAAATAAAATAAAGCATTAAGATGGTTGATTTAAATCCAAATGTATCAGTAATTACTTAAATTAATAATAGTTATTAAATTTCTATTAAATTATCCAATTAATAGTCAAGATTTTCAGAATAAAAACCACTGCCAATTATATACAGTGGTTTTTAAAAGAGATAAAAACTTAAATAACTACACAAAAATTGTAAAGTCAAATAAAAGAAAAAAGGTATAACATTCAAAGGATAATCAAAATAAACATGTAGTTATGCTAAGATAAGAAATAGTAGACTTTAAGACAGGAAGTATATTAGAGGTAAAGACGGGACATTTTGTAATGATAAAAAGATCAATTTAAAATTTAAAATTTTTATGCAGCTAATTACATACCTTAGAAATCAAAACTGAAAAAAATTAATGAATAAATAAGTACGCAAATACGGTGAAAGATTTTTAACACAAAATTCACAAAAAGTCGTAGGATAAGGCACGTAAAAAAATCAGTAAAAATATAGAATACTCAAAAAGTAAGATTAATAAGCATTGGCCTAATCGATCATATAGAGCACTGCATTCAACTGTACAATATACAGGAGTACACATGCAATATTTCTCAAAATGTTTATATCCTGGACTATATATGTACATGAGGCAAATCTCAACATATATCAAATAATTGAAATAATACAAAGTGTGTTTTTTTACTACTATGGAATTAAATTTGAAATTAGTGACGGTTAACCCCCTAAAGTATGAAAATTAAATAATCCATAATTTTTTAAAGAATCAATAAAATAATAAAAAATATTTTGAAGCAAAATATAACCAAAAAAGAATATATAAAATTTGTGGTATGGCGTTACAGCCATTTTATAGCCTGCAAATTATATATTTTATATAATTTGCAAATTTTATTTTAATATAAAATATTAAATATAATATATAATATATAAAATATTAAATATAATTATATTAAATATAATTAATATAAAATATTAAATATATAAATTATATATTTGCAAATTTTATAGCCTGCAAATTATATATTTAAAGATAAAAACCTGAAAATTGATGACCTGTGTGTATCCATTTGAAGATGTTAGCAAAAGAGCATAAGTTTAAACCTAAATAAGGCGGAATGAAGAAAATAATAAGGAATCAAATTTAATAAAATAGAAAACAAGCACACAATAGAGAAAATCAGCAAAATCAGAAGTTGTTCATTTCAAAAGCCAAAATTTGATAAATACATATGAAGACTAACCAAGACAGTGGAGCAAAAAGGTACAAATTACCAATACTAAGTAATAAAAGAAGGGGTATAACGATAGAGCCTAGAAACATTAAAAGATATTCAATGACTATCATGAACACCTTTTTTCCTCAAAATTAAAAATTTAGATAAAATAAATGAGAATCATATCTGTAATTTGTTTTCAAAATGTGCAAAAGGAAAAACAATTTTCAACTAATCTTTAAGGCCAGCATAACATGATACAAAACTTGATAAAAACATGTTACTGGTCAATCTTTGTTATGAACATTGATTAAATATCTTAAAGTGATATTAGCATTCCAAACTCAACAATGTATATAAAGGATAATATATCACCACCATGTTGAACATTTTGTAGAAATGCAAATTTCATTTAATATAAAAAAATCAAGAAATTGTTAAGTCTACAGTGGAAAAGCTTGGGAGACCCCAGTTTAACCAAGTGATCACAGTTAATGTTGCTATTACTGGGAAAGGATATACCATGTTTAGAGATTGAAAGATCCAATATTTTAAGATGTCAATTCTCTGTACATTGATATATAGACTAAAATTCCCCAATTGTGTAAAGTAAAATTATTATTCTAGAAATTACAAGGAAAATTAAAGGACTCAAACTAGCCTCTCTAAGATGATAAAGTCGCAAAACATATTACCACATATGAACATTATAAGCCCACTGAGATTACACAAGTGTTATTGAAATTAAGGACTGAAAAACAGATTAGTGGATCAGAACAATTTAGAAACGAAACTACATGGTCACTTGATTTATTACACATAACCCTGCAGAACAGAATCTTTTCAATACATGGTGCTGGATAAATTTAGTGTCCATATTAAAAAAATAAAACTGCCAGCCACTTCCCAATTATAAATAAATTCCTCATATAGATTTAAATTCAAAAGATAAAAAAATTAAAGTATCTATATAAAGCTGCGCTAGTCAATAAGGTAGCCATTAGTCACATGGGTATTTAAATTTACATTTCAATTAATTAAAATTAAAAACAATTAAAAATTCAGTTCCTTAGTTGTATTAGTCACATTTCAATTGTGCAATAGCTAGCTTTTGCCACAATCCTGTGGCTAGCAGCCACTGCATTGAGCAACAAAGATATGGAACATGTCCATCACTGTAGAAAGTTCTGTTGGACAGTATCAGCAGAGGTTTACATAAGATACCATCTTTATGACTAGGGCTAGGAGAAAAGAAACCAACCATAAAGGAAGAACTGACAATATATATAGAACTCTTAAAAACTGACAACAACAATAACAAAAAAGAAAAATGGACAAAATCATGAAATGTTTATAATAAATGATACACAAATAGCTTTTTAATATATAAAAGAAATGCTTAATGTTACTCATAATAAGAGAAAAAATGATAAAAGTACACTGATGTATTATTTTTAACTGTCAAATTACTGGCCAGAAGATTGGCCACAGGCTGTTCAACAGAGGTGGGGGAATGGGCACTCTCCTAGTGGGGGTGCAAAATGGTACAGCCACAGTAAAGGTAAACTTGGTAATATATATGGAAATTATATATTCTTTGCCACATGACTCAGCAATCCCACTTCTAGGATTTTAGTCTGAAGATACAAAAAAAAAAAATTTGGTACAAGATTACTCGCAAGTAAAAATTGGAAGCAACCTAAATACCATATAGAAAGTCAAATACGCTCTGGCACATTCACACATTGGAGTACTATGTAGCTGCCAAATATTAATTAGTAAAATAATCAGTACAAGCAATGATAAAAAAATCTCTTTAATATGACATTAAAGAGATTTAATTTGACATTAAAAATCTCTTTAATGTGAGTGATTTCTAGGATGCATTGTTATACGAAAAAAGCAAGATGCAAATGAAAAACCTACAATATGCTACCTTTCTTCTAAGAAGCAAGAGGAAATTAGAATATGTATGTCTATACTTGTTTAATTTCACTGAAACAAATACAGGAATAACGAACTAGAAAGTAATAAAATTGATTACCTACAGGGTTGTGAGTTAGGTGGAAGGGGTATAGATGTGAGTGTGATTTTTTTTGCATATATATTTGATATAGTTTTCATTGTGAACTATGCTTTTTTTAAAACAAATTTTAGAAAATTAAATCAACAAAGATGAAGAAAAGAAACTTCAAACTGGAGATAAGCAGAAACAAATAAACTGAACTTTGTAGCTCACTAAAAAAAACTACAAAAAAGAAAAAAAGAATTAATCCAGGTAATTTTGGAATGCTGTATTCTGACTATACAGCCTCAGAGGGATATATTCTAAGGACTAAAAAAATGCAAAGAAATTCCTGACTTTTATGACAAGGTTTGTTTTGCTAAGCGGTATGGATGTAGCAATTCTGAAATTATGTTTTATATATTATAGGATAGAGCAAATATGTTAACGTTGTGGGCAAGACAGGATGTACAAATGGTACAAGTCAGAAACACAGGGATGAAGTACAAAGTCATGAAGCAGATGAGATTGCCCAGGGTATAGTGAGAGGAAAAGACTGTTTTTAAGAGGTGGGAGAAATTCCTACATTTCAGCAGTGGACCGCTTTTGAGGAACTCGTGGTGTGTTTTTTCTCTTCCCCTTTTTCTTGTCAGGTTGAATAAATGTGTTATAGACAAAAAATGACCCTTTAAAATGCAAAAAGTCCGGGTGCAGTGGCTCACCCCTGTAATCCCAGCACTTTGGGATGCTGAGGCAGGCGGATCACCTGAGGTCAGGAGTTTGAGACCAGCCTGGCCAATATGGCGAAACCTTGTCTCTACTAAAAATACAAAAAAATTAGCCGGTTGTGGTGGCGGGCGCCTGTAATTCCAGCTACTTAGGAGGCTGAGGCAGGAGAATTGCTTGAACCTGGGAGGCGGAGGTTGCAGTCAGCCAAGATCGTGCCACTGCACTCCAACCTGCGCAACAGAGCGAGACAACACCTCAAAAAAAGAAATTGCAAAAAACAAAAAAAGAGAAACCTCTTGATGGTCAGGCAATGTCTTTTAATATAATGTGTAAGATACAAAAAAACTCAGTTCAGGGTTTTATTATGAATATTTTTGGAGATACTGAGCAGTTTCTTGAGGCAATATATTTTTTTTTAATTAGAGACTTCTGACGACTCAAGTTTTAAAAATAAGCTGTACATTAAAAGATATGAATGAAGAATATTATTGATTTAAGTAAAAAAGTTCACTCAGGTTCATAAAATGGAACAAGATCATGTCCTTTGCAGGGACATGGATGGAGCTGGAAGCCATTATCCTCAGCAAACTAACAGAGGCACACAAAACCAAATACTGCATGTTCTCACTTAAAAGTGGGAGCTGAACAATGAGAACACATGGACACAGGGAGGTGAACAACACACTGGGGCCTGTCATGGGAGTTTGGGGGAGGGAGAGCATCAGGATAAAGAGCGAATGCATGCATTAGCTATTGATAGGTGCAGCAAAACACCGCGGCACATGTTTACCTCTGTAACAAACCTGCATATCCTGCACGTGCATCCTGGAACTTATAAAATAATAAAATAAAATAAAGTATTTTAAAAAGTTCACTCAGGATCAAAATATGCATACACATTGGCTTGATTGCAAATACAGAAAACACATTTGCCTTTTCTGAAGTGCCCTGTGATCAGTGCATCATACGTTTTGTGGGGTCGTCAGGCGGCTTGGTGGGAAGTCAGTCACCACATCAACAGGCACAAACATTTTGAAAAGAATTCTTGGGGTTTTAGAGAGTCAATGAATAACCATCTTCTCTCCTGTATTCTAGTTTTGAAAACAATGAGAAATAACTGACCAAAAATGAGATAAAATTTACACCTTTATCATTGGTAAACATTTGATTGGCAGTAATGGGCCCGCGGTAGTTCAATGGTCCTGCAGCACTCTCAGTCCTTGGTGGTCTAGACACTCACCTAAAGGAACGTGTGGAATGGAAGAGGTGACACACTCATTGCTGAGTTACATCGGTCAGGGTTGGAGATGGAAGAAAACATAGAAATAAATCCTTGGTCATTTTTTAATAGATTTCCCAATCATTCAATGTGGACACAAGAGTCAGTAATTTCACTTTTATTTCATAAGAAACAATGAGTAAGAAAATGAGACAAGATACCAGGAATGTTAATCTAGAAGCAGTCCCTCTCCTTGGAAACATGAATAGGAGCAAGAATCATTTTAAATTCTTGTGGTTGCCTTTGGACTGCAAATATCAAGAATTAACAAGTATCTGTTTAATGAATGTGACCTAGTTTCAAATAAAACTGATTTGGTTAAAAACCAAAACTATTCATTAAAAAGCGATGATATTTTATAAATACAAATATATTTCTTAGAATTACTGCAAAGTTTTTGGCCTTAGAATTATTGTGAAGTTACTGTAAGCAACTTTTACATCTCATGGGCTTTTGAAAAATACATTTTTTTTTACTATAAAACTGGTAAATTTGGCAGTATTCATGATGTAAAGAAGAGTCAGAATTGTGATATTCCAGGGCTAAATGTATCTTGCAAATTTTAAGAATGTTTGAGTAGTCATGTAGAATGACACCCTGCAATAATAAGCCTCTCCATAATATGAATTTGGAGATACAGTAGCACAATTGGAGCTTGACTCCTATTCTTCACAGTAAGCTCATCTAGGCCATTTCATTAGCCTCATGATTTCATGATCCTGAATTTTTTGTAATCAAAAACGGTTCTGGTAGAATTTAATTATATGTATTTATCAAAATTATATATTGACCAGCATTAGGCCTACAATTCTGCATCATTTATGGCTAAAATATATTTATTATTGTTTATTTGTTTTGTTTTTTGAGACAGAGTCTTGCTTTGTTGCCCAGGCTAGAGTGCAATGGTGTGATCTTGGCTCACTGCAACCTCCGCCTCCTGTGTTCAAGATATTCTCCTTCCTCAGCCTCCTGAGTCGCTGGGATTACAGGCACCTGACACCAAGCCCGGCTGATTTTTGTATTTTTAGTAGAGATAGGGCTTCACCATGTTGACCAGGCTGGTCTTGGACTCCCAACCTCAGGTGATCTACCTGCCTCGGCCTCCCAAAGTGCTGGGATTATAAGCATGAGCTACTGTGCCAGGCCATTATTGGATAGATTAACTAAGCTATATTTCTCTGTGATAGGGTTACATATTATATATTGTTTTCTGATAAAGTAAATGATTAGTGAAAATATTTCGATGTCCCTAATCAAAATGGCAGTTGTTGATGATGACGTAGATTGAGCATTGTATCAGGATGTGTCTAATTATGCCTCATGTTAACAGAATAATAAACCTACTTAAGGAAAAATATCTTAGTTTGGGATTTCTAGAAACAGTGCCTGAGATGAGGGTTCTTATGAAAGTGATTTATTAAGGAATACTCCCAGGGATTTATTGAAGGGAATGAAGATAAAGAGGAAGAAACTAAGCAAAGATACAGTTTTAGCAGAAGTACAGACTCAATCAGATCACACTGCAAGTGCTGAAGAGTACATCACATTACAGAGTTTGGTCCACCCAGAGGCCAGGAACTGGGCTTTTAAAGACCCTGCCAAGCAGTGGTCACGCGCCAGGGTAAATCCCAGGCGTCTTCCAGCAAGGCAGCGCCTATCAACTAAGGGCAATTTTCGGCAGAAGGTGCAGATGTGATGATCCTTCGCAGCCAATGCCTGCAGAAGTAGGGGTATAGACTTCACAGGCTGCTAAAGGGAATCTGGGTGAGTACCCGGGTAATTTTTAATTATTAATAATTATTAATTATCTTGACTGTATTATGTTATATAGCTAGAAATCAGCTCATCTCCCTTACCCCTCATTTGAATTTCTGAGCTTTGCTCTTGCTTAAGACTTATTTAGAAACACCTACGCTTCCTTTTCTGTATCATGTTCATTGGGCACAAAGTGCGATCTGTTTTATCCACTAGTAAGGAGTTGCACAGCAACTATATTTTAAAGGTGCATGTCTCCTTTTGGATAATGCAAAGATAATACTTGAATATAAAAAGTTAAAGAGTTTTGAATCCACTTGGATAGTTTCTCCACTGATGGGAAACCTGCACCTCTGTTTACGGTTACTTTGGAAATCTGGAAGGTATGTGTTTAACAAAATGGATTTTTCACATAAGTGGAAATGTCATTATTTATTCAGGCTCACCACCTTCTCATTGGTTCATGGAATCTTAAAATTGTTCTCACACGTTTTTAGATGTTATCCATTCTGGATAGGAAATATAAGCTGAAATTCAGCCACGATGTATGCAGAATATGGCTGGTTATTTTCCAATTATCTACTCTTCCCTTTCTCTATTTTAATAGAGCTCCTGAATTTTACATGACCACCCAGAATAAAGATTATACATTTCAAGTCTCTATTGCAGTTATGTGTGGCCACATGACTAAATTGTGGTGAAAAGGGTTTGATTGGAAATGATAATTTCAACTTCTGAATCCTGACCTTCAAAGGATGCATGTCTCTCCCCCACCCCTTCCCTTATCCTTTCTCCCTCCTGCCAACTGGAACATAGATATAGTGGTGATTCCTCTTGGATCAATGGATATAAAGCAAGTTTCTAAGGATGGCATGGTAACAAGATAGAAGAAATCTAGTCCTAGACACAGCAGAACCTGCATACCAGCCTGAGATACTTCAATCTAGTTTGTTACATGTGACAGAAGTGAACTTGTATGACATTAAGTCACTTTATTTTGGGTTTCTGTTTCAGAAGGATGTATCCTCTATCCAGCAAGCCTTTTTCAATAAAATCATTATGTACTCCACCTGCAACAAGGTAGGAATGAATCCCTCTGATATTTTAAAAGAATAACTACAAGCAACATTTTGACCTATTGCTTTTATTTAAATGCTTATTTATTACTTGAAATTGGAGATAAAGCAATGACCCACAAAAATATTTTATTAACAGATATTTAATCCACAGTTTGAATGAGAATCAACTATTGGTATACTGTGTTACAAAGGGATATATATTAGTTCAGGTTTATGAAAAGCTCTGAAAATGGTACACACATAAAAGCACAAGGTATATATCTTAAGAAAATGAATTATGCTGAGAAAATTTATCTAGAAAGAAAGAAGAAAAAATATATATATAAAGAAAATAGAAGTGAATGTTAAATGCTATTTCTACAAATTATCTCTACACACCTCAAAGTCACAAACTATTGTTAGGAAGCATTATGGTCTCACGCTTTATGAAATGAGGTGTTTGAATTTAGGATGTCTATTAGACATCAATTCTCAATAGCAACAAGATCTTTGAAAAAGTAGTATTTATTTATGTTTATTGCCCTAAAGCTAGGACATATACCAACACAGAGAAAGAAATTAACTTTCTCAGTAGAAACCTCAAGTTCGTTAAAGTACAACATTTTAAAAGATGCTGTCAAGACTAGAGGTTGCATTTTAAATAGGTTGAATTTAAAATATTTTTTGTTATACAACAACATAACCTCCTCTTTAATATACCTGGTTTCAGGAAAGAAAACAAAGTTCCGTGAATAACTAAATCATCATAATGAAGCAAAACGATAAGCAGAAAGCAAGAGTGTTTTGAAAGGTGAGCTGAATTATTAACTTCAGACGATCTTTTTTTAAACAGCATATAACATGAACTAGGTATTTGTTGTGTCAATAATTCACCCTAGAGTAATCCAATAGCGGAAAGAAAGCAATAGTTTTAGTAATTTCCCTGTATTAGAATGTGAGCTAAAACAAAATGATTAAGTGTAAAAAAGAAACTGCTCATACTATGTTCTCATTTTATGAAAATTGTTACTTAGGTATCAGATCATTCAAATATTTAGAAATTACTTTTTTTTTGCATTTCCATGGACTGAGTTTCTGCTAAAGTTTATGAATGTTTTGAGCCATGACTATGTTCCAGGAGCTGAGTAAATCGTAAGAGATAGAAAGATGAGTGGGACAAGATGCTTCCTTCAAATCTATTGGAGGGGTGAAGACACACAGTGGGGGTGTGTAGACTGGTACAGGTATTTGAGAGGGCACTGTGTCAGTAGTCAGCCAAATTAAAAATACAAGCATTATACAAACTAGGAATGTCTCTCCTCCTTACATGTTTCAGGGAAAATTTTATGTGCCCATTAGAAAACATGTAGTAGAGTATTCACTACAATATTTGTAGTAAAAGAAAGTTGGGGGCAATTTAAGTAACTGTCACTAATAGTGAGTGTTCACTATAAATGCTGTAAAGCAGTTGAAGGCAAAGGAACAGATGCGTATAGATATATAGACCAAAATGATAGACCACAGAAACATAACTTGAGTGAGAGAGTAAAAATCAAAAGTTTAAAGTGTAATAACATCAATGTCAGGTAAAACATACACATGCAAAATAATATTGCATGTTTTACAGGGAAACCTAAAAATGAAAGAAGAGACCTTAAACACTTTCAAATAAATGACCATTAGAAAAGAAGAAAAGTGAAGTGCAGAACGAGAATAAGAGGAGAGAAATAAACTAAACAAACAAAATAATAAATAAATGAAAAAGAATAAACAAACAAGAAACTCAAAATGAGGGTCATTCATTGGAAAATGACAGTATTTGATCATGAGCTAGTTGAAGTGAATAAACTCTCCACCACTAATGTAAATATAACCCTGAAATTTAAACAACTATGAGATGGATTTCTGAAAATAGGTAGTCTAGATATTCAGAAAAAATTTTATTACCAAACAGTTGAAATTGCCAAACTTGAAAATCAAAACCCTAGATGAATTTGCAAGGAAAAGAAAAGTAGGAAAATACTGAAGAAGGACATGTCTATCAATGTGATAAACAGAAACTGATGTTGAACTTACTTTGAGAAGCAGAAACCTGTTTTTCATTTTGTTTTTGTTTTTAATGTAATAGCTATATGGGGAAGCAGGCAAGGCCTTGGACCCACCTGAGGTAGTGTTGGAACTGAGAATATCATTAAAAAGCCCATATCTTTTTTTCTTTTTTAAATTTATTTATTTTTTTTAAATTATACTTTAAGTTCTGGGGTACATGTGCGGAATGTGCAGGTTTGTTACATAGGTATACATGTACCATGGTGGTTTGCTGCACCAATCAACCCGTCATCTACATTAGGTATTTCTCCTAATGCTATCACTCCCCTAGCCCCCCACCCCCCGACAGGCCCCCGTGTGTGATGTTCCCCTTCCTGTGTCCATGTGTTCTTATTGTTCAACTCCCACTTATGAGTGAGAACATGTGGTATCTGGTTTTCTGTTATTGTGTTAGTTTGCTGAGAATGATGGTTTCCAGCTTCATCCATGTCCCTGCAAAGTACATGAACTCATCCTTTTTTATGGCTGCATAGTATTCCATGGTGTATATATGCCACATTTTCTTTATTCAGTCTATCATTGATGGGTATTCGCATTGGTTCCAAGTCTTTGCTATTGTGAACAATGCTGCAATAAACGTAAGTGTGCATGTGTCTTTATAGTAGAATGATTTATAATCCTTTGGGTATATACACAGTAATGGGATTGCTGGATCAAATGGTATTTCTAGTTCTAGATCCTTGAGGAATCTCCATACTGTCTTCCACAATGGTTGAACTAATTTACACTCCCACCAACAGTGTAAAAGCATTGCTATTTCTCCACATCCTCTGCAGCATCTGTTGTTTCCTGACTTTTTAGTGATCACCATTCTAACTGGTATGAGATGGTATCGCATTGTGGTTTTGATTTGCATTTCTCTAATGACCAGTGATGATAAACATTTTTTCATGTTTGTTGGCTGCATAAATGTATTCTTTTGAGAAGTGTCTGTTCATATCCTTCACCCTCTTTTTGATGGGGTTGTTTTTTTTTCTTGTAAATTTATTTAAGTTATTTGTAGATTCTGGGTATTAGCCCTTTGTCAGATGAATAGATTGCAAAAATTTTCTCCCATTCTGTAGGTTGGCTGTTCAACCTGATGATAGTTTCTTTTGCTGTGCAGAAGCTCTTTAGTTTAATTAGATCCCATTTGTCAATTCTGGCTTTTGTTGCCGTTGCCCTTTGTGTTTTAGTCATGAAGTCTTCACCCATGCATATGTCCTGAATGGTATTGCCCAGGTTTTCTTCCAGGGTTTTTATGGTTTTAGGTCTTACATTTAAGTCTTTAATCCATCTTGAGTTAATTTTTTAATAAGGTGTAAGGAAGGGATCCAGTTTTTTTTTTGTTGTTGTTGTTGTTGTTGTTTTGAGACAGTATCTCATTCCGTCACCAGGCTGGAGTGTAGTGGCACAATCTCGGCTCACTGAAACCTCTGCCTCCCGGGTTCAAGCGATTCTCCTGCCTCAGCCTCTCAAGTAGCTGAGATTACAAGCGCGTGCAACCATGCCCAGCTAATTTTTGTATTTTTAGTAGAAACGGGGCTTCACCATGTTGGCCAGGATGCTCTTGATCTCCTGACCTCGTGATCTGCCCACCTTGGCCTCCCAAAGGGCTGGGATTACAGGCGTGAGCCACTGCACCCGGCTGAAAGCCTATATCTTCAGGTAATGGAGAATTTGTAGCTATAGTGCTATCCTTATGTGGGTGTGCCTGAGTGATACAAAAATCTCAAGTGAAAACATTATTTTAAAGTAGAATTAGATTTTTCATGCCCAGAGTGCCTGGCAGTAACAAGCACACAGCCTCTCTAGAGCACTATACCTCAGTTCATACTCCAAATATTTCACAGATTCAGTTACTCATACAAACCAAAATTAAAATCACATGAGGAAATAAGGTATGAGAAAGAATTGAAGAAAAAAATTATATAAAGAATAATTAAACTCCTCCAAAAGTTTTATATTTTAGAATAATTAAGCAAAGAATATAAAATGACTATATTAAAAATGATTAAAGAGACAAAATGTGGGTTCAAAGCATAAGTAATGAAAAAAATACCATAAAAATGATTAGATAGTACCTTCAGAAAAAGTACTGCATGTAACTCCTAGAAACGGCAATATATATAGAATGATTGGAATGAATTTGAAACCAATGTTGTAGACAAAAGAATACACGTGGTTGAAGAGTAAATTTGTTAAGTGGTAGATTAATCAAAAGAAATTGTCAAATGAAGTACAGAAATAAAGGAAATGGAAAATTAGAAAGATGTTAACAGGCATAAAGATAAGAATAGTTATTCAAAGATACACCTAATTAAATTTTTAAAGGGAAAAAATAGAGAGAATGGAGGCAAGACAACAATAAGAGAGAATGAAGATTCCAGACTGATTAAGTGTAAGAATTATCAGATTCAAAAGGCAGAAATGAAACCTCAGTAGATGACTGCAGGAGACCAGACAACCAGAAAATCTTAAATTTAGCCATCAACAATCAACTATACTAGAAGGTGACTTTCTCATAGTAATGATAAAAACCACAAGAAAGAAAAATAATAGCTGATGGAC
The DNA here is from genome assembly GCF_000001405.40 of Homo sapiens. Taxonomy (NCBI): domain Eukaryota; kingdom Metazoa; phylum Chordata; class Mammalia; order Primates; family Hominidae; genus Homo; species Homo sapiens. Next base: position 96,299,635 of record NC_000001.11, on the reverse strand, counting down.
AATGACTATCAACATAAAATTCTTTACCCTGTAAAATTATCAATCCGGGATATGGTTAAAATAAAGTCATTTTCAGATGAGAATTTGTCAAGTATAGACTTAAGGAAATTCTCAAGGTGGTAGTTAAGGAAAAAAGGAAAATAATCAGGTTATAATGATGTGAGATATAAGAAAGCATGGTGAGTGAATAACTTTAAAAATCACATGTATCATTCTTAACAAATATTGGCTGTGTAAACAGTAATATTAATCTCTACATAAAATGATAGAGACTAAAGATGATATTGACTACCCATGACAGACAATACGAAGTTGGAATTACTGGAGTTAAAAGAGTTCTGAAATATGTGTATTATACTGAAGTGTAGAAATGTTAACTGTAGATTTTAAGTATACTATATTAAAGGTTTAGAAGTAAGAGAATATGAATACAGTATATAATTTTTTAAAATAAAGAATAAAAATAAAATGAAACATCAATTTAAAGAATGCAGGAAAGTTAGATAAAAGAAACATGGAAACACAAGGGAAATATAAAGCTGAAAAAAGATGGCAAACTTAATTCTAAAGATATTATTAATCACATAAATGTAAAATTACTAAATTCATCAGTCTAAAGACAGAGTCATCAGACTAGTTAAGAAAATATCTAGCTAAAGGTATGTTTTAAAAGACACACCTAAACAAAATTATAGAAAATATGAAAGTAAATGAATGGAAAAAAGTAGAAACACAAACACTAACCCGAAGAAATGAAGGGTAGCCATAAAAGTTTTAGAAATATGCTCCATAAATGAAAAAGGGTCATTAGTAATAAAGTAAACAACTACACAATGATAAGAATGTTATTAATCTGATGAGGAGTAACATTGAATCTTTTATGTATTTTTTTTGGCTACAGGCAAATATTTTTGTACTATCTATTCACATATATTTTCTATTTTTATAGGTTTATCTTTTTATTCTTGAGTTATATAAATCTTTTTATATTTGGATTCAAGTCCTTAGTAAGATACATGCATTATAAATATCTTCTCTGTTTACGACTTACTCTTTTAATTTTAATTTTTTGGAATAATTTCAGATTTTCAGTAAAGATGCAGAAATAGTACAAAGAATTTATTATATTTTTCACCTAATTTCCCCAAATGTTAAAATTTTATCACATTTGCTTTCTATCTTCCTTCTCTCATGTACATACATATGTAGTATGTATACATACATACTGAGAGAATATTGTGCAGAAAAAGTTCTTTATCACTACATAATTCAGTACGTTTTCACTAAAAACAAGGACATTGTCTTAACTACAGCACTATTATCAAACTCAGAAAATTTACAATGGTATAATATTACCATGTAGTCTATAGCTATTATTCAAATATTGCAAATTGTTCTGCTAGAGCATTATATAACAAAAGAAAAAAAATTGCTGTGATCAAGAATTAATTTTATTTCTTTGTCATGTTCCTTTAGTATCCTTTAATCTAAAATAGTACTTCCTTTCTTTGTCTTTCATGACCCTACATTTTTGAAGACCAGTTATTTTTTGGTAGAAAAAGCACAGACTTGCACCCGCCAGGGCCATGCCTCCATGCTAATAACATCACCAGTGTGACCATGTGCAGTCACCAACGAGGGCTCCCTTTCCCTGCAAACTGTGCTACCTCCCCCGCTGCCGTAAATGCCCACACAAAAGCAGGCACCCTGGCCCTTGCTGTCACCTGCTGCAGCTGACAAGCACGTACCCCATTACTCTGCTGCTGCTGCACCACTCATTGGAGTGTAGTGACCAGTGGTCTGGGAACACCTTGGTCACCTCAGCACAATGGATTCCTAATTGCAGGGAGCCAGAGAGCTAAGTTGAGGCCTGATACAAGATCCCCAGTGTTAGAGCATACAGTCCAGGAGTTGGGAGATGAGCCTTGGCCACCTAAAATCTTCTAGAAACAAAGCTAGTTGAATGAACCCACCTTATACCACAATCGAATCCTCAAAATCATCAAGTAGGCTAAAAGTAAAAAACACCCATCCAAAGGACAGCAGCTTCAAAGACTGAAGGAACACCAGCCCATATAGATGAGAAAGAACCAGTCCATGAACGCTGACAACTCAAAAAGCCAGAGTGCCTTAATTCCTTCAAACAACTGCACTAGTTCTCTAGCAAGGGTTCTGAACTGAGCTGAAATGGCTGAAATGACAGACATAGAATTCAGAATATGGACAGAAATGAAGATCATCAAGATGAAGGAGTACTTTGAAACCCAATGCAAGGAAGTGAAGAATCACAATAAAATGATATACGAGCTGACACACAAAATTGCCAGTATACAAAATAATATAAACAACCTGATAGAGCTGAAAAACACAGAAGAATTTCATAACGCAATTGCAAGTATTAATAGCAGAACAGACCAGACTGAGGAAAGAATTTCAGAGCTTGAAGACTGGCTTCCTGAAATAAGTCAGACTGACAGTAATAGAAAAAAAGGAACAAACAAAACCTCCAAGAAGTATGATATTATGTAAAAAGACCAAATCTACAACTCACTGTTGTGCCTGAGAAAGATGGGGAGAATGGAAGCAAATTACAAATAATGTTTCAAGATATTCATGAAAACTTCCCCAACATAGCTAGAGATGCCAACATTCAAATTCAGGAAATGCAGAGAGCCCCAGTAAGATACTTCACAAGAAGATCATCCCCAAGACACATAATCATCAGATTCTCCAAGGTTGAAATGAGGGAAAATGTTAAAGGCAGCTAGAGGGAAAAGTCAGGTCACCTAAAAAGGGAAGCCCATCTGACTAACAGCGGACCTCTCAGCAGAAACCCTACAAGCCTGAAGATATTAGAGGCCAATATTCAACATTCATTAAGAAAAGAAATTCCAACCAAGAATTTCATATCTGGCCAAACTAAGCTTCATAAGCAAAGGAGAAATAAGATCCTTTTCAGACCAGCAATGCTGAGGGAATTTGTTACCACCAGACCTTCCTTACAAGAGCTCCTAAAGGAAGCACTAAATATGGAAAGACGATTACCAGCCACTACAAAAACACACTGAAGTACATAGACCAGAGACACTATAAAGCAACCACACAAATCTGCATAATAACCAGCTTAACATCATGATGACAGGATCAAATCCACACATATCAATACTAACCTTAAATGTAAAGGGGCTAAATCCCCCAGTTAAAAGACAGAGTGGCAAGCTAGATAAATAATCAAGATCCATTGGTATGCTGTGAAGAGACCAATCTCACATGCAATGACACACATTGACTCAAAATAAAGGAATGGAGAAATATCTGCTAAACAAATGGAAAACAACAAAAAAAAGCAGGGGTTGCGATCCTAATTTTAGACAAAACAGACTTAAACAAAGGTCATAAAAGACAAAGAAGGGCATTACATATGGTAAAGGATTCAATTCAACATGAAGACCTAACTATCCTAAATATATATACACCCAACACAGAAACACTCATATTAATAAGGCACGTTCTTAGAGACCTTCAAAGTGACTCAGACTCCCATAAAATATTAGTGAGAAACTTCAACACTCCACTGACAGTAGTAGTCAGATCACTGAGGCAGGAAATTAACAAAGATATGCAGGGCCTGAACTCAGCACTGGATTAAATGTACCTAATGGATATCTACAGAGCTCTCCACCCCAAAACTACAGAATATACATTCCTCTCATTGCTACATGGCACATACTCTAAAATCAATCACATAATCAGACACAAAAATACTCCTCAGTGAATTCAAAAGGACTAAAATCATAACACCCACTATGACTCTGACTCCAGAGGAAAAAATTAGAAATCAAAACTAAGAAAATCACTGAAAAACATAAAATTACATGGAAATTGAATAATCTGCTCCTGAATGACTTTTGGGTAAAAAATGAAATTAAGGCAGAAGTCAAGAAGTTCTTTGAAACTAATGAGAAAAAAAGATACAACATATGAGAATCTCTAGGACAAAATTAAGGCAGTGTTAAGAGGGAAATATACAGCACTAAATGTCCATATCAAAAAGTTAGAAAGATATCAAGTTAACAACCTAACATTACAACTAAAAGAACTAGAGAACCAAGAGCAAATCAAAGCTAGCAGAAGACAAGAAATAACCAAAATCAGAGCTGAACTGAAGGAGACTGAGAAACAAAAAAACATTCAAAAGATCAATGAATCCATGAGTGGATTTTTTGGGAAAAATTTAATAAAATAGATAGACTGTTAGGTAGACTAATAAAGAAGAAAACAGAGAAGATGCAAACATACACAATTAGAAATGATGAACCGGGTATTATCAATGACCCCCAGAAATACAAATAAACATCAGAGAACATTATGAAAAACAAATAACGATCAGAGAATATCATGAACACCTATAGTTTGTGTGCTCATAAGCACACAAATCTAGAAGAAATATATAGATTTCTGGATACATACACCCTCCCAGGACTGAACTTAAAAGTGATTGAATCCCCAAACAGACTAATAATCAGCTACAAAATTGAATCAGTAATAAATAGCCTACTAACCAAAAAAAAGCACAGGACCAGATGGATTCAAAGCCAAATTCTACCAGAGAACACAGAAGAGCTAGTACCATTCCTATTGAAACTATTCCAAAAGTTTGAGGAGGGACTCCTCCTTAACTCATTCTATGAGGCCAGCATCATCCTGATACCAAAACCTGGCAGAGATAAAACAAAAAATGAAAATCACAGGTCAATATTCTTGAAGAACATCTATGCAAAAATCTCCAACAAAATACTGGCAAACTGAATCCAGCAGCACATCTTTTTTTTTTTTTTTTTTTTTTTTTTGAGATGGAGTTTTGCTGTTGTTGCCCAGGCTGGAGTGCAGTGGTGCGATCTTGGCTCACCGCAACCTCCGCCTCCCGGGTTCAAGCAATTCTCCTGCCTCAGCCCCCTGAGTAGCTGGGATTACAGGCATGTGTCATCACGCCTGGCTAATTTTGTATTTTTAGTAGAGACGGGGTTTCTCCATGTTGGTCAGGCTGGTCTCGAACTCCCGACCTCAGGTGATCCGCCTGCCTTGGCCTCCCAAAGTGCTGGGATTACAGGCATGAGCCACCGCGCCTGGCCCAGCAGCACATCAAAAAGTTAATCCACCACAATAAAGTAGACTTCATCTCTTAGATGTGAGTTTGGTTCAACATATGCAAATCAATAAATGTGATTCATCACATAAACAGAACTAAAGACAAAAACTATATGACCATCTCAATAGATGCAGAAAAGGCTTTTGATAAAATTCAAACCCCTTCCTGTTAAAAACTCTCAATAAACTGGGTATTGAAGAAACATACCTCAAAATAATAGGAGTCATCCATGACAAACCACAGCCAACATCATAGGGATTGGGCAAAAGCTGGAAGCATCCCCTTGAAAGATGGTACAAGGCAAGGATGCCCTCTCTCACCATTCCCATTCAACATAGTATTGGAAGTCCCGGCCAGGGCAATCAGGCAAGAGAAAGAAATAAAGGGAATCTAAATAGGAAGAGAGGAAGTCAGACTATCCCTGTTTGTATACCACATGATCTATAGCTAGAAAATTTCATAGTCTCAACACAAAAGCTCCATAAGTTAACAAACAATTTCAGCAAAGTCTCAGGATACAAAAATCAATGTACAAAAATCACTAGCATTCCTATATACCAACAACTGTCAATCCAAGTTCCAACTTAAGGGAACTTCTTTAATTCTCAAGGGAAGCCTATTTTCCCTGACTTTCCAGAGGCACATCCTTTCCTCTTTCCTTCTAAACACCTAGCATGAGTTCCTCAATTACCAATGGCATTTGGAAACAAAAGCCAGGGAAGAAACTTCATGTTAGCCTATTTTTTCCTGTCACAAACTTCTCCTAGGGCATTAATGAGAAAAGGGAAAATATAACATTAAAAAACTAAATTAGTATCTTAAAATATTATCCTGCAAAGTCTCATCACCACCTCTTTTGGGCTAATTTGTTTATTGCCTATCTCCCTCAATACACTGGGAACATTATGAGGGGAGGGATTATCTCTGTCTTGTTTATCACCTATCTTTGGTGCCTCCACATATAATAAATGATCAGTAAGCATCTGTTGAATGCATGAGTTAATGTGGTATGTAGTATCATTTATCACCTTTCTCAATAGACTGTTAAGTCTATGGTGCTACTTTGCATGTGGCCAGGAAAGCTTGCTAAAATTAAGTGACCTGGAATCTTTTTTTTGAATCATGAAAGATTCAATGGTTTTTCAATAAAAAGAAAATATATCCACAAGAATTGAAACCTGAATCTGTTACTAATGTTTTAGCAGAATCAGTATATGTTGATCAAGGCAATGCCTTATAGATAAGGGGTACAGAGTAAGCACCTACGAGAAAACAAGGGCTCTGAAGAGAGGAGAGAAGCCTGAAGAAAACAGTTCTTTCCAACAAAGCACTTCCCTTATGCTTGAGCCCTGGGCAATCATCAGGAGGGACACCCCTCTCCACTGCCCACACACACAATCATCAGCCAGAACAAGAGGGTGTACAATGAGTACCCCAGTGTTAGTAGGCCTTTTTTGCAAAGGACAACATAATCAAAGCTAGTTATTAATATAAAGTAACCAGAAAATGCAAGTTAAGAGTAGAATTAAATGGATTCATAGATGATTATAAGGCCATTCATAAACAACATTAATAGTTGATTGATGTTTCCTTGATTTTTATTACTGAGAACTACTCTGCTTTGGTCCTAGCCTAAAATATATAAAGTGTTGATTATCATATTTGAATATCACATAAAGGAAAAGTATTAAATATAAAACACTTCCTATATTCTAGGCAATGTGCTTGGAATTTTATATATGCTGTGCTATTTAATCCTTTCCACAGTTCAGGTCAAAATTTTATTTTCTTTATTTTATATTCTGTGCACTCAGCAAAAGCACAAAATGATTGCCAATATCTTGTTGACCTTGTACTTTGAGAAAGTTAAGAAAAAGCTAAACCCAAGAAGAAGGATAATTGGATTAAAATGAAAATGTTACACATTCCTTCAAAATGACCAACTGTACAAGATTAGAATGATAGAGACCTGGATTAGAGAACTTCATTCACAGGTGACCTAGGGGTTTTAGTCAACTATAAACTCAATATAAATCAATAGTGTTACGAAGCTGCCAAAAAATGAATGTAAATGTTGTTGCTGTAATGGAAAATTGGTGTCTCATAAAGGAAGGACATCATCCCACTGGAATCTGCACTACTTTGTCCACATCTGTTATGACCCATAACATTCTGGACACTCTGTTACTAGAGAGACTGTTATAAACTGAAGTGCAGGGACTTGAGGGTAGCCAGGATGTTGTAGAAAATTTTGTATAGGCCAGGCACGGTGGCTTATGCCTCTAATCCCAGCACTTTGGGGGGCCAAAGTGGGTGGATCACCTGAGGTCAGGAGTTTGAGACCAGCATGGCCAACATGGCGGAACCCCATCTCTACTAAAAATACAAAAATTAGCCAGATGTAGTGGTGCACGCCTGTAATCCCAGCTACGTGGGAGGCTGACGCAGGATAATCCCTTGAACCCAGGAGGTGGAGGTTGCAGTGGGCCAAGATCGTGCCTGGGCTATAAAGCGAGACTGTGTCTCAAAAAAACAAACAAAAAAAAGGGGGACATTTTATGTAGTTAATTATTGAAAGACCTAAGAGTTGTTTAACTAGATTTTTTCTTTTTAGTGTTATTTACCTGGCACTGTTTTAGGTTCTTTACATGTTTAATTTTATCTAGTCATCATTACAACCCTGGGAGGTTAGTGCTATTTAAAGATCTGAAAGAATGGTTCCATTGAAAGATTTAAAAAAGAAAGAAAAACCAATGGGTCTTTGAGGGATTAGGTAATTTACCTCAGATCTCAGATTTCAAATGTTTGATGATTTGTTTTACGAAATCAAGTTAACCTTATTCTTTAGCCTGTCAGGGCATGTTCTGACTCCAAGACTGGCGGAGAAAAGATGAATTAACAGAGAAAAAGATTTTGGTTTGATTTACAACAAACAACAAACAATAATATTTTCACAATTATAAGCATTCAAGAATGGAGTGGTCTTCCTTTTGAGACAGTGAATGCCTCCTCCCTGAAAGTCACTTGTCAAGTATGTTAGAAAAACTGAGGTTTGTTTGTTTGGGAAGAATAAAATACAAATGGTCTCTGTGGCCTCTATAATCTAGGAGGCAAAAGCACATATAAAATTCTAACTATGCATTTATTCCAGGGAGATTTATGTACTGTGTGGGTTTTCTCACATAAAAGACAAATCCCAGAGTATCTCTCTTCTTGCAGAGTTCTAATCTGTACTTTCTTTTCATAACTCAGCCCCTCGGTCATTTACCATTCATTATGCTGCTATTTGGGGTCTCTGAGAATTCCAACAGTTCCCTGGCCTCAAGTAGCTCACACTTTTGATGAAAAACTGACACATGTAGACAGTTGTTCTATAGTGCTGTGAGTTCCAAGAAAGAAGTAGGAAAATAATTCTGAAAGAATACAGTGGAGAGCTCATTAGTATCTCCCAGTAAGTAGGCTACAGGGAGGACAAATATTCACAGAGGAGAGTTTGAATTTATTATGGAAGGGGAGTAAAAACTTGCCAAGTGGAAAAAGAGAAATAAGAAATATCAGCCACACTTTAGCTTCTGGATTTGAAAACTGCATAGATTTAACAAACCACAAATAATTTAGTATGACTGGAGGACAAAGACCTATGGAAACAGAGAGGTCACAGATCACAAGGGGCACATTAAGAATTATTGGACTTTATCCTATAGTTGATGGGAACAGTTGAAGAGTTTTTAAGGAGAGAAATTATTCAAAATTATGAAAGTACATACTCTGGAGACAAATCATAGAAGATATTTCTAAAGTCAAAAAATTATTTTTTTTACCATTCTCTCAATTTGGATTGTTTACCCCATTGCTGTTCTCTGTTAGTGCATATAATTGAGAATCAACTTGAGTACATTTCTAGCTTCATGATCATCATTATTCTGAGGAACATTCATCATATGAGAAGTTTCAGAAAATTTCTTGTGACCTTACTTAATTTTGTTGCTAGTTATAGATGCTTATTGACAGCAAAAAAAGGAAAAAGGCAAAGTGTGTTTAACCAGGTTAAAATGTTAAACTTTGTAAATGTTATTATAGAAGCATGACTTCTTCAGAGAGGAAAAACGTTACAGACAACCTTTAGAAGTTTCAGTGTACATCATTTCCATAATAAGGCTCCATTGTCCTTGTTTGAAATATTCATTCTGCCCACACTACAGCCTGCACACCAGGCAACCCAACAGGGCTTTGTTTCATCTGTGTTCTTGGCCCCCAGTTCCTAGGAGGCTTCTCAACCCATTGATCAGAGTGCTGCCTATGTGTTTGCTCTGCAGCCCCACTAGGGAGTTTCCCAGTGACTTGCTGAGGATTGCACTGCAGTAAGCAGGGAAACTTTATGAGGCTGACCCTTCATGTAAACCTCTAACATAACATTAACCTGCCCACTGGCCAATATGACTGGTAAAAAAGAATAATATTCTTTTAGGCTTCTCAGAAGAAATTACTACTATAATTTTCACAAAATGCTCTCTGTCATCTAATCGTGCTATTCTCCATGCTCCTGCCTTCCATGAGAAGTATCAGAAAAGGAGAGAGAGCAACATGGCCACTAGATGCAGACAAATGGAACAGCTCCCACACAGGACTGAGACAACTGGTGTACTCTGAACAGATGTTCAGAGGGAAGGTTCCAAGAGTGGACAGAGGGAAGACACAGAGAGTGGGCTGAAGCAGGAGAAAGCTGGGAACTCTGCATGGGCTACCACACACTGGGACCCATTTTTGAACCACAACAGCTCCAGGGTAATGGGTGAGTTGAGCTGGCAAGGAGCAACCTGCTCTTGCTACAGGCCTCTGGAAACCCAGCAAGAGGGGACCTCTTGACCACCATGGACACTTTAGGTGGCAGGGAGAGCTGTTTAAAGAAATGGTAGCAGCAGCAAGCCAGCTGATGTAGAGTCCAGAAGATTTGGTGCTGGAGCATCTATAGTAGAGAGCAGCCAGGGAAGGCCATCTCCCTGGGCTCAACTTGCTCCTATAAGAGACTTTAGCCCTAGGGAAATTATTGGACCTGATTGCTGCAGAGCAGTCTTGCACATCAGATGGGGCTAGTCCAACCCATGTATCCTTTGGTCTGGTGACCTCTCCTGGGGCTCCAGCCTGGCCATACCTGCTCACAGGGCAGTCTCAAGGGCCCTGGGGGCCCACATCATAGCTTCTGTGCTGGTGGACTGTGCCTGACCTGTGAAGAGCTCCAGCAAGGTGGCTTCTATGGCCATGCATCAGATCTCATGCTCCCTTCACATACTACAGCTTCCGCCAGGGTCCGTGGCAACTCCCCACATCACTTTGTGGGCACATGTCTGCATGAGTAGGTTTTTCTTTACCTACCAACATGAGGGAGTACAGTTTACCCCCCATCCCCCTTCTGACTGCCATTGCAGAAAGAGCTTTGGTAGCCACAGACCCAGCAAGCCATGCCTCTACCAGTGCCCGACTCTGCACTAACACTAGGCAGAGAAGAGTGGATCCTCCCACACCCTAAGCAATCACTTCTGCTTGCAGAGCACAGAGAAGGCACCCAGACCTGCACCTACCAGTACTCTGTTCCCAAGCCAACACCACCTCCAGTGCAACTGCTCATGCAGTCTCCAACAGGGGCCCCCTACAGCCCCACTCTCACAGTTCTGTTGCCTCCACCACTGTGGTGAAAGTCCACAGGGAGGCAGGCAGCCCTGCATCCACTAGCACTCTGCTGCTGCTGCTGCACCTCAGCCCACCACAGCGCAGCAGACTCCAAACCTTGAGGAGCCAGAGAACAAAGTCAGGGCTCAATGCAAGTCCCCCCATGCCAGAGTTAGAGTATGCAGTACAGGAGCTGGAAGCTGAGTATTGAACCCCTAAAAATCTTCCAGAAACAAAGCCAGTTGACTGAATCCACATTGCACCACAATCAAACCCTCAAGGTCATCATATAGGATAAAAGAAAAAAAAAAACTTATCCAAAGGTCAGCAATCTCAAAGATTGAAGGTAGGTAAGCCCACAAAGATGAGAAAGAATCAGTGCAAGAATGCCAAAAGCTCAAAAAGCTGGGGTGTCTTCTATCATGCAAACCAGCAAATCACCTCTCCAGCAAGGGTTTGGAAACTGGGATGAACTGGCTGAAATGAGAGCAATAGAATTCAGAATATGGATAGAAAGGAAGATCATTGAGCTACAAAGATATATTGAAACCCAATGCAACGAAGCTAAAAATCATGATAAAACAGTGCAGAAACTGACAGACAAAATAACCCATATAGAAAAGAATATAAACAACCTGATAATAGAGCTGAAAAATACACTATAAGAATTTCATAATGCAATTGCAAGTATTAATAGCAGGATAGACCAAGTGGAGGAAATAATCTCAGAGTTTGAAGATTGCCTTCTGAAATAAGACAAACAGACAAGAATAGAGAAAAAAAAGAATGAAAATCAACTAACATACCTCCGAGAAATATGGGATTATGTAAAGAGACCAAATCTATGACTGATTGGTATCTCTGAAAGAGAAGGGGAGAAGGGGACCAATTTGGAAAACGTATTTTAGGATATTATCCATGAGAACGTTCCCAACCTAGCTAGAGAGGCCAACATTTAAATGCAGGAAATGCAGAGAACTCCAGTAAGATAATTCACAAGCAAATCAGCCCCAAGACACATAATCATCAGAAACCCCGAGGTCAAAATGAAAGACAAAATGTTAAAGGCAGCAAGAGAGAAAGGTCAGGTGACCTACAAAGGGAAGCTCATCTGACTAACAATGGACCACTCAGCAGAAATCCTATAAGTCAGAAGAGATTGGGGGCAAATATTCAACATTCTTAAAGAAAAGAAATTCCAACCAAGAATTTAATATCTGGCCAAACTAAGCTTTGTAAGCAAAAGGGAAATAAGATCCTTTCCAGACAAGCAAATGCTGAGAGAATTTGTTACCAACAGAGCTGCCTTACAAGAGTTCCTAAAGGAAGCACTAAATATGGAAAGGAAAGATGATTGCCAGCCACTACAAAAATACACTGAAGTAGAGAGACCAATAACACTATAAAGCAACCACATAAACGAGTCTGCATAATAATCAGCTAACATCATGATGACAGGATCAAATCCACACATATCAATACTAACTTTAAATGTAAATGGGCTAAATGCCTCAATTAAAAGAGATGGTGGCAATCTGGATAAAGAATCAAGACCCAATGTTATGTTGTCTACAAGAGATCCATCTCTCATGCAATGACACCCATAGGCTCAAAATAAAAGAATGGGGAAAAAAAGTCTACCAAGAAAATGGAAAACAGAAAAAAGCAGGGGTTGCAATCCTAATTTCAGACAAAACAGACTTTAAAGCAACAAAGATCAACAAAGACAAAGAAGGACATTAAATAATGGCATAGGGTTCAATTCAACAAGAAGACCTAACTATCCTAAGTATATATGCACCCAACACAGAAGCACCCAGATTAATAAAGCAAGTTCTTAGAGATCTTCAAAGAGACTTAGACTCCCACACAATTACAGTGGGTGACCTTAACACCCCACTGACAATATTAGACAGATCATTGAGACAGAAAATTAACAAAGATATTCAGGGCCTGATCTCAGCACTGGATCAAATGTACCCAATAGATATCTAAAGAACTCTGTACCCTAAAAATACAGAATATACATTCTCATTGCCACACGGCACTTACTCTAAAATCAACCATATATTTGTACACACAACACTCCCCAGCAAATGCAAAAGAACTAAAATTATAACAAACAATCTCTTGGCCCACAGAGAAATTAAATCAGAAATCAAGACTAAGAAATTCACTCAAAACCATACAATTACATGAAAATCAAATAACCTGCTCCTGAATGACTTTTGGGTAAAAAAAGAAATTAAGGCAGAAATTAAGAAGTTCTTTTAAACCAATGAGAACAAAGATACAACATACTAGAATCTCTGGGACACAGTTAAGGCAATTAAGAGAAATTTCCTATTAAGAGGGAAATTTATAGCACTAAATGCTCACATCAAAAAGCTAGAAAGATCTCAAGTTAACAATTTAACATTACAACTGAAAAAACTAGAGAACCAAGAGCAAATCAACCCCAAAGCTAGCAGAAGACAAGAAATAACCAAAATTGAAGTTGAGCTAAGGGAGATAGAGACATAAAAAAACATTCAAAAGATCAACAAATCCAGGAGCTGGTTTTTTTGAAAAAATTAGTAAAATAGATAGACTGCTAGGTAGACTAATGAAGAAAAGAGAGAAGATACAAATAAACACAATTAGAAATGACAAAGGGGATATATCACTGACCCCACAGAAATACAAAAAACCATCATAGAATATTATGAACATGCCTATGCACATAAACTCAAAAATCTAGAAGAAATGGACAAATTTTTAGACTCATACACCCTCTCAAGACTGAACCAGTAAGACATTCAATCCTTGAACAGACCAAAAATGGGCTCTGAAACTGAGGCAGCGATAAATGGCCTACCAACCAAAAAAATGCCCAGTACCAGATGGATTCACAGCTGAATTCTACCAGATGTACAAAGAAGAGCTGGCACTATTCCTATGAAAATATTCCAAAAAATTGAGGAGGAGGGACTCCTCCTCAACTCATTCTGTGAGGCCAGCACCATCCTGATATCAAAACCTGGCAGAGACAAATGGAAAAAGAAAATTTTAGGTTAATATCATTGATGAATATCGATGCAAAAATCCTCAACAAAATACTGGCAAACCAAATCCAGCAGTGCATCAAAAAGCTTATCCACCACAATCAAGTAGGCTTTACCCCTGGGATACAAAATTGGTTCAACCTACACGAATCAATACATGTGATTCATCACATAAACAGAACTAAGAATAAAAATCACATGATCATCTCCATAGATACAGAAAAAAAAGTTTTATATAAAATTTATGTTATAAACTCTCAATAAACTAGGTATTGAAGAAACATACCTCAAAACAATAAGAACTATATATGACAAACCCACAGCCAACATTATATTGAAGGGGCAAAAGCTGGAAGCATTCTCCTTGAAGACTGGCACAAGACAAGGATGCCCTCTTCTACCACTCCTATTCAACATAGTATTGGAAGCCCTGGCCAGGGAAATCAGGCAAGAGAAAGAAATAAAGGGAATCCAAATAAGAGAGAAAGTCAAATTATCCCTGTTTGCAGACAATATGTGCTTCTACCTAGAAAACCTCAGTCTCAGCCCAAAAGCTCAAGCTGATACACAACTTCAGCAAAGTCTTAAGATACAAACTCAATGTGCAGAAATCAGTAGCATTTCTATATACCAACAACCATCAATCTGGGAGCTAAATCAGGAATGTAATTCCATTCACAATTGCCATAAAAAATACTTAGGAATACAGCTAGCTAGGGAGGTAAACAATCTCTACAATGAGAGTTACAAAACACTGCTCAAAGAAATCAGAAATCAGAGATGACACAAACAAATGCAAAAACTTCCATGCTTATGGATAGGAAGAATCACTATTGTTAATATGGCTACAGCACCCAAATCAATGTATAAATTCAATGCTATTCCCATTAAACTACCATTGAAATTCTTCATGGAACTAAAACCAACCAAACAAACAAAAAGCAAAAAAAAAAAAAAACCCTATTTTAAAATAGTAAAATAGTTAAAAAACTATTTCAAAATTCATGTGAAACGAAAAAAGAGCCTGAATACCCAAGGCAATCCTAAGCAAAAAGAACAAAGCTGGAGGCATTACACTAACCGACTTCAAATTATATTACAGGGCTACAGCATGGTACTGGCACAAAAACAGACACATAATAGAGAATTGAACAGAATAGAGAACCCAGAAATAAGGACACATGCTTAGAACTATCTGATCTTTGACATACCTGACAAAAAACAAGCAATGGGGAAAGAATCCCTATTCAATAAATGGAGCTGGGATAAAAGACTAGCCATAGGCAAATGATTGAAACTGGACCACTTTCTTACACCATATACGAAAATTAACTCAAGATGGATCAAAGACTTAAATGTAAAACCCAAAACTAAAAAACAAACAAACAAACAAAAACCCTGGAAGACAACCTAAGCAATACTATTTAGGATATAGGCACAGGCAAGCATTTCATGATGAAGACACCAAAAGCAATTGCAACAAAAGCAAAAATTGATGAATGAATCTAATTGAACTAAACAGCTTCTGCACAGCAAAAGAAACTATAAACAATAAAAAGGCAACCTACAGAATGGGAAAAAATTTTTGCAAACTATGCATCTGGAACAAAAGTGTAATATCAAGCATCTATAAGGAACTGAAATCTACAAGAGAAAAACAAGTGACCCCATTAAAAAATGGGCAAAAGACATGAACAGACACTTTTCAAAAGAAGACATACATGTGGCCAAGAATCATGAAAAAAGCTCAATATCATTGATCACTAGAGAAATGCAAATCAAAACCACAATGAGATACCATCTCACACCAGTCAGAATGGCTACTACTAAAAAGTCAAAAAATAGCAGAGGCTGGAGAGGTTGTGGAGAAAAAGGAATGCTTATATACTTTTGGTGGGAGTGTAAATTAGTTCAACCATTGGAAGACAGTGTGATGATTCTTCAAAGACCTAGATAGAAATACCACTTGACCCAACAATCCCATTACTGGGTATATACCCAAAAGAATGTAAATCATTCTATTATAAAGACACAGGCATGCATATGTTCACTGCAGCACTATTCAGAATATCAAAGACATAGAATCAACCTAAATGCCCTTCAGTGATAGACTGGGTAATGAAAATGTGACATATATACACCATGCATACTATGCAGCCATAAAAACAAATAAGACCATGTTCTTTGAGGGGACACGGATGGAGCTGGAGGCTGTTATTCTTAGCAAGCTAACACAGGAACAGAAAACCAAATACCACATGTTCTCACTTATAAGTGGGAGCTAAATGATAGAACACATGAACACATAGAGGGAAACAACACACTGGGGCCTAACAAAGGATGGAGGGTAAGAGGAGGGAGAGGAGGACAGGAAAAATAACTAATGGGTGATAGGCTTAGTACCTAGGTGATGAAATAATCTGTACAACAAACCCCAATGACACGAGTTTACCTATGTAGCAAAACTGCACATGTACCCCTCAACTTAAAATAAAAGTTAAAAAAACAGAAAAAAAATCCATCCCTTTTGTTTTTTATTCCTAATTGGCTTCCATATCATATAGTTCCATCCTGCTTAGACTGGCTCCTATATTTACAACACAAAATTCTGCCATCAATACTGCCCATGCTCTCTTGGTTAAAATCTTCCCATTGACACTTGAAAACAACTCGGTCACAATGTAGATTTGATCCACATAATATTTCAACACCAGTGTTTCTGAATATAGAGCAGTTCTTTTGTTTGGATGCTTACCTGCCAAACCCACATTTACATGCTCGAGTTTGCTTTAAAATCTCCTACTATTTGTTTTACTTTTCTGCAAACCTCAGAACTATTACTTAGAGACCAAACAACTATAATTAAAGAAAGGCTTTCAAATAAATAGTTTTCCAGTTTCATTGTTGGAAATGTGTGTGACAAGTCTCTAGCATTAGCAATAGTGAAACCAACCTTAGAGATGAACTTGTCAGGCCACCAACGGGGTGGGAAAAGGAAGACACCTTGGTTAGTTGTATATTTGTACTCAACATAGAAAACATTCAAGAACACTAGCCAACATCATCTCTAATTACTGTTGTGATTAGTATCAAAGAACTGGGTCCCAGGAGGCTTGCTTTTCTGAAGAAAATACAGTGCCATATGTTGTGACTTTTTTTTTGTACAATTCTCTTGCGTTAGTAAGGATTTCTCTGTCCTGCAATTGTCCTTTCAAATTTTTCTTTATTTGAAATATATTCTAAAGAGCAAATTTTCCCGGTTGCTTAGAGTTGATCTTTTTAAAAAATAAACTGTCATTTCATTAAAAAAAAAATTTCAGTTTTATTCTGGAGGTGTATAAGCAAAATGTAGCTCATTTAAAGACCAAATAGAAGAAAAAAGAGAGTTTGATAGAAGCCTCAAGGTCTTTTCTCAACATGGAGTCTGCTTGTCAAACAATGTTTCAGTAATTAATACAGTTTAGTCCTGCTGACCAAAATATTTTCTGCTGAAAAAAATATTTGTTGTAAGTCTTTCTATTTAAATATGAGATCAAAGTTTCTCAAACATGAGGCAGCATGACTTAGTAAAAAGCATACAGTACTGGATACTAGGTCTTCTGACAACTATCTTATAGATATGTTTTATCTTTTAAATAATATACCATATATAAATAGTACAGTGTCCAGTACATATTAAGTGTAAGGATTTATCATGTTATTTCTTCTAGAATGTTGCTTTTACAAATATTACCCTATATAGACTTCTGAAATCAGATCCAGCATGAAAAAAAAGCTTGGAAAACATCACTATCATCCTTAAAATAAGAAGTTGATTATTCAATCCTCTATAATTCAAAGGAAAAAAAGTTGATCGAACTGCAAATTAATTACTTTCCTTAGACCCATCAGAGATATAAGGTCACAGGGCACACTACTACCCTGAAATCTGGAGACAAGTGAAATTAAGGTCACAAATGAAATTTGTTTACTGAGCAGAGAAACCATTGGAATCATATTTTGGTGAATTATTGGAGGCTGAGTGTGTGTGAGTATGACAGTGAGAAAGCGCTACAGACCACAGTCTCAGGGGAGGCCTACATTTTTATAGTTTTACTCTGAAAACCCTGTCAGGTCCTCATATTGAAGTTCTGAAAAAGATCTCATGACTGGCAAAAGGAGAGTTAGAGAAACCATTGTGAAATATCCCCAGCATGTTCTCCATTACAAAGACATACTTTTTAGAGTAAAAGACTTTACAGGAGCCTTATCCTACTTGAGGAAAATGTATTTCTCTTGTTCCAGCTGCCAACCCCCACCCCTTAACCTTCTTGTCTCATCTCATCAGTGAAAAGGGGTGTGGGGGGACAAAAAACCTAAGAAGCACTTGTAATAGTCACAGACCAGGGACTCGGGCTGAGATTTAATCATAAGATTATCGAATGTTTCCCCTCCCCCACACTTTACCATTACACCAATGGGCTCCAGCATAACAGTGGATTATAGATGGAAGAACTGCAAGACACAGATTATCTCTGAGAAGTACTTAGTGAAGACTGAGGTCGAGAGGGGAGACAAAAACAA
Source organism: Homo sapiens (assembly GCF_000001405.40). Lineage (NCBI taxonomy): Eukaryota > Metazoa > Chordata > Mammalia > Primates > Hominidae > Homo > Homo sapiens. The sequence continues at coordinate 96,281,212 of NC_000001.11, read as the reverse complement.
GGGCATTAGATTAATTTAAAACCTCTGAAACCTACAGCTCTAGCCAGATTAAGATAAAATCTCACACTAAAGACATATTTACCTTAGTTCCTATTACTTTTATTTTTGCAATCATTTTTATTATTCATTTATCATGCTCAACTTTCAACAAAAATTATATGGCATGCTAAAAGGAAGACAATACAAGATATGAAGAGGAAAAGTAAACATCTGGTCAGGCTCAAATATGACACACATGTTGGAATTATTAAATAAGGAATTTAAAATAATTATAACTAATATATTAAAGGCTTTAATAACAAATATACAATGTACAAAAACAAATGGGAATGAAAGCAGATAAATGAGAACTCTAAGAATGTTAAGAAAATGCTACAACTAGAAAAATGCCTTTGGTGGACTAATCAGTTGACCAAACATGGCCAAGAAATGAATTAGTGAGCTTGAATATATATCAGTAGAACTTTTCCAAATTAAAATACAAAGAAAAACAGAATAGTAATAATTAAACAGAAGAGAAAAATCCAAGAACTGTAGGACAATTTCTGAAAGTATAACCTACATATCATTGGATTATCAGAGAGAGAAGAGAGAAAGAATGAGGCATAAAAATCTTTGAAATATAAAGGCACAGAACTTTCCAAAATTAGTGACAGACACCAAACTATAACACAGGGAATCTCAGATAATGTGAAGCTATAAACACCAAAAAAATGACACCTGGCCACATCATATTCAAATTGCAAAAACAAACAAAAAACAAAACAACAAGAAACCATACCTGTAGAAAAACAAGGAACACCAGACTTTTATTTAGAAATCATGCATCCAAGAAGAAAGGAGAATAAAGCAAAGTGTTGAAAGAAGAAAAACATCAACCTAGTATCTTATATTCTGCAAAATCATCATTCAAAAGTGAAGGAAAAATATAACTTTCACAGGAAAACAAACCTGAGGGAATTTATCACCAGTAGACTATCTGGCAAGAAATTCTTCAGGTACAGAAAAATGATAGGTCAGAAACTCAGATCCACATAAAGAAAGGAGGTGTTGGAGAAGAACTAAATGAGGTTAAAATAGATATATTTTTATTTTTTCTATTCTTAATTGATCTAAAAGATAACTGTTTATAATGATAATAGTAACAATGGATTGGGTGATGGTAGCATATAAGTGTATGAAACAAATGACAGTATTATCAGAGATAAGAAGTAAGAATTGGGAATTCTCTGCTATAAAGTACTTGCATTAGAATAAAATAGTATACTTTAAAAGTAGACTTAGTTTAATTAGATCCCATTTGTCAATTTTGGCTTCTGTTGCCAATTGCTTTTGGTGTTTGAGACATGAAGTCCTTGCCCATGCCTATGTCCTGAATGGTATTGCCTAGGTTTTCTTCTAGGGTTTTTATGGTTTTAGGTCTAACATTTAAGTCTTTAATCCATCTTGAATTAATTTTTGTATAAGGTGTAAGGAAGGCATCCAGTTTCAGCTTTCTACATATGGCTAGCCAGTTTTCCCAGCACCATTTATCAAACAGGGAATCGTTTCCCCATTTCTTGTTTTTGTCAGGTTTGTCAAAGATCAGATGGTTGTAGAAATGGGATCTAAGTAAACTAAAGAGCTTCTGCACAGCAAAAGAAACTACCATCAGAGTGAACAGGCAACCTACAGAATGGGAGAAAATTTTTGCAATCTACTCATCTGACAAAGGGCTAATATCCAGAATCTACAATGAACTCAAACAAATTTACAAGAAAAAAACAAACAACCCCATCAAAAAGTGGGCAAAGGATATGAACAGACAGTTCTCAAAAGAAGACATTTATGCAGCCAAAAGACACATGAAAAAATGCTCATCATCACTGGCCATCAGAGAAATGCAAATCAAAACCACAATGAGATACCATCTCATACCAGTTAGAATGGTGATCATTAAAAAGTCAGGAAACAACAGGTGCTGGAGAGGATGTGGAGAAATAGGAACACTTTTACACTGTTGGTGGGACTGTAAACTAGTTCAGCCACTGTGGAAGTCAGTGTGGCGAATCCTCAGGGATCTAGAACTAGAAATACCATTTGACCCAGCAATTCCATTACTGGGCATATACCCAAAGAATTATATATCATGCTGCTATAAAGACACAGGCACACGCATGTTTATTGCAGCACTATTCACAATAGCAAAGACTTGGAACCAACCCAAATGTCCAACAATGATAGACTGGATTAAGAAAATGTGGCACATATACACCATGGAATACTATGCAGCCATAAAAAATGATGAGTTCATGTCCTTTGTATGGACATGGATGAAGCTGGAAACCAGCATTCTCAGCAAACTGTCTCAAGGACAAAAAACTAAACACCGCATGTTCTCACTCATAGGTGGGAATTGAACAATGAGAACACATGGACACAGGAAGGGGAACATCACACACTGGGGTCTGTTGTGGGGTTGGGGGAGCAGGGAGGGATAGCATTAGGAGATATACCTAATGTTAAATAACGAGTTAATGGGTGCAGCACACCAACATGGCACATGTATACATATGTAACTAAACTGCACGTTGTGTACAAGTACCCTAAAACAAAGTATAATAAAAAAAAAAGTAGACTTAGATTAGTAAAAACATATATTCCACAGACTGAAATCAAGAAGATAGCAGAATAGAACTTTCCACCTCTCTTTCCCTTGCAGGAGCATCAATTTGAACAAATATCCATGCACAAAAATATTTCACAAGGACTAAGGAATCCAGGTGAAAGATTAGAGCACCTGGGTATAGCACAGAAATAGAAAAAGTCACATGGAAGAGGATAGGGAGGACAGTTTCACAAGACCCACATCACCCCTCTTCTAAGCCCAGTCAGCACAGCACGGGGAGAGATAACCTTTAGGTTGTGGGGAGGAGACTAAAATGAGCACCTGATTCACTGTGGATCTCAGGACTAGGCCGACTCCAGTTAATCCCAGTGTGAAGTTTTCCCCTTTAGCACCCAGCCAGTCCTATAGTTGCAAGCTGTAGGCCCACTCCTGATGTCCCAGACTCCAAGCCTGCTCCATCACCAGGCCAACTCCTATGTTCTCAGGCTCAGGCCTGACTCTGTGATTCTAGGCTTTAGACCTGCCTTAGCATCAGGCCAGACCAGCCCAGGTTCCAGACCAGCCCCCAAGTCCCCAGTTTCCAGCTTGACCCTCACAGCCCTGGACTCAGGTCTGCCCCTGGAGACTCAGACTCCAGGCCTGCCCTAGTTCCAGGTTAGCCCTCATAGTCCCAGGTTTCAGGATAGCCTTATAAATCAAGGATCTATAAAACTCTGTGTTCTCAAGCTCCAGCCTGCCGTTTGCAGCTTCAGGTTCAACAAACATCCTAGTGCCAGGTTAACTCTTGCGGACACAGACTTCAGGATGATCCTTGCATACATAGTGTCAGGCCTCTTCCTACTACCCTGTGGATCCAGACTTCAGGCCTGTCTGTGGGGATTGAGGTGACTGGCTCGACAAGTGGACCTGGTACAAAGCAAGCTACCATGGCCTCAGGATCCAGGCCTACTTGGCTACCATGGCCTCAGGATCCAGACCCTAGTCCTAGGGCCACCCTTGTGGAACTAGGTACAGGCCCACCTTCCAACTGACCCAAGCACCAAGTCAGCTCATCCAAAGATTCCAGCAGCAAGCCAGCCCAAGGAACCTGCCAGGCAGCCTGCCCAGAACCTATAGATTGTCTGATTGGTTGAAGGGCTTTTCCTGCCAAAAGTAGTCTGTAAAGACTTGCAAAGTTGTTCATTTCTTCAAATGCGCAGACGTCAATGCAAGGACACAAACATCATTAATAACCAGGGAAACATAACACTACCAAAGGAACACAGTACCTACTGATAACTGGTTGTAAAGAAATAAAGATCTACAAAATGCTTGATATAGAACTCAAAATAATTATTTTAAAGAAGTTTAGTGAACTACAAATGAATACAGATAGATATCAAATGAAATCAGGAAAATAATATGTGAACAAAATGAGAAATTCGACAAAGAGATAAACTTCCTAAGTACCAAGCAGAAATTCTGGAGGCAAAGAACACAATGATTGAACTGAATTCAACAGATAGCTTCAACAGCAGACTCAAACAAGCAGTGGAAAGAATCAGTGAGCCTGAGGACAGGTCATTTGAAAATACTCACTCAGAGAAATGACAACAACAAAATGAATGAAAGAGTGAAGAAAGCCTATAGAATTTGTGGGACACCAGCAAATGAACCAATATATGCATTATAGGAGTTTCAGAAGAAGCAAAGAAAGAGAAATAGGGAAAAGCAAATTTCAATAAATAAGAACAGAAAACTAAAGACTCCATTGAAAAACTATTAGAACTAATAAATGAATTCAGTAAAGCTGTAGGATAGAAAATCAACACACAGAATTTAATAGCATTTCTATACACTAATATATTAGTCTGTTTTCATGCTGCTGATAAAGACATAACCAAGAATGGACAATTTATAAAAGAAAGAGGTTTAACGGACTCACAGTTCCACATGGCTGGGGAGGTCTCACAATCATGGTGGAAGGTGAAAAGCATGTCTCACATGGCAGCAGACAAGAGAAGAGAATGAGAGCCAAACGAAATGGGTTTCCCCTTATAAATCATCAGCTCTCATGAGACTTATTGACCACCACAAGAACAATATTGGGGAAAACAGAACCATGGGACTGGTTCTCCCATTGGGTCCCTCCCAACATGAGAGAATTATGGGAACTACAATTCGAGATGAGATTTGGATGGGGACAGAGCCAAACCATATCATTCTGCTCCTGGCCATGCCCCAATCTTATGTCCTCACATTTCAAAACCAATTATGCCTTACCAACAGTCCCTCAAAGTCTTAACTCATTTCAGCATTAACTCAAAAGTCCACAGTCCAAAATATCATATAAGACAAGGCAAGTCCTTTCTACCTATGAGCCTGTAAAATCAAAAGCAAGTTAGTCACTTCCTAGATACAATGGGGATACAGGCATTGGGTAAATACAGCTCTTCCCAATGGAAGAAACTGGCCAATACAAAGGGGCTACATGTCCCATGCAAGTCCAAAATCTAGCAGGGCAGTCAAATCTTAAAGCTCCAAAATGATCTAATTTGACTCCATTTCTCACATCCGGGTCATGCTGATGCAAGAGGTGGGTTCCCATGGTGTTGGGCAGCTCTGTCCCTGTGGCTTTGTGGGGTACAGCCTTCCTCCCGGCTGCTTTCATGGGCTGGCATTGAGTGTCTGTGGCTTTTCCAGGCACACAGTGCAAGCTGTCTGTGGACCTACCATTCTGGGGTCTGAAGGACAATGGCCCTCTTCTCAGAGTGCCACTGGGCAGCACCCCAGTGGGGACTTTGTGTGTGGGCACCCATCCCACATTTCCCTTCAGCAGTGCCTTAGCAGAGGTTCTCCATGAGAGCCACACCCTTGCAGCAAACTACTGCCTGGACATCCAGGTATTTCCATACATCCTCTGAAATCTAGATGGAGTTTCCCAAACCTCAATTCTTGACTTCTGTGCCCCCGCAGGCTCAACACTACATGGAAGCTGCCAAGACTTGGGGCTTGCACCATGGCCCGAGCTTTACCTTGCCCTTTTTATTCACACCTGGAGCAGCTGGGATGCAGCGGACCAAGTTCCTAGACTGTACACAGCAGAGGGACCCTGGTTCTGGCCAGTTCCTCCTAGGCCTCCAGACCTGTGATGGGAGGGGCTGTTGCAAAGGTCTCTGATATGCCCTGGAGACATTTTCCTCACCGTCTTGGTGATTAACATTCTGTTCCTCATTACTTATGCAAATTTCTGCAGCTGGCTTGAATTTCTCCTCAGAAAATGGGATTTTCTTTTCTATCACACTGTCAGGCTGCAAAATTTCCAAACTTTTATGCTTTGTTTCCCTTTTAAAACTGAAACCATTTAACAGCACCTGAGTCATACCTTGAATGCTTTGCTGCTTAGAAATTTCTTCTGCCAGATACCCTAAAGCATCTCTCTGAAGTTCAAAGTTCCACAAATCTCTAGGGCAGGGGCAAAATGCTGCCAGTCTCTTTGCTAAAACATAACAAGAATCACCTTTACTCTAGTTCCCAAAAAGTTCCTCATTTCCATCTGAGACAACCTCAGCCTGGATTTCATTGTCTATATCACTATCAGCATTTTGGTCAAAGCCATTCAACAAGTCTCTAGGGAGTTCCAAACTTTCCCACATTTTCCTGTCTTCTTCTGAACCCTCTGAACTGTTCCAGCCTTTGCCTGTTACCAAGTTCCAAAGCTGCTTCCACATTTTCAGGTATATTTTCAGCAGCAACCCATTCTACTGGCATCAATTTACCGTATTGGTTGTATTAGCCTGTTTTCATCCTGCTGATAAAGACATACCTGAGACTGGGCAATTTACAAAAGAAACAGGTTTAATGGACTCACAGTTCCATGTACCTGGGGAGGCCTCACAATCATGGCAAAAGGTTAAAGGCACGTCTCACATGGCAGCAGACAAAAGAATAGAATGAGAGCCAAGTGAAAGGGGCTTCCCCTTATAAAACCATCAGGTCTCGTGAGACTTATTCACTGCCACAGGAACAGTGTGGGGGAAATTGGCCACATGATTCAATTATCTTAAAATAATTGGGACCCACTGGGTTCCTCCCACAACATGAGGGAATTATGGGAGCTATAATTCAAGATGAGATTTGGTTGGGGACACAGACAAACCATATCAACTAACAATAAACTATGTGAAAATAAAACCAAGAAAAAAATTCCACCTACAATAGCAAGAAAGAATATTTCAGAGTAAGTTTAACCAAGAAGGTAAAAGATGTGTACATTGAAAACTATAAAACATATATGAGAGAAATTGAAGAAGACACAAATAAATGGAAAGATATCTGTGTTCATGGATTGTAAGTATTAATATTGTTCAAATGTTCATATTACCCAGAGCAATGTATAGAGATTCAATGCAATCCATACCAAAATTCCAATGTCATTTTTTCACAAAAATAGAAAAAGCAATGCTAAAATTAATATAGAACCACAAAAGACCCTGAGTAGCCAAAGCAATCTTGAGCAAAAGGAACAAAGCAAGATGTATCATAATACTTACAGTATTTGTTCTGTACTGTAGTATAGTATAACATTGTATTGCAATTTCAAATTATACTACAAAACTAAAGTAATCAAAACAGCATGGTACTGACATAAAAATGGGCATATAGACAATGAAACAGAATAGAGCAGCTCAGAAATGAATTCATGCATTTATGGCCAATTGATCTTTGACAGAGATGTCAAGAGTATACAATGGAGAAAAGATGGTCTCTTTAATAAACAATGGGAAAATTTGTTTTCTACCCACAGAAGAATGAATTTGGACCCTTATCTCACACCATAAACAAAAAATCCACTCAAAATGGATTAAAATCTTAAACATAAAAACTGAAACTCTATAATTACTAGGAAAAAAATTGAGGGAAAACTACATAACATTGGTCTGGGCAGTGATGTTTTGAATATGATCCTAAAAGCAAAAATAGATAAATCTGATCATTTCAAACTAAAAACCTCTGTGCAGCAAAGGAAATAATCAACAGAATGAAGAGAAAATCTACAGAATAGGAAAAATATTTGTAAGCCATACATCTTATAAGGGGATAATATTTAAAATACATAAGCAACTAAACAACTCAATAGTGAAAAAACAAATAACCTGATTAAAAAGTGGATGAAGGATCTGAGTAGACATTTCTCAAAAGAATACATACCAATGGCCAATAGGTGTATGATATGATTTGGATTCGTGTCCTCACCCAAAGCTCATCTCATGTTCAATTGTAATCCCCAGTGTTGGAGGTGGGGCCTGGTGGGAGGATTGTATTGTGGGGGTGGTTTTTCATGAATGTTTTAGCACCATTCTCTTGGTGCTGTTCTCGTGACAGTGAGTGAATTACTGTGAGATCTGGTTGTTTAAAAGTGTGTAGCACCTCCCTTCTTTGTGCTTTTTCTGAGGCCTCCCCAGAGGCTGATGCCGCCTTGCTTCCTGCAGAGCCTGCAGAACTGTAAGCCAATCAAAACTCTTTTCTTTATAAATTACCCAGTCTCAGGTATTTCTTTATAGCAGTGCAAGAACAGACTAATACAGTATATGAAAACATGCTCAATATAACTAATCATCAGGGAAATGCAAATTAAAACCATAATAAGATACCACCTCACACAGGTTAGAATGGCTATTAATCAAAAGACAAAAGATGATAAGTGTTGGTGAAGATGTGTAGAAAAGAAAACCCTTGCACACTATTAGTGGGAAGGTAAATTAGTACAGCCATTATCAAAAACAGCATGGAGGTGCCTCAAAAAATTATACACAACAAAACTATCATATAATTCAGCAATCCCACTTTTGAGTATATATCCAAAGGAAATAAAATCAGTATGTTGAAGAGACGTCTCCACTACTGTGTTCACTGCATCATTATTCACAGTAGTCAAGATATGGAATCAACTTAAGTGTCCATAGATGGGTGAATGAATGAAGAAAATGGCATATATGTATATAGATATATACATATATACATATGCATGTATATACATATATACATATGCATGTATATACACACATATATACATATGTACACACACACATATATATTCTACCACATGAAAAAATATTCACACAAGAAGTATATCTTGTAACTGCAACAACCTGGATGAACCCGGAGTATATTATGGTAAGTTAAATAAGCCAGGTATATAAAGGCAAATACTGCATGATCTCACTTAAACCTGAAACCTAAAACAGTTGAACTGAAAGAAGCAGAGTGTAGAATGATAGTTGCCAGGGGCTGGGGAGTAGGGAAAATGGGGGATGCTGGTCAAAAGGTACAAGGTTTCAGATAGATAGGATGAATAAGTTCTTGAGAATGATTGTACATCATGGTGACTATAATGATACTGTACTCTACACTTAAAATTTGCTAAGAAAGTAGAAATATTCTCACCACAAAATAAAAAAGATAATTATGTGAAGTGATGGATATGTTAATTAGCTTGATTGTGGTAATCATCTCATAATGTTATACATATATCTGAACATTTTGTTGTATGTCATTAGTACATAAAATTTTTATTTGTCAATATACATCAATGCAGCTGGAAAAAATGCACATTGCAAACTCCAGGGCAATTACTATGTTTTTAAAGTGATAACTGATGTGCTAAGAGAGAAGATAAAATAGAATTATATAAAATTGTTAATTAAAACCAGTAAAGGCATTAAAAGATGATAAACAGAAACAAAGAATAAATGCAACCATTAGAAAACAATTACAAATAAGTTAAACATTAATCCAGCTCTACCAATCATCACTTTAAATGTAAGTGGTCAAAATGCATTAATTAAAGATGCAGATTGTCTGAGTGGATGAAAAAATAATCCAACTATATTTTATCTGTAACTATATGTTGTCTACAAGAAATCCACTTTAATTATCAAGACACAGCTTCAATGTAAAGGGATGGAGAAAGATAAACCATGGTAACAATAATCAAATAAAAATTGGAGTATGTATATTAATTTCAGACAAGCAGACTTCAAAACAAAGGTAATTATTAGGAATAAAGTGTGGTATTACATAATGATAAAGTGATCAATTCTCTGAGAGACAAAACAATCCTAAATAGGTAAACACGTAACAATAGAATGTTAAAATATGTGAGACAAAAATTAATCACACTGATAGGAGAAATAGCCAAATTAATTGTTATTGCTGGAGACCTTAACACTACTCTATAAGTAATTGATAGGTCAAGCATGCAGAAAATCAGTAAGGGTGGCTTTGACCTGAAGAGTACTATTGATCAATTTGATCTGATTGGTATTTATAGACAACTCTTTCCAACAACAATAGATTATACATTTTTCTCAAGCTCATATGAAACATTCACTAAGATAGACAACATTCTGTATCCTAAAACACACTTTCCCAAATTTAAAAGAATTGAAATCATACAACTTACTTTCTCAGACCACAATGGAATTAAACTAGAAATGAAAATAGCAATGCTAGTTAATGGTAAGAATGAAGCACAACAGTAACTTTCATTCATTGTTGGTAGGAATGGAAAATGATACAGCCACTTCAAAGACAATTTGGCTGTTTTTTAAAAAACAACACATTCTAACCACATAATCCAGCAATCACACTCCAAGGTATTTACTTAATTAATTAAAACAATTATGTCTACATAAAAGTTTATAAAAACTTTATTTACAATCTCCCCAAACTGAAAGCAACCAAGATATCTTTCAATAAGTGAATGGATAAACAAACTGTGATTCATGAATACAATAAAATATTACTTATAACTAAAAAGAAGTGAGCTATCAAGTCACAAATGACATATATAAATTTTTTAACTTTTAAGTTTATGTACATGTGCAGGTTTGTTACATAGGTAAATTTATGTGACAGCGGTTTGTCATATAGATTATTTCATCACCGAGGTACTAAACCTCATACCCGTTAGTTATTTTTCCTGATCTTCTCCTTCCCAACCTCTACCCTCCCATAGGCCCCAGTGTGTGTTGTTCCTCTCTATGTGTTCATGTGTCCTCATCATTTATCTCTCACTTATAAGTGAGAACATGTGGTATCTGGTTTTTTGTTCCTGTGTTAGCTTGCTAAGGATAATAGCCTCCAGCTCCAACCATGTCCCTGCAAAGGACATGATCTCGTTCTTTTTTGACATATATGAATCTTAAATGCATACTGTAAGTGAAAGAAGCCAGTATGAAAAGGCAACTTATTGTATGACTCCAATTAAGTCACATTCTGAAAAGAGCAAAACTATAGAGACAGCAAAAAAAATTAATGGTTGCAAGTGATTATTTGGTAGGAGAGAAGGGAAGGATGAATAATTAAAGCACACAGGATTTTACAGTGGTGCAAATGCTTAGTGTGATGTATCCACCATTACAGCATAGTATTCTATACTGTATTATCCAGTATTCTATGCAGTATTATACTATATTATAATTATACTGTACAATATTATACTATGCAGTATTATATCTGGTCAGAATATTATACAATACAGAAATTATACAATATTATACTATACAGTATTATATCTGGTGTAGAATACTACACTGTAATGGTGGATACTGTCACACAATGCATTTGTCAAAATCCAAAGTACTTTACAGCACAAAGAGTGAACCCTGATGTATGCAAATATGAAAATGAATTTAGGAGGTTTGGGGAACCCAAGATAGAATGCAGAATGTGATAACCACCTAATTGTATTCTAAACATATGAAACAACCTTACTGAAGGGGGTGGAGGAAACGGTGCCTACCTAAGTAGCGTTGGAAATGAGAAAAGTCAGTAAGGCCGAAGGCACAAGAAACTAAGGTACAGGTTAATAATTCTGATGCCACTGTTCACATATACTGAAAGTAAGCAACTAACCAAGTGGATGGTGTATGATGTGAGCCAGGTTACTTGACACCCAATGGGAGTCTAAAGATAAGCAAGGGTGAGAGGCCGCAGTGATGTGTGTTGCCAGAGTGGAGAACATCAGAATGAACTCACGTGTAGCTTAATACGGATACAGATAGTTACATACACAATATATATAAATCTATATATGTGCATATACATACCTTAGCTTATACACATGTAGTTCCTTGATCTGGTCAGTTGACAGGGCCAAGAATCAATGACACTCCAGTATCAACAAGCACATCAAGCTCTTGATCTTGGTTTCTAACATTCTCCAATAAAAGGAGAAAATGTCATTATGAAGAAATGATTCCAGACTACAACAAAAAATATATAAGATAATCCTGGAGCATCTTATAGTGCTAGAAAATAAGGAATTTTTTTTAAAGCCCCACAAACCCATAATTATGGGAGTATATTAAAGTGAGACAGGACCAACTGAAAGAGCTCTCAATGACCAAAGCTGGAACAATTTGAGCAACAAAATAAAGTTGTATTGGTTTATAACCTAGACTATAAAATAAATATTCATGGACCCACACAGATATGAATAAATAAATAAATTAGTGGATAGAAGAAAATCTCTGACTTCGAAGAATTCCAAATTATTTATGTAGCTACTGTCTCTCAAGGAGGTGGAGCATAACTCCCCACTCATTAGGTGCACAGTGACTGAATTTTCTTCATTCCATTATGAAAAGGAGGAAAAAAGATTAAACTTTAAAACGGAAAAAACTGTCAAGTACTACCTCAGCCAGGTGGTGAACATCAAGAGTGGTAAATCGGCCGGGCGCGGTGGCTCACGCCTGTAATCCCAGCCCTTTGGGAGGCTGAGACAGGCGGCTCACGAGGTCAGAAGATCAAGACTATCCTGGCTAACACGGTGAAACCCCGTCTCTACTAAAAAAATACAAAAAAATTGGCCAGGCGTGGTGGCGGGCGCCTGTAGTCCCAGCTACTCCGGAGGCTGAGGCAGGAGAATGGCGGGAACCCGGGAGGCGGAGCTTGCAGCGAGCGGAGATCGCGCCACTCCACTCCAGCCTGGGAGACAGAGAGAGACTCCGTCTCAAAAAAAAAAAAAAAAAAAAAAAAGAGTGGTAAATTATGTTAATAGCGCATAACCACGATACGATGTGATGAGAATGGCATTTTATCTCTGGGTCATCCTCCAAAGAATCTGTAACTCCAGTGTAATTAGAAAAACGTCAAAGAAGTCCAAAGGAATAACATGTGTAAAATACCAAAAAACAAGGTAAATCTAAGAAACTGTCACAGCTAACAGAAGCCTAAAGAGGTAGATGGTTGAATGCAAAGTAGCATCCTGGATGGGATCCTGAAACAGAACCGGGACATTTGGTAAAATCTAAGGCTATATGAATAAAGTATGGACTTCAGTTAATAGTAATGTATCAGTATTGGTTCATTAATTGTAACAAATGTACAATCTGTTCACTAATGTAAGGTGCTAATTTAACAATGGGGGAAACTTGCTTTGTGGGTATATGGGCACTCTATCTTCCAATTTTTCTATAACTATAAAACAAAACTAAATTAACTAAAATAAATAGTAAACCAAATAAAAATAAACTAAAAATCCCATAAGGATAAACTTTAAAATAAACTTAAAAACCTTAATGATTAAAATGAAGTTTAAAAGTATTTTACCCTACGGAGAGCTCAATGTTTAATCCAAGGAAAAAAATTTTATTGTGCAGTTTCAAGCAGCAGTAGGCAATTTCATGTTTGTATGGTGATGATCATGTCATGTCATAGTCCTCAGCATGTCATTAACAAGCAGAAAGCAATCTATGAGGTATCTTTAAAAATAAGTCCCAAATTATAGAGTCTTTAGATATCTTCTGCTGACATTACAGGTGCCATAATTCAGCAAGATACTCTGGGTAATGCCTTTTGCAATGCCAGAGCGTAAGAGTTGGAGTGTATCTCTTTGCCAGTTAGCATTCTAGGGTTGCAATAATAGGATGAAAAAAATAAATGTGCTAAAATTGATACCCACAATAACAGGATTAAATATCAACATTTATTTTTTCAAATACATTTCACATATATTAGAAAAATTGTAAATATTTTATATTAAAAATACTTTTGTATTATATACTAGAAGGAAAACCAAAAAATATAAAAGTTGGTATAAAATTTTGGAATAATTTTCTTCTGTGGGGTTAGAAATTGTAGTTTGTGTGTTGCCCATATTGCGCTGGCTCCAATGTCTAAGAACTACACTGTCGCTAATCGTTGTAAATCACGTTTGCACAATTTAAGTAAAACATCTTTTAAAGGTAGAAAAATCAATTTATTGCCCTGCAAAGGGCAATAAATGACTTCTGCATTGAGGATAAAGTACTGAAATTGCTTGTGCTACTCTGGTGACTCAAATTAAGCTGTTGGTCTTTGCTACACTGGCAGGTGTTACCCTGAGCTACTGCCATGTATTTATTTAAAAATCTACTAAAATAAAGCAACAGCTACTCTTATGTCCTAAACATTTTCTTTTGAAAAATAGGGGTGGGGGGAGGGGGTAGGTATAGCATTAGGAGATATACCTAATGTTAAATGACGAGTTAATGGGTGCAGCACACCAACATGGCACATGTATACATATGTAACTAACCTGCACGTTGTGCACATGTACCCTAAAACTTAAAGTATAATAAAAATAATAATAATAATAAAAAGAAAAAAATAAATAAAAATACTTTCAGTCAAAAAAAAAAAGAAAAATAAAGACCTGTGGAATTTAATGACTCCTAATGTGCTATATGTTTTTTGCTTACAAATTCCACAAAGTGGAGTTCTACAATTCCACTCAGAATTGTACAATATCCATATGGAGCAGGGTTGTTCTGTCTCTATCCTTTCACCATGTGGATAGGGGCACCATGGTTTTAGGAAGCCAACAGTGATAGAGCCAAATGGATATGTCTGATTCACAGCATCCAAGGACAGAAAACTATTTTTAACAGGTAGAACTGTACCCCTGTAGGGTTGATTTATTCTCTCTTAATAAAAAAAGATTTATAATTGGGATAAAATCAACTGAACATATTTAATAAGTTTTGACATATGTAGAAACCTGTGGAACTATTACCGCAATAACATAATGAACATGTTCTTCATCTGTAAGAGTTTTCTTATGCCCTTTGTAATCCCTTCCACCTGCCACCCTCCCATCCTCCCTCAGACAACCACTGATCTATCACTATAGATTAGTTTACATTTTCCATAGTTTTAAAGAAATGGAATCATATAGTATGTATTTTTTTAGTAAGGTTCCTTTCATTCAGCCTAATTATAGAGTAATATTCCATTGTATGGATATATACTCCATGATTTGTTTGTCCATTCATCGATTGATGGGTATTCGGGTGTTTATTCAAGTACAACTTTCTAGAAGGATATAGGCTTTCCTTCTTCTTGGCTAACTGCCTAGGAGTGGAATAGCTGGTCCATATGGTCGTCGTATGTTTAATTTTTTTCTTTTTAGAAATGGACAAACTGTTTTTCAAAGTAGTGATATTATGTAAAATTCCTACCAGCCGTGTATAGAATTTGTTTCTCCAAGTCCTTATTAACACTGTTTATGATCTGTCCTTTAAATTTTAGTCGTTCCAAAAGGTACATAACGGTATATCTTTGTGGTTTAATTTGCATTTCTCTAATGACTAATAATTTCTCTCATTATATATATAATATATATAATTCATTTTACATATAATATATAATTCATTTTATATATAATATATATAATTCATTTTATATATAATATATAAAACTCATTTTATATATAATATATATAATTCATTTTATATATAATATATATAATTCATTTTATATATAATATATATAATTCATTTTATATATATAATATATATAATTCATTTTATATATATAATATATATAATTCATTTTTATATATAATATATATAATTCATTTTTTATATATAATATATATAATTCATTTTATATATAATATATGTGACTCATTTTATGTATATAATATATGTGATTCATTTTATGTATATAGTATATATGATTCATTTTATATATAATATATATGATTCATTTTATATATATATTATATATGATTCATTTTATATATATAATATATATAATTCATTATATATATATTATATATAATACATTATATATTATATATAATTTATTTTATATAATATATATAATTTATATATAAAATATATATAATATATTTATATAAATATATTATATATAAATTTATATAATATATGTAAATATATAGTACATATAATATATTATACATTATATATAATTATATATATTATATATATAATTATATGTATAAATTATATAAATATATATAATGCTATATATATTTTTATGTGCCTTACTTAAAATTATTTTTCTTCATGCACTCTTTGGACAAGTGTCTGTTTAAATCTTTTGCTCAGTTGTTTATTGGGTTGATTTCTTACTTTTGAGTTTTGAGATTTCTTTGTATGTGCTGGGTGCAAGCCTATTATCAGACATATACTTGCAAATATTTTGTTCCAGTAGAAAATTATGTTTTCATCCAATTAGCAATGTCTTTAAGAACAGAGGTTTTAAATTTAGATAAAGTCTAATTTATCAATTTTTAATTTTTTTCTTTGCCTAACCCAAGGTCATAAAGGCTTTCTCGTTTGTTTTCTTATACAAGTTTTACAGTTTTAGGTTTTATATTTATGTCTATGATCCATTTGGGATTAATTTTTATATAAATTAGATTGTGTATGCATTGGTATTTATTTATGTTGGCATATGGATAACAGGTTTTTATAACAGCATTTTTTAAAGCTATTCTTTCCCCACTGAATTTTTTTTGCACCTTTGTCAAAAATAAGCAGTCCATATATGTGTGGGTCTATTTGTGGCCTGTATTCTTTCCCATTTTATCTGTTTGTCTCTCATGACATTGATACCACATTGATATTGTTTAGCTGTGTCCTCACCCAAAGCTCATCTTGAATTGTACTCCCATAATTCCCACATGTTGTGGGAGGGACCCAGTGGGAGATAATTGAATCACGGGGGTGGTTTCCCCCATACTGTTCTCATGGTATTGAAAAAGTCTCACGAGATCTGATGGTTTTTTTAGGGGTTTCTGCTTTTGCGTCTTCCTCATTCTCTCTTTGCTTGTTGCCATCCATGGAAGATGGGACTTTCTCCTCCTTGCCTTCTGCTATGACTATGAGGCTTCCCCAGCCATGTGGAACTGTAAGTCCAGTTAAACCTCTTTCTTTTGTAAATTGCTGAGTCTCAGGTATGTCTTTATCAGCAATGTGAAAACAGACTAATATACACATTGTCTTAATTACTGCAATTTTTATTCATTTACTTATTCATTAGAGATGGGGTCTCTCTCTGTCACCCAGTCTGGGGTGCAATGGTACAATCATAGCTCACTACAGCCTCAAATTCTGAGCTCAGGCAATCCTCCTGCCTCAGCCTCCCAAGTAACTAGGACTACAGGCATGTGCCACCATGCTCAGCTAAGATTACTGTAAACTTATAATAAAGTCTTGAAATAAATTATATAATAAAGTCTTGAAAGAGCTCTCAATGACCAAAGCTGGAACAATTTGAGCAACAAAATAAAGTTGTATTGGTTTATAACCCAGACTATAAAATAAATATTAATGGACCCACACAGATATGAATAAATAAATAAATTAGTGGATAGAAGAAGCAAATCTCTGACTTCGAAGAATTCCAAATTATTTATGTAGCTACTGTCTCTCAAGGAGGTGGAGCACAATAAATAAGTGGAGCATATAATAAAGTCTTGAAATCAGATAGTTCTGGCTTGTCAACTTTGTTCTTTTTCAAAGTTGTTTTGGCTGTTCTAGGCTATTTGTATTTCTATATGAACTCTAGAATCAGTTTGTCATGTTTTACAAAACATTCTCCTCTGATTCAAACAGAATGCTTAGAAATACAATTAATATTTTACTTTAATCTTACATCCTGCAAACTTGCCAAATTCATTTACTAGTTCTAGTAGCTTATGTGTAGATTTCATCACATTTTCCAAGGTGATCATGTCATCTATGAACAAAACAAATTTCATTTTCTTTTCCTAGGTTACTTTCCACTGCTTTTATTTCTTTTTCTCACATTATTCCACAGGCTACAACTCTCTAATTCAATGCTGAATGGAAGAGTAGACACCCTTATTTTGTCCATTGTTTTAGGGGAAAATATAGCATTCCATCTTTCATCATAAAGTATGAAGTTAACTGTAGATTTTTACCTTTTGTACAGTTGATGAAGTCTTCCATCCTTAGTTTTTTGAGAATATTTACCAGGCATGAATGCTGGATTATGTCCAATGTTTTTCCTGCATCTATTGAATGATCAGGCTTTACTTTTTAAATTTGTTAACATGGAGAATTACATTGATTGATTGTTGAATGTTAAGTCAAACTTGCCTTCCTGGCATAAAGCCTATAATTACTTTTTATATACTTTAGAATTTGATTCACTAATTTTTTTTGTAAGAAATACTAGTTTATAGTTTTTTCCCCAATGTCTTTGTCTGAGTTTGGTATCTGGATAATGCTATCCTCATAAAGTGAATTAGGAAGTACTCTCTCTTCTTCAAGTTTTTCAATCTGACAATCTCTGCCTTTTGATCTGAGTGTTAAGAACATTTAAATTTAATATGATGATTGACATCATTAGAGTTAAGTCTATCATCCTGTTATTTCATTTCTATTTGTTCCATTTGTTCTTTATTCACTATTTCAGCCTCCTTTTAGAGTAATTGAATATTTCATTCTATTTTATCTCTTCTGTTGGCTTATTAACCATAACTTTTTGCTATTTTAGTTGATGCTTTAGGATTTATATTATATATCTTTCATTGATTATAGTGTACTTTCAAGTGAGATTATATTACTTCATGTAGAATAATTTTTCAATAGTGTAGTTACATTTCCCCTATGCTACTGTTGTTATATATTTCATTAATGCATGTTATAAACTCTCAATACAATATTATTATTTTTGTTGATATAGCCAATTACCTTTTAAAGAAATTTAAATATTAAAACTTTTTATATTTACCCATGTAGTTACTATTCTAACTGATGTTATTTTTCTTCTTCCTAGAGTACTTTATTTAAAATATATTTGGTGTAAATCTACTGGTGAATTCTTTCGGCTTTTGTATAGCCAAAAATCAATGTTTATTTTACCTTTGTTTTTGAAATGTATTTTTTCTTTTTTTTTATTATTATACTTTAAGTTTTAGGGTACATGTGCACAACGTGCAGGTTAGTTACATATGTATACATGTGCCATGTTGGTGTGCTGCACCCATTAACTCGTCATGCAACATTAGGTATATCTCCTAATGCTATCCCTCCCCCTTCCCCTCACCCCACAACAGGCCCCGGTGTGTGATGTTCCCCTTCCTGTGTCCATGTGTTCTCATTGTTCAATTCCCACCTATGAGTGAGAACATGCGGTGTATGGTTTTTTGTCTTTGCGATAGTTTGCTGAGAATGATGGTTTCCAGCTTGATCCATGTCCCTACAAAGGACATGAACTCATCATTTTTTATGGCTGCATAGTATTCCATGGTGTATATATGCCACATTTTCTTAATCCAGTCTATCATTGTTGGACATTTGGGTTGGTTCCAAGTCTTTGCTATTGTGAATAGTGCCGCAATAAACATACATGTGCCTGTGTCTTTATAGCAGCATGATTTATAATCCTTGGGCATATGCCCAGTAATGGGATTGCTGGGTCAAATGGTATTTCTAGTTCTAGATCCCTGAGGAATCGCCACACTGACTTCCACAATGGCTGAACTAGTTTACAGTCCGACCAACAATGTAAAAGTGTTCCTATTTCTCCACATCCTCTCCAGCATCTGTTGTTTCTTGACTTTTTAATGATCGCCATTCTAACTGGTGTGAGATGGTATGTCATTGTGGTTTTGATTTGCATGAAATGTATTTTTTCTAAGTGTAGAATCCTTGATTGGTAGGTTTTTTGTATTTGCTTTTACCATCAGTACTTTAATGATTTTTCACTTCCCTCTTTTTTTCTTGCATTGTTTTTGATGAGACATATGCTATTATTCTGATCTTTATTCCTCTGCATATAAGGATTTTTTTCTCCAGTTGCTATTAAGATTTTTTTATCATAAGTTTTTAAAAATAATTTGACTATAAAGTACTTTGGTATGGTTTTCTTCAAATGTCTTGTGCTTGGAGTGAATTGAACTTCTTGAATCTAAGTGCTTATAGTTTTCTTAAAAAAATTTTTTTGAACATCTTTAAGCCATTAGTTCTTCAAATATTTTTACTGTGTTTTAGGGAACCTTAACACTGGGCTGCTTGAAATTGTACAAATCCTTAATGTTCTTTTATATTTTTATTAGTTTTAGTTTGGATAGTTTCTATTACTATGCCTTCAAATTCATTAGTTTTCTATGACGTCTGATCTACCATTAATTCCATCCAGAGCACTGTTTATTTCAGATTTTGTAGTTTTTGCCCTTTGATGTCCAATTTGTGCCTTTTTTAATCACCACCAATAATACTGTTATAATTACTGTTTTAATGTCATTGTTAGCTAGTTCTAATATCTGTGTCAGTTCTGGATTGGTTTTAATTGGCTTTTCTCCTCATTATGGATTATATTTTCCTGCATCTTTGTATGCCTCTTACTCTTTGATTGGATGCAAGATATTGTGAATATTATTTTGTTCAATGCAAGATATTTTTGTATTCTTATAAACAATTGGTTACTAAGAAATAGTTTGATCCATCCATGTCTTTCTTTTAAGAATTTTAAAAAGAAGATTTACAATCTACTAAATGTAGGAGCAGGTCAGCATTCAGCATAGGGATAATCATTTCCCATTACTGAAGCAAGACCCTTTTGAATCACTCTACCCGATGTGCCATGAATTATGTTTTTCCAGTCTGGGTGATGGAAACAGGAACTGTTCTTGGTCTATGTGAACACTGAACATTGCTCTCTGTAATCCTCTGGGATGATTCTACCCATCCATGAGGAGTTTCCTCATACATGTGCACTGACTGGTACTCTGCTGAATATTTGAGGAGGACCCTTCAAGGTCTCTGGAGTTTTTTCTCTCTGTAGCTCTCTTTTTGCCAATATTCTCTCTGGCAAAATCTAGCCACTTTGTTTTCCTCACATTTTCATCTCTGTCTTCTCAGAGAGTTGACAGGTTTTACCCGAGGTTACTCTCCATGCACCATGGTTTCCCCAAACAATTAAGCCACTACACTGGGGAAATCAGAGCACATCTCACTTGCTTCTCATCTCTCTGGGTTTATTGCCCTTAGTTACCAGATATCTAGTGTCTTCAAAATGGTTTTATTGTATATTTTGTCTGTTTTAGTTGTTTCAGGCATGAATAGGTTCCATTTGTTCCCTCCTACTCTATCTCATTTTATAGCAAAACACTTATCCCCTTTTCAGGATACAAATTGATAACCTTATACCACTTTATACATCAATATGTCAACTTACAATGAGTCAATCCTATGTTTTACGATCTGTATACTTTGTGTGCACACCACGTAGAGTGTGGATCTCCCCATATGTTTTTCTGCTACTGGCTGGGTGTTTCCATCAAACAAATGAAAGGTAGTCCTTACTTGCAAAACTCTAAGAGCTCTTATTTTAATATGTATCAAGTGTTAACATATGGGAATTTAACGAAAGCTTAAAGGTTATGTTGGATTGCAGTATGCTTTCCAATTTTATGATAGGAAAATTGATGTTTCTTCCATTAATTTTTGTGAAACAAATTCTATCAGGTAAATCAAACCTCAAAATTTAAAGAGAAAAAATGGGGAATAAGAAATTAGGTCATGCCACAGTAGCTGTAAATTGTGGGAGAAAAATATCCTGATTGCTCAGCTCAAGTTTGAGCTTTAAATCTTTTACTAGCTTCTTAGCTTTGCCTGTGAAGTGCTGAGTCCTGGCAGGTGGCTCACCACAGGGACTTATCTGGGAACATTCAATTGCACAGAGAGCTACTAATCCCTGGAGGTTAATGGTGCAGACTGAACTGATTGTCTGGCATTACCCACAGCCCTAGGAAGCATTGTTTGGGACTCAGGACCAACTCAACGGGATGGAGATGGGATTGGAGGTATTGTCACCAGCCTGAAGCCCCAGAGGCACGCATAAAGTTAGAATGGGTTACTAAACTTGTCCTTAAAAACTGGAAAACAACCTTACATGATCGATTATCTTTCAACTATTTAAATAATAAGATTAACTAAAAAGCAGGCTACGTAAGTATGGAAGGAATAATCTACTAGAGCAATTATACTGTAAAAATTTCTCCCAAAGTAAGGAGAGTAAACTAGCTTGAAACTCTGTTAAGCAGCCTTCTTTGTTTCTCTTGCTATGTGGGAAATTCCTTGCAACCAACCATGTAGGAAATTTATTTGATGCCTCATATTTTCTCATGAAATTTCAGGAGCATTTTGTACTCTGCAGTATAATTTTTCTGTATGTGCTTTAATATAAAAACTATGTCTTCAATTACTTACTATTAAATTACTTAACTTGCCCTACTTCCAAATCATTGGATAAAATTGTAACTCCAGGAAGATGTGGTGCATTTATCTCATGGCATCCTGCACCAGCACACAACCACATCCCCTTAGGTGCATGCGTAATCTAATCTGAGAAGATCTTTGTGAGAATAAAGTGCATCAGGTCTAGGAAATACTCTTCTTTGTGCTTTGTGAGGGCAGTCTTAAGCCTAATCTTTAATAAAGGTGCACAAAAAAGATTTTTCAACTCTCTTACTGATTAAATTTTGCTCATTGATTTTTGAACTTTAAAGTTCTACTCACAAATCTCAATCTTATGTTTCAAAATAACAAGTAAAATACCAGCAGTATAATCTTTATTTATACTCTACTTGGACATGTGTGTGTGTTTGTGCATAGTCAAAGAAACATATTCAATGTATGTGTATTTCCTTAAAGAAAATTGCCACAGATAAACTACAGGGGTATTTGCTTTATTTCACTTTTATTTTCTGTTAAATGTCTCTCTCTTTAGCTTAGAAACTCTGAATATACATACGAGTTTCTGTAATATTTGTTGAAAGTCATTAAGGTTGCTTTAGTTAGGCAGATATCTATTTCTTTTTCTGTGTAAGACATAACCATATGAGAACCCTAGTGTCTCTGCAGCTGGTTCACTAGTTGAAAAGCTTTTTTTCATCCTTATTGGAGAAGTCGGATGAGTTGTTTTTTTTTTCTCTTGATAACTCTCCTATCTAGACACACTGCTCTATTCTTTTTTCCCTCCCCTCAAGCAGGATGGGAATGATTTTGTTTTTGTCTCTGATCATATTCTCCATCCCACAGTCATGCACCTGTAATGCCCTGCTCTGAGTTCCTGCTTCCCTGATCCCTGCAAACTATTCCAAGCTCAGCCTTGCACCTCCTCTGGACTCTCCCGTCCACCCATGTCAATGACTGTTTCCCTTGTGTGAATCTCAGTAGGAATTTTTGTTTGCAATTTTCATTTGACATTTTTACACTTATCAGGTTGTATGTTGTATTTTTAATAATTCTTTTGTGAATGTATATTCAATCTCTCCAACTAAGCTAATGAGTTCCTTGGGAGAAGTTGTCTATGTCTTGAATGGATTCCTTCCCTATCAGTTTTTAGTGACAATGCACAAAATAGGCATTGATAAATATTTGAATAATAAATTTTATAGTTTTACTATATATTTTAGCTTTGACAGAGGCTATGATGGCTGAGATTCAGCATCTGCTTCTACATGTTCATGCTAAATGGGAACTATTGACTGGACAATATGTCATTAATTGCAGACACGAAATGGGTTCTTTAAAAAAATACTAGTTTTCAATTTTGTGTAGAGACAAGGTCTTGTCATGTTGCACAGGCTGGTCTCAAACTCCTAGACTCAAGCAATCCTCCTGCCTTGTCCTCCCAAAGTGCTGGGATTATAGGCCTGAGCCACTGCTCCAGCATGGAATGTTTTTTTTAAAATCAGTCGAAGCAATTTTATATGATTTAGGCAGCTGTTTTTAAAAGCCACACAAAACTTTTATTTTTTTCTGACCTTGAAAGAGCATGAATATATACAAAAATATAACTAGGACATTTTATTGTTGAATTAAATTAATCTGTATACAGCCAAAAGTCAATTTAACTTTTAAATCTTTAATAATTCCTCAGTGAGTAGCATGAGGAAAAGTCATTTAAGAGAAGTTATTTGATCCCATGTTATATTTTCTCACATTGATTTAGTATAAGAAGTTTAACCAGACAAGGATTCCAACGTAAAGAAAGTTTGCAGGAGTACAGTTCTCCTGGATGTTTATATTATTTAAATATTAATTTCTCTCCCAATGCATGATTTGGCTGATGACATCATTCAACTATGTCAACATGTGCAGATTTTTTTTAGGAGGTTTTTGGAGGGGTTTTCTATAGGTCTTTATGCTTTTTCAGTACGAAACTCTAAGCATGCCATAAATTCAGGTTGCTGTGTCTTAGCACAGAGGGAGAACACCAGCATGGGTACTTAGAAGCATTTAAAAATATATCCCTTTCCCCTCTGTCTTTGTCGCGTATCTTCTCTTTAGCACCGTCCCTTAGAAATCAAGTTTTTAAAATAAAACTATCCAGACAGTGTGGAAAAAAAGAGAAAGCAGGTTAAAAAAATACAAGGCCAAAGTATGATGAGAAAAAGAAGCAGGTTATTTGAGAAAATTATTGAGAGGAGTGATGGGAAAGGAAGAGGCAGAAACACAAAGAATTTTGTGGGAGTTAGGAGTCAAGGTCTGAATACTGAAATTACTTTGGAGAAAATGGATAGAAGACTGGGTCAAATAAATATAGAAATTAAATTTTTTTTGAAGAGAGGTTTACTACCAATTTTTTTTGAAGAAAAGATCACTTGGTATCTTTCAGACTTGATGAAATTTCCAAGCTAACATCTTTATGAAAACCACAAGACAGGGATAAGAGAGAGGCTATGTGGCAATTTGTTTTTGTTTCAACTGCTTCTATGAAACGTGGGATGAGAAAAACTCTTCTGTTTGGATGCCGGGATACTAGTAATGTGTATTATCTTAACTCTTATAGCAGTAATTTCAAAGAAGATGAAGCCAAGGGATTAAGAAAAAAAAATGAGACATACAATAGATACTTGGCAGAATGATTTTAAACTTGCAAAAATAGTAATGTCATCTTATTTTTCCGTTGCTGGTTAATTTTGTCTGTGAAGCTTATGAAAGACAAACTGTCCACAGGAAATTCAATCCCTGTTGGACAGTTCTGGTTTTGCAGGGAGACAGTAAAAAATTGAAGCAAAAGCAGAACAAAAAGAATAACCAAATCTAAAATGTCATTAACCTTCCTCTTGGGTCTCATGAAGGAATTTTTCCTCCTTTTCTCAGCTTCTTATTAAAGGTCTGGGAGGTTGCAAAAGTTCCACCTTATGATGGTTCTTGCAGTTTGTAATTTCTTTGTTGACAGTGAAATTTTATCTTATTTCTTATTTACAGAATAAAAGAAATATTTGTCATGAGTTGGACTTGTCTTTATTTGCAGAGATTTTCTCCTAACCATATATTAGTCAAGACTCTGGCTGTAAATAAGAGAAACCAGTCTGAGCTACCTTAGGCAAAAAAGGAGAATTTATTGTATATAAATGCAGAGGTGACTCACATAACTCAAGAACAGAAATGCAAGTGGATCGCAATAGATGATGATAGCTAGGAGCAGGAAAGGGATCAGGAATCTGTTTATTGTCTCTAGTTTCCTCTATGTATCCTTTTATCTTCTTTCCATTTAAACATTCGCCTTCTATCTGTATGCCCATGTTCATTGCAGCATTGATCACAATAGCCAAGAAATGAAGCAATCCAGTATCCATCGATAAATGGATGGATAAAGAAAATGTGGTACATACATACAACGGAATATTATTCAGCCTTAACAATGAAGGACATCCGGACACATGCTACAACATGAATGGACTTTGAAGACATTATGTTAAAAGCAATAAGCAAATCACAATAGACAAATACTATATGACATATGATTCCACTTATATCAGGTACTTAGAGTAGTCACATTCATAAAGACAGAAAGTAGAATGGTGGTTTCTCCGGGGAAGGGAAAGAGAGACTAGGGAGCTGTTGTTTAATTTGTGAAATCAAAAGAATTTTGAAGATTGCTTGCATAACATTGTGAATATATGAACACTACTGAACTATGTGCTTTAAAATGGTTAAGTTAGTAATGAACTATATGCTTAAAAATGGTTAAGATAGTAAATTCTGTTATTTTACTGATGTTTTTTTCTCTTTCAAGTTTTATTTTAGAATCAAGGGGAACATACACAGGTTTGTTACAAAAGTATATTGTTTGATGCTGAGGTTTGAGGTATGATTGAATCTGTCACCCCATTAGTCAGCACAGTACTGAATAGGTAGTTCTTCGGCCTTCACGACAGTTTTTTTAAAAGTACACAAACAATTGTAGGTATTTAATTTGTTACTGTGCACATGAATATACTAAACAGGAAAAGGTCACTAAGCTGTGGATATACACATTGTTTACAGTTCAATGAGAATTGGCTTCTGTTGGCTAGCAATAAATGTCAAACTGTTCAACATTGATTAATCATGAAGGAATATTGCTTAACAAAGAATAAAATATCTTTCTGAGGTTACAAGCAACAACTAGCTTTCTCTGACTTACTGATTGACATGATGCAAAATGCCTTCCCAGCCTCAGCATCTGACTTATATGATATTCTAGTCACTTACAAAGATGACAACTGTATTAGTCCACTTTCATGCTGCTGATAAAGACATACCTAAGACCGGCCAACTTACAAAAGAAAGAGCTTTATTGGACTTACAGTTCCATGTGGCTGGAGAAGCCACTCAGTGGCAGAAGGACAAGATTTCAGGCACATCTCACATGGTGGAAGACGAGAGAAGAGAGCTTGTGTAGGGAAACTCCTGTTTTTAAAACCATCAAATCTCTTGAGACTTATTCACTACCACGAGAGCAGCATGGAAAAGACCTGCTCCCATGATTCAATTACCTCCCACTGGGTCCCTCTCACAACACATGGAAATTCAAGATGACATTTGAGTGGGGACACAGCCAAACCATATCAACAACAGTCTTCCAGATACTAGGTAAAGAAAATCTGACCCAGTTTGTTAAGGTATGTTTACTCCTTTATCTTACCTTATTGGAGGTAAGATAAAAGATAGGTAAGATCTTACCTTAAGATCAGGAAGGGTGGTTCATATAATACCAGTATGGCTTCCAATTGGTATACCCTTGTGGATCTGAGGGAAGAAATAAGAATGTCTGCCCCATAAGAAGCTAGGAGACAGATTTTGGAGTCCCTGAGTCCCTGAGACCCTGACTTGGTTACAACAGCCAGAGAGAACTGTGGGAATCCCTGAGATGGCAGCCTCATCTTAAAGGGTGATTACTAGAGATAATAAGGGGGAGAAGCCTTGGTGAGCATCCTGGACCATTTTGGTTCCAAAGAAAGAAAAAGGACCTAATGAACAAAAGGAATGATGAAAGCAGAAAGCTGAAAACCTGGTCTAGTTCTCACTAGATGTAAATGAAAGCAGAGGCCAGCGATGAGAATTCCAACATCAGACACATGTGGGGAGGTCAGAACTGAAAAGAAATTCTAGAACCAAAGAGCAAGAAGTTGAAGAGTTTGAGATAAATTGTGTCAATAAACCCAGATGAAATTCTGTCTGTTTAAAATAGCACCATGAATCACCCTAGCACATTTAAAGGGTATTGGCTCAAATCACTGCTTCTATTTGTTAGCTGCCAATTTGGTCAAAAACAATTTGCCTAAAACCAAACTAGTAAAAATGATAAAACATGACTATTCTTCTATAATTGGTTATTCATATATTATTAATGTGGAAATAATGTGGAAGGTGTTTAGAATTGTAATGGTTTGTTTTTTCCTTTTTCAGGATTTAGAAGATTTTTCTCCAGTTTTTTAAACTTCTGTTTTCAATTTATGATGCATTTTCATCCCATTATGTTTGCTTTTCTGATTTAGCAATACTTTTATGATTTTGTACCAAATTGCTCAAACCGACCTAGTCTAAATCTGTTTTAATTAGTCATTTGCTCTTTTGTAACAATTGTGTGTTCCAAGGAATCTGCAGAATTAAAGACGTGATGTGACAAAAGATGATTCTGAAGAATAAAGTTACTGGATATCGTTGAAGTTGTGTTAATCACCACATTGACTTAGAACATTCTGCATTTTTCATTTCAGTCATGAAGGCTTTCAACTATAAAGTTAATGTAGTGATTAACTGGATCAGAAAAGCTAGCATATATTTCTTTTCCTAGCTTTCTTCAGTGAAGTTACTAGGGGCCCAGAGCCAATTGCTATCAAGAGTTTTACCCATGAAACATTTATTCATTGTTAGGTCAACAAATTTTAGCCTAAGCTTATAGCTGTCTGAGAAGCCACACTGAGACTTTACATGTTTTTCATTACAGCTTCAATCTGACAGCAACCTTGAGTAGTAAAAATGCTGCTCTGTAAAATTTGCTGAAATACGTAAGAAATGTGCAACCAAAATGGAACACAAAATAGGATTAAGTAAATGAAGTTAACATCACTGGCTGAAAATGAATCTAAACATTTTAAAAAGTGAAATTATGTAGTAAGAAGTATAACATAAAAAATATGGATAAAAGTTCTAAGAATTATAACAAATTTCAAAATTATAAATAATGTTAACTGGCAGTTGGAAACATTGATTTTTAGAATAATTAACTTTAAGACAAATGAGCAGAGCAGACATAATTGACTATATGAATTAGAAACAAAAAAGAAAAGGAACCTTTGTTCCCCTGAAAATTGTGGGGAATAAAATGACAAAAAAGCTTAATTACTCATGAAAGCTAATAAAACTTCTTCAAGTGCATCAAAATTACTAAAATGAAAAATCTGTATTAGATGATTTTTTGACCAATTTATTCTTTCCAACACTTAGACTTTGAGAAAATTGTTTTAGGTCAACTTGTTTTTGACAATTCACTTTAAGTTCCTGGTTATTCTCAGCAGCCCAGTTCCATCTGGCATTCTTTTTCGTTAAAAGCAATTTTTTGTCAATGCAGTGAGAAGACTCACCCTTTCCCATTAGCTGTTGGAATAAAATTGGGGAGAGTATTCTTCTCAGGATTCATTAGTGGTTAGCAGTTAGGAGACACTTAAGATCATGAAGTCCAAACCTTGCTTTACAGTGAGGAAGCAGAAGCCTGCGCATATCAGGTATCTTGCCAGAAGTCATAGCAATGCACTGATACAAATAAAACTAGAGGTTAGAGCCCTTGCCTCTCCTGCAGTTTTAAATACTGGAAAGCAATGATGTGTTGTAACAATGGGTGCACTCTTTGGCTCAAATTTTAAGATATGACTTAAAAAATCATGATAATATCATTGTTCCCCATGCTAAGAAGGTGACAAATTGTTGTCCTGTCTGGGTCTATTAAGATATCAGGATAATAAAAACAAACAAACTCTTAAATAACACTGCACATCTGTCAGACACTATGCTAAGGGCTTTGCATACAATAACACGTTTAATCTTCAAAATAACACTAGGTAGTAGGTACTATTATTATGTCCATTGTGATAAATTGAATGCAAAATACCCTTTCACCCAGATAGTCCTATAACTGCCCATTTAGTATAACATTGTAGGTTCTTCTGTCAAGCAGTAAAGTCTGTTTTCTTAAACTCTGAATTTGAGTTGATCTGATTTGCATTGGCCAATAGAATGCAGTGGAAGTGATGTTGTACCAGTTCTGAGATCATGCCACAACTTGCATATTTCTGCTGTCTCTCTCTCAGATGGCTCCTGCCATAAGCCTGAGCTAACCTCCTGGTAGTTGAGAGACCACATAAAGGAGATCTGTCGCAGTCAAACTATCTAGAGTAGCTTCCATCCAGTTAACCTCAAAATATGTAAGAGAACCAAGCCAAGAGCAGCAGGTGATATAATTTATGCTTGTGAAGCCATATGGCATAGTGGTTTCAGAGCATGGATGCTGTACTCAGACTGTAGGCCCATGAATAAGCCCAACTGAGACCAGAAGAATCCCTGAGTTGAGACCATAAAAAATATCTAAAGAAACCAGGTAACTGTGAACAAGAATAAATGCTCTTTGTTTTAGGGCAACAAGTTTTGGGTTGGTTATATTACGTAGCAACAGATAGCAGGTTGTCAGCTATTCTTCTTTTAGAAATTTACAAAGTATAAAATAACTAACCCATGGTTCCGAAGCTAACAAGTAGCAGATCTGGGATTTGAACCTAGCAGCCTGACTGCAGTCTCCATGCTTTACAACCTGCTATCATCCATCCCATTAGTCTTGAATTGTTAACAGTAACAAACTGGAATAAGGAATTCCCATGTCTTTCCACTTGCAAATTTAAGTCTGATATCTATCTCTTCCTTATAAGGTTACATCACTCCCATTTCACTTCACTGAACGCCTTTTTCAATTATGATTCAAATTCTGCTTCCATTTATGCTGCTATTGGCTACAATGATAAACATCTTACCCATTCTAATTCATTCTGAACCCAGGGGAGATTCCAGTGAACATAGATGACAAATCTGCTATTGACCAGTTCATAATCACATTTTCTAACGGCTCTGCCTTCTTAGAAAATCTGCCACTACATGGCAAGTGTAGCATAAAAGGATGGTTACTCCATGTTTGGACCCTAACTTCCTAAACCATGTACCTCTTCACTATCTCATCATTTGTTTCTGTTTCTCTAAACCTCTCAGCCTTTTTGCTTATCTTAACATTGCTTCCTCACTTCGCCACTAAGATCCACGTACTTCCTCTTGGGTCAAATTCGTTTCACTGCAAGTGACTAAAATCCACTAGGTTGGCTTAAGCAGAAAAGGGTAATTCCTCTCAGAGTATTTCACAAAGCCCGGGGCAGAGATGCAGCTGGGCCTCCAAAAGGGACAGAGTCTGCTTCTTTCCAGGCTATATTTTTTTTCTCTATAGACCAGCTTTGATTGGATTGAATGATTGGAGCATATTGCAGAACACATGGAGCTGACATTTCCCAGTTTCCTAATAAAAACCCACCACTTCATCTGAGACTGAATTTCTTTTCCTTACTCTGTTTGGTTTAGGGACCAATCATCCCTGAAAAAAAAAACAATTAGGGTCAAAGAATGAAATAGGGAGAAAGGTCATCAATTGTCTCAACCATGTCATATACCACTTCTGGCCCAATCAACCTTGGTCATAAGGAAAGGATCACAGAATTGCTCTCAGGAGCACACCAATGTTACTGTGTGGATTTGGAGGCTCTTCTGGCTATTCTTAGAGAATGTGAGGATGGTTAGGTGAGGCAGCTTGCTAGATATCTACTATCCTGTCTTCCCCAGACATAATCTTAGCTATTCCTGGTTATGGCAGGGAAACCAGAATAATGTGGAGAAAAACAGAACAAAAGAAAAATGGTTTTAGGATTCTGATGGTCTGTGTTTGAATTTCAGTTTGTTCATCTGTGCAACAAGTGACAGATTGCTTTATATCCTTGGGTCTCAGTTTTATCTATAAAATAAGATTTATCAACCTCTTTAGATAAGGCATACCATACTTATCTTACTCATCTGCTAGGATTCTCTTTTGGTATTCACTCTTACATTTATGCTCCCTCTCAGGTCTTCTTTGTGAAACAGGAGGAGGCTCTGGACATTGACACAGAGTCAGTATTGCATACTTTAATATGGATGATGTGTAGTTAAATTTTTTTTTAATGAATTGAAGTTTCTCTACCCATATTGACAATACTTTGTTTACAGTTTTGTATTTGGTCTTTTAGCCCTTCCTTTGTTAATTATGACAACATTACGGTGAACCACATTACTCTGTTTTCTCCTGAGATTCCATGTATATATCCTACAATATTTTACTGTCTCAAATGTGTTCCATGCTCTTAGAAGGGAGGGGCACTTTTTCTGAGGTCATTTTTGTTCTCTCTGGCACTTGAACTTGGGCTAGCACATAGTAGGCATTCATTAAGCCCCTGTTGAACCACGATTACATTGAACATCAACTGTCGTATGTAAATGGATTGCTGATGGTCCACAAAGAAATCAATTGTGGTGTGTCACTGAAATAGGATTATCTTTTCATCAGAGCATAATGTTGGTTCTTTGATCTGGAGGAGTCTTTTTTCCTCTGACAAAGATTTAAGCACACTGGGTGCTTTCTTTCAATTAATGCTAATGGCAGGGTTTCCAATGAATACAGCAAATAAGAAGGATAAGAGACAAAGACAACTTCCAAAGCTACTTTTATTAAAAAGTAATCTGCAGCTTATCTTAGCTCTTTCAACATCTAATATCCAATGATGCTATTTGAATATTTTCCCCACCAGCATCCCTAAGGTTCTGAAGCCAGGACATCACTGAGCTTCACTCTTATTTCTGGCTCAGCAAAATGTGCTGCATGCACAACCGACTCGCCTCCTCCTCCTCCTCTATTCCCTCTTCTGTTGCTCTTTGCCACTTCTCCATATTTATGAGAGGGGAAGGATGAGGGGTGGCTGTCATGGCCTTATTATCTGTTTCTACCAAGTATGCCTCTGCCTTTTACACTCTCTCATTGTTTCTTTTTCTGCCAGCCCAAACCCCATTTTTGTGTGTACCAAGCTAACTCTGCCAGACTTTGGGGTTGACGACCTTAAATTGGAAAAGAGAAATACAAGCACATGCCAATACCACACGTATAATTGTGACAATCTGTCTTTCTGCACCTGAGACCAATATCTAGGCTTGCATTTGCAAAAATATGGTAGTTGCTTATCAGCTGTGTGAATTTGGCCAAGTTTCTTAACCTCTCTCAGCATCAGTTTTCTTGCCTATAAAATGGAGATAACAGTAACTACCACATAGGTATAATATTAAGAATAAAAGAAATAGTCATATACATCTGTTATAGTTTCTGGCACATTACTAAGCGCTCAAAATTTTTAGTTATGTCATTGTTATTATTATTAATTGTATTATTAGTCGTTAGCATAATGCTATTCCAAGAACGATCATTGAGTTTAATATAAATGAAAAATCCTGTGCAAAACCCTGTAGAAGATACTAAGATCCAATGAGATGGTTCCAAGTTTAAAGGAGATTGTAACCTGGTAGGGATGAGATATATATATATATATATAAACTAATCATACTATTAGGCAGAAGATAGTAAATGCTAGAAATAAGTTAAAATTCAAAATTAATGGTACTGAGCAATTAATCACAAGCAGTTAAATCTGGTAAGGCTTTATTGAGGAGGTATTATTTTAGGTAAACTTTGAAGAATAACATGGGATGAAGTAGATGAAGAGGGAGAAAAATCATTGCAGTTTGAGCAAACAGAAGGGAGTATAAAATGCACAGCCTATGCAAGAAATGTTAGATAATAATTTCCCATTCATAAAATATTTTATTGCACTTTTAGTTACTGATTTATTTTGGTAATAATTCACATGCAAAGAGAAAGGAAAGCACTGCAAGGAACATTCTGAAACAATGTTTTCAAAAGTATGTTGACTAAAAGAGATTCCAGGAAAAATGATTTTGTGGTCATGTATATTTTTATGTTTTAAAACATTTTGCTATTCTTTCAGGTTCTGTTAACAGTTTCCTCAATATTTGCAACTGAACCATGTGTATTAGTCAGGGTTCTCTAAAGGGACAGAACTAACAGGATAGATGAATATATGAAAGGGAATTTGTTAGGAGGATTGACTCACACAATATCAAGGTGAAGTCCCACAATAGGCCTTCTGCAAGTGGAGGAGTCAGGAAGCCAGTCCCAGTCCCAAAACCTCAAAAGTAGGGAAGCCGACAGTACATCCTTCAGTCTGTGGCCAAAGGCCTGAGAGCCCCTGGCAAATCATTGGTGTAAGTTCAAGAGTCCAAAAGCTGAAGGACTTGAAGTCT
Organism: Homo sapiens; assembly: GCF_000001405.40. Classification (NCBI taxonomy): domain Eukaryota; kingdom Metazoa; phylum Chordata; class Mammalia; order Primates; family Hominidae; genus Homo; species Homo sapiens. The sequence goes on along the minus strand of NC_000001.11, from coordinate 96,247,588 downwards.
GATGTTTGAGGGCAGGAAGCATCCAGTATGGGAGAAAGATGGAGGCCAGAAGACTTAGCCAGTCTAGTCCTTCCATGTTCCTCTGCCTGCTTTTATCCTAGCCACTCTGGCAGCTGATTAGATGGTGCTCACCAAGATTGAAGGTGGACCTGCCTCTCCCAGTCCACTGACTCAAATGTTAATCTCCTTTGGCAGCATCCTCACAGACACACCCCGGAGCAATATTTTGCATTCTTCAACTCAATCAAGTTGGCACTCAAAATTAACCATCATACCATGGAACTCGTGCTACGTATTTTAGGGTATTGTTATACCAGCACCTCACTTTTTTCTTTTCAAAATCCTGTGTGACACAAAATAAGCTAAGTTATGCTGTAGTAACAAACAGCCTCAAAATCTGGCATACAATAACACAATATTGATTTCCCAATCATGAGTACCATATCGAAACAGATCAGTAATTTTTGTCAAGGTCAAGATGGCCAAATAGGAACAGCTCCGGTCTACAGCTCCCAGCATGAGTGACGCAGAAGACGGGTGATTTCTGCATTTCCATCTGAGGTACTGGGTTCATCTCACTAGGGAGTGCCAGACAGTGGGCGCAGGACAGTGGGTGCGTGCACTGTGCGTGAGCCGAAGCAGGGCGAGGCATTGCCTCACTCGGGAAGTGCAAGGGGTCAGGGAGTTCCCTTTCCTAGTCAAAGAAAGGGGAGACAGACGGCACCTGGAAAATCAGGTCACTCCCACCGGAATACTGCGCTTTTCCGACGGGCTTAAAAAACAGCGCACCAGGAGATTATATCCCGCACATGGCTAGGAGGGTCCCACGCCCACGGAGTCTCGCTGATTGCTAGCACAGCAGTCTGAGATCAAACTGCAAGGCAGCAGCGAGGCTGGGGGAGGGGCGCCCACCATTGCCCAGGCTTGCTTAGGTAAACAAAGCAGCCGGGAAGCTCGAACCGGATGGAGCCCACCACAGCTCAAGGAGGCCTGCCTGCCTCTGTAGGCTCCACCTCTGAGGGCAGGGCACAGACAAACAAAAAGACAGCAGTAACCTCTGCAGACTTAAATGTCCCTCCCTGTCTGACAGCTTTGAAGAGAGCAGTGGTTCTCCCAGTATGCAGCTGGAGATCTGAGAAGGGGCAGACTGCCTCCTCAAGTGGGTGCCTGACCCCTGACCCCCGAGCAGCCTAACTGGGAGGCACTCCCCAGCAGGGGCACACTGACAGCTCACACGGCAGTGTATTTCAACAGACCTGCAGCTGAGGGTCCTGTCTGTTAGAAGGAAAACTAACAAACAGAAAGGACATCCACACCAAAAACCCATCTGTACATCACCATCATCAGAGACCAAAAGTAGATAAAACCACAAAGATGGGGAAAAAACGGAACAGAAAAACTGGAAACTCTAAAAAGCAGAGCGCCTCTCATCCTCCAGAGGAACACAGTTCCTCACCAGCAACGGAACAAAGCTGGACGGGGAATGACTTTGACGAGCTGAGAGAAGAAGGCTTCAGACGATCAAATTACTGTGAGCTATGGGAGGACATTCAAACCAAAGGCAAAGAAGTTGAAAACTTTGAAAAACATTTAGAAGAATATATAACTAGAATAACCAATAAAGAGAAGTGCTTAAAGGAGCTGATGGAGCTGAAAACCAAGGCTTGAGAACTATGTGAAGAATGCAGAAGCCTCAGGAGCTGATGCGATCAACTGGAAGAAAGGGTATCAGTGATGGAAGATGAAATGAATGAAATGAAGCGAGAAGGGAAGTTTAGAGAAAAAAGAATAAAAAGAAATGAACAAAGCCTCCAAGAAATATGGGACTATGTGAAAAGACCAAATCTACGTCTGATTGGTGTACCTGAAAGTGATGGGGAGAATGGAACCAAGTTGGAAAACACTCTGCAGGATATTATCCAGGAGAACTTCCCCAATCTAGCAAGGCAGGCCAACGTTCAGATTCAGGAAATACAGAGAACGCCACAAAGATACTCCTTGAGAAGAGCAACTCCAAGACACATATTTGTCAGATTCACCAAAGTTGAAATGAAGGAAAAAATGTTAAGGGCAGCCAGAGAGAAAGGTCGGGTTACCCTCAAAGGGAAGCCCATCAGACTAACAGCGGATTTCTCAGCAGAAACCCTACAAGCCAGAAGAGAGTGGGGGCCAATATTCAACATTCTTAAAGAAAAGAATTTTCAACCCAGAATTTCATATCCAGCCAAACTAAGCTTCATAAGCGAAGGAGAAATAAAATACTTTACAGACAAGCAAATGCTGAGAGATTTTGTCACCACCAGGCCTGCCCTAAAAGAGCTCCTGAAGGAAGCGCTAAACATGGAAAGGAACAACCGGTACCAGCTGCTGCAGAATCATGCCAAAATGTAAAGACCATCGAGACTAGGAAGAAACTGCGTCAACTAACGAGCAAAATAACCAGCTAACATCATAATGACAGGATCAAATTCACACATAACAATATTAACTTTAAGTGTAAATGGACTAAATGCTCTAATTAAAAGACACAGACTGGCAAATTGGATAAAGAGTCAAGACCCATCAGTGTGCCATATTCAGGAAACCCATCTCACATGCAGAGACACACATAGGCTCAAAATAAAAGGATGGAGGAAAATCTACCAAGCAAGTGGAAAACAAAAAAAGGCAGGGGTTGCAATCCTAGTCTCTGATAAAATAGACTTTAAACCAACAAAGATCAAAAGAGACAAAGAAGGCCATTACATAATGGTAAAGGGATCAATTCAACAAGAAGAGCTAACTATCCTAAATATATATGCACCCAACACAGGAGCACCCAGATTCATAAAGCAAGTCCTGAGTGACCTACAAAGAGACTTAGACTCCCACACATTAATAATGGGAGACTTTAACACCCCACTGTCAACATTAGACAGATCAACGAGACAGAAAGTTAACAAGGATACCCAGGAATTGAACTCAGCTCTGCAGCAAGCGAACCTAATAGACATCTACAGAACTCTCCACCCCAAATCAACAGAATATACATTTTTTTCAGCACCACACCACACCTATTCCAAAATTGACCACATACTTGGAAGTAAAGTTCTCCTCAGCAAATGTAAAAGAACAGAAATTATAAAAAACTGTGTCTCAGACCACAGTGCAATCAAACTAGAACTCAGGATTAAGAATCTCACTCAAAACCACTCAACTACATGGAAACTGAACAACCTGCTCCTGAATGACTACTGGGTACATAACGAAATGAAGGCAGAAATAAAGATGTTCTTTGAAACCAACGAGAATAAAGACACAACATACCAGAATCTCTGGGACGCATTCAAAGCAGTGTGTAGAGGGAAATTTATGGCACTAAATGCCCACAAGAGAAAGCAGGAAAGATCCAAAATTGACACCCTAACATCACAATTAAAAGAACTAGAAAAGCAAGAGCAAACACATTCAAAAGCTAGCAGAAGGCAAGAAATAACTAAAATCAGAGCAGAACTGAAGGAAATAGAGACACAAAAAACCCTTCAAAAAATTAATGAATCCAGGAGCTGGTTTTTTGAAAGGATCAACAAAATAGATAGACCGCTAGCAATACTAATAAAGAAGAAGAGAGACGGCCGGGCGCAGCGGCTCATGCCTGTAATCCCAGCACTTTGGGAGGCCGAGGCGGGCGGATCACGAGGTCAGGAGATCGAGACCATCCCGGCTAAAACGGTGAAACCCCGTCTCTACTAAAAATACAAAAAATTAGCCTGGCGTAGTGGCGGGCGCCTGTAGTCCCAGCTACTTGGGAGGCTGAGGCAGGAGAATGGCGTGAACCCGGGAGGCGGAGCTTGCAGTGAGCCGAGATCCCGCCACTGCACTCCAGCCTGGGCGACAGAGCGAGACTCCGTCTCAAAAAAAAAAAAAAAAAAAAAAAAAAAAAAGAAGAGAGAGAAGAATCAAATAGACGCAATAAAAAATGATAAAGGGGATATCACCACCAATCCCACAGAAATACAAACTACCATCAGAGAATACTACAAACACCTCTACGCAAATAAACTAGAAAATCTAGAAGAAATGGATAAATTCCTCGACACATACACTCTCCCAAGACTAAACCAGGAAGAAGTTGAATCTCTGAATAGACCAATAACAGGATCTGAAATTGTGGCAATAATCAATAGCTTACCAATCAAAAAGAGTCCAGGACCAGACAGATTCACAGCCGAATTCTACCAGAGGTACAAGGAGGAACTGGTACTATTCCTTCTGAAACCATTCCAATCAACAGAAAATGAGGGAATCCTCCCTAACTCATTTTATGAGGCCAGCATCATTCTGATACCAAAGCCGGGCAGAGACACAACCAAAAAAAGAGAATTTTAGACCAATATCCTTAATGAACATTGATGCAAAAATCCTCAATAAAATACTGGCAAAACGAATCCAGCAGCACATCAAAAAGCTTATCCACCATGATCAAGTGGGCTTCATCCTTGGGATGCAAGGCTGGTTCAATATACGCAAATCAATAAATGTAATCCAGCATATAAACAGAGCCAAAGACAAAAACCACATGATTATCTCAATAGATGCAGAAAAGGCCTTTGACAAAATTCAACAACGCTTCATGCTAAAAACTCTCAATAAATTAGGTATTGATGGGATGTATCTCAAAATAATAAGAGCTATCTATGACAAACCCACAGCCAATATCATACTGAATGGGCAAAAACTGGAAGCATTCCCTTTGAAAACTGGCACAAGACAGGGATGCCCTCTCTCACGACTCCTATTCAACATAGTGTTGGAAGTTCTGGCCAGGGCAATTAGGCAGGAGAAGGAAATAAAGGGTATTCAATTAGGAGAAGAGGAAGTCAAATTGTCCCTGTTTGCAGACGACATGATTGTATATCTAGAAAACCCCATTGTCTCAGCCCAAAATCTCCTTAAGCTGATAAGCAACTTCAGCAAAGTCTCAGGATACAAAATCAATATACAAAAATCACAAGCATTCTTATACACCAATAACAGACAAACAGAGAGCCAAATCATGAGTGAACTCCCACTCACAATTGCTTCAAAGAGAATAAAATACCTAGGAATCCAACTTACAAGGGATGTGAAGGACCTCTTCAAGGAGAACTACAAACCACTGCTCAAGGAAATAAAAGAGGACACAAATGGAAGAACATTCCATGCTCATGGGTAGGAAGAATCAATATCGTGAAAATGGCCATACTGCCCAAGGTAATTTACAGATTCAATGCCATCCCCATCAAGCTACCAATGCCTTTCTTCACAGAATTGGAAAAAAACTACTTTAAAGTTCATATGGAACCAAAAAAGAGCCCGCATCGCCAAGTCAATCCTAAGCCAAAAGAACAAAGCTGGAGGCATCACACTACCTGACTTCAAACTATACTACAAGGCTACAGTAACCAAAACAGCATGGTACTGGTACCAAAACAGAGATATAGATCAATGGAACAGAACAGAACCCTCAGAAATAATGCCACTTATCTACAACTATCTGATCTTTGACAAACCTGAGAAAAACAAGCAATGGGGAAAGGATTCCCTATTTAATAAATGGTGCTGGGAAAATTGGCTAGCCATATGTAGAAAGCTGAAACTGGATCCCTTCCTTACACCTTATACAAAAATCAATTCAAGATGGATTAAAGACTTAAACATTAGACCTAAAACCATAAAAACCCTAGAAGAAAACCTAGGCATTACCATTCAGGACATAGGCATGGGCAAGGACTTCATGTCTAAAACACCAAAAGCAATGGCAACAAAAGACAAAATTGACAAATGGGATCTCATTAAACTAAAGAGCTTCTGCACAGCAAAAGAAACTATCATCAGAGTGAACAGGCAACCTACAAAATGGGAGAAAATTTTTGCAACCTACTCATCTGACAAAGGGCTAATATCCAGAATCTACAATGAACTCAAACAAATTTACAAGAAAAACAAACAACCCCATCAAAAAGCGGGCAAAGGACATGAACAGACACTTCTCAAAAGAAGACATTTATGCAGCCAAAATACACATGAAAAAATGCTCATCATCACTGGCCATCAGAGAAATGCAAATCAAAACCACGAGATACCATCTCACACCAGTTAGAATGGCAATCATTAAAAAGTCAGGAAACAACAGGTGCTGGAGAGGATGTGGAGAAATAGGAACACTTTTACACTGTTGGTGGGACTGTAAACTAGTTCAACCACTGTGGAAGTCAGTGTGGCGATTCCTCAGGGATCTAGAACTAGAAATACCATTTGACCCAGCCATCCCATTACTGGGTATATACCCAAAGAACTATAAATCATGCTGCTATAAAGACACATGCACATGTATGTTTATTGCGGCATTATTCACAATAGCAAAGACTTGGAACCAACCCAAATGTCCAACAATGATAGACTGGATTAAGAAAATGTGGCACATATACACCATGGAATACTATGCAGCCATAAAAAATGATGAGTTCATGTCCTTTGTAGGGACATGGATGAAATTGGAAATCATCATTCTCAGTAAACTATCTCAAGAACAAAAAACCAAACACCACATAATCTCACTCATAGGTGGGAATTGAACAATGAGATCACATGGACACAGGAAGGGGAATATCACACTCTGGGGACTGTTGTGGGGTGGGGGGAGTGGGGAGGGATAGCATTGGGAGATATACCTAATGCTAGATGACAAGTTAGTGGATGCAGCGCACCAGCATTGCACATGTATACATATGTAACTAACCTGCACATTGTGCACATGTACCCTAAAATTTAAGTATAATAATAAAAGAAAAAAATACTTTAAAAAAAAAAACAAAAAGCAAAACAGATCAGTAGAGAGGAAACACTGCTCAATATTGTCAGTCAGCAACCCAGACTGACTGAAGATCCATCTAACTTATGCTTCTGCAATGTCCAAGACAGGAAAAGGGAAGTGGATCTAGTGGTTCCACCAGGAAATGTCACATGTCACTTCATTCACTTTTTTTCCCTAAAGCAAGTCATATGACCATATCTAATTTGAAAGAGTGAGGAGGTAAAACTTACCACCTCATGGAGGAAAGGAAAATTGAATATTTGTAAATAGGCCAAATGATTACCATAATCAGATTATTCAAAAGTAAATGAAACTGCAGAATTTCTGAGTCTTTAATATATTAAAGTAAAATGTGACTCTCCCAGAGGGTGTTACACTAGGCAGACTGCCACTCCTATTTCAATCTGGGACCTTTTTTGTCTTCAATAATTTCATGGCACTAGTGTTTCATGAAATTCATATTAAGAAATTGTATATACACTAAAGGCTATTTTTAATTGACTATGTCTAGAAACAGAAACAGATAATATTGAATTCACAGACCCGAATAGCTGGTAAAATAATATGAACGTTCTTCAGTACAACACATAGATAATCCACATTGTTTGCTACTTGTTGATCAGCTACTATATGCCAAGTTTTGTACCGTATACTTTTGTGTGCATTTTCCCATTTAATTCTCATAAAGAAAAATACCAGGAAGATAAGTAATATTACTCCCATTTTATAGTTGAGAAAATTGGGACTTAAAGAGATTAAATAACTTACACAGGACCTCACTAATAAGCAGCAGTGCCTGGGTTTGAATCTTGGGCCACGTGGTACCTGAAGCCATCATGCCCTTTTAGTACAAGGCTGAGTGTAATCAGAACCTGTCTGGGATGACTAGTGTGTCATTCAGGATTCTCCGGAGAAACAGAAGCAATTATATGTATATACATATTGTATGTGTATGTCTGTGTGTGTACGGAGAAAGAGATTTATTCTACGGAGTTTGTCCACCCAATTATGGGACTGACAAATGTGAAATTTGTAGAGTGGGCCCGTGGGCTGGAAATTCAGATAAGAGTTGATGCTTCAATCTTAAATGCAAAATCAGTAGGGCAGGCCAGCAGGATGTAATCTCAGGCAAGACTTCTATATTATAGTATGAGGGAGAATTTCTTCTGGAAACCTCAGTTTTTTGCTCTTAAGGCTTTCAACAACTTGGATGAAGCCCACCTACGTTATGGAGGGTAATATGTTTCACTGAATGTCAACCAGTAGTGAATGTTAATCCCATTTACAAAAATACCTTCAGAACAGCATTAGACTAGTATTTGGCCAAACAGCTGGGCATCATAGCCTAGCTACCTTGGCACATAAAATTAACCATAACAAATGGAATAAAGTAATTTCTCTACCAAAGAAAAAAATAATACATAAAATATATAATCCACATTTTAATCTTGCTATATCTAAGATTAAAAGTTCCATTCAAGAAAGAGATTTTTGTCTTTGTTTCTGTACTCCTGTTCCTCATCATCTAAATTAATTTCATCCTGCGGTGCAGCAAAGCTGCCAGGATGCGGCTTTCACACCCGCACCCTCACCTATTCTCCAGCAAGATGCCCAAAGGACTCAGCATTAATCAACCCTCTAGTTTGAACTTGGTTTCATTCTTCCTTCATCTCCCTTTCTCCAGTTTCCCAACACTAACCCTTTCTATCAGAGCAATTTTTTTTAAAAAAGTTGCTTTTTAAAAAAGTAGTGAGGCCCTTTCTTTAAATAGTCTTTCTCAGAAGCCCCATGTGTAAAACAGATGATCAGATCTGCTGTTAAATTTGGAGTAGAGATCCTGGGACTCTCCCACTCCAGTTTTACAATCCCATCAACTTCTCCAAGCTGCTGTTTCATCCAGGGAAGGCAAGTGAGTATCATATTAATAACGCCCAGCTGTTCCCTAGGCTGATATGAGGGTCCCAGCATGCCTATGGGAGGTTGCCCCGCACAGCATCATATTAATCCCAAGCTGTCCCTGTGAATGGGGCTCTGACTTCTGCTGGGCCCTATATGAATGTTCCTGCTTTTGCCCTGTGTATGTTTTCCAGTTACCACCAGCGACTGCTTCAGAGCTTGTCATAAACTACCCAATATGACTCTGTTATGGAAGAATTTACAAGAGCTGCCCTGAAAATGCTGTGCTTTGGATCAATGACTTTTCAAGTGGCTTAGTGTTACAATGGCTCCATAACCATGTGTCAAACACACGCAGGAAAAACTAATAGTTATTGTTTGTTTACAATAGTCATGATTTTCTTGTACTAATAACACATTTACTTCAAAAGCGCCTCACGAAAAGCTGATGTCAAAAGGGCTTGTGGCCTGTGGTACAAAACCTGACAGTTGAAAATTTTTATTTCAGAAAACAAAGGCCTCCTTTTCCCTTGAATGAGTAGAAAATTAACAGTTCCAAAACAATAAAACTGACTTAATTGCTATATCATCAAAACATATTATTCATGCTTTAAGTTCTAAGTTAATTCCCTCCCCCATAAAAAGTTCTATCAATATTTTAGAAGTCCTCATTTTTCATAATCAATGTGCATTTTGTCAGCAACTGCATTCTGAGAATAAATCAGTAAAATGGAAGTTCTGTGTTGAGTGGCCTATGACATGGCATGAATACCCTTTATTCACCTTCTGAAAAGTGTGCCAAGGTCTTCTGAAGAAGATGTAAACTGTAAGAGCAAAACTGTCACATTCTTCACTTCTCCTGTGTTAGTATTTGTTTCATTTAGACTGAAAGAGTCCTGGTCAGACACCTTACCTATATTACATACTCGCTCCGACACAAACTGTTGCCACTGCTCCTAATGCCACAGTTAAAGTAAATAGCGATGCTCTTTTGATAAAGAGGTGCCTTGAGACCCTGAGGTTTGTCAGAGCCTGGTTCTGTTAACTGGTTCCTTGCCCGTCGTCCTTTATGCACTCCTAATGACAGTCAGGGATACCTGGTGGCCATCTACCAGTGAGTACAGTAGTCACTGTAAATTGATGTCTGGGTGAGATGACATGAGGCCCTGCAGAAAGGTGATCACCCAGGAAGTCATGTGGTACTACTGGGTCCCAGAAATGGTGTCTGAAAAAGCACTAAATAAAGCAAAAGACCTACTTTAAATGTGTAGCTGAGTCCTAGTACCAGTTGTAGTAAGCCTTGGGCTAGGTAGGGATAGGGTGGAAGGGAGGGTTACAATGGGGGTTGGCTGGGGATCTACCATTGTAAAAAGGTCTTACCCTTTACACCTTCTCTATTTTTTTTACGGTCTTGATTTCACACCACTCTGACTCATAATTTTTTATTGTGCTTTTCACCATCAGGTCAGCATATTTGTTTATAAAGTTATTTAATCTGCATTGTATCTCCCTGCTACCATATCTATAGATATATTTCTCACACACCTGTAGAATAAACTAGACATAGTAAGGCTACAATGACAAGGCCACTAGGGATGTGCTGGTGATGATGATGATGATGATGAAGATGATGATGATTTTTAGAGGGTTCATCTTCTTTGTGCCAGGCATTATTTTAAGTACTTTACATGCAGACCCTGGACATACGATTGCACAGAGTGATCCCTGCAACAGGATGGCCAGGAAAGGGTCACGTGAGCTGAGATCTAGCGGAAGCTTTGCTTGCCATGTTCTGTCTCCTAGAGAAGGGAGGTGTGCACCCTGAGAGGCATCTTTGTCTAATCTCCAAATGTGCTTCTGGCTAGTAGCAGCTATGTTTATATGAATTCACTCATTTTATCACCACAACAGTAGTTTGAAGTATTGTTATCAAATATGTTAAAATAAGAGGCAGCTGGTGTTCAATAAAATCCCTAAAAATATAAAAGGATGTGTTGGGATTTGAAAACACCAATAAGAGCAGAGTTCATGCTTTGGTGAGCAGCAGCCCAGGATACAGGGCCACTGCATCCTGACACTGCCCTTTTTCTCTGTGATGGCACTTGAAATGTTTACAAAAGCATGTGCATCTTTGTTCATGTACCCACCTTATAGCTAAAGCAAACTGCACTTCACAGAATTTCTGCAACATGCTCTAAAATATATCCTAAATTCTTTCTGTTCTTAATCTTTAGCAAATGGACATCAAATATGGGGAGAACACAGGTTCTCACACGTAGCTATGAGAAAACAAAATGTACTTTTAGCTTTTTATATTTGGCAGTGTCACCTTACTTATTCACACACTATCCAGTATACCCAGAAAGCTGTCTGAATGCACTGAAATGGTTTGTAAATCTTGGTGATAAGTGGTTTTTATTTAAATGTAGAAATGACACCTTTGTCCTCAGATAGTTGACATTAAAAGGTTTCTATGAGGAAATAGAGCAGTAAGAAGGACATCAATGTGATTTCGCCACCTTGTGGCAGCTGATTAATTTTCAGCTTCTTTAGATCTCTTGAATTTCAAGGACTTTCTTGCTGTTGATTATCTCCAGTTCATTTCTGAGGCAAAAATTCCTATGTGAATTTATCGCTAAGATTCAGCCTCTTTTCATTCTCAGGGTCATTCTCTATTCACAAGTTGTGCACGACACATTAAGCACATCACTGCTGATGGCCAGTACCCTCCCATTTCCTTGGTGGCTAAAAGCACAATGTAATGTATTAAAGCCAGAAGGAGTGCTATGCAAATACCAGCTAAAAGCAACCTACAGCCTATCTTAGGACACTGTATAGTTGTCACATACTCAAATATTGCTTATCACTAGAAAGTGGGTCATGGTCAAATCTCAATTAAGCATTTCTATCAAGACCTCCCACCTGCTACCTAGGCAGCATGCTGGATTTGGTGCCTTGCAGGTGCTCCAGTGGTGTCAAAGCATAGGGGTGACTCTCAGAATTAGAAAATAATAGTAGTAACATCTTCTGTGATTAAAAATTCATAACAACCTCAGAAGGAATGAGTCTGTGGGAGGAAAATGCTTCTAAAGAAAGGCAAACTTCTTCCATACAGGTCTTTGGCAAACACAATCATCTCAAGAAAAGAAAGGGGATTACAGTTTAAATATATAATAAAAAAGAACCGAAAAGTAATAAAACTTCAAAAGCTGTAATACACTGTGTTAATGCCACAAATGTTTCTATGGTATTTCAAAGTAACTAGAATGAGTACTTTTAGTAATTTATTCGAGTCAAGGAGATAAGAGCCTTAAACATACTCATTCTTAGCAAAAACATGCTGTGGAAGTTATTGATCTTTCTGATCAGAAAGGAGTACGTTTAAATGAAGAGAGTACATTCTTGAAGCCTCGCAGATTTACAGTTTTGAAGCTTTTAATATAATGTGAGGATATACCTTCAACTTTACTGAAAGGAGATGACTCCAAGAAAAGAAATATCAAGGAAAAAGGTCTGAAAAGAAAGCAGGTTATCTCGGGTGATTGTTCCGTGTCGTCAAGAAAAAGAAGAAAATAAATCTGACCAACATCTGAAGACAAACTCAAACCATTTCAAGCCACAGGGCAAAGGGACAGGGAGGCCCCTGGATACTTGAACAGACCCTCTGGACTGGGGCATCTGTGTGTAACTTATCAGAAGAAAAAAGGGTTTGCTATGACTTAGTGATAAGTGTGTCACAATGAGGGGCTTTTGGAACACAACTTTCCTAAGGCCCACTTGCACAATTTGAAGGCCTGGGAGGGGTTTCCATGGGAGGCAAACTATTTCTTAAGGATGAGAGAAAACTAGAGAGGAAAAGAATAGAGGCTATCACATGAGATGAATTGAAATTTGGACTCACAGCCAGACACTGAAGACCATAGAAAAAAAGCCCCAAGGACGTGAAAACCTGTTACTGTTTAATAAAAGGCTTCTGGCCAGCGAGTCTTAGAATAGATAAAAATGAAGCAATAATTAGCAGGATTTTAAATATCTCTCTAAAATATAGTACAAAGATTTTCCTCCCTTAGGAGGTCTATAACTAAAGACGGACATAAAACTGGAGGAAAATTCTGTTTCCAAGTGTCTGAGTGGCAGTCTGAGTAATTTACCAGGTTTCTGAGAAGAAAAAGAGAAACTATCCAAAATTTCAGTCAATATTTATCTCTTAGGTTAATAAATCTTGCTCTTGACCTCAAAAGAAGTCAATATCTCCTGATTATTATATGCAAGTGCCTCCTGGGCCTTTCTATTTGTCCAGACTCATTATGGAATGAGTCACCAGTTTCCCGAGAGCCCCTGTCTGAGGCATGGGTGTAGACTGAAGAATCGCTCGCATTTCAAAGGTGTGGGCGGGCTGCCAATAATTGGTGCTATCGCTCAACATTTACTTGAATCTCTAATTCTGACATGTTTGCTTTTTCATTTTAGGCTTTCGGGCTGGTGCTCAGAGATGAAGTGGGGCTGAGATATATTTGTGAAGCATTCAAAGGCTGTAAAAGAGACAGTAGCATGAGAGGCAAATGCAGAGGAGAAGAAAGTATGTAGAATTTAGAGAAAGAGGACCTAACTTTGAATCTGGCTTATGCCACCGAGTGGCTATGAATTAATCACTCAGTTTCTTTGCACTTTAGCTGTTGCGTCCGTTAAAGAGGGTGATAACAAACTTAAAAGGTTTTTGTGAGAATTAAACAGATCACAAAGATGGAAGTGATTTGTCAACTAAAGCATATCAGACATTGCCAATTGAATCCTAAGAAGAATATAAGTTTGAATTCGTCCCAATGGTGAAAGCTTTAAACGGGAAAAATAAAGCAGATCTTTTTTCTGTCTCTTTAGAAAAAAAAAATGAATTAAAAAATTTCATTAAAGGTGTATTTATCTGTTAGGGACATGATACTTAGAGACAAACTTTACAGTAGAATTAGGAAGTATGTATTTCCTTTTCTTCATACATTTCCTCTCACTTGAACAGCTTTTGCTGGGAATCAGACATCTTGGCTCAGAAATGATCAAGGTCAATGATTCTTTCCTTTCACCTTCCTCAAAACATTTTTCATTTAAAAAGTGCAGAGATGCTTATGTCTTTAAAGTTCTGTTTGGTGCATCAAGTTGACTTGAGGAATCTAATTTTGCCAGGGCAAAGAGAATATAGAAACACGGGATGACTAAGTCCTGTCATGTGGTTTTCTAGGGAATTCTACAGTTTGCCAGTGGAAGTTCAGCAAAACTCTCGCTCATTAGCCCATTGTTAAAATGATGCTCACAAGATCTTTTGCACTTTGTCCCACCACGATTCAAAAAAAAAATACTGATATAAAGGGACTAGACAATGAAATTTGGTGTATATTTGTTCATTTTATCTCAGATGTGTGTACAATATACAGACATTTCTTTCAGTTCTACCAGTTTGCATTTCAGAAATAAGATGTCAGCTGACCAGATCAGAACTGGAGAGCTGAGCCCTCTTCCCAGTTTAACCAGGAACTCGTTGGATAATTGCCTGAGTCTTTTTTACCTTTCTGTGACTGAAGTTCTCAGGGATAGCATTTGACCATCTTTCCCATCAAGCCCTGCCCAAATATAAAGAATGCTTTAAATATTTATTATTTCATAGACTAAAGATGCTCTGCACTCTGATGGAAAGCATGTGTTTTTCACATTTTAAACAGCCCTCTGAACAAACCTCATGATCAGATTGGTGAGTAAAGTCCTGTTGAGAACAACGGTTCCTTATCTATATCCTAAAGGTTCATTTATGGTTTACTTTCCATTTTCAGAAGTTAATTAAACATTTTTTAAACTAAAGTATCTAATTTATCTATGGCCACTGCAAAATTTAAAGAGATGTGGAAAGAACAAAATTAAAATTTTATTATCAAAATGTAATGTTTATCCTCCCCTGCCCCCCCTTTTTTTTTTTTTGATATGGGGAGTCTGGCTCTGTTGCCCAGGCTGGAGTTCCCTGGCATGATCTTGGCTCACTGCAAGCTCCGCCTCCCGGGTTCACGCCATTCTCCTGCCTCAGCCTCCCGAGTAGCTGGGACTACAGGTGCCCACCACCATGCCTGGCTAATTTTTTGTATTTTTAGTAGAGACGGGGTTTCACCATGTTAGCCAGGATGGTCTCGATCTCCTGACCTCATGATCCACCCGCCTCGGCCTCCCAAAGTGCTGGGATTACAGGCGTGAGTCACCGCGTCTGGTCCCCACTTTTCTTTAGTTTACTATATATTCTAAAATTGTAAAAGTAGCACATCTTCTTCATATGATGCAAATAGTACTAAGGTATTAGTTGTCTATTACTAGTACTAGGTACTGGTTGATGAGGAAAAGTTTACAATCTTTCCCATGCTCCTGAGGTAACCGAAGTGACAGTCTGATATGAATCATTTGGCACCTTCCTCCATACTCAAACAAACATGTACAAACAAATGATAATTTTAGATTTTTTTAAACAAAAATTGAGTCATACTATATGCATTATTCTGAAATCTCACATATTTTATACTGTTAAACAGTTAAATTTACATATCCATTATAAATTTATATGAATATATTTAAATAATTCTTTTTCCATAGTAGTGTATGCTTGATTGTATCAGTGTTGGGGCTAAAAATGACAAATATTTATATCTTATAGTTTCTGAGTATCAAGAATCTGGAAGAAGCTTAGCTGGGTGGTTCTAGCTTAGAGTCTCTCATCAGGCTGCAGTCAAGGTGTTGGCTGAGGATGCCGTAATCTGAAGGCTTGAAGAAGGCTGGAGAATTTGCTCTCAAGATGGCTCTCTCGCATGGCTGTTGGCTGGACCTCTTAGTTCTGCTGTTCAAGAAAAGAGGCCTTCATTTCTTGACACGTTGGCCTCTGCATAGGACTGCTTAAATGTCCTTACCACACGGCAGTTGGCTTACCCCAGGGTGAGTAATTCCATGAGAACAAGGCAGAAGATTATCTTTTATGACCTAGCTTTGGAAGGCTCACAGCATCATTTCTATAGTATAACTAAGGAACACCTAAGTTTTTTCTCCTTTTTACCAAGACAAAAAGAGCTGATAATTTTAGGGATGGATATTATCATTCTTTTCATATTTCCTTTTATAATAGTACAATTGGGCAGGGTCTAAAACTAAATAGGTCACACAATTTGGGGGTGCAATTGTAAAACTATAATTCCTCTAGGAATGAATATATAAAAGTTTCTATCAGAAGACAAATAAGAGGAGCTTATTGTTGATAAACAATACCTTTTATTATTCTTGATTATTGTGGTTTCTATATACCAGAAAACGAAGCTGTTTTACGCTCTTGCTATCCACTACCAGGTGCAAAACTTTTATTCACTAAATTTTGTAATTATCATGTTTTCTTTCTAAGGGCATCTGTTTGAAAACCAGGATAAGAGTTGTTCCTGTAGAAGCCTTCTCCTCTTAATAGTACTAATTAACATTTATTTAGCCTTTACTTTGGTGCCAGGTTATCTGCTAAATACTTTGTAGGCATTATTTCATTCAAACCTCTTAACAATTTATGTGTATAAACCATTTTTCAAACAAACAAACAAAAAATGAATCTTAAAAAGTTGAGCACTTACCCAGAATCTCACAACTAGTACATGAAGCAACTGGGGTACTGACCACGTAAATCTGACTCCAGGGCCCAAATTGGCAATTACTACCTGATATGGTTTGGCTGTGTCCTCACCCAACCCTCACCCTGAACTGTAATAATCTCCACGTGTCAAGGGTGGGGCCAGGTGGAGATAATTGAATCATTGGGGCAGTTTCCCCCGTACTGTTCTTGTTGTAGTGAATAAGTCTCACCAGATCTGATGGTTTTAAAAGTGAGAGTTCCCCTACACAAGCTTTCTGGCCTGACACTGTGTAAGATGTGCCTTTGCTTCTCCTTTGCCTTCCGCCATGATTGTGAGGCCTTCTCAGCCATGTGGAATTGTGAGTCCATCAAATCTCTTTCTTTTATAAATTACCCAGTCTCGGGTATTTCTTCATGGCTTTATGAAAATGGACTAATATACTACCCCATTCTGCGTCTCAGTATCAGTACCATGAAACATGCCTAAAGTTGAGAGTATTTGAAGACATTTGTAATATGTAATAATTGTAGGAGGGGAGGTTTTTACTTTCACAATAATTTAAAGCTTCTTTATCATCTGTTTTGCTTTGGCAATGAAGTTTTTCAATGTTAATAATTTCAAGGATAGATTTCTGCATGCAGGAAAGATTATTCAGAGTTTTAGTTTAGCTAAAAATATGTTTGAATTATTTGACTTAAAATTTGAAAGCTTAGCTGTTGCATAATGTTGTATTTATACGTCTAGCAAATGTAGCAATCACTTTTATGAGGCCTTTGATTAATGTTTAGTTCCATTTACAAACTAGTTAATTAAACTCCTTTAAATATTTTACACCAAATTTATAAATTAAATGTATTTGATTTCTATTTAGATACTTCAAATGTGTGATTTAAAAGTAAAATTTTCCAGAACATTTAAAATACCTCTAATGCTTCTAATAATTAAACCTGGAAATATTATGAACCTTAAGTTCTCTTAAATGTTTTAATACTATATAAGCTACTGCAATGACTATATAAACTAAATAAAATTTCAACTTCAATTCACAGGCCTAAATCAATTACCTATTTACACATTTTAAATTGAATCACACGATTTACCTGTTCTCTAATAGACTAAAATATCTTAAACATTATAAATACCCCAAAGTCAAGCATGCTTCCTTAATATATACTCATATTAATACTGTGTTTGATTTTCTTAACTAGTTCTATAATTAAAACTTCCAAGCTAAGAAAATAATTATCTACTAGGGAAACAATTATAATATCCTAAGCAGTGTTGGGGCATGTTTTCCTAAGTAGTCAAGAGTGAATATCAAGAGATAGGGGATAGGGTGGTGAATGAATGATTTCTGGTGACCTAGTGAGATCCATAGAGCCCTATTCACAGTCACTGTATCTCATGGGTACCCAAATTTAAAAAAAAAAAGTTTGGTCTCATAATCTAAGTACCCTTAACCTTGAGCTGCTCAAGAAATTCTGTTGCCCCCACCTAAGTTGCGACTTCATTTGAGTGGCTTTGTATTTCTTTTGATCTTAAGTTATTAGGACATCTTTTCACCTAGCTCTGTAGACTTTTCAACTTGACAGAATTCTGAATTGATTAGTGTTTTTTCTACTTGTTAACTATACAGATTAAAATAGGAACCGATGCAATCTCTCATGCCTTTTCTTGACAATGGGCCACAGCCATCAAAACCATCCAGCCAACATACTCCATTTAGGGTAGTGATTGTTAAGTTAAATAACTCACACAAAACTCATATCACAGTGTCTAAATATAGTGTGCTTAGTAAATACTAGTAACTATTACTAATTCTGCTAGTACAACAGCTGTTGTTACTGGGAGCTATTACAAAACACTGTTAAAAATATTTAATTTTGGTTACAGACCTATAGAAAAATTTCCTCCTAAGTCGTACTCATGTTTTATTTATGGTAACAAAACTGTGAGGAGGTGTGGCATGCACGTGTGTAGCTACACTCCCAAAACAGAAGTATCGATTTAACTGGTCATTGTTGATAGTGTTCAAGAAGTAACAGCACAGGATGCCAGAAGGGAGAAGAAAAGTAGCTATCAGCTGCGAGTTGGAGACTTCCCAAAAAGGAAAAGTATAAAGCTAGAGATTTTATAATAGCCCAAGGAGCTCCTTTTCACTAGGGCAGAGTCTGATAGCACTGTCCTTTTAGAACAGTTCATGACCCAGTGGTCAGAATCCAGGCTTCCAGTTCCAAGAGGCCGGTATAGAGGGAAATGAGGAAATTAGGCATGGAAGACCTACCACTGCAAACTGGGTGGGACCACAGTTAGGTGAGTGAGGTGTCCAAGTCACAAAATGTTATTTCACTCTTCCAATTAGGAAGAGTGATAAGAATAAGAGGAAAATTCAGCATGACTGATAAAACTTACAGGATCATGGGCTGACTCTTTACTAAGTCAGATGGCTCTTATGGCAATAACTTAATTTTTCACAATAGAGATATGTTATTATGTCCTATATAACAAATAAGTAGCTTGGATGCAAGAAGTTCCAACATTGGTTAATTCAGAGACACAACGTTATCTATAGCTCAGGTGTTTTCCAGCTTTTTCTTACTTGCTGTTGGCCTTTATGTTCAGGCTTGTCCCTCATCGTCTCTAGAGTTACTGAATCATTAAGGGTCCCAGGCAAAATAGTTGACCTTTAAATTAGGAAAGCTCAAGATTATTTATTAAAAAGTATGGGCAGAGTGTAGGAAACCACAAGGGATAATGCTGTTCCCCAAGAGGCCAGTAACAACAGCAGGACTGCCACCATTCCCAAGCGTGGTAAGGCAAGAGGAGGGAGCAGCTATAGCTACCAGAACCAGGAAAGAGGAGGCATGTAGAGCAACTGACTGAGAAGAACTGTGACCTTCAGTACGAGGAAATAGCTATCATCTGTGAAGACTGTGGGGAGAGGGGTAGAGGAATCACTGCTTCTCTCACTTTCTATTCTTCCAGTCACCTGCCAGAGCTCCTTATGGGTTAAACTCAATGGGAATTCAGAGAGAAAGGGAACCCTTTAACTTGTCCATGTAGGTCAGCCTTCTCTGAGAGCAGAATGCAGAAGGGAGGGGAGTGCATCTGGAGAGTGAAACAGAGGGTATCCAGCTTTGCTGTCATGCTCTAGGCATCGTATCCTCACACAGCCACTTCTAGGGACAGGAAGGAGAGTCTCTCTTGGTGTGTCTTTGTTAGTATTATTATTTTAGACTGAAACTTTCTCAGAAGCTTCACAGAAAATTCTCTCACGGATCTCATTTTCTGGTCTTGAATTATGTGTCAATTTTCTAGCTGCAAGGGAACCTAGGGAAATTATAATAATATCAGTCACTGTAATGGGCGTAGAGGAACATGCAGGAAATCACAGTTGTGTGGGCAATCAGTAGTTGTGCATGTTATAAGAAAAATGCATTTCTTTTCAAAACTCAGAAAATATCTAATAAACGACGATTATTAAAAAGACTGGCCACACCAAGTGTTGCAAGGGTGTAGAGCAGCTAGAACTCTCACAATCTGGTAGGAATGTAAAATGATACAACTACTCTAGAAAAAATATGAAAGTTTCTTAAAAAGCTAAATATATACCTACCATAGAATCTAGTTATTCTAGTTGTAGATATTTACCCAATAGAAGTTGAAGCATATGTTAGTAAAAAGACTTACCAACAAATGTTTATAGTATTCTTATTTCTAATAGCCCCCAAATGAAAACAACCCAAATGTTACTAAACAAGGGACAGGATAAACAAATTATGGTATATCCACACAATGAAGTATAATTCCGCAATAAATAGAATGAACTATTTGTACCTGCACTAATATGGATGAATCTCAAAATAACTGTGCTGAATGAAAGAAGTCAGCAAGAGAATATATACTATCTGAATCTATTTAATAAAAAAAACTGTAGAAAGTAAATGCAAAGTCATCTGTAGCGATGGAAAGCAGTGGTTTCTTGGAGGGCAGGAATGAGGAAGGGATGGGTGAGGGAGTACAAAGGGGCACAGGGAAACTTGGAGGGGTGAGGAATATGCTGATTATCTTGTGAAGGTTTCACAGGTCTATTCATATGTCAAAATGGATCAAGTTGTACACTTTAAATATATAAAGTATATACATTAAAATATATCCAGTTGATATGTCAATTATAATACAACAATGCTATTTTTGAAAAAAATTAATTTTAAAAACTAATCAAATACTTATAGAAATTTTAAGATTAAAGCATTGTGTAAGTCAAGGTATTCTGTGGCAGTCATGAATCTCAATTCGCACAGGTGTCTGAGCAGAGAAGGTCAGTTTCCCTGCTGAAGAATTCTCAGTAAAAGTCTATGAGGCCTGGCCAGCCAGAGCTCTGAGGACTAACCCCTTACACAGTCACAGGGACCGGCCAAGGTCTAGTATATGAAGGAAAAATTATATAAATTTTATTTATTTTTTTCCTTGTAGATGATGTATACAAGTAGTTTCTGTACCACTTTTTATTTGAGCATTGAGCATCCTGGACTGGTGAATGATATTTATCTTTTTCTTTTATTCCCTCTCTTGTTTTCCTTTTTTCTATCTTCAGGAGATTTTCTCACCTTTCTTTCAACTCTTCTGTTGAATTTAAACATTTTTTCTATTATAATTTTACTTTTCAAGGCTCATGTTTCCTCTGTGTTCCTTAAAAACAAGTCCTCTGTTCTTGTTTCGTAGTAATAGTAGTTTCCTTATATTGCTAATGATTATGAATCATAGTGATGTGTTTTTCTTTTCAACTTCTCTCTTTTCGTTATCTGTTCTCCAAGTAGTGTTCACTTTTGATTGTTTTGGACTTCATTTTATAATTTTCCACTGTCTGATCCTTGATGGCTCATATTTAAGAACGATTTTTTTTAAAGGCTGGTTGGAAGTTCATGGTGTGAGATTAGCTGACTGAAGTATTTACTGCAGGAGATCTGGCAAAGCCATTTATTTAAAGAACCTCAAATGTTGTATTCTTTGTCTCTTTGGGGGCAATCCATTCCCCAGTCCTCTACTTAGGCTGAAAGCCTGATTGCCTGTGTTCTGGGAATCACAAAAGTAATTGGATCCCCGATTTCAAGGATCATATGCAGACATTCACATAGGCTTTCTTTTTTCTTTTTTTTTTAACCAGGGGAGAAGCAAACGCAGTCTCCCACTACCACAAATTATGCAGACGAATTTCCCAAATGTGGTTAAATCATAGGGTCAACATATCTGAAATGCAGCATTTAAGCCTCACCCTGGGAAAACCACCTTTGTGATAAGGGTGTCTCCCCTGCCAGGTAAATACGCACGTACGCTTTCTAAGTTCAGTGTATAGAACCCCTGACCTTAACACTCACTCCCTGTACGGAGACCCTCTGCTTTATTAACTCCAGGGAATATGACTTTATTCTTTCATTGTACTGACAGAGGAGCAGATGCCCAGCTGTGTGAGGTTGGGAAGGGGCTCCGACTACTAGACTTTTTAAAATCAATCCTCTTCCTCAGAGTCTCCTTCGCCTCTTCCTTGTTTCTACAGAGATTGAGGCTTTTGGAGGATTCTGCAACACAAAACATGTTGGATTTTAGCTTTCTCTGTTGCTAGTTTATGATTCCATTCTTCTTCAGGTCTGCAAACTCCTTTACCAATTGTTCATTTGTTTTCCAACTTCAAAAATGTTGTTGCTGTTGTCCCCTCTCCAAGTCACCCCCTACTTGGGTATATATCTTAAGAAATGCCTTTTCTGATGAGTAGGTGTAGTTTCAGAATGGAGCAATGTTAGCTGTGGAGTGACGTTAGCTTTTTTTACATTTGTGGACATGGTCCTGGTCTGCCTCCTGTGGTTCTTAACCATGGTGGAAGTCCCATCAGTAGGCATCTGTGACAGACTGTGACCAGCTGAACTACGGAACAAATAAGAAGTTTCGAGTGCAACCCTCCTATTACAAGAAGTCAAAGGGTTTAGATTATATCCTTTTCTGGTCTTTACTTAAAGAATACGCATGAAAGAAAGAGCAAGATTATATATCTTAGCAATAATTAAAAGTAGTAAAAAGTCAAAGTAAAATTTTTCAGTTTTTGTAGAAAATTTAATCTATAAACAGATAAGATAGATATATTTAATTTGTGTAATGGGGTTGGTAAGATTAAAAACAATTTTTTTCATAGTGGTATCCCAGAGCTGTCCTCTAGCTACATTCTTGCCTCATGTACTTTCCTGTGTTTATGATGAAAACACAGATGTTTTGGTGTATAAACCTGGATGCATATCTATAATAGTATCAATATTCTGTTGCATGATTATGAGAGGTGACAGCGTGCTGGCAGTCCTCACAGCCCTCCCTCGCTCTCGGTGCCTCCTCTGCCTGGGCTCCCACTTTGGTGGCACTTGAGGAGCCCTTCAGCCCACCACTGCACTGTGGGAGCCCCTTTCTGGGCTGGCCAAGGCCAGAGCCAGCTCCCTCAGCTTGCAGGGAGGTGTGGAGGGAGAGGCGCCAGCAGGAACCAGGGCTGTGTGAGGCGCTTGTGGACCAGCTGTAGTTCCGGGTTGGGCGTGGGCTTGGCGGGCCCCGCACTCAGAGCAGCCGGCCAGCCCTGCTGGCCCCAGGCAATGAGGGACTTAGCACCCGGGCCAGTGGCTGCGGAGGGTGTACTGGGTCCCCCAGCAGTGCCGGCCCAACGGCGCTGCGCTCAATTTCTCACCGAGCCTTAGCTGCCTTCCCGCGGGGCAGGGCTCGGGACCTGCAGCCCGCCATGCCTGAGCCTCCCACCCACTCCATGGGCTCCTGTGCTGCCCAAGCCTCCCCAACGAGCACCACCCCCTGCTCCCCGGCGCCCAGTCCCATCGACTACCCAAGGGCTGAGGAGTGCGAGCGCATGGCACGGGACTGGCAGGCACCTCCACCTGCAGCCCCAGCGTGGGATCCACTAGGTGAAGCCAGCTGGGCTCCTGAGTCTGGTGGGGATGTGGAGAGTCTTTATATCTAGCTCAGGGATTGTAAATACACCAATCAGCACCCTGTGTTTAGCTCAAGGTTTGTGAGTGCACCAATCTACACTCTGTATGTAGCTGCTCTGGTGGGGCCTTGGAGAACCTTTATGTCTAGCTCAGGGATTGTAAATACACCAATCGGCACTCTGTATCTAGCTCAAGGTTTGTAAACACACCAATCAGCACCCTGTGTTTAGCTCAAGGTTTGTGAATGCACCAATCGACACTCTGTATCTAGCTGCTCTGGTGGGGCCTTGGAGAACCTGTGTGTGGAAACTCTGTATCTAACTAATCTGATGGGGACGTGGAGAACCTTTGTATCTACCTCAGGGATTGTAAACGCACCAATCAGTGCCCTGACAAAACAGGCCACTCGGCTCTACCAATCAGCAGGATGTGGGTGGGGTCAGATAAGAGAATAAAAGCAGGCTGCCCTAGCCAGCACTGGCAACCTGCTCCGGTCCCCTTCCACACAGTGGAAGCTTTGTTCTTTCGTTCTTTGCAATAAATCTTGCTACTGCTCACTCTATGGGTCCACGCTGCTTTTATGAGCTGTAGCACTCACTGCGAAGATCTGCAGCTTCACTCCTGAGCCCAGCGAGACCACGAGCCCACCAGGAGGAACGAACAACTCCAGACTTGCTGCCTTAAGAGCTGTAACACTCACCGCCAAGGTCTGCAGCGAACTCACCAGAAGGAAGAAACTCCGAACACATCTGAACATCAGAAGGGACAGACTCCAGACACGCCACCTTAAGAGCTGTAACACTCACCGCAAGGGTCCACGGCTTCATTCTTGAAGTCAGTGAGACCAAGAACCCACCAATTCCGGACACAATTAGATGGCTCTTCTGTACTACTTGGGTGTGTTCCCATTGTAGAACTATTTCCTTCTCACTAAAAACCACAGATTCTAAAACTTAATTGAAGTGATCAATGCCTCTGGCTAACCAACATTTGCCACATTTCCAGTGGCTTTGGAATTATTGCAAATTAATTACCGATTTGTCTTGAGCTATGATTCATTGTAAAGTACTTAAAACCAGTAAAGACAGACCTGCCATTTAGTACAGAGGTGTCTCTGGAGCTTCTTAGCACTATGAATTGTTGTGTGAATTTATGTGGATGAACCAAATGAGGTTGTTTATGAGAAACTTATTCTCAAAGTTCATAAAGGCTTTAAGGCTGGAACTGGCTGCTGATGGCAAATGCACAAGTAGATGTAAATGTAATTCAACCATTAAAATCTAAAGCCATAAAAGCAAGGAAATTCAGTTAAAGGAGGAAATGGGTTGTGCAGTGCTTTCTCCAGCCGTGATGCACAATGGGGTGTATTAAGGAATTGGAGACACCCCATAGTGTGAGACGTTCAAGGCATCTCTCATGTTTCATCCCTAACAGATTTCTGAGCATTTATGGACTTGAATATTGCTTCTAAAGTACTCTCTTTTGGGAGGAGCCTAGAAAGGAAAGAAACTTCTGTGTTTTTCCTTCATTATTACCATGTAGCCAGGGATGGAGGTAGGAGTGTGGATTCATATGGCGTGAAGGAATTTTGGGCTGGTAATCTGAAACATGGATGCTCTGGCTGACTCTTTCTCTAGGATTTCATGCATTCATGATGCTGTGTGCAGACCTCAGTTCAGGCAAAACTACAGAACAGAGACTTAGTATAGCCCTGCATGCTCTGTTCAGCTTGGATGTACAGAATTTAATTTTTTATCAACATGAGAGCTATTTGGAACAAAGGGAAATTGTTTTCCATTTCTACTTCTCTCAACTATAGAAAAATAAAATCTCAATTTGGCTTTCTGTGAATGGCTGGTTGGTGATGAATAGAAAGTCTTAGAAATGACCTAGCTTGCATATATTTTGCGGTTTCAAAAAACCCCTCATTTAAAATATACATTTTTAAAAAGTCTTAATCTTTAATTAATTAATTTATTTATTTATTTTTGAGAGAGAGTCTTGCTCTGTCGCCCAGGCTGGAGTGCAGTGGCACAATCTCGGCTCACTGCAAGCTCCACTTCCTGGGTTCATGCCATTCT
Organism: Homo sapiens; assembly: GCF_000001405.40. Classification (NCBI taxonomy): domain Eukaryota; kingdom Metazoa; phylum Chordata; class Mammalia; order Primates; family Hominidae; genus Homo; species Homo sapiens. The sequence continues at coordinate 96,222,168 of NC_000001.11, read as the reverse complement.
CCTCCTTCAGCCTCCCGAGTAGCTGGGATTACAGGCACCTGCCACCACGCCCAGCTATTTTTTTGTATTTTTAGTAGAGACAAGATTTCACTGTATTAGCCAGGATGGTCTCGATCTCCTGACCTCGTGATCCACTCGCCTTGGCCTCCCAAAGTGCTGGGATTACAGGCATGAGCCACCGTGCCCAGCCAAGTCTTAATCTTTAAAAGTTACATGCTTTTTAGATGACCTAGTAAATACAATAGCTCATCTGAGGGGAAGAGTCATCTTGCAATGTGCAGCCTAGAAGGAAGTCTTTCCATTGCCAGAAAATGTAAGGCTGTTGGGAAGATGTCAACTGCTTTCTAGAGAAACAAATGATGAGTGTGTTTTCTATTTTTTTTAAACAAAATTTTATCATACAAGCTTGTGTATTCCACATTTGAATTTGAAATTAATCAGGATAAGAGGGCCTAAAGTGCAGGGAGAAAGATGGTTGAAACGGCGAATGATGAACCGGGTATGTGATTGATGTCATGTGAATAGCCACTGTTTTAATAAGCCAAGGAGCCTGTATTGGCCACCACCATGATATAAAAAACATATGGCCATATGCATTTAAGGTCTTAAAAATGACTCCACCCCTATCTACACCAAAAGAAAAATGTTTATAATAATACATATATTGACTTCTGCTTTCTAGTCAATAACAAGATTTATTGTCTCACTCTTCAGTCAATTTTAACTTCTTTGGGTCAACAAATCTTGATATTGATCTCAACAGAAGTCAATACCTGCTTATTACTTACCTCCACATTTAGACGCCTACCAACAATTCTTACGGGCATTCCTTTGACACAGAAAAGTGAATACTGGCTGTCTACATTCTATACAAGGTGTATACCTGTGGGCTTCATATATAATGTCACTTTTATAAGCCTTAATTCAGATCTAGTTATAAAACTAAATGAGGAAAAAAGATAGATGGTTTCCAATATCTGTAATTATGAACTAGACAGACATTTAGTATTCCCTTTTAATTTCCTAAATAATAAAATCATGATCTTTTATATTAATTATGCTGTAGTCATTTCCTACATCAAAGATAATTAGGCAACATGATATTTTTCATTCACCAAAGAGAGAACACAATAAATATTTTTAACAACGAAACCTTAATGTGATATAAGGTTAAAATTCTATAGTATCTCAAATGTTTTTAAAAACAAGAAAAGCAGACTAGTTACCCATTGCAGCAATTACCCAAATGTCTGCCAACCTCTAACCTCTAAATGTTGACTTTAGTCAAAGACATTCTAGGTTAGATAACTAAGTAACTATCAGGAAGGGAGTTTTGTTTGTTTGCTTGGCAACTGAAAAGAAATAAAGATCAAGGAAGCAGCCTTGCCTGGAGTTTTTAATGAATGTGAGACAAGCCCTACCAAAGGCAATTACTAAACCATCCCCCAAAGTTGTTTGTTCCGCGTACAAATGCAGTCCTGGTTCCATAAGACCTCTAGGTGTAAAACAGCATCATCAGCCTTCTTGCCACCCTCACCTGTTGAAATATTAAAAAGGAAGAATAAAACACCAATATGTACAAACCCAGGGGCAGACAAAGCAAAATACACTCAAGGCTGTAAGATATTAATTTTTCAAATTCAATAAATAAACCTTCATTACATACCTATGTTAAACTGCTTAAAATTAAAATTCAAGAGTTCTTATATTTTGTACTGCTCTTGAAATACTTTACCCTCTCTACACTGACTCACACACACCATAAAGTCCACATTTAAAACTTATGTTTTGCTGCAGGCGAAATGCCAATAAATAATAACAAAAAGGGAAGAAAAGAAAAGACTAATAGAGCCAGGTGACACAGATCACTTTATCACCAGCCCAGGTTTGCTTCTGCATAGTCCTATTTTCCAGATCATATAATTGCGAACAAATTTGCAGAAACTGAAAATGGAACATTAGGAGAAAAAAGAACACTTAAGTACATAAATGTGTGTTAATTCCAAATACGTATATACTTTCATAATAATTGAAAGTTGTTTTCTAAAAGATGTGAAAGCATGTCCTGTCAATAGCCACTACTAGCTTGTTAATCAATTTTTACAAGCTTTGTCTGAGAGAGTTAATTTTTCAAAACTGTGTCACTAATTTCACATTGTGCTTCCTGAATAAACTCATTAGCTTCCCCTGTAAGTCTTAGTTTCTATTCACCAAAATTGCCTGCTCAAACGTGAAAAATACAGTAGGGAGAAAAAATAAAGCCTGTTGTTTTACTGACTCTGAATTCCTTTTGAAAACTTAATCACTTAGTTTGTGAGTTTAGATCCAACTCTAAGGTCATCCTGCAGAGTCAGTTCTCATTTTTTCCTCCCCTCTCCCCACAGAAATCAGGAGAACTAGGGTCATGTGCCCTCCATTCAACTTTGCAAGGATGGACATGTGAGAAGACTAAGTGAGCAGGACAGTAATGAAATGGCTATATTGTATGGTGTTTTTAAGGCTAATTTGTTATGGACTTAAGAAAGGTGAGGAAGGAAAATTGTTTTTCAAACTCGACACTATTGATATCTTGAGCGGAGAATTCTTTGTTAGAAGAGAGAGGAATTGTCCTGTGCATTGAAGAATGTTTAACAGCATTTCAGATCTCTGACCACAAAATGCCAGTAATACCACCCTAGTAGATGTGACAACAGAAAGTGTCTCCCGAGATTGCCAAGTGTTCCATTGGTGACAAAACTTTCATACCAAGATACATTCTTATAATATATGTAAGTAAAGAATCAAAAAATATTGCAAAATCATCGATTACTATAACCACGAGGGACTGGTTAAATTGAGGTAGCCATTGTGAATTACTGTAGACAAAACAAAACAAAAAACACAATTACTGCATCATCTCATCAAATGTGTTCATTCTTATGAATTGAGTCCTAGTTCCATAAGACCTCTGGGTGTCAAACAGAATCACTAGCCTTGTATTAAGTGAAAACACAGAACAGCATCTTTGAAAGTCAAGTCTGCAAGTCCATACAGAGAGTAGAATCTGAGAATTTCAGAGCTGGAAGGCATCTTGGAGAACATCTATACAAACATTGTCTTTTTACTGGTGGCCACTGAGTCTAGTCAGCGTATCTGACTTATCCAACATTACATAGCTAGTTAGTGGCAGTGGTGAGATAAGAATCCAAATCTTTGAAATCCAAATCCAGATTCTCTTTTCTATATCAAAGTATAGGTCTATTTAGTATGGCAGTTTACTGAAGTTTTTCATTGAATGTTTTCCAGCCCCATTCATATACGTAATTTAAAGCATGGTAATAGTCTAGTTAAAATTTGCTTCAAATTTTTAAGAATCAAATCTTATGGCATTATCATCTCAGATAATAATTTTCCAGACATCAGCTTTTATTTAGCAGTAGGCATGTTCATCTTGAGATCCATTTTAAAGCATCTTGGCACTTTCTTTTGGAAAATGTTATGTCATAATAATAAAATATGATTAGGTATTTCCACTTAAATATTTCTGAATCTCCTAAAACTTATTCTTCCTTCAAATCTCCCTCTAGTTTTCCCTAACTCTATTATTCTCCTAGTTTAAAAATTCACATTGCCTTTTACTAATTTTTTTTCTGAACACACAATAGCCAAACAATTTCTAAATCCCATTATTCCTTTTATTCATTGTCTTTTTGAAAAACAATTATTTCTTTTCAGCTCCATTGCCATCGGACTGTAGAGATCCTTATCAGTATGTCTACAGACTAGTAAGCTGAGACAAATGTGTTTTGCCATATTTAGTCTTTTCTCCATCTACTACCCAACTCACTTTGCATATCACCATCTGAGGATTCTTACTAAAATATTTATGTCATAAATCCACCAATAAGTAAATATTCATTGAACAATTCCTGGGTCCAGTTAATGCTTTAGACACAAAAGATGGGTAGAAGTGGTGGGGAGAGGAGGATTTGTAGCCAAAAAAATTTTAAACGAGCTTCCTGCTTCTATGAGTTTATTTTTCAGTTGAAATGCATATTGCAGTAAACTAAGAGGCTTAATGCAAGAGCACACATACATGCAAATAGGTAAATACAGAAACTTCACACTTGCCATTTCAAATTTCTAAGATGTTTATCCTGATTTCCAGTTCAAAGATGAATCTTAGTGATAGCTTGAAAAGTAATAACTATACACATGTATTAACCTTTATAATCCCATTTGTGATAATCTCAACACTTTGTTCTTTCCCCATGTGTGCTTGTTACAGCAACCAATTTTTCCAGTGGTAGCAACCAATGTGCAGTAGCAGCTGATGTCCCCATCTGTTTCTGCTTGCTTTCAATTAAATAAATCATTGTATCACATGCTCAAGCTGACCAATGAACCCTTGGCTAAGGCAGTTTTGGGAGGAACCTTCCAGCAATGTAGAAACTATTGGCCGAGACCAATATTTATTCAGGGATATTTATTCACAAGTCACCTCTCCATCAGGGTTCTATCTTCTAGGTTGCCATTTTCTGTCTTCCTGTTAAAGATGGAACCCAGACACTTACTTGTAAGATAATAGAGCAGAAATATAGGAAACAATGAGGCTCTGAGACCCTATCTAAACGGCCTCAGTGTGGCCTAAGCTTTGGATGGCGATTTAGCATTCATGTGTAATAAGTGCCCTTCTAGTAAAAATTATATATTCCCTTATTAAAAGATGGTTGAGATGGTCACTTCTGTGTGTAAGACACATTTCTTCTCTGGTGGTCCATCCTCAACTTTTCTAGAAATATCTCCCCTTGGCATTCACATTTTTAACATAGGAGCAATGATTTTATACAATATGACTCTGCCTCACAGAGGGTCACAGTTGACTTCTAAGAAGTTAGAACCTGAATCAATCTGGGCCACTGAACCCCTTCTCTGAGATTGTGAATTTTAGAGTGAGAGTTCTGGCATTGTCTCCTGAAACTAAAGTTGTTAACTGTAAATTAATCTGAGAGTTCCTCACATTAATTTTGTGCCATAGAATGTAAATCAACTGATTTACACAAGGAGAAAGAAAAATGGAGCAGATGAATAAAAAGGTACAATGACTAGAGATAAAGAGAATCCTGACATTCTTCTATTCCCGGATAGTTCCTGAGCCCAATTGTATCATTGACATTTCCATAGCTTAGATTTCCCCTGGATTCTCGGGGATATCTCATTATTCTCCCAATAAATTTTCCTATTTCAGTAAAGCTTTTCAAGCTGAATTCCTGCCACCTGTAACTAAAATATGTATCATGAATACATTTTGCCTCCTGCAAGTCCATTAGAGGAAAATGTTGTAGTTTTGAATAGAAACCAGTCTAAAGGCCATGAATAAACAGTCACATATACAAACACAGATGCACACGCACACACACGCTAAAAGCTAGGCCTATATAAGTTTAGATTCTGTCTTACAAAAAATGAAGGCTACAGTAGCAGCATAATTAAGAAGAAGCAAATTAGAGTTCGCCATGTCATTATCTGGTTCAAAACATTTACTTGTATCCTATTATCATTAGAGTGCAAACTCTTGAGTCTGGGGTTCAAAGTCTCTTAACAGAAGCCCCTAAGCTACCTGTGGCAGTACTTGCCATCATTTCTACACAATTCCTCCCTACCTGTTCTCAGCTAAGTTCTTTTGCCATGCTTCCTGACTGAGAGGACTGCCTCTTCCCCTATGCCCAATAAAACTCTTATTTGTCATTCTTCTGGGCCACATTTTTTAGTTTCTACCTCTTGAGTTCTTGAGTCTACAGAAGGATCTCCATTCTCTGAAATCTTAGAACTCGTGTTATTTTAACCACTTCTTTAACATTTACTACTTGTACCATATATAATTAGTCAACTATTTCAGTGGTCTTGGTTTTAATTCCTGCTGGGAAATTATACCTAAGCTCTCTGAGGGCAGAGACCATGCCTTTCTTTTTACAACACTTCCTCCCTTCCCCGAATCCACTGAAAGTGAGCATTTGGTAGAGTGTATTTTATTTGAATTAACACATACAAGAGTAAAATATAGCATATTCCCTAAGGGAACCAATTATAAATTTTGTTTAAAGGAGCATTAAAAAGTTAAATTAAAAAGCTCACATTGGCAGAAGATAAAAAAGTTTTAACCACCAACTGCTGCTGATATAGGGACATTTGATAATGAAAAACAGAAATATAACTTAAAGGAAAAGAGCTCATGAGTAAATTGGAAGGGATGACGGTGAAAGAGGAGAAAACATACAAATCCTGTAATATACTTATTTTTTAAAAATCAAGTAAAGTCTGTGCATCCCCTCCCCTTGTAGACTGTAAACTCCATGAGGCCAATTATCCCATCTGCGTTGTTCATCACAGTAAAGCCAATACCTGACTCTCAGTCGAGAGGGATCCAGTAAGCACTTCTGGAATGTTAAACCACTGTTGTACAACCAGAATACATTTTAAAGTAAGTATGTCTATAGAGGTGACAGGCACTTGATGGTGCAGTGCAGAATTTGCACCCAATTCCTGCAGTGGCATCTAGGGACTGACTGACACAAGCAAAGTATTAAAAACACTACCGATGAAATTTGTATAGTCAGGGAAAAAACCTCTGTACCAAGGAGGCTAAAGCCACATTAGTTGCAGGCTGGAAGACTGAGAGCTGTCATTAACAGAGGGGCTCTGATAATAAAAGGAATGATCAAAGCAACATTGAACAACATGGAACTAGACCAATGTAGATGAGCAGAGGACATAGAAACTGATGTGAAGAGTGGACGTAGAAGAGACTCAAACTAGTACCAAAGAGGAGTGTTCCCTAACTTCTCCTACTATGGGCTTTAATAGAATCTTAATGAAGAAAAATGATAGTTTTATCAGTAAGCTTTTTCTAGATTTTACTACAGAAACAAATGACCCTCAACTCTAAATGGCTTGATCACATTTTAGGTTGGCTGTAGGTCTGCTGAAGCCCTGTTTACTTTCTCTTTATTCTAGAACACTGGCCAATACAGCAGCTATTATCTGGGATCCTGCCAAACTTGGATTGCAAAATTTAGCAAATGAAAATACAAAACATCCAATTAAATTTGGATTTGAGATAAATAGTGAACGATTTTTGGGTACAGAAATATGGCCGTTGCAATATTTGGGATAGACTTATGCCAAAAAATATTTGTTGTTTATCTGATTCTGATTTAATCATGTGCCCTGTATTTTTTTTTCCTGGCAACCGTTTGCCAGATTCATGAAAGATGAAAAATGTGACCTCATGAAGGTTTTTACGCCTTTTACTCAGAAGTGTCATTTGGTGGGTGCAGTGGCTCTTGCCTGTAATCCCAGCACTTTAGGGAGGCCAAGGTGGGCAGGTCACTTGAGGTCAGGAGTTTGAGACCAGCCTGGCCAACATGGTGAAATCCCATCTCTAACAAAAATTACAAAAATTAGCCAGGCATGGTGGCACGCCTGTAATCCCAGTTACTTGGGAGGCTGAGGCATGAGAATCACTTAAACCTGGGAGGTAGAGGCTGCAGTGAGTCGAGATAGTGCCACTGCACTCCAGCCTGGGTGACAGAGTGAGACCCTGTCTCAAAAAAAAAAGTGGCATTTGACACTTCCACTCTTCTCACTCATTGGCCAAACAACGCACATGATTAAACTAGTATTATTGGGGTAAGAGGCATCATCCTCCCTTGGAGATAGGCCTGGAAAAGAGGAGCCATATCAAAAGATATCACTCATTTATACTATGTGTGTATAAGTGTGTGTGCGTGTGCACACATTGGGGTGGGGTTGCTTTCATCTCTATAAAGGAGCTACAATAACTCCTTCCACTAGTGTTAAGAAGTAGCAGGAGCGGGAATGGCCGCTTGACATCTATACCCTCTCATTCTCTGAGCTGTCAAGGGAACAGCAGTTCCTGAAACTCTGTTCTAGTTGAGGGGACCACTTTAGTTTGACAGTGAGGGGTCATTTCTGTTAGAGTGATTGCCTTAGGTCTCATTATTTTAGGGCAAGTCTCTTGATACTGGTGAGCGAGCAGTGACTGAGAAAGCAAATCTGAGTGGGAGAAGAAAGTAGTTTGCTAGCAGAGGCTAACCCATTTCTGAAGGGTTCATGTTTGCCTGTGGCCCATGGCATCTTCCACCCCTCCTCCTTGGGGGCCACCTTCCTTCTTTACACACTCATTAGCTGGCTCTTCTTTGTAACAATTTTTCCAATTAAATGCACTCCTTGTTCATGTTTCACTGCACGTCAAAGGATATTTTTCTAGAGGAAAGGGTGACGGTAGATAGAGAGATGAGCTGGTGACACACAGGATTTTCCTGGTTCCCACAGCCTTCTTTGTTTGGCCCAAAGTCTTACATATATTCAAATTCTTTCATAAAAAACTAATTGCTAACTTTCTTTATTCTTTTGTGTCTGCAAGAATTCATTATTTACTTAGTACAACGGGTGAAAATTGTTCGCATTTCCAAGGTCAATCATAATAGAATTAGATTCCTGAAATAGCCTGGAGTATGATAAATACATAGATCTACATGGACTTCTGTTTTGCTGGGTTTTTCTTTTCTGTTCAAGGCTGTTTCTAAATATTATTTTCCTACTTCATTATAATATGCTTCTTATTCAGAGTTTGCCTAAACAGGACATTTGGCTAATGAAGTGAGATAATGGGGAATTAAATGGTTTTCAGTGTGAAGAGAACAACGTTATTTACAGGGTATATTGCTGATTAAGATTTATTTTTCTTTTAAAAAGTGACAAAATGATAATTAAGCTCTCAAACACAAAGTCATTCCCAACTTGTGATATGGTGTGATCACATGGGATTTCCTAATTTAATACCAATCACACATTTGAATGGGCTGGTATAAAATGAACTTACACACTGGTTGTCACAATTGCTGACGATAGGTGTGAATATATAGGCGAAAAGTATGGCTCATCTGAAAACACATGAGTTTATCCAAAACTTCATAAATATCTTTATTTGAGTGGAATTACTTCATCAAAGTGCTATCAGCACATAGAAATAGAAATGAACTATGTGGCTATTGATTTCAAGCACTAGGAATTGGCAAAATGTTTGTTTTAGATGATGGGGCAAAACTTGCAGATATTTAAAAATACATAAAAATAAACTAGGTGCTACAGGCCACAGTAAACCTCACCTGATCCCATTATTACTCATTTTACTTTGAATATATAAATAAGTCTTGATAATTTTCAGCTTTCCTTAAAATATAAAGTATTGATAATTTTCAGTTTTGTGTGTGTGTGTGTGTGTGTGTGTGTGTGTGTGTGTATAATACATGCAAATTATTCTGTGGCTGAGAATTAAGATTCCAAAACTCAAAGGAGCATTTTAACATCATCTCATTCTAGGGTGGCAGAATCTGGTCCAGGTCCTGCTGGTCCAGGTCCTTGCCTCTGGCAGATGTTGCTGAATAATGGAAATTTTTTTCTGCAGAGCACAGACTGAGAATCACAGTCCATTTTAAAACAGCAGTGCAAACCTGGGCAACATAATGAGAACCTGTCTCTACATAAAATTTAAAAACTAGCTGGGTGTGGGGGATGTGCCTGTAGCTACTCAGGAAGGTGAGGTGGGAGGATGGCTACAGCCCAGGAGTTCAAGGCTGCAGTGAGCATGATCACACCACTGAACTCCAGGCTGGGAGACAGAGCAAGACCCCATCTCAAAAACAAAAACAAACCAACCCAAAAAGACACAGGAGTTCAGGTAGCACTAGCAATTGGTCTGAGTTGACCTGCAAGAGGGAATCAGTTTGTTGTTGCTGAGAGCTCAACCCCTTTATCTTACAGGAGAGGAAGCTGCACTAGGTCGGATTTGGTTTACAAGTCCATTGTACATCCACTTCACCAAGCTGTTTAGGCAATTTAATTTCACACAGATACTTTTGAATGACATTTTCTTTTTGCGTGGCATTATTGATATAGAATAGTATACAATCATTATCTCTTCCAAAATATTAGAAAAGAAATAAAGGAGAAAATTGTCCTTTTATTTAGCATACATAATTAGTGAAAAAAGGGAGTTGCATAAAAACAGAAAAACAACATAGAGACATTTTGTGAGTAATTCAAGTGAATTTCAGCATTGTTCTAAGCATTTTATATTGTCAGTTGTTTAAAATGATTTGGGGGTGGGGAGAGAAAGACATAGACTTTGAAATGGCAGATTCTGTATATAGAGGGCCTAGTGTGGATATTCCTGAGTCTAAGACTGATCTAATCAGTAATCTGCCATCTGATGATGCATTGCTCTTCTGAAGAAAACAGGAGGTAAATAAGAACTAGGAGACAGAGGGAACCCAGCATTCCTGTTAAGCACCACAAGATGGGAAATCTGTATTTTCACTGTGTGACTCAATACCTTCTGTGCATATTGTCCCACGCTGGGAAAATAGCTCTTAGTGCTTTTTTTCAGTTTTGAATTTAGTGGAGTGTATACAAAGAAAGATTTATTTTAGAAGTACCTGTGTTGTAGTCTCAACTTCTGGGGATGCAATGGCAAAAGCAGGGTAGCTCAGGGCATAATTGGTAAGCAAAGAATCAAATTTTCAGTTTATTCAGCTTCCTGTTATTATAACTCCCCTGCCTGGGCTTCCTACCCACCCTCCCCAATTAGTTGACACACTCTTCATTCTTCTGAGGTACCCTCTGTCATTGGTCTCTTAAGACGTGGATTAAAATCTGTCTGGTGAGAATCTGATAATATCATTATTATTGAAGTGTAAATGACTAATAAACTGTTATCTTCCATAGAGACATTTGCATTTTAACAGGGACAAAGCCTTAAGCCAAAATAATCAGGGTCTTTTGTTTATTTTGTTCCCTTTGTACTTTTATCACACTAATCTTCCTATGCTGAGAAAGATAGTTAAGTGTAATCTTCAAAGGTTGTCATTATGTAAGTCAAGCAGCTTTGATGCGTTTGGGGATCAACTACCCACAATAATGCATCTAGTTTTAAATGTAGAAATAAATTTTGTCCCGTGAAAAATAATTTTTTTTTTCTGTTTGCCTACAGTATAAGGAACTCTCTATTTTTGTGATCTGCTTGAAATGGTTACAATTTCCTCACTGGCCCCCAACCCAGAGGGGAAGTTTCTTTTTCAAGATCTCTTCCTTCTCATAATGCGATTCTCAACCCTTCACAAAGATCTCTCATCCTCCCTCTCCAAGCTGGGGCCCAGAGCATGGTCCCATTAGAAGTATCATGCATAAATGCTATTTGATAATCACTGCTGTTTCTCTCCTTCATCCCCAACCAAGACTCTTTCTCATATTCCCAAATGCATTTTGTAAACTATAAAGTGCTAAACAAAAGTGAATATACATTATCTCTGTGGTTACATTATCATTTCAAATTTTTATGGAGTCAGGAGAAACTGACATTGGGTAATCAGATTTTCATGGATTGGATTATTAAAAGTGAGTCAAATAAAAGAGTTTGTTAGTATTTGCAGGGACATATTCTTAAACATATACTTTGATAGCTGTCATTAAATGTTTAAACTTCTAACTAATAAATTAAAATGACCCTAGAATAGGACAGGGATAAAACTTAAAAGGAATATGCAGCTTAAGTTTTGATTATTATGTGACTAAAACTTCAGCTGGAATAAACTCCAGCAATATTGCAAACTGTAGGCAGGCTAATGAAGAAAAAGGGACACACTGACTCATGTACTCTGCATTTGGCAAAAAAGATTGTTGAAGTTAAAAAGAAAATAATGGAGTAGAATAAGACCTCTAGAAGAAATATAGGACTGAAATATTATGTATTTCCTCAATTTGAAAGGGAAGGCAATTATTTCTTGTTTTAAGTGGACGCTACTGCTCTTGAGGCTGTCCATGGTCATTTCCTGAAACAAACGCATTTACAAAGTGACCACTGGGTGTGTGTCAATGATCTAAGAACTGAGGGATATGGAAAATTGTGGATTGATCTTTACTCTTGCTGAGCTTCCTATCCTTTCTCTCAAAATGTGTGTCCAGTGTTAGTAATGCAGATCAAATGAACTTCCACCAACAGGGAAGTCGGTCAAGGGCTTAAACAGTTAAATAAATTTCGGTGTGTGTACTTATTCCCCCTTTAAAAGCAACATTTGAAGGAAAGATGCAGAGCAAAATATCTAGAAACACAAATTTAAAAATCAAAATAGGAAATGAATCACTACAATTGTAAGAAAAGACATCGACAAATGAGATGCTGCAATGTATTTCCCCTCTGGACCAGCAGTCCGAGGAAAAAAAAATATATCTAAGCTTAAGCCTTCATGGAACCAAATTGTTCAGGTGCTGGAAGCGTTATGCCTTGAGATATTTTGCCAAGTAAGTGGTGTTTCACTCTACACTATAGAAAACCGCATTCTTTCTCACACTCACCAAAAAATGAAAAAAATAAATCACACCTCTATTCAGAGCTCAAGTTGTCATCAGAAAGGAAAAGGTGGGAGTTCATTTATCATGTGCATTTCTATGGCTACAAAGATAATTGGGTTGATTCCATCTAGCCTTTGCTTCTCTCACATTTTAATTGAAAAGCCTCCAGAGTGTTGGAAGCACAGAGCTGGCCTGAGACTTGAGGAGACTTCAGTTAGGCAGAGGTGGACTAAAATGACAACCAGAAGACAGACTAAGCGGTCTGTTGGACCAGGAGCCTGTTGTGTAAATGCTTGAAACTTACTGGGAAAGGGACTGACGGAGGAAGCCATACATTCTATATCTGTTTTCTGCGAGGAAATCCAGGTTTCATTTCTGGCTACATTTAATTTAACATTTTTATCAAAGCATTTGTGTCAGAATGAATACCTAACTTTGGGACAGTTTTTAGCCTGCAGAATTTAAGGAAAGCTTGGTTGATTAAAAACGAAGGGCTAGACAGCAAATGGCATTGGAGCCAGCAGAGAGTGAAACCAGTCTGAAACTTTTGGGCAGTGTTAAAATGGGCATACATTTAACATCATTTTCATTTTTCATCATCAAACTCACCCCTATTAAAACTTTGCAGGTTCAGTTGGTCAAGTTTTTATGACTGAACGTACTCTCTAAGCATGCTCAAGGTGTACTTAGGAGATTAATTTATAAGCTCTTCTGACTCTGAATCTCCAAGGTTTATTCTGTCTATGTGTTGTTTGCATAATGCACTTTTGTACAGCTAAAGAACTACCTATGAAGGGATTATTTTCATATTCAGCACATAAAAAACCAGCTCAATTCACAGATCCCGTTCTGTGTTTATGCCTGAGATAACAGGTGAAAAGTATCTCATTACAAATGTCCATGAAGCAAACATAAGAACGCGAATGTTTGGGGAGAGAATGTGCCCCTACTGAAATTAATTCCCCAATGGTTTTATTAAAGTCTGCAAATTGCATTATTTTCCCATCATATTTGAAATATTGCCCTCCTTTAATGCCTGCTCTAACCCATGCCATACCATCTTCCCTGGAGTGTCTAGACATGGTGTCTTAGATTTATGTGTATGATCTCAGTGTGTTACAACATCACTCCTGACTAATGCATTATTACAATACTTACAGATATTCCCAAGTGCCACTGTATTGATTAGAAAATCACCAATCTGCATATGCACACCATCTGTGCTGCAGAGAAGCAAAACACGCAGGATGACATTTGCCTTATTCGAAGGCAGATTCAGAAACCACTAATAGAACGAAGAGGGAATTCTCCTTCGCAGGGAAGGGATTTGGCTTTTTAGAATAGAAAAAAAATGGACAATATGAATTTTTATAGAATTATACAGTATAAAGTGTTTAAAACTAGTCACCTTTCTCTCTTTTCAGGTCTATGGAAAGCCCAGGTCTCAGCATACAAACAGCATGCTTAACCATTTAGATCCTGAAAATGATACCATGTCAGGACCACTGGTGCCATGAAATTGATAAATCTCAGCTCAACTGCAGCAGCCCTTTGGTAGAAAAGCTGCCTGTAGTGAGCAGTCGGTTGTGTCTCAATGGAAAGGCCGAAAGCATGCCTGCAAAAGATGAATGAGACTCACCTACTGGGCTGAAATGCTTTTAAAGGACAGGAATCTGTTTATCTTTGATTGATTGTTCAGTCTGATACTTTCCTTTATAAAGTTTATTGACTACAAGCACATAAATCAAAGAAAAACAAATCACAGGTTCAATTTTGGGGGCATTGACATCCTGCCATCTCTGCAGCAACTGCTCATACAAGTCAAGGGGGCAGGAAGAAGGATGCAAGTAACTAGGGGAAAAAAAATCACATGATGGAAATGGCCAACAAAGTCCTACCCTTATTATTCTCCTAATGGCTCTTTAGATGGCAAATGTCTTGATACATCCTGCAATGCCAGTAGTTTAGGCAGCTGTTGGAATGTGGATGATAACAAAAAAAATGAAACAAAAACAACAAACTAATTTGAAAAGCAATTACAAGCAAATGACACTCAGATCTGCCATTTTTGAATGTCCCCTATTATGGATCACCCAATTTGTCCCCAGTCTTGTTTATTAAAGTACATTTATTCAACTCCCTCAATGCTTAAGAAAAAAATATAAAAATATTAAGGCAAAGATTATGACTTTTGAGTGAACAGAGAGAATAGCAGCAGTAGGCTCTAATCACATTCCTCCAGTCCTGCCCCATCCCAATGTAAGAAAATGTTGCCATGCCAGCCTGGCCTAAGGAGGAGCTCTTTCCACCAGAACTGTGGGGGTAAATTCTAACCGTGGTATAACCCAGATGGATTTGTGTTAGGAAGCGTAATGATGCATTACATTGTGTCTCCTTTGAAACTAAGTGTACACAGACTAGAATATCTACAAAAAGTGCTCTGTTAGTGTGGATATGTGCCTTTCTCACAATTTAGTTAGAACAACAACCACTTTCTCACTGTGAAGAGTCAACAGCAGCCTTCTCAATTTGTTTTTTTGAAGTATCCTTGAAACATGTTTTAAAAATTAAAAATAACTGCATTCTTTATTTCTTGTGCATTTCTCAAGTTTATTACTTTCAATTTGTTGCCTTTTAGATGAAAATTACTGTGGGACACTACAGAATTCAGGGTGGTATTAACTTTCAGTGCCACAGGCCTGTCTCTGAAAACATTTTCTGTATTTCAAATAAAATTAGAGAAAGGGGAGAGATAGGGCCAAAGTGGGAGACAGAAACCAGTCCTCTATATGTGGCTATCTGTAAGAATGTCCAAACGACCACCCCAGGTAGCAGGAGTCATGGTATAGTATCTGAGCCATGGAAGGTAAAGCCAGCCCCAACTGACAGCAGCTGTAGAAAATTGAGAGAAGGAGCTGGCTGCTGGGCAGAGTGTAAAATGCAGCCTTGTTTCTCCCCTGCAGGAACTCAGAATACCTCACAAAGCCTTCCCAAGAGCAAATATCACTTTGCAGTGGTCACCACTGTCGGAGTCACTAATGAGGCCTAATTGGAGGACAGAGTCTGCCTGTGCACATTAGCATCTCTAAGTTGTCCCAATTAAGGAACAAGATACAACAGGGTGGGCATTGTTTGGATACTGGTGCCCTGCTTGAGTGTGCTGCGAGGAACAAGGCCAAAGGCTGAGTGCCTGCAACCACCCAATGTGTGACCTAATTGCTAATTGATGCACAACCTTAGGTGGCCTGCTGCTTCTTAATGATGTTTGAGACAGTTTGGGGTCCTAGAACAATAAGCTTGTTTTGGAACAAAGCCAACAATTTATCTTCATTTATCAGTGCTTTACCTGTATTATCAGGAAACACACACATACACACATTGCGGGATGGGAATAAGAAACACAACTCAGTACTATACTGTAAGTAAGAAGCCCATCATCATTAACAGGCAGAAAATCTAGTCTACTTTGGTGTGTAAAGCCACGTTAAAGAATATACTTCTGGAGCATCAAGGAAAAATAGAGAAATGAATAGCACATTATGGATTAAAGATGAGATCATAGCAAGAATCTTTTAAAATTTAAGGAATTGATCTCGGAACCCAACGCCTATGAGAATGTCTTCATTATCACTTTTGCCTCAGTCCATTTCTGATCTTCACATTTTCAGGCAACTGTGGAATGAGTAGAAAAGTTTTAGATGGCTTACATGGACTGAGGAAGAAGAGTTATTTTTGACAAGATAAAAACAAGAATAGACTGAAACTTTTTACTCATTACTTTATTCATTTAATAATGAATGTTCCAGGCACTCATAGGTGCTAGGGCTTACAGGATGGACAAAACTGACTAATCTCTGACTTCACAGATTTTAGACATTTCCAAACAAAAGTCATTCAGTGTAACAAAAGTAGCAATAGTTGAATTTTATTATGTTTTCAAGGACATACTAGGCGAGGAGAGAATGTTAACTCAATCTAGGGGTCAGGGAATTTCCTGAAGAAACTCTAAGACATTGAGGAGGCCCTTCCTCTGCCATTGGAATACAACTGATTTGTACTTTCCCTTAGAGTCATTGCATTAGTCCATTATCACACTGTTATAAAGAACCTTCCAAGACTGGGTAATTTATAACAAAAAGAGGTTTAATTGACCCACGGTTTGATATGGCTGGGGAGGCCTCAGGAAACTTACAATCATGGTGGAAGTCGAAGTGGAGACAGGCACCGTCTTCACAAGGTGGGAGTAGAGAGACTGGCTGAAGAACTTAGAAACCAGCAGATCTCGTGAGAACTCACTCACTATCGTGAGAACAGCATGGGGGAAACTACCCCCATGATTCAATTACCTCCACCTGGTATCTCCCTTGACACGTAAGGATTATGGGAATTACAATTCAGGATGAGATTTGGGTGAAGACACAAAGCCTAACCATATCGGTCATATGAAGTGATATTTGGACTGGTTTTAAAATTATATTTGACAAACATAGCACAGTGGTTTTTAAATACACTTGATTTCAAATGACTGATTTAAATAGGAAAAGGTGTGGATTTTGAAAAATGATGAAGTAGAAAAATAGTAAAGAAAGGAAAAGAGCCAGGGAAGGGGAAGAAATAGTGAAAGAAGAAATGTCCCTCCCCACAGCAATGAGGACACTCAATGAGAGATATAAAATGAAGAAGAAAGTAATTGGCAGTACAGATAGGAAAGGAGCAGAAATAGAAGGAAAGAGATACGGACATGGAATAAGGAAATGGGACACTGGAAAATATAAAGTAGCTCCAGGGGACAATTTCTAGTTTTATATGAACTGATCTGGTTAGAGCTTCTGTGTTCTGTACATTGTATTTCTGGTAGTAGTTAACTTTTCTCATTAACTGTCTTCTAAATGCTAAATTGCTAGTCAAACCCTATTTACAGTTCTTCAATTGGGACAGAAAAATAATGATCTTTTTGAATGATGTCCAATCAAGGAACATAAACAACAGCCTGAGAATTATTACCGATATTTGTTGGCAACAAAAATTAATTACTAACATGTTCATGGCTCAATTCATTTATTCAACAAATATTCATTGTTCAACAAATATTTAATATAGTAAAAAATATTGTCCAAGGTGTCACTGAAGAACAATCATTAAACTCCACAAATAGTTTTAATTTAATTGTCCAGAGCATGATATTAAACACACACTAATTTTTGCTCACACTCCTCTCCTCCTCCTCCTATTTTTACCTGTATCCTATAATACTGTCCGTTCTGTCCTGGCCCAATCCAACTTTCCCCAGTCGCACAATTCAAGATTCATGTTCTGTGTGGAACTTTTTCCGACTGTCCTTTTTTTCCTCTCAAAACTCCTGTGATCAAAACCCCTCAATAAGGTCATGTTACTACTGTCTCTGCTGATCTTTGATGCTTTCAATTCTCACCAAATCACTATAGTGCCAAAGTCAGTTTTAAAGAGGGGGAGGGGAGTGCTTTATCTCTATGTATAATGCTCAGAAGGAAGTCCCATAGTGTGATGTACCTGGAGCCCCCAAAATATAGAGTAGATTGCAGTAGCTCTTTCTAGTCCCATTATTAACTATTTTTCCAACTTCAATGGGGTGATTGGGCTCAATTGTGGCCCCTTCCACAATTCAAACATGAAAGCCCTAACCCCTAACTACTTCAGAATGTGACGATATTTGGAGATAGGGCCTTTGAAGAGGAGATTAAGCTATTATGGTGGGCCCTGACCCAATCTGACTGGTGCCCTTGTAAAACAAAGGAAATTTGGACACACAGACACCTGTGATGTACACACACACAGGAAAAACCATGTGAGGACTCAGGAGGAGGAGGCCTTCAGCAAGCCAAAGAGAGAAACCTCTGAAGAAAACAAACCTGTTGACAATTTGATATTGGACCTCCAGCCCACAGAACTGTGAGAAATAAATTTCTGTTGTTTAAGCCACCCAGTCTGTGATATTTTGTAATGGTAGCCGGAGCAGACTAATACAAGGGATATATCACAGCCAGGGAGTTAATATAGAACAGGTTTCTTTGAACCTACTGTACTGGGCTTTACTCACTACTTACAATCAGGACTGGATCTGCTCTGACTTTTCTTACTGAATTCTTTCTTTCTGGTACATTTTATGTGTGGGGCTCTGCTGTTAAGTTTTTAAAAATTTGCTTAAAATTTTTATTTTCTATTTATTAGAGTTTGAAAATAAAAAATTCATTTTTAACCTTTTTTCTCTAGTTTCCTCAAGTACATGGTATTTTTGTAATAATATTTAAGTGTTACATACCCATAGAAAAGTGTACAGATCATGAATATACCAGCTCAATGAAGTTTAATAGTCTACACGTCTAAATAACAAGTACCTGGATTCAGAAACAGAATATCTTCAGGAACTCAGGAGCCTTCCTTGTGACCTCTTTTCTGCAAATAATCATTATCTGATTTCTAATACCATAGGGTAGATTTGTCTACTTTTGAACTTTATACGAGTGGGACCACAGAGTGTGTACTCCTATGTGTAGATTTTTTGGTCAGCATTGTGTTGGTGAGATATGCATAATGTTGCATACGGCTCCAGTTCATTTATTCTCATTGGAGTACAGTATTTCATTTTATTAATACTTCATAATTTATTCATTCTACAGTTGATAGGCTTTGGGATTACTTTCAATTTATAGAGATAGTCTGAATAGCACTGCCACAAAAATTACTGAGTCATTAGCTATGTATATTCAGTTTTAGTTAATTATTCTAAACAGTTTTCCAAAGTGTTTTCACCAGTTTACAATTATACTAACATTGTATGAAAGTTCTAGATGATGCCAACTCTCCAATACTTGGTACTGACAGTCGTTTTTATTTTAACCATTCTTAGTTTGTACAGCTGTATTAACTGTGGTTTGAATTTGCATTTGTCTGATGACTGTCATCAAAATTGAACATGTTTCAGTTTGTCATTTTATTTTGGGACATGCATGTTTAAGTTTTTCTACATTTAACAAAATGATTATTTCTATTTTATTGATTTGTAGAAGATCTTTATATGTTCTGAATAGGACTCCCTTGTTGGGTATATGTATTGAAAATAACTATTACCATCTTGTGGGTTGTTGTTTTATCTTCCTTAGGAGTATTTTTTGATCATTTAAAGTTCTCAATTCTAACGTTGTCCACTTTGACTTCCTATTTTTGTATCCTATATAAGAAAATTTTGCTAACCCAACTCATTATGATGTTCTCTTATATTTTCTTCTCAAAGCTTATTTATTTATTTTAAATTTATTTTTACCTGTCCTACTTATATCTATAATCATACTGGATTTGGTTTTATGTATGGTGTGAGGAAGGGGCCGCAAATGAATATCCAGTTGGCCCATCATTTATAAAATTATCAATGTCTATCCCCACTGCAATGTAACATCATTTTTATTTCACTTTTATTACTATTCAGTGTAAATCTCTTTTTGGAATTTGTATTCCGTTATTTTTGTCTGCTTTTTTTGTTTGTTTTTATGCCAAAACTTCATGGTTTTGATATCTTTATTTTATTATTATTATTATTATTTGTTTTGAGACAGGGTCTTACTCTGTCACCCAGGCTGGAGTGCAGTGGCGTGATCTCTGCTCACTACAAGCTCTGCCTCCTGGGTTCACACCATTCTCCTGCCTCAGCCTCCTGAGTAGCTGGGACTACAGGTGCACGCCACCATGCCTGGCTAATATTTTTAGTAGAGACGGGATTTCACTGTGTTAGCCAGGATGGTCTCGATCTCCTGACCTCGTGATCTGCCTGCCGTGCCTCCCAAAGTGCTGGGATTACAGGCATGAGCCACCATGCCCGGCTGGTTTTGATATCTTACAGTGTAACTTCTCCACCTTCATTTCTCTTCTTCAAGATATCTTGGCTATTCTTAGACCTTTGTATGTCCATATAAATATTAGAATCATCTTGTCAACTTTCACAAACCAACCTTTTGAAATTTTGGTTGGGTTTGTCATGAATCTACTGACTAAATAGAGAACTCTTGTCTCTAAAACAGTTATCCATTTCATGAATATGCTTTATCTTTTATATGTTTAGGTCTTCTTTACTCTTCCTCAGTAATATTTTATGGTGCTATAAGCAGAGGTCTGGCACATCAATTATTAGATTGATTTCTACATTTCTGACTTTCAATGCTTTTGAAAATTATATTATTTAAATTTTTTAATTTTATGATTGTTTGTTGCTAGTGGCTAGCATATAGATACACAATTTTTGTCTATTGGCCTTGTGCCCAGTGATATTGTTGAATTCATTTCTTACAGTTTGTAGACTCTTTTGGATCTTCTTTATACACAAGCATATCCTCCAATAGCAACAAAATTTTATTTTTTATTTTCTAAATTAAATGGCTTTTATTTAATTTTCTTGTCTTATTTCACTGACTAGGGTCTCCAGTGTGATATCGAAAAGGAATGATGATATTCAGCCTCTTTTCCTTATGACTGTTCTCAAGAGAAAAGTTTCCAATAATTCATTATTAAATATAATGTTTTATGTAGGATGTTTTTGTAGATACTATTTATTAGACTAAAAGAGGACCATTCTATTTTTAATTTATTTAATTTAATAAGTTTTTGTTTTTTAACCATAAATACTCAATTTTATCACTTTTTCTATATCTGTTAAAATGTTCATGATTGTTTTGTTTTTGCTGTTAATAAGGCAACTTATATCTATGGATTTTTAATATTAAATACACACAGCCCTGGTTGTGATGTATAATCCTTTTAATAAATTATTGAATTTGATTTGCTAACAATTTACTTAATAATTTTTTTCAAGTATGTTATTAAAGATATTGGTCTGCAGTTTTCTTTCTTGTAATGTTATTGCTAGATTTTGTTATCAAGATTACATAAAATTATCTGGGAGTATCTTCTGTATTCTGAAAGAGTTTGTGTAAGATAGTGTTGTTTGCCACTCTTTTTAAAGTCGGTCTTCATAGCTCACTGGCACACACACACATAGTTGGCCTGGTATGATTATACACTTCAATGTTGATATAGTTGACATGTTACTCCCATCTCCTCACTCTCCACTCAAGGCTGTCTCTCTAGATAGTGGAAATCAATAAATGTCATATGACAGGTTTTGTACATTACACATTAGCCATATTCAAATCATAGTATTGTACTCCTTCTTTTGACCCCTACATCTACAGCTTTTTTAAAAAAAACTTAAGATACTTAAAAAGAAAAGTCATCTTTTAATAACTGGAATTAGATAATTTTTTAACCTTCCAATGACTCTCATCTCATTCACAATCTAGAAGCTCTTACCTCTACAAGACCCTTGATTACTTCCCTCCTTTGCTCACTCTGTATGAGCCACATACCCTTCTTAATGTTCCTCAGACCATTCATATTTGGCCTTTCCACTTCCTGTTCCTTTTCCCCATTACTCGCTTCCTCCAGATGACCACATGGATCACTGGCTCCTGTATTTCAGGTCTTTCCTCAATTGTCGCCTTCTCAGTGAGACAGACTTTCACCAGCCTTTTTAAGACTATAACTCCCCTGGTGCCTCATCCCACACTGCCTATGCTAGCATTCCCTATCTTCTTTCCCATTTTTATCATTATTTGACAAATAGCTCTAGAATCATGTGTATTTGTTGATATTTTGTTTGTAGATTGCTTGTTTCTCTTCTCTGAGAAAATGTGAGCCTCATAAGAGCAGAAGTTTTTGTTTGTTGATTACTGTATCCCAAGCACCTAACATAATGCTTGGTATATAATAGCTTCTCAATAAATACTAGATGGCAGGATACTCAAAAAATGTATTCTGCAGCTTGCTTTATTTTTGAGGTTTTTGAAGATATATGTAAATCTATTTATTCATTTTAACTGACGATATGTATTATTGCATTCTCTGAATATACCAGAATTCATTAATTCAGTTTCCTTTTGGTAGACATTTAGTTTATTTGAATACTATATGTCACCCTACACATTTTTAAGTTAACATCTATTTTTTAATTCAAATTTAAGAATTGCAAAAGATACATGTTTCAGCATATTATATTTTGTATTCATGCTTTAAATATATTTTGGTCAAAACCTTGGAGCAGATTTGGTGAATCTGATTTGTAGAAAATATGTATCATTTAACTTAAATGGATACCCAGTCTTCATTGTCAAAACAAACAGCTATCAGACTTATTTTCTGTCAGAAATATATGACTTTATGTTTCAATTCAAATAAATATGCTTTCATACTCATCTCCATGACAACCATCTCATTTTAAAATTCTATTTCTAAGATAGAAAGAAGGATAAATTAAAAAGATAAAGACAGGGTCCTTTCTTCTAGTCACTTGGATGAAAGTAACCACCGCCCTTCAATATTTCATAACCAAGCTTAATGCTTGCAGTCCTGGGACTCTTGTTCATGAGCTATGTATTCTTTTTTTTTTTTTTTTTTTTGAGATGGAGTATAGCTCTGTCGCCCAGGCTGGAGTGCAGTGGGCGCGATCTTGGCTCACTGCAAGCTCTGCCTTCCGGGTTCACGCCATTCTCCTGCCTCAGCCTCCCAAGTAGCTGGGACTACAGGCACCTGCCACCACGCCTGGCTAATTTCTTATTGTAGTTTAGTAGAGACGGGGTTTCACCATGTTAGCCAAGATGGTCTCGATCTCCTGACCTCGTGATCTGCCCGCCTCGGCCTCCCAAAGTGCTGGGATTATAGGCGTGATCCACTGCGCCCGGCCGAGCTATGTATTCTTGAAATGTCTCTTTGGCATGCAGAGATTTTTTTAGACCTAGGCCAAGCCATCATATTAAGGTTCATTGGGGGAAACTGTTTCCCTTTCTTTTAAAAAAAGAATGATTGTGAAGGTGAGGTAGGTAAGAAACTAAAATAGGTAGGTCGAGCATGGTGGCTCATGGTTATAATCCCAGCACTTTGGGAGGCTGAGATGGGAGGTTCACTGGAGCCCAAGAGCTCGAACCCTGCCTGAACAACATAGCAAAATCCTGTCTCTACAAAAAATTAAAAAATTAGCCAGGCATGATGGCACACGCCTGTGGTCCCAGCTACTGGGGAGGCTGAGGTGGGAGGATCAATTGAGGCTGGGAGGTTAAGACTACAGCCTGGGGTACAGAGCAAGACCCTGTCTCAAAAAAAAAAAAAAAAAGAAAAAGAAAAAGAAAAAAATAGGCAAACCTGTTTTCTAAAGACTCATTTCTAAAATTCTAAAATAAAGTTGAATATCTAAAGGATAGTGTATTAGCCTGTTCTCCCACTGCTATGAAGAACTACCTGAGACAGAGACTGGGTAATTTATTGAAGAAAAGAGGTTTAATTGACTCACAGTTCTGCAGGCTTAACAGGAAGCATGACTGGGAGGCCTCAGGAAACTTATAGCAGAAGGCAAAGGAGAAACAAGCATGTCTTACCATGTTGGAGCAGGAGAGACAGAGAAAGAGTAGGAAGAAGTGCCACACACTTTTAAAAGATCAGATCTCTTGAGAACTCACTATCATGAGAACAGCGAGGGGGGAAATCTGCACCTACGGTCCAGTCACCCCCCACTAAGCCCCTCCTCCTATTCAACACAAGATTTGGGCAGAGACCCAAATCCAAACTATATCAGATGGTTCCATAGAACCATACCTGTGTATCCCCTAGAATGTTGATGCACATTCCTCAGTTGTATGAAATCACCAGTAGGACAGAAACTGCTCTATCATATACATACACTGAGGTTGAATTATTGAGTTGAAAGTGTGTTTTGTCCTCAACTCTATTAAATATAATCAACTTTCTAGAATGTTTGACCTTTCATTCTATAATTAGAGCATGAGAATTGTAATTGTTCTACCTCTCCTTCTACATGGTCACACTTAAAAATTTTTAAATCATATGATGTATGTGTAGTTTCATCACACTGTAATATAAATTTGTATTGCCTTTATGAATTGTGAGATTAAGACACTTTTCATATTTTTATTGCTATTAGGGGTACCTATTCTGTTAATTGATTGTTCATATGCTTTGCCAATTTTTCTTTCAGATGATATGATTTTTAGTTATTGATTTGTTATACTGTTTTACATATCCTAGATGCTAATCTTTACCTGTTACACCTATTGCAAAAAATTTCTTCCACACTATGGCTACCTTCTCTTTTTAAGAAAAACTTTAATGCTAGAACAATTTTAGAGTTACAAAAAAAAATTACAAACATAGTTGCTATGGTCTGAATGTTTGTGTTCATATTTATATGTTGAAACCTAATCACCAATGTGATGGTATTAGGAGTTGGGGCCTTTTGGAATTTATTAGGTCATGAGGGCAGAGCCTTCATAAATAAAACTAGTGTTTTTATAAAAGAGGCTCCAGAGAGCTGCCATGTCCCTTTTCCACTACATGAGGACATAGCAAAAATGTGCCATCCATGAACCAGGAAACAGGCCCTTGCCAAACACCAAATCTGCCAGTGCCCAGATCTTGACATTTCCAGCTTCCAGAACTGTAAGGAATACATTTCTGCTGTTTATAAACTATGAAAGCTATGATTTTTGTGATAGCGCCTGAATAGACTAAGACAATAGTACAGAAAATTCCTACATACTCACACTTAGTTTTCCTTATTATTATCTTACATTAGTATGGTACACTTGCCACAATTATTGAACAAATATTATACATTATTATTAAGTAAAGTCCATATTTCATTCAAATTTTCTTACCTAATGTTCTTTTTCTGTACCAGGATTCCATCCAATAGATCACACTCACACTACATTTAGCCATGATGTCTCCTTAGGCTCCTCTTAGCTGTGAGTTTCTCAGACTTTTCTTTTGTTTTTGTTTCTGATGCCCTTAACAATTTTGAGGAGTCTAGTCAAATATTTTGTAGGAAACTCTTTTACTGAAATTCACATGATATTTGTCTCATGGTGAAATGGGTTTATGGGTTTGGGGAAGGAAAGCCACAGATGAAAAGTACCATTCTTATCACATCATATGAATGATACCTATTATCAACATGTCTTGTAACTGTTAATATTAACATCCTTCACCTGGCTGAGTTTGTCGGATTTCTCCACTCTAAAGCAAATCATTTTTCCTCCCTTTTCATACTGAACTCTTTGGAAAGAAGTCACAGTAGACATTCCAAACTTAAATTATGTTCCATCTCTTTTGGAATTATTTTGCATGGGAGATTTGTCTATTTTCTGTCATTTATTTATTCAATCATTGAATTATATCAATATGGAGTCATGAATATTTATTTTATACTTTAGATTATAATCCGATACTACTTTATTTTGTTTTTCAATTGTTTCATCTTTGTCTATTACTGTCTTATTTTACTTTACTTGAGAATTTGTATTATAATGTAAGCATCTTAAAAACCGACACTATTTAGTAACATGTTTTTTATGGTTTGTATGATTTTATATCATTTTAAAGACATTCTACCCAATCTTATCTTCTCTTAAATATATACTATTTTGCCAGTTTTAATACAAATTAGGAAATAATTTATTTCTGCTTAAATTTTTTGTTTATAATGAGATGTAGAGATCCAATTTTTATTTTGTGCCTATCTGACCAATGTTTCCTATATCACTTATTTAATAGACTGTGCTTTTCTTACTTATAATGTCACCAGAGATATATATTAATTTTGTATGTACACTGCTCTGTTTCTGGGCTTTTAATCTTTTTAAATTTGTTTATTTATTTAGCACTGCATCAGTATTATGATGTTTTAATTATGATAGAAGTATAAGTTTTGCTATGGTGAGCAATTACCCAGAAGTTGTTATTACTCAAAATTGTATTAGCTGTTCTTGTTCCTTTTCTTTTATGCATAAATTGTCAAATTCCATAAGATTCCTTATCAGGAAATTGATTTGAAAGTATTGATTTCTTCTTCTTTCTCCTTTTCCTCTTCTTTGTCCTTCTCCTCCTCTCTCCTCTTCCTCTTCCTCCTTTCTCCTCTTCCTCTTCCTCCTCCTTCTCTTTCCTCTTCTTCTTTTTCCCCTTCCCCTTTCCCTTCTTTCATCTCCTTCTTTTTAGAAACATTTTAAATTAACATTTTTAGGATATTGGGCCATCTCACTCATGAACTTAGCACATCTCTTTGTTTATTCCAGTCTACTATGTTTTTCTGTGTATAGGTTTTGTTGCAGTTATCTCTACATACTTCATAATTTTTATTACTACTGGAATAAAATATTTTATTTCCAGTAATTTTTATTATTAGTCATGACTATGTATAGGAATGCTTTTGAATTTTGATCTTATTTGCAGGAATCTTCATGAAATTCCTGTTTATCTAGTTTAAATGAAATTCCTAGTTTAATTTATCTCAAATGACCTATGTATGGAGTCATTTACAAATAATGACAATTTGGTTTCTTCTATTCTACTGCATGTATTATTTGTTATTTGTTTCATAAGCTAGGATTTCTAATACAATATTCAACTGTGGCATTTAATTTCTAAATATTTGGGGATTTTAGATGTAGCTTTCTGTTATTAATTTCTAAATTAATTTCATTGTGATAAGAGAACCTACTCTGTATTAGTTTATTCCTTTAAAATTTAAGGCTTGTTTTATGTTCCAGCATATGCCCTATCTTGGGGAATATTCCACATGCACTTAATAAAACCCTGTATTTTACAGTTGTTGGGGCAGTGTTCTATGAATGTTAGTTAGGTAAGATGGTGATAATGTTTTAAATCATTATTACTATTGATTTTCTATTTTTTAAAAATCAACATCTGGGAGAGGAATGTTGAAATGTCCAACTACAATTGTGGATTTATTTATTTCTTCTTTCAATTTTGTTAGGTTTTCTTTTAGGCATTTGAAGCTCTTTATTGGGAGGTGCATATATATTTTATATTTATATATATAATATAATGTATATATAATATATATGATTGTTATATTTTCTTTATGATTATGAAATGTCTCTCTTTATTCCTAATTTTATTTCTCTTTCTGAAGGCTACTTTGTCTAATATTAATATAGCTACTTTAGCTTTCTCATTATGAGTATTTTCATAGTATAGCTTTTTGCATCAATGTCTGTCTACACATATATATAAAACTATACTTATTTTTAAAGTTGTTTGTTGTAGACAGAATATAGTTGGATTTTGCTTTCTTTTTATCCAGTTTGACAGTCTATTCCTTTTAATTAAATTGTTTTCTTTTTCCTTTAGTGGATATATGATTGGTGCAGCTGGTATTAAGTCTGAAGTCTTTATACTTATTTTCTATTTGTTCTAGCTATATTTTTCTCTGTTTTCCTCATTTCCTTTTCTTGTTTTGGTTTGAGCACTTTTATAAATTTCTTTTACCTCCACTATTGATTTATCAGCTCCTGCTCTTTGATTTATACTTTCAGCAATTGTGCTAGGATTTAAAAGGTGCATGTTTAACCTGTCACAGTTAACCTTCATATTGTGTTACACCTCATTACATGGGATATAAAAGTCTTACAACAGTTTGCTATTGTTTTCCCATTATATCCATTATGCTGTTGTCATATATTATTTTTGACATGTTACAAATCTTATAACAATATTGTTTTCTGCTTTAAGTAATCAATTATCTTTTGAAGATATTTTTAAAATGAGGAAATAAAGTCTTCTATGTTCTGATATTCTTCATTCTGCTGTGTTGCTCCAAGTTTTCATCTGCTAATAATTTATTTCTGTCTGAGGAACCTCATATGACATTTTTTGAAGTGAAGACCTGCTGGCAATAAATCCTTTCTTTGTATTATTAGTTCGTTCTTACATTGCTATGAAGAAATACCAGAGATTGGGTAATTTATAAAGATAAGGGGCTTAATTGGCTCATGGTTCTGGAGGCTGTACAAAAAGCATGAGGCATCTGCTCAGCTTCTTGGGAGGCCTCAGGAAACTTAAAGTCATGGTGGAAGATGAAGGTGGAGATGGCACTTCACATGCCAGAAGCAGGAAGAAGTGGGAGAAAGGGGCTACACACCTTTAAACAACCAAATCTTGTGAGAAATCTGTCACTATGCAGTACCAAGGAGGGATGATGATAAACCATGAGAAACTGCCCCCATGATCAAATCACCTCCCACCAAGCCTAACCTCCAGCATTGAGAATTATATTTCAACATGAGATTTGGGTGGGGACACAGAGCCAAACCATATTATTTTGCCCTGTCCCCTCCTAAATCTCCTGTCTTTCTCACATTGCAAAATCCAATCATGCCTTCCCAATAGTCCTCCATAGTCTTAACCCATTCCAACATTAACTCAAAAGTCCACAGTCCAAAGTCTCATCTGAGATAAGACAAGTCCCTTCTGCCTAGGAGCCTGTGAAATAAAAAACAAGTTAGTTATTTCCCAGATTCAATGGTGGTATAGGCATAGGGTAAAAACTCTCATTTCAAAAGGGAGAAATAAGCCAAAAGAACGAGGCTAGAGGTGTCACACAAGTCTGAAGCCCAGCAGGGCAATCATTAAATCTTAAAGTGACACAATAATCTCTTTTGACTCCATGACTTACATCTAGTGCACACTGGTGCAAGGGATGGGCTCCCAAAGCCTTGGGCAGTTCTGCCCCTGAGGTTTTGCCAGATACAGTCCCCACTGCTGCTTTCATGGGCTGGCTTTGAGTGCCTGCCATTTTTCCAGGTGCATGGTGCAAGCTGTCAGTGGATCTACAGTTCTGGGTTCTGGAGGATGGTGGCTTCTCACACCTCCACTAGGCAGTGGTCCAGTGGGGACTCTGTGTAAGGGCTCCAACCCCACATTTCCTTTCCATACTGCCCTGGTAAAGATTCTCCATTAGGAATTCACTCCTGAAGCAGGCTTCTTCTTGGACATCCAGGCTTTTCCATACTACCTTTAAAATCTCAACTATTGCACTCTGTGCATCCACTGGCTTAACACCACATGGAAACTGCCAAGCCTTATGGTTTGTTCCCACTGAAGCATTGGCCTGAGCTGAACCTGAGCTCCTTTGAGCCACAACTGGAGCTAGAGCAGCTGGGATGGGAAAGCAGTGTCCTAAGACTGTGCAGGAGGCCCCTGGGCCTGGCCCATGAAACCATTCAGTCTTCCTAGGCCTCTGGGCCTGTGATGGGAGGGGCTGCTGTGAAGGTCTCTGAAATGCGTTGGAGGTCTCCCATTGTTGTCTTGGCTAATTGTACTTGCCTTCCTTTTTGTTAGGCAAATTTCTGCAGCCAGCTTGAGTTCCTCCCCTGAAAATGGGCTTTTGTTTTCTACCAGGTAGGCAGCCTGCAAATTTTTCAAACTTTTATGCTCTGCTTCCCTTTAAAATATAAGTTCCAGTCTCAGGTCATTTCTTTGCTCGTGTACATGAACTTAGATTGTTAGATGCAGCCTGGCCACATCTTGAACACTTTGCTGCTTAGAAATTCTTCTGCCAGATACCCTAAGTCATCACTCTAAAGTTCAAAGTTCCACAGATCCCTAGGTCAGAGGTACAATGCACCCAAGCTCTTTGCTAAAGTATAACAAAAGTGACTGCTTCAGTTCCCAGAAAGTTTCCCAGAAAGTCTCCCAGAGACTGTAAAGTTCCCAGAAAGTCTCATTTCCATCTGAGACCTCCTCAGCCTGGCCTCCACTGTCCATATCACTATCAGCATTTTGGTCACAATAATTTAACAAGTCTCTAGGAAGTTCCAAAATTTCCCTCATCTTCTTGTCTTCTTCTGAGCCCTCTAAACTGTTCCTCTGCCCATTACTCACTTCCAATGCTGCTTCTACATTTTCAGGTATCTTTATAGCAATGTCCCACTTCTCAGTACCAGTTGTCTTTATTAGTCTGTTTTGCACTGCTATAAAGAAATACTTGAGATGGGGCAATTTATAAAGGAAAGAGGTTTAATTGGCTCACAGTTCTGGAGGCTGTACAAAAAGCATAGTGTACCTGCTCAGCTTCTTGGGAGCCCTCAGGAAATTTACAATCATGGCTGAAGGCAAAGGGGGAGCTAACACTTCACATGGCCAGGAGCAGCAAGAAGAGAGCAGGGAGGTGCTACACACTTTTAAGCCAGATCTTCTGAGAAATCTATCACTATGCAGTACCAAGAGGAAATGGTGCTAAACCATGAAAATCTGTCACCATAATCCAATCACCTCCCACCAGGACCCCCCTCCACCATTGGGGATTATATTTTAACGTGAAATTTTGGCAAGGACACAGGTACAAACAATATCACTCTGCTTGCTTTTATTTTCCCAGAAAATAAACAATCTTGTTTCATCTTCATTTGTGAAATATTTAAATTTATATTGAATAACACATTTACAGGTCATTTTTAAGCACTTTAAAGATGGCATTCCATTGTCTTCTGGATTGCTAAGATTCTGATAAGAAGTCTGTTGTCATTCTTATCTTGTTTTTCCCTGTGTACATAATGTATATTTTTATTGGCCATTATTAAGAGTTTCTTCCTATGAATTCTTTTCAGAAATTTTATTACGTGTACCTTAATATGTGTTTGGTTGTCTTCATCTTTATTAGAATTCTGTATGTTTCTTGGATCTTTAGGTTTATTTTGTCATTAAGTTTGAAAAAAAAAGCCATTATTTCTTTTCTATTTTGTTTTCCACATTCTCTTTCTTTTCTTGCAGGGACTTTCAAACATATGCAAGAGCACTTGATACTACCATATAGGCTATTGAGGTGTTGCTTTTGTTTGTTTGATTGGCTTTTTCCTAGATATTTTCTTTGTCAGCCTCATTCTGAATGGTTTAAATTGCTATTTTGTCAAGTTCACTAGCATTTTTTTCCCTGAAATGTCTATTATGTTGTTAACACTATTTAGCAAAATTTTCACTTCAGATATTTTATATTCCATCCCTAGATGTTTCATTTGGGTCTTTGCAAAAATATTCTTCTCCATATTTATTCACATTTCCTTTAACCATTTGAGCATACTGATTACCATCCTCACCTACTTACTTCCATTATCTCTGCCATTTTTGACTATGTTTCTATAAAATGATTTCTTTCCTGGTTATGAGTCAAATTTTCCTGTTATTTGTTACACATAAGAATATTTGACTGCATGCCAGACATTGTGAATCTTATACATTTGAGGGTTGGATATTGCTGTATTTCTTTAAGAACAGCTGAATTACTTGAGAATTAGTTTGATCCTTTCAAAGCTTGTTTCCGGAATTTTAAGGTAAGTCTAGAATAAGGTTTATTCTAGGCCAACATTAGCCCTATAAATAAATTGTAACCCTTCTGAATTTTCTTATGAATGTCCCATATAGTCAATGAGATCTCTCCACTCTGGCTGGTGGGAATTTGAATGATTTCCTGCTTTGTGTGAGCTCTGGGAATTATTTGTTTTGTAGTTCTCTAGTAATTTTTCTTTTTCTAAAGGTAGCTTTTTGCCTGACTTCATGGAGTTTCCACATAGGTGTATGCAGATTAGTATTCATTTAAAAACTCAAGGAGACTTTATGCAGATTTCTGAAGCTCTTCCTATACATCTCCCTTCTTTCTTGGACTCTGTCTTGAATATTCTAGCTTTTATGGTGTTTGTTTTCTCATTTGGGTAAGACCACAAGTCTGTTTGGGTTCTCTCTCCCTGCACCATAGCCTGGAAACTGCCTCCAGGCAGAAATATGAAGTGATTGCAAGGTTCATTTTATTTTTATTTTTTCTTTCTTCTCAGGAATCATAATTCTGTGATGCTGACTGTCTATTTTCTAAAATCTATTGTATCATATATTTAGTTCCATTTTCTAAATATTTATGATGAAAGGGTAAGTTTGGACTCATTTATTCTCTCATGGCCAAAAGTAGAAGACCACCTGGTATAGTTTTTAAGTAATTTTTGTTGCTTTTATTGATGTTGTTCTTATGGATATTTTATATATAGTTTCTTCAACTCAGCCATAATTTAGATGGTAATTCTTAACAAAAGAGTTTAGTTTCAGCCAGAAAATCCTAATGAGTTTCTACCAGATATTTTTTTCCTGAGTGGATTTGTGATTAAGGCTAACAAGGCCTTTCTTTAGGGAAGCTAAATAATGTTTATTTGAGTATGTGTTAGCTGATTTCTAAGCTTCTCTTTTAATTGGATGTCTATATATTGTCTTACATGTAGTTTTGCTTGATTTCTTAACTTCCAGAATGAAAAAAACTCAAGAATTAAGTGAGATACTATCTTACATCTGGACTTCATTGTATTCTTCCAGTGTTCTGAAAGCAAATGCAATTAAAACTCTACAGTTGGTACTGGAATTTAAGCACCAAATGGTGCCTCAGTGTCTGAGGAGATGCTGCCTTTGCTATTTCCCAAAACTTATAAGTTTTCTTTTGCCTTGCAGAATGTAGATTTTTTAAAAATTCTAGAGTTTTAATCTTTCTCTAGTAGAAACTCTTATTTAGTGTAACTATTTGAAATAAACATCTCAGGAGACAAAAAGCTATTTTAAATAGATGACAACATCTTGTGACATAATTGCATGCTAGTGCAATTTAAATGAACACTATCTTTCATAGACAAAATCTATTTTAAAATTCTATCTATAAAACAGTTGAGGAAGAATTGTAAACATAAGAACATTCTGTTATTTTCCTTGGCATTTAGAAAGTACTGCTTTTGAAACCTTTATTTTAGGTTCTGAAATAATTTTAGAAAGTGTACATAGTTTTGCTTTCAAAGGTCATGAGCAAGTATAAATATACCCATTTTAGTACAAGGAAAAGCTTTCAATCTCCCCCACATCTTACCATCCTTTTCCAAGACTAAAAACTAATGTATATCTAAAAATTTCCAATATCTGCTCATTTCCCAGAGTTGAACAAAATAGAAAATATTAAGATTCGATCAATAGTATTCAAAAATGAAGATGTAAAATCTTATCTGTGTTGGAGGATGAAAGCAAATTTTTTGGCTGCTTCTCGGATTTGATACCATAAGTTCACTCTCATTGAAGGGACCCATATTCCTTTGGGTTCATCCTCTCAGATCCCTTTGGTAACAATAATTCATGGTCCAGCAATATCTCAGTAAAAGCATCATCATATCATGATGAAGATGATGATGATGATGATAAGTAAAACAAAAAACCCACCCACTATAACAAAACAGACAAAAAACAGAATACTGAGAAAATAAGCAGTCTAGAAACCTGAGATAATTATCCACACGAAACTATAAAGTGTTTTTGATACCCATAGTAATTCTAAGTTTCATAGTAGTATTGATTACTAATGAGTTTTTGGCTCGTGCTATTATTTTTAATGATTGGTAGAGTGAGAGGAGTGC
The DNA here is from genome assembly GCF_000001405.40 of Homo sapiens. Lineage (NCBI taxonomy): Eukaryota > Metazoa > Chordata > Mammalia > Primates > Hominidae > Homo > Homo sapiens. The sequence goes on along the minus strand of NC_000001.11, from coordinate 96,188,437 downwards.
TCAAAGGAAATACAGGTTTGCATACATAAATGTGCATTGTTTGAAATCCATAATAAGAAAATGTGTACAAAATGTGTACTTTCTTAAGGGACAAAGTTTTCAGGTAAAGTTTCTACTAGTCAGATTTTTACTGAGAGGTAATTTGAAATGTGATGGCAGAAAATGTGCAAACTAGAGATATGTTCATTCTCTTACTCCTCTCTATTCAGAGACTAAAGGCAGTATGAGCTGCTTTCATATTTGGTTGAAATGCCTTCAAAAAGCAAACATTTTTAAGAGAGCTGCTTATCTGCTGCTTCTTTCAACTACCCTGACTCTCCTATAATAATTTGTCTTATAATCTCTTCTAGCGGATACTCCATTCCGATCCCCTTACCAGTCCCTACTAATCCTCCCAGTCCTAGACTGCTAGACAGCTCTAAACATCAACTCTGTGTGAGGCTCCACTTACTGTGTAATTAAAATGATTGTCACTGTGATTATCTTATACTCGTAGGTGGATAAGGAAGAGTTAATCATCTGAATTATGGTGTACCTAAGTGTTCTAAAATTGTACCACAGAGAGTCAGACTAAAGCCAAGGTGAACTATTTTTAAAACTATATTTTGTTTTTACCTGAAAAGCAATATACAATCATTGCACATTATGAAGAAAACATGAAAATCCAGGGTCACCCCTTCCTGTCCCATCTAATCAACTATTTCCAATTAAGACAACAGTATACAGACTATCCAGTTATTCCTTCTCCAGGAGTCTTTTAGATTTTAGGGAATCTGTGCAATGAAATATTGCTCAACAGAAGTGAGAGACTTGGAACTTCAGACCGGGTGAACCTGGAACCTCACTGGCAGTCCTTAGTAAAACCAGATTTGATCCTTGTAAACAGTTTCTGGAGTTCCAAGTGCATGTCTGAAAAAAAATCATATTTATCCAGACTAGATGAAAGGAGACAAGTCATAGAGTATAAATTTTTACAAGATTCCGTGATTAAAATTCTCTAAGCTATATTGGACTCTGTTTTGTTATTACTATTTGACTTTGAAATCTGTAGTCAATTTTGGATAACGCATTTCAGTTCACTTGTGAAGGAAAAAATCATCCTATTTAAGTCTCTGGTAGAAAATTATTGTGAAGTATGGGTGGGCAGCTTTCCTCCTCTTTACAGTAAAAACAGTGGACTTCTTCTGTAACAGGAGTGGTTTGAATTAGAAAGAAACCCTTTGTGACTAAGCAGTCAAATGCTAAATTGGGCTTCTTAAGGCAGTGGTGAAAGCTTCTAATAGAATGATGTTTCCAAAACAATTCAGGCTTCATTCACTAGGAAATATTTTGAAAATATGGGGCCTGTCATAAAGTTGCCAACTCTTTATTTTTTCCAAGTAGGTATGTTAAATTAAAAAAAATTTATTTATTCAAATATATACATTGGAAATCTATTCTCAATCCGGCACTGTGCCAAATAAAATGTGGGGCTGTGGTGGTAAATCTGTTTCCTCATGTCCTTATAGTTTCGATGGGGGATTATTATCAACCAAACGCATAAATAAACATAAAGCTACAGTTGTGATTAGTGCCATAAAGAATATGTAGCTGTATTAAAAGAGTCTAATTTGGCCATTTAAAAACTAAATATGAAGGAAAGAAACATGGACAACATCCTCATGGCTAAGAGTGATTGAGCACTTACTCTGTGGCAGGCACTGTTCTAAGCATGTATGTAAAACATCATCTGGTTCCCACAGAGACTCTAGAAAGTGGGAATGTTATTACCCCTATTTTAAAGTGTGAAAATCTTAAAAGGCATATGAAGATTAATTAACTTGTCCTGGTTTTGTAGCTCAACAGTAGGACAGCCTGTAGTCAAACTCTGATAGTCTGATTCTGGAGTTCATGTTCTTAACCATCAAAAAGAGGAAAATTTTTCATAATTTTCATAAATTCCTAACTTTATGAAACCTGTATTACCTTGTTCCCATTTTTTCTTTTAGTGGCAGAGTGCTAAAAATTTGGGTTCAGGGACTAGTCATGGATCAGCAATGGAAAGACACTTTTTGAAGGTGGCTTTTCCAATGAGGATCCACTGAATAGGATAGTCTAAATAAGTTCCTGCCAAAAGAAAGGGGAATAAAATAGATTGCTTTTAGAGGACAATTCCAGCCTTCTAGTCTTAAATGCATTTTCAATAATGTGATATGCAACCTTAATCTGACTCTTAAAGGTATTGCATTGTGTGTTCCCTTTAACTTATTATAAACAAATGAAAACGTAAGATGCACCAAAGAAGATACGTAGAGCATTCCTTGGTGCTTCTATTCCAAAAATGATTTGGAATTTCCTTTGTTTAAGCAAGTTTTGGGGTGCAGTGGCTCATGCCTATAATCCTAGCACTTTGGAAGTCTGAGGTGGGAGGATCACTTGAGCACAGGAGTTCAAGACCAGCCTGGGAAACATAACAAGACCCCACCTCTATGAAAAATAATATTAAAAAAAATTAGCCAGGTGCGGTGGTATATGCCTGTAGTCCCAGCTACTCAAGAGGCCAAGGAAGAAGGATAACTTGAGCCCAGGAGATCAAAGCTACAGTGACCTGAGATCATGCCACAGCACTGCAGCCTGGGCAACAAAGTGAGACCCTGTCTCAAAATGGAAAGCATTTATTTATTTGGTTTGTTTGTTTAAAGGGCAAGTAAGTATGCATTTTTTTTTAAAGTTTCATATCACTTGCAGGTTTTATCCACTTTTGTTACAAAGATGAAAGGATGCTAGCAATAAGGAAAAGTCCCAACATTTTCCAATGAACATTTAATTTTACCTTCATGGGAATTAATTGATGTGAAGGAAATAAAAATTGATTACTATATTCCTGAGGATTAAGAACAATCTGAGAGAAAAACATTCCATTTTTATGAATCTGAGATGAAAAAGTTCCTGACAAAGAACCTTCCTTTGGTAGCTTTCAATTTATCAGACCATTTCCAGAGCCCAGGTCACTTTTCAGCTCTAGTAAGGAAGACATTAATGCTTTATAAAAGCAACTGGGGTATCTCACCACAGTGGGAAACCACTTTTAAACTGACATCAGGAAGCCTTCACGAAGCCTTGTTTCTGGGAAAACTTACATAAATCACTGCTTTTCCCAGTTGAGATTGGCTGCCTGTGGTGGTGATGACAAGGTCAAAGATACGGACTAGGGACCCAAGGTCAGGCCTTAGAAGGGGTAAACAGAGAGTGTTCCCTTTGCTTTTGTCCCATGCATTGAGAATGCAAGCTCATCAAGCAAAGCCCCAGAAGGTAGGCTGGCAGGTCAGATGTATCATATTGTTATGGTTCCTTTCTGTATTTGTATTTGTTATGGACTATAAACCATGATGATGCAATAAAGGGCTAGGGCCATGAATTCCAATTGGCTGTGCAGTGCTATTTCATGGAGGGGCAAGTCCAACTATTATGAATTCAGACAACTTAATAATTTCAGTTTCACTGCGTTGCTCTGCTCCCCAGGAACCTGCAGAAGATAAGTGATTGGGCACTATCATAAATCCAGACATACATACAACATGAAAATAACTGGTGAAGCTTTAAATCAATGCAGAATGTTAGACTAATAAAGGTGTTGATCATACTATTTGGTGAGAAATATTAACTAGGAAAAGTTGATAAAATGTATTTTTTTAAAAAGATGAAACTAGTCAAATATATTTCTTTGTGCTTGTTTGTATCTGCATGAATATAAAATGCCATTGGTTCTTCAGCTTTAACACCTAAGGGATTTATAAGCATATTGCTTCAATAAAACTTGGTTCATCTGTACAGTACATGGCTCAGATATGCATATTTAATTACTCTGAAAGTAATTTACTTGTACAGATGGTGGTATTAGAGGGTCTTACTTCAATTTAAATTACTTTCATTGGGAAAAAAAAGTGTTCTTTGGCTACGATTTCCAAGTAAAAATTTAACTTTTATAACATATGGAACATACCTGCTTGTAGTAATTATACATGAATAATCCCACACATGCAAAATAAACATTATTGTAAAATTTTGAAACCACTCACAGGGAGTAGCAGTATTACAAGATAATTAAAGACCCTCACATGCAAAGCTCAGGGTGTTGCAAAGTAACCTAGCAGGCAAAGTATATAAATGAGCTTAGAAAAAAGCATGGAGGATCTAAGTTGCCGCTGAAAGCAACGAACAGCCTCTTCAGCAGGCCACAGTGTCTTAGCTCTCACATTCGGTAAAACCATCAAGCCCCTCCTCCCTGGATGAAGTGCAAAACAAAGTAGTAGATAATTTGCGAGCCATATACCTGGGCATACCTCAGAGACTCACATGGATCTGTGTGCTCACTAGGCAGGGACTCCGAGTCGTTTTGTGCTCCCCTTTCTAGAAAAGTAAAGGCTACCTTCCCCCCATCACAGCTTGATGCCTTCTGAAATGCAACATTCATCCTGTTGAAACAAGCACCCAAATAAAAATTTTCACTTTCAAAGGCAAGCCAGTCACAAAGAAAGACAAATGGCTTGTGGCATATTGTATTGATTATCACACAGTAGCTGGGTATTAAAAATTGGGAAAATATAAATGCTTTTGAAAAAGATATTGTTTTCTATTATGAGATTGTAAAAAAGTGCCCATGTGTTTGTTCATTCTTCACTGCAAGTATTTCTTTATTAAGCATGGTATCTCAGAGGCAGCACTTATACTATCTACTACTCTGGTTGCTATGGTAAGTAGACGTGTTTTATTGAAGAGTAAATGGCCACCACCCACAAGAATAGCTCCCAAGTGGCCTTAGCATACACTCCCTCCCCCACCCTTTCTTTTTGAGCCAACCTAATTCTTTTTAAATAAACATGAATTTTACCCTTATTTAGAGTAAGACAAAAATCTTTCTACTACCTTCTCTCTGTCTCTTTCTTCCCCTTCTTCCCCCTGCCCTCCCCCGGCCTTTTTTTTTTTTTTTTTTTGAAACAGTGTCTCACTTTGTCACTCAGGCTGGAGTGCGGTGGCAGGATCTCAGCTCACTGAAGCCTTGACCTCCCGGGTTCAAGGGATCTTCCTGTCTCAGAGCCCCCACGTATCTGGGATGACAGGTACACACCACCACATCCAGCTAATTTTTTTGTATTTTTTGTAGAGATGGGGTTTCACCATGTTGTCCAGGCTGGTCTTGAACTCGGGAGCTCAAGTAATCCGCCTGCCTCGGCCTTTCAAAGTGCTAGGATTATAGGTGTGAGCCACCACGCCTGGCCTCAAATCTATCTCTTAAAATGATTCTATTCATTATGGACAACAAACGAAGTCACATCAATCAGTCTTAAGAATCTTTGTGATGACACATCCAAATATATATATATATATATATATATATATATATATATACACACACACACACACACACACACATATATATACACACACACACATATATATACACACACACACATATATATATACACACACACACAATAAACCTATTTAGTAATATATTGGGGATTATATTATAGGATTCCTTTTAAATAGTGAACCTAGAATACAAATAGAAAAGTATTTTGGTGATATGTGTGCATGCTTGGGGATTCTATCATAAGACATCTCTATAATGTGAAGCCATACCCATGAAGACATTTTTCAAACTACCTGTACTGTGTAAATGAATAGTTTAAATGATAGTCTGTGTATCTATCTATCTATCTATCTATCTATCTATCTATCTATCTATCATTTATCACCTGTCTATCTGAGCAAAAAAGTATTTGTCATATGGTGGTAATCTGACTGATTGCCAGTCTTTAGGCCTTGAAGCAAAGTGGAGTTTGAGTTAGGTCAGTTCTCACTTTGAGTCGTCACTATTTGTTGTGGGTTTTACCCCAGAAATGCTCTACCAGAAATGCTTTATCAAAAATTTGGACCAGGTATGGTGACTCAGGCCTGCAATCCCAGCACTTTAGGAGGCTGAGGCAAAAGGATTCCTTGAGCCCAGCAGATTGAGGCTGCAGTGAGCTGTGGTCACATCCCTGCACTACAGCCAGGGCAGCAGAGTGAGAGTCTGTCTACACACACACACACACACACACACACACACACACACACACAAAATGGCTTAAGAAGACAAAATCTCTGAGGACAGTGACAAAAATTTCTTGGACTAAAAAGCCTCCAACTAATCAATGGCATCCAGTTTCTTTAACAAATTCAGCTAGCAATTTCTGACCTCTGCCATATTTCTATTTTTGCTTTATGTGCCTCAAATTTGGCCTGAAAATGACTAGGTTAGTTTACTCACTTGGACACCGCATGTACCTGCGACTCTGTGCACAAGTTTTCCTATCATTTGGGGTTCGCTGAATTGTTATTTTCTCAACAAGACTGAAAACTACTACCATTTCATGAAGAAGAAAAACACAGGCCAAGGTGAGAAGAAAAGATAATGGGGAGCAGTGGAATGAGAAGAGTGTTTCTTAATTACGGTGCAGACTGTTTCTGCTGGTTCCTTTTTCTACCCTGCACTGTGCAAAATAACTGTCACACAGTGGCTGCTACAGAGATGATGCAGCAGCGGCAATGGATAATACAGCTGTACCTCTGAGACATACAGGAGGTGACTTTTTACTTTTAAGGAGAAAAGCAAGAGATGAGAGGAAAAAAGATCAAACTTGTTCAAGAATGTTTTTTTATTTTACTCTCACTCTTGTTTATTACATATTTTCAGTCATAAGAGGATTCCCCCCATATAATTCTTTTTATTGATTTTTATATTAAAGCAATCGAAAGCAATGTGGTATCATTTTCTGGTATAATAGAGCCATAGAAGCATGACAGCAGACACCTCACTGGGGAAAATAACATGTAAACACTATACAAATTAGCCTCTTCTAATGCAGTTAATAAAAGAAAGTAAACACTTGCAGATGGAGTAGAATTAAACAATACATTAGCACACAGTGTATGAGTGTACTGTAGTCTTTGTTTTTTATTATAAATGACCATCACTAAAATGATCCTAAATATGCCATTAAAGAAAACTTACTTGCTAATAGGTGAAGACTAATGAGGCAATAGAAAGTATAATTGGAGAACTTGCTACCTCAACCACAGAAGATTATACTAGTATGCACGAACAAATACCAGTGTCTGTTAAAATTTTTAGTTAATTCTGAAAAGTGAAAAACACAGTTTGAGTCCAGCCTGGGCAACATGATGAGACCTTATCTCTCCAGAAAATACAAAAATTAGCTGGGTGTGGCAGCGAGTCCCCATAGTCTCAGCTACTTTGGAGGCTGAGGTGGGAGGGTCGCTTGAGCATGGGAAATTGAGGCTGCCATTGCACTCCAACCTGGGTAACGGAGCAAGACTCTGTCTCAGAAAAAGAAAAAAAAAAGTGAAAACACACATATACTTCATTCATTTATTCATTCAAATTTGATTTATTACTTACATTTGTGTCACTGTTAAATGCTACGGAGAAAAAAAGGTAGCAATAGTCACTGAAGTTATAGAAGTATGGGAAATAGGATTCTTTGCTTGTCACATAGAATTGACTGCTTCTTTAAGGCTTACAAAGATGTGAGAAGCTCTGGGCCTTCAAAAGAGAACTCAAAATGGTACAAGAGTACAGCCATGAAAACAAATCTGAATAGAACAAGTGCATATTACCATTACTTCTCAGGTTTGCCTTTTTATTAGATTCCTCTCACCACAATCTCATGTTTTCCCGTGGACTTTTATGCTCAAACATGCCCTATATGGATTTAATGTTTCTTGTTCCATTAGCCACATCTTCAACTTTGCTTCCACCGACCAGCATGAGTGTGGTTTTGCATTTTGATAATTCTTTAGTATCCAATTCGTGACCCTCCCCTGATTTTCAGCTTCATTACCCTCACATTTTGCTGACAGGTGGTAGTGGTGTGCCCTGAAATGCCATCAAGATAAAATAAATGAAAACAAATGCAATTCAAGATACAGTGTGATAAGTGCCCTTAGAGATGTATAAACAGGATGCTACAGAGTTTCGAGCTGGAAAATGCCCAATCAGGGATGCCAAGGAAGACTTGATTTAAAAGATACAATGACATCGGAAACTAAATCCAAGAGTCTTAAAATGTGTTAGCAAAAAAGCTGCCTCAATATATTTAGGGGAGAATTTTTTATAAACCTAACAGAAAATTCTGACCCATAGAGCTCTTTGATCACTTAAGAATGGTCCATATACATAGCTATGCTCAACAAAACACATATACAGAATTCTCACATTTTGTTCAGAGGAATTCACAAATGTGAAGATGAATTTTACAAAGAAGTAAGCCAATTATTTCAGCTTGAGTGCTTTCTTACATGCAAGTTAAAATTCTTAATAAAATTGAAATTAACCCCATTACTACTAGATCTGAAGGAATTTAGGAGGTATTTTTATACTCAAATCATCAGGAGAAAGCACAATTCAAATAAAGAACAACATATTCTCATGCATTTAGATGCAGTCCGCAATTTTTCCAGTTACATGCTTCTTGAAAGCAGGAAATTGGGAATCTTTATTTTTAAGTCACTGCAGGTAATTTCTGAATCAGGAGGCTCATGGGTTTCCAGATGAGAAACAATGCTCCATGGACTTCGTCTCTCTGCTTCTGGGACTAGGCTGGCTGGGCAGGGGCTGTGGATCAAGAGAGTCAATCTCAGACTTACCTGATTTGTTTGGATGTGTCTGAGGAAACAGCCCATCAAAAGGAGAGAATGTATATGATGAATCCAAAAGAATGGAGCTAGAGTGAAGGCCCACAGCAGTAAATGGCCATGAGAACTGGATATGGGAGGCCAAGAAGGAAGTGGAGAGCCAGACTAGTGATGGTGGTTGAGGGGAAAGTAAGCAAAGGGGAGCAAAGGAGAAGGTGGGTTGCAAAAGGGCTTGTAAGCAGCCCCAAGCCTGCCTGACACTTTCAAGGATAGAGTGGGGCTAGGACCAGGGAGGCTAATCTCTACTTAGGATACCTAAATGAGGGGTAGTGTTGCTGGGGGAAATCCTTTGGTAGAATTTAGTTAACTTAGCAGAGATCTGAATAAATTATGGAGGTGAATAAACACTGAATTAACAAGATCATACTGTACTCCAGAAAAACTTGATTGAATGACTGATAGATGCATTCATTCTACATTCAAGCATCCAGTGTGTTTTGTACATGCTCTAGGCACCCTTCTAGACCATGGGGAATCAGTAGAGAAAAACATCAGCATATGAACACATTCTTAGCTATGGTCTACTTAGTCATGATTTGTTTTTAAGTATGAAAATAATAAAGCTGATTGGGTGCAATAGCATGCTCTATTTTGGAAACACATTAACTAGTCAAAACAAGGTATTATTAAATAGTAAACAAGTAGTATAAATCATATTTAATTGCCAAATGAATCCATCATCAATTAACTTTGAAATGGAAGAAATAAGCAGCATGGGCTATTGATGTTAGTAGATATTCCTCGAATAATCTTTTTCCTTCACTCAACAAAATCTTTCTTGGAATTGAATAAAAATGATGAAGTTACTTCATTGAAAAAATATCTCCTATATGAGTCACAAAAAGTCGATAATCTAACTTATAAAGTGGTCAGAATCTAAAATAGTGAAGTAGTCAAAAGACAGAAAGTGGGAAGACAGTGACCTGGCTTATCTTGTGGAATGGTGCTCCTCATTTATGCCTAAACAGTGCCTAGTACTGGGAGCAAGGCCTTGATGGGTATGTCTCCTGACCTGCTTGGGTTAGGCATACCAGGATTCTACCTATTTAAGGGGCTGTGGAGACCATCAGGAACCAATACCACCTTAGGGAAGAGAAAGCAGTCTAGATTTTACCCAATAACCAGTATATCAGTTGTCAGAGGGATTCTACCTATAGCAGGGTCTCTGTCATTCATTTAGTTGCATATCTAAGGCCCAGAGGAAGAAGGGTTGTGAATAAAAACTGAAAAATGTAGTTCACTAGAAACTCTTAAATTAAGGTATAAGCAGCACAGCTTAGAAGCTTGTTTCAACAAGGTATTACATGACAGAGAGACAGAGAGAGAGAAGCATTCTTTATTTTGCCACAGAATACATTGGAACTTCGGCTCCATAAACACTGCAACGCATGAGCAGCCCCAGCAAAACGGGTGGTAATGGTACCAGAGGACAAGGCAGGAAAGCCTGGCATAGACAGCCACGCTGGACAGGTCTGGATAGTGGCGGGCGGGACAGCATCCGTGCAAGTGGAACTCATACTTGATGGATCTCATATCTAGGCACATGTGAGGTACCCCTGGGGGAGTTCCAGAAATTCTTCGGTGGTGGGGAAAATGTTAATGATACTTGAGGGCTCTGCAATAACAGGTATAAACCAGAGCAAGCAAGTCAAATAAGAGTTACTAATGTTAAAATAACCTATTTATTATAAATCGGCCATCAATGGATCACAAAACTGACTGAGAAAGGTTTCACCACACATATAATCAGTTGCTAAACAAATAAAATGTGAATATTATGGCTCTGTTGGATAAACTATTGTGTAAATGTTTTTGAAATATTCAGCAGAGAGCTGTAGAAACTAGTAAAATCTCAGGACCTTTAGAACTGAAGAATTTCAGTGGATGCCACATATTTATCTATTATAAAGAAAGTATGAGAGCCAGAGAACTAAAAACCATAGTAGAGTATAGAGGCTAGGGTATATTAAAAAATAATTTGAAGACAAATAAATATCTAGATAACATTTATATAATAGCTATTGCCAAAGAGGCAGATGGCTTATAGAGATCAAATATAGACTCAAATCCAGGGCATTTTAAGTGACTAGAAACTTTGTAACTAAGAAAATAAGCATTTTCTTGAAGCAAAAACCCAGAAAATCAAGTTATTTACATAGCACTTGATAATATTGTTTCCAGATATGCTATTTTATAACATTTGCCATAATTCTATTATCATTGTTTCTCTTTCTACTTCCTATTTTTTCTTTTCTTATTCCTCCTTTTTTTTTCTGTCCCTCTCTTTTTTCTCCTTCTTCCTCTCCTCTGGCCTTCTTCTCCACTCCTTTCTCCGTTTCCTCCCTCTCTCCCTTCTTTTTCCCCTTCCTTCGTTCCTTCCTCCCTCCCTCCATCCCTCCCTGCCTTCCTTCCTTTTCTCCCTTGCTTCCTTTCCCCAGAAATGCCTAATTCAAAGCCTGGATCACATTTCTTAGGAATCCACAATTTACCCGAATAAATTTTAAGTGGCATTTCACTCCAAAATTCAGAGTGCCTCTACATACCTAGTATGCAGTATCAGCTAATAACAGGATAGATCAGAGTTTAAAGGGAAAGAAGCAACTCTGATTGCCATGGTAGAAAAAAATTGTCCCCATAAAACTAATGTATTTCATTAATATTTAATCCCAATGATATTGTAATACAGGTGTTATGGAACTGGATTCAAATATCTATTCCTAAAATGTTTAATGTTGGCATGTCAAAAGAAAACTAACAAAAATAATTGCTATCTGACTTTTACTTTATTGACTTCAATGAACTATGTGAATTTACTTCTTTACACATATGTGCTGCATTCCTCATTATCTCTTCAAGCACTTCAAATAGTCTTGGCCACATTGCAGCATTAAAACATATATTCCTGTGTTTTCAGTTCAATTAAGTCCATTATGCTTTGTCTTACAACTTAATAAATGAAGAGGTTCTAGTATGACTCAAGCCAAAGTACATACAGAATTGTAAAATGAGAAGTACAATAAAGTTTAATTTATTTGGATTTATTTTGCCCCCCAACTCTGATACCCCTTCATTGTTTTATTTTTCTTCATATTATTTGTCACTTTTTAACATACTGTATATTTCACTTATTTTTCTTAATGTCTGATTCCCACACATAGCAGAGGATCAGGGAATATATGTTTAATGAGTTTATCTCACTTTTGGGGAATTTATTATTGTTGTGCTGTGTTAAGAACATTTGCTAAGCAAATGATTAATATAAATAAGACTAAAAGAAAATCATTTATCAATAGCAGCAAATATTACTTTCAAACATTTCAGAAATAATCATGAGTGTGGGGGAAAAGTTACCTAGAAGTCATTGAATACATTATTATGCCCTGTTACCAAAAAAAATCTGTGTGTAACATAACTCAAAGATAATATATCAACCGCGGCATTACAGGACTTTTCTTTTACAAGTGTTTTAGAATTCAGACATCTCTCATCAATCTAGACTGACTATTCCAGATCTGAAAGAGTTATTAAACCCCACGCCATCTGTAGGGTCAGTCTACTAGGCAGTATTAGTTCACTAAACATTTTCTGTTTACTGAGTGAGAGGCCTTTAATTACAATGCTGTGGGGAATAAAAAAATGAAAAAGACATATTCCTCATGGAGGCTAAAAGAGCAATGAATTTACCCTGAAAGAGTAATATTGAAAATGGAGAAGGCAATAATGAAATAATGGAACTATTTCTTAAGCACTTAGGATGAGCTGGATTTTAACAGAAGGATGTGAAAGGCAAGGATGCAGTGGACTGAAGAACCAGCATGGACAAAGACATGGATGGGGTAAAGTGCATGGAGTTATTTAAGAACCAAGATCAGCTTGTGTGGAGGGATGCAGGTATATTAAAAATGGGGTCACTTTTCATAAATGTGTAGTGTTTTTGAGAATAAATTATGTAATAATCTGCCTCAGAGATGCTATCTAGGAAAGGTTCCCTCTGTGTTGCCTTCTTACTCCGAGGTTTTCTAAGGCCCTTTGGCAAATGCATACAGAGAACAAATGCATTCTGGAAGCACCAGAGAATGCAGGATGAGAGATTTGGAATTCCCATAAACAGAAGTGATAGACACAGATTTGCTAAGGCACTGTACAGTTGGTCAGCTTATCAATTATTAAGTGAAAGACCTGACTGGTTGTAAAAGGCTCTGCCAGATGAAACGAACCACGGGGTAGAACATGGAACACAAAGGAGAGAGAGATGTTCATCTCGAATGGAATTGAGAAGTCTGAGAACCACAGAGCTCTATTATTCTCCAAATCTTCACATTTGAGCTTGAAGTAATGAATACATAATGAAGATGAATCATTACGTTTCTAGTCACCACTCCAGAATCAACAGTGTTATTTTTCTTTAGCAAAATTAAGTCGCTCTTTATAAGGAATCATAATATGCAGTACGAGTCTCTGAATTCTCATTTTAGAGCTATCATTCTTGCCAAATTTCCCTAGAGAAATGGTATACCTTTCTCTGACTTTTTAAAAAAAAATCTCTTATTGTTTTGTCTCTTTTTCAATATTGATTATGATAGTAATACATAATGACTATATTAATTTGTAAAAATACCAACAAGTAGAATAAAATACTTGAAATACCATGGCTGCTATTATTTTCTATGTAATTTTATCACTCTTTTCCTTTCAGCTAATGATGAACAGTCAGCAGGAAATCACAGCATGAACAAACACACACGTATAGAGCCACCCTAAACTGAACACCTGTATAAATTATTTTTACTTAAAATACATTATAAATATTTTCATATCAATTATGCTTCCTTCAGAACATAGTTGTTAATTATCAGATAGAATTTTAATACACAAATATACCATAATTTATTTAACCAACCTCTAGTCTTTGGTCATGTAATTTTTTTCCGATTTTTATATTAAAAATATAGTGATATGTTGTACATAAACATTTAGCATATCCAATATCATTTCCTTATGATAGAATTGTAGGGTAAAGAGTTTGCAAAATGTTTAGGGTTTTGACACACATTGCTAAATCACCTTGGAGCTGAGCATGAATGACTATTTTCCTGAATCCTGTCCAACACTGGACATAGTAACTAAAAAAGAAAAAAAGAAATGTGATGTATTATCTTAATGTTATCTTGACTAGCATCTTTATTACCACTGAGATTGAACATTTTTAATATGTTTATTAGCCATTTGTATTTCTTAATTTGTAAAGCAGGTGCCTATTTGGAAACTTGGGTTTTATTGATTTCTAAGAGCTCTTTAAATGTCAGAAAGAGTAAGCCTTTATTCGTTATATGTGAATTCTTTTTTTTTTCTTTTATTATTATACTTTAAGTTTTAGGGTACATGTGCACATTGTGCAGGCTAGTTACATATGTATACATGTGCCACGCTGGTGCGCTGCACCCACTAACTCGTCATCTAGCATCAGGTATATCTCCCAATGCTATCCCTCCCCCTTCCCCGCACCGCTCAACAGTCCCCAGAGTGTGATGTTCCCCTTCCTGTGTCCATCTGATCTCATTGTTCAATTCCCACCTATGAGTGAGAATATGCGGTGTTTGGTTTTTTGTTCTTGCGATAGTTTACTGAGAATGATGATTTCCAGTTTCATCCATGTCCCTACAAAGGACATGAACTCATCATTTTTTATGGCTGCATAGTATTCCATGGTGTATATGTGCCACATTTTCTTAATCCAGTCTATCATTGTTGGACATTTGGGTTGGTTCCAAGTCTTTGCTATTGTGAATAGTGCTGCAATAAACATACGTGTGTATGTGTCTTTATAGTAGCATGATATATAGTCCTTTGGGTATATACCCAGTAATGGGATGGCTGGGTCAAATGGTATTTCTAGTTCTAGATCCCTGAGGAATCGCCACACTGACTTCCACAATGGTTGAACTAGTTTACAGTCCCACCAACAGTGTAAAAGTGTTCCTATTTCTCCACATCCTCTCCAGCACCTGTTGTTTCCTGACTTTTTAATGATTGCCATTCTAACTGGTGTGAGATGGTATCTCATTGTGGTTTTGATTTGCATTTCTCTGATGGCCAGTGATGATGAGCATTTTTTCATGTGTTTTTTGGCTGCATAAATGTCTTCTTTTGAGAAGTGTCTGTTCATGTCCTTTGCCCACTTTTTGATGGGGTTGTTTGTTTTTTCTTGTAAATTAGTTTGAGTTCATTGTAGATTCTGGATATTAGCCCTTTGTCAGATGAGTAGGTTGCAAAAATTTTCTCCCATTTTGTAGGTTGCCTGTTCACTCTGATGGTAGTTTCTTTTGCTGTACAGAAGCTCTTTAGTTTAATGAGATCCCATTTGTCAATTTTGGCTTTTGTTGCCATTGCTTTTGGTGTTTTAGACATGAAGTCCTTGCCCATGCCTATGTCCTGAATGGTAATGCCTAGGTTTTCTTCTAGGGTTTTTATGGTTTTAGGTCTAACGTTTAAGTCTTTAATCCATCTTGAATTGATTTTTGTATAAGGTGTAAGGAAGGGATCCAGTTTCAGCTTTCTACATATGGCTAGCCAGTTTTCCCAGCACCATTTATTAAATAGGGAATCCTTTCCCCATTGCTTGTTTTTCTCAGGTTTGTCAATGTGAATTCTTACTTAGAATCACAAAAATGCAATTCTACCCACCATGGATATAGTATAACCTGGATATATTTTGATATTCGCATCAAGTAAATTATTTTTAAAATAATTTATAGGAATAGAAAAAATCCAATGTGAAAATAAAATATATTTCATGATTCTCATGAACAAACAGATCTTAATTGCTCCACTAGAGATTTTAATACCAGTCTTTTAAGTTACAAATAACAATAAAAAGGATAATTCACTCCATAAACTGGCTAGCAATCAGAATGCAAATCAGAGGATGAGCCTTTGCTTCATCAGGAAAGCAGTGACTAGGTTTTTAATTGTCACACCAAATTTCATACAAAACTGGGGAAATATGACTGACAGCACATTGAAGACATGCACAAGAGTGAAAACCAGAAATTTGTGTAGATGGAATTCATTTTGTTTTTATTTCAACTTCTGATCAAGATTACATTGGGGTAGGAAGAAATTATAGATTAAAAATAAATTATTCTGATAGCTTTATTACAGCATAATATTTGATGATAAACTACCAAGATTTTTAAACTAGATTTGACTTTAAATCCTTAAGTTGGTTCTTGCTTTGTCTTTCTGCTTGCTTGGTTTACTTAAATGGCTCTATACATACTGGTACTTGTGTAAAGTTTTACTTCTAGAAACAAGATATTTAAACAAAAAATCAAGACCTAAGCCATCTTCCAAAAATCCCTATTCTACAGCATTTATTTTATTCAACCTGAAAATTGCATTAATCACACTTATTTTTTTTTCCTTTCTTCAATTACTTCCTTGATAAGAAAATCTCTGAGTACCAGGAGAATGCCTTCTAGGTAGATAAGGTTCTTCTCCATGATCACTTTTGAATCTAGTTAAGACTCTTAGTTAAAAATATCCACCCCAAATGATTTTTTAAAGCTGTGGTACATTTATACCAGACAGTACTACTCAACAATAAAAATGACCTATTGATACATACAACTTGAGTGGATCTCAAGGGCATTATGCTGCGTGGGGGAAGCCAATGTAAAAATCACAATCTATATGATTCCATTGATATATCATGTTTGGAATGAAAACATTATAGAGATGGAGAACAAATTAGCTAGAAGATGGAGATGGAGAACAAATTACCACCAAGGATGGTGGCAGGGAGGGAAGTGGACAGGATTATAAGGGGCAGCTTGAACCACATTGTTGTAGTGATGGGATCGTTCTACATGTTTATTGCAGTGGTGTTTACATGAGTCTACATATGTGATGAAATGGCATCAAACTATTTACACACATTGTCCCAATGTTACAATATCAATACAATATCAAACAACATCAATGTTTGATATTGTATCATAGCAATATAAGATGTAACCATTAGGAAAAGTTAGGTATACAAGATCTCTCTGTAGTACTACATTTACAACTTTTGCTGAATCTATAATCATTTCAAAATAAAATTTTTTTAAAAATCCACTCAAATGGAGAAGGGGGTAGGAGAGAGCCTTTCTGAAGGTTCAGAGATGAGCAAACTTTAACCAATCTTCAAGACAATTCTGTGTTAAAAAATAAAAACAAAACAGACAAAAAACTGCATGCACAAAGTATTTACCATTTCTCTAAAGTATATGGTCATAATTCTTATTTTTGAGGTTTAAAAATATATATCTTTAGTTTTCCCTAGCAATTTTATAATGCATGCTTTTAATACAATTATTTTAAAGAGATGAAATCTTACTATGTTCCCCAGGCTGGCCTCCAACTTCTGAGTTCAAGCAATCCTCCTGCTTCAGCTTCAAGAATAGCTGGGACTACAAGTATGTAGCACCTTGCCCAGGTTTTTAATATAATATTAGAAGAATTTTATAATGTATGCTTTTTAGTAGATTATGGATATTATATTTCTATTTTTACATATTATAGTCTCTCTTAGCAAATATATTGTATGTACTTTATAGAACAGTTTTTCTTAGGAAATTTATCTTTCTAACATTTAGAAATGTTATCATGGTAACCATGGAAGTCTGTCAAAATTTCAAAAGGTGCTATCTACAGACCTTTGAGTAGAATCAACTACCCTGAAATTATATAAACCTGAAATTTTGATTTGAAGATGTAGTTCAGCATATTAATTTACTTTTGAGTAAACTGAATTTAAATATATTTGAAATCCTTTTTTGAAGATATAGAATAGGATGTCAGTTGGCTTTTTCATAAACTGAATTTACTTAAACTTGAAGTCTTGATTTAGAAATATAGTTAAGTATGTCAATTGGCTTGTGTGTGTATTTGTGTATAATTTGCCTAATGTGGCCAATTATATAATTTGCATATTTAATCACAATAGTTGGATGACCTGGGGCAAATGACTGCAAGTCCTCTACATTTCCAAAATATGTAGATGATAATAATACCTGTCTTACCTTCTTCACAAGGTAAAACACTAAACAAAGGTTATTATTGTTACTAATAAAAAATAATTGCAACAGGGCTGTTTTGTCAACCTGTGGAGTATGATCTATTCATAAAGCCTGTCTTTTCCACCTCTGAGGAAGAATTTAAATGAAGCATACACAAAAGAGTTTTCTGATTAGTTCCAAGTAAATACCATCAAATAAAACCCCTAAACAAGCACATAGACAGTGTAAAAATAAAAAAGCAGCACTCTTAACAATGGCACAGGGCAGATATGTTCCTTCTGTTATGGGAGTTGTAACCTGCCCCCATTTTTAAAATTATTTTCTTTTTTTAGTATCAAAAAACTTCAAGTTATGCTTGTTCATTTGAAAACTGCTTATTGGCCTGCTGTGATGGCTCATGCCTGTAATCCTAGCACTTTGAGAGGCCAAGGTGGGAAGATCACTTGGGCTCAGGAGTTCAAGACTATCCTGGGCAACACAGGGAGACATGTCTTTACAAAAAGTAAAAAAAAAAAAAAAAAAAAAAAGTTACTCGGGTGTGGTGTTGTGCACCTGTAGTCCCAGCTACTCGGGAAGCTGAGGTGGGAAGATTGCTTGGGCTCAGGAGGTAGAGGCTGCAGTGAGCTGTCATCATGCCACTGCACTCCAGCCTGGGTGACAGAACAAAACTCTGTCTTAAAAGAAAGAAAACTGAATCCAGTCTTAGAAAATAATGGCAGTATTGCTTCTAAAAAAGTAAACATTCAAAATATTCAACAATTAGAGAATGGATAAGCAATGATACATATATTGCAATAATGTGGCATTTTCAGAGACATAATAATAATTGAAAACGAGATATGCAGCTATTATTTCAACTATATAAAAATTTGGTTTAAAAGTTAGTGTGATACTTCAGAATATTAACTGGGTTTCCTAGATAGTAGAACTATAGATGGCTTTTTCTTCTTTTTTACAAATTTGTTTCCAAATTTTCAGTAATGAGATTTCTTACTTTTATTATTAGAGAAAAACTTGTTTGAAACTGTTAATTGTTGTTGCGGTAGACAGCCTCTAAGGTGGCATCCAGTGAATCCATTGATACACATGCCCTTGAGCAATCACTCCAGGAGTGTAGGCTGGACCTAGTGACTTGCAAATAATAAATAGAATATGGAAAAAATGATGGAATGTTATCCTGTGATTAGATTACAAAAAATAGTGTCTTCCATCTAGGGTGCCCTATTTCTGCTTTCTTGTGCACTTACTCTGAAGGAAGTCAGCTGCCATGTTGAAAGCTTCCTTATGAAGTGGTCCACATGGCAAGAAGTTGATGTCTCCAGACAATAGCCATCAAGGACCTGACACCATGGTGAGCGAGTTTGGAAATGGGGTCTCCCCTGCTTGAACCTTGAGATGTCTACAGCCCTGACCAGCAGCCTTGAGAGAGATCCTGAGACAATGGCATCTCGCTGTTGCCAGGAATCTTGACTCATAAAAACTAGGATATAATAAAGATTATTATTTTAAGCTGCTAAATATTGGGGTAATTTGTTATGCAGCCACATTTAGCTAATACTGTCATTATTTAAAATGAGCATTTATTTTGTATTCTAAGATCTGTAAAAGTGTACAAGTTCCTCCACAAAAATGTACTTGGTTTTCCTTCAAAAATATACCTGGTAATCTAAAAGTATTAGAAGTAAAATAAATTCTTGCTATTAATATATTTAATCATCATGTAAATATTGTTTTCAGCTTTTTACTATGTCATAGCTATGTGCTTATGAACTTAAGAGCCAAAAGTGAACAAGACAAGTTAATGCTATCAAGGATCTTATAGGCTGGTCTGGTCAGGGGAGAAAGGGGTTGGGAAGGATAGAGATACATAAGTAGACAATAATTTCAATAAAATTGAAGTACAATAGCAGAGAAATAAATATAGTGTCATGGGAGCACAATAGAAGGAGAGACTATCCTTCTCAAAATAAATAAGAAAAAAATCCACAAAGGATTATACATCTAAGCCAGATTGTACAAGATGATGAGTACATGCAGGATAGGGGATAGGTTGTGGAGAAATGCTAGACTCAGGTAATAGCATGTACAAATGTGGAACTGATACTGTAATAGCCATGATGGGAAAGAGCAGGTGACGGGACATGTCAGTGCAGAGTCCACAGAAATAGTGAGAGATGGGTCTGGTAAAACAGTGGAGCTAAGTAATGACAAGTAATAGAAGTCAAATAAAGAAATAAAAATGGGAGGCTGAGACAGGAAAATTGCTTGAATCTGGGAGGCAGACGTTGCAGTGAGCCAAGATCATTGCATTTCAGCCTGGGTGACACAGCAAGACTCCATCTTAAAAAAAGAAAGAAAGAAAAAAGAAATTGAAATACTATACTATAGGTATTGAGCCATCATTAAATCCTTTAATGATGGGAGTCAACTAATTTATGTTATGTAAGGATGATTCTAACATGAAATGAAAGTGGAGAATGGTTAAAATGGGAATGGCTGTCAAGACAATTAAAATAGGAGGCAATTAAAATAATACACCATGGAAGATCATCACCTGAGTCTGGGAGGTCGAGACTGCAGTGAAATCATGCCACTGCACTGCAGCCTGGGTAACAGAGAAAAATCTTGTCTCTAAAAAGCAAAAAACAACAACAACAACAACAACAACAACAAAACAAAATAATAATCCACCATAATAATAGCTACTATTGATTTAAAACACTGTAGAAAATATTACTTGCATTTGGTCTTAACAATTAGCTTGCCTAATAGCAATCATTGTTTTTCACTTATGAGGAAAGGAAGGCCCAGAAAAGTTAAATGACTTGCCTCTACCTCACAGCAGCTAAGTAGCACTGCTGGTTCAGAGAAAAATAAACTATAAAAAATGAATCAAATGTAAACTCTAGAACTGAAAAATATAGCATCTAAAATAACAAATTTGTTGAATTGAACAAATAGCAGAATGAAGATAACCAAGGAAACACAGTCAGTGAACTTAAAGATAAATCAATGGAAATTATCCAGTCTGAAGAACAAAGAAAAGATTGAAAAATATTAAAATATCCTCAGAGAGCTGTAGGACAATATTTAAATATTTAACATACATATAATTGGAGTCCCAAAGGGAGAGCAGAAAGAACATGAGTTATACAAACATTTTTTTAATGGTGGCTTACATTTTTTTCAAATTCAGTGAGTGACATAAATTTACAGATTCAAGAAACTCAATGGACCCCAGATAGAATAAATACAAAGAAAATCTCATATAGGCCCATAACAGTCAAACAGCTGAAATTTTTTTTTAAATTGAAGACAGAAAAAAATAACATGTATATAGAAGGAAATGATACAAAGGAATCATCAGAAACAATGTAGGCCAGCAGATAGTGGGAGAACATTTGCAAAAGTTGCTGAAACCATCGGGAAAGAAGCCCTCTATTCTTTTTCCTGAGGATGGTAAGATGGTAGGATAAAGCCTGAATATGGCAGCGCCATCTTACTATCAGACATGGGAATGGAAACCAGATTCTGGATGGCATTGCTTGAGTGATTAGATCAAATGTGACTCTGATTCATCGAAACTATGCACTTTTTTTTTTTTTTGTATAAAGCATTTTTAGGAATGTTTCTGTCATTTACAGGCAAATGAGAGCCTATTAAAATAATCATCCTTTCAAATGTAGTCGAAATATTCTCTCCTTTTAAAAATCTTTCCTGTACTGGGGCGGTGGCTCACGCCTGTAATCCTAGCACTTTGGGAGGCCGAGGTGGGTGGATCACCTGAGGTCAGGAGTTCAAGACCAGCCTGTCCAACATGGTGAAACCCCATCTCTACTACAAATACAAAAATTAGCTGGGCATGGTGGCGGGCACCTGTAATCCCAACTACTCAGGAGGCTGAGGCAGGAGTATCACTTGAACACAGGAGGCGGAGGTTGAAGTGAGCTGAGATCGCGCCATTGCACTCCAGCCTGGGCGACAAGAGCAAAACTCCGTCTCAAAAAAAAAAAAAAGTCTTTCTAATCCTTCCCATTCTTTTATCTCTCAGAAAGAATTAGTTGCTCCCCATCCTCTGTACTTTATTAGTGTCTCTTCATTGTTGAACTATTTATATTGTATTTTTAAAAACAGAGTATGATCCCCTTGAGGGGTGGTATTGACTTAGTTTTCTTTGTATCTGGATAACAGCTGTAGCACATAGTGAACCACAAATATACATTTTTTTCAATTAGACTTTTTCTTAGGGGATGCGATAGTTTTTCTTAATTGATTGGATCAGTTAAAACGCCTCTGGTTAAAAGCAACAGAAATCTCCAAAGAAATGGACTTAAATGTTCAAGAGAATTGATTGGGTCATGCCACTGAAAAAAATCCAGAGGGAAAGTACCTTAATCAAGGTCGACTACAGGGGATGAAGAAGGAATCATACTAAGAAAACTATCAGGTACCCTCCTCAGAAACTGGAGGAATTTTTGTAGAATTAGCATATGTGGTCTATATCTTGGATGAAAATACGAGAGAAAGAATCCTACACCTCTTTCTTCTTTCCCAGAGTCTAATGCACAGTGGTTGCAAAGTCTTAAATATTATTGCATGGAGAAGTACGAGATATCTGATAAAAGCGTATCACAATTTTTTTCCTGTCTTGTGATTCAGATTTTTTTAGTTACTTAATGTCTTTAATTTTTAAATTTATTTATTTTAAAATTTTTTTGTAGAGACAAGGTCTTATATGTTGCCCAGGCTTGTCTTGAACTCCTGGCTCAAGCAGTCTTCCCAGCTCAGCTTTCCAAAGTGTTAGGATTACAGGTGTGAGCCACCACGGCAGGCCAAGAAATTTTAATGATTATAAAGATCATTCATAGTATGTTATTTTCAGCAACAAATTATAAACAACTAAATATTCTTTCAAAGTGGTAACCCAAGAGATAATTCCTACAGCAGACAGATTACCAATGTCAGCATAGGCATAAATTTAAGTAATATGGAGAGAAAGACTAGACCTAAAGTTGAAGGGTAAAAGAAACTGCTTCTGGAGTATGGGACAGTGGGCATAGGGTACATAGAATAACAGCTTCTCAAAACAAGTTATTTTCTATCATTGGATTTTCTAACCATGTTTATGTACTTATTTGATAAACTTAAACATTCTAAAAATTAAAGAAATTTAAAGTAAGGCAATTCTAAAGATTCAGTAAGTCTTAAGAAAAACCAAACAAACAAGAATTTGGCAAACAGATCTAATCCCAATGCTTATGCTAGTCAAAACAGCTCTCTTTCTGTGCCTAAAAATTATTCAGATACTTCCTATGTTTTCTCCCTCTTGCCTGCCTGGACTTCAATGATTCTGCTTTTAGTTCAGCATCTGAACCCTAGTCCTTGCCTTTGCCACTCCCTAGACTCAGCTTGGTTTTCCATTGTTTCAGTGATCTCCATACTTGTGGCCACCCCAGTGGGATGCAGCCAAGAGTGTTTATCAACTGTGCTGAAGGCATGTCTTGGCTTGGCCCATGGCTTTCAGGGATGGGTGCAGTGCACATCATCATTACCATCTGAGAATTATGTTTGATTATTTATTAGGTAATATATTTAATTAAAGAACATGGCATCATGAAGAAATCATGGTTTAGAATTTACTGGCCATCTCTAACTTTTCATGTTAAAATAATTTCTGACATCATCAAGAGAGAAGGGAGCCAAATAGGAAGAAGGGCTACTTCAAGATCACCTCACTGTTCAAACAGAGAAACAATCAAGAGTTGTAATGCCTGAAGCTTCCCTCACTCCTCCCATTCCCTGGGAACATCTACTAAATCAACAATGTGTTTTAATTATAATGGAAAGGGTCAGTAACACAATCTTCTTAAATTCTGCTCTCAACCTGGCCAAAATAAAGGGCACAAGCCTCTCACTGATGCCATTTTGATTACACAAATTCAAACATGCCCACTTTTAATAGCTAGCAAGGTAAATTCTCCATGTCCATTAAGATTCAAGATATCATTACAAAGTTATATTGAAGGGTATGACACAGCACAAATATTTGCAGGAGGCTAAACTATTTGTTACAATACTTATTTCTAAATGAATTACCTTGTGGTTGATAGTAAAGCTGAAAACTAAGAAATAAGGGTCAGATTCCTCCTGTGAGATCTCCCTTGTAAAATTATCCCGAATGTAATAATACCACATTATTGACTTAAGCACACTTCCCAGTGACATGCCATAGCTGACCTGTAATTTTTATTCTACATGATGCCAGCCCTAATAAAATGACGCTTGTGAATGTAAATTAAGCTCGCAAAGGGGACAGATTGCATGATTCTGGTTTCTTTCAGATGCCTGTAGGCTATCACAGGTTCCATATGTGAAGTAATTATGTTCACTGAAGGAAAGAATAAATGCTGTCAAATTGTGTACTGAGAGAGAAAGCAGCTATTATATTTCAGTAGTCGCTAGAGCATTGCCCCCAGACAGTAGCAAGATGTATAAGAAAATAAAAACGGTGCCAGCCATATATTACACATCTGCCTTTACATTTGTAGCTCCCTTTAAATGTATATTATACAAAGACAATAACTTACCCATGAACGTTTTAGCTGTCTTCTTCGGCATCTTTTCTGTGGAGCCATTTTGAAATATGTGGCATGATAGTTATTGAAGGGATAATGAATACAGATACTTAGTTCTGTTTCTCTTGCGTCGTACTGAGAAGCAACAACCCTGTTGGAACTTTGATGTGCGAACTTTGCTTTTTGCTTGAACGACATCTCAAATTCAAGCCCAGCCCTGCCCACAGCTGTTTTCTTCATAACTTATGGGAATGGGGGCGAGTCTTTCTCCATTTAAAAACCTCCTTACTTACTGAGGGCATTTTAAAAAATGAATTTGAATAGTTAGAATAATATTTGGTACTTATTGTGTATTGTGTAATTTATTAGTTGAAGTCTCATTCTTTCTCTTCCTTAGTATCCTAACTGAAAAAGTGATTGATACAGATCTTTTTTAAAAAGTGTATGGTTTCCAGCATAGACCTAATGGGACCTAGCTACACCTCTGTCCTTGCCTAGGGGAAATTGTATTGAGACCTGAGAGGCACAGCCGACATGCATTAAGTCTAAATAATCCTGGGAGGAGGAATGTTCTGTATTTTTTTTTTTTTTTTTTGGATCTTATCCCTACCCTCTGAGAAAGGTATGCAACTTTTAAGATTGGTTACCATCCCTCTTCTGCAACCCTCTGAGGACTCTGTTTTATGCTGCTTTTTGATTGACCAGACTCCTCCAGTCAGGCTTCTAAACTTAATCTAAACTAATTTATGTTTCAGCCGCCTTCTCTATTCTCTGAAAACCAAACAAAACCAAACAAAACAAAATCTACCCTAACACTTCAGAATAGTTTAAGTTGGGTATTAATAATAAAAAACAAAAACTAATGTATACTATGGTGTTAATAAGTGGGAGGTGGTTATAATTATTTGTACTTTACAAAGGAATATTCATTAAACTAAATGAGTGATTCCAAACTGCATGATAAAATGCACTGGAGAATCTCAGATGGAATAGATTTTAATGTTCATCTACGTAATTTAAGAAACAGAAGTTTATCAGTTTCAGTGTGAACAATCCCAGTGCCTGGGAATATGAAACCTCAGGAGGTTCTATTCCCTTCAGTGTTGACTGCTAAAAGAGTTCTTTATAATGAGGTAAAGTCAAAACTGTCAGTGGAAATATCTATCCTTTGATGCCAGTTTTACCTTTTACAGCTGCAAAGAAAACTCAGCTCCCTCTCCTACAACCTTCCAATCTGTGAAGGCAGTAACCACAAGCTCACTTCCCAAATGAATTTTCAGTACAAAATCTCCCCATTCCTTCAATGCTTTCATCTTTTAATATTGCTTATAAGCCTTTCCATGCCTTGAATATATTCAGGAAGCACAAGAGAGAAAACGTTTAGAGAACATTGTCTCTTTTAAATCACACCACTTTAGTGGTCTCCTACTATGGTAATACTAGCACTTTATGCTGTAAACTGTCTTGGATGGTTATCAATGAATGCTGAAGTCAGTGAGAGTGATATGAAGAGTCCTTATACTTCCAATCAGGTACTTCCTGTTTTTTTTGTGTGTGTTTTTTTGTTTTTGTTTTTGTTTTTTTTTTTTTCGGTATCTGTAACTGGACTAGGGTATCATGCTGGAATGTATGAAGAAATAGTGACTGGCATGCCCATTAAAATGTCTGCTTTCTTAAAGTCAAAAGAGAAAAAGAGATCTCCTAAGAAAATAGATTCTACTTTGAGAATAAGGCAGAGGCTAGAATCTTTCCATAAAGCAAAATATTTTCCTTAGTTACTCAAACACCATACTTAACTTCCTGAAACTAAAAAAAATAAAATATAAAAAAGTCGAATGGGATGGTTTGTAGCATGTGACCAAGGAAATCCTGTGGACTCTATGCACCTCCCACCTTTTGTTATAGGTGAGCTTCTAAATGCAAGTTACTTCAAATCACCCCAACAAGTCAAATGAATCAAAAGAGAAATGTGAATGGATTATTTCATTTACTACAATGTCCTCCAGGTTCATCCATGTTGTTGCAAATGACAGGATTTTCTCCTTTTTAAAGGCTGAATAGTATTCCATAGTGTATATATACCACATTGTCTTTATTCATCCATTCATTGGACACTTAGGTTGATTAGCTCCAGTTAGCTGTTCTTCTTTGTATACATATTTAAAAACATCATATTGTACATGATAAGTATAAACAATTTTTATTTGTCAATTAAAACAAAACAAAGCAAAACAAAAGGGGAAGTGTGAAGAATTCTATTGAAATAAAGTAAAACTTTGCCTAATGATGGTTTTTCATTTGCTATTTGGCAACAAAATTTAACTTTATAGTAACAGAGGAATCATTGAGAAAGGCTGTTCTGGGGAAGAAAGTTCTTTGCCAAAGCTTTTACTGGGAGCGCAACCAAAGAAAATAAAATGGAGGCCAGGAATGGATGTCTCCTAATCTCTGGAAAACATTATTTAAAGACTTTTATTGAGATATAATTTACATACTGTACCATTTACTCATGTAAGGCATACAATTCAATAGTGTTTAATATATTCACAGAGTTGCACAACCCTCAACACAATCGATTTTAGATAATTTTCATTACCCCCAAAAGAAACTTTGTATCCATTAACAGTAATTCCCCATTCCTTCCTCATCTCAATACCTGGAAACCACCAACCTAATTTCTTTCTCAATAGATTTAGACTTACCTGTTCTGTTCACTTCATGTAAATGAATTAATACTTGATTTTATGTAAAGGGCATCACACAATGTGGACTTTTTTGAATGGCTTTTTTTCACTTAACCTACTGTTTTCAAGGTTCATCCATGTTGTACAGTTTTATGAAAGCATTACATTTTGTTTATTCATTTATCAGTTGATAGATATTTGGGTTATTTTCATCTTTGGCCTATTTTGAATAGTGCTGCTGTGAAATATATGTGTACAGCTTTTTGTGTGGATGTTTTCATTTCTCTTAGAATTGATGAGGTAATATGGTAACTCTACGTTTAAC
This sequence comes from Homo sapiens, assembly GCF_000001405.40. NCBI lineage: Eukaryota > Metazoa > Chordata > Mammalia > Primates > Hominidae > Homo > Homo sapiens. The sequence continues at coordinate 96,161,052 of NC_000001.11, read as the reverse complement.
ATTTTGAGAAACTATCAAACTGTTTCCAACAAGGCTAGAGCATTGTACATTCCCACCAGCAAGGTATGAGAGTTTCAATTACTATACATCCAAGCCAGCACTTATTTTCTTTTTAATTATAGAATCCTAGTGAATGTGAAGTGCTCTCCTATTGTGATTTAATTTAAAGTTTTCTGATCACTAACTGTATCGAGCATTTTTTTCTTTCATGTGCTTATTGGCTGTTTATATATCCTTTTTGTAGAAATGTCTATTCAAATCTTTTGCTGATTTTCTAATTGGATTACTTATATTTTTATTGTTGAGTTGTAAAACATTCTTTATATATTCTGGAAGCTAGTCCCTTAATATATATGTATATATATATATGATTTGTAAGTGTTTTCTCCCATTTTGTAGGTTTTTTTTTTACTTTCTTCATAGTGTCCTTTGAAACACAAAAGATTTTTAACTCTGATGAAGTATATTCTATTTTTTTTTTTTTTTGGTCAAAACTTTTGTTTTTGGTGTGTTATCTAAGAATGCTTTGCCTAACCCCAGGCGACAAACATTTATTTCTATGTTTTCTTCTTAAGAATTTTGTAGTTTTGGCTCTGAACTTAGGACTATGATCAATTTTGTGTTAACTTTGGTGTGCGGTATAGGAAGATGTCCAACTTTGTCTTTCGCAGGAGGACATTTGATGGTTCTAGCATTATTTGTTGAAAAGACTATTCTTCTCCATTGAAAATTCTTGGCACCATTGCTGAAAATCAGTTGGCCGTAAATGTATGGTATGGGCTTTTGACCCAAAATTATGATAATTTTTTTAAAAAGAAAAAGAATTTTCAGATATAACTAGAACATTAAAAAACAATAGATCTAAAACAGCACCAGCTCTAGGGAGAGGCAAGCAAGGAATTTGCTTTGGGCATAAAATTTAAGTACTTAATAATCAAGACAAATATTATTTTAAGGCAATATTTAAAAATTCACTCCACAGATACCCTAGGTCTTAAAAAAATCAAAATTGATGAAAAAGTCCACAGTGAACAAAATATAAAAATTTTAAATGAAGACAAAATCAGTATTACAATTATTTTTTTGCCTTGGGCTCCACCATAGCTCAGCACAGCACTGTTACTGATGCTGTCTTTATTAAACATTTTGATACTTCATCATGACTTTTTGCCTTAAAGTGGATTTTTAAATGTATAGCATCAAAATACATTTGTTTATACTATTGGCACCCTTCCTCCTTAAATTTTGCACTAGGTAAGTGCCAGATTTGCTTCACTTACCTTGCCCTGGGTCCCAGCCCTGCTGACAACTACACATAATGTCTTTACACTCTAAACTTGCTAAATAAATTGCTTGCAAGCTTGATTAGCTAACCACAAACAAATGCCCATTCATTTAGTTAACCAGACAAAGTCCCCTTTCCCTTTTTAACCAGAAAGAATTATTGACATTGCACAATACTTGTATCTACTAAAGAGATGTTCGATATTGTGACACCTGATTCAGTTTGACTGAATAAAACTGCATTACGTAGATCAAAAGCAGAGAGCCTAAGTTCAGTTCTGTCCTTTAACTAACTGTCCTCTGTAGAACTTGAGTACTTTCATCTTTTCATTACTAATTATCCATATTGGCTGGTTATCCACTGTTCTGCTGAAAGGTCACAACAATGACATCAGTGCTTGCAATGAGTGTGAATCTACTAGGTAACCACAATCTCTGACTCAGAAAACTATGGGATTAGATAAATTCAGAGAGATCATGCTGCATTCGAGCATACATTATGGGGTGTGGCTGATTGTAATGATTATGGTGGAGCAAAAGGAACAGTTGAAGGTAACGAGAAAACATGAATGAAATAGGAATAGGAAGAGAGATGCTTGGCCTATGAGAGTCCATTTTTCCTCCATTTTCATAGTGACATTTAAGTTTTTTATCTAAGGTTACTTTGGTTTTATACTTGAACCTAAACTGTAATTGTTTTCACTATTGCTTTGGGGCTGCGTAGGCAACAGTAATTTCTAATGGCTATTAACAAATATATCTAATCACCTTTTTAATAAGAATGATTGGCTTAGAGCAGGAGTATATAATAGGCCAGTTTGGACAGAGAGAAGTTGAAGACAGAATATGAAGGAAAAGACCTACCAAGGAAAAAGTAGTTGTAAAAATAGGAATAGCTATAGGAGAATACGGCATCTAAAGATAGTATAATAACTATTCACCTGGGGTGGGAGAGACAGTGGAAAACAAGTGAGGTCTGAGGACATTGAAGGTCAAAAATCTCACTATTATACTCAGGGATGGATTTGCTAGTCCAGGGTCAAGATAAAACAATATTGAAACAAGAGCCAATATTGTCATCCCCACTGGTGTGGTTTCTTCTTTGGTACCAATTCACATTCATTAGATCATCTAGTCTCACTCTGAGGTGAAACTGAAAAAAAAAAAAATAAAAAGATAAAGAAATGGTTACACGTAAATAATTACCCCTTCTGAAGGAGCTGACTTGACTGGTCAGGCCATGAGATCCTCTGCTGTATGAAATGCCTTCTATTTCCTATCATAGGCTCTACTTGAGCCATTTTCCACCTGAGGCACCCACTTTCCTGAAAAACTCTCACTCACGTCATAGTGGTTTCCAGTTAGCCCAGCCTCTGTCCAGTGCTTTCTGAAGTGTGTTCTGCTAATCTCTGTGATACAGTTTGATGGCCAATTTTTGGAACAAATGTATGTGTGTGTGTGTGTATGTTTAATGACTTCAGAGTATCTGAGAAACTTTGGCATATATTGTCAACATTTTAAAATGACAATGCTAGTGGTGGTGCTGGTGGAGAAGGTGGTTGGTGGTCACAGGGCTGTAGATGACGTCTATCAAAAATATTTGACCATGAAATCTTTTTTCGTGAACATTTTAGTGAGGGTAGGAATAAAGTGTGAGAGAAGAAAAATGGCTCAGAGAAGCCTGAGCTCTGTGAGGAATGCAGCCCAGGGGGACATGAGTATAGGTCTTCAGACATGCCCCCCCACACGCATGCCTGGGATCAATCGTTTCAAGTTATCCTGTCCCTGACTAGCTGCCTCACTCATTAACTTCATGTTCCTAGAACTTGTGATACAAAGATTAATGTACAGCCAATCAACAATATCTGTTATTTTAATGTAAATTCTTGGTAAGCAACTTAGAACTGCCTCTTTTTCTTTAAAAACCTGCTTGTAACTTGATAATTGGAGCCTGGCCTCTTCAGCTCATGTGTGTGGTGGCCTGGTCTTCAATCTGTGAGGTGGAAGCCTGTTGGCTGGACCTCCCCTCTTTTATTTATTTATTTTTTGCTGAGAGCTTTCTTCTAATAAATTCCACTCTCCTCACCTTTAAATGTGTCCATATGCCTAATTTTTCCTGGTCATGTGACAAGAACCTGGATTTTAGCTAAACTAAGAAGCAAAAATCCTTCATCATATTGGCGGCTCATATGAGGACATGAGGAAAAGTGAGTAAAATGTGGACCAAAAAATCTTTTTCCCTCTTGCTTCTGAGCCTTTTTGTCCTTGGACTTATTCTGAGAGTAGAGAAAACTGTGCCTCCCATCCCTCGTTGCTCTCAGGGGTGAGGAATACTGGCCTCAGTCCAACCTAGCCTTTTCTATGGAATTTTCCTTCCTTTATTGGGACTGTAATGGCACTACCCCACCCCAATGGCCACAGGCACATGCAGGACAGACAGGTGAGTGGTGCCTCCACACTCTCATCCCCTCCCAGCTGGGGCTGGGGCACATGGCCCAAGGGCCCCACGCGGCAGCCTGGCCAGTGTCCCCGGCCACACATCCATGGAGTCTTCCCATCCCTCAACCAAGGGGTCCAGCTCTGTCCAACAGTAATTAAAAGTTTCTCTCCATGTTGGAGGAATCCATTTGCATAAGAATAACAGGTTCTTCTGCAAGGCATCTTTCCAGTCCTGCACTTTAAGCTGTTTTTTCTTTTCTTTTCTCCACCTTGTCAGCAGTTAACATAGCCCTGCACTTTATGCTGCTTTTTTTCTTTTCTCCACCAGGTCAGAAGTTAACTTTTATGCAAAATCCTTTTTTTTTTTTTCCTTTTAAAAGACGTTTTATTAGTCCAGGACTGCAACTATCATTGTTTATTTTCTCTGTAAAGTTTTAATTATGAAAAAGAATTTGTGAGGTTGGTCTTAAGCTGTAGCCAATCTGGTTTGCTTTGCATGTCTCTCTGTACAGTTCTGTCAGAAAGAGGAGGATCTTAGGATGAGATGCAGGCCTAGGACTCCATAAGCCCACTGTTTGAGCCAGCCCAGCAAACTGGTAGGTGGAAAATTTTGCCGCAGGCCTCCATCTCATTTTACATCCTTGGAAGCATGACCTGTAACCACGTGGCAGTGCTTTGTTTTAGCCTCCATTTTACAATGGCAGCCTAGGTTCAATCCTGGCTTATGGAATAAGTCCTTTCTGGTTTGATATCTGTATGACCATTGCCATTTGTTGATTATCTTCCCCTCCAAGAACCACCTTGACTTTTCCTTTCTCTGAGCACTTGAGAGGTTACCTTTTGTAAAGTTCAAAAGCCAGAAATATTGGCCACTTGGCATGGCTAAAGTCAGGTAATAAGGGATTTAAAAGAATTTTCTTAAAGAGCACTCAGCTTAATTAAAAGCAGGTATCCAAATTATGGGTATATTTAAAAAGCCTTTGTTTTTTTCTCTTCCTAGATTTTGTTTTCATGGAAAAAGATTTTCTTCTCAGTTGACTGAATTATTTTTCTCTATTTTGCATTGCCACTCTTAATGCATATAGGAGATATTTTCTGATGGCCTGGGACTCCTTAGGAAAAACAGAGAAGGTGCCATGGATGCCATTTTGGGAGAGACCTCTGTTTTCCTCATGGAGCCCCAGGAATTAGAGGTGGATGGATCCCTCTCAAAATCTGTTTTTGTCTTCCAGCAATACCTATTAATTAGGACTTAGAAACTGCATGCTTTCCTAGCCTTGGCCTTAAGGGCTATACACCAGGAGACCAATAATCCAACTGGAAGACTGGCAAACAAAAAATCTTCTGTCTGTCTGTGTAATTATATATGTGTTGTATGTGTGTGAGGTCTACAAAAAAGAGCTCTAATTGACTTAAAGAAGGATAAAGACTTGTATCAAATATTTTTAAAGGAAAAATAAAAGCTCTGGTACCTTTTAGTTCACATGACTTTAATTTTTGAGAAATAAAAACAGCCTTAAAGATCACTGGTAAAATGCAGATGTCAAAATGTAAATTTTTGCCTAGGATTAAAGGATTGTTTTGAATTAGGTAAGATAAAGCTAAAAGTTCAAACAAGTTATGGAAGGACTGTAAAAATTAATCTTGCAAAAGAAATTCCATGTGTAAACATATTGACTACATTCAAAAGGGTATTATATGGCTTTTCTGTAAATTAAGCATTGAAATAAAAGTGGAACAAAGTACTCTAAGGCACTAATCTGCTCTTTAGCAAAATTTGTAAAGGGTTAGGAAAGGTTTTTGCTTTTTTTAAAAATTTTTGAGTCATCATTTTGGCAAAACAAATAACTTACGGAAATCTGGAATTGTATTTCATAACATCAAGTGTTTTAAACATCTAACATATTTAACAGGCTTCCCCAAAGCAAACTTCAGTTTCAAAAATTGTCTTTGCTGATGCCTAGCTTTTGGAAGCTACAGAGGACCTCTGGAGCACCCAGAAGAGAGATTAAACAGGATTATTTGACATGTTTAGGTACATAGGACTGCCAAAATGATGTTTAATCTTCTTCAGGTTATATTTTAGGGAATAATATGAATATATGTTGCAAAATTGTATGGGGTTTCTAAAATTCTAATGTCTGAGTATATGCTATCAATCACAATTAAGGTTGTTATTTTAAGTTATTGTAAACCACAGAGATAGCAAATTTCTTTATCAGTTGTGTTTCTGACTGTAACTGCCCTAGACATTTTGTTATTCACAGAAAATTGTTGTCTTGTTTTGATCCTCTTCCAAAGATGATATATAATCAGCTATAGAATTTTGATAGACGTTCTCAAATGCAGGTTTCTGATAGCTTTGGAGATTGTGACATTGGTATAAAGGAAAAACATACAGGACTCATGAAAAGCAGAAATGTTTATGAATATCAAGCAAAAGAAGAGTTAAATGAATGGATTGAACTAATAGAAAACAAGTAATTATTTTGACTTTTGCTTAGAACATTGCTGATCTTTGTTTTGTTTTTCAGAGTCAGTGAAACTTATTTTAAGCTACTTATGGCCTTTATTAATTGAGATATACTTCTGTGAACAAAATTTTGAGCATATTCATCCCTCTCTCTTTCTCTGCTTGGCTTCCCCAGAATTTGGAAACTAGTTGTGAGTATCCTTAACTGATGGCAATATAGTTGTTTGCATCAGTGCAATAAGAATCCATTTTATTTTGCAACATGATTCAATTGAAGAAACTGGTTGTTTTATCAAGGCTTTGACTGGCTGGGTATACTTCCCTTAAAGGAGTCAAGCTCAACTTGCAGAGTTGATAAAAACCACTTGGGAAAACTGGCTTCATACTTTGTCTACATAGTCCCTGTACAGGGTTCTTAACTGGTGGTAAGTAAAGAATGTCACTTTCTAACAGGCCGAGGAAGCCCATGCTTTGAGACCTCAAGAATAGAAGTACTTACCCAATTCACAGGTATTCAAGGGTACAAACCAGTGGCTGCACTTAGCTTTGGAAAGTCCTGAGATTCCTTGTGGAACAGAGTCCCATCAAAGCCAATCTAAAAGGCCTATTTAAAAATAATTATTCTTGCTGCACTTTATGCAAATAATCAGGCCAAGTATAAGACTAAAGTCTATTTTGCAAACATCGCAGTCTTATCATGATTTGTTTTTAATAAAAAATGAGGACTGGAGAGAGAGAAATTATGTTTCAAAATGTATTATACATTTCTCATTAAGTTCTAGACTCATTATTTTTTTTAAGCTTTTGCCTGTATTTTAGACTAACTCTGCTTATTCTATGAACCAACCAGTGATCTCCAATTGCAGCTCAGCAGGGACAAAAGGGGATGGGCATGTAAAAATCTGGATGAACACTCTATTTCTGAGCAATTATCCTGCAAATCCTGCTGGGTGATGAGAATAAGTTGGGTGCCCATCACCCAGAGGTTTCCTTTTTGGAAAAATAAGACCAAGGGAGCTAATCAAAGCCAAGCCCCATACACCCAAATCTTAGCATAGCTTAGCAACTATAGCCACCAGTTATCTGGGCATGTCACAAGACATCCTTTTATCTCCCTTGTTGGAGGAGGACTAAATTTTCCAGCTTCACCTTAGCATTTGGCTTATGATAAGGAATCCATGCAACAACCCACCCTCACCCCTGCTGGAGACACATTTTTGTCCCAAACTCAATTCCAAGCTTCAGGTCAAATCCCTAGGAAAGAAATCTGGATCTGAGGGATCCAGAGGCAGACAATAATGGAAGTTAAAAGGTGCAGCATAGGTGAACATGACTAATTCTTGTCAATTAAACCAAGACTCCCATTTCATGGATAAAGGTCATGCAAGTATCCATGGCATAAATGAGGTCTAGGTAACTCAAAAGAACAAAGCTTCCACAGCATGGAAGGGGACCCAAGTGGGTTGCCGTTGCTGGCTCAGGTGGCCAGCTTTTATTCCCATATTAGGCCCTGCCCACGTCCTGCTGATTGGTCTATTTTACAGAGTGCTGATTGGTCCATTTTTACAGAGTGCTGATTGGTGCATTTACAAACATTTAGCTAGACACAGAGCGCTGATTGCTGCCTTTTTACAGAGTGCTGATTGATGCATTTACAAACCTTTAGCTAGACACAGAATGCTGATTGGTGCATTTTTACAGAGTGCTGACTGGTGCATTTACAGACCTTTAGCTAGACACAGAGTGCTGATTGGTGCATTTTCACAGAGTGCTGATTGGTGCGTTTACAAAGCTTTAGCTAGACAGAAAAGTTCTCCAAGTCCCCACTCAACCCAGAAAGTCCAACTGGCTTCACCTCTCAATCCCCCCTCTAAACAGGACACCCCAACTGCTGTTGGGAATTGGGCAATGACCACTCTAGCTACTTCCTGCTGGATAGGTGCAAAGAAGGGGCCCTGCAGTTGTAGTGTCCACCAGAGGGGAACTCTTTAGGCCAGTGGGTTGGTCCAGGGGTCCTTGGTAGAAGTTCTTAGTTAAGCTCATTTGGGGTTCCATTTGTAAGACCATCTGTAGCTTGATGGCCTCGATCCTAGAGGAAACAATTTTGACAAGGAGGTTAAAAATACAGGGCCCAAAGGCAAGTAATAGTAAGATGGCTGTTACAGGACCTAAAAAGCGGAGAAGCCATGTTTCCCAACTCCAGGAGTTGGTATAATAATTTGAAAGGCGTTGTCTGATTTCAGAAGCCTTTTCCTGTAAATGCCAGGCAGCATCTTGTACTATCCCTGACTGGTTAGTGTAAAAACAACACTCTTCCTCTAAGAAGGGGCAGAGTCCTCTTTCTCAGCAGTGAGGAGGTCTAGGCCTCAGTGGTTTTGGAGAGTCACTGCTACCAAAGAGTCTATTTGGGATTGTAGAGTAAGGATAGATTTTGTTATTTCTTGCAAACTGAGAAATCTTTTGAGAGTGTGTGGTAGTAAGATAATACACTGTTAACTTTTTTAGCAAATGTTACTTTTGCTGAAAACCTTGAAAGTTTGGGATTTTAATTTTTCTTTGCTAGTAATAAAACCTCGTTCAGTCCATATTAACTTAGAATTGGTATAGATGGCTCCTTCCTGATTCTATAAGTACTTTAAGGTTTGGCTGAGTGCAAAGAGCTTGCACATTTGAGAAGACCAATTATTAGGCAATTTTCCTAACTCTGCTTCTACAAGGGTTTCCTTATCATTTACTGAATACCCATTGTGTCTTTTTCCCTTAATCGCAGGGGAGGAACCATCTATCTTCTTGTCCTTAAGGGAGTTCCTCCTAGGTCTGGTCAGACCTTTGCATGGTAATTAATTAAGATTTAGGTCCCCTGTAAGGAAACCTGCTCAGTTAAGGATTTTTGTAGGAAGGCTATGGGTTGTCAGTGGCCTCAGTGCTTTCAGGCCACGCCCTTGTTTACACTGACAACAAGGTGGTATTGGAGTATTATAGGATTACAGAGAAGACCTTCAATTATCAATTATAGGTTTTAAATTTACACTGGCTTTTAAAGGAATAGGGTACACTGTTTTTTCTTTACTACTTCCATTTCTCTTTTTTTCTCTTTGACTTCTTTCTCTCTCTCTCTCTGTGTCTGACTCCCTCTTTGTCTCTGTCTCTTCCTCTTTCTCTCTGACTCCCTTTGTCTGTCTCTTCCTTTCTTTCCTTCTTTGACTTTCTCCTTCTCTGTCTCTTCCTCTCTCTCTCCCTCTCTCTGACTTTCTGTCTCTTTCTCTCTTTCCTTTCTGCTGGTCTTTCCCTGCCTCTGCCAGCCGCTTATGCTGCTGTTCTCTGCTCTCCTTCCCTTTTTGATGGCTTTGGCAGTGTAAGACTGCCACCTCTTTGGGATTTTGCACTGCATGCAATAACTCCATGGTTTCCTTGTGATATTCAATGGGGGATCACCCAGAAGTTAGAAACTCCTTTTTTTTTCCATATTGCAGCATGGGCATGTAGGATTAGATAAGCATACTTACTATCTGTAGCAGAGTCTCCCATTTACAATTGAGGAGGTGAGAAAAATACCTGGTTACAGGCTGTCCCAGGATTCCTCGGATGGTAATGGACCTCGAGGACAGTCGTCCAGGACAGGAGATTAACACTGAGAAGGCCGTGCCAATGTCCAGGAGGAAGTCAATTTCCTGGCCCTCAGTGGTTAAACGTACCCAGGGCTCAGTGAAGGTGACAACATGAGCTGGCACTTGCCCTGGGCATCCTCAGTCCTGTTGTTGGATCATCTGGTTGGGGGCTTCTGGCCCAGAGAACCATTGCACTCTGGGGCAGTGTGCCTTCCAGGGATTGCCTCGGCATAGTGGACATGGACTGGGGGGTGGCTTGTTTCTCATTGGACAATCTTTTTTAAAGTGTCCTTGCAAACCACACTGATAAAAAGCCCTACTGGGTGATTGGCCGGCTCCATTTTCTGTCATCTCTGAACCACCAAGGTTTGTTTGTCTGAGGGCCATGACTAAGGCTGCAGCCTTTCTCTGATGTTGCTTTTCCTTTTGGGCCTGTTCCTCTTGGTCCTTATTATAGAACACCGAGGTTGCCAGGTTTAATAATTCCTCCAGATTTTGTTCAGGGCCTAGGGCTCGTTTTTGGAGCTTTCTCCTGATATCTGCAGCTGATTGGGTAATAAACTTATCTTTTAGGATCAATTGAACCTTGAGTGAGCCGGGTGACAGGGGAGTATATTTTCTTAAGGCCTCCTATAGCTGCTCAAGGAAGGCAGAAGGATTTTCTTCCTTTCCCTGAGTTATGGTGGACATCATTGAATAATTCATGGGCTTTTTCCTAATTCTCCTTAGTCTTTCTAGAAAACAGGTCAACCTGTGTTTTGACTGCAGTGGCCCTGATCTGAGTTGAGGTCCCAGTGGGGATCCTATACTGGAGACAGCTTGCTGGCCGGTAGGGAATTTTTCCCTTTCTTTGGCTGTCATTCTATCATTTACTTGACTAAGATACCAGCTATCTCCAAACTCTCAGGCTGCAGCTAAAGCTGCATTCTTTTCATTAAAGGCCAGGGTTTCATCTAACAATAGCATGACATCTCTCCAAGTGAGATTGAAGGTTTGCCCTAGACCCTGTAGGACATCTATGTACCTATCAGGATCATCTGAAAACTTCCCCAGGTCTTCCTTGATCTGCTTTACATCAGAGAGGGAGAAAGGGACATATTCCCCGGTTGGGCCAAATTCCCCTCCCCCTACAGCTTGAAGGGAACATAACTATAGCCAGGGGATTGTTGTGGTCCTTTGGAGATTTCTTTGCTTATTTCCTTCTGGGCAAGGGAGATTAGAAGAGGCTTATCATTAATAGGAAGGGGAGCTATAGGGAGGCTAGGATATGGGGGTAAGCTGAGAGGTCCTCCTGTGGGATGTAAATTGCAAGCTTTGCATAGTTGTGTATTCTCCTTCAATGAAAAGAAAGTTTGGACATAAGGTATTTGACTCCATTTGCCTTCCCTCTTACAGAAAAAGTCAAGCTGCAGGATAGTATTGTAATTTATACTTCCCTCAGGGGGTCATTTTTCCCCGTCAGAGAGAGAATATTGGGGCCAGGCCATAGTGCAGGAAAAAATGAGCCACCTCTTTTTCAGGGTTTGCAGGTCAAATTGGTCCCAATGGCTTAGGATGCATTTCAAGGGTGAGCCTGTTGATGCCTGAGTGTTTCCCATCTGAAAGGTAAAAAAACCACCTATGGTTTTGGTTTGTCTGTTTCTCACCCTGCCCAAGAACCCTCAACAGTCCATGGACCCTGCTGATAGGAACAGTTGCGCTCACCAAAGCAGCAGCAGAAACACCTCTTGCCCAAGAACTCACAACGGTCCCTGGACCCTGCTGATCGGAATAGTTGTGCTCACCAACACAGCAGCAGAAACACTAGTTTTCCTTCTAGACCACAAGGAGGACTGAGGAAGATCAGATTTAGTGGCCCTTACCGACACATTCTCGAAAACCTGCACCCTTGCCTGTCCTCCTAGACCACAAGGAGGACTGAGAAAAATCGTATTTAGTGGCCCTTACTGATGCATTCTCGAAAATCTGTTAGAGTCCTAAGCATTCTCCTGTTAGTATTGGGACTTTACTTGTGTCCTATAAAGATGTTATACCCCAAAAATGAAGTGGAGGGCCATACCCTGGGGGAGGGAAGGGATCTCCAGAGTTGGAAGAGTGATGCCTTTTGTCCTCACTTATATGAATAGGAAGGATACAAATTCTGAGGCTCCCCATATCCTAGCTTCAGGAATAGCTTTTGTTAGGCCTGCTTGTCTGAGGAGGGATCGTAAAATTCTAGATAGTCCCCACTATGACTGGGCTTTGGGCAAAAATTATGTCTTTCTGATTGGTGAGCCCAGGTGCCTAAAGCAGGTAACAGAGTCCTGGAGTTTATACTAGAAATCATTCTTATAGGACAAACTAGAAAGGCACCAGAGACAGGGAGTGGTTTTCAGAAGCCGGACTAGCCTCGGAGAAGAGAGGTGAGAGGAAGTTTGTCTGACAAGCATTAGGACCCAGGAGGTAACGTCAGGATAGGTAGGATAGATGGGTAAGTCTTACTTGGGCAATGTGACTTTGAGACTTCCGCTCATGGCCACAGGATCAACCAACTTGTTGGGACCCCGGAGCTGAATGGCTTTCCTCTCTGTCAACCCTCAGCTCAGCCCAGAAGTACAGGAAAAGCGGAAGCTGGCTCCAGGCAAACCAATGCTCCCAACTCCGAAGAGTCGGGGGTTGTTAGAGAGTCCTTTCCCAGAAAGCCTGACACCAATGTCTTTAGTCCGGCAGCCACACTAGTTGCTTTTAACTGGCCAACAGGTGCCCAGTATTTAGCCCCTGAATTCTAAGGAAAAATAGGACAGAATAGCAAGTGAAAGGGGTCCGATGGTACTCACCACTTGGTGATTGTCCCTTTGCGGTCGCCAAAATGTGTCCAAAATTGGTTCCTTCCAGTGGGTTCTTGGTCTTGCTGACTTCAAGAATGAAGCCGTGGACCCTCACAGTGAGTGTTACAGTTTTTAAAGATAGTGTGTCTGGAGTTTGTTCCTTCAGATGTTCAGATGTGTTCGTAGTTTCTTCCTTCCGGTGGGTTCATGGTCTCGCTGACTTCAGGAGTGAAGCCTCAGACCTTCTCAGTAAGTGTTACAGCTCTTAAAGGTGGTGTGTCCGGAGTTGTTTGTTCCTCCTGGTGGGTTCGTGGTCTCACTGACTTCAGAAATGAAGCCACAGACCCTTGTGGTGAGTGTTACAGCTCATAAAGGTAGTGTGGACCCAAAGAGTCAGCAGCAGCAAGATTTATTGGGAAGAGAGAAAGAACAAAGCTTCTACAGCACGGAAGGGGACCCAAGAGGGTTGCTGCTGCTGGCTGGGGTGGCCAGCTTTTATTCCCTTATTTGGCCCCACCCACATCCTGCTGATTGGTCCATTTTACAGAGTGCTGATTGGTGCGTTTTTACAGAGGGCTGATTGGTGTGTTTACAAACATTTAGCTAGACACAGTACTGATTGGTGCGTTTTTACAGAGTGCTGATTGGTGCATTTACAAACCTTTAGCTAGACACAGAGTGCTGATTGGTGCATTTACAAACCTTTAGCTAAACAGAAAAGTTTTCCAAGTCCCCACTCGACCCAGGAAGTCCAGCTGGCTTCAGCTCTCAGTTTTAGTTGTAAAAATAGGTAGAAAATAATTATTTTTTATTCCAGTTTAAAAACTAGAATTATTGAAAATTTTTTTTCAAAAGAGACAATTTAATATCCACACACAGTTGTTTTGTAGCCAGTTGAGAATAACAGTGAGTCAAGTAGCCCAGGCTATGTTTGCATGTGTGTGTGTGCGTGCACATGCTTGCACATGTATTAAGAGTACAGTGACTGCTGAATGTGGTGGCTCGTGCCTATAATCCCAGCACTTTGAGAGGCTGAGGCAGGAGGATTGCTTAAGACCAGAAGTTCAAGACCTGCCTGGACAACATGGCAAAACTCTACCTCTACAAAAAAATACAAATAATAGCCAGGTGTGGTGGATACATTCATAGTCCCAGCTGCTCAGGAGGCTGAGGTGGGAGAATCCCTTGAGTCCAAGTGGTGGAGTTTGCAATGAGCCAAGTTCGTGCCACTACATTTCAGCCCGGGAGACACAGCAAGACTCTGTCTGAAACACACACACACGTGCACACACACACACACACAGACAAAGAGAACAGTGGGGAGAAAAGACAAATTGATTCTTATTGCAGTAACATATTGTTTTGTGAGCAAGAAACTCCTCAGTTAAATGGTTGTTATGGGGTTTCCAGTGCTGGAGGTCAGAAACCAATACTCCAAAACATGGTATTTTGACATGCTGAACTGAAGAAGCTTCAAGGTCTCTCTGATCTCCCTGCCCAGCCACCATCATATCTCCCAACGCACAGGCTCTACTCTAACTAAGATCCAGATGCACCAAGGAGAACAATTGTTTTTTTCTTCCTCTCCCTGTAAGACCAAGAATGTAACCACATCTCAACAAACTATCAGTTTCACTATCAGTGATAACTATTTACAAGTTAATCAATTGTTCCCTGAGCCATTCATTCTCTCTAGTAATTCGTTATTGCCCTCAAGAGAATTCGTCTACCTTTCTTTCTCCCATAACCTGTTTTGCCAGGATCTAAGCCCCCCATTCTTTCAGTGAGTTTTCAGCAAACCTTTAGGGGACTGAGGGCCTTGGCCCCCATACCACGCAGGACATGGCTTGAGAAATTTACTCTTAGGAATGGGTGCATAGGTCTGAATTTTCAGATTCTCTGTGGCTTCTTCTTAGAAACTTAGTCCCTGACTCTAAAAAATTCTTATTTTTTGACAAGTAAGTAATTTAGTTCTTTCAAATTACACACACACACACACACACACACACACACACACACAAAAGATGCCTTTGAAATATATGTGGTGTTAGGCCTTACTGTATCAAAAATAGAGGCAATGATCTAGTGAGATCCACTGAAAAAAAAAATGGTTTGAGCTAAAAGAGAAATACTAGAAGATCAACATGGTAGCAAAAACGGGAACAAAGAAGATAAGCAGTCAAGCCACTGTACATAATTTTGTTATACTCAAAATAGTGGGGTACTCTTGTTTAAAGATAATATAGTGAGATTTTTAACACTAGTAACTACAACTACCTCACTATATTAACTGACCTTTAAATGTGATTGTCCTTTTCATTTGACCAAATGACATTTACCTCATAAAAGAAGCTATTCATTCATTTTAGACAACCAATATATGAAAATATGCTAAATTGACATTTAGAATTATCTCAAAACACCTTTATGATAACTTATGTTATTTCCATATGATTTGAATTTGAGATTTTAAAATGTATTTTAAATCCATTTAAAATAATAGCCAGATATCAGGTGGTAATTGCAGTCATCTGATAATGATATTAGGATTTTTCTTAACAGCTAAGTAATTGCTTCTTTTCCATGCTGAAGGCAAGTTGTACTTTATGCCCTCTTCAAGATTTACACCTGTATGGCATGAGGTAATGGGGCAGCAGGCTGAGATTTTATGTCCCACAGCACTGTTTTATAATAAGAACTGCATTCCTATGTTGTCCTGATAAGTTGGGAAATAGTGGGAGCAAAGCAGTGGAGAGTTATTGGGTTGCAGATGCTGGTTGACCTATGATTCAGAGCTGTGGGTCTGCCAGCTAGATTTTTTCTTTAGAATGACTTTTTACTACACATGAATGCAACCTACCTCCCCAGTTGCCCCCTTTGCTTCCCAGAACCTCACAAGTCATGGAACACATTAAATAGAAACATTTCAGTGAGCTTCAGGGCCATGAATATCTGCTTTAATTTGACATAAATAAAAAGACTTTGGACACTTTGTGGCTATAATTATATCAAAGAGAGCCAGGCAATTTTATTTTCTGGGCTCATGGAAGTTGAATAATCTAGGTCTTGTTATAAAGTAGAATTCAATCTGAATTGTGTTCTTGAATCCCTGACTTCTTGGAAAAATTTTTTTTAACATGGTTTTAGCATGTTTGACATTGATAACCAAATGCCCTTCCCCCCAAATATTTTCAAAAACAGAAAGTAAACAAGTAGATTTAGAATTAAAAGTATATTTTAAAAAGACCAGACATCTAGTCTCTAGAATCTAAATGGATTTAGGTACACCAATCACTGCTCTATTTCAGTGCTGTGTATGAAATCTGGGCTAACAAGTACCAAGAAGGCCTAGTGAACACTTTTAACGCATTTTGTTAACCTAACAAAGCCTCGGGGGTCCATATATATATATATATCTGTGCTACAGGAAGAACTGCTGTTGCTTCTCATGAAAAGAATGCCTAATTTTAAACACTTAATGAGCTCGGTAGGGTGATCCAAGATTCTGAAGATTTCCATAGACTTAGAGCTAATGAGAGCCAAGTTGCGGGCTGATTTGTATCAGTGGGAAGCTCTGCTTTTTGCTTATCTAAGGGATGGAAGAGAAGTGTATCATGGTTTTTGCCTTGAGGCGATTTTCAGGCTAGCTTTTCCTTAAGTAAAAGTCTTCTCTTTACCCCCAGGGCTTCCTACAGATCAACCATAGATGGAGGCCTCCTTTAAGGTAAGATTATTTTTAGATACACAAACAACTGCTGGAAAAGAGTTACTTTAGTCAAATCTTTCTATTTGGAGACAGACAACTAGAAATGTGCTTAGTTTTATTCCCATTGCCTTGTCTCTACCTCTGTTTTTTTTTTTTTTTTAACTAAATTTAGTCAAACTTGTTGAATTCAAAGACACAGCTTTCCTTCATAAATACTAAACTTATTCAATTGCTTTTAGTTTTCATTGTAACATACTATCCAATTTATCACACCTAAATTATTTCTTCCTGTCCTTTGTTATGAGTTATTTTTGTGAGTTATTTAATATCCAATTGGTACAAATTGGAACCATGGCGTTTCCGTGAAAAATAACCATAGCCTCTCTGTGGGTATTGATATTAAATTTAGTAGTGTTAACAGCATAATAACAACAGGCATAATCAGAATTACTTTGAGCAGAGCATTATCCAACAAGACACTGTAGGATTAGCTATTTTAGTGGCATTAAATACCTGTCATTTTATTCCATCACTTTGCAGTGGGTGGCTGATTGGGATTAGTGGGTAGATTAGTCTTTTTATGGAAATGTTTATATGCATTTAAGAAGTACATCCTAGATGACTGGCTGAGTCCTATACTTATTTATCTTTAATAGTTATGTAGTCTATAGTGCCTACTATTTAAGGGAGAGTGTTCTGGGGAGAGACACCTAGGATTAGAATGCATTTTCAAAAGCTTTTTGTTCAAGGAGATGGATTTATCACAAGTTTTTCCTCTCCTTCCTGTCGCTCTTTCTTGTTAAATCTCATTAAATGATAGAAAAAGATATAATAGACATTGAAATTTGTAAAGAGATTCTCAGGTGAGCAATGCCTAAAACACAATTTCTGGGAGAAAAAAAGCTGTTGAAGAAATGATAACAGGAGAGACAACTGGTCCAGAGAGGGGCCTACTTGCCCTACAAATCCCCAAAGAGCCCAGAATCAGAAAGACCAGTTATGAAGGGGAAAGAAACAAGAAAGCAGTGGGTTAATTAAAAGCCTTTCTACAGAACATTTGAAATCACCAGCACCATGTCCATGCATGGAATGCCTGGTATAGCTAGATGTTTTGCCCAAGGAAAAGACTGAAGGTTTCTTCTGAGAAGAAATTACATGATGTATTTAAGAAGAACTAGTATGGCTAAGGTGAACATTAGAATCCTAGAGAAAAGCCCTGGCACTTGGAATTCCTAGGGTACTTGAGGGCCAGGCAGTCATCAGACCCTGACCATGTGCATCATGCTCTTAAGTAGCATTTAAAAATCTCACTGTTCAGTATGAAGTCAAAGATCATTATTTTAGGAGATCAAGTTGCATGAAAGTGAAAGACAAAAATAAACACCTACAAAAAAAGCCTCCGGGAGAAAAGATAATAAAACTTTCCCAAAATAATCTTTGTAATTAGAACTCAAAGAGATTTAAAAAGAAATTGATAAATTCTCTAAAAAGGTATGAAATGGTCGGTGAAAAAATGAAGAATGAGAGGTCTCTTATGAAACAAAATTATGACACTGAAATACAAAATTCAAAGAAAGTGTTGGGATTTTAATACATGCCACTGTCCCAGAAAATAGAATGGGAAAAAAGAGGTATAAAACATGTGTGAAAACATAAAAGACATAGAAGATCAATGTAATATGCTTAGCAATCCAATTAACGGAAGTTGCAGAGAGAATGGAGTAATTGGTGGACAAAAAATTATCAAGAATACAGGGAAACTTCCACGAGCTTTCAGCATAGAAGGACACACTGACTACTCAGCACAATCCCTGTGGAAAGACCTACACTCAAGCACATCATTGTGAAATTCCATAACAATGATGAAAAAGAGGAGATTCTAAAAGTTTCCAAAAGGAACCATTAGATCACCTACCAAGGAATAATGTTGTGTCTGGAATTGGTTCCTTCCGGTGGGCTCCTGGTCTCACTGACCAAGAATGAAGCCGCAGACCCTCGTGGTGAGTGTTACAGCTCTTAAAGATGGTGTGTCCCTTTGAAAACTGGCACAAGACAGGTATGCCCTCTCTCACGACTCCTATTCAACATAGTGTTGGAAGTTTTGGCCAGGGCAATCAGGCAAGAGAAAGAAATAAAGGGTATTCAATTAGGAAAAGAGGAAGTCAAATTGTCCCTGTTTGCAGATGACATGATTGTATATCTAGAAAACCCCATTGTCTCAGCCCAAAATCTCCTTAAGCTGATAAGCAACTTCAGCAAAGTCTCAGGATACAAAATCAATGTGCAAAAATCACAAGCATTCTTATACACCAATAACAGACAAACAGAGAGCCAAATCATGAGTGAACTCCCATTCACAATTGCTTCAAAGAGAATAAAATACCTAGGAATCCAACTTACAAGGGACGTGAAGGACCTCTTCAAGGACAACTACAAACCACTGCTCAATGAAATAAAAGAGGATACAAACAAATGGAAGAACATTCCATGCTCATGGGTAGGAAGAATCAATATCGTGAAAATGGCCATACTGCCCAAGGTAATTTATAGATTCAATGCCATCCCCATCAAGCTACCAATGACTTTCTTCACAGAATTGGAAAAAACTACTTTAAAGTTCATATGGAACCAAAAAAGAGCCCACATCACCAAGTCAATCCTAAGCCAAAAGAACAAAGCTGGAGGCATCACACTACATGACTTCAAACTATACTACAAGGCTACAGTAACCAAAACAGCATGGTACTGGTACCAAAACAGAGATACAGATCAATGGAACAGAACAGAGCCCTCGGAAATAACGCCGCATATCTACAACTATCTGATTTTTGACAAACCTGAGAAAAACAAGCAATGGGGAAAGGATTCCCTATTTAATAAATGGTGCTGGGAAAACCGGCTAGCCACATGTAGAAAGCTGAAACTGGATCCCTTCCTTACACCTTATACAAAAATCAATTCAAGATGGATTAAAGACTTAAACGTTAGACCTAAAACCATAAAAACCCTAGAAGAAAACCTAGGCATTACCATTCAGGACATAGGCATGGGCAAGGACTTCATGTCTAAAACACCAAAAGCAATGGCAACAAAAGCCAAAATTGACAAACAGGATCTCATTAAACTAAAGAGCTTCTGCACAGCAAAAGAAACTACCATCAGAGTGAACAGGCAACCTACAAAATGGGAGAAAATTTTCGCAACCTACTCATCTGACAAAGGGCTAATATCCAGAATCTACAATGAACTCAAACAAATTTACAAGAAAAAAACAAACAACCCCATCAAAAAGTGGGTGAAGGACATGAACAGACAATTCTCAAAAGAAGACATTTATGCAGCCAAAAACCATGAAAATATGCTCACCATCACTGGCCATCAGAGAAATGCAAATCAAAACCACAATGAGATACCATCTCACACCAGTTAGAATGGCAATCATTAAAAAGTCAGGAAACAACAGGTGCTGGAGAGGATGTGGAGAAATAGGAACACTATTACACTGTTGGTGGGACTGTAAACTAGTTCAACCATTGTGGAAGTCAGTGTGGCGAATCTTCAGGGATCTAGAACTAGAAATACCATTTGACCCAGCCATCCCATTACTGGGTATATACCCAAAGGACTATAAATCATGCTGCTATAAAGACACATGGACACGTATGTTTATTGCGGCACTATTCACAATAGCAAAGACTTGGAACCAACCCAAATGTGCAACAATGATAGACTGGATTAAGAAAATGTGGCACATATACACCATGGAATACTATGCAGCCATGAAAAACGATGAGTTCATGTCCTTTGTAGGGACATGGATGAAACTGGAAATCATCATTCTCAGTAAACTATCTCAAGAACAAAAAACCAAATACCGCATATTCTCACTCATAGGTGGGAATTGAACAATGAGAACACATGGACACAGGACGGGGAACATCACACTCTGGGGACTGTTGTGGGGTGGGGGGAGGGGGGAGGGATAGCATTGGGAGATATACCTAATGCTAGATGATGAGTTAGTGGGTGCAGTGCACCAGCATGGCACATGTATACATATGTAACTAACCTGAACTTGTGCACATGTACCCTAAAACTTAAGGTATAAAAAAAAAAAAAAAAAAAAAGATTGTGTCTGGAGTTCGTTCCTTCAGATGTTCAGATGTGTCTGGAGTTTCTTCCTTCTGGTGGGTTTGTGGTCTTGCTGACTTCAGGAGTGAAGCCGCAGACCTTCGCAGTG
Organism: Homo sapiens; assembly: GCF_000001405.40. Classification (NCBI taxonomy): domain Eukaryota; kingdom Metazoa; phylum Chordata; class Mammalia; order Primates; family Hominidae; genus Homo; species Homo sapiens. The sequence goes on along the minus strand of NC_000001.11, from coordinate 96,140,495 downwards.
AGCGTTACAGCTCATAAAGGTAGTGCAGACCCAAAGTGAGCAGCAGCAAGATTCATTGCAAAGAGCAAAAGAACAAAGCTTCCACAGCATGGAAGGGGACCCCAGCTGGTTGCCACTGCTAGCTTGGGGGCCAGCTTTTATTCCCTTATTTGGCCTTGCCCACGTCCTGCTGATTGGTCCATTTTACAGAGTGCTGATTGGTCCATTTTACAGAGTGCTGATTGGTCCGTTTTTACAGAGTGCTGATTGGTGCATTTACAAACCTTTAGCTAGACACAGAGTGCTGATTGGTGCATTTACAATCCTTTATATAGACAGAACTAAGTTCTCCAAGTCCCCAGCCGACCCAGAAGCCCAGCCGGGTTCACCTCTCAATATCAAATTGGTAATAGGCTTCTCAAAAGCAAATAGATAACAATGGATTAAACAAGAGTCACTGTGTTTACTTCTCCCTAAGCCAGAATTACACATAGCTGATCAAGCTATTACTTAAGTGTGTAAGAAAAATAAAGGTATTTTTCAACATGCAAGAACATAGAAAATTTGAGCCCTTATATTCTTAGGAATGTACTTGATAGATGGAGCAAAAATTACAAAAATACAACCAAAAAAAGAAAAAAGAAAAAAAAATAGAATCCATGGAAAGTAAGAAACAACAAACTCAATCTAGTAAAACAATGAAGAAAAGTTTCAGATGACAACATACACAAGGTGCAGAAATCAACTAGCACAGATCTCTGCAGATCGCCCCAGAAACACAAGCACAAAACAAAAACCAACTAAAAGCAAACACTGCTTTTTATCTAGTCTTTCCCATGTCTATGTATTCTACCAAAATCACATATATTTTGTAATTATCCTCAACTTCTCTGCTTTTTCCTCCATGCCACTTCTAATACATCAGAAAATCTTATAGGCCCTACCATAAAAAAATCCAGCATCTATCTTGATCAAAGTCATTATAGTCTCCCACCTGAACCTTTGCAATATTGTCCGAACATAAATCAGATTATGTTACTCATTTGTTCAAAATTTTCCCATGGTTTCTTATCTCACTTAGAGTGAAACCCAAAGTCCACAGATGATACTTGATCTAGCCTCTTGATACATGTCTGACATCAGTTCCTACAACTATTACCCTCTTCATTCTTCTCCAGCCAAACTGGCTTTCTTGCTGTTTCTTGAGCACACAAATCACATTGTTATCTCAGGGTCACTGGACTTGCTGTTTCCTTTGCTCTTCCCATCAATACCCACATGACATTTTCCTTCACTTCCAACAGATCTAGCTTCAAATATTACTTTATCATGAAAGCCTTACCTGACCTCCCTCTTTAATCGTAGTTCTTATTCTCTTATCCTTGTTTTCTTTTTCTTCACAACACTTATCACCACTTAGTACTGATATACTTATGGTATACTTTTTTTTGTCTCCCGTACCCCAGCTACAATATAAACACCATGAAAGCAGGGATTTTTGTTTTATTAATTGTTGAGACCCTAGCACCTATAACAGAGGCTCACTAAGTATTCATCGAATTAGTAAATAAAAGATTAAGTAAAGACATTTCAAAAGTGTAAGAAAAGGAGAATTCAGGGCTGGGCATGGTGGCTCACACCGGTAATGCCAGCACTTTAGGAGGCCAAGGCAGGAGGATCACTTGAGCTCAGGAGTTTGAGACCAGTCTGGGTAACATAGTGAGACACTGTTTCTACAAAAAAATTAAAAATAAATAAATAAATAAATAATCAGTTGAGTGTAACATCTGTAGTCCCAGCTACTTGGGAGGCTATGACAAAAGGATCCCTTTAGCCCAGGAGTTCAAGGTTACAGTGAGCCATGATTGTTCCACTGCCCTCCAGCCTGGGTGACAGAGGGTAACCCTGCCTAAAAAAAAAAAAAAAAAGAAAAAGAAAAAGAAAAAAGGTGGATTCATTCCAACTTGATTCCAGAAAAATTCACACAGAGTGTTGTGTCATTAAATCTGTAGTGAAGAACACATAATTGCTGCAAACTCCTTGATTCTGAAATAAACTATATTTACATAGCTATAATGTTACAAATGGTGATTAATGGTTTTCATTAGGATCCATCCACAGACAAATAACAAAAGATTTTCTTATGGGTTAAAAACAGAATCTAAATGAAATCTACTTAGACATTGTGAAAGTAAAGATAGATTGTGAGAGATGTTTGGAATGGAGTTGGGAGGAGGGGTGTAGAAAAATGTGGGAAGGTTGATATCATTGTTTTAAAAATGTAGAATCATTGGGAGGCTGAGGCAGGAGAATGGCATGAACCCAGGAGGCGGAGCTTGCAGTGAGCTCAGATCGTGCCACTGCACCCCAGCCTGGGCGACAGAGTGAGACCCCTTCTCAAAAAAAATACAAATAAAAAAATAAAAAAATGTAGAGCTACTGCTATGGGTTAAGAAATAGAGGTTAAAAATACTATTTGAAATTGCAAGCAGAGAAACAGAATAATGTTTTAAGCATTTTACAGAATTGAGGAGAGGGAAAGTGGGGAGTGGTATAAGTACATTAAAGTCTTATCGATCATAGCCTGAGGTAAAAGACAATGTTTAAAGCAGGTAAGTGAAAAAATGGCAGGATGAGTGTTCTATTTAGAGGGATGAGGCAAGTGTGTAAACATCAGCAAAATGAAACTCAGAAATGGTTATATATGGAGACTGCAAAGCAGAGCTGGGTGTGAGGACAACTGAGGCAAGGGGAATGATTACCTGCCTCTACTTGCATTTTAAATGATATGTTTGTATTAATTTAATAGACATAAAAATAAAGCTTTATTTTAAAGCAGCTTTTCTAATAAGAGAGTGACATATGAAAAACATACAAATCGGTCACTCAGGATGCCCAGGGTCTCAATGTTTTAGTGACTCTGCTGCTAATTTTCTAGGTGACTTACAGGTGAGTTATTCAAACAATGTGAGACCAGTTTTTTTAACTGGAAAAAAGACGCAGAACATTTTCCACCTCTCTTATTTTCTGTGATTCTATGATTTTGTTTTCTTCTTCTTCAACTTTGAGAATCTACATAACACATGAACACGATCGGAAGGAAACCCTCAAATTGAAAATTCAGCCCTTTGGCATTTGCAAAGAAAGACATGCTTAGTCTCTGACACATCCTTTATAGCAGCCAACTAATACCTGAACGGAAAATTTGGAGAAAAAATTCATTTTTTTAAGTAAAATCACTGAAGTTCTCTCATTATCTTTTTCAGAAAAGTAACTTTATTCTTTATTATTTAGAGGTGAAAATATGAAAACACTAGCTCAGGCAAACTTAATGTTTTTGATGGTCAATTTTGATAAGTATATTTGCTTATTTCGTAAGGGGCAAACTGCCTTTGGTTTTATACCACCATACATATATTCTGCACTTGGCTGTCCAAGAAAGAGACAACCCACATCTCCTACCAGAGATCATAACCTGCGAAGGCAACATTGTGCCCACCTAAAAACAATTAAGGATTGTAGTATATGAGAGGATCAAAGATTGGTGTATATCCAAGTATTCTCATTGCTTTCTGGCTTCCTTTTAAATGTTTTCTTTTTAAATGATTTTCAAATGCCTGCTTTTTTTTTTTCCTTTTCTTTTTTTGAGACAGAGTCTCGCTCTGTCACCCAGGCTGGAGGGCAGTGGCACAATCTCAGCTCACTGCAACCTCCGCCTCCCAGGTTCAAACAATTCTCCTGCCTCAGCCTCCCAAGTAGCTGGGATTACAGGCGCACGCCACCATGCCCTGCTAATTTTTGTATTTTTAGCGGAGATGGGGTTTCACCTTGTTGGCCAGGATGGTCTCGATCCCCTGACCTCATGATCTGTCCACCTCGGCCTCCCAAAGTGCTGGGATTACAGGCGTGAGCCACCGCACCCGGCCTCAAATGCCTGCTTTTTAAATCAGTTCAAAATATAATGTTCCTTGTTTTCTGTTTTTTTTTTTTTTTTTTTTTTTTTCAGAAACAGTCTCACTATGTTGCTCATGCTAGTCCTGAACTCCTGGACTCAAGTGATCCTCCAGCTTCGGCCTCCCAAAATGCTGGGATTACAGGCATGAGCTGCCTCACCCAGCCAAGATAAATGCTCTCCCTTGTGAAATATTTTATAGGAGGGAGGCTTTGAAACATCTATGTAGTTAACAGGCCCTTTTCACACCCAACAGCAGATGCCACACCACAGTCTAGATTCTTGTCTATATGTTGGAAGTTCAAAATTACACACAAATGCTTTCTTACCTTTCACATTCCTTTAAAGTAACTATGAAGATGAATGAAATGCATTGAAATGCTAGATCCCAAACAGCCAGTATAGCTAAGGAGTGTGATGGTATTAATTAAGTTGCCTGAAAAGAAAGAAACTATTTTAGATAGTCATGCTAAATATGTAATTTAATTAATACCAAAAATTACTGAGGTCAAGGTGATGCTCAGCTGTCAGCAGATTACCTCTTTATTTGAACTTGTCATCTGTAAGCTGATTACAGAACAAATACCCTGTTTGTTCTAAAGAATATTCGTTGCTATGTCTACCATATTAATAGCGCAAATGGACTCCATAATCCTGAGACCAGAAGCCACCCTCAGAGACATCAGAGACATATCACAAGTAAAAATACTTAAGAGGCACAGTGTTTTGGTAATTACTTTTGAGAGCTAAATAGTAATAATTTGGAGCCTCTCAGAAGAAAAGCCGATGAATCTCTCCTATAGGTTTTCAGAGTTACTAGTGTCTTCATTATCTTTTTTCTGGGAATGATCATACTGGAGACATTTGATTAGCAAATCAGCCACTTTGAATTTATAGGGATATTTCAGAACGTTCCACATTCCAAATGGCTGTGTTTAACGTATTAATTATTAGACTGCTAGTTTCATAGTATGTTATGTTATATTACATCAGAATGTAGTATATCATATGAGTAAAAGTACATTGGACATTTACATGCTTCATAAATGAAAAAATACTGTTGTTTTATTATTACAGTACTAACTCATATTTATATAGACAAATAAAATACTCTTAAATAAATATGACCTAGTGATTGTTGTCACTTAAAAAATGATAATCCTGGTGGCTACTTTTCCATCCTTCAAATTAAAACCAGAGGTGGTAATTTACGAATGCCTTGAGTGTATTTCTACTGACTTATTGATTAAAAGGGCAATGTGGGTTTTTCACATAGAACATATGCTGAGGTGGTCCTTTCATTAATTTTTGCTGCTGTTTGAGTTTTGTCTCTTATATGGCTTATATTGGACATTGATTGTGGCAGAAAGAGTTATGTGAGAAACTCTACAAGCTTTCATCCCTTTGTAGTAGCCCTTTTAAGAAATTGTTGAAAGTTAGTAAATATTTCCCAGTAGTATTTCCGAGTGCCCAAATACAGCACCTGCTTTTTGGCTTTACATCATTTTCTATTCCATTTGCTTATCTCTCTTCAGCAAAATAGCATTGCTATTAAGGATGACATTACAATGGAACATTTTATTAGCCCTTAAAACTCTGTTCTTCTTTTTATGGGGATACAAACAATGACGTTATGATCATGTGACAGTCTCATTTGTCTCTCCATTCTAACCAAGGGCACCCTCTGGTGAGTCAGGCTGGCCCCGGGGGCAGCACCACATCGGGGCTCAGGGCTCTTAGAGGCCCAAGAGTGTGACCTGAGGGAGCAAGTTTGGGAAACTGCCTGCAGGAAGGAACAGGAGCAGCTGCCATTCACTGAGAGCAGACAGCAGTGGTGGGGCTGGTTTTTGATTACTTCATGTCACTGATAAAATACGTGACTGTTCTCTGCCATTCAATAAAAGCAAGAATTTTCCCCACAGGGTTTAAAATGTTACTTATCTACTTAATTTTTTAAATATATGGAATGTGTTGTTTTCTCATATTCAAGAATTTCTCATATTCAAAATTAGATTAAAATTGTTCATCATCTTGGGTTTTTTGGGGGTATATGTAAGATGAAGTCAGGAGAGAATTACGTTTGTAAAAGTCCGTTTCTTCCTATTTATTTATAAAAATGCACCATTAAATTTGTCTGAAAATCAAAAACTACCCTTTACCTTAAAGTTATATATATTCTCAGACAACTGGAAAAATATATCAAGAATACCTTTCGGCTGGGCGCGGTGGCTCACGCCTGTAATCCCAGCACTTTGGGAGGCCAAGGCGGGTGGCCTGAGGTCAGGAGTTCCAAACCAGCCTGGCCAACATGGTGAAACCCTGTCTCTACTAAAAATACAAAAATTAGCCGGGTGTGGTGGCGGGCACCTGTAATCCCAGCTACTCAGGAGGTGGCGGCAGGAGAATCCCTTGAACCCAGGAGGCAGAGGTTGCAGTGAGCAGAGATCAAGCCATTGCACTCCAGCCTGGGCGACAAGAGCAAAACTCCATCTCAAAAAAAAAAAAAAAAGAAAAGAAAAGAAAAGAAAACGTGGTACATACACACCATGGAACACTACACAACCATGGAAAAGAATGAAATAATATTCTTTGCAGTTAACATGAATGCAGCTGGAGGCCATTGCCCTAAGCAAACTAATGCAGAAACAGAAAACCAAATACTACTGCATGTCCTCACTTATAAGTGGGAGCAAAACATTGGGTAAACATGTACATAAAGATGGAAACAATAGACACTGGGGATCCCAAAAGTGGGGAGTGAGAGAGGGGAGAAAGGCTTGAAAAAATACCTATTGGTTACTATGTTCACTACTTGGGCAAAAGTAGTAGAGATCGAGACCATCCTGGCTAACACGGTGAAACCCCGTCTCTACTAAAAAAATACAAAAAAATTAGCTGGGTTTGGTGGCAGGCACCTGTAGTCCCAGCTACCTGGGAGGCTGAGGCAGGAAAATGGCGTGAACCTGGGAGGTGGAGCTTTCAGTGAGCCAAGATGGCGCCACTGCACTCCAGCCTGGCGGACAGAGAGAGACTCTGCCTCAAAAAAAAAAAAAACAAAAAAAACAAAAAAAAAACGATACCTTTCAGTTTAATATATAAAAATATCTTGAATTGCATTTAGTGACTACAGAAATTTAGTGTTTCGAGTTGTTTCCTTTAAAGCTAATGTTGAAAACTATAAATACATAGATTAAAAACATACCTTCTAGAAAAATCCAACAATTGAGTATTCATAGATTAAATTTCTATCAATTTATAAATGAAGACACTACTACATGATCTCTCTCTCTCGCAAATATTTTCTATTTTCTTTACCTCTTTTCACCAACTTTAGAAAGCTAGGCTTTGAAAGATGGCAAGTTGATTATTTCTGGAATAGGTAAGACAAAACTAAAATCAAGTGTTTTCTGATTTATTAATGGTATAAAATACATTATAGATACATGTTGTAGTTTATAACAAGTTTTCACACATATTTTCTATTAAATCCTTTAAGGGTAGGTAATTACAAAATGTAAGACCCAGGAGGGAGGAGCCTTGAGAGATTCTATTTTCGTTGCTCTGACTGTAGTTCCTAAAATCATGCCTGGAACACAGTAGTTGTTCAATAAAGCTTTGGCTAATGGAAAAACTAGCATTATCCTCATTTTATTTAATTTTAATTTAATTTAACTTAATTTTTGAGACAGGGTCTCACTCTGTCACTCAGGCTGAAGTACAGTGGTGTGATCTTAGCTCATTGTGGCCTTGACCTCCCAGGCTCAAGCGATCCTCCCAGTTCAGCCTCCTGAGTAGCTGGGTCTACAGGTGCACACCACTGTGCCTGGCTATTCTTTTATTTTTTGTAGAGATGGGGTTTTGCCATGTTGCACAGGCTGGTCTCAAACTCCTGGGCACAAGCCATCCACCATCCTCAGCCTCCCAAAGTGCTGAGATTACAAGGCGTGAGCCACGGCACGCGGCCCATCCTCATTTTAGAATAAATGAATATTTGCTCAACGACATGTACATGAGTGATAGAGCCTGGATTCAAGCTCAGAGCTTCTAATTCCAAATATAGTGTACCTGGCAAATTAAGAGAGTTTGATTTGCAAAATAGAAGAGGTGACGTACAACAAAAGCACGTATAGGAAATGACTAGAATCATTGGAGGAAAGGCTTAAGAACATTGCATCTTGGGGCCGGGCGCGGTGGCTCACGCCTGTAATCCCAGCACTTTGGGAGGCCGAGGCGGGCGGATCACGAGGTCAGGAGATCCAGACCATCTTGGCTAACATGGTGAAACCCCATCTCTACTAAAAATACAAAAAATTAGCTGGGTGTGATGGCAGGCGCCTGTAGTCCCAGCTACTCGGGAGGCTGAGGCAGGAGAATGGCATGAACCCGAGAGGCGGAGCTTGCAGTGAGCGGAGATCGTGCCACTGCACTCCAGCCTGGGCGACAGAGTAAGACTCTGTCTCCAAAAAAAAAAAAAAGAACATTGCATCTTTGGTCATCATTTTGCTGGAGACAGTGGAGGTCGATGGTGATAGAAACAGGGAAACTGACTGTAGGGAGGAGGAGGTGTGGGGAGATGGAGAACTCAAGAGAGGGAGAGTCAGGATTCAGCTCGAAGGAGTGTGCCATTGAGATGGACCCATTAAATTGGAGGAAGGGTCCTGATTCATCTCTTCCCTTTACCCCCTCGCTGAATGATTCCTCTACAGAAAGAGCTTAGACACCCAGGTCTAATTTCAGCCACAATTGAAGCCTAAACAAACAAATAAAACAACAAACAAACAAAAAACCCCCATATAGCTACAAAATATTTATTTATGAGGCTGCTACATCAATAACACTAATTATACTGTAATTGCCAAGAACTGAAATTAATGTGATTTTGTAGAAATCCACAATCAATCTCAGGCCTAATTTCTGTGAATGAATGCACTCTGAACAAAATTCCAGTTTAGAGAGCATATTTTATTCTTAGAGTACTTGGCAAAATGACATTGGGGAGGAGAACTGTAAGATGTAATAGTATACTTCATTCCTCAACTATAAAGGCAATAAAGTCAGTCCATTCAATGCTGCCTGATTATAAGGCAGCTCCTTAATGGTTGCACAGTGAAACTGGTTCTGTGAATTATCAGACCTTACCTCTAGCCATGAGAAAATTCTCAGGATAGCAGACTGAAAAGTTCAGTGATCTCAGCCTCATAATAATATTTCTCCAGCCATACATAGAGGTACAGTAAAATTGAATTATTTTCTGTTAAGATAGTGGGTGTAAATGAGAGACAAACGACTTTTCTGCTGATCTGCTTCAGCATATGGAAACTAAATGTATTTTGCAGGAAGCCTAATGTGAATGTTATGTTCTCTATCTTGGTGGTTAATTTTGAGCAACACTGTGATCTTGAGAAAGGTTTTTAAAATCCACCTCACTTTCGCTGTGTGAATGCTTCTTATCTAGAATGTTATTCTGATATTATGGAACTGGGATAAGGCTAGACCTCTTGTTTGTATTTCAGAGACTAAACAAGAGCTGCTGAAAATAAGGGACCATATTCTAAACATTCAATTTTATCATGGAAAATACTGTTTACACAGTCCACAGTAATGGCAGCTGTTTCAGCTATTTAAATAGTATAATTACACATTTCATTCTGGAGTATAACAGTAACAGTTAGTTTACTAGTAAATCTCAAATTGAATGTACCCGTTCCTATATAAATATGTACAGGTAACCTATCAATAGTTACTGCCAATTATATCTAAACTATAATTTGGTCTTTATTGGAGCTGCACTGCTTGAAAAGAACACCTTTTTTTGAGAATGTTGAACCTTCTTTTACCACCCCCACCCCCCGAATGATGAAAAAAAAATACAGTTGTCAGCATAATGCCTCGACATTCATGATGCCAGCCTGTCTTTACTGGTGTCAGATGTGAAAATAAATAGATATTAAACTGTCAGTCAATGAAATTGCAAAGTCAAGAACAGCTCTAGCTGTGATCCTGTGTGTTCTATTTGATGGACACAGGTGTTTAAGTGTTATGAATTCAACAGGGCCAGGGAACAAGAGAAACATTTTCCAGCAGTTTTCTATTTGCTAAAACATCTGAGATGGACTTTCCTTCATCTCAGGACTTCAGTAGAATCTCAGAGGCTTGAGAAAGTGCCAAGAATTCCCCTACTGTTTTTAGTGCTAAAATGTGAAAAGGCCTCAATTCCTGAAGGCACATTCTGCTATCGCCTGTGCATGCAAGGCCTCCAAAGCCAAATAAAGGGCAGCTTGGTTGGCTTTGAATACACATTCATGACAGACACCAAGACACCCACCTAGTTTATTTATTATTCATAAGACACTTAAAGCTAATCATCTGTCACTAACAAACATTAACACTATTAAATATTAACAATCATCTTACAGCATGCTGAGACCAACTCTTCCTTGTATTTGATGTATTGAAGCAAAGAACATCACATTCACGTATAACTGTTTACCCTTTGTTGTTATTATTATTAGCTAGATCACGGTGGTGGCCCGTGTGAGAGATCTTGTCTGCTTGAAGATACAGATTTCTCTGTTCTCAGTAAGTATCATTAAATTTGCTTCCCAACAAGTATCATTAAATTGTCCTATAAGAAATGCTGCTTAATAATGGCATCATAAATACAACCCTATACTTGAATGTTGACTAGAGGTGTGAAAAAAAGACTTGGATCCTTGTTGCTGTAGGATTCCTATGCGGCATCACTAGCCAGTTCACAGAAAGTGTTCTCAAAAATTCAAGACGTACTAGATGATTTTGATGCAATTCAGCTAGCTTACATGTCTACACTGATCAGATTAAAATGTTGCTGAAGGCTGATAAACCACCATTTATGCACCTGTGATCATTAATTAAAATTATATGTAGAAAATCCTAGGTGAGAGTTTCTCTGAGAATTATCTTGCACTTATAATTCTGTTTTGGTGACTGCTTCTCTAAGGACCTGAACCAACACAGTAGAAAATGCAGTTTAGAAAGATTATTTCAGTGGCTAATTGGAAAATGGAATTTGACAGAAACAAAACTTACCAGATCAGATAAAATGCTGTATTCTCATTCATCTCTTCAAATCAGTATTCATGTTCCGGCATCCCCAAACTTGGGAATGTATCATGTTTGTGGTGACTTGTAACTGAAAGCAGGCTGAGTGCTGATGTGATGTTGGGCATGAGCATCAAAAGACATTGGAGATGCAAAGAACCTTAAGGTGAACTTTATTCTCCTGTTTATGGGAATAAGAGCCTGCCATACCCTTCCTTTCACATGGAGGGTCAACATTATCATCTCATCACCTTTTTGTTGACAATGGTAGGGAATAGTGCCTGTTTTCACCTCCTCATCTCCTTGTCTGTGGTAGATTGTGAAAGTGTCACAATTCTTTATTCCTGCATCCTCCTGCAATATGCTGGCCATTCCTCCCATCAAGAAGTAAAGTCCGTCTCAATAAAAAAAGAAGTAAAATCCATTTTCCTTCCACCTGAATCTTGTTGCCCTTGAGATTGGCTTTGACCAATAGAGAGGAGCAGTGCTGATAGTGTGCCAGCCCCACACCAAGATCTCAAGAGTCCTTGCATGCTTTGCTCACTTCCTTGGATCCCTGCAGAGCTGCCATCTGAGCAAGCTTGGACTAGCCTGCTGGATGATCTGAGACACATGGCCCAGTCACCACTGTCACTCCAGCCGACAGCCAGAAAAATACCAGAAGCTGACTGACAGCTGGGTAAAAATAGCATGTGTAAGTCCAACTGAGTCCTGAAAAATCACACAGCTGTCTGGCCTAAATTACTACCCCACAGAATTGTGAGTAATCAAAATTGTTGTTGTGTTAAAGCACAGCAATAATTTATTTTGATTGCCCTTAGATGTTGGAGTTTCTTAGAAATCTGGACTGAATTATTTTCTCTACTTCTATATGCTGTTCTTGAGTGGTTTCCACCCCTTGGGTTTTCTCATTTTGTATATATACTGATGCCACCTAAACATGTATACATTAGCCCTATCACATATAAGGAACAGCACAATCAGGATGTCTAACAAGCACCCAAAACTTAAAATACATTTTAGTTTTAAGTCACTATTCACCTGTCCTCCAAGTGTTTTGCAATTTTGATAGTCATAAATTTCCATTTGAGGAACTTCAGAGTCATCCTTGTTGCTTCTTTAGATCTTCCTTTCCACACCCAAAGTGACATCCTTCCTTAACTTATGACCACAAAACATCAGCTCAGATCATTGCAAAAGCCCACCAGTCTCTTTGTTACCAGTGTTTTCACATACCTAATAGAGTTGTATTCCTGAAGAGAAATACTATCATGGCATTCTCATGCTTTTTCATTTTACTTTTAAATTTTTATTAGAGATGGGATCTCACTATGCTGCCCAGGTTGGTCTTACACTCCGGGGCTCAAGCAATCCTTTTACTTCAGCCTCCCAAACTGTTGGGATTGCCAGCATGAGCCACCATGCCCGGCCCCATTTCCCTGCTTAAGGCTTCTGCTACGGGTAGTCCAAACACTTTATATGGATTTTAAAATCAGAAAAGCCTGCTCTAACATCTTAGCTTCCTAAATTAATCAGTATCTGACCTTGGGAAACTTTGTAGCCCCTGTGAACCTCAGTTTCTCCATATCTATAATGCACTTTCAAGTCACTCTGACTGTTGAAAGATGTGCTTTATGTTTTTATCAAAGGGACCATTGGCACATAGTAGCTATTTAACATATTTCAACCTAAATTTCACAGTCTGGCTCTAAGTTACTTCTCCAATACCATTCCTTGCTAATGCCTCCCATCAATATTTTTTCCTTCACTCCTGCCCTTGAAATATAGGTATAACTTGGACATACTGTGGGTTCAGTTCTAGACAAACACAATAAAGCAAATATTGCAATAAAGCAAATCACACACAATTTTTTTGGTTTCTCAGTGCATATAACAGTTATGCTTACACTACACCATAGTCTATTAAGTATGCAATAGTATTATGTCTAAAAAAGAGCATATGCTTTAATTTAAAGATACTTTATTGCTAAAAAATGCTGACGATCCTCTGAGGCTATCACTGTAACTCCAACCGACAGCCAGAAAAATACCAGAAGCTGACTGACAGCTGGGTAAAAATAGCACGTGTAAGTCCAACTGAGTCCTGAAAAATCACTCAGCTTCAGACTCATAATCTTTTTGCTGGCAGAGGGTCTTGCATCAATGTTGATGGCAGCTGACTGGCCAAGGTGGAGATGGTGGAAGGGTAGAGTGGCTGTTGAAATTTCTGAAAATAAGACATCTATGAAGTTTGCTGTATCAGTTGAGTTTCTTTTATCAAAGATTTATTTGTAGCATGCAATGTTGTTTTATAGCATTTTGCCCACAGTGAACTTCTTTCAAAATTTTAGTCAATTTTCTCAAACTCTGCTGCTTCTTATTCATCTATGTTTATGTAATAGTCTAAATCTTTTCTTATCATTTCAACAATGTTTACAGTACCTTTACCCAGGAGGAGATTCCATCTCAGAAAACCAGTTTGTTTTTTTTTTTTTTTTTTTGCTCATCCGTAAGAAGCAACTCTTCATCTGTTCAAGTTTTGTTATAAGGTTGCAGCAATACATGTTCAGGCTTCACTCCTCATTCTAGTTCACTTGCTATTTTCACCAGTTACTTCCTCCACTAAAATCTTGAACCTATCAAAATCATCAATGAGGTTTGGAATCAACTCCTTCCAAACTCTTGTTAATGCTGATATTTTGACTCACTCCCATGGATCACAAATGTTCTTAATGGCATCTAGAATGGTGAATTCTTTCCAGAATATTTTCAGTTTACTTTGCCCAGATTCATCAAAGGAATCACTATGTATAGCAGCTATAGCCTATATGTATTTCTAAATGTATTTCTGAAATACTGTACTCGAAAGTCAAAATTACTCCTTGATTTATGGGCTGCAGAATGGATGTTGTGTTAGCAGGCATGAAAACAACATTAATCTCCTTGTACATCTCCATCAGGGATCTTGGGTGATCAGGTGAATTGTCAATGAACTGTAATATTTTGAAAGGAATCTTTTTTTCTGAGCAATAAGTCTCAACAGTGGGCTTAAAGTATTTAGTAATTCATGCTCTAAACAGATGTACTGTTATCCAGGCTTTGTTGTTCCATTTATAAAACACAGGCAGAGTAGATTTAGCATAATTCTAAAGGGCCCTAAAATTTTCAGAATGTTACATGAGCAAATAAATAAAGTCATTAGCCCCTAACAAAAGAGTCAGCCTGTCCTTTGAAGCTTTGAAACCAGGAATTGACTTCTCTTCTGTCACTATGCAAGTCCTAGATGACATCTTCTTCTAGTGAAAGACTGTCTAATCTACTTTGAAAATTGAGGGTTTAGTGTAACCACTTGCACCAATTTCTTAGTTAGATCTTCTGGATAACTTGCTATAGTTTTGTTTTGTTTTGTTTTGTTTTGTTTTTTGAGATGGAGTCTTGGTCTTGTCACCCAGGCTGGAATGCAATGGTGTGATCTCAGCTCAGTGTACCCTCTGCCTCCCGGGTTCAAGCAATTCTCCTGCCTCAGCCTCCTGAGTAGCTGGAATTTTACAGGCATGTTCCACCATATCCGGCAATTTTTTTGTATTTTAAATAGAGACGGGGTTTCACCATGTTTGCCAGGCTGGTCTCGAACTCCTGACCTCAGGTGATCCACCTGCTTTGGCCTCCCAAAGTGCTGGGAGTACAGGCATGAGTCACCATGCCTGGCCAACTTTCTGTAGCTTCTACATCAGCACTTACTACTTTGGCTTCCACTTTTATGTTATGGAGATGGCTTCTTCCCTTAAACTTCATGAACCAAACTTGCTAGCTGCCAACTTTTCTTCTGCAGTTTCTCTCACCTCTCTCAGACTTCATAGAATTGACAAGTTATGGCCTTGCTCTGGATTAGGCTTCAGTTTAAGAGAATGAATCTTGTGGTTAGTTAGATCTTCTATCCAGACCACTACCCCTTTCTCCATATCAGCAATAAGGCTGTTTTGCTTTCATATCATTTGTGTGTTCACTGGAGTAAAGCTTTTAATTTCCTTCAATAACTTTTCTTTGATTTCACAGCTTGGCTAACTATTTGGCAAAAGAGGCCTAGCTTTTGACTTATCTCAGCTTTCAACATGCCTTCCTCACTAAGCTTACTCATTTCTAGCTTTTGATTTAAAGTGAGAGACATGAGACCCTTCCTTTCACTTGAACACTTGGAGGCCATTTTGGGTTTATTAACTGATTGAATATCAATATTTTTGTATCTCAGGGAGTAGAGAGGCCCAAGGAGATGAAAAGAGACAGGGGAATGGCTGGTGGGTAGAGCAGTCAGAACACACGTTTATTAAGTTTGCTGTCTCATATGGGCACAGTTTGTAGTGGCCCGAAACAATTAAAATAGTACCATCGAAGATCACTGATCACAGATCATCATAACAGATACAACAATAATGAAAAAATTTGAAGTATTGCCAGAAATGCCAAAATGTGACATACACACCAAGTGAGCACATGCTGTTGGAAAAATGGCTTGGATAGACTTGCTGGAGACAGGATTGCCAAAAACCTTCAATGTGTGAAAAATGCAATTATCTGCAAAGCACAATAAAGCAAGGCAAAATAAAATGAGAAATGCCTGTATCAAATATATGGACCATGCTTGTTTTAGCATCAGTTCCTAATTAGTCTGCCTTATATTTTTATTGACTTTAAGATACTTTTCACATCTCTAATATGAGTATATGTCCTACAATTAATAGCCTTCCTTAGTTTAATTGGTAGCTTTGTTTTGTTGGTATGTTTGTTTTTTGTATCATTTAAATATGGTAAACTTGACTAAATCAAATGTAATATTTGCTTCCTGATTCCGTGTCTTTGTATATGCTTTAATTTTTCCTAAAATAACTTCTTTTTCTTAACTTCTAGGTAAAGTTTAGGCTTTTCTGATTTTCTCAGGCATTTTCCTCTACTCTTTCCCGTGATTCAACAGCTCACTTTTTATAACTCTCTATTTTCTTGGAGTTAGCCAACTTTTCAGGTAGAGGAAACACAATCTACACAAGACACTCATTTCTGACACAAACTGCAAGTTCTAGGGGGTCCAATTTCAATAATTCTCCAGAAGAACTCTCAGAGCTCACTGAAAGCTGTAATGTAACCATTGGTAAGTATGGTTTATTGCAAGAAAAAGATTCAGATTAAAATTACGCAAGGAAAGAAGGGTATAGGGTAGAGTCCAGCAAAGTACTAAACATAGAGGTTCTGGTGATGTCTCCTCATGGAGTCAGGGCATGTTGCTTTCCTGGCATTAATATGTGACAATATGCACGGAGTATCACCAGCTCAAGAAGTTCCCCTGAGCTATGGCATCCAGAGTTTTCAATGGAGTCCCATAAGGTAAGCATGATTGATTGATTAATTTCTTTTATGGTGGCTCTCAGTCTCCAGGTCTACTGATACTCTTTTGACCCAAAGCTCCTACCCTAAATCACATTGCTGTTCTTCTGGCAAAGTTAACTCTTACTCTAAATACTATCTGGTATGGCCACCCTCTACCCAAAATCATATTGTCACACAATCCAGTATGACCTCAGGCAAAGACACTTCTCTCAGGCATGACATTCCAAGGGCTTAGAGACTACCTCCCATAAGCCAAGGACAAAAGCTACATTTCTTTTATACAAGGTTAAATTTTGTACTATACAAATTACATATTTACTATAAATAATTATTTGTTTGTATGTCTTTTCTCTGTATACTGTATGTTTCTAGAAGATTCAGAGCACCTTAAAATCTTCTGTTTTAAAGACAGCTAGGTCTTTATTCAAATCCTAGATCCATTGCTTACCTGCAGTGTGACCTTGGACAGCTTATAAAACCTTGGTTATCTTATCTAAAAAAAATAGGTAAAATTATACTGTATTATAGGAATATTCTAAGGATTGAATTAGATAATATACATGGAATATATATCCCAATGTCTAGCCATGGTAATCACTTAATAGGCAGTGGCAAATTATATGATTATTATCACTTTTCCCTTCATATCCACATGGATTATAATCAACATTCTAATCCTTTTATTAGGAAAAAGGAAGCAAAAATAACAGAGGAAAAAATAAGCTTATGTAGCTCATGGACTGAATCAAGCTTCATTAAATATCATATTTCAATCATCTAATTTATATTCAATCCATGAGCTACTAACTCTAGATTTTAGATTGTTATTTCTAAAATAATATACCTATGCTTATCAAAATATTAACACCACTGTAAGAGGAAAATTATAGCTAAAAGGCATCTTCTCTTACCAATAATTTGGAGAAGAGAAAAGAAAAAAGGTATCTTCTTCATTAGAGAAAATTTTTCTTTAAAATTAAATCAAGAACATTTGTAAAAGCAAGCTGAAATTTTAGGGTTTGTGGTTGAGTATGAAAAACGGAATGCTTGATTTCAGATGATTTTATAAGAAATCTCCATCTTCCCCCCAACGGAGAAACTTTCCAAGCATTGACATCAAGGGCACATCCCACTCTGCTTGATTACCCACAAAGTAGGCAAGAAAAAAAAGATTTGTCTCAAGATGGGCATGGTTTAAAATATTACCTTAACAATTTATGCTGGCTTTTCAGTTCCAGGAAAATTTTAAACAAGATAAAATAAACTTATTTCTTACCACAAAAGCCCACAAATTCATGATAAAATGTAACAATCATCCTTGTAAAGGCTAAATTTGTCAGAAAGCTGGGAAAATCTCTGGGACAAGAAATGAAGAAAAATGAGCACCAGAGCTGAAGGCAAATGAGCTGTTGCTGAAGCCACACTAAGAGAGTTTTTCTACTGAGTAATCTACAAATTCTTGAGTTAGCATCTGGGTGGAAATAGGAGACCAGATTCTGGACCCATTCAATGTGGAGAGTGGGAACTGAGACCCACTCTAAAACTTAGGACTTGGAAGGTACTTAATGAAAAAATATGAGAAAATGGAGGGAAGGGGAAGAAAATCTGCTGCCAGCACAAGGCATCTGTAAAGCAACTTGAAACTTGCCCATTTTGGCCTGGGATCTAGGTAGAAAGAATGTCTACTCAGAGATTTTTACCTGAACATTTACCTTCTTTATGGTCTGGAATTTAAGTTTAGGCTATGTCTGGGAGTCTAGAAATCTTCAAACTTAAAAAAAAAGTCATACAAAATTATTTTCAGACTGGTGACACTTCTGTAGCATCTGTAATACACACATTCAAGTCATTTCAACCATGCAACACGGGACTCCCACAGATAAAGTCCAGCTGAATATAACCTCACAATTCAACATTATAAACATATAAGAAAATAATCCATTATGAGAAGAGTCAGCAGGCATAGCAGACATTAGTATCAAACCCCTATGAATTTCAGATTTAGAACTAAGAAATTTTAACGTAAGTATGTTTAAAATTTATTGAAATGTAAAAGGACTATAAACATCCAATAAGACAGTATCAACAAGGAAAAGAAAACAACCATTAAAAAGATCCAATAGAATCACTAGAAAAGAAAAATATAGTCAGTAAAACCAGAAATTCGATGGGAGAGTTAATGAGCATATTACATACTGCTGAACAAGATCAGAAAAATGGAAAATAGATCTGGTGAAAGTGCCTTCTGCCACATAACGTAACATTTACAGGTTCCAGAGATTAGGGATGTGGATCCTTTTAGGGGCCATTACTCAGCCTACCACAAGAGGTAGTAGCTAAGACTGTTTCAGATTTAGTAAAACATGTGATGAACAAGTCCTGAGTATAGTTAAATAAATACATTTATAAGTGAATTAATAAATTGACATGTAGCTATAGGTACATCATAGTAAAACTGCAATGCATTAAATAAAAAGCAAAAATAGAAGTAACTGTCAATACAAATTTTACACAGATAAGTTTTCACCTAAGAATTAGTGTAGCATAAAATATTTCTGAACAAAGATTGTTAGGTTTAATCTCACTCATAGATCCTCACAGAAAGAGATCCAAAATGAAAAAAATTCAGGAAGAAGAAACTAACAAAGGAAAGGGTGAGATGCAAGAAACAGAATGAAAAAACTCTAGAAAGAAAGAAGTGAGACACACACACAGAAAATAATAGCAGGTAAATAAACTGAGAAAACATAAGCACATGTAAATAATTCCTGATAGTGCAAAACTAGTAAGTTAAGCACAGCTATTCATTGTGGAAATAAAAGTTCAAGCAACAATACATGTCAAACTGAAGGGTTTCAAAGTTAATGCCTTAAGACCTTTGTACTGATTGAGAATAGATAAGGATTATAATACAATTTAGAATAATTGCTCATCAAGATATAATAAAATTTGAATGATAGCCACACAATGAATAGAAATAAAATGAGCAGTAAGTCAATAGAGGAAGGAGGGAGAAGTAAAAGCATAAATGTATAGAGCTAGAATTCAAGAAAGAAAAAAACAATCTCTGTCCCCTAAAAAAGACATGATATATAGAAAGCAAAATATAGTATAATAGAAATATGTCTAACCAGGTCAGTAAACAAATAAATGTGAATAAACTACATTTAACAGTTAAAAATGAGAGATTTTTGAGATTGGTTTAAAATATTTTCTTGTTACTTGCATAAGGCGTGCATAAAACATATGAGCATAAACAGTTGAAGTAAAAAGATGGCAAAAATACAACAGGCAAATTCTAATGAAAATAAAAACTGTGGCAGCTCTATTAATATCAAATAGAGTTGAAACCATTTTTTGTGATAAAAATTTCACAAGATGAGAAAAAAAAACAAAATTATTTGCCAAGGAAATAGAGAAATTCTGAACATTTTAGTGCATAATAAGATAGCCTTGAAATATATCAAGAAACAAACTGATATAATTATAAGGAGGAATTGATGATTAGTCTACAATCTTAATGGCTGAGTGTAACAAAACTTTCTCAATAATTGGTTGATTACACAGAAAATATGTAACTATATGGAATATCTGACTAGTCTAGTTATCAAGTATATCTTGACAGATTTGTATGTATCCTGGGCATTATTCTCAAGCACAAATATAACATTCATGAAAATTGATGTAATACACTTTAAAGCAAATCAAACTGATAGCAAAAATCAATATAATATAGACCATGTTCTCTAATTAAAACACAATTGAATCACTACATCACCATGAACTCAATAACAAAAAGATAACCAAAATCATTGCATCACCATTTGAATCAATAAAAATGATCACTGAAGCAATTTCAAGAAAATTCAAACACAAATGTTTAAGTAATCCATGAGTCCAATAATAATAATAATAATACATTTTCACCCTTTTTAAAATTGATTGAAAATAAAAAGATTACATATCAATACTTATAGGATACCATTAAAGTAATTAAGAAAGTGATTTTTGTCTTTTAATGTTTGTTAGAAAAGATTGACTTAAAATCAATTAGCATACCAATTTAAAAAATAAAAAGAGAAGGTAAATCACAGAAGTATAATAAAGGAAATAATAAAAGCTGGGCACAGTGGCATGTGCTTGTAGTCCCAGCTGCGCAGGAGGCTGAGGAAGGAGGACCACTTGAACCCAGAAGTTCAAGTGATTAACTTAAATTGGTGTGCCAAGGAAGATAAGAATGGTTTAACACTAGACAATTTCTCACAATGAAAGATTTAAAGAGAAATAGCCAAATCAAGATACAGAAAATACAACATATACTAATGATGAAAGTATAACTATTATCAAAGTAGAAATAGAAGTATAATTTCTAACTTAATGAAGTGGTTTTAATTAAAACTATAGCAAACATACATAATGGTGAAATACTGAAACAGCAGCTTTTTATTTTAAAGTCAGGATCAAGACAGAAGTCTTGATATCATTGCTTTGAATCCTAGAGGATTAGAGTGTCTGAAAGAGCCTAACGGAAAGAAATAGGAAAAAGAAATAAAATATATATGGGTGGAAAAAGAAGAAATCAAAATTTCATTTTTCAGAGACAATATGATTATCTGCATAGAAAACCCAAAATAATGTATAGATGAATTATTACAATCAGTAAGATCATTAAGCAGGTATTCTGAACACAAATTCAATATTAACAAATGAATTAGAAAATGATAAAATTTGGAATTAGAAATGCTAAAAATTGTCATTTAAAAAGGGCACAAAAACCGAAATGAACATAGTAACACATTTCACAAAAGATGTTCAACTTTTATGTAGAAAATAATAAAAGAGTATTGAAAGACATAATGAAGGCCAAAGAAATGAAGTAATTCAATGTGTTTGTGGGTGGAAAGCTTCAACATTGTTAAAACATTTAGTTTCCCCAAATCAATGTATAAGTTAAATATGAACTTAATTTTAAAAACAGATTTTTTAATGGAATTTGACAAGCTCATTCTAAAATTATATGGAAATGTCAAGACCAATATTAGCCAAACATCTTTGAGGAAGTACAAGGTGGGAGGATTTGCTGTATCAAGCTCCATAGAGTTACAATGATCAAACATTGTGATATATGATATTGGTATAGAAAAATATTTTTGGAAAAGAATAGATTACCTAAAAACAGACCACTGCAACTTACTATAATAATAATATAGTAATAGCAAGTTATTATACTGTGTATTCCAGAAATGATATTGCATAACAGAAGGGAATTAACAATTTCACAAATAAGAAGATTATGCTTTAATTATATCCCTACCTCACTTAACTTATAAAAAAGTAATTCCAACTGGATTTAAGGTCTAAATGTGAAAAGCGTAATCTTAGAAAAAAATGCAGGAAAAGAACTTTATGACCTTTGAATAAAACACAAAAGCATAAGCCTTTAAGGGAGATAAATGATACATTCATCACATCTAAACTAAAAAGTGTCTATGTATTATATGATACTGAAAACATAGTGAAAAATATGATACTTAGTTTGCCTTATTTACCTGAGAACTTCTAAATCTTAACTTCCTGCCTTCATTTTTTTCACTATGAAATCAACAACATACATAGCTAATACATTGTATAACTTTATTTAAATTCTATTTGAAATTATTTGTTGAGCACGCTCCATGCCCAAGGCTCTGAGACACATAGATGGCAGTGCACTAACAAACCTTATTTGTACCTCCCTCACCCAGGCCTTGGCTTTTGGTGGTTACAATTAACATCCTCAAGGATATGTACTTTATTTTTGAAGCTTTAAATTCTTTTCTAAAGACTTCAGCAAGGAAGTTTGATTTCAGATCCCTGCTCTTTTTGGAGTTCAATTTGTGACTTGAGAATGTGATGAGATGCTACCTAGCTTTTATTTGATAGACGTGTTATTTTGAATGCCTGGTAATGTCACATGCTCACCAAACTCAGAACAGCTCTATCAAAAGATTCAAAACACCTCTACTGTAATTTGCTATAATTCTATCCCTTCCCCCACCCCCACCCCCTTTTTTTTGGCCTAGCTCATTCTCTTCCTTGGTAATATTCTTAATTGAGATTTTATTTCATTCATTAAGTGAATTCCCAGCTTAAGTCATATTTATTATGCTGAGAGAAGCTGATTATTTCAATCCATGGTTATTATACATGTATGTTTTGCTTTAATAGCCCAGGGAGCATGCACAGGGACAAATGTAAACTTGTTTATGTGTATGTGTTGTATGACTTTTTTCACTTACTATACATATACATAAGCAGCCTTGAAAGGAAAGCAATAGCTCCCATTTCTGCACTAATCACACCATAAACTTTTCACTATAATCTTGTTTCCCCCTATAAAGCTAGTCCTAATTTGTCTTTTCTTTATCTCAAAATTCCTAGGCTGTCAAGGCAAGTTACTCTTAAAAGGACTCTGAGAATTGCAGTCAAGAAAAAGATATATTAAAGTATCATTATTCAAACATAAAAATTTAATAAAAATGTTAACAAGGTTTCCCCAAGGTGGGGGTGCTTATTGTTTCCTTTTTTCTTAACAGCACAATTACATGTCTACAGCTAGAGGTCAAGTATAACATATAGCATTTGCTATTTAAAGGCAATATGTGAGAAAGGATACTACATATTCTTTGTAGTATTTCTTATGTATTACTACAAAATTACATAAGAAAGTTGTATAATTCACACAACTTTGAAACTCTTAATGTTTCACAGTTTCAAAGTGAAATTCAATCATGAATGATGGCAATGGCTTTTTCTTTAATTTGTGACATCTAATCTTTACTTTAGGCTTTGTCAGTCACATCTCACTATGTGTCATTGCATGTGCCCTGACACAATACATCATGGTCAAGGTGATCCAATATTGTGTGACATTTTTTAAAAAAAGGATATTAAGTAGTGGCAGAAGATAGGCCTGAAACACATCAATGTGGGCCCAAGAGGCATTGTTCTTCACGAACGGTTTGCTCTCTCAGAGTCTGGCTGGAAGAATTATTATTGTCCTTTATATATAAACATCCTTATCCAAATAGTTTCCTCTTATGTCTAATATATGCATTCCTGTCATATGAAAGCTACTTGCTTAAGCTGCTTTTCTGTCTATTTGTAGTCTGTTCAGACACACAGTCCTCAGCAGGAGTCCAGCTCCATGATTCATTGCCTCAGATTTCCTATGGAGCTTACATGATGCTCGCTCAGCCCCATACGGTTTTGTATCCATTTTAACCAGGGACAAGTAAGCAGGGCTCAGGAGTGTGAGCATCTATCTAAGAATAGCTCCCCGACGCCTTGCTTTACTTACAATAAATGAACAATGAACTCTTTACATGCTAACCCTGTATGGAGAGGAGACATTATAGGAGCTTGCTTGAGTTAAATAAGGGAAGGAGCATTTAGAGTGAAGCTCTATAAACGAGCAGGTCAATAACTAGTTTACAGAGACCAGGGCACCTGGCTAATGGGAGAATAAAGAATAATGCCTGTCACAGAAGAAGAAAGATGCTGTCCTGGTTTAGTGTTAAATAATTACATTCATTATACTGAGAATAGCTCTGCAAGTGGTCGGTTGCACTTGTTAATTCATTAGCAAAACTAATCGGCAAACCACAAACAACAATTGGGGGTAAATTTAACCAATTCCAATAGAAGGTTTGGCAAAACAGGATTTTCGTTATACTAGAAAGGGAAAATTACACTGGAAAGCTGCATATGTAATTGTGTTCATTTCTTACTCTGTCTTGAGTTTTAATATGAAAGAAGGAAATCATAGCTGAGGCAGAGAGAGGGCATATGTACAAATTGATGGCCCCATTGAATTATTTCAGAAGACCTAAAACATGCCAGCTTCATTGTTCTAACAATGAACAGAAAGCAGACTCTAATACTAAGACCTTTTTCACTATCTTTCTTTCTTTAATCTGTGGTTGTAAAATTATATAATTAAATATAATAATGCATGTTTCATATATTAGATAATAACCATAGTATAATTCCTGCATAATAATATAACTTAGACCTATGTAACCATGGGAACCTTGGATTAGTTTTACTTATTGACCAAACCATGTGAAACTTGAGTGGTTCAACTGTGTTTTATGCAGTACTCTGGTGTAATTAGAATGGTTTTCATTATTTTATGTAATTAATTTATTAAATTTATGTGTTCAATATGCATCATAAGTTTAGACAAAATCCTACAAAAGAAACGGTAAAACAGTAACTTGCTTCAGTTGGGAGACAAGGAGCAGTTTAATGATCAGGGATATTAAGACTCTCTAAAGTGTGTATTAGTCCATTTTTATACTGCTATGAGAAATACTCGAGGCTGGGTAATTTATAAAGAAAAAGAGGTTTAATGAACTCATAGTTACACATGGATGGGGAGGCCTCATAATCATGGTGGAAGGTGAAGGAGGAGCAAAGACACCTCTTACATGGCAGCAGACAAGAGATCATGTGCAGGGGAACTGCCCTTTATCAAACCATCACATCTCGTGAGACTTCTTCATTATCACGAGAATAGTATGTGAAAAATCTGCCCCCCATGATTCAATTACCTCCCACCAGGTCCCTCCCATGACACATGGGGATTATGGGAGCTACAATTCAAGATAAGATTTGGGTGAGGGCACTGCCAAATCGTATCAAGTGGACATCTATTTTTTGTATTTCTGGAAAGAAGACTTTTTTTTTTTCTTTCAGAGAGGAAGAGAGAATTCAACTTGAAATGCTAGGAAAGGAAGATTGAGGGATAAAATCTAAAGAGTCTACTGAGCCTGGTAGCTTTACTCTGTGTCACCACAGAGCACCACTATTCATCTAGAATTCCAAAAAACCAATTCAAGTAATCTTTTAAATTCAGAGGAATATCACTGATTTGATCCATTATAGATATTGTATTACCCAACAATTCTTAGCCAAATAAATAACAAATATATGTCAAGATCATTGTAGAGTAAAAAAATTCTTAGATAGAATTAGATATGTTTAGAACGGTTTTAGGTTCACAGAAATATTGAGTGGAAGGTACAGAGATTTCCCATACACCTGCTTCCACCACACAACACAGCTTTCCCCACTATCAACATCCTCACCAGCATGGTACATTTGTTAAAATTGATGAAGCTACACTGACGCATTATAATCACTGAAAGTCCATATTTTGCATTAGTGTTCACTATTGGTGTGGTACATTCTATGCATTTGAACAAACATAATGACATGTATCCACCATTATGGCATCTATATTTATAATTTTTAGGGTAGTGAAACTAAGAAATATAAACTACTGAAACAGCAATAATTTCACTACCCTAAAAATCCTTGTGCTCTGCTTATTCATTCCTCCATTTGGCCTCCTCTCAGTAACCACTGATCTTCTCATTATCTCTATAGTTTTGACTTTTCCAGAATATCATATGGTATGAAACATACAGTATATAGCCTTTTCAGATTGGCTTCTTTCACTTAGTAATATGCCTTTAAGTTTCTTCCTTGTCTTTTCCTGGCTTGATAGCTCATTTGCTTTTAGTGCTGAACCGAACTCCATTGTCTGGATGTACCAAAGTTTATTTACGCATTTACCTACTGAAAGACATCTTGGTTGCTTCTAAGTTTGGGCAATTATGAATAAAACTGCTATAGGGCCAGGCATGGTGGCTCATGCCTGTAATCCCAACACTTTGGGAGGCAGAGGTGGGTGCATTGCTTGAGGCCAGGAGTTTGAGACCAGCCTGGCCAACATTGTGAAACACTGTCTCTACTAAAAATACAAAAAATAGCTGGGCGTGGTGGCAGGGGCCTGTAATCCCAGCTACATGGGAACCTGAGTCACGAGAATCACTTGAACCTGGGAGGCAGAAGTTGAGGTGAACTGAGATCATCCCACTGCACTCCAGCGTGGGCAACAGAGTGAGAGCCTGTCCCTCCCCCCACGCCACACAAAAAAGCTGCTATAAACACCCGTGTGAATGTTTTTGTGTAGAGATGTTTTCAAATCCTTTGGGAAAATACCAAGAATTTGGATTGCTGGATGGTGTGGTAAGCGTATGTTTAGTTTTATAAGAAACTGCCCAACTGTCTGTTTTTCAAAGTGGCTATACCATTTTGCATTCCCACCAGCAAAGAATGAGCATTCCTATAGTTTCACATCCTCACCAGCATTTGGCGTTGTCAGTGTTCTGGACTTTGCCATTCTAGAAGGTGTGTGGTGGTATTTTATTGATGTTTTAATTTTCATTTTCCTGATGACATATGACAAGATGTGGAGCATCTTTTTCATATGCTTATTTGACATCTGTGTATCTGCTTTCCTATGCTTATTTGACATTTGATGATGTGTCTGTCGTTGCTCCATTTTTTCTTATCACTCTCATCTCAATTGTTCATTTACTCACCTGTTTGTTTTATCAGACTGTGAAGTCCTCATGGGCAGGGAATATATCGTTAGTAATCATACTTCCTAATGTATAAGGGCAAATTGGATGGAAAGAAGAAGAGGAAAAATAATACAAGAGAAAGTCAGAAGGCAAAGTGGTCTATCAAATAATATTGTTAGGGAGTAAGTTTATGGAAGGGCATTTGTAGCCACTGTTATTAATATGAAGCCTTCAGGCCAAAGTGACAATATGTATATATTTTGTCTTTCCATACAACAATCTCAAAACCAATTTTGTGCAAATAAGTTGTGAAGATGAGTTTGCTATCTGTGCTTTGGGTTGGATACATGTGTTTGCTTTTCTTCTCAATAACTAACTTAAATCTTAAAGTCCCTAGAGAATCTATCTGAACTACTTGGTGAGAAATTGTGCCGTGTATTCTCTATTGATATTCAAAATTAAAGTAATTTTGAGTAAAGACTCTGAACATTCACACAGGTTTATAGTTTTTTCCTTTGTCACTGTGAAAGTTTATTTTTTTTTTTCCAATTAAGTTTTGCAGTATGTTTGGTTTGGGGTTTCTTAAGACTCATAGAATGGTTACATGTATAACCAGTTCTTACTTTGAATATTGCATTGTGTATTCTGCTTAGTATCTAAAACAGGCAATATCATAGTTATTGCATCTTCAAAAAGTTAATACCTTTGAATGGAATGCCTTATAATAACGAGAGGAAGAGAGAGAGAGAGCACATGGGAATGCATAGCTGTAAGAACTCAAATTTACTTCTAATTGGGATCTTTTTTAGAACAATTATTCTTATCTAGTTACCCCCACACTATAGATTAGATCCCATTATCACTTTGTTTTGCACTGCATTTGGTCTTTTTGGAGAACATAAATACACTATGAAGATTTTTCTCTGCTTTCCGTTAACTTTTTTTCATATGTGTTATAAGGAAGGAAAATGAGGAGAACACTAGTGTGAAGCCTGTATAATTGTTTCAAATATTCATTGTCTGTCTCTGTGAGAGGATTATTCATCACCACCCTTTTGACATACTGTTTGGGTAAATTAATTGCCTTGGCCAAGGGAATGTGAGTGGAAGCGACCTGTGCTTCCAGCTGAAGCTGTCATGAGTTCCATCATCTCTTTCTCTCTCTGCAATGAGGCCAGTGTTTCCAAGATTCTGGCTCTTTTGAGAACTGGATATCAGGATGAGAAGGCCATGGAGCAGGGATGCCTCCAATCCTTGAAAGGCATGTGACATGAGTAGGGAAAATATTTGCTATTGTAAACCACTGAGTTTTTTTCCCTTCATTTAATGATTATTTTTCTAGTGTCTACTGTGACTCTGGGGCTACATCAGTTAACAAAGTAGACAAAAATCTTGCCCCTGTGGAACTTATGTTCTATCAGAGTGACATGGATAATAACATAACTAAATAATATAGTGTATTAGATAGAAATAATATGATGAGGAAAAAATTAATCAGAAAAGAACAGTGGCTATGGAGTCATGAGGATTTAATTTTTTTTTTTTTTTTTTTTTTTTTTTTTGAGACTGAGTCTCGTTCTGTCGCCCAGGCGGGAGTGCTGTGGCGCTATCTCCGCTCACTGCAAGCTCCGCCTTCCGGGTTCACGCCATTCTCCTGCCTCAGCCTCCCGAGTAGCTGGGACTACAGGCGCCCGCCACTGCGCCCGGCTAATTTTTTGTATTTTTAGTAGAGACGGGGTTTCACCGTGGTCTCGATCTCCTGACCTCGTGATCCGCCCGCCTCGGCCTCCCAAAGTGCTGGGATTACAGGCGTGAGCCACCGCGCCCGGCCGAGGATTTCATTTTTAAATGGGATGGTCAGAGTAGGTGTCATTGAAAGGTAAAGCTCTTACTTTAAAAATTATCTTTTTTGTTGTTTTTTTGTTTTTTTTGTCATAAATTTTGTCATAAAAATTTCTCATAAAAAAATCTATAGGTAAATGAAAATGTATATAATGCCTTTGGAAAATGATTAACAACAAATAACTTTCCAGATATTACTAGTAAGTTTATTTCTATAAATATATCTTAAGGAGATAACAAAAAATGTAATCATGAACCACTAATATTTTAATTTGTTCTAGGCTGGAGTGAAGTGGTGCAATCGTGGCTCACTGCAGCCTCAACCTCCCAGACTCAAGTGATCCTCCCACCTCTGCCTCTCAAGTAGCTGGGACTGCAGGCATGCACAACCATACCTGGCTTTTTTGTATTTTTGTTAGAGATAGGATTTTGCCATGTTGTTTAGGCTGGTCTCCAACTCTTGGGCTCAAGCAATCCACCTGCCTCCCAAAGTGCTGGGATTAGAGGTGTGAGCCACCCCGCCTGGCTTAAAATTATGTTTACTTCACTTTCTAACTTAGCAAAAGCTGACTGGTATATTTTTAAAACATAAAATATTCCTACAAGACTTCAATTATATACTTTTGAGAAAGGGAATTTTTGTGTATTTTCATGCTTAAATGTTGACTGTGAACTTCATAAAGTCATTCATTCTTTAAAAATACATCCT
Source organism: Homo sapiens (assembly GCF_000001405.40). Classification (NCBI taxonomy): domain Eukaryota; kingdom Metazoa; phylum Chordata; class Mammalia; order Primates; family Hominidae; genus Homo; species Homo sapiens. Next base: position 96,111,139 of record NC_000001.11, on the reverse strand, counting down.
AAAATGTTAGGACTGGTTAAAAGAAAGTTGTTTGAGAATGAGCCACCTGGGATATTATGATGAGAATGAATGGGACAACCAAATGTGTGGAGGAAGCTCAACCGTGAGAAGAGAACTCACACTACCTTGTACCTTCTCCTTTCAAATTTCTCTCAAAGGACAAATGAAGTGAATAAAGATGGACAAATGTCATCTAAGATCACATACTTTAGGTTATGTTCTGAAGAAATAGTAAAAAGCAGGAGGCACCTTCTCCCAAACTGGATAACACTTTTCCAAACTATGACTCAGTCTGAGAAGGGCTCCTATGAAGATACTCAGTTTGTGTCGAGTCGTATGTCTGAAAGATCCACATGCAAGCGAAAGAAGAGGTGACTGCTGAATACCATTGACTGGAGATGTTGGAAGTTTTAATAAGTGTTATTACTAGAACATAATTGTATATTTTAAAAGTATATTTTCCATATAACATTTAAAAGTACAATATTTAAAAGTACTTAAGAAAAACACACACTGGTAACAAATATAACAAAGGATTAATACTTAATCTATAACAATTTATACAATGTAATTGAAGTATCCCAACAGGTACATGAAAGAAATGTAATTACCTAAAAAATACTGGAGAAAAAATCAGACAAATAGTAATCAAAGAAATATTTAATGAAACAAGATAGTGGTTTTGTCTCTCATATTAATAAGTAACAAGATCCATGTTCATTTCTAGCAAGAGTGTGAAAAAAATTCTATAGGTAAATGAAAATGTATATAATACTTTTGGAAAATGATTAACAACAAGTAAAGTTGTCCAAATATTACTAGTAAGTTTATTTCTATAAATATACCTTAAGGAGATAATAAAAAATGTAATCATGAACCACTAATATTTTAACTTGTCCATAGTAATAAAACAATGGAAACAAACTGTATGCTCCAGTAGAATGGTTAATCAACGCTTGTAGAGAAATTTTTATGACAATTTACCATAATAATCTCCATAATCATCTCCTATGTTGTTAAACAACTGTACAAAATTATGCAGAGACTACTAGATAGCCATTAAAATCCTCTCTCTTCTCCTTCCAAAGTAATGGAATTGAAGCTGACCACATGGTCACCTAGCCACACGTTCATTGGCATCCTTTCATTTCTAAGTTCCCTCCAATACAATGTGCTGCGGGGAAGCCGCTGGTAGCTTAAGATCCTCCTGGCAGCTGTCACCTGTATGTAATGGTGACCTAGCTTAATCAGCCAACAATGCCATAGGAGATGGTGCAGCAGATACCTGGAAGGAATCCTAATTCTTTCTAATGTGCACAGGGATTGAGCTACTCACTACCAGGCACCTTAAGACTATGGAAAGAAAAATACATGATTTTAGTCATTTTGGAGGAGGGAGGCTTGGAGGCTTGGAAGCTTGGAGGAGCAGGGGGTACTTAGCTCTAACTAATACATATAGAAATATTAGATTACTCATTTGTTTAGTTATTTGTTATTTGTGTCTTCACTAGAAGCAAAGCTTAATGAGAGCAGAAACTTGATTATGTTCACTATTGCAGCTCGATGTCCAGAATAGTGCCTTAAACACAGTGAGTATTCTATAAATGAATAAAATAATATCTATTTTTATAATGTGGCAGATAAATGTTTCAAGATAGAGACATCTTGAAAGGATATAAAAAGTGATTATCTAGAGAATTAATGTTATTAATAAAACTTTTCTTAACACTTAATAAGGAATAATGCTCTCTAGTACATACTTCTAGTTTACTTCATGTTTATGATGCTTACTAACTTTTGTATATTGTAGTTTCATGGATTTTTATTTAAAAACAATTTAATTTCCTTGAATATAGCCAACTATGGCTTTCCTAAATCTCTATTACATACTTGTGGAAAAAAAATATGACCTTGGCCACAGTGGCTCGCACCTGTAATGCCAACCCTTTGGAAGGCCAAGGTGGGCAAATCACTTGAGGTCAGGAGTTTGACACCAGCCTAACCAACATGGTGAAACCCTGTGTCTACTAAAAATACAAGAAAATTAGCTACGCATGGTGGCGGGCGCCTGTAATCCCAGCTACTTGGGAAGCTGAGGCAGGAGAATCACTTGAACCCGGGAGGCGGAGGCTGCAGTGAGCTGAGATCGTGCCACTGCACTCCAGCCTGGGTGACAAAGTAAGGCTGCCAAAAAAAAAAAGAAAATCTGACCATTGACATTTATCTTCAAATTCCATGTAGTTAAACAAACACATGAACAAAAAATTAACTCTCAAAGAGCAGATGACACAAACCATTCTGAGGATAGAATAGTTTTTAATGTCTTATCTCATAAATGCAATTATGCCACATAAGAGTAAGAACAAAATAAATAAATAAGCAAATACCCTAAGTATCACAGTACCGAATTCATCCTTTAGGCGTTACCCCATTAAAATGCACACTCTGGACTAAGTCCATCATTTATCATCTTGTAGCCCTAAACTCTAATCTGGTACTTTCCCAGGCCTCTAGTTCTAGGTCTGGGTGTCACTGGAGGCTTGTGGGGCAATGGGCCACAGCAAAACAACACAGGCTCTGGAATCAGGTAAATGTGTGTTACTTCACTTTCAGCTTCTTGAATGTGGCAAGTCATGTCTCTTATTCTCAGCTTGCTTAGCTGTAGGATGAAAATGATACAGTAAATACAAAAAATCCTTAAACTTAACATTCATGGCCCCTATTAGGAGGGAGAAATCTCTCAAAGGTCGCAGGCATGTCTTAACTTGTAGGAACCTTAACTGGTGAGTGAGTCTAGCTAATCAGTGAGTAAACACATGCTTCCAATCTGCCCACTCCTAGGGATCTTCACATCTTCACCTTCCCGGCTTACAAAATTGCACCTATTGGGACTGAAGCATCAGAAAGCAATGCTTCAAGGCAGAAACCGAGGAATCATTCTAGACACCTCTCTTATTCTTCCCCAAAGCAGATCAACTAAATGGCTTATATATTCTATCTTTTTACAGCTTATCTCTCTCTACTCCATTTCCACTGCTTTCAATAACTAACACCTTTATTGCACTCACTGTAGGCTAGCCACTCTTAAATATATCAATTCATTTAATATTCATAACCTTAGGAAGCAGTTACTATAACATATCAACCCCATTTTCAAGTGATACAACTGACACACAGAGGAGTTAAGTAACTTGCCCAAGGTCCTGTAGTTAGAGAATGGCAAAGCAGGGAATCATACGTGGGCAGTCTGGCTCCAGTATGTGTTCTTAGTCAATGGCCTTCACTGGAACTGCCCTGGCGCAAGCTAAGACCATTTCTTCACCCGCATTACCACGATAGCCTTTTAATTTGTCTCTTTGTGCCCACATTTGTCTCCCTACAATCCATTCTGTATCCCACACTCAAATTTTTTTGAAAATTTATCTTCAATCTTACCACTACCTTATCACCATCCTTATATGGCATCTAAATTTTTTCTCCGTTAGCAAAAACTGTTCATGAAGGCATAGAGACCCCAGCTCTGTGGGCTTGAGTCTGATAAATGTAGTTTTGCAGAGAGTAGATGGTAATGTCAGAGAGTGTGTAGAAAACACATTCGAGTGGGAAACATACAAAGGAAGTTTCTGTGGTCACCAAATTCAAGGAGCAAGACTACATGCCCAAAGCCAGTTATAAGGAAACAGTGGGGATGAACATCAAATGGCACCTGGGAGGATGTGGGGAGCACTTTTAGCAAATATCTGTGACAACATCTGTTATCCCTCACTGGATTTTTTCATCCCTAAGGCGGTGAATTGCAGCGTAAGAAGAGCCAGGTAGGGCTGGGTTTGAATTCTAACTCCAATACATAGAGCAACGTGACCTGGAGCAGCATTTGTAAAGTTCAACTTTCCCTTTAATAGATTCATAAGGTAGTCATCAGGAGAAAATTAGATAATGCATGTTGCCCACCATGAAGTATGTTCAAATTGTGGCTTTAATAACTAGTTGGAGGGCAAGGGAGGGATAGCTATAGATAAAGGGCCGTGAGTCATGGGGACAAAAGAAGGAAAGTTCTAACTCTAACACATAGAGCCCGTACAGTTAGATTTACAACATGTGGCGGATTTGTAAATGATCTCTAGATTTAACAATCAAGCAGTGAGCATTTTGTTTTATTCTCTCTTTCTCTTTTTTAAAAAAATATTTTTGAGACAGAGTCCTGCTCTGTCACCCAGGCTTGGAGTGCAGTGGCGTGATCACTGCAGCCTCAACCTCCTGGGCTCAAGTGATCCTTCCACCTTAGCCTCTCCAGTAGCTGGGACTACAGGTGCATGGCACTACGCCTGGCTAATTTTTTAAATTTTCTGTAGAGACAGGGTTTTGCCATGTTGCTCAGGCTGGTCTCAAACTTCTGGGCTCAAGTGATCCTCCCACCTCGGCCTCCCAAAGTGCTTGGATTATAGGCATGTGTCACTGCACCCTGTCCCATTCTCTTTTCACGAGTTAAGGATTTGCAGTAGTCTAGAAGCCTGGTCTAAGCTTTTATGTGGGGACATACTTCTGGCTATTTAGATTTGGCTGTTTCACCTCTTAAGTTAGCATCTATAAATTAGGACTATATCCAGAGCTAGTTTGAGCAGAAACTCAAAGTGCTGACTGACCTCCCCTAGTGCCCAAGTTGTGCCAATTGAGGACTAACCCTCCACGACTTACATGATTGAAATGTAAAGGGAGAGACTGGGCACAGTGGCTCATGTCTCTAATCCCAGCAATTTGGAAGGCTGAGGCAGGAAAATCGCTTGAGCCCAGGAGTTCAAGGTTGCAGTGAGCCGTGATCACACCACTGTACTGCCAGCCTAGGTGACGGAGCAGGACCCCATTTCTAAAAATATAAAAGAAATAGAAAAGGAAATATTTCAATATCCATGTCCACTAGAACTCAACAACAAAAATGGTATCTGAAAACCTGTCAGAGAATGAAAATCCAAGTCTGAGAGGCAAAGAAAACAATCCAACAAAACGTGCCATGACAAAATGTATTTTGTCTCTAAGCATCTGTGCACCAAGCAGCAAACAAATATCTGGGATTGAAGGGATGGACTGAACCATAGGGGGCTTAAAACAAAATCTTCACAAAAGACCTGGTCTGCCAGGAATTCATTTTGGCTCCCCAATGTTTCCAGCGATCATATAATGGTGATTTCCTTAAACAAAATTGCCTTTTGACTGCTGGAGGCAAGTCAGGCTTTCTTAGCGTTGCCTGTTCAAACAGAGCTTCCATGAAGCAGGGGTCCCATCTGGGAAAACTTCACCCAGAACTCAGGGCCACCCACATTTAAATGCAATTAGTGTCTTTTGATAACAGTGGGGGAGTTTTCAGAGAAAAGATCACTGATTGTCTATAGTTGGATCAGATTTCCATTTGCTTTATATTGAATAGCTTCTCCTGCACCTCTACAGAAAATCCATATAGTAGGAGAAAACATTAAAAGCAAAAAATAATTGTCAGAGTGGATAATAAGGAAGATATTAGGTTCATATATTAAAGTTTCTTTCCAGGGCTAAACTTAATTATAGTTTCAAATGGAGCTCCTCTTGTACAAAAGTGTAAAGGAGGTAGTTTTGTGTGTGTTTCTGCTTTCCATTTAATGTATGCTTACAGCTCCCTGCTTCTTTCAGTGAATCTTAAACCCAGAGATGGGCACTGGGTCCCTGTTTGTGTGGATCTTGTTCTCAGCCAACTACCAGTTAATTAAAACTAAATATGCTAATATATGCTTTGAATTTTACTGACAAAATTTGATAGTAGAGATAGACAGATAGATAGATGGATGCATACATACATGTGTTTACACATACACAGGGTGGCCATGAGGGAGAGATTGTCATATAATTAATTTTCTCTTCTATGGCTTTGCCCTCATAAACAAACCTACTAGATGAATTTCCAAGAATATGAAGCTTAATATAGCTGTTTGGAGAGGAATCAACGGCCTGTTTACTGCACTTATCGACAATTTGTGAAAGAAGAGACCAGAAATCAGTCTAATTACCAGAGTGCCAGTTGTGCTTGTTAACACCAGCTTTGTGACCAAATGTTATTCCACAGTTGTCACATCACACGAGGGTTTCATTACTAACATAATAGTGAACAAGATCACATGAAAAGCTATTGATTGATCTGCCACACAAAGGAAGGACACACTTGTCTCTATTATAACATGTTACATCTTTGACTATATGCAGCAGATGTAGCCTAGCCATTCTTCTTGCTAGAGAAGTATAATTTCGATCCTGTCCTGCTTCTTTAAGTGTTTGCCAATTAGGGTCCCTTTTCTATTTGCATATGTCATCAATGGGCTGAAGAGACAAGAAATTATCCTGCTCTAGTTCTTCCTGATCTTTAACCAAGACTCAATCAATTCTCTTGAATTGAATCCAAGAGATGCTTGGGGTATGCACTGTGTTTACTTTATCAATTGTCATCTCTGGCAATAAAAACAAATGGCTGTTTTATGTTAAGTTGGTTTCATGCATTTTGCAAGAGACTCAGCTATAATTAGGCAATCCAGAAAGGATGAAGGAGAGGAAGCCAAGCCCTCTTGCAGTCCCTCTTCCCTAAATTGTCAGATTTAGATGGAAGAAGGGTATTCATGTTCCCAAATGAACTGAAAGCCATTATCATCACAGGTCTTCAAGGTTTGCATTTTTTTGTTGTTATCTGTGTCACAAGAGTGCAACAAATCATTTTACTTGGTCCAAGTTTTTTCAAAGGAGCAGTTGCTTTTATTTTTAAATGAACTCTATGAATATCTAACCTGGAAGTAGATTTGTTTATCACCGGGAGCAAGCACCTAAACAAGCAAAAGGCATCATCTTATCTGGTGATGAGTGATTTATCAGGCAGAATATGAATCTGCTCCTCACCGACTCCATCTTCCTGTTTATGCTTGTTGAACAGATACAATTTAATGAAGAATACAAAGTAGTTAAAATCTGTCTACCATTAATAGTTTAATTAAACTGACACATACTTCAAAAACAGAGAGACAGAAAACATTAATTTTGGTTATAAAGGGCATGGCATTATTAAAGTGCAATTAAAAACAACATTCACTTACAGTTAACAGCTAAGACAATTTAATTATTTAACACCGAATTGTCACTTGTGACTAACTTCACCTCTTTGATGTGGGGATGTTCTGTGTCCCTGTTGATTGTTATGGTTCATTCCCTGGAATTCCAAATGGGGTGGCATTCTCAGAGTGTTAGCATTCACATTCAGAGTCCCTGCTGGCTAGTAGGAATCGCAAAGTATGAAAATTTAGCCAACTGTTCTGTAGTGTTAACAGCTACCCTATAAGTAAATTTTGATTATTAGCATATGTGAAAAGTTTCACCTATTCTGAAAACATTAGCCAAGGTCGTGCTTTCTCTTCAGGCACTTTGAACAATAAGATGAAAGGTGGTGTCAAACACGGATGCTGAACCTATGCTGCCAGGTTTCCAACTGAAGAGCCCAAACTTCTACTTAGGTAATCTCAAGCAAGCTTTTTAAGCTCTGTGTGCCCCGTATCCTGGTCTGCAGATGGAGATAATGACGGAATATGTGTAATAAGGTTGTTTTCAAGACTGAATGAATCAACAGATTTAAAGCATTTAGAATGCTGCTCAACACATAAGAAGTGCCCCAAAATGTGACCTGTGATCAATATTATTATCTTTAAGTTATGAGACTAAAAATTCAAATCTATTAAGCATAATCTCAAATAGTCAAGGATAAGATAGGCAACAATGAATGCCCCATACCAGAGAGCAATCTAGCCAACAAGAAATCACTAAACCATCTGAAAAAAATTTCCTACTCAGTTTCAAAACTGCCAGAAAATTACAAAAACATACCAAGTACATTATAAGGTTGCTTGGGATACATTTCATTCGCACTTTGATTTGTCCCTGTATTAGTCTGTTTTCACGCTGTTGATAAAGATATACCCAAACTGGGTGATTTACAAAGGAAAGAGGTTTAATGGAGAACTCACAGTTCCATGTGGCTGGGGAAGCCTCAAAATCATGGCAGAAGGCAAGGAAGAGCATGTCACATCTTACGTGGATGGCGGCAGGCAAAGAGAGATTGTGCAGAGAAACTCCTGTTTTTAAAACTATCAGATCTCATGAGACCCATTCACTATCACAAGAATTGCATAGGAAAGATCCGCCCCCAAGATTCAATCATCTCCTACAAGGTCCCTCCCACAACACGTGGGTATTATGGGAAGTACAAGATGAAATTTGGGTGGGGACACAGAGACAAACCATATCAGTCCCCATAAATCAACATAGTTATATAAGATTTAGACCTAAAATTTTGGATTTATGTGTGAAGAAAAAACAGTGTCTAGTACATGGAACCCTAGTCAATACAGATTTGACTCCCTTCTATTACAGGAAAGAAAACAGGTCCAGAGAAGTTACAAAAGAAGCAACCTGTTGAAGACCAAATGGAGAACTGATAATGGAGCAGAATTAGAACTGATGTCTCTTAGCAACAAAGCTAATGTGTTTTCCATGACCTATATCTACCATTATTTCTATGGGTGAAAAACAGGTTTAAATTGACCTCCAAAACTTGCCTTCATGTCAGAGTCAGAGGTCTTAGAATCCAATATTGATTGAGAGTTCTCCAGTGAGCAAGATGTGTGAGACGTTTGAAGTGCTGCCACACAGGTATTAGGAGAAGCACTTAGGAATATTTGAAAGGTAGGCATATAGGGGCTAGGTACACACTTATAGGACCATAGTTCATAAAATAAAAAGAAACTTCTCTATCACGACTATAAATTGGTCATGAATATATTCACTGTCTTCAACAGAAGATAGCTGAAAATTGCTTACTGAAGAGGAATTTGTCCATTGAAAGAAATCTGGGCTGGGTGCAGTGGCTCAAGCTTGTAATCCTAGCACTTTGGGAGGCCACGGCAGGAGGATCACTTGAGCCCAGGAGTTCAAGACCAGCCTGAGCAACAAAGTGAGAACCCATCCCTGCAAAAAAATTAGCTGGCTGGGTGGTGTGGACCTGTAGTCCCAATTACTCGGGAGGCTGAGGTGGGAAGATCGTTTGAACCCAGGAGGTCAATGCTGCAATGAGTCGTGATCGTGCCTTTCACTCTAGCCTGGGTGACAGAATAAGACCCTGTCTCCAAAAAACCAAAAGCAAAACAAACTAACCAAAAAAGAAATCTGGGGTAACTTACTAAAAGAAGAGGCATATAAAACACACAAAATTTTTATTCCTGACTCTGAAGTTAGTTGGTCAACGGTCCTTGTATATAATGTCTGAAAACTTGGAAGGTAGAAAAAAATTCAGATAGACATCAGGGAAGTACATGCTAGTTGAATATAACTTGAATATTATCCACTTGTCATAATTTGAGCTAGCACCAGGTGTAGAGGAGTGTCATTACTGCTTTTTTTGAATGGACTTTAATTAATGAGCCAGCATTTATTAAGCACTACTTACGTATTTGTCAGGAACTGTCAGGTTCCCGTTTCCTCACTTCCCTATGCCCTGCAGACTTTCCCACTGGATTCCAAGTAGCTGTATAGACCTGTCCATACTTCAGGATCAGCTTGGAGGCTGGTCCTTACATACCTGTAATCACAGAAGGTCCAGACACATCTTAGTATCTAGATTCTTTTTTGTTTTTGCTGCTGGAACATTACACATGTGGCTGTGTCCAGATTCTGACTTTCTTCAGGCTGTATTTTTTTAGGCTGGGTCCTAGAATTCCTTCCTCAGGATCTGGCTTGTCTAACTTACTTGCTGCCTTCTGAACAGATCTCAGGCCACTCCCTACTTCACTATATGCCTGTGTAATAAGATCCATTCCTATGCAAAGTGGGGAAAGGGTGACACAACAGATATAAAAACCCAAGACCTACAGACATGGAACATATGTAAGACAGACATATATGAAATAATTGGATAATCAGGCAGGCTACATAAGGTGTTCCACTATACAAGATGGCATAGGAGCAGCAGCAGAGTAATAGGAGGGAGTGACAGCTCTTGGTTAGCCACATCAGGTGGGGCTTTCCTGAGATCACAGGACTTGAGTTGTTACTCGAAAGTGCTCAAGGACTTTAGACAGGCAGAAAGAAGGTAGATGTTAACTGTATTAGTTGAATGAAACACAAGTGAGAAGAAACAACAGGAATTAAGGCACAGGGACAAGAATGAGCATGGGGTAGGGTGAAGAAAAGACAGAAAGGAGACAGCTAAGACTAAAGAAAAAATTGATATTAAAAAGTATGGGTTAAAGTTGGACACAGTATGTGGTATCCCATGTATAGTTTAATGACAACCCTTTTTTATCTAGTTATTTAAATCATAATATAAGAGCAAAATAAAAGAAAATCTCATGGCAATTGAGCACCATTGGATTTCTCCTACAAGGCTGGATTTTTCCTACAAAGTTCCTCTGCCTAATGTGTATAGAAAAGCGTGGCAATGAGTTAAAGTAGGATGCATGTTATGGAGCTTCCTGGCTGTGCTCTTCTTTCTGGCTTTGTCTTATCGAGTGCATGGAACTATTATGATTGCACAACCCAATTTCTAGTAAAAGAGGCTAGGTCAACTGATTTAATTTTACCCAGACAATCTTGCAGGCTCGCTCAGTGAATCAAACAATAATCCTTTAGTTAGTGGATCAATAAGAAATTAAGAAGCAATTAAAGAGGAATGAAAAAAAAAAGCCTAAAAATTTGCATTGACCCAGCAGTAAGGTTTTCCCCCTCCAGAAAGTAAAGATTTAAAAACAATCCATTGCATTGTACTATTCTTGCATTCTTCTTATTAGTTTGAAAAATTTTCAAAATAAGAAGTTAAAAAGAGGAAACCAGTAATAAAATATTAAAAACTTAAGGTTCTAAAACTCAAATATAAATAACACAATTACATTTGTATTGGAACATAAAATGTGTTCTCTTCGCTGATTTAAGCAAATAGCTAAATGGACACAAACATAGTTTATGGAAATAGCTGTGACTATGTAGAGCTGCTATAGAATAAGAATCAGTTTTCCAAATAATCATTTCACTTGCAGCACTGAAGCAACATTTTACAATTAAAATGTGCTTTCAACTAAGATCATTTCAGTTCCAATCTCTCTCCAAATAACCAAAGCTTAGAGGCACTATTTATTTACTTCACCAACAAAAAACAAAACAAAAGAAAAACAGGATTTATTCTTCAAACACGAGCCTTTCAGATGATATCCAGTTTTTATCTTTCTTGGGTCTACTAATTATAGCTGCAAGCTGAGAAATAGAAATACACACTTTGGTCTTATATTTCCAACTGAAATATTGGCTAACCTGTGATAAATTGCTTAACCCTACTGTGTCATTGGATCCAGCTCTGTTTAAAAGGTGAGGAAAAGTTGTTGCTTACCTATAGAAGGTGTCTGGTGCAGGTGAGTGAGCACAAGTCTATTAAAGGACTCAGAATAGAGATATGGTATAATGGCGAAATATTGTGACCTTTTTTAACAACAAATTTCTAATTCAAAGATTAAACTACTAACCATGATCTTCTTTAAAAAATGCCCTGAGCAAAAAAAGATGGCCTCTTTCTTAAAGGGTTCCCTTGGGGGTGGGAATACACAGAATCACACATAACAGCAACAAACACAAAAGTAAAATAAATGTGGCAAGAATGTTAAATTTCAAACAAAAATTGCAGATGTTCTCTAAAGGAGAACCTAGAAAGACATTGGCAGGTCTTGAGACTTGTTCTCAAGCAGGCACGCCCATCGTGCACTGCTGCTCTAATTTTCTGCTATGAAATAAAATGGCAAATTACTAAGCACTACCTATTTTATGGGCACTGAATTCTGTGGGGGTGCTGACTTCAGAAGGCGCTGATGTTGGATGAAGTATTGTGTACTATAAGCGACTGTATTTTCCCTTCTGATTTAAAGGTGTTTTATTGGACAATATATGCCATCTTTTCTTTATGTTTTACACTTAATCCTTCAAATAGGTATTATGTGAGAAGCTGCGTGGGGTGCTTAAAGACCTGCACACCATCAGTAATGCAATTAAAATTGGCATTTATAAAAGTATATTTTGATTCCTAATCCTGTTTTTACAAGTGCAAAATCACATTAGAAAACAATGTGATGCTAATTAAAGCTTTGTCACCCATAAGACCTTGGTGAATTGCATTTGTAATAAGCTCTGATGCAGAAGCAATTTCTGCGGAAGAAACTTAAGCAGAATATGTGACTACATTTCTTGTTACTCTATTAAAATCAATGCTACAATTGTGTATGTTACTGTCATGCTTTTAGCTCTAAACTGAGCTTGAAATGTCATGTCATCTAACTTTTAATTCAAAAGCTGAAAAAAATGTGTTGCATATTATATTTGCATATTTTAAAAACAATCAAAAGGCCAGGGATACTATTGATTTTCCTCATAAAGATTAAAAGGACTGATGGAAGCATCAAACGTATGTTTCAAATCATGTATGAATCCCATCTTGCAAAAACAAAGGTGGCTACTGGAAAAAAACAACCCCCCCAACCCCGGCCAAATAACTGATCCTTATTCTTACGTTTACATAAAACTTACCCATAAGGATATAAAATTAAAATAAAATAACTTACATTCAAACATAATTTAAAGATGGGCATTTTTCTAGGAATCTTCAGGTCAGCCTTAACCCACTGGTAACATGGTCATTAACAAAATCCTCAATCTAATGGGCACTCAAACAGAAATTCAGGCTGAGTTCCTCTTGAATCCAGGAGCCATTTCTAGAGTTCTGATTATGGACAGAGAAGGAAATGACATAGATTGGAATCTGAAAACCAGCTAGAGCTTGCCTTGACCTTTACAAATGGCCACTAATATTACTTAACAGGTATGTTAACATAGATGTCTCTGTGGTGTGCAATTTAAATAGACCTGGGATTGTGCCATTTTTATATTGAAAATTCCATTATAGTAACAAATAATAAAACTCAGAATTTTTAATGACACACCCAACAGTTAAGTTTCAGTCATCTAGACTAGTACTAATGTGGCCTGGAGGATGCAAAATGACGTGAATAATTGGTATCTATGAGAGTACTTGTAGGGAAGTTTTAAGCTCTTAAATATTCTTAGAAAGAGATAGAGCATTAACATTATTTTAAAATATTCAGATACAAATCATTGAGGTTTTATTTCAATATGTGGTTATACATAGATATCTAAGCAATAAAAGACTCTAGTCCATCATGCCCCACACTTCTGCCAATAAAAAAATCTATCTATCCATCTCTCTATGTACCCATCTACCTGGATCTTGATCTTGATCTCTCTTGATCTTTATGGATCAGAGAAAGGCGTAAATGGAGTTACAAAATTTTGAAGGTGGTATAGCCATGTAACTTTCTACAAAGACATCACACTACAGATAGGACAGTAAACAAGTCACCCCTCAATGTAACCAAAATAGGGAGGACCCAGTGAATATGGGCAATGTGCCTTAGAGCCTGTGAGTCAGAGTTTTGCACTAGGCAAGTAAAAAGAGGCAGAGATTTAATGACAACATATAAACAATAGGTGAAAAGGAAGAAAAACATCAAATAAACCCACATATTTGGAAGAGAGAAATGCTCTATGGTAAGATGAAGGATAGTGCAGAGGGGATCAGGCATGAGACCAGAGGAAAAGAAGTGCATGTTTCATCTTGTGAGGGAGTGGCAGCCATTGAAAACACAACCCATATTACAGTAAACCCAATAAACAAAGTAAACATAAAGCGAAGGAGAACTGGAAATAGAAAAAGGAAATTACATGGTTATTTTCTTCCCTTTAAAGCTACATTGTGCTTCCTTTTGTATTCTGCTTTTTTCAGCCTTTTATTTCTCTTCAAAAGAAATAAACAAGCAAAAATAATTTACAGTCATAGATTATCAGTACCCACATCCATCTGTTTAGTTTAACCACAACAGAATGTGTGAGTGTTTGTATCTGGGGAGAGTCGGGCGGGCACTCTCATGTATTCATGAAACAATCCAATGTACAAACCCCAGATTCTGTTCAGTAAAAAATTTCACTGTCTACTTTGTATTCCTGCTTGAATTTGCTCATAGGAATTCAACCTAAAGAATCTTCCTCCTCCTCCTTCTTCTTTTATTTTTTTTAATAAGAAGTCAATTGTTTCTGCAATGAATATTCACAATACATGTCCCCACAAAAGACAGCTAATGCATCCAAAAGTGAAACCGGTAAACAGCCACTGGCAGTAGAAATTTATGGAATTAGAAAAACCGGACTGGTTAGAATACATGACTGCATTCATTGTTGCAAAATGATTGGATTCATGTCTCATCAAATTTACATTGTGAAGACTGAATATAGTATGATTAGGCATTATTTTAACAACTACATTAAAATACAATTTAAAATAAAATGGCCCTTTATATCATACTAATATCAGTGTTTTAAATAACAAAGGGGATTTTTTTAAAGGAAAGGATTAGCATTTCGTTTCAATCAGTACAAGCAATGAGATTCCAGTTGGGGTCTCAAAGATTCAGGATTTTATTAATATTCCAGAGATGCATTTGTGTTGCCTCTGGGTACACTGAAAAGCCACTTAAACCGCACTTAAAACAGCACTACAGGATCAAATTGATGTGCATCAACCATTTACAATAAAACTTGATTATTATAAAGGCATACATATTTGCATAATTACATGTTTGATTTTTTGATAATGCAGCATACAAGACAAAATGTTGCTTCATGTAGAAACACATCATCAAAAAGCACCATCTGCTGTAGTATTTAATGCACTGCACACTGATCAAAAATGTTGAAGATGGATTTGTGAGTATCAAAAGGAAAAAAAAAAATCTGAGTTGTATTTACACAGGCAGTATGGCTGGCTGGATCATGCAGAAAGGAGAAATAAAATTCAGGCAAAACATGGTATAAAAAGATAAGACCCACATATCTTCAAACACAGAAATGAGCACTTTCATTAATATGGCATAAGAGGTTTGGATATCTGTTTATATGATGTCATTTAGATTCTAGATTCTATATTTAGAAATGAAACACTTTAGAATAATTGCTCATGAATAGGGTTATCCTTGGAGAGGCTTCCATTATGTGTAGCAGTGTATTTGGAAAAGAGAAAGAAAAAAACCTTCCATTTTTCATTGTGCATTAAAATGAGGATAGTAACAATTATTATCTTAATGGATTTATACGTGATTTTCCCCTTTTCTTCTTCTTTTGTTTTGTTTATTTGTTGCTTAAACAATCCTCCTAATTTTCATATAATATACATTTCAAAACAGTATCAAATAAAAAGTACAAGAAATTTAAAAAATATAAAAGTTGGAGATTCATTTTCTGAAAGAACTGCTTTTAAGAAAAGAAAACAAAACCAAGAAAATGCCCACAAAAAATACTAACATGCAAAATAAACTTTCCAAATGCTTTGTAGAACACTTAGCTAAGTAAAAGACACAGTTACGGGATAAACAGAGACTATCTGGTCATGAGGTTAACTATGTTGTCTTATTATTGGTGAAATAAATCTACAGATCATAAGGGCATAGTATTGAAAATGAAGTCATACTGCTGAGAAGGGAGAAATGACCTCTTCATCAGAACTCTGTTTACTCAGGGCCTATAAGAATTATTTAAAACCACAAATATTTTCATCTAGGTCACTTGCTATGTGAGTCCTCAAAGATCATAACTTAAGAAAAGAAATCTTATAGATGAAGAACAAGAAGTGAATTAGAGAAACTGAGAAACAATGAATTTGAATTAAATCAATGTCCTACTGCTAGTTCCAAGCCAAAAAAAAAAAAAAAAAACCCAAAAAACAAGAACAAAAAAATGAAATATCACTCTAATCACAGACTTAACATTACAGACAGAAGAAATCAAGACTTGTACAAGTATTGGGAATTAGCAAAGTAAAAATTTAATAATACTAACAGTTTTATCCAATTAGGAGACCTAAGCATGGAGAGGGGAAATGTTCTGAGGAAAAGTCCTAAAAGCTTTTCAAGAGGAAGAACCTGGGACCCAAGGAGGTAAGGACCATAAATCAAATACTGGAAAACTCCCCACTCCCACATTAGAGCTGAGTCAGAGAACTTGATCTCGTGCCTCTTAGACATTGGCAGCTCCATATTCATTAAATTTCCTGTCTAGAAAACACTACAGGAAGTCAGTATATCCATCGGAACAGAGACAGATGCCTAGGCACCCTAGCAAGTGAAAACGGGCTTGTAGGGAGCAGCTGGCCCCTCTCTGTGGATGTTCTGCCTTCTGACCATGGACCTGAACTTCAGAGAGGAAAACTCACAAGGGTCATAGCTACAGAGTTTGTCTGGGCACATATTTACATGTCTTACATGTTACAGGTGTGTCCAAAGATCCAAAGTTAAATCTGCTGTTGTGACAAGAGAAACGTTTAACTGATACTCATTTCTTAAGATTCGGAAACATGTACATGCGTGCATGTGTGTGTGTTGGAAAAAAAAGAGAAAAGCATTTGAAAATTATGTCCTGGATTCACTAGAGAAAAATGAAAATCAATTTTTTAACCTGTAAATATTAGTATTAGATTCCCTATTGGGGGATTTCTATTTATTTTTGAAGGCTTTCCTTTTATATTTTTACCATTTTTTAAAATCATGAAAACAGGACACATTTAGAGCAGAAAATACATAGCCTATAGGAAAGGACAAAGAAGAAAATTAAAACGACCAGAAATCTTACTTTCTACTTACTTAACTTTTATATTTCCCATAGAAAAACACGAGATACTCTTTAAATGAACAAAAGGGTGTTGATTCATTTAAAGTTCCTTTTTTAGAAAAATTAAGCTTTTTATGATTAAATAAATATTAATGATAAAAACTCAAACAGCTCTGGAAAATCATATGGTGTTCACACTTTTAGCAGCCCTCTTCTGGCCTGCCTTTGGCCAATACCTCTCCCTTTCCACTGAATAAGGAGTTCACATGGCCCAGAGGAAATGCCCCAATCAACTTGTAAAACATGCTTTGGGGAGCCCAGCTCAGAGCCCTTCCCATCCGCTCTGAGCATCCAAGGATGGGTTGTATTATGGTTGGGCATACCTTCAGATCCTCAGCCTAGCCAAGGGGCAGCTGATTGCAGATAATATGGAGGGAGCTTGGACAATCTGGCTGGGATGTTCCATGTATGTTCACCAGGCCCTTCATGGGGTGCAAACAGTTTTTGGTGGTAAGAGAAGTGGGGTGCAGGTTAAGGACAGGAGTGGCATGCCCCAGAATCTGAAAATTCTACATTTGAATCTGGCCATCCAGGTCATTATGAAGGTATATGTGTTAAAGAAAGAGAATAGAACATGTTTCACTTAATAGTTTGTTAGCTTGATTTCTGACCCTTAAAGATTTTGGCACATGGTGTGTTGGCCTACTTTTGCTCCTGGAATTGCAAATGTTAGGGACAGGCCTGATGGCAACAAAAAAATCTTTGCAGTAGAGTTTTCTGAAGGAAAGTGACAGCAGTTTAGCTCTGAATATTGCCATGTTTCCTCTTGGAAAATGAGTAGAGCAAGAGAATGTACAAAAATAACCTAAAATTCTATTTTCATGGAGACTAGAAAACAGAAAAAAATAGATAATCTTCTAAAGTAAGTGACACCAACAGAGCCTGCAGGCTTACCCATAGAACACTGAGGCAGAAGAGTGAGAAGGTGTGGGCAGGCTCTGGGGCTTAGTGGGGCAGATCTCAGAAATTCTCAGAAGACTGACAAGAAAAGCCCCTAAAAACAAACAAAAAAACCCAACCAAACTTTATCATAAGCAAAAATTGCTGAGAACTAGACTGAGACCAAATGAGAATCAAACGGAGGAAGAGCCAGAATGTGTAGCAGGAAAAGTGCTCAGTGGGTCCCAAAGGTAGATCTGAGAATACTTCAGTAAGAACAAATAAATAATACCTATTATTTAATACATAGATAATATTAGAAGGCAAGGCCTTTGCCCATGAAGGGAAGCAGCTATAAAGGACCCACGCAAGTATAGGACTTGCTGATTAAATACTCCTGAATTAAATAAGGTTCTGAAAGAAAGAAACACTATACTTTAAAAATCTATCTATCTCTGTAGCAACAAAAATGGTGTCTTTGACCCACAGAGATGCAAATTATACATTGTCCTTCTCCCCTCTCCTTTGCTCTAGGAAACTCTGGCTATTACCAAGTCCACAAAAACCTAACTCATTTAATATGAGCATAAAGCAAAGCATAGGCACAACACAAAGACAAAAATACAAAGATACTACAAGAAAAAATGTTTTAAAAATTAGAAAACTTTTCTAAAAATGAAAGAAATTCAATAGGAAAAGATTTACCCCAAAAGCATGTGAAAACTTTAACCCAATATTAAATAATACTGAAGCAATTACTGTTATGAAAGAAAATCATAAAACAAATACAAGAAATCAGGGAAGTGTTTCTTAGATTAAAAGCATCAAAGATTGGAAGAGGCAAAGCAGTTACTGGCAGAGCTCAGGAAAGAAATAGGTAAGATACAATTATTTCAGAAATGGAGACTAATTATTAGCACATGACAGAGTAGTCACCACAGAGAATAAAAGACAGAGGATAGAAACTAGAAAAGCAAAGTATAACAGAAATGAAGGAGATTTAAAAATAATCAGAGATGCAAATATATCCATTAGTAAATTTCTCCCCAAAGAAAATCAAAACAATAAAACTGAAAAAAATCATAAATATAATTTAAGAAAATTTTCCTGAAATGAAAGAAGACTTGGGTCTGTATTGTGCAAGGACACTGGGAAAACTGACTACAAATGCTCGACAATGAGACATATACTAGTTTGGTAGGGCTTGCAATCTTAGTTATCAAAGTTGATTTTTCGCTAATAAGCATAACAAAATAAGGAAGAAAATTTATAATGTTAAGGGAGGACATAAAATTATAATTATATGAATATATATGTATCAAAATGGCAGCAAGTATAATAAAGCAGCATTTGCAGGAAACAGGTGGAGAAGTGGAAAGACACTGACTGCACGAGGCTTCGATTTACCACTTTCAATCCAAGAAAGATCAAGTGAACAAAAAATAAGTAAGGACAAAGAGGAGCCAGACAACATAATCACCAAACTCGAATAGAATTTGTTCACATCACTGAGACTTTTGGGTTGTTTTGTTTATGATGCATAATTATTCTATCTTTGCTAAAACTGATCTCTGCAATATTTATATATCAGCATCAAATTTAATGGGGAAACTCTAGAATCATTTTCATCAAAGTCAGGAACATAAGTCTCTCAACTCCTTTACAATACTATCATTTAATATTACAAGAAGGATTCCGTATTAACGTTTAAAAGTAGAAAGATATTGGAAATAAAAATTACAAATAAAAGGGTAAATCTATCCTTATTTACGTATGAGTGTTAGCCACAACTACAAAAGAATCAGGTAAAGACTACAAAAAAGAATTTATTATTTAATGTGAATGAAATGGAATTTATCTACTTCTATTTTTTGGCTTTCATATATACAAACAACAATCAGATAGCAAATATTTGAAAAATAAAAACCACATTTATAATAGCAAAAGACATAAAATATCTATGGAAAACAACTAGAACTGTAGACAGCTATAGGAAGAGAACTGTAAAATTCACATGATGTACACACAATGTAGACTTGAACAAACAGAAAAATTTACCATGTTCTAGGGTAGGAAGACCCTACATTATTAAGAAAAGTCTATTTTTGAGTTAATTGATATATTTAATGCAATCTCAATAAAACTACAAAAATTTTTTTTTGGTGGAACTTTACCAGCTGAATCTGAAGTTGATATGGAAAAACAAGCTACAATAATCAAATTAAAAATGGGCAAAAGCATGAATTGTTAATTCACAGAAAAAGTGAATATATAAATTGGATGCTGAACCATACTCATAATAAAAAATTCAAATAAAACCTACATTGAAATGTCAGATTTTACCAATTGAAATAGAAAAAAGTCAAAACTTTGGTGACACATTTTATTGTAAAGGCTGTGGGAAAAAAAGACTCTCTTACACCTGGCTAACAATATTTATAAAAATTTTAAAATGCATTACACATTGGTCCATCTGTTTAGCTTCTGGGAATTTTTACATACATAGTCATTCCTCACAAAATATTGGGAACACTCCAAATGTCCATCTATGGGGTACTGGTTAAATAATCTTTGATATAGCCACATGTTGGAATATTATGCAGCTGTGAAAAAAGAGGATAATCTTTGTATACTAATATAGAAGGTTTTCCAGAATATATTAAGTAAAAAAGATAAGATACGAAATTGTGCATATGATTTATCATATTTTGAGTAAAAATGGAGGAAAAGAAAAAATTATATTTGCATTTGTTTATATTTGCCCAAATAGCAGAAGAAATATAAAACTCTACTAAATGTTAGTTTCTCATAAGGAATGGGAGGGACAGAAGCAGAGGTAATTGTAAGATATGTAAACGTATGCCTTTTATTTTTAATAGAATTTTCCATTTTAAACCTCAATGTGCTCTATATTCAAAATAAAAAAACAAGATTAAAAAAAAGAGTCTCTTAGCACATTCAAAAATAACCAGGATATTAGTTTTTCTGAGGACGTTTTTTTAAATGTCACACTTTAGGTATACATGGTTCCAAGTCACTTTCTATTTCACTCTTATGCAGAAAGTCGGTAAGCAGAGACGGCAAGGTGCCAAAGTAGGCTGGAATACAAACAGGCTACAAGTAGACCAGGGCATAATAGTCCCAGGAATGCTGGTAGCTGTTTCTTGAGGAGTTGCTGACTTAAGTAAACTTTTAACCCAAAGTGGTGCTATCTTCCACTCTTCACCTTTGATCTTTCATGTCATCTTAGGCAATCTATTTTCAGTCAATCAAAACAACACTCGTGTAACTGCAAAAAAATCATTAAGTTATTCAACAAATAATTCTTCAGTACTAATAGGTGACTAGCACTCTGAAAAACACTGTATATATTTTGGTCAATTATGCAGAGCCTTCTACCGAGTCAAGTAGAAGAAGTAGCAAGAAACAAAGCAAATCAATATAACAATATAACAATGGAAGATTGACTCAGATAAGGTCGCCAGGGAAGGCTTCTCTGAATAGATGGCATTTAAGCCAAGACCTAAAGGACATATGAATCCTTTATGAGAACATAAGGGAGAGTGGAGATCTAAACTCGGGAAGCACTATGTACCACCTGTGAAGGATTAAGATGAGAAAGAAATCAACTTGCTTGAGAAAACATCAGGAGTCAGTCTAGAGAGTGGAGAGTGAGGACTCGCTGATGTAAGATGAGCTTAGGGTACGGGGCAGGAGGCTGACCAACAGGACTTATAGCAACACTGATGTACCTGGACTAAGACAAAGTGCAAAGAGAGATTGCATGTCAGGCAGTGTCATGCTGGGATTTATGTTTCAAGAAAGACTGTTTCTGTGGCTGTGTAGAGATTCAATTAAGGATGAGAGTCACTGTGTTCTGTGTGCATGGAGATCAGTTTGAAGGTATTGTGGTTGTTAAGTTTAAAATAATAGTAGATCAAACTACAATGTGGCAGTAACGATAAAGAAAAGTGGATCTCCTTATGCTGCATTTAGGAGACAGATGATCAGACTTAGTGACGAATTGGACTAGAGGAAGAAATACAGGGAGAAATAATTAGTGACTCCCAGGATCCAGACCTGATCAACAGCGTGGATAATGTTGCCAAAAAAGGGAGGTGGGGAGGATGGAAGGAGGACTAGGTTTTCAGAGGGAAATAAAAATGCAGTCTTGGATATATTTATGTGAGATGTCCATGAAGCATTCATAAGTGGGTGTTATAAAGACAAGAGTATAAGTCAGGAGGTCAGAGGAGAGGTTAGGACTAGAGATACAGACATAGGAGTCATTGGCTTGGAATTGGTATTTTAAGCCATGAGGATGAATGAGATTATTTATGGAAACATAAGGCATGGGGTTCAGAGCAGAATACTGAGGAAATTCAATACTTAGAGGTATTATAGAAAGTGGAAGAAAAGACACAACAGAGGCTTAGGAGGAGCAGGTAGAGAAGCAGATAAAAGACCAGGGAAATATGGAATCATGTAAGCCAAGAACAATTTCAAGAAGAGAATGGCCAATTTTGAGAAGAGAATGGTCAATTGTTGGATGTTGCTGAAAGTTCTAGTGAGATGAAAATGTGGACATAGCACTATAAAGGTCATTAGTGACCAACTGGGTCATGTGGGTGAATGCCAATTTGAAGTGAATTCCAAAGTGACTGTGAAGTGAAAACATAAAAGTGCTGTGTGTACACAACTATTTTATGGAATTTTATTGTGAAAGACAGAAAAGAATGGTAGCTGGAAAGGGATGTGGATCAATATGGAGTATTGGTTAGGACAGTAATACTGGATTATGTTTATATGCTGATGGGAATAATTGACTGGAGACAGTCTGACAGAAGCATTGAACTTCTTGAGAAAGTGAGAGAGATGGGATTCCCAACATGAATTGAGGGATGAGCATTTGATTACAAGGAGTCACATTCAGTTGCACAGAGGGAAGAAGACAGGTTTTGTGGCAGGAGGCTTTCAGATTTTGTGGTGGGAACCTCCTATTCTCTTTAATGAGGTACGAGATGAGCAGAAAGTAGGAGTAGGAAGTGGTACCTCCAAGGGAGAGGTGATGGTATGAGCAAAGTTTTCGAGGAAGAGTAGATGTTCACCAGGCAGGTGATTGCACGTGGGAGGGGAAATGGGTAGCGTGAGAGGGGCAGAGTGAAGGGCATTCCTGATGAAGAAAAGTCAGTTCACAAAGGCATGAAGATGCCAAATAGTCTGGTACATTAGGCCATCAAGTAGGGTCAATAAATATGGCTGGAGTAAAGGGTACAAGAGCTAAGGTGGAGGGCCTTGGATGAAATGCTTAGGAAGTTAGTGTTCTATAGGCACATGCAGCCACTGGGAACTGTAAGCCGTCATAAGAAAATTTCACTCAGAGCACAATGCAAATAATGAAACCTTTGACCAATCAAGGAGATTAGTGCAGGGGTCCTAGTGAGAGACAGTGATAACCTGAATTAAGGCAGTAGCTGCAGGAGTGGGAAAGCACAGCCTGGAAAGACAGCAAACAGGCTTATTCAGCAGGACCTCATTATCAAACATGATAGTTACATAGGTAGAGTAAACAGTGAGAGGAGGTGAAAGTTTACAGCATAGTCCTGGTGAGCAGCTACAGTTAAAGGACAGCAGAGAGAAGGAACAGCAAGAAGGAGAGAGAGGAATCAGGAAACAACCAAGTTGAGTCAGAGTAGAGGTTAGAAGTTATAAGTTACAATGATAATGTCAAAGATGCAAAAAGGCAGAGACAACAGGACCTGAAACAGAAAACAATCCATTGTAACCAGTATTTACACAAAAAGGCAATGACTCACAAGAAGTTTTACAAAAATTGTGTATAGAGAGCCTAGAGAAGTGTTAATAAGGAATTCTAAGAAGTAAATAAAATCACCTGTACAAGATTCACCATTACAAATGCGTTCGGCATAAAATAAAGTGGGTATCAATGGTACCTACATTGTTTTATTAGTAGATATAAAACAATGATGATAACTTTCTCAGATTCACTCACTATCTTACTCCCCAAACTCTATTTTCTTCCTAAGGTCGTAAGTTCCTCAAGTGTAATTTCTCCTTCCATGGAGGTTTTCAGGAACACAACTTTCAAGGTTGGGAAGGAAATACCATATCTGAGAATAGATTCTGCAATCAGTTAGCCACATACCTCCCCAGGCTTTTGTTTCCTCGTCTGTAAAATGAAGTATTTGAATTGGATAACCTCTGGGGTGTCTTTCACTGTAAGACATGTACAAGTCTGTGAATGTAACATTATCTCCAAAATGTTCCTGTGACTCTCGTAGTGCTCTTGGCAATAAGGCTAGAAGTGGTCGGTCTGCAAACCACAGCCTGCCTGCCTGCCTTATTGTTTGCTTAAAATAAGTTTTCCCATCATGTCTCAATTTTCATTTCTGTAAAGTTAGAGACGCATTTTCAAAGACAAATTCTAGAGCCATAGAAGCTTAACGAGCAAGGTGCTTTGCACAAAGTAAACACTCACTAAACATTTCTTGAATAAATGAATATGGAAATCCATACTCAAAGGTTATGTGCTCCAGCATACCAGAGACTACTAAAATCCCTTCTATAGCATCGCTGACCATCTCTCTCTTTTTTAATATCTCCAGACCTGGAGAACTCCTAATCTCAGAGGGGTGCCAGTGAATCCTTATGACTGGCACAAGGAATGACAATAATGCAGAACCAGAACCAGGTGGCAGATCTGTCCAACCCAGGCACTGCCAAATGGCAAAGATGTAAGTGGCAGGAAGTGCCAGTCAATGGCACTGAAGTTAAATAGGGTTTAGGGGCTTCCAATGACACCAACTGAAAAAAGAGCAATCAGAGTGATGCTGCTGAGATGTAAAGCTTTATCAGGATATGTCCCGGGAATTTTGCAAGAGAAAAGAAATCTTTGCTTTCAAGACAAAGACAAGTGAACTCTACTTGCACTGTGACTTGCTACCTCCGAAGACCTTAACTCTGTTTTACTCCTTAATCATGTAGAAGACACTGTTCATTTTTAGACAGCCCTTTTAGGTTTTTCCTAAGAATGACCTAAAATTTGCCTTCATAATAGCTTTACCTACTTAGTCATAGGATACTTTCCATCATCAACATGCCAGATCTTCAAGTATCTGAAGATGTCAATCATACTATCTAGCTTTTTAAAAAATTTTAAAATATTTCATGTGCCAAAAATGGTTTTGAGTATATGAACACCCATGTACCCGCTACTCAGCTTAAGGAATAAAATATTGTAGATTCAATTCAAATCTTGTAATCCTTGTGATGCCGTTTCCTTTTCTCCCTAAGGGAATAAATCCTCTAAAATTTGTCTTTGTCATTCTTATGCATATTTTATATTTTTTACTGCACAAGGATATATCCATAAAAGATATATAGCATGTTTTTGTGTTTAAACTTTATATACATGGTATTATACTGCACCTATAATTCTGCAATATGCCTTTTTCTTATTAAAATTCTGCATTAGAGATTTATCCATGTTGCTATCTGTAACTCAAATGTGTTCGTTTTTTAATCTGGCATATCCCCCAGTATAAATATACCACAATTTTTTCATTATGTTCTTGGACACTTACCCTAATGAGCTGCCATTCTTAAAAGAGAAACTCTTCAATTGCCTACACATCCCTGGACCCCAGAGTGGTGTTTTCTCACTTGGTGATTGGGAGACTTATGATAGAGAGATTTTATCTGCAGCCTACAGGAAAATGTAATGACCATTTGGTGGGTAGTCTAGTAAGAGGAGAAGACCTTTTGATTTTTTTCTTATAATTCTCAGGTGGGAAAACTCAGGGCACATGGTGAAATTTAATTACAACTACCTTTAATCTTATTTGTGACATAATGGGATGTTTCTCCCTGACTTAGACACGTAAATAAGAGTAAGAAAGCAGGATACCTCAATTAAGGAGATGAGGTTTAAGTTGTTTTACAAAAGCCATTTATTCTATCTCAGGGTAGCCATGGAAAGATCAAGTATTAGGATGATTAAGAGTGGTGGTCCCAAAGTTTTCGTCTCATCTTTAGTCTCCTATGACATTTCCCATAGGTGCCCGATAACAACTATCTGACTTTGTGCTTTCCTGTAAAACGAACTCTGTAAACACACATTTTTACACACACACACACACCTGTTTTTGTATGTATGCTTACATACACAAGTGACTGGAAAAAACATATCAAAAAAGTGAGGGTAAGTATCTATTGGTATTGAGATTATGGGTGGTTCCTTAAGTGGTTTAGTTCTCTGTGTTCAATGCTTAATGTCCTCTGTGCAGTGGCGGCATGGGGCACTGGAGACACCAAGAGGAAACACACAAATGTAGCCTGCTTTGCCTTGGAATTTTCTAAATGCTAGACTATAAACATGAATTAATTTTGAAATAAGACCAATAAAAGTGAGCATTTAAAAAGGCTCTATCAGATGTGCTATATGAATTAAGCTATGAATGGAAAGAGATAATTTGTTTTAATTGAAGCTATTTCATGGACAAGATAAAATTGCATCATTTAAGATACTACTAATATGTTAAGTGAGTTCTTTTGTTGGGTTGGTTGCAGTCATTTGAAAACAGAGTATTGGAGATGTGGAGGGCAAAAACAATCTTTGTCCACAGCTTCTATTTGTCTGGGGATGGGGACAGGTTTGGGATGAGGGTGAACAGAGCAGAGCTGAATGGAGTCAGTGCAGCTGGACTTTGGTCCCCCGATCCCTGTCCTGCTTGTCCTCTCCATCAGTGGCCAACCTCACATCTTTAAGATAGTTTTACTCTTTCAGTAATTCTCTTTGCCCTGATTCTCATGCCCTCAAGTTCCCATCACCACTGCCTTGAATACTGAAACAGAAATAATACTAATATTATTTGTTGTTTTCACTAAAAGTAATTTATGTGGCCTCTCAGCCTTTTGCCTATGAATTTGTGTTTTCAAGGTTTTTATTTATATGCACTGGACTTTTCTTTGAATTTTGAGATCATCCATGGCAATTTCATAGGTACTCAGCCAGGTGAGCCTCTGCCAGGTAGGCTTGCCCAGCTCCCATCCATTTCCTCAGGTGAACAACCTCTTGTTTGGCCTCATTCTCTTCTTTTTCCGTTCAAACAGTAGACTCTCTGAAGGCAGGACCAGGTTTAGATTTGCCTACCATTTACCCACAGTGCCTTTCAGAATCCTGGCACAGAGTAAGCACTTAAGCATTATTTATTGAATCAATGAGTGGTTGTCCACATAGACTTTTTTTATAGGCATAAGACCAATAAACGTGGCCTTTTTTTTTTTTTTTTTTTTTTTTTTTTTGAGACGGAGTCTCGCAGTGTCGCCCAGGCTGGAGTGCAGTGGCGAAATCTCGGCTCACTGCAAGCTCCGCCTTCGGGGTTCACGTCATTCTCCTGCCTCAGCCTCCCGAGTAGCTGGGACTACAGGAGCCCACCACCACGCCCGGTTAATTTTTTGTATTTTAGTAGAGACGGGGTTTCACCGTGGTCTTGATCTCCTGATCTCGTGATCCGCCCGCCTCGGCCTCCCAAAGTGCTGGGATTACAGGTGTGAGCCAAAACGTGAGCATTTTAAAAGACTCACTTTGGAAAGTGGAAAGTCAGGAGAGGTTGCAAGGGATATTCAAGCACAAGATACCATGTTAAGCTGAAATTCTGACCTAAGGGTGTTGGATTTGTTTGTCTTCATGCTAACAAATGCAAACACCCTTGTCTCATCCCTGAATTATAGCCATAGGCTTAATGCTGGATGAAAACTTCATCTTCCCAATAAGGTAACAAACCTCTCCAGTGAACAACCCTTCACTTGCATGGCCCAATACTGCTGACTGTGGTTTCTCCCACTGCTGAAATAGGCCTGTGACCTTCAGTGGGGACTTGCTTATTGAAAAACTCTGTGCATAAACCTGCTTTGTCATTCTGAAGCCCAGAAAGCAAGCAACTCAGAGCTGGATCCAATGCCAGTGAGTATCCAGAGGTGCCTTTTCTCTCTATTCCTCAACTTTAGGTCTCTCCCAGGACTCTATAAAGGAAGCTAGGCCTTTGAAGCTTTCTCTTATTTTCTCCTGCAGAGGTCTCAAAATCAAAGTTTTCTGAATTGAATTCATGATCTTGTTCTCCTTCTGCAATGGCTACTCCTCTCATACCCTTCATCTTTTCTAAAGTCACCTCATTGAGCAACTTTGAGATCATCTTGAATTCTTTCGTATTCCTCATTCCTGGTATTAGTTTATTAGGACTGCCATAACAAAGTACCATAGACTGGGTGGCTTAAATAACAGAAATTTCCTGTTTCACAGTTCTGAAGGCTAGACGTCCAATTACAAGGTGTCTGCAGGGGTGGTTTCTTCTGAGGCCTCTCTCTTTGGCTCACAGATGGATGCTTTCTCCGTGTCTTCACATGGCCTCCCACACGGATTTCTGTGTCCAGATTTTCATTCTCGTAAGGATTCAGGTCATATTGAATTATAGCCACCCTACTGACCTCACTTTCACTGAATTACAACATTAAAAACTCTTCTCCAAATACAGACATTCTGAGGTTCTGGAGATGAGGACTTCAACACATGAATTCAGCCCATAACATTATCTCATCATTCAGTATAACCTAGTGAAGACTGGAATTCCAGCTCCATCATTTGCTCTATGTGTGATCAGAGAGCAATTACTTATCCTAAGTCAGTCAGAACCTAATTCTAGCTAATTTAATCAGAAAATAAATCTAGTTATTATGGCTAACAGACACTTCAAAAGGGCCAGAGAAGCAGTGTGGACATTACCCAGCCAATGGCCACATTACCAATCAAGACACATAACTGAGCACTTGAAGCCATCTCTTTCATCTGCAGTGGCCCAACCAGTTTGTGTACATTGTGAACCCATAGTCACGGAGCACTGGGCATCGCTGCTGGAGCCACTAAAATTCTTGCCACTGGAAATCGGGTTCAGTGTAGGACTTCCACTGGCATTTTCACCAGAGTGGTTTCCCACAAAAATCCTCTTTCTTTGTATCTTTAGATTCTGGGGAAAACTGGCATGCTCACATCTGTTGGTGGAGACTCTTCTAATGTCAGTGTGATAGTTATCAGGGAATATGGGAAAAGTATTTGGTATTTTCAGTTTTTATATTGGAAGCTGGTCTCTTCTTTCCAGCAAGACTCACTCATAAGGCAGGGCATTCTTCAAGCATAGAAAAGGGCTTTAGATGCTGGGCTGCCAAAAATTAGGAAAATATATACTACCTCCTCTAATTTTAAGTCGTTTTATATGTAAAATGTGCCCAATAATAGTACCTACTTTGCAGGGTTATTGTTGGCAATAAATGGGACTGTATGTGTGAAATCAGTGTGTTGAATAGCCTGAACATTGTAGTGCACAAATGTAAAATGCTTTTATTTTGTCTCCAACTATTTGTTGTGCTATGTTTGGTCTCACTTTGCCATGTCTTAGCATCTTAGGTGGATCCTATAGTTTTCTAGTCACTTTCTGTTATTTAAACAAAACAAAACAAAAAGAGTCAAGTCTAATTTGTTACAGTATAGCCCAGTTTAAAATTTGAATCTCACATTTGTTTTGATGTGACTGGGAATAACAGAAAGTATCACTTAGTTTAGGTAGAAACTCAGAGATAGAAATTCCAGCTGACGCATGGATCCTATTTCTTTCAGCATGCTGCTGAAAAGGGGGCATGTTTGAGCCAGTGCATTGCTAGATTCACTGTGGGGCTCTGCTCCAAGAGGAGAAAAACATTCTGTTGCTTTCCTTTTTTATAGGACAAGTGTGCAAGTGGCTTTACATGGCTGAATAAACATTTGGGGTTCAGGCCCCAAGCATTCTTAGCTTAGGTGCTGGGTGTTAGGGGAATGTTGGGGAATGCCAGCTGCCCACACCTAGGGATATTAGGGGGCTCTGGTTCTATGAGGTGTTGAGTTGGAACGCAGCTTTTCTTTGGGGGATGGAGAAGGGAAGTCCCAGTATCAGTTAGTTCATTATCAGGGAACCCTGAAACAGCTTTAAGGGTAGTTGAAATTACAAGACATTCTTGCTTGTCCTCACAAAAGCACTTCCGCTCCTCAAAGTGCAGGCCTGACTCCTGGCTCATGGATCCACTCCGGAGAATGGGGAAAGGCTGTTCTCACACTTCTGTGATGCCACTTTATTCAGGCCTTCGATCCTCGGATATGTTGAAGCTTGGGGGCTGGAGATAAAGAAAGGGGTTTAAAGATTTTCTCTTAACGGATTAAGCTATAAGACCTTCATTGGCTGGTGATGACTGTTGCATAGCTGGTGTTTAATGCTGCCTCCTTGTGGAGGCATAAGATGTCTTCTAACATGACTCTTTTCAACTTCAGCCTCAGTCCCCATCTCTTGATGTGCTCATCTCAGCCTCCTACCTGGGACTGCTACCCAGGCCCGATACCCCCAAAATAGTCCCAGCCTGGCTATTGGTTCTCAGGAAATGCATTTCTCCTTTTATGCCAGACACATGGAGTGCAGGCTTCCTGCACCACTGCCACCTCTCTTTCCCTGGTCTTCGCTCTTCAGTTTCTTTTTTCTTGTTCAAATATATGCTGAGGGGAGATGAGAAATTCAATGGGGAGCAAAGTGCCACTTTTCCCTGAAGGCTGCCTCACAAAGATTGGAAGAGAAAAGCTGGGAGACCATTTCTCTAACTGTGAACACTCTCTTGCCTGAGGTGACTAGCAGCTCAAATTTCAATTCATTTCTGATATGGTTTGGTTCTGTGTCCCCACCCAAATCTCATCTCGAATTGTAATTACCAAAATCACCATGTTATCAGGGACCTAGTGGGAGGTGATTGGATCATGGGGGTGGTCTCCTCCATGCTGTTCTCATGATAGTGAGTGAGTTCTCACAAGAACTGATTATTTTATAAATGTTTGGAAGTTCCTCCTTCCTGCTTCTTTCTCCTGCTGCCTTGTGAAGAAGGTGCCTGCTTCCCCTTCCTCCATAATTGTAAATTTCCTCTGGTCTCCCCAGCCATGCAGAACTGTGAGTCAATTAAACTTCTTTCCTTTGTAAGTTATCCAGTCTCAGGCCTTTCCTTCCTTTCCTTCCTTCCCTTGCTTCCTTCCTTCCTTCCTTTCTTTTTCTTTGTTTCCTTCTTTCTTTCTTTCTATCTTTCTTTCTTTCTTTCTTTCTTTCTTTCTTTCTTTCTTTCTTTCTTTCTTTCTCTGTCTCTCCTTTCCTTCCTTCCTTCCTTCTCTCTTTCTTTCTTTCTCTTTCTTTCTTTCTTTCTTTCTTTCTTTCTTTCTTCTTCTTTTTTTCATTATACTTTAAGTTCTGGGATACATGTGCAGAATATGCAGGTTTGTTAACACAGGTATACATGTGCCATGGTGGTTTGCTGCACCTATAAACCTGTCATCTAGGTTTTAAGCCCTGCATGCATGCATTTCTTTATAGCAGTGTGAAAAGAGACTAATACAATTTCCTTTTTATTTTTTTGTTAGCTAGGCTGCCTGCAGTCTGTCTGATCACGCAGGACCCTGGTTCAGGACCTTTAGTAGGCTTTACACACAGACACTGGCCCTGTTCTGCTCCATTTCTCTCCTTTTTAGGATAGCCTAGCATTTGTCAGCAGCTGGAGCTTCCCCAAGCTGGGTCCTTTTCAAGTGAGAAAGATGGCTGGTTTCCAAGGGAGCTTCAGCACCCACAATCAAGCCACACTGTGGCATCAGACCACACTCAGGCTAAAGCCATAGAGATGGGAGGCACTCTCTGTGCCATCTCTTTTAAAAATGTTTCCTCCTCTTCAAATTTATTGTTTTTGCTTACTTTCCAGAGCCCCCAGATAGTGTTTTGTTGTTGTTGTTGTTGTTTGTATTTTTGTCCAGAGTTTATAGTTATCTATGAGAAGATTTGGCTTTTGGGAGACTACTCTGCCTTATCACAAGTAGAACTGTCTTGTGCATCTTATATTCTTTTCTCTACCTACCACAATATTATATAGTGGGAACTCAACAAATAAGATGAATAAAGAGACTAACGTAATGGCATTGGTTTTCTTCCCTCCCTTTCACATGTCAAATCACTGATATCACATTTTTGCTCCCAGGTGTACAGTGCACCTATTATGGCTCATAATTTCTATTATCTGAAACTTTCCAATACCCAGGGCACCTGGCAGAGCCTAGTAAAGAGTGTAAAAATGAAGGTTTTTCTGCTCTCTAAGAGTGATCCTCAGTGGCTCTTTGTGCATCTAAAAGGAGGTATAGGGCAGACCTGGCAGAGTGGAACATATAAGCAGAGTCAGCCCCTGCAGTCAAGGCAGAGAAAAGAAGGACTTCTGGGCTGGGGGCATTCAAGCATCTCATGGCTTAGAAATGCATGTTAGTATTAAGCAAGATTAGGGAATGTAAGGAGTGGAAAGCATGGAACACTGAGGCAGGCTAAGTCTATCTCTGGTTATTTTTATAGAACTCTTAACTTAATTCTCTAAAGCAATACATTTCACCTTCTCACTTTTTTTCTCTTCTGTATTCAAATAATACCAGAAAACTTCCCTCAAACTCCAAACAGCCTTTCCCCAATAACCTACCTTTGAAAATCCTGATCCTTTCAGAACGCATTTTTTTCCTCCTGTGGAATTATTTATTTATTTATTTATTTGTTTATTTCCAATCCATTTCTTCAGAGCACATTGTAGCAAATGCCTGGTTAATTAGAAAATCTCATTCAGACTACATTGTTTTTGTCAGAGAATGGTTAGCCTGTGTTTATGCTAAATACTCTTCTTCACTTACCAGAATAATTGGACTGTAGGATTAGAAGTGTGAGAATTTAGGCATTACAAATCTGTATCTTCTACTTAGCATAACCAAACCTGAAAAATATTTCATTGTTGTCATATTGTTGCTGTCTGTTTTCTATTCCAGATAATAATAATAATTTATATTGCTTAAAGGAAAATTTAAAATTATTGTCACATACGTCCTTATGTGTAAGGAAAAATATGAAAATAATCCATACCTTAGAATTAATTGATCCCTGCTCTCATTTTACTATCATTTTCATATCTAGCATAAGAACTTTTTATATTAAAGTGCTTTTTAAATATTACAATATTATTTTACTTGATTTATTTTTTCATTTAATGCCACACCATGGACATTTTGAGCTCTATGTAGTCTTTAAAACATGATTTTAAAAGTCAGGTTAGTTTTCTATCTCATTCATTTACCAGGAGGAGTGAAAACATATTTCAGATTGCTTCTCCAAACTGTCTTGGTTGAATCGTAGTGATATGAAGAAATGACATTCATAAATTTGGTCAATTTAAGTTCAACTTGGGCTAGGGAGAATCTCTAACTTATTTCCAAATTGGGTAATTATAGATGTTGAAAAAAACCACATAATAATTATTCAGGGATAATATTTACTGAAAATTATCATAAAGATTTAAATGCCAAAGGAAGTCACATTGTTTTAACTGTAAAGTACAAGTTCAGAGGTAGAGGTTCCAAATGCCTAAATTCTTCATAGATTAGTCTTGCTGAAGTAAAGAATTTGACTAGGGGACATAGGCTTACAGGAGGCTTCTATTTCAGCTAGTTAGTTTGTTTTGAAAATAAAGAGATTTATATTATTTGAAACAAATATACTGGAGTTTTGTTACAGTTGACAACACTCACATTTAAGCCTCACGCATCTCATGTGGGCATAATGCTTGAATAATTTTCAAATAAATGTAATAGTAATGTGGCCAGGTGTGGTGACTTATGCTTGTAATTCCAGTAGTTTGGGAGGCCGAGGTGGGCAGATCACCTGAGGTCAGGAGTTCAAGACCAGCCTCGCCAACATGGCAAAACCCCATCTCTACTAAAAATACAAGGCGTGGTGGCACACACCTGTAGTCCCAGCCACTTGGGAGGCTGAGGCAGGACAATCACTTGAACTCCAGAGGTGGAGGTTGCAGTGAGCCAAGATTACGCCACCACATTCCAGCCTGGGTGACAGAGTGAGACTCTGTCTCGAAAAAATGTAGTAGTAATATAATAATACAAGTAATTACTTGGTTTCCAAAAGCATAAAAGAATAAACTCCAAGGTAAAAGCAGTCCTCTCTTACAAATAGCTTCATCACTTATTTTCATAGTTCAAATTTTACCTCAGATGATGACGATGATGATGATAATAGCTAATATTTCATGAGCACTTACTCTATGCCAGGAAATGTTCTAAGTACTTTAGATCTATCAACTATTAAGTCCTCTAAACCGCTCTTTGAGATAGGCACTTTAATTAGCACCACTTTACAGCTGAGAAGACTGACACAGAGGTTAAGAACATTTTCAAGGTCACCCAGCTCAAGTGGAGGAGCCAGGATTTGAATCCAGGCAGTCTGACTCCAGAGAGTGCTCTTAACCTGAGCTAATCATTATACTATTCCTAGCATGCTAATCAGTACTATGGCTAGCCTAATTGTGAAGCATGTATTAATTTATTTCAAATAAACATATACAATACCTGCCATTTATAAAGCGTTACATAGTCTTCCAAATACCTTTTCACACATTGCTTTATTCAGTTCACACAAACACCTCCCATGTTTAACAGAAGACGAATGTGGACCTTAGATGAGTCAAGTAACTTGTCACTTATTGCACTGCTACTAAGGACAGACTCATGAAAAAAGCAAGTTGAGTCATGCTATTGACTCAACTAGGAGCCAAAGACAGAGATTTTCTCAATATTAAAATCTCATTACAAACCTGGGGAACATCCATTGAAACCAACATTAATAAAAATCAAGACATCTCTGGAATCCTGTGCTGTAGGTAGAATTGGTCCTTCCTGCTGCTTTTGCTGCCTTAGAACAAGTGCTACAAATGGCAGTATCTTTTGGATATGAAGAATTGCATCCGTAAGACTGAGATAGAATCAATCTCGTTGATAGACTATCAGGGAGGTCAGACAAGCCAGTATGGGTTGTTTCTCTCTGAGTTCATGATCTGGATCATTTTGATGACAGATTTTGGAAATTACCAGAGGTGAGCATGGACTGTGAAACACATTGGCACTCACTGTGAAGGCACTGGCCCTAGGTAGCAGCCATTTCTCTGTAAAAGCGATACTTTGCTTCAGAAAAACACATGACCCTTTAACATTACTTCCCTTGGGTAAGCGAAAGCCTCTGGCAAATCTTCTCTGATGACCTCAGAAACTGCAGATGGTAAGGAAAAAAATAAAGTCTTGTTCAGTCTGGCAGTCCACTTTTATAGATAATACATCCTAATATCCATTTGTGAACAAAACAAGAAAAAGAATCAAGTTTTCCAGTAAGTGAAGAAATCTTCACACACACGCTATTGAGATGGTGTTATTATAAATGTCCTTATAAATGTTGTAAATGACATCCACGGGCTTACAGGATCATCTATGTATCTGAATGAGAATTCCAACAAAATCACATATTTTTTCCTATGTGCCCTCTGGCTTTTGATTTTTTTCTGCTGAACCAAGAAAAGATTGGCACATGCATTGATGAGTCACTGTATATAAATGTGTTCCAAGTGTATTGACAAAAGAGGAGGAGGCTTGACATAAAGTGCTTGCTATCTTAGAAATAAAACATTTGTTATATTGGGAAATTTGTTCATTTTTTATTATTGCAATTACTAACAAGTTTTGCCTCATTGGTTGCCTCAGAAGGTAATTCACAGGCAAGAGCAATGAGCCAAATTTGAAGAATTAAAAATGGAGAGATAGAAACTCCTTTCCCTTGGATCTTCCCGAGTGGGCAACTTTTACAGTTGAGTCTGCTGAAGCTTCCATATACAATATTGCTGTCTTCAATAAGCACTACATTTTTTTCCTGCTCTTTGTGCATGAGGTGGGCAGGATTTCATATATCATGTTCAACTGAATTGGAGATTCTGCAAGGACAGACGTCTTTAGAAAGTTAATGAATGAGAAACTTGCCAGTGGATCATTTTCTGTAGGGAGAGGTGGTAGAATTATTGAAGGTTTGACTCCAATGTTTGAGTCTAGCTACGCTGAGCAGCTTTGCACACAGTTACCACCACTGATTTCCTTTTCATTGCATGGCACTGACAGGTTATGATAGCAAAGCCATTTATCTTAAGTTAATAAATCAGAAGGAGGTTTTTAAAAAACGGCTGTGACGCTTCATGCAGCAGCTTTGGGAAGTCAAAGGACACAGGGGTTTTTGCTTGATCCTGATTTGAGCTTAAGAGGAAAATTATTTATCTTCAAGTTGTTAATTAAGAAAGAAAAGGAATATCCTTTGTTTGACTATTATATCACACCCAGGGACATTTCATAATAACGAGCTGCCTGAGCTGCTATCTCTGCAGCAATTCACTCTACTAGCCCAACACTGTCTAACACTTTTCACCTCTCCTTGTATTTTTCACTACAGTGATATCTCATCAGAATAGAAAGTACTTTTTGTTAATTGTCTGCCACTGAGACTAGTCAGAAAACTGACTAGAAGCCAAAGAAGGAAAATTACAAAGAAAAAGATTGAGCCATAGCTTTTCTCATTTAAAAAATATGTAGTTTGTTATCATTATTATTACTCTCAAAAGTAAGATTATTGCATTTTCCAGTTTATTGCACTAGCATGAAGAGGAACATTCGATAGAGGGAGTACATCCTTAGTCCACAAGTTTTGATGCTTCCTAGAAGAATTCTGTGCATGCAAATCACACCTTCTACTTTCTCTACTTTAGCTCATTCCACAATTATTTTTAACTAAGCACACACTGTGAATGTGCATACACTTCCAGGAAAAGAAGGGCTGTAAAATCACTGCTATGATAAAAATGAAGGTATTGTAGCAAGTTCCTGCAGCTGAGCCTGCAATCTTGTGATACCAACGTTTCCTGGCATGGCTTGGGAGAATTACTGTCTATGGACTGGATAGAAGAAGAGAAATGAAATATAATGCTTAAGCCATTGAGAGATATTCCTGAAACTGGCTTCCTTTAGTAAGATAGCAGATTACAGCTGGGCTGTCTACCACTTCTATTTTAGCAATTAACTTCATTACAATAGGAATAATACTGTATTTAAAGGGACACAGAGAGTTGTGCACTGCTTCAAAGTCCCAAAAAGTATAGACAGGTCTAGGAGATTCTGTGTATTAGGGTGCCAGAAAATAGGGCAGGGCCGCTAAACTAAATGTAATATGTTTTGCAGCTTCTCTAGGTTTATGTCATGTTTTCCTCTTCATGGGAAACGTGTATTTGTGAAAGAGCTTGGTGCTTGCTCTATCAGATGCTTGGCTTCAAAACTTCCTAAAAGCAAGGAGTAGGTGATCTAAATGGAGAAGGGATCTATTTTGATTAGAATCAATGCAGATCTGGAAGAACTTAAAAAACTGAATAATATTTGATATTACCACCAGGTGATAACAATGTCAGGAAAAGTGATCTCTTAAGCAGCAGTTGAATAAGATGTGTTGATTCAAAATACTTTGTCTTTTTTTTCCTCCTCCTTCTCTCCTTTTCTCTTCTCTTTCACTTCCTCCTCCTCCTCCTCTCATTTTCTCCTTTAAATTCTCTCTATTAAATTCCAAGCTCTGTGATTGAAATACTAGAAAAGATCTCTGGGAAACCTATTTTTAAGTAGTTATTACTAAGATGAGATAAATGACTGCATTGATAAACAATCTTTACAACTCATTTGCAATTTGAAATAATCTTTCTTTTGAAAGCTTTCGACAGGAAAAAACAAAGCTAGTCATTACACAGCTACCCCTACGTGCTAAGTGTTCTCACCAGTGATTTCATATAGCTCACAAGGTAGGTATTATTATGTCTGATTTTTATCAGTGAAGAATGAGGCCTCAACAGGTTAGACAACTAGCTCAAATTCATAGACATGAGCCTTAATTTGAACTCAGATCTGTTTAATTCCTAAATTTCTATTTGTTCTAAAAGATGCATTACTCCATTATTGTTTATAAATACATTTCTCATTAACATTTAAGCAATCTCAGTGCTGTTAGTCAAGGATTATGAAGTCCTTTTTACAGATGGGGGATTATAGTACAGAAATTCATACTAAAACCACTTTAGGGCAGTTCCCTAAAGGCAGAGCAACTTGTAAAACCTCTAGTCTTCTATACTGAAACCAGTCTCTTGTCAATAATTACCTTCCCTCTCTCATGCCAGGATTATACCAATGTGTCCTTCAAGAACCAAGTGGCTGCTCCTCTTAGAAAAAATTGTTGACCTTTATAAAGTGGAATCTGGTGCCCCTAATTGGTGCTCTTTTGAGACCCTGTGTGTGGTACTATTGCCCTACAGCGTAATTGTTAGTTTTCTTTTCTGAGCTCTTTGCCATTAATCTGTGATCTTGCACTTTTGGGAGAGGAGCTGTGTCCTGTTTATCTCCTGATTATAAGCCATAGGCCACATACTCTGGGAGTTCCTCCCAGATATGTAATAATAGTTGACATTTACTGATCTCTTATAATATCTCAAACACTATTCTATGTACTTTTCATGACACAACTTTTAATCCTCATGATAATCATCAGGTCTTTTATTAAGCCCACTTTACAAGTCAGCCCTCTGAAGTATAGAAAGTAAATTGCACAAGTTCACATAATGAATAAAGGTGGGGTTGAGATTTGAACCCATGCAATCTGATACAAAAGCTCATATTTTTAACCACTGAATTAGACTATGACATCTTTCATAGGAGTTCAAAGAAGTTTGTTGAATGGTTTTTTTTTAAGTCAACAGAGTAAATCCTTCACAAAATTGGGCCCTTAAAAAGTCAACTGAGGACATTGGGAATATAGTACCTAAGGACCTTAATTTCATGTCTAAATCTCACAGTGAATGGGTGTCAGAGAATAGACTAGAAACCTTGCCTCCTAATGACCCCATAGCAAATTATGGAGAACATACCAAGAGGAGCTTCAGATGGCGCATCATTCGTTTTTTTTCCTAAGCCTTAGCAAACTTTTTGTTTTACACTTGAAGATGGCTGTAGATATTTTTGAAGGACAGAGCTGGCAGCTTTAATCAGACTTTACACTGATTCCCACAGAGACTCACTTATTAGTTCACCAACTCAGAATTCATTGATTACTTTTATGTCTGGGGATTCTGAAATCTGATTCTCCATGTCTCTCCCAGATGTCAGAATACTAATTCCTTGCAGACTCTTATGGCTTTGCTGTATGATTCACTCTGCTCAACACAGCCAACAACAATGAGGTTAAAGGGAGAAGAGAAAATAAAGCTGGCGTATATTCTTGAAGCTGCCAACTTTAACTCTCTCTGTGTAGATAGCATGGCAATATGCTAGCTAGCAGAAGATGCAAAAATAAGTAAGACCATGCTTTCTTCGCCCTCGGGAAGCTTATAATTTAATGGGAGAAAAGATGGTTGATCAACATGCTAAGAAATATTAAAAGGCTATATTACATACTTCCTCGGAAAGGATATAAACAAAAATTTTTGAGGGGATCAGAGTGTGTGTAGCTTCAAGAAAATGAAAGAGACGGCAGTTAGGATAAGAATTAGAGCAATCAGTTTTCTTTTTCAAGGTTGCTGACTAGAAACATTACATGCTGCCTCATCTACTTAGAAGAACGAAAATAGTGTGTAGACAATTATACTTTGAGGACATTATCCAAGAGAGAACATAGGAAGTCAACAGAAAAATTACAGGAAACACCAGAAACTAGGAAGTAGAAGGAAAAGAGGTAGCCTGCTTGATTGGGCCTGGCTGGGAGCTGGGAGAGACTCCTCCACAATATGGGGAGAGGGTGAGTGAGAGATTTTCTGTGTGGTCCACTTTCCCACAGGGGAATTGTACAATACAGGCCACAAGAGCACCTTGACCCTCCCAAGTTCTGAATCTAACTTAGGAAGCCACCAGGAGAGTGTGAGAAGGGACTCCATTAAGGAGGCAGCTTGCTCTAGGTCTATGCCTTTCCTGAGACTTAAGCAGCTACCACAAGATGCCATTTTTGACGTTAGCCTTTAAAAGATTGTGCATTGTTTTGGGACTCTGCAGTGCTGGTACTGGGTGTTAGAGAAACTCAGGCTGTTGCCTGTGAAACTGGAACATAAGGTGACCAGCAGGGTGCCCACAGTTAAGACTGAGAAGCAAGCATGCCATGGTCTGCAGATGCCAGTGCTGGGAATCAGGCACCACCCCTGGGACTTGAGCAGGGTGAAAGTTGCCATGGAGGCTTGGTTCCAACCTGGACGGTGACTCCAGTGTCCCAGGGTTTAGTTGCAGACTATGTAGATCTGCTGGATCTGACTGGTCAGCCCGTTCTGCTGTAATAGCTGGGACTGTGAAGCAAGTCCTGACTGGACTAAGGCATGAGAGGGATGCATGTTTCCTACCTGCTGGCCAATGCTATGGTCTCTAAGGTCAGCCCCACCCTCCCTGTGGCAAGACTTTAGCATGACAGGTGCTACCCCTTACCTGAACTCTCTGCCAGGGGCCTGAGGATCATCCCACTCCCATCTATCATGGCTGGCACATGCACTCACCATTGGGGGGCACTCACCATCTGTAATGGAAGAATTCATTGAAGGAAATAAAAAATAAATTGGAAAGTCTCAACAACAGACTAGACCAAACAGAAGAATAATTTCAGAACTTGAAGGTAGACCTTTGGAAATAATCCAGTAAGATAAGAATAAAGGAAAAAAAGAATTTCAAAAATAAGCAAAACTTTAGAGACATTTGGGACAACATAAGGTGACCAGAGTTTCAAATTATCAGTATCCCTGAGAGCAAAGAGAAATCAAAAGGTTTAGAAAACTTATTTAATTAAATAATAGATGAAAATTTTCTAAGTCTAGCAAAAGCTTTAGACATCTAGATATAAGAGGCTCATCAATCCCCAAATAGTATGCAAAAAGACATTAGCCATGGCACATTACAATCAGACTGTCTAAAGTAAAAACAAAAAATCAAATTCTAAAACAGTCAAAGAAAAATCTTTAGTAACCTATAAAGGAAACCCCATCAGACAGCAGACTTCTTAGCAGAAATCTCACAGGCCAGAAGAGAATGGGATAATGTGTTCAAAGTGCTCAAAGAAAAAAGCTACCAGCCAATACTATGTCTAGCAAGACTAACTTTCATAAATAAGAGAGAAATAGTCCTTCCCAGGCAAGCAAATGTTGAAGGAATTCCTCAACACTAGACCAGCCATACAAGATATGGTCAAGAAAATTCTAAATGTGGAAACAAAAGAATGACATTTACTATCATGAAAGCACACAAAAGTATAAAACTTTCTGGTAAAACAATCATACCAAGGAGAAAAAGAAAGAAATCAAATGGCACCACTACAGAATCCCACCAAACCACAAAGACAAACAGTGAGAGAAAAAGAAAAAAAGCAAATAATTTATAAAACAACTAGAGAACAATTAACAATATGACAGGAACAAAACCTCACATGTCAATAATAACCTTGAATTCACATGGATTAAAGTTCCAATTAAAAGATATAGATTTTCTCCTAAGTTTATTAAAAAAGATAGATTCTACTCAATAGATAAAAAAAAAAGATTCAGCTATATGCTGCACACAAGAAACTCATTTTATCTTTAATGGCACATAAACATTGAAAGGAAAGGGATAGAAAAAGATAGTCCATGCACACAGAAACCAAAAGAAAGCAAGAATAACTATACTAATATCATATAAAACACACTTTAAGTCAATCATAGTTAAAAAAAAAAAAGAAGACAACAAAGGTCATTATATAATGATAAATGAGTCAATTCAGCAAGAGGATATACAATTCTAAATATGTATGTACCCGATACTGGAGCACCAAGATCCATAAAACAAATAGTACTAGACCTAAATAGAGAGATAGAATGCAATAGAATAATAGGGGGTGAATTTAACACCTCACTTTCATCATTAGACCAATCATCTAGACAGAAAATCAACAAAGAAACATTGGACTTAAACTGGACTTTAGACCAAATGGACCCAATAGACATTTCATAACATTCTACCCAATAACTGGTGAATATATGTTATTTTCATCTGCACATAAAACATTCTCCAATATAAGCCATGTGTTAGGCCACAAAACAAAGCTCAACAAATTTTAAAAATCAAAATTATATCAAGTATTTTCTCAAACCACAATGAAATAAAACTAGAAATCCATACCAGGAGGAACTTGTGAAACTATAAATATACATAGAAATAAAATATGTTTCTGAATGTCCATTGGGTCAATGAAGAAATTAATATTGAAATCAAAAATTTTTTGAAACAAATTAATATGAAAACAAAATATACTAAAACCTGTGAGATATAGCAAAAGCAGTGCTACGAGGAAAGTTTGTAACGTTAAATGCTTACATTAAAATGTAGAACAATTACAAATTAATAATCTAATGGTGTACCTTAAGGAATGGGAAAAGCAATAACAAACCAAACCCCAAATTAGCAGAAGAAAAGTAATAACAAAGATCAGTGCAGAACTAAATGAAATAGAGAATAAGAAAACAATACAAGAGATCAACAGAACAAAAAGTGACTCTTCAAAAAGGTAAATAAAATTGATAAACTGCTAAATGGACTAACCAAGAAAACAGAGAACACCTAAATAAACAAAAATCAGAACTGAAAATGGACACATTATACTTATAACACAGAAATACAAAAGATCATCAGAGACTGTTAAGAACAACTAGAAAATCCAGAAATAAGTAAATTTCTGGAAATATACAACCTAACAAGACTGAATGAGGAAAAAATAGAAAACATGAGCAGACCAATAAGTAAAAAGATTGAATTAGTAATAAAAATATCTCCCAACAAAGAGAAGCCCAGGACTAGATAGATTCACAGCCAAATTCTACCAAACACACAAAGAAAAACTGATATCAATCCTCCTGAAACTACTCCAAAACGTTAAGGAGGAAGGAATTTCCCCTAATTCATTCTATGAGGCCAGTATTACCCTGATTACCAAAACCAGACAAGGACATAACAAAATAAGAAAACCACAGACCAATATCACTGATTAACATTGATGCAAAAATCCTCAACAAAATAATAGCAAACTGAGTCCAACAGCTTATGGGATAGATCATACAATGTGATCAAGTGGATTTTATACCAGGGATGCAAAGATAGTTCAAATATGCAAATAGTAACTGTAATACATCACGTAAACAGAATAAAGGGAAAAACCTAAATGATCATCTGAGTAGATGCAGAAAAAACTTTTAATAAAATTTAACATTCTTTCATGATAAAAACCCTCAACAAATTAGGCATAGAAGGAACATAACCTCA
Source organism: Homo sapiens (assembly GCF_000001405.40). Taxonomy (NCBI): domain Eukaryota; kingdom Metazoa; phylum Chordata; class Mammalia; order Primates; family Hominidae; genus Homo; species Homo sapiens. The sequence goes on along the minus strand of NC_000001.11, from coordinate 96,068,115 downwards.
AAACAATAAAGACCATATTTGACAAACCTACAGCCAACATTATAGTTGTTGGGTGTGGGAAAATGGGTGTTGAGTGGGGAAAATGGAAAGTATTTATTTCCTTTAAGAATTGGAACAAGAAAAAGATGCCCTCTTTTATTCCTCCTATTCAACATAGTACTGGAGGTCCTAGCTAGAGCTCAGTCAAGAGAAAGAAATAAAAGGCATCTAAATTAGAAAAGAGGAAGCCAAAGTATCTCTGTTTACTAATGACATAATCTTATAGCTATAAAAACCTAAAGACTTCACCGAAAAACTCTTAGCTTTCATAAATGAATTCAGTAAAGATGCAGGTTACAAAATGAATGTAAAAAATCTGTAATGTTTCTATGTACCAATAATGATCTAGCTGAGAAAGAAATCAAGAAGGCAATCTCATTTACAAGAGGAACAAAGAAAATAAAATACCTAGGAATAAATTTAACCAGAGGGGTGACCTATCTCTATGAGGAAAACTATAAAACACTGCTGAAAGAAATTGAAAATGACACCAATGAACGGGAAAACATCTCATGTTCATAGATCAAAAGAATAAATATCATTAAAATGACCATACTGACCAAACTAATCTAGAGTCAATGCAATCCCTATCACAATGCCAATGTCATTTTTCACAGAATTAGAACAAAATCCTAAAATTCATATGGAACCAAAAAAGAGCTCATATAGCCATAGCAATCCTGAGCAAAAAGAAAAAAAAAGTGAAAAGCATCACATTATCTGATTTTATATTATAAGGCTATAGTAACCAAAACAGCATGGCACTGGTGTAAAACAGACACATAGCTTAATGGAACAGAATAAGGAACTCAGAAATATTTACAGCCAACTGATCTTTGACAAAGCCAACAAGAACATACACTGGGAAAAGAAGACTGTCTTCAATAAATTGTACTGGGAAAATTGGATAGTCACATGCAGAAGAATGAAATGAACTCTCTCACCATACAAAAAATCAACTCAAGATGGATTAAAGACTTAAATGTAAGACCCCAAACTATAAAAATAGTAGAAGAAAACATAATGAAAATTCTTCTGGACATTGGTGTATGCAAAAAAATTATTATTAAGATGTCAAAAGCACAGGCAACAAAAAGAGAAGTAGACAAATGGGACTTAAACAAAAAAGCTGCTACACAGCAAAATAAATAGAGTGAAGACACAACCTGTTAGGAAAAAAAATTGCAAAATATTCATTTGACAGGGTACTAATATCCAGGATATACAAGGAACTCAAATAACAACAACAACAAAAATCCAAAATTTATAAAACCTCCATTAAAATGTGGGCAAATGTCTTGAATAGACATTTTTCAAAAGAAGACATACAAATGGCTAACAGGTATATGAAGAAATGCTCAAATTACTAATCATTAGAGAACTGCAAATCAAAACCATAATGAGATATCATCTTATCCTAATCAGCATGGATGTTGTTAAAAAAGATTGAAAAAGATAAATGTTGGCAAGGATGCAGAGAAAAGGGGACTCTTAAACACATTTGGTGGAAATACAAATTAGTACAACTTCTATGGAAAACAGTATGGAGATTCTTCATAGAGTTAAAAATAGAAATACCATTTGATTCAGTAATCCCACTACTGGGTATCTACCCAAAGGGAAATAAATCAATATATAAAAAGATACTTGCACTTGTTTATTTACTTCAGCATTATACACAATAGAAAAATATGGAATATATTAGGGTTCTCTAGAGAGTCAGAACTAATAGGATATATGTATACATGAAAGGGAGTTTATAAGGAGAACTGATTCACACGATCACAAGGTAAAGTCACATGATAGGCCGTCTGTAAGTTGCGGAGCAAGGAAACCAGGAGTGGATTAGTCTGAGTCCCAAAGCTCAAAAGTAGGGAAGCCGATATTGCAGCCTTCGGTCTGTGGCCAAAGGCCTGAAAGCCCCTGGCAAACGACTAGTGTAAGTCCATGAGTCCAAAAGCTAAAGAGCTTGGAGTCTGATGTTAGAGGGCAGGAAGCATCCAGCATGGGAGAAAGATGAAGGCAAGAAGACTCAGCAAGTCTACCTTCTTCTGCCTGCTTTTTCCAGCCATGCTGGCAGCCAAGAGGATGGTGCCCACCCAGAGTAAGAGTGGGTCTGCCTCTCCCAGCCCAGTGACTCAAATGTTAATCTCCTCTAGCAACACCCTCACAGACATACCCAGAAACAATACTTTGGATCCTTTCATTCAATCAAGTTGACACTTAACATTAACCATCACATGGAATCAAGCTAAGTGTCCATCAATGGATGAATGGTTAAAGAAAATTTGGTATATATACACAATAGAATACTATTCAGTCATAAAAAAGAATTAAATCATGTATTTTGCAGTAAGATGGATGGAACTGGAGATTTTATGTTAAATGAAACAAGCCAGGCACAGAAAGACAAATATCACATATTCTCACTCATACATAGGTGATAAAAAATGTGTTCACATGGAGGTAGAGGTGGAATTATAGATAATGGAGACACAGAAAGATAGGGTATGGAGATCAGGATAATGAGAAATTGGTTAATGGTACAATGTATGTTATTTGGGTGATGGATACCCTAAAAACTCTGATTAGACTACACAATCCATGCATATAACAAAATTACATATGTACCCCATAAATATGTACAAACAAAAAAGAAATAAAAGAATTACAGCAATTATGTATAAAATACCACTACTAATGTTTACATAGTCCACCAAAGGATGCATATCTGAAGAATTGCATGTGGGACCCCTTCAATTTGTAAATGTTAGAGCTTTAACTACTTACTTTACATATTGAGAAACTGGCAACTATTATACAGTAGCATTTATTGAGCATTTACCCTGTACTTTGGCATCTGATTTATATATCATGCACTCAGTTATCCTAATTGAACACATTAATGCATCAATGTATGCATTCATTCATTCAACAATTCAACAATTTTTTTAATTATTATACTCTAAGTTTTAGGGTACATGTGCACAATGTGCAGGTTAGTTACATATGTATACATGTGCCATGCTGGTGTGCTGCACCCACTAACTCGTCAGTCATCTAGCATTAGGTATATCTCCTAATGCTATCCCTCCCCCCTCCCCCCACCCCACAACAGTCCCAGAGTGTGATGTTCCCCTTCCTGTGTCCATATGTTCTCATTGTTCAGTTCCCACCTATGAGTGAGAATATGCGGTGTTTGGTTTTTTGTTCTTGCAATAGTTTACTGAGAATGATGATTTCCAATTTCATCCATGTCCCTACAAAGGACATGAACTCATCATTTTTTATGGCTGCACAGTATTCCATGGTGTATATGTGCCACATTTTCTTAATCCAGTCTATCATTGTTGGACATTTGGGTTGGTTCCAAGTCTTTGCTATTGTGAATAGTGCCACAATAAACATACGTGTGCATGTGTCTTTATGGCAGCATGATTTATAGTCCTTTGGGTATATACCCAGTAATGGGATGGCTGGGTCAAATGGTATTTCTAGTTCTAGATCCCTGAGGAATCACCACACCGACTTCCACAATGGTTGAACTAGTTTACAGTCCCACCAACAGTGTAAAAGTGTTCCTATTTCTCCACATCCTCTCCAGCACCTGTTGTTTCCTGACTTTTTAATGATTGCCATTCTAACTTGTGTGAGATGCTATCTCATTGTGGTTTTGATTTGCATTTCTCTGATGGACAGTGATGGTGAGCATTTTTTCATGTGTTTTTTGGCTGTATAAATGTCTTCTTTTGAGAAGTGTCTGTTCATGTCCTTCGCCCACTTTTTGATGGGGTTGTTTGTTTTTTTCTTGTAAATTTGTTTGAGTTCGTTGTAGATTCTGGATATTAGCCCTTTGTCAGATGAGTAGGTTGCGAAAATTTTCTCCCATTTTGTGGGTTGCCTGTTCACTCTGATGGTGGTTTCTTTTGCTGTGCAGAAGCTCTTTAGTTTAATGAGATCCCATTTGTCAATTTTGGCTTTTGTTGCCATTGCTTTTGGTGTTTTAGACATGAAGTCCTTGCCCATGCCTATGTCCTGAATGGTAATGCCTAGGTTTTCTTCTAGGGTTTTTATGGTTTTAGGTCTAACGTTTAAGTCTTTAATCCATCTTGAATTGATTTTTGTATAAGGTGTAAGGAAGGGATCCAGTTTCAGCTATCTACATATGGCTAGCCAGTTTTCCCAGCACCATTTATTAAATAGGGAATCCTTTCCCCATTGCTTGTTTTTCTCAGGTTTGTCAAAGATCAGATAGTTGTAGATATGTGGCGTTATTTCTGAGGGCTCTGTTCTGTTCCATTGCTCTATATCTCTGTTTTGGTACCAGTACCATGCTGTTTTGGTTACTGTAGCCTTGTAGTATAGTTTGAAGTCAGGTAGCGTGATGCCTCCAGCTTTGTTCTTTTGGCTTAGGATTGACTTGGCGATGCAGGCTCTTTTTTGGTTCCATATGAACTTTGAAGTAGTTTTTTCCAATTCTGTGAAGAAAGTCATTGGTAGCTTGATGGGGATGGCATTGAATCTATAAATTACCTTGGGCAGTATGAACAATTCAACAGTTGAGTACTGGTTGTGAACTAAGCACAGTTCCACACATTAGGAAAAAAAATAGTAAACATGTCTCTGCCTTATGAGGTTGTCTCTACTTAGGAGAGACAGACAATGCACTAAGCAAATGAAAAAAAATTATAAATTACAGAACATGCTAAGAAAGAAACAAATAAGGACACAAGGTAGAGAATAATAAAGGGCTGTACATACATGTATGAAAAAACCAAAGAGATTTCTTTCTGGCTTAGATTTATTAAGGAAACTATAATTTACATCTACACCAAATATACCTTTTGGTCCAGTGGAGAGAACAGCCAGTTGTTAAAACCAATAGTCAACTGAAAGTGAACATTACCATCATGAAGAGAACTTGTGGAAGAAAAGAATAAATTTGAAATTATCAAATATTTTAATTACAGTTACAATTCTATTATTAAAACATTGATAGTCAAATTTTAAAAGTGAAATTATTGTGCAAGAACACTTAAAGACTGTTAGCTGCTGGATTGTACTCACCATCACTACAGTGTACACTTGTGTTACTAAAATATGCTTGCTTTCAATGGGCACATTTGCTAATACCAATTAGCTTTTTGCATCTAGGAGAAAGAAATTCAGAAACACATATTTCAGCAATTTTTTCTTGTTGTTTTTGTTTTGTGAGACAGGGTTTTGCTCATTCTGTCGTCCAGACTAGAGTGCAGTGGCATGATCACTTCAGCCTAAGCGATCCTCCAGCCTCAACCTCCTGAGTAGCTAGGACTACAGTCATGCATGCCCAACTAATTTTTTATTTTCTATAGAGACAGGGTCGCAGTATATTGCCCAGGCTGCTCTTGAACTCCTGGATTCAAGCAATCCTCCCACCTCGTCCTTCCAAAGTGTTGAGATTACAGGTGTGAGCCACTGCACCTGGCCACCTATTTCTTTTCTAGAGAAACTTTTCTGCTTCAGATTTATAGCTAGGGCAGCTTTCAAAAATTCTTCCTATTAAACTACTGGAAATGGTTAGCAGTCTAAAGGAGTGATTCTCATACTTTGGCACACCTTCTGCATCACTGGAGGGTTCCCAGCAAAAACCACTAGGTTTATTTTCTCACCTCTGGTGATACTAGCCTGCAGGTTCAGGGACCACACTTTGAGAACTACTCGACTGAAATATTCAGCTTGACAAAATTGAAACACCATGTTTAACCTCCGTAGACTCAAAATTACAAGTATCAGTAATTGTTTTCTTAAAGTTGTCTTGCAATGTCTGTTGCTTTGAAATTTGACTAGTGAGAACAAAATGTGTGAAGTATTTTTTCATTTCCTTTATTCCATTTTAATTATGATTTCTGGATCAAATATAAACGACTTGGGAAATTTTCCTCATGAAAATTTTGAGGTGCCAAAGTTGACATCTGCTTTTAATTCATCCTCAAAAATTATGAAAAATTCCAAATAGGAATTTTTCTTCGCAGGCATCTTGGCTTAAATAGACTTAGTTAAATACTAAATAAAATACTTAAATACAATTTTGTCTAATGTTATAAATACTATGTTAAAAAATTTAACAGACTAAAATCATAATTTATTTTAATATCAATTATTTTGCCTTTTATAATTTAAATTTTATAAGTATGTGTTGATTGAAAAAAGGATATGTTCCTCTAAAGTTATTTATCCAACACTTTGTAAATATTCCTCAAAACTATAAATCCATTTCCCTGTTCAGTTCCTTGAAAATGCCAAATAATTGGTTTTATAGAAAAAAATTAGCTGCTTTAATAATAATCATTAATTATAGCAGCACTTTATTTGGCAATAATATACATTTTTATTTATTTCCAAAGGATATTATAAACTTTAGATCAGAGAGCCAAAAGCCTGTATCACACAGTTTCCATTGCTTTATGTCATGGATATTATATCAATATTAAGATTTGGTTTAAAATTATGTTGTAGTTAGAAATTTGTTCAGTTCAGGACTTTGTTTAATTTGTTTAATTTCAAAGTTATTTAAACCAACTAAGTTAAGTGGAAGGAACAATAGACATTAAAAACTTAGGAAAAGATAATTATATCAAGGATTCACACTGTGAGCCCATAAAGAAGAAAAACAAAGGTAGAAATACCTGTCAAGGAGAATCGGAGGTACAGAGCATAGATGCCCTTTCCTGATTATGTACATTCCTCCCTATAAGTCTTTTCAAAAGAGATAAAAAGTGGCAAACACACTAGGTAAAATTAGGTTTGTTTCTGAGTCAGGAGGCTTTCAAGCACTTAAAATTCACTTCTTCCTGTGTTTTCCTGGCAATCGTCTGAGTATCAAACACTAAACCAAAAACAATTTGCTGAAAACCTTAGCTATCAAAAAATTCAGTTGGCTTGGGCAGGGAGTGATAATTCTTGTCCCTTCAGTGCAGATTTCCTGGTTCCTCAAACACACAAGTAGTTTTTGGTTAACAGACAGGAGAGGGTTAACCAATAATTACACCAAACCATGCTGACCTGCAATTTGGCCATCTTCTCTGCACTAATTTTCTGCCTCCTCCAATTATCCAGCCTTCTGCACTACACCTGGTAGTCAAAGTCCTGTCTCCACAGTGCAGGACGCTGGTATGTCTGCCCTAAAATACACCTGTTGCCGGCAGATTCCTGCAGGTTAATTTCCACTGCCAGAGAAATTGCTCTAAATTGCATCGACTTTCAATGGGTTCCCACTGGCAAACACCTGGAGGCAATCGCCTGCAGATGACTGCCCAGAGACCCAGGTGTGTTTCTGGAGGCTGCCTTGCCCCAGTTCATCCTGATGAGATGTCTTGGTGCTCAGAGTGCAAAACAACTAACCCCGTTAATGAGTCGCAAAGACATTAACATTCAGAAAGGCTCACAAAGAAAATGAAGCCTTAAAGGCAACAGCCTCTCGCAGACGGGGCGGGGGTTGGTGGGGGTTGGGGGAGTGGAGAACTTGCTCCAGAATAAGCATGATGTTTCATTCTAAGAACCATCCCTGAGCCTCTTAGCGGCCCCTCCCCTTGATAGAAGAAAGAAGTTTTTCAGTAATAGCAGTCCATATGGTAACTGTCTTTTCTGGATATTGCTTGCTAATGAGTTGAGTGTCTACTTGCACACACTTGAAGTTATTTTTCTTTCCTGTTTTTTTTGCCTCCATACAATTCCTGAATGATCTGATTTTATGAAGACAGATTCTAAGAAATGTAGGCAGAAGATAAATAAAATCCCTTAACATATATGAGTACCATGAAGCTTTTTGGAAACATGCATTTTCTTTCATTATGAAATGAAAATTTGTAATTCTTATATTTCCAATGGGAATTTTCTCCAATCTTGGCCACAAGGACTGTCAACTGGAAATAAGGCAACAGACATAAAAACAAAAACAAAAAAAACAAACCTATTAGACTCAACTCCTTTGAAAGGTTGTCTTGTACACAGGCTATCACAGATATTTGTTTGATGACAGTAATAGTTGGTACTTGGATCTTAGCCCAAAACTGGTTCCTCTCAGTACCTGAGGGCGAACACCTGGCTAAAATTAATAACAGCACTGATGATAATCGCTAGCATTTGTTGGTAATTTGCTATGTGACCTGCACTATATTAAGGCTTTTGTGGGTAATCCCATTTAGGTAGGAAGCAATATCCCCAGGCTCAGGTCAAATTTGATGGCAATATAAATTTGGGAAGTCGTTTTTGAACTACAGGAGTGCTGAACCACTCTGATTATTTGCCTTCCAGAAATGAGCTAGAGGAGACCCTAATACCTACTCTCTTCTGACAGGACTGTTTCAGCAGAGGCTGCTGGATCCATATGTTTTGATTTCCAGCTAGTCCTGCTTGCCTCTCCTTTAATTTTCTATTCTAATTGGGTTTTATGAGGCTGGACTTTCTCAATTCATAGTCCTTTGCCTTGGCCATGGTGTTGTAGTAGAAAAACCCAAGGTGGTGGTGAGTGGAGATAAATCACACTCTACAAATACAATTTTGTATCTGTTTGATGTTGGGCAGCAGTGTTGCTGCAGGAAATGAGTGCAGAAACCCAAGTCAACCCAAGCCAACCCAAATTAGCAACTGGCCATTGGCAGTACATCCTGTCTGCCAGTTAGTGCCCTAGCATGATCACTAGTTCCTGGAGCATCCTTTATCTTGACTCTTTTTAAGTTTTTATTTTCATGTTTTGGATCGTTAGCTCCACTCTCTCTTTCTGAGAGCCAAGAGAAAAGCAGAGTGAGAATGCAAAATGCAAAGTAGAGATCATAACTAGGCAAAAACAGTTTAGGCATCGATAATTTTTTAAAAGGAGTTGAATTCATTGGAGCTACTGTAATTCTGATACTAGTTAGAGTAGAATTTACTAACCAGTTTTATCACTAGTCAATTTCCCTGTGGAAACAAAGTCACATCAAATCACTGGGCCACATTTTGCCAAAGTGTTTGGAAAGAGAATGAAAGTAAATTGATAACTGTGAAGAGACACTGATCCTATCTATGAACTATCTTTAAATACGCTAACCATCTGTACTAAGCCTGAAGATGGCATCAGGCCAGGTAATAGACCCTAAAGAAGCATAAATACCATAATTAATGACTTATTTCATTTGGGCTGCTATAACAAAATACCATAGACTGGGTGGCTTATAAACAACAGAATTTATTTCTAACAGTTCTGGAGGCCGGGAAGCCTAAGCTCAAGGCACCAGGCAGAGTTGATGTCTGATGAGGATCTGTTTCCTGGTTTATAGATGGCACCTTTCTGCTGTGTCCTTATGCAGTAGAAGGGTTGAGGCAGCTCTATAGGGCCACTATTATAAGAGCACAAATCTCATTCATGAGGGCTAAGCCCTCAAGACATCATCAACTCTGGAAGCATCGCCTCTTAATACTGTCACATTGGTGTTGGAATTGCAATATATGTGCTTAGAATTAAAGGGACAAATATTCAGACAACAGCATCTAGGATCTAAAAAAATCCAGAAGTGTTGAGTGAATTCTCACTTGTGATTCTCCCTGTCTCAAGTAGTAACCTTTGGAAGCAGTAATCAATCATGAGCAGTCCAAAGCACATTCTATATTCATGTCACACCCATTGCCATATGCCTGTTATCTGTTGCCAGAACCAAACTATATATACTCAACACCTTCACAAGGACTTGGCATCAGTAAAAATGGCTATTGACCTTGTTCCCGAGAAAAAAAAAAAAACAGCATTATTCATTCATTTAATAAACATTTAATGAGTGTCTACATTGGCCAGCCTCTGTGCTAGGTGCTTGGGAGAAAAATGACAAACGAGACAGACCTATTCCTTGACTTCAGGTATTTTTATCATGGAAGATAAACAAGTAAGGGAATGGTTTTCTGTGATGGTATAGTACACCAATGCTCATGATAGAAGTTGCATTCTTTGTTATTTCTGTAATTTAATTCAACTATGCAAATCAAACCCTTTTGACATTTTAAAATTTATTTTGAAAAAAGTTTCCTAAACAAGGAAGCTATTTCTACTGCTTCAGAATAACTTAAGACTGAGGGGAACAATGATTGAAGACTTCTGGGGACATTTGGTACTACTGGTGGGTCAGGTAGGAATTGAAGCCACAGTTAGCTATGGTTATTCATAGGTACCTTCATGCAGGAGATCTAAAAAGGGAGGCCATACAAGTTCTGAGTCCACATTAAACTTAGGGGATATTTGCATAGTAATAAAAATCATTATTAAGACTAGGTGTAGGATTTAGATTTTGCAAAGACTAAGAGACTAAATTTTAAAAAGGAAGTAGATGGGGGGAGGGGGAGCCAAGATGGCTGAATAGGAACAGCTCCAGTCTATAGCTCCCAGCGTGAGCAACCCCAAAGACATGTCATTTCTGCATTTCCATCTGAGGTACCGGGTTCATCTCACTAGGGAGTGCCAGACAGTGGGCGCAGGACAGTGGGTGCAGCGCACCATGCGTGAGCCAAAGCAGGGCGAGGCATTGCCTCACTTGGGAAGCACAAGGGGTGAGGGAGTTCCCTTTCCTAGTCAAAGAAAGGGGTGACAGATGGCACCTGGAAAATTGGGTCACTCCCACCCTAATACTGTGCTTTTCTGATGGGCTTAAAAAACGGTGCACCAGGAGATTATATCCCGCACCTGGCTCGGAGTGTCCTACGCCCACGGAGTCTCGCTGATTGCTAGCACAGCAGTCTGAGATCAAACTGCAAGGCGGCAGCGAGGCTGGGGGAGGGGCGCCCGCCATTGCCCAGGCTTGCTTAGGTAAACAAAGCAGCTGGGAAGCTCAAACTGGGTGGAGCCCACCACAGCTCAAGGAGGCCTGCCTGCCTCTGTAGGCTCCACCTCTGGGGGCAGGGCACAGACAAACAAAAAGACAGCAGTAACCTCTGCAGACTTAAATGTCCCTGTCTGACAGCTTTGAAGAGAGCAGTGGTTCTCCCAGCACACAGCTGGAGATCTGAGAACAGGCAGACTGCCTCCTCAAGTGGGTCCCTGACCCCTGACCCCCGAGCAGCCTAACTGGGAGGCACCCCCCAGTAGGGGCAGACTGACACCTCACATGGCCAGGTACTCCTCTGAGACAAAACTTCCAGAGGAACGATCAGACAACAGCATTCGCGGTTCATGAAAATCTGCTGTTCTGCAGCCACCACTGCTGATACCAAGGCAAACAGGGTCTGGAGTGGACCTCTAGCAAACTCCAACAGACCTGCAGTGGAGGGCCTGTCTGGTAGAAGGAAAACCAACAAACAGAAAGGACATCCACACCAAAATCCCATCTGTACATCACCATCATCAAAGACCAAAAGTAGATAAAACCACAAAGATGGGGAAAAAACAGAGCAGAAAAACTGGAAACTCTGAAAAGCAGAGCACCTCTCCTCCTCCAAAGGAACACAGTTCCTCACCAGCAACAGAACAAAGCTGGATGGAGAATGACTTTGACGAGTTGACAGAAGAAGGCTTCAGACGATCAAACTACTCTGAGCTACAGGAGGAAACTCAAACCAAAGGCAAAGAAGTTAAAAACTTTGAAAAAAAATTTAGACGAATGTATAACTAGAATAACCAATACAGAGAAGTGCTTAAAGGAGCTGATGGAGCTGAAAGCCAAGGCTTGAGAACTATGGGAAGAATGCAGAAGCCTCAGGAGCCGATGTGATCAACTGGAAGAAAGGGTATCAGTGATGGAAGATGAAATGAATGAAATGAAGCGAGAAGGGAAGTTTAGAGAAAAAAGAATAAAAAGAAATGAACAAAGCCTCCAAGAAATATGGGACTATGTGAAAAGACCAAATGTACATCTGATTGGTGTACCTGAAAGTGACAGGGAGAATGGAACCAAGTTGGAAAACACTCTGCAGGATATTATCCAGGAGAACTTCCCCAATCTAGCAAGGCAGGCCAACATTCAGATTCAGGAAATACAGAGAATGCCACAAAGATACTCCTCGAGAAGAGCAACTCCAAGACACATAATTGTCAGATTCACCGAAGTTGAAATGAAGGAAAAAATGTTAAGGGAAGCCAGAGAGAAATGTTGGGTTACCCACAAAGGGAAGCCCGTCAGACTAATAGCAGATCTCTTGGCAGAAACTCTACAAGCCAGAAGAGAGTGGGGGCCAATACTCAACATTCTTAAAGAAAAGAATTTTCAACCCAGAATTTCATATCCAGCCAAACTAAGCTTCATAAGTGAAGGAGAAATAAAATACTTTACAGACAAGCAAATGCTGAGAGATTTTGTCACCACCAGGCCTGCCCTAAAAGAGCTCCTAAAGGAAGCACTAAACATGGAAAGGAACAACCGGTACCAGCCACTGCAAAAAGATGCCAAATTGTAAAGACCATTGAGGCTAGGAAGAAACTGCATGAACTAATGAGCAAAATAACCAGCTAACATCATAATGACAGGATCAAATTCACACATAACAATATTAACTTTAAATGTAAATGGACTAAATGCTCCAATTAAAAGACACAGACTGGCAAATTGGATAAAGAGTCAAGACCCATCAGTGTGCTGTATTCAGGAAACCCATCTCACGTGCAGAGACACATAGGCTCAAAATAAAAGGATGGAGGAAGATCTACCAAGCAAATGGAAAACAAAAAAAGGCAGGGGTTGCAATCCTAGTCTCTGATAAAACAGACTTTAAACCAACAAAGATCAAAAGAGACAAAGAAGGCCATTACCTAATGGTAAAGGGATCAATTCAACAAGAAGAGCTAACTATCCTAAATATATATGCACCCAATACAGGAGCACCCAGATTCATAAAGCAAGTCCTGAGTGACCTACAAAGAGACTTAGACTCCCACACAATAATAATGGGAGAATTTAACACCCCACTGTCAACATTAGACAGATCAGCGAGACAGAAAGTTAACAAGGATACCCAGGAATTGAACTCAGCTCTGCACCAAGTGGACCTAATAGACATCTACAGAACTCTCCACCCCAAATCAACAGAATATACATTTTTTTCAGAGCACACCACACCTATTCCAAAATTGACCACATAGTTGGAAGTAAAGATCTCCTCAGCAAATGTAAAAGAACAGAAATTATAAAAAACTGTGTCTCAGACCACAGTGCAATCAAACTAGAACTCAGAATTAAGAAACTCACTCAAAACCACTCAACTACATGGAAACTGAACAACCTGCTCCTCAATGACTACTGGGTACATAACAAAATGAAGGCAGAAATAAAGATGTTCTTTGAAACCAACGAGAACAAAGACACAACATACCAGAATCTCTGCGACACATTCACAACAGTGTGTAGAAGGAAATTTATAGCACTAAATGCCCACAAGAGAAAGCAGGAAAGATCCAAAATAGACACCCTAACATCACAATTAAAAGAACTAGAAAAACAAGAGCAAACACATTCAAAAGCTAGCAGAAGGCAAGAAATAACTAAACTCAGAGCAGAACTGAAGGAAATAGAGACACAAAAAATCCTTCAAAAAATTAATGAATCCAGCAGCTGGTTTTTTGAAAGGATCAACAAAATTGATAGACTGCTAGCAAGACTAATAAAGATGAAAGGAGAGAAGAATCAAATAGACACAATAAAAATGATAAAGGGGATATCACCACCGATCCCACAGAAATACAAACTACCATCAGAGAATACTACAAACACCTCTATGCAAATAAACTAGAAAATCTAGAAGAAATGGATAAATTCCTCGACACATACACCCTTCCAAGACTAAACCAGGAAGAATCTGAATCTCTGAATAGACCAATAACAGGATCTGAAATTGTGGCAATAATCAATAGCTTACCAACCAAAAAGAGTCCAGGAGGAGATGGATTCACAGCCAAATTCTACCAGAGGTACAAGGAGGAACTGGTACTATTCCTTCTGAAACTATTCCAATCAATAGAAATAGAGGGAATCCTCCCTAACTCATTTTATGAGGCCATCATCATCCTGATACCAAAGCCGGGCAGAGACACAACCAAAAAAGAGAATTTTAGACCAATATCCTTGATGAACATTGATGCAAAAATCCTCAATAAAATACTGGCAAAACGAATCGAGCAGCACATCAAAAAGCTTATCCACCATGATCAAGTGGGCTTTATCCCTGGGATGCAAGGCTGGTTCAATATATGCAAATCAATAAATGTAATCCAGCATATAAACAGAACCAAAGACAAAAACCACATGATTATCTCAACAGATGCAGAAAAGGCCTTGGACAAAATTCAACAACGCTTCATGCTAAAAACTCTCAATAAATTACGTATTGATGGGACGCATCTCAGAATCATAAGAGCTATCTATGACAAACCCACAGCCAATATCATACTGAATGGGCAAAAGCTGGAAGCATTCCCTTTGAAAACTGGCACAAGACAGGGGTGCCCTCTCTCACCACTCCTATTCAACATAGTGTTGGAAGTTCTGGCCAGGGTAATTAGGCAGGAGAAGGAAATAAAGGGTATTCAATTAGGAAAAGATGAAGTCAAATTGTCCCTGTTTGCAGATGACATGATTGTATATCTAGAAAACCCCATTGTCTCAGCCCAAAATCTACTTAAGCTGATAAGCAACTTCAGCAAAGTCTCAGGATACAAAATCAATGTACAAAAATCACAAGCATTCTTATACACCAATAACAGACAAACAGAGAGCCAAATCATGAGTGAACTCCCATTCACAATTGCTTCAAAAAGAATAAAATACTTAGGAATCCAACTTACAAGGGATGTGAAGGACCTCTTCAAGAAGAACTACAAACCACTGCTCAATGAAATAAAAGAGGATACAAACAAATGGAAGAACATTCCATGCTCATGGGTAGGAAGAATCAATATTGTGAAAATGGCCATACTGCCCAAGGTAATTTACAGATTCAATGCCATCCCCATCAAGCTACCAATGACTTTCTTCACAGAATTGGAAAAAACTACTTCAAAGTTCATATGGAACCAAAAAAGAGCCCGCATCGCCAAGTCAATCCTAAGCCAAAAGAACAAAGCTGGAGGCATCACACTACCTGACTTCAAACTATACTACAAGGCTACAGTAACCAAAACAGCATGGTACTGGTACCAAAACAGAGATATAGAGCAATGGAACAGAACAGAGCCCTCAGAAATAATGCCGCTTATCTACAACTATCTGATTTTTGACAAACCTGAGAAAAACAAGCAACGGGGAAAGGATTCCCTATTTAATAAATGGTGCTGGGAAAACTGGCTAGCCATATGTAGAAAGCTGAAACTGGATCCCTTCCTTACACCTTATACAAAAATCAATTCAAGATGGATTAAAGACTTAAACGTTAGACCTAAAACCATAAAAACCCTAGAAGAAAACCTAGGCATTACCATTCAGGACATAGGCATGGGCAAGGACTTCATGTCTAAAACACCAAAAGCAATGGCAACAAAAGCCAAAATTGACAAATGGGATCTCATTAAACTAAAGAGCTTCTGCACAGCAAAAGAAACTACCATCAGAGTGAACAGGCAACCCACAAAATGGGAGAAAATTTTCGCAACCTACTCATCTGACAAAGGGCTAATATCCAGAATCTACAATGAACTCAAACAAATTTACAAGAAAAAAACAAACAACCCCATCAAAAAGTGGGCAAAGAACATGAACAGATACTTCTCAAAAGAAGACATTTATGCAGCCAAAAAACACATGAAAAAATGCTCATCATCACTGTCCATCAGAGAAATGCAAATCAAAACCACAATGAGATAGCATCTCACACCAGTTAGAATGGCAATCATTAAAAAGTCAGGAAACAACAGGTGCTGGAGAGGATGTGGAGAAATTGGAACACTTTTACACTGTTGGTGGGACTGTAAACTAGTTCACCCATTGTGGAAGTCAGTGTGGTGATTCCTCAGGGATCTAGAACTAGAAATACCATTTGACCCAGCCATCCCATTACTGGGTATATACCCAAAGGACTATATATCATGCTGCTATAAAGACACATGCACATGTATGTTTATTGTGGCACTATTCACAATAGCAAAGACTTGGAACCAACCCAAATGTCCAACAATGATAGACTGGATTAAGAAAATGTGGCACATATACACCATGGAATAGTATGCAGCCATAAAAAATGATGAGTTCATGTCCTTTGTAGGGACATGGATGAAATTGGAAATCATCATTCTCAGTAAGCTATCGCAAGGACAAAAAACCAAACACCGCATGTTCTCACTCATAGGTGGGAATCGAACAATGAGAACACAAGGACACAGGAAGGGGAACATCACACTCTGGGGACTGTTGTGGGGTGGGGGAGGGGGAAAGGATAGCATTAGGAGATATACCTAATGCTAAATGACGAGTTAATAGGTGCAGCACACCAGCATGGCACGTGTATACATACGTAACTAACCTGCACATTGTGCACATGTACCCTAAAACTTAACGTATAATAATAATAAAATAAAAAAGAAAAAAAATAAAAAGGAAGTAGATACTTTATGTTCTGCTGTTCTGAAGAGTTCTGCTTTACTCAGTAATAGTTGATTGCATGTTTCAGTTAAGAGAAAAAAATGATTTTAAAATATATTGTAAAACAGAGTTTTATCGTGTCTTCTTTAAATGTAAATGAGCATAGCATGAGTTAGGTTGAAAGGCTAAGTTGTTGCCACAAAAGACCTAAGTACAAGGTGGCTTATGAGCAAATTTGCTTATTCTCTCTCCCTTGACAGGCTGAGGTGAATACTCCATGTTGGAGGATGGCTTTGCTTGATGTGCTCATTCATGAATTCGGGCTGTCTTTCCCACCTTCAGTGGGTGCCTGTCACGTTTGATCTGGGCATTATCATCCCAGCTAGCTGGAAGGGGCAGAGTTGAAGCCTAGGGTCAAAGAGAGATGGGAGGCAAAAATGTTTTGCATCAATTGGGTTTACATTCCATTGGTGGAAACCTAGTCCCAGGGCCACCCCTAAAGGAAAGGTGGGCCTGGAAATTCAATGCCTTGTTGGACAGCCAAGTACACGGTAATTACTCTACTGCCATAGAAGATGGAGATAACAAAATTTGGCAGGCAGCTGTGAGTATCCACAGGTATAAGAAATGAAGTTATAGGGAAGCATTCATCTTTAACCACAACTTTATAAAAGGTTCCAGAAAAACACAGCAGTTACAAGTGGAAATACAAATTTGTACTCCTACATTTTGGAATGATCAAGGCTTCTGCTTTCTCTCTTTTCCTAGTTCTTTCAGACTTTGCTTAGGAGATGGTAGAAACAGCAATGGGAAATAAAGACAACTGGGAGAAGCCAACCTATTTCACTATCCACTGCCTTATCAGAGGCTATGCTGGAAGTCAAAGAAGACAGTCTGGGTCCTTCAACTGTAGTTCTAGATTTAATCCCCATATTCTCAGCCCAACTTCCCAGGCATGTGGTCCTTTGTCTTTTCCTGTTTTTTAATTTAAACTCTGATGCCTACAGTAAAAGTCATCTTCATTGACTTGTATATAACTAATGGCTAAGCATCAAAATTAGGCCAATAGCAAGAACTAACAAGTAGTAAATTTGAGAATTGCAACTGTATTTACACTTCCATTGCACTAATCATTTACTTGGGTTTACTTGATTAGTGGAATGAGTCTGCACAAGTCAAGAAAATGTGTTGTAATTCCCCAAATCTTTTTGTCATGGCAGTACTCCACATTTATGCCATACTCTTCTATGTCTTGGCCCTAATTGAAATGGTCTTCCTGTTAAACTCTCATTTGTTTCCAAAGAAGTAAACTTTGATTGGACTTAGAGCCAAGGTGCCCCCCTACTGACAATTCAGCCTTTCTCTTCACCTTCTAGTTTTTGCTGACTCACATCCTTGCTCAACAAACTATTTCCTTTTAAGTTTCGCATAACTCTGTTTTAAAGTGGAATTCATATATCTTAGGAAATGAGGGCTGTGTTGCACACTTAGCAATGGCTGGCGAATTGGAAATACATAGTAAATAAAACAAATGGACGAAGTCAAAGCTGAGTAAGTAAAGCATTCACTCTGACCAAGTAGACACTACAAGTAAGGGGATTACAGGGTCATACCTTCCCTGGTCTCTGTGGTTTCCCACTTTGTTTCCTCTTGTTCTGACAGTTGATTCTTTGGAGGTTATATATTAGTCAATAGAAATGGCTCTGATAATGACTTTTCTGAGCATGCTCTCTGCCACCTTACAGAGGTGGCAATTTACAAACATTTTTAAATACACAATGCATTGTATGTTTATGAGTACATTGTATTTATATATTGCATTGTGTATTTATAAATCTTTGTAAATCTTCCAAAGAGATGTATTCTGTAAAAAATAATCTAAGTTCAAAAATAACTTTTATGTTAATCAAAAATATTGGACTGTCACTAATTCTTATGAAAAAAGGGAAGACTACTTTGAGGTTCAGCCATCAGAAGGGTAACAGGTTGCATCACAGTCAGAAGCAGAAGATATGCATGTCCTAGAAGTATAACAAGCAATGTAGAATTGGACAAAAACATAAGCTCGGGAACAACAGGGTTTTTCCACCTCCTTGTTGAAATTATCAGGATCTGCAGTTGAGGGAGAAGAGCCCTGTTTGCTTGCCTATCTCTCGAACACTTCAGCGAGGACAATGAGACATCTTGCTGGTAGAATTTTTTGGTCTTTTAAGAGAGAATACTGGAAATACTTTGGGATTGTTGTTCTGGCAGGGGTAGTGACAGGAAAGAAAGAAAGAAAGAAAAAAGAGTTGCCTTAATAATCTTTAAGATAGAAGAGAGTCATGGTACTTGGTTTATACTCCAGGGCACTGGCTTATGGTAAATGTAAATGCTTGAGAGTTCCACTCACTTTTCAAGGTTCAAGTCATAATGTTATTGTGATGGCTAATTTTATGTGTCAACTTGACTGGATTAAGGGATACCCAAATAGCTGGCAAAACATTATTTCTGGATGTGTCTAAGAGGGTGTTTCTCGAAGAGATTAGCATTTGAGTCAGGAGACTAAATAAAGAAGATCCACCCTAACCAATGTGAATGGCATTATCCAAATTGTTCAGGGCCTGGATAGAACAAAAAGGTGGAGGAAGGATAAATTAACTCCACCTTTTGGAGCTAGGACATCATCTCTTGCCTTCAGACATTAGGACTCCAGATTCTGGGCCCTTCAGACTCCGGGACTTAACACCAACAGCCCTCCTTGTTCTCAAGCCTTCAGACTCAGACTGATTTACACCACCAACTTTCCTGGTTCTCCAGCTTGCAGACAGCATATCATGAGATTTCTCAGCCAATTCCCCTAATGAATAACCTCTTCTATGTCTGTACATGTTGTATTTTTTCTGTTTCTCTGAAGAACACTGACTAATACAGTTATCTTCATAAAAGCTTCCCACTCATCATGTTTTCAAACTGTAATTAATCATTTGCTCTTTGCAGTTCAACTACATGTTTTTTCCTTTAATAATGCTGAACACAGACTGCCTTATTTTGTAATTACTTCTGTAGACATCTATGGCAGAGGCTGGCAAACTTTTTCTGTAAAGGGTCATACAGTAAATATTTTAGTCCTTGCAAGTATAAAGTATCTGTCATAATTATTCAACTCTGCCCTTGTAGCAAAAACAAAACCATTCACAGAAAATACATACACAAATGAGTGGGGCTGCATTTCAATAAAACTTTATTTATAAAACCAAGTATAAAACCAGATTTGGGCTGTAGGTTGTTCATCCTTGATCTATGCCGAGAGGACGTAAGTTCAATTGAGGCAGAGAAGTTCTTTATTATTCTTTGTAAACCACATCAGGTACATAAAGACCGAAAAATTGTTTCGAGGTTCAGACTCTTTGGGTTAAAATAACAATTATTCACTAGTTTTGGGAACCTAAGCACGGCATTTAACTGCACTCTGCTTTAGTTTCTTCAAGAAACAACTGTGAAAATAATAAAACCTACTTCACAGTGTTATCGTGAGAGTGTGAAATAATCCCTTGAAGGTATTTAGCACAGTGTCTGGCACATGTTAAACACTCAGGAAATGCCAGCCATTAACATCGTGTGCAGTGTGGGTGCTCAATAGATAGATGGTTGTTGAATAAACACATAGTAAGATTTAATTCATGTTTCAAGTGTATCTTTAGTGTATTTACTATCACTTAAATATATTGAATATAAAAATGTTATTAAAATATCTATTATTCAAAGACATATTTACAAATCTAAATATCTATAGAAATTTAAAGTGGCTGTTACCATCTTTAACAATAAGAAACATTTTTTGAAAGATACAGAATATAGATATAAAAAAGGAGATAGTGGGAAAAGCCAGTGCTTAATTTTATGGAAGTAAACAAAGACAATTCTGGAAATTTATCATTTTTTCAAAAATTGAAAAACCAATAAGTTAACTCAATTAGAAGTAATAAACATGATTTTTAAAGAACAAATCAATACCAGAATTTTTGATTGTTTAATAATGTTAAAAGACTAGTAGATAAGTAGGTTAACAAATCAATTTCTATCTTGATTTTAATAAAAATTATAATATTTTATCATAATTATTATTTATATTCAGCATTATGTCCCTCCAAATTAACAAAAATCAATATACACAAAAGTTTGCTGAGTAAAAAGGAAATAAGATGAGGAGGATATTCAAAACACATTCAGTGAAGGAGATTTGGGAAGAAAAAGTAAGTTAGTAAAATATCTGAGGCATCCAACCTTGAGAAGTACATTGGAATTTAGACCCCCTTATTTTGCCTCTCTGAATATTTTCCAGTCTTACCTGCCTTGATGTAAGTCCTGGGAGGTCAGCCTCCTGTGAGGCTTCACCTGGGATCCCTTGCCTGTTGGCGTTCAGTTTTTTGGGCCAGTGGAAGGAACAAGAAAAGAGTAAAAGAATGGGAGAAGAGAGACCAGAGGGCTTCCTCACTACCCCATGTACTTGGGGGCTGCATCTCTGGTAGATCCCAGGTCTCTGCACAGCTCCAAGTCCGGCCCCAGAACCCTAGAGCATTCTCTGTTCTCACTGGACACTGGCCATGCCCTCCCCATTCCATGCTCCTCCTGCTTAGGGAAATTCACAGCTTCCTGCTGCTACTAAGTCTCTCGGCACCTCAGCATTGCTTGCCCACACCTTTGCGGGTACTTTCAGCAACATCTCCTGACTCTGAATGATATAAGAAAGACCTCTTACGGATGTCATTATTTTAGCAAAAGTCTAACTTAGAGAGAGGTGATGAGGTAATCAACATTAATTTAATGCCTTTCAAGCTTATATGCTGCAAAATATTTATTAGATGAGATAAATTGGGAAACAAAACTGAAACAAATACCCTAGAAAGTAGTAGCATAATGTATTTTGTGTTTATATCACTAGTAAAGTGAAGCTGCAAGTCTTGAATAAGACAGAAAAAATCATTAAAATATAAGAACTGATATAAGAAGTCCATTTCTAAACATTTTACGCTACCTTTTGGTCTCAGACACATCCTGATCAGCTCAAGGCCCTTAATAAATTCCTCCGTGACCCTGGATTAGACACAAGGTTCCCATTAAAACCTGGCCCCTCCCATTGACCAAACATTTCCTTCTGTCTACACGTCTCTGGTTTCCATCTTGGCCATGTAATTATACATCCTGATCCTTTGAGGCTGCCTCAAGGCTCCCCCAGGCCACCTTTGTGCAGCAGGTCTGTGTTTTGTTTTGTTTTGTTTGTTTGTTTGTTTTGTTTTGTTTTTTGACAGTGTCTCGCTCTGTCGCCAGGCTGGAGTGCAATGGCACAATCTCAGCTCACTGCAACCTCTGCCTCCCTGGTTCAAGTGATTCTCTCGCCTCAACCTCCTGAGTAGCTGGGACTACAGGCACGCGCCACCATGCCCAACTAATTTTTGTATTTTTAGTAGAGACAGGGTTTCACCATGTTGGCCAGGATGGTCTCAATCTCTTGACCTCGAGATCTGCCCACCTCGGACTTCCAAAGTGCTGGGATTACAGGTGTGAGCCACTGCATCTGGCCAGGTCTGTCTTTTGACTTCTGCTTTCCTTCACACTCTGAGGGACTGTCCTGCCCACTACCCAGGCCCAGCCCTCCCAGAACTCCAGCTTCAGCAGCACGCATGGCACTTCTCACTACACACACTACCCACTCGCTCAGGAGGGAAATTCAAATAACCCATTTTAAGACACGTTTTCAAAAGATGTAAATACAAATGTCTTTCTCCTTTCTCAGAGGGAGAAGTCGTAAGTCAAAGGACCTCCAGGAGCAAACCTGAAATAGAACTGTATCTTTTCAATGATTTGCTTCCCTCGGTTTTGTTTGTTAGAGCTAAGGTCCTCAAATTATTTTGCTCATGTATCTCCTACAATAATTTTGCAAAACTATGTATCTTCTTGCACATTTTAACCTGATATCTAAAATGTTTCATCGTAAGTTTTAAGTAAGTTTATTTCTCATCACTAGTGAGAATTCACTGCAGCTAGAATATGTATTTCTTAATGTAATTTGATAAAATGTATATTAACTCTCTCGTTACATAAACTTCATCAGATCTGAGAGAAATTTCATAATATTTTATATGTTTTATCTAATGTGTTGTCCAATAAAGACAAATCCAGACTTACATAAAGAAAGACTATTAGAAAGATTATCAATAGGGAGAATACTCTGACTACAAGATCAGTGAGTGCCTTGAACGTCAGGCAGAAAAGGGCTTTTCTTTCATGGGGAGGAGTAAACAAGGCTAGAAAGAACCCGAATTCAGCAACTGATCAGGAAATATGGCTTTTTGTGGTCCAGCAGTGTTGAGGAAAGGTCACTAAAGAGGGGCTGTTTCCTATTCAGCCGGATCAGGCTGAGGTGGGTCAATGTTGAAGGTCCAGTGGGAAGAAGAGAAGCTTAACAAAAGATTGGTCAAATCAGATCAACAAGTGCTTTGTTCTGATTGGTCAGTGGAGACAAATAGTTCAGCTACTCACTTATGAAGCAAAGAATGGAAATTTGGAAAGCCTGAGTCTGGCCTGGTGCTAAATAAACAAGGGGATTATCCACAAAATTTATCTAAATCATATGAGAATGGGTAGTTCTTTGCAGTAAGCAGTCTCCCAGAACAACAAAAAAAAAAAAAAAAAAAAAGGGGGAATTTCTTTAATTTAAATTTCTTTAATTATGTTTTCCAGGATTACAGAACTCAGACAAAGCTCAACATTTTCTATAAAATATTCTTATTATGTTGATAAGACGAAGTGTCACTAATCTCTACTGTTTCACTGTTTCCTGTATTCTGAATTCAGAATGTCTCAGTATGGGCCAATGTCTTCTGAGGAAAAGCCAGGAAGTGCTATGTGTGTAAGGTCCCTTGGTTTGTATTGAAGGGGAGGCTCCTACTAGTATTTCCATATTGTTAGGGACTCTGGGAGGTTTCATATCCCATGGCAAAGCACCACAGTATAATCTGCAATGGAAACAGGCTCTGGCTTTCTTCTGTAAAGTGGGAGAACTACTTAAAGTATTCATGCCTGGATTACACTGGGAAAGTCTTTGTATAACAACTATGGTTTTGGTGTAAAAAATACTGTTTTAGACTACCAGTGCTTTTCACTGAGAAAATTTAGCAGAGATTTTCATTATTACTGTTTAAATTTCAAGAGCATCAAGTGTTGCAATAGACAATAATAATTATGTTTATTCTGTATTTCTTTCTTTTAAGGAACACATAATATCAACTCATAGGCCCTTGAAGATGCATATTATCTCCTGAAAACCTCTCTACTAGACCATGTCAAGACTTTAGAAGACAGCTATGATTGAGTGTTAGAAAATCTAAGTTTATACTGTCATTGTAGCGGGCAGTGCAAACAGGAGGAAGGTCAGTGATGTGCGCTTCCACATAGTTAAGTATTTCATGGGTTACCTTACCTAACCCCTCACATCATCCATTGGAAATGTAGGATATTCTTTCCATTTTTAAATGAGAAAACTCAGGTTTATGAAGGTTATCTAATTTGCTGATGGTAGCCTAAAGTCAATGGAAGAACCAAGATTTCAAATATGATGCATGTTCTCAAATTCTGTCCTCAGTTACCAGGCTCCTTATTTTTAAAATTGCTAAATTTGGAAGCAATAGACCTTGGTAAGATATGTTTCTTCCATTTTCCACTTTATCATCCAGAGCAAGTCCATGAAACTCTTGAGATTTGGTTTCCTTGTTCATAAAATGGAAATAGCATTACATACCTTATATAAAGTTGAGAAGAAAAAAAGAGATTAAAATATGTAAAAATACTTTGAAAACTCTACACGTGTTGGATCTTGTAATGGATCATGGATCTTGTCCATACCTGATTTCCAAAACACTCAAATTAAGAGGATTTCCAATCCTCTTCCCTATACATACACAAAAAGGAAATTTTGATTTTTTACCTTTTGTAAGAACTTTTGTAAAAAGTTCTATTTGGAAAAGGTACATTTTGTAAAAAGTTCTATTTGGAAAAGGTACATTTAAGATACCATTTAGTGTGCAATTATTGGATTTGTACACAGTTCACCAGGAACTCATTTACTTCCGTGAAGTGAAAGTATATCTGCCAGGCTTGGTGGCTCATGCCTGCAATCTCAGCACTTTGGGAGGCTGAGGTGGACAGATCACTTGAGTCCAGGAGTTCAAGATCAGTCTGGGCAACATGACGATACCCTGTCTCTACAAAACAATACAAAAATTAACTGGGCAAGGTGGTGTGCACCTGTAGCCCCAGCTACTCTGGAGGCTGAGGTGGGAGGATCATCTGAGCCTGTGAGGTCCAGGCTACAGTGGTGAGCTGTGATCATGCCACTGCACTCCAGCCTGAGCAAGAGAGCAAGACCCTGTCTCAAAAAAAAATATATATATATATATATATAAAATATATATCACATATGACCAACAGATAAATGATCTTCTCTAAGACATAGTGAAGTAGTGTTTCATTCTGGGAGCCCTATTATCAGAGTGGTATAGACACATTGGAAAGTACTAACAGGCACTCCAACAAGCATGATGAAGATCTGATGTAATTGATTTATGAGGCAAGATTAAGAGAATTAAATATGTATGGATTGGTGAAGCAAAGACTATGGAAGGATAAGATAACTGCCTACTGACATATGATAGTATAAACACCAAGGCAGAAGAGAAATTATTTAGCAAGCTGCAGGAGGATAAGTCTATGGCTAATAGGGTAAATTTTTATTGTCTTTTTTTTTTTTTTTTGAGATGGAGTCTCACTCTGTTGCCCAGGCTGGAGTGCAGTGGCATGATCTCAGCTCACTGCAACCTCCACTTCCCAGGTTCAAGCGATTTTCCTGCCTCAACCTCCCTAGTAGCTGGGATTACAGATGCTTGCCGCCATGCTCAGCTAATATTTGTATTTTTAGTAGAGACGGGGTTTCACCATGTTGACCAGGCTGGTCTCGAACTCCTGACCTCAAGTGATCCGCCAGCCTCGGCCTCCCAAAGTGCTGGGATTACAGGCGTGAGCCACCATGCTTGGCTGAGTAAATTTTTTAAAAAAAGAAAAAAAAAATTTCAGGCTAAATTTCATGAAAAAATTTCCTGGCTGTGAAATCTATTAGCCTCTGAAAAGTGTCTTTTATGACAATATTAGAGAAGGGCTATCCCTTAAGATATTTAAAGCAAGGGAGAAAGTAAATGTAACGGTTTACTATAAGAAACAATTAGGCAAAATTGAGAAGGTAGGCTGGATGACTTAAGATATTTGTTGTCCTTAATGATCATATTTAGTGATTTGAATGGTTAAATCCTAAATTTTTGAAATTATACATATTAAGAAATGACCTCATACATCAGATTACCTTAAACTATCATTCTTATTTACAACACTCAGTTTCAATGGTTTCATTGATGTTGAACTGAATAAATATTTTATGCAACCAAATGCTACCATAATTTCCAAGTGCAATCATTACAAGTTCAAAGTTAATTGTTTTTAAATGTGTATTCTAAAGAAAAAAACATAATAGTGTTTAAATTTTATTATGTTTAAAACTGTTTTTAGGCATTTAGTCTCTATTTTACAACAGGGGGAACAAAATAATATTAACATATCCTATTATTATACAGTATAATTTGTTTTACCTTTGTTTGCTGTATTCAATGCAGTTTGGCATAATGAAAAGGCAGTTAAATTTGCACTCAACCCACCTAATTCAATTCTGACGCCATTAAATCTCTCTGACCATCAAACTTTTAAAAAATAAGTTGGTGGCTACATTGAGGTGACCCCAAAGCAATTGCAAATAAGAAAAAGAATGTTGCCTCTGAGAACAAAACATTAAAGCCAACACGTGATAATGATAGCTTACAGCAAAGACCCACATGGCATCTAAAGACGCAGAAGGATTTCCCTTGTAAATTCATTAATTGACACTTGATGTTATACTTCAGATTCCTGTGAGTCAGTTTATTCTATCCTGAGCATTTCTAGCTCTAGACCAATAAAATTAAGTATCATATACTTAATCACTGAGATTCAGCAAAACTATGACAGCGTGAAGTGTCTCTTGGGTTGTCACCCAGTGGCAGCTCCTTTTATGTTGTTACACCAAATTTGATGTTCATAACTGAGGGAAAATACCTTTCACTGATCAATGGAGAAATACACAGAATCAGTCCCATAACTAACCATTTACTTTATTTCTAAACCTTAAGTACCAGCCCAACACACAAAGGGCCTCTTGAACCTCTCTCTAACCACAGCATTCTCACATGCAAGCCTTCACCTTCCTCCAGCCATTCTTCTGAGCCTTGGAGCCATCAATATATTTTCGTAAGCATAAAGATTTTGCCAATTCTCAATTATTTCAAATCCATAAAACATGAAGTTATTTCATAGATTTCTAGAGACAGTAGGAAACTTAATAATTCAGGTTGGATACTTCATATTACATGTAAAAGGGAAGGAGGATGAAAAGAGCATTGAAAACCAAGGTTTTGTAGAAACAGATAAATATACCTCTTTCATTGCAGTTAGGGAGGAAGAAATAGTGAAACCTAGACTATACGGATCATTGTTAGGAATAAAATATTGTAAAGATTTTTGATAACTCACAGAAGGCTGAGCTTAGGTTTATGTGTAAATCCCTTGAGCACCTCACAAAACTGTTGCCATGACCTTTGCTCTGGACTGGTCTTCTTTTGCTTTGACTGGACCACCTGCACCTGTTGGTAGACACTGCTTTGATTGTGCTTCGTCTTCAGGATCATGCTAATGAAGGCGTGTTTTATCCCCCATTAAAAATATATAACATTTGTATATATTTACATATGTATACATTTATTTGTTTATATATAACTCATCTATATGTTTATACATATACATGAGGAGACTTTAAAAATTCATGAAAAATGGAATTCAAGGATACAAATAAAAAATAGAAACTTTGTTTCTTAACACTACCTCTGTCCAGTTCAAGACACTTTTGTAAGCAACAATACTAGTCCTTTAGTCCATTCCTAAAGAACTATGGGTCCTAAGAATTTAACCATGTTAATTAAGTCTTTTTACCTTATTAACTGAAAAAAAAATGGGTGCCCTTTCTGGATTTTTTAAGATTAGGAAACAAATATAAGTCAGAAGAATCCAAATCAGGACTGTAAAGTGGATGCCTAATAATTTACCATTGAAACTCTCACAAAATTGCCCTTGATTAGAGTAATGAACAGGAGGATTGCCTTGGTAGAGAAAAAAACTCTCTGATGAAGTTTTCCTGGAGTTTTTCTGCTAAAGTTTTGGCTAACTTTCTCAAAACACTCTCATAATACACAAATGTTATTGTTCTTTGGACATCCAGAAAGTCAAGAAACAAAATCCCCTGAGCACCTCACAAAACTGTTGCCATGACCATGACCATGACCTTTGCTCTGAACTGGTCTTCTTTTGTTTTGACTGGATCACCTGCACCTGTTTGTAGCCACTGCTTTGATTGTGCTTTGTCTTCAGGATCATACTGATGAAGGCATGTTTTATCACCCATTATAATTCTTAAGAAATGCTTCAAAATCTTGATTCCATTTGTTTAAAGTTTCCCTTGAAAGTTCTGCTCTTGTCTGCAGCTGATCTGAATACAATCGTTTTGCTGCCCATCCAGTGGAAAGTTTGCTTAATTTTAATTTTTCAGTCATAATTATGTAAGCTGAATCAATTGAGACATGTATGTTGCTGGCTATTGTTTCTGCTGTTAAGCATCAGTCCTCTTCAATCAGGGTACAAACAAGCTTCATTTTTTCCTCACAAATCAAGGTGAAAGGTTTGCTACCACAGGCTTTATCTTCAACATGGTCTTGTCCCTTTTTAAAGTAAGTTATCCATTTTTAAACTGCTGATATCTTTGAGGCATTGTCCCCATAAACTTTTCATAAAGCATTAATGATTTCACTGTTCTTCCACCCAAGCTTTACCCTAAATTTAATGTTTATTCTTGCTTCAATTTTAGCAGAATTCAATGTTGCTCCAATAGGGGTTCTTTTCAAACTGATATCTTATCCTTCTTAAGGCCTCAAATGAGATCCTGTTCACACACATTATGAAAAGTTAGTATGAGTTTATTTTGGTGCAAAAATTTTTGAAATTCACACATAATTTTTTTCATAATGTGTATTTTCCATGAACTTTTTGAAGATATTTTATAGTTCTGGGCAGGGACAAGTGGATTTTTTTTTTTTTTGCTCCCTTTTTTTAAATTTTAATTTGAGTTCTGAGATACATGTGCAGAACGTGCAGGTTTCAAGGTGGATTTTAAAAAGGGAGAGCAATTGCTGAGAGCTAGAGCTCAGACTGGCACAAATGAATGCTGAGGGTTTCTGAAGAACAGGGAGGCCCAATAATCAATCTTAAGTGTTTTGTGTTGATGGAATCTAAGCCCTCTCTATCTCCCCATGTATTGCTGTATTCTGCTCAACACAAAATGGTCTTAGAGTGGTCACTTTTTGTTTGCACTTATTTCTTGTTAGGGGGATCTTTTGGGAGGTGGTATTTGTTCAGTTATCTTTATTTTGTTGTCACTGTTGGATTGTAAGTGTGGTTATTTTATGGATAAAAAGGTAAAGGGACTAAATTCCATGGCTTGTTCTGAGTGACAGCTGAGATGAGTGGTGGATAATTACAGACATACACAAATCTGGTTGAGCAGGATTTGAAGAACAATGTAAGCTATCCTCCTCAACATCTCAAGAAAGAATGATAGAAATGTAAACCTAGAGCCCTATGGCCATATTTCATTTGAATCCTAAAAGTCAGGAGCCTCCCATTTGTGTCTGGATTCCATAAAATGGGGAACATAAGACCCAAATTGTTCAAGTGGCTTACCTAAGGTTGGCGGCACCATTCAAGTTCACTGATTCTTGTGGTTTTCTCCCCATGATAAGAAACTAATTTCTAACTTCACATTGGTCAATTGCAGCCTCTGGAGTATGGCTACCTGCCTATGGCTCACAGAAATTTGAAATGCTACCTGAAAATGCTGTTAGGGCTTTAGAATGGAGACAATGCCAGAGGGTGCTAGAATGCTTTTGTCCTCAACCATGAGCCACAACAATCAGAGATCGGTAAGTAATTGGCATTTTAAATAACCAAGGTCTGAGGTGCCTGGAAGGCTAGCCTTGTTACTGAACTCCACAGTGTTTTCTGTGATGACAAAATTATGGACAGAAGCTTTTGGGGTTGAAATGTACACCAAGAGAAGTTGATTCTCCCCTATTTCCTTGCTGCCCTGATGCCAATTGTTCTTCTCCTTCCTGACCCCTTGGCTTATGTGGCCATTCCTCTGGCTTTGCACTAGACTCAGATTTAGGTTTGGATTTAGTTGATAGGTGCCAAATTAAGCATTTCTAGAAATACAAGGAATTTTTTTTAGTACACGCTTCTCATTTAATGCTTATAGCTGCTCTGAGAAAATATTTATTGTGCACAACTCACTTGAGTCCTTGCTATCTGAGATTATTGGCCTCTCCTGGGGCTCGAGAGGCGAAAGCAACTCCTGAAGCTGAAGTTCCATGGCAGGAGACAGTTTTGTTTCTTGGATCAAGGAGTTCCAGAACTGAGAATATGTTTGTTTCCCAGATCAAGAGCAAGCACTGCGGGTGCTCAGGAGTAAAATCCTACAAAGACTGTGACTCTGAGCACTCCTGCTGCCTGCTTCTGTATATTGAGCCTTAAAGGAATACAGAAACAAACTAAACACGTTTTATTGGGTAGAATTTACACCAAGCTCCTGAGAATTGGGAAAGAGAGTAAATAACATTTTCCTTCTTTATTATGTTGCTGCCTCTTATGAACTACCTCATTGAATGTGAGGCAGTATACAATCAAGTTCCAAGTAAATAACATCATTAATTCAAATGGAATAAAGTGTGAAACATGACCCAATCTAAACTATGATTTAAAAAAAATTAGAATGATCTCATGTGAAAGTTGACAGGAATGTGCTGTAATTTAGAAATATATGAATCTTCCAGTGTTCCCAAGATAACATTTTTATGTGCTGATGAAATCTAAGTAATATATCTTCTTAAAAAAAAAAAAAACCTCTTCCCATAAAACACCTTTATTAGAGTTTACTGAGTTTAGCAGAAATGGCAGCTAATGTTTGGAGTGCCTATTAAAGTGCAGGTCATTTGTTTGATAGTGATTATAGAGTGTATTATTAAAAATGTGCATCCACAAAATGTGAACATTTCCAGCTTTATACAGATCCACACAGAAAATAAAACTTTTAAACTGTGGAGATTATATATCCAGTAAAATATTTGTTGTTTCACAATGTGTTGTTAACTGCTGACTACTCTTCAGTAAGATGCCACATAAATGAAAAATTAACCACTGTAGAATAGAAAATAGTTTAAAGTCCTGAAGCGAGTTTCTGTGCATACAAAATAGCTTTGTCCCGGGCAATGTAATGTAGAAATACTTCAGTGAAGAAGACACCATAGTAGAAGGCTTGACAGCAAAACAAAACAAAGACCAGCACTGGAATTGCTAAGTTAGGGAGCTGCATGCAAACATAGGCTGGTCTGAATTCAAGATGTTGGAGGTCACATGTGCAGTTTGGGAAGATGATGAGCTTTCACTGATGTTGTAACTACATCTCAGCAATCTGAGGCACAAGTCTGCTTCTGTTGCGCTGTGAAATTCTAGAGAGATATAATAAACTTCCAGATTAAAATTTCTTCTCATATTTAGAGAATTTTTTTTAAAAAGTGATTGCTTTCCTCACTCCATGCTTTAGAAACCTCTCTAGTGAAATCACTCTTCAGCCTAAAATGTTACTGTATAGTGAATTACATTTTTAGTGTTAATCAGAACATTTCATTCAACAGAAATCTGAGAATTATTTCTCCTCATTGATTTTGTTTCTTTCTCTCTCAAAAACTCAGTGTTAGCAGACTTCCTTTCAGACTTTTGAGAAGTGACAATTTCTTTTTTGCGTGTTCCAGGAATGATTTTTTAAAAATAGCTACCTTATTTTGCTGTCTGCCTAAAACACTTAAATGGAGGCCAAAAGTACCAAATTTTTGTCCTGCTGCTGCTAAGGTAGCCTAAGACATTGATGTAAGTTAGAACCCAACAGGGAAGGAAATCTCACTGTCCAGAAATTGCCTAGTTGGGACATGCTTGCCTGTGAGGACTTAATTAAGTTGCTGAATTGGTTTTCTGAGTTTCTGCCAGAACACAGTGAAGGAGTATGTACCTGACAGCACTGACCAAGGTAATTATTTTCTTGATTTTAAAGCAAATTTGGAATTGAGGATTTACATAGAGTCATTTGTGGGGAACTTCATTTTCATCAATGCTTTCCAGGATGTAAGCCCCATTTCTATTTGAACCAGTTAGACAATATTGCAAGCTGAATTAACTTCTATAGATCCTCATTCCTCATTCAGAATATACCAAAACTGTAAACTGCCCAGTATGTTAGAGGACTTGAAAGGGTGAACAACTTCTCATATTATCTTCTCAATTCAAAAGGTGTCACTGTTTCTGGCCTTCATACTGTAAGAATCATAGAGTCAAGGTAAAGACTACACTTAAGAAGCTTTCTCCTAGTGCCGATTTCTTAGTTAATTCCATGTAACCTGTTAGAGACTGGGCTGTGAGCCACATGAGTGCAGGGAAAATACCTTAATCCATTTGTATTGAATGTGCCTGGTGATAGGAGGTATCCAATAAATATTTGTTGAAGGAGCAAACAATTAATGGATGAGTGTGCATTACTACCTCTTTCTTTACCCCTCAAGTTAAAATTTTTTTGCAAATAGCATATTGGAAGTGCTACATTGAAAGGTAGCAGGAACAACAAAAATATGTTACACGAAAATTTTTAGTAGAAATGATAGCTCTTAACTCCTTTCAAAGAAAAACTTAGAAGACTTTGCATTAGCCAAGAAACAAGGTCAAACAACTTTATGAACAATAATATATCTGAAAAAAGAACAATTCCTTTATCCTTGAAATATCTGAAAGAGCTTATAGAAAACATTGATCTAAGAGCTTGTCAAATATGGTATTTTGCCAAATGCTTGCCATCTTCAGCCATCACCGTATTGTCTTGCAAAGTGGGGATTCTCTTCCCAGTCCTTGCAAACTTGGCAATTTAGTTCAAATGGGACTGATCTACTTATGCTTAACTGCTGACAAGCAAGCTTCATGAAGAAACAAAATATATATATTTCCCAGTGGTAGGGCCAGGACCTTCTTTTTATTCAAATTACGACTAACAGAGTTGAGACCCTGGAGAAAACTACCACATTTGAGTTCTTATAGAATCCTGGAAAGTACACCCTATTTTTCTCTTTAAAACAAAAAGAAACATAAAACAGCAGAGCAGTAGGAAATCATTTCCTAGACTCATCACTGGAACATACTTTCCTAAGAAAATCCCGATAAGTGAAGAAGCTGAGCTCAAATCTGGCCTGTTCCTGAACCTGTAAAAGAAGATGACAGTCTATCTGATACAATACATTACGTAGAATCAGTGGTTGCTATTATCAGCCTGTCCTACAAGAAACAACGTTGGGATTACTTGCTAAAACATCAGTTGCATCAGGCTTCTGATAAATGCTATTTTAAGCCACAGATATAGAACCTTAAGTGTAAAGTGAAAAGAAATCGGGATAAGGAGCTAGATTACTATCATGTCGTAAGCCCTGTTAATTTTTGTTTTGTACTTATTGAAAGAAGGACTCACTAAGTCATTGCTTTTGCCCTATTTAAAAAAAATTATATTAGACTCTCCATAGTTTGGAAAAAAAATTTCCATTTTGTAAAATAAGTAGATTGTACTAGATTCACTTTTCATGTCTAAACATTTTCTGTGATTTTATGAATTCAATTAAATATCAATTGCATTTCCTTTCCAAATAAATGAATTCCAACATGACAGATTTTTCTGTGATACCAATGTCTAGTCTAGTTCCTAGGATAAAGTCTGTGTATAATATATTTTTGTTGTTGCATTGTATCTACAACAAATCTTTCCAAAAGGAAAAGGTAAACAACATTTCCAGCATCTTAGAATGCAATATTGCTTTTAAGAAGGGGAATTAATGACAATACATATTTTACACCTTCATATTCCTTTTTTCAAAACATCATATTGTAACAATGAGGATGCAAAATAGTTTGTGAAACTGATTTTTAAGCTTCTGCTTCTACAATAGTCTTTAATCATGTAGAAAAATTATGTTTAAAAATGTCCTTCTAATATTGAGTAACAGCTGTGCTACACATTCTGCTAGTACTAACAATTCATAAATTAAAGTAACTGGCAATTTTGCACTAAATTTATGTCAACAAATGCCTGGTCAAAGTAGGATAGGATAAACATTAACGAAGTTTTCTTAAACAAAAGACCAGCCCCATTAATTTCACTGGCTTAAATAAATGGTTAAATAAACCATCAGATTATTGTGGGAGACTTGTATTTTTTTTCTCCTTCAGAAATCCGAACCAATTTGCCTTAATTTGTTACTAAAATATTCTTGACTACTAGATGATGGTCAGAGGCAATGCTATATCTTAAAACTAGACAAGCCTCCTGCATATTCCAGATACAATGCAACAAAGGTTGTGCTTTTAAGAGGCTGTAATAGATGAACGCAGCCACTGATTTGTGTGTTTATTTATAAGTCTCCGGTATTCCTTAGGAGTAGAGTAGTCTATTGTGTTCTATTTGCACAATTATCTGCTAATATTTATTTCTACAGGCAAGATTAGTACCCTCCCTCTTTATTTTTTGTGATTAATGCTATAAAGAATGGTATTCCAAAGAGTTTCTACATATGAAGGATCTAATTTTGATGCAAGAAAAAAAAGTAAATAGATGCATGGAGGGTGGAGACAAAACTGAGAGAAATACAGCAGAATTGCTCTCCTTTGCAAAGACAAATTCTTGACGACAAAACCATCCACCCCGAGACAAATTCTGATTGTCACTGAAATTCAAAAATGAAGCAGTCTTCAGTTATTCTGGCATAAAATGGCATATCAAATCCAGGCAGAAGAAAGTTTAGGTTGGCTTTAGACTTCTTGAAAGTTATATTCAATGTCAGAAGACAATGGAGCAATTTCTAGAAGGTTTTGAGGGAATGTGTTATCCAAAATATTAGACCCAGGCAAGATATCAGATAAATCAAATGACAACCAAAATTCTTCTGAAACATGCTTCTGTATTTCTTACAAAAAGAGAAAAACAAAATCAGAACTCCCATATTCTCCATTCAAATGTGATAAACACTCTTATGAAAACTACTCAAAACTCAAAAGTTAAAATCACTACTTCAGAATTGAGAAACCACTGTAAAACATCTGGAATGAAAATCAAGATTATTTCCTGCAATAATTGTGGTTGCCAAATAAAGGTAAATGTAAGCTTAACAATAAAATTATGACATATAAATGTAATATATATTAAATATGACATATAACTAATAAAAAAATTGAGAGATGGAGATGGAGGCTGGGAGCAAGTGTAAAAAGTTAATACTTTTGTGTCTCATAGCAGAGGTCAATTGATATTGTATAAGGTTAAAACATGTAGCTAAAAATGGCAACTCAAGTGCAATGTTTTTCACAGTTTCTCAGGATTAGAGGGATCTACTATGAAACAGTATCTTTTGAGGTGATGAGATATTTTTTGAAGTTAAGCAGTCCTTTCCCTTATTTCTTATGAGATTTTTCTCTGCAAAATTTAAATAAATAAATATTAATTCTTATGTTAAAAATAGTATTACACTTTGATGCCATTTTATACATTTTTTTCTTATTTCTCTGCCCAACCACTCATCCATCCAAACTTACAGCTCCTAGAACAGTTGGCTAAGAATAATGCTGGTGATGAATAAAGATGGAATTAGAGGGAGGATTTTACATTTTTCTCTGCAAGTTTCTATTAAATTTTTAGTAATAAATATGTATCTTTTTTATTAAAACAATATAGTCATTCCCCTGAAAAAATAAGAAAATAAAAAATTAAAATAAAGATTGATTCAACAGCTAAATATCAAAGTTCCTTTATGTCTATATCCCAAGGTGACTTAGTTGATCATTACCTTTTTAACTTCATGTTGTCACTTATTTTAATGCACATTCTTCTCCTGGATACCATATTTTGAATTTAAGTACTTTGCTTTTTAACTTACCAATTAATACATTTTATAAAGTCTTATCATGGTAAGATGTATAAAGAATTAAAACAATACAATAAAAAGCAACCATCTCTTAGCTCATCTCTCCCCACTTCCAGTCCTGGTACCCAGAGCAATTCCCCTTAATCTTCATCGTTTGAGATTTTCCTTCATACTGACACCTCCTTTTTCCCCCAGCTTTAGACATATCCATTGGTTTACTCTCATGATAGATGTGAGATTAATTCATATATACTATCCCCTACTTCCCTAATTTACCACCTATCTATATAATTTTACAACTATTATTGGTTTCTCCATGGGTCATATCTTTAACCTCAAACAACATAATTAATTATAAGTTTATTTCTTCTTCAGTCTTGTTCAGTGTTCACACAACATTTGATAAAATTCAAAAAGTAGCATTCCTTTATTTTCTTATGCTCTTCCATTTGTATTATATCTGACAATAGCACTCTTACCTTTATATTGTCAACAATGAATAATAATAACATTCTGGGTTTTTGTTTATTTATTTTAGCCTTTCTTGTTGTTTTGCATTTCCATGTACAGTTTAGAAGCAGCTTTCCATTTCTACAGATAATGTGTGCTGGGTTGTTTCAACTTAATGGATCATTTTTCTCACCAATGTTTTGTAGGACTCAGGGTAAACATATCATATATCCTTTGATAAATTTATTCTTAGGAATTTGATAATTTTTATATTATTGCAGAAGTTATTTATTTTATTTTCTATTTGCTGCTAGCAGAAAGACATATGATTGATTTTTGTACATTGGTCTTGAACCTGTGACCTTGCAAGGCAACTAGCTGCTTGTATATTTCTTGGGATTTTTGTTGTATACAACAGTATTGTCTGCAAATAAAGAAACATCATCTTCTTACTTTTCAATATTTGTGTCTTTTATTTCTTTTTCTTGCCTTAAAATACTGGCTAGGACCTCCAGTATATGGTGAGTATAAGTAGTGATGGCAGAAATATTTATCATGTTTATGACCTTTAAGGAGATAACTCTCAATATTTTATCAGTGAATATGCTGCTAGCTACAGGATTTTTAGTAGATATTTTAAAATTCAAATTGAATGAATTCTTCTTTATTTAAATATACCTATTTAAATAAAGCAAATATTACTTTTTTCCTCTACGAATTAAGATAATCATCTTTTTTCCTTTTGTTTTTAATGAACTATCTTTTTTATTTCTTTACATGCTTATTTGCATCATAGAAAATCCCACTGGCTCAGACTGTTTATCCATTTTATACAACACTGAAATTGGCTAATATGGTTAGGTTTTTGTGACTATGATCATGAAAGATATTGTTCTATAATTTTCTTCTTCTGTAATGTCTTTATTGGGATTTGGCATCACGTTTATGTTAGCCTCCGTTGTAAGATAAAATGTTTCAAGTGTGGGAGTTTCTTTTTTTAAATGTATAGTAGAATTCACCAGTGAAGCTATGTTAGTTTGTAGTTCTTATCTTCCGATGGGTTACAGGATTACATTATTTTTAGGATTCTATTTTATCAGTAGTGTTTTATGAGTGTATCTCTTATATAGCTTTTTTAGAGCTTGTTCTACGTAATGTCTGTGATTCACAGGTGCCATTGTTATACCAGTTTGAGTGAGGTATAGAAGACCTGCCTCTCTTTACATGTCATTACACTCCCTCGTTCATAATATAATTGTCTGAAATATTTTCTCTACATACAGTTAGAGCCACAGTGTTATGATTTTTACTTTAGCCATAAAGCATAATTTAGAAAATTGAGGAAGAGAAAGAAAGCCTAAAGTATTTACCAATATTTTTGCTGACAGGGTTCTTTCTTCCTTCCAAAAATTGCAATATTCTTTTTTTTAAAATTGTTTCCTTTCTCTTTAGAGAACTTATTTTAATTACTCTTTTAGGGCATATCTGCCAGATTAGTTTTTCTTAATCTGAGAATATCTTGATTTTTCCTTAATTTCTAAAGAACATATTTGATAGGCACACAGATTTGGGTTGATAGTCTTTTCTTTCAGCACTGGGAAAAGTATGGTGCCGCTTTCTTTTAGCTTCCATGGTTGCTAAGAGGAATTCATTGTTTTTAAATTTTTTTTCTCCAATAGATAAGGTGTCATTATTCTCTGGCTGCTTTCAAGATGTTATCCTTGTCTTTAATTATCGGGACTTTATGATGTGTCTTGACCTGGCTATCTTTGGTTCATTCTTTTTGAACTTCATTCAGCTTCTTGCACCTATAGATCAATGTCTCTTACTAAATGTGCAAAGCATTCAGCCATTATTTCAAGTATTTTTTCAGCCCTGCTGTTTCTCCTCTCTTTCTAACATTTCAGTATTTCAAAATTTAAATATTTTGTTACAGTCCCCTAAGTCCTTGAAGCTCTGACATTTTTTTTCTAGTTAGTTTTCTCTATATTGTTCAGTTGGGTAATTTCTATTATTCTATTGTTAGGTGGCTAATTCATTCTTGTATCCCCTGTATTCTACTGTTGAGCCTCTCTACTGGGTGTTTTAGTTTGTTTTCACTTCTAAAATTTTCATCTGGTTTTCCTTTGTATCTTTTATTTCTTTGCTGGACTTCCTTTGCTAAGGTTTTGGATATTTTTTCATTTGTTTCAAAAGTGTTCATAATTGTTCATGAAGTTTTTTTAAAAAAATCATGGCTGCTTTAAAATCTTTTCCAAGATTTTAAGATTCTAAAATTGTATGACTCTAAGATTTTATATTATCTTTTTTGATTCTAAGATCTCTGGTATTTCACTGTTAGCTGTTGTGTGTTTTTTCATTCAATTTGAGATCTGCTTGGTTTTGGTATGATGAGTGATTTTTACTGAAACCTTTATATTTTGGTATTAGTGATGGCAGCGGCGGCCCATCTAGAGTGGTCACTGCCATGATGCCAGCTTCAGGGGAGGAGGCATGGTTGGGGCTGCATGCTCCATGGAACTAGCGGGAGCCAGGAACAGGCAGAAGCCCTGCCCCCTTCTGAGTTGGCAGGGTGGGAGCCTTGGGCTCCCTGAGCACAGTTGCAGCCGCCCAGCTGCAGCTGCAGACCTGAGCATGCCAGTGCTCTTGGGGGCTGGGAGCAGGAAGGAGCCCTACCCTCCTGGGCACAGCTGCAGCCGCCCAGCTGTGGCTGTGGACTCAGGCATCTCTGCACTCTCAAGGGCCCAGGAAGGCCCCCCTATGCCGCTGCAGGCTCAGAAGTGCTTGTTCCCACTGTCTGGTCTCTCCCCGCTCTCTGCACCCACTTTGATCTCAGAGCAAAGTTGAGGCTGAGCCCGTGTGCTGTTGCAACATGGCCAGGTGTGTGCAAACTGGGGGCAGCACTGTCACACCAGCCCCCTGCCTCCTCGACCCCCTCCAGACTTCGGGCACCAGTAAGCATGACAGCGAAGCTGACCGGGGCATTGAGGGCAGTTCACGCTGGCCTTCAAGCGTCCCTTAGCACAAAGTAATAGTTATAGGAGGCAGACAGTCTCCCAGGCAGAAAAGGGCAGGTCCCTGGTGAAGCTCTACCTTCAGGTCGGGGAAGGCCTGAAGCCTGGGGGTCGGGCTCCCAGTCCCACAGACTGGAGTGGGAATTTATAGTCCTTTATCTGGGCTTCTCATAGCCACCAGATGAACCAATCAGCATGCACTTCCTCCCCTCTGAAGCCCATAAAACCCCGAACACAGGAGACTGGAGAGACTCCATGACAACCTGCCAGCAGAGAGGAGCTACCCACTCCAGGGTCTCCTCTCTGCTGAAAGCTGAACACTCCTCAAGACACCTTGGTGGGGCGAAAGAGCTGTAACACAAACAGGGCTGAAACACACTCCTTGCTTGCCACGATGCAAATGGATGAGAGGGAGGGAACAGCTACGGCCCTTTGGGGAACCCAGACCTAGGAGCTCACCAAGCCAGGGCTGTGACACCCTCTTTGGGGCTCTGTGGTTCCTGGTGTCTCCAACCTGCCATGCACCATTGTGTTCCCCAGTGCCAGCCGTGGAAGATGCTTATGGTGCGCCTGGTCCAGCTGCAACCTTGCAGGGAGCCAGTGTCCATGCTGGCACCTGGAGCTGCCTGTCCTGCTGCAGCCAGTGTGCCTGGGTGTGCACCGTGGCTGGATCCCATGCTCACTTGCTCACATACCCCTCACCACTCTGCTTGCCTTTGGCAGGCAGGGGTCCGGGCCAGTAGCGCAAACCAAGCACAGCCTACCAAGCCGAATGGGCCCAGCAGGCCTATGCAAAACTGGAGCAAAGGCACCACAGGCCACAGAGGCTTTTGGCTGTTGAAGTGACACCCCAGGGATGTCATAACATTAGGTTATGAGATTCTAGGTCTTATTTAAAATTTCTGTTTTATATGACTTTTTCTGACAGTGCTCCTGCAGGAACAGTGTGGGGCAGGAGGGAACAACATCTAATTCCTGCCCAATGGGTCTAGAAATCCAGGCTTCCTTTTGAACCTTGCTGGACATTTTCAGGGATGGGGGTGATTCTTTGTCAGGCTGGGTGGAGGTGAAAGGCCCAGCTCACCACAGAGTACATGATTCTTTCCTGTGGCGTTCAGCTGGAATGGATAATTGTTGCCTTGCTAGGCTGCCCCTTGCCTGGTTCTTTGGCTACAAGGAACACAGTTAGCTGGGGATTTTATTTTTTTTTGTCTGTACCTATTGTGTTTCTGAGATACTGGCTTCTGCAGCTCCAAGATTAGAATATAGGAGGCAAGAAGAAAGCTAAGAAACTAATCATTGTGTTATTCTCAAAGTCTCTAAGCCAGTCTACCCTCTTTTCTCCACCTTTTCAAGTCTTCTTATGTTTGCTTTTTATACAATGTCCAGGGCTTTTAGTTTAGTGAGAAGAATGTAGAAAAGTACATCCACTCTATTTTCCCAGAAATTGAACCATCCAATTAATTTGTAATTTCAGGTTTTATATTTTCTAGTTCTAAAATGCCCAGTTTGTTCCCTTTTTAAAATTCAATTTAAAATTTATCTTTTTGTCCATTTTTCATGTATTCCTCTAAGATATTTGGTAGCTCTTTCAATAGCTTGTCTACTAATTCCAACATCTGAATATAATTCTATGACTGCTTTTTCTGTTATTAGTATTTACTTTGTCTTGCATCTTTGAATATCTAATTATTTATTTTTAACTAGATATAGTATTTAAAAGATCCTTATGAAGTAAAGTAAATAAACATTGCTCCCCAGATAGGAACTAAGCAACTCGGCAACTGGTTTGAGAAAATGACCACTTTAGGTCCAAACAGTTGAACTCAGATGGGTCTTGGTTGCAGCTTTAGTTAGCTTCAACTTACCTCCTGTTTCAAATATTTTCAGGGTAAGATCCATTCTGCATGCATTGCAATCTCTTCCCTCTTGCAAGATCTAAGAACTGTGATACTACAGAAGGCTATTATTGCTTTCCAGCCCAGACTCTTATCTTCCATGCTGCCATAGCCAAATACCCAACAAAAGTCCAATGGGAAAAAGATCGGCAAGGAGAGATAATTAGCTTTGTGTTTGGGAATCCATAGCCCTAATATGTCAGCCAGCGAGCCCACCATGTCATTAAATCCTCTTGTTTCTCATTAACCAAGAAAAGTGGCTCTTCCCATGGCAGTCTGATTTTCAGCCTGCCCAAACCTAAACTAGGCAGGCCATGTGGAGGAAAGTGGCAAATAAACCCTGCTTACTTGGAAATGTTTTATCCTTAAGATATACTTCCATTAGACTTCTTTATGACCACAGTTCTCTAACAGTGTTAAAACTAGATAATTTGTATTTCGTAGTTTCTCTGTTACAACAGAAATGACAGATGGGTTGCAAATTTCTATATTCCAGTAGAAGCTGGAAGCCCTAACACTGTGTTGTGAGAGTGAATGAAGTCTTACATGATTTCTTTCTTTTCTTTTCTTTTTTTTTTTTGAAATGGAGTCTCGCTCTGTCACTCAGGCTGGAGTGCAGTGGCACGATTTTGGCTCACTGTAACCTCTACCTCCCAGGTTCAAGCAATTCTCCTGCCTTAGACTCCTGAGTAGCTGGAACTACAGGTGTGTGCCACCATACCCAGCTAATTTTTGTATTTATTTATTTATTTATTTAGTAAAGACGGAGTTTCACCTTTTTGGCCAGGCTGGTCTCAAACTCCTTACCTCAAGTGATCCACCCACCTCGGCCTCCTAAAGTGCTGGGATTACAGGCATGTGCCACTGCGCCTAGCCTATAGATGGCTTCTTAAAATTGTAAATAAATATGCTGCATTTGTATTATGACTATTTAATAATTATTACTAAAGAGACAAGTAATGTGCTAGGACTATATGTTCTCCTCTCAGGATTCACTTTTCCAC
This sequence comes from Homo sapiens, assembly GCF_000001405.40. Classification (NCBI taxonomy): domain Eukaryota; kingdom Metazoa; phylum Chordata; class Mammalia; order Primates; family Hominidae; genus Homo; species Homo sapiens. The sequence goes on along the minus strand of NC_000001.11, from coordinate 96,025,982 downwards.
TCACGGAGAATATTCCTAGAGTTACATTCAAGGAATTTGTTTTTACCCCACAGAATCCTTTTACTATATTTTCAATCGGCCTCTTATTTTAAATGATGTATGCAATTTTTTTCCCCAATTCTTTCACTCCAGCTAGCTTTCTAGTCTTGTTGTTCAGCCATAATTTTAGAATTTTCAGTGCTCTTCTGGAAGACCTATTAGTCTGACATTGGATTCACAAGGTTATCTGTGTCTTTTACTTTAGATTTTATTAAGTCTGTCTTTTGGTATTTCTGATGTATTTTTCAGGAGATTTTCTTCACTTTATCATTTTACAGACAGATTGACAGAGATATACAGATATGATATTTATGTAAATACCTACATGTTCAAATTCAAATGTGCTTTCTTATTAGTATTTGGTATTTTTTCTCCTTTCAAGTAAACCTGCTCTCATTTTATTAAAGTATTATCTTCTAAATTTCTCTAGAGACATTAATTAGGATGTTTTCTAAATATTGTTCTATTCCCAAAATATTTGTTTTTCCTGTGGGGAGGATTTCTTTTTGTCTCTTTCTTTAAAATAAGTATTTGGATGATTATACTTTGCACTGAGGATTTCCCCTAATGTCTAGAGATTCTTGTTGTCCATTTAATTAAGAGACTACAAAAAATCTGACCATAAATACTGTTAAGGGCTTGACAGACTTGGCTTAATTTAAGTGAGCAGAGAGCTGGCAGTAAATTTTCAGACACGTCAGTGACAGACTGTTTAATGCTGGGGTGCCATCTCCTACACTAGCTACCCTATTTCTCCCTCAAGGAGGTGGTTCAGTTTAATTGAAGAACCTCACTTAAAGTTGCTGTCATTTTGCTTTTCTGCATGTGGGCTAAATCCCTGTATGCCAGGCAATCTGTGCACAGACATAGGAAAGAGGGAAAGAGGTCGATTGATTCTTCTACAGACTTTAATTCTATCTCATTCCTACTCTTCATAGACATAGTATTTCCAGCTTCCAAGCCCTACTGATCTTCTGCAGTGAAAAATCTGTTTCATCCTTGGCTAAAATTTTCAAAAGTGTCCTTGACTTTATCCTTCTCATTTCTGCTTTATTGGCTCCCAATCCCCAATATGGTTTTTGTCTGTTTTTCCAGAAGGAACAGTTTCAAAGAGCAACCATAGATTGATGTATTCTCTTCCCATCTACTCCCTCCTTTGATTTTTGGCTATGCCTTTATATATCTATTTTGTTTTATTTGAAATAATGCCCATAGAGATAATGAAGAAAAACATATATTCATTCTGACATCTTGAAAGATTTTTAAGTTGTTTAAAAATGTATTATTTATTAAATAATAAAATTTTATTATAATGTTATAGTTACATCTTGGCTATGGTCACTATCCTAAGAGTAAGGAGAAAAAGCAACTCAGAAACCATTCTAATCAAAGAAGAAGAACTTACAGTGTATGAAAATAATTCCATCCACTTGTTAATGGCTTTGGGAGACAAAATGAAATTTGCTTGAATGCTGCCTTCTCTTTCCATTTCTCCCTAAACATTTTAATGCACTAGACATTAAAAAAAATCGTAAATGTACTTATAAAAATTTTAAAGGAACACTTAGTTGGAGAAGTGGTGTTACCATAACTGAAGTGTATATATGTCTCTTTAACTAAAATTAAAACTGTATCAAAGAGCTAGAGATCATTAGACAGAGGATGGGAAATTATCCAATGACAAGCTGATTCTCCTGAGATAAAAGCCTAGAAGAGAACAACAAATTAATAATTAAAATTTTCTTATTTCCATCTAGATTGTGCATTTTTGTTATGTGACCATTATTTACTGTCTTTTCAGGGTTTTTTTTTTTTTAAGGAGTCTTGCTCCGTTGCCCAGGCTGGAGTACAGTGTGTGATCTAGGCTCACTGCAACCTCTGCCTTCCAGGTTCAAGCCATTCTCCCACCTCAGCCTCCTGAGTAGCTGGGATTACAGGCACATGCCACAATGCCCAGCTGATTTTTGTATTTTTAGTAGAGATGGGGTTTCACCATGTTGGTTGACCAGGCTGGTCTCGAACTCCTGACCTCAGGAAATCCACTCACCTCAGCCTCCCAAAGTGCTTGGATTACAGGTATGAGCCACCATGCCCAGACATCTTTTCAGTTTTATATAGCAAAATATGACAACTCAATGGCCTTAAGAAACAAAAAATACGTATTATCTCTGAAACCAAGAAGTCCAGAAGCAGAAAGTTTCTAGGCTTGGTGAATTCTAAAGATTATTAATGTCTTCAAAAACTCAGATTGTTTCTATCTTTCTGATCTACTATCCTCAACACATGGCCTTGCCTTCTCTCATGCGGGTGGGATGGCTCTCAAAGTTCCCGTCATCACATGGATATATGACAATGGCCAGTGGAAGATGAGCTATTTTTATGCATTACTCTTGGTCTTCTGATCTAGCTTTTCACAGTTTGTGTATAAGAGAAATGGAAAGGGCAGGTGGCAGAGTATGGGTAAGAAGGTAACGAGATACAAGCAGCATTGTTTTCATATTCACATGAGAATGTGTAAAAGAGGAGAAATAAATGTTTTGTTGTGTTTTCCTGTGCACAAAATAGCCACTTGGGCACTGAGGGCTCCAGAGAGGTCTCTGCCACCTGTGGTCTTTCAACAGTGCAAACATCAGCAATAGCAGCTTCTGGGGGTGACAGGAGGGTTGTCAGGGACAAGCAGGAGATGGTTAATAGCAAATCAAGCTGATGTGTAGAAGAAAAAAGGAGGAAGAAGTTACGAATTCTCATACTAACACCATATCAGAGACACTGACAGCAGACATCACTAGAGCTGTTCCAGAAGGTAAACAAGAGAAAATGACAGATGTCACCAGACAAAAAGCTGACAGGGCTCACTTCTGAGTACATCTGAAGTACCACCTCAAGATTTCCTTTTGCAAGAAAAGCTGTCCTAAATTAACAATGGAATGAAAGTTGCACCCATTTTAGAGATGAAGAAATCTTCTGGTATCTTCTATCTCCAGAGTAAAGCTTCTCCCTCTCCTTTATATGAATTATTTTTAATACACTTTTACATTTACCTTATAGCAAAATGAATGTTTATCTAATCCATTTGTAACTTTATTTATGTGATGTCTTGTGATTTCAATTTTAGTTAGGAAGTCATGATACAAAGCTTAATCTCCATTAACTGGGAGTAATGAGGGACAAGGTAATTGAGGATGAGGCCATAAACAGCCTCAACTTAGAGATAAAGCATAAAGTAGGTAGAAAAAAATTGAAGAAGAGAGATGAATTTCCAGTTCACAGTGACACACTGTCCTTTGGACTGGCGTTGGTGTACAGAGGGGGTCCTTAGTATCCATGCCTATGCTTTTTGATGCTGTAGTTGACATACAAATACAGATAACTGACCGGAGATGGGCTCTCTGGATCCTCTCTGTGGCATATCTGAAACATGAAGACAGAGAAATAAAAATCTTGAAGTCACTGGAATTGAATCGTATTAACAGCAGTGCCTAGTGGCAGACTAAGCATCTGCTTGGAGAACCAACAAAGCAGAGGTAGTGAAAATTGGCAATATTTGTGATAGCAGAACATCAAAATCAACCAGAATAGTAAATATTTAATTTCTATCTTCTTCTGCCCACAAATAAACCAAGGTCGTAATAAAATAAAATGAGAAGTTTTTGAGCTTTCTTTTATTCTTTTATTGATAGGGATATATATGGTAAGACTATACATATAAGTTTTAAATTCCACAGAGGGTAGTCAGTGCCCTACACTTTTCAAAGCTTAGTTCCTGTAAACTTCTTGTTCTTCTTTTCTTAGTTCTTCTAAAACTCTAATCACTCTTTCAGTTTAGGTCCCCATAGCCACCTTAATTCCTACTCTTTCTGAAGTGCAATTATCCTCTTTCCCTTTGATTCTCTGAATTCATCTTGGTACCTGTTTGGAGGTTCCAAAAACAAATGGAGGTTATGTTAAGAACCTCCATTATATAGTTATATTAAGAACTATAAAATCAAAAGTAAGAAAACATAGATCTCTTATACTTATTCAACATCCTAACAAAGTGCTTTCGTACCACTATTTGATTCTTTCTGGAACCTTAGGAGACACAGATATTATTACTTTTGTTATACAGATGAATAAATGTATCATAAATAACAATGATCACATGCTTAAACTGTAATACCTAAAGTAAAAAACTAGTTTGGTGCTCTGTCAAATCAAACCAGCTGGCTTGGAAAGCTGATTGAAAGTAAAGAATACAGATAAAAAGGTAGAAGAAAGACATACATTTTGGAGTCCAATTCAGACAAAGCCAACAATTCAATATTTTAATTAAATTAATCTGAGTTTATTTCTGTTGTTTGAAAGCAAGGTAATTTCTAATAAGAAAATAAGGTAAATTATATCAAATAGATCTAATGGATTTTTTTTAGTGAACTTCCATGTGATATTTATGAACTCATTTATTAATTATAGATGTTATCCAAAATGATGCCCATACAATAATTTAGTCATTCTAAGCATCTCACACATTGTCATGTTGGAACCAAATAGCCCAAGCTTCTCCTTACATCTCTCTGTAGCTAGTGTTTGCTTCTGATTCAGTAGAGGGTCTTGAGAGAGTGATGAGAAGTACATATATGGTTGCTGATAAGAATGGGCCTTCTTACCTTCCAATTAATATAACACAAATGTATTGGTTGTTATGTGATTCCAAACAATAGATACAATCTAATGTGTATAATTCTTACTGATCTTTAGTCAACAATCTAATGTGTATAATTCTTACTGATTTTTAGTCACTTATTTTGAGGAATGTACTGTTTTACTTTTACCATGTTTAATTCACAAATTATTTAATCTTTTCTCTATTATCTAACAGTACTCCACCAAAACTACAAACCCACCATCAAGAGTTAACTAGTTTAACTCAAAGATGAGAGTGATTTAGGCAACTAGTAAGTGATAATAGAAAGTGTAGAGAATTAATACCCGTATTTGAACCCCCTGTTCCAGCTAAGTGACTATAAACAGATCTTCCAATAGGTAAAACCTAACCTATGGAGAACTGTTTGCCTTTCTCTGAATCTGGGATACCTCGTTTAATTTTCAGTAACCTCATTTCTAAGAATTAATATCACAGATTTTCTTCCATTTCTTGTAGTCTTATATTTTCTTATATTTCTTTTATTGTTCTTCTTATATCATCCATGATACTGTGGGAACACACCACAAATAACTCTAAATAATTGTTGGCTTTCTCTTCCTTCCTAAGAAACATCTTTTTGCTTCTAATAATGCAAACTGCTCCTGATTTATAACCTCAGATACTTTAGGTAATACCAGTAACTTCAGGGTCAGTAGTGCCTGCAGAGCATAGCCTTGTTAATCAGTCAAAATGATTTCATGTGTTTTCTTAGCAGCATCAGAAAGGGCAAAGGATTTATGGGTAATATCATTTTATGTGTCACTGTGGTGTACAATATTGTCATCATGTGTTAAAACCAGCAATGGTCTTCATTGATTTTAATCATAGTCATACTCACCTCAATCTCCCCTGTGTGCTACCCCTCCCAAAAAAGATAAAAGAAATCTGAAGACATTTTGTATAATCACTTAAAACACTTTTAGTCATTATAAGTTTTTTAATGCTTTTATAGTTAACCAGGATAAAGTGCCACTTCTCACAGATCATATGTCTTTCTCACTAAAATTTCAACCAAAAACACTTAAGGCTATTGAAATATGTGCATTTTAAAGGTGGAGGAGGTTCTTATAAATAGCCACCAGTGAAGAGACTTATTTGCCTCATTTTTCTGGGAGTATTTTGTGTGTGTAATTTTATTCAATAGAGAGCTTACATTTTTATGGTGATTCATTCACATATCAGAAATTCAATAAAAATCCCATAGCCAAGAAGATAGACTTACAGGAAAGGAGTGAGGGAAAGATAAGCTTAAATTGAAACATGTCAGAGCAGATCAGTTGCCCCTCCATCACCCTTTGCATGAGCCAGCCACACTTCTCCAATAGGCTTGCTTCAGGAAAGGAGAAAGCTAAGCCCTCATCTACCGTTCTCTCAGTATGAAAGAGAGACATTCATTCATTTGCTTAATCAAGCTATCATTTGTTCTTTCATTCTTTCAACATTTAGCCAATGCACATTCATGGAATCACATCTACATGCCAGGTGGGATGCTGGAGTGAGATGTCAGAGGCTTCAATTTCACAGTCTTCTGCGGAAGTTAGATAAGAAGAAATAATAATGTTAGTAATATACACAAACTACTGGTACCCCAGAGGAGGGAGTGGTCAGGTCTGGTGGATTAGGTTTAACAGAAAACTTTTCCTGGGACATTGTCTTACCCACTACAGTATCCTCAGCACTTAGCATAGTGCCTAATACACAGCAGATAGTTGTAGTGGACACAAATATAGCAGCCTTCTGTCTCCCAGAAATTCCCCTGATAGTCATGTCATGTAATCCTCCTACCTTGGCCTCTGCTACCTACCCTCTTCTCTAACTGAAAGGTCTAAGTGATTAGACATTTGACCGCTACTGGGGCAATCATAATACTCTATTCCTTGGCCACAATGCATGATCAAAGAAAAAGCCCATGGCCCAAGCTGTAAAAACTAAGGTTCTTCTTGGTTACTCATTTATTCTTTATTAACTTTATGTATAGAAAGAGAGCGCTTTCTTTTCAGGTTTCTCTCATCCTATACCCAGCAACTATGTAGTGCTATGGTTTGAATGTGTTCCTCAAAGTTCATGTGTTGGAAACTTAATCCCTAATGCAACAATGTTGAGAAGTGAGGACCTTTAAGCATGAATGAGTAATGAAGGCTCTACTCTTATGAATAGATCAATGCCATGATCAAGGGAGTGGGTTAGTTCTTGAGGGAATGGGTTTCTGATAAAAGGATGAATTTAGCTTTCTTTATGCTCTCTTGCATTCTCATATGCTCTCTTGCATTCTCACGTGCTCTCTTGCTCTTCCACCTCTGCCATAGGATGACACATTATGAAGGCCCTTGTAAGACACTGAGACTATGCTCTTAGATTTCTCAGCCTCTAGAACCATAAGCTGAATAAATTTATGTACATTATAAATGACCCAGTCTGTGGCATCCTGTGTGGTTATAGCAGTATAAAATGAACTAAGACACAAAATGATAAACATTTAGTGAGTTCTCAATATGTATTTGTTGAAAAAATAATTGTGTAGTTGTGAAGTTGGTAGAGTGTGAATCTGGAACTTCTAGGTTTTGCACCTTTTGAAAAAGCCCATTCTAGGAAAAGGATGATGAAAACTAGAGGAAAAGTACAAAGAAAGGAGGAGAGAAAGGAAAAAACAGAAGAGTCACAAAGGCATTTATGAGCCTAGTTCTACCATATTTAATACCCTCTTAACTCCTTGCCTTCCCCACTAACATGCTTTAATAAACTAATTCAAGTTATTGGCACCTGGAAGAGTCCTAACACTGTATTCAATAAGTAGTTGTTGAAAGAGTGACTGAATGATAATTGAATAAACAGATTAATAAATGAACAAATGAAGCACATCTCTGCAGAGGGTACTACAAGCCCAAAACAAGCAGATGTGCCACAGCATCGTATGCTGGATATGATATTTTAGCCCACAGTATCTATTCTCACTCTCCATTTTTATCTTCTATGTGTACTGCAGGGGCTAGAAACTTCCTTGAAACCAGAAGTCTGTGAATTAAATTCAACTAATGAATGATATACAAGTTTGAGAGGCTTGAAAGGGTGATGTGGTTGGGATATTGTTGCTTCTGCTGGTTCTAGGAATTAAGGTGGGAATAAATACAAGCACTGAATTCCCAATTTTGGTCAGAAACTTTGTGGTTGTGAGAGACAGCTGTGGCAATGGCAGGGGGAGTAGCAGCTTCCTTAATGTGGTTCACAGTTTTTACTGACATGCCCTTAAAATTCTAGTCTGATGGGACTCCCTTGAATTCGTCTTCTTTAGCCCTTCCTACAGTGTTGTAAACACTCAGTTACTTTCTGATAAAACACCTGAAAAATTTCTGTTGTCTGTTGTAAACACTGAATTTCTTTCTTTTAAAACATCTGAAAACTTTCTGAATCCTGACTGATGGGCACGCAGGGAATTATAAAAGGGTAAGTATTGGATCTAATACAGTGGTTCACAAATGAGGGTGAAGAGCAACTTTGCCCCTTGGAGAATATTTGGCAATGTCTGGATACATATATATATACACACACACACACACACACATATACATATATGTGTATATATACATACATATACATGTATGTGTATATATATATACATACATATACATGTATGTGTATATATACATACATATACATGTATGTGTATATATACATACATATACATGTATGTGTATATATACATACATATACATGTATGTGTATATATACATACATATATTTGTGTGTGTGTGTGTATATATATATATTTGTCATGAGTTGGGAAGGTGGTGCTACTAGCATCTGGAACCTAATGGGTAGAGGCCAAGGAAGCTGCTAAACATTCTGCAATGCATAAGAACATACAGTAAAAATTATCCAGCCCAAAATATGTTAAGAATAAGGGTGACAAGCCCTGGACTAAAGCAATTTTCAACAGGTTGTAGCTACAGGATTAAACTCTTTATTATTAGGCAAGGCGAGATTGTGAAGTGCCATATATGGTGCTCGAAAGAATGGGCAGATCTCATTCTCCCTCTGACACCTCACTATTGTCCTTTTACAAGGTTTGGAAGGCTTAGGGCTCTAAATTCTGTTTTAATGTTTAAATATGAAAAGACTGCACTATTTTAATTTTCACTATAGAGATGTTCTTAAGAATTTCTCAGTCTTGGGACCAGCAACAGTCATTGATCTTAGTAAAAATTGCTTATAGGTATTACATATTACACTACAATGATTATGTTGTCATAAATGTCTTCAACCTAGAGGATCTCTGTAGAGAAATCATGCATGCATGCTACCACTTCGATAATGGTTCAGAACTATTATCGTTCAATGTACATTTATTAAACAATATATGAAAAGACATTAATTTTAACTCATCACAAGGCTACAATGACCTGAAAAAAATAAATGGTTTAAAGCACATGAGATCAACAAATATAACAAAAAAAGAGGCATTATAAACCTCCTGTATATGTATTCCAACCCTGATGTTTTTTAGTAAACACAAATGAGCAAATCTTGAAGCGACATGGGACTGTCCTGATTGTTTATCATGAAAATGATTCAAGGGTTAAAAGAGGATTTCTATTTGATAATCTATAATTGCTGATTTTACCAAGGTCAATACAGAATGATGCCAGCACAATGATACACAGGACAGCTGGGACCAAGAAATTTGAGAAGGTACAAATAAAAACTAAAAAAAAAAAAAAGTTTAATTTAAATTTTAAAAATGCATGTCAAAAGTGAACTGTTAAATATTCATTTTTAATGACTAAGTTCACAGTGCTTTCTGTGTGGTACAGATGGCACAGGGATTCAGGGCAAACAAAGCATCAATTTCTGCATACTCGTAGCTGCTCAGTCGTAATAGCCAGAGGCCCAAAACTCCAGGGCTTTGAGATGATTCAACTAGACCTCTTCTGCCAAAATCCGCTGGATCTATAGAGCTTCCATCATAATATTGAGGGTGAAGGGATAGTAGGAAATGTGGGTTGCCTTTGCTTTAACATCCATGGAGAAAGCTTTAGTTATTGGAAAATGACCATTTAAATTCCAATTAGAGATTCATTTATGAAGGAATAATGTTTTTGCAGGAAAGGAGGAACAGACAAAAATTTCTTACATAGTTTAATCCAAAAATTTTAACAAAAATTAAGCAAATGGAAAATTGTGCACATTTTAATCAGGCAGAATTTGTTAACTGATTACAGGAAATGGTCTGAGATGTTTAAGAAGCAACCTGGTTTTTTGTTGAACACAGGGGTATGACCTTATCACTTAGAGCTTATTCTTTGCATAATAGCTTGGAGAAAAGAAAGAGCCAAATGGCATCATCTTTCTCCCTGTCTTACTGTCAGGGGAGAGCTAATACTCATATAGTATAATAAAAAAGAGTATTAAACTGCATCTTTGAACAATCAAAAATGATGCACTAAATGAATACTGAATAAATGGCCAAAAGCTTTTTTTTTAACAGGAGATCATTTTACCATTTGCATTGTGTCAGAATAATAGACCAGACTTCCCATTCTACAGACACTTGATTGAGTGCCTACTATGCGCCATGTACTATTAGGTGCTACAGAAAAAATGCAGAAGTCAGTAGAAGAATGCCTTTCTTCCAAGCCTAGTAGATAAGATGAAACGAGAAACAATGTAACCAAAGTCTGCATACGGCATCAGTAAAAGAGTTTCGAGCAAAATTTCAGAGACTATATCATCACGGGTTGTAAATCTGGGAGGGTTTGATGGTGGAGGATGGTAAGAAAGGAATTGTAAAGAACTGGAAGGGTTTGAAATGACAGAAATGGGAGAGAACTTTTTGTAGAAAGAAATCAGTAATGCCAAAAGAATAGAAGACAGAAAAGATAATGGGCACATGCATGAATTAGTAGGTAGTCCGGTTTAGCTGGAACTAGTGAAACATGTAGGGAACTCGTTGAAAATACGTCTGAAAGGGTTAAGTCAGAGACAAATGGACTTCAAGATCTATAGCAGACCTTAGAAATCCTCCATTACACTTAAGAAAATAAAGACTCAAAAAAATTAGTTATGCAATATGATACAGCAAAGTGATGATCCTAGTAGCCAAGGATATATTATTTTGTGTCTCCTGAAAGACCACTTCCGTTGTTCATTCTGTATATTTTGCAGGGTAATCTGGGTGTTCTTAAATGCCAAGTAAAGAAGGTTGTACTAATTATTTAATGTGGTAAATCTTATAGAAGTACTAAATATCTTTGATAATGGAAATGAATCTTGAAAAATAGAAAAAGAAGAACAGAAGAAGCCTTTTGTAGAGATGTGATTGATGATTAGATTTTTAAAAAACTGGGTGAACCTTCCAAAGATCTACTTACCCTACACATAGACATAGAAACCACCTTTCATATACTTCAGGTTTTGCTTAACCAGTCTTTAACAAAGCTGTGAGATTATGCATTGAAAAATCTGTTGCAGAAATTAAAAACATCTAGTTGGAAAGATTCACAGCCCAACTGATTATAAGGATTTTTTGCTGATATATGGCCTGGTCTTAGTAATTCCTGATTTAGTCATAAGTGTGTGAAAATCTTAGGTAAACAAATCCCTAAGACGATTATGGGAGAATTCCAGCATTTATTAAGACAGTCACAGTTTATAAACTATATGTTTTTGAAATAGAAAAAAAAGTTTATTATATTTTAACAAGGATATCCATTTTGAATTCATAATATTCTCCAAAACATAACAGCATGCATGGCATATATATATATATACAGCATGCATGGCATATATATATATATATACAGCATGCATGGCATATATATATATATATATATATATATATATATATATATATATATATATACACACATGCAATTTGTCATGAATTTAAATAGCAATGAGTAAAATGTATTACCAAATTTGAATCTGACATAAATTAAAACTGAATGGGTTAAAGAAAATAATTTCAGTCTCAGGCCAAAATAATGCTCAAATACAATTTAATATGTATTTTGATTTTAATCTCAAAAGTTATTGCTTTATTTCTCTGGTCTTTTACAAAAGCAGATAAATCAATGTTTCATATGTGGCCTTTTCCCCTGGCAATCCCTAAAAAAGCTCCTCCCATTTACATGCCAATTTCAATTACTGATTTTCATATCTTGCTTCTCTTTTGAAGACACAATATATAAGGAAACATATTAACAAGCATTTATGTTGGGTACAACTAAAATGAACATTAAAAGGTTTACCAAACTTCACACCATAATTTCAACTAGAAACCTTGAAACTAGAATAAAAGTATTCATCATTTTAATAATCAATGCTGTTTAAAGTGTGTTGCATCATTATCTCTGTCACTAAAATAATCTTGTAAGTATCTATCATTATGTCATCCAAAGACTGAGTTGCTCAAAGTCATACATATTATCATTAGCTTTCACCTGGCTTCAGGCTCATACTCCATCCAAACCATTGCCATTCTGCCTTCCATCAGAAGAGTAATCAGGTGGTTCAGTGGCAAGAAGAAACATATTCAAGACAGCTCATGTGGAGGAGATTATATACAATGAATACTATTCAGCCATAAAAGAATGAAATAGTGTCTTTTGCAGTAACATGGATGGAACTGGAGGCCCTAATTTTAAGTGAAACAAGTTAGACCCAGAAAGACAAATACTGCATATTCTCACTTATAAGTGGGAGTTAAATAATGAGTACACATGGACATAGAGTGTGGAATGATAGACATTGCTGACTAAGGAGGGTGAGAGAGTGGGAGAGAATGAGAAATTACTCAATGAGTACAATGCATGTTATTTGGGTGATGGCCTAAAAGCCCCTGATTTCACCACTACATAATCTATGCATGTAAAAAAATTATACTTGTACCCCATAAATTTATACCAAAAAAAATGAAAGGAGATTAGGATTAGTATGGTTGTAAAAGAGAAGGGGAAGGCTCACGTGAAAAGCCAAAGTTGGCAGCAGCCATGGCAGGGAGGGCCGTGTAGGTCGTCTATTCAGAACTTGTATTTGGTGGGGATCCAGACACATAGCATAATGGCTAAGATCATAGTCTGTGTAAAACAGCTAGATTTGGGTTTAAACTCAGGTCTCCTCTCAGACGGTGTGTAATCTCGGCTGCTTGCCTAACTGTGTAAGCAATCATTTCTTTCGTAAAATGGGGATAAAGCAGTTTTCTTGAAGATTGAATGATGATTAAATGAAGTAATGCAATAAAGCACTTACTATAATGTGTCCATAATAAAGGCTTGAAATATATTATTGATTATCAATGTATAGTCTTTTCATGATACAGTTTTCTCACAGTATTTATGCAGGATTGCTTCCAGGACCCCACAGATACCAAAATCTGCCGGTGCTCAAGACTCTTATAATAATGTAGTGTTTGCTTATAACCTATGCAATCCTCACATATACTTTAAATCATCTCTACATTACTTATATCTAAAGTAATGTAAATACTATGTAATTGTTATACTATATTAATTTTTTATTTGGATTATTATTTTTATTTTTTCCCCAAATATGCAGATACAGAATGCATGAATACAGAGGGCAGACTGTATCTGATTTGGTGTCATCAACCTCCCATGATAAATCCAAAACTATCCTTCACAAACATTTGTCTACTAAAAGGAAACCACCAAATATTGCCTCTATGGGAACTTCTCTGTATCAGTAAACTATTTTTTGTCTTCATTCAACCAGTAAGAATTTATGGAACATGCACTTTATTTCCAACACTATGCCAACGACTGTAGATTATGGATATTTAAAATATGTTTTTTAATCCGGAGGAGCTTGCACAATAAGAAGGTAGAAGAAAATGAAGGTGGCTGCTATGTGGTTGCATTTTGTGTCAGGAAAAACGGAAAGCCAAATAACTCACTGGACACTTATTGCATTCCAAGCATGATACTACAGATGGTTCCCAACTTGCGATGTTTCAACTTAACAATTTTTTGATTTTATGAGGGTGCAAAAGTGATATGCATTCAATAGAAACCATACTTGAATTCTGAATTTTAATCTTTTTCCAGGCTAGTGATAGGAGGTACAATACTCTCTTGTGGTTCTGGGTAGCAGCAGGGACCCGCAGCTTCCAGTTAATCCTGTGATCACAAGGGTGAGCAACCGGTTCTCTACTGTGTTGCCAGATGATTTTGCCCACCTATAGTCTAATGTAAGTGTTCTGAGCACATTTAAGCTAGGCTAGGTATTTAGCAGGTTGGGTATATTCACTAGGTTGCGTATATTAAGTGCATTTTTTACTTAAAGTATTTCAGCTTACAATGGCTTTGAAGGATTGTAACCTTATCAAGAGTCAAGGAGCAGCTGTAGATATTTCCGTGCATTGTTATCAGAACTTAGTCCTTAGCAGACCCTCATAAATAAGGCTGGGATTTTTGTTCTGATAACAAGTAAGGAAAATGAGCTCAGAATCGTCCAATAGCTTTTCCAAGTTCAAGCATTTACTAAGATGACAATTCATCATCGAAACACTCACTCTGAGCTCTTTCCATGTACAATGCTTCCTTTCCAACTCTCCAAACTGTACTACTTTTAGGTCTAATAAAATGAGGACCAGAAAGTGATTTTTGTGTTTAGCAACAATAAATTTATTTTTGACCTTGATGAGGACAGTTTAGTAAAGTAAAGGAAGATGCTAGTGGAAAAGGGGTGAAAAACGGTAGCTGGAGAGGGTGTAAGTTGAGGGAGAGATTGTTTTAATTTCTATTTTATTAGGTCTTTCTATAGCAATGAATACTTGATTTCTTTTTCCTTTTTAAAAGCATCTTTGTTTTTAACCACTATGTCTCAGACTTTGAGGGCTTCTGTTTTGCTGGTTATCTCTTAAAGGTTAGGGCTCCGGGATACACAAAATCCATGCTCCAGTGAGATGACTTAACCCTGGTTCTACTTGAGATTTTATTTCATCTTTCCAAAAATATTTTGAGGTAGGCATCACTTTATAGATGACAAACAAAAACAAAGAACTCCTTGAAGCTCAGAGAAGGTAATTTACCTAAAGTCATGGCTAGTAATTGATGGGTATAAGATTGGGATAAAGGTCAGTTTGACAACAAAGCCATGTGTGCTTTTTACCATACCAACTTTTCTAGAGTTCCTAAGGCATGTAATTAAACATGGGCCACCTACTTGGGATTCTCAAGACTCACACTGGCCACCACCTTCTACCCCTTGACTGCTAAATCACGGAGGGTTAGTCCTCAACCAGCACAACTGAAACATTAGGGGAGATCAGAACTTTGAATATCTGCTCAAGCTAGCTCTGTAAATGGTCAAACAACCATATCTAAAAAGCCCCAAGTTTGTCTCCACATAAAATCTTACACCTGGCTTATAGGCTACTACAAATCTCTAACTCTTGAAAGAAGCACAAAACCAAAGACACCAATAGGCTCACTGCTTGACAGTTGAATCTAGAGATCATTTATAAATCTGCCACATGCTGTAACTATGACCGTAAGCTGTTCAAAGTTAGTTACTCTTGAAGATGAAAAAATTTACCAGTCCATCAAAATATTTGACCAGACTTGCTTAGCACTTCAGTGATAACAAAGGAGCTAACATCCAAACTATTATTTTCCTGGGTTGCATTCATGGCACTGACAATAATATCTCCAATGTGTTCTGAATTCTTCCCACACGTATTACTTTTGATCTTCAAAGGTACAAGGTGGTAAGTGAAATAGTACATGGAGTACAAGCAGTTCTCTACAAAAGGCTTTTTCAGAAGCTTTAATTTTTTCTTGCCTTTCTTGGTTTTCATAGTAATGATTGGAATAAAACAGAGACACTTTTCAGTGATAGAATTAAGACCTCTCTTCAGAGTAAATCCTTCTTTACTTTGCCTCTTTCAAGTGCATGAAAAGAGCTGCTAGATAAGTTTATTTAATCACTTGGAATACGTCATGTTAACTCAAGGAAGAAGCAAAGTGCCTGAAAAGCCAGAATAAACTGTGCATAACTTTTTTTTTTCCCCTCACAAAATCTGGTTCCAATAAAAACCATCTTTACTGCCTGAGGCTAATGTGTAAGTTAGTGAGAGATTACGGTCTGGTTTTTATAGCATTTTATGTAGTATTTGACAATCCATAGGGACCTTGCCTGTTAGCCCTTTACAAATATAAAATGTAATTTTAAATTTCACTTCATCATGGTAATAGGCTATATAAGCTTTCTTTCTAAAGCCTACAGACCATCCTGTCACCTCAGGGAGCCTCAAACAACCTGACTTAATCACCTCTTGGTGACTCATTGCACTCTGCTCACTCTTTTAAAAATATATAAATCCTAATTATTTTTAAAACCCTTTTAAAATGAGCAGTTTTTATGTACACACTCAGGCTAAGTGCGCACACACACACACACACACACCCTAGATAGGTAGGAAGACATTCTTTATCTTTGAACGATTGTATTTCTTTCCTATGTATATTCTCTCCTATGCCCTTCCTTCCCATTTGTAGTAAAGTCTCTTTAATGGAGAAACTTGGTTCAGGCAGGCAGCTAATCAGCCAGATCCCTAATGGGAAAATAAAATAGTGGCAATCACTTGTAGTGTGATCCTAAGGTGCATACAGTGTAACTACTGAGGCACACAACCATCTCAAGAAGTAGATGATTTTGTTGGTCAGTTAGTAAATAGATGAAACTACTTCTGATAACATTTTATAGATGAGGGAAGAAAATTTCAGAGAAATTGACTTGTTCAAGATCTCAAGGTCAATACTTAGCAAGAGGTGACATTAGGTCTTCTAGTATTTAGTTAATCCCTACAATGTACCTCACAGCCATCAAAATTGTTAAGTAACTTCCATACCTCCTAAACAGGTTACGTCTTGTCCCTATTGGAGTTATTTGTCATTTAATTAGATACTATATTTAATCAGAACATGGTCATTGCAATTAATGGTTAATACCAAGGTACTTATTATTTCCTATAGTGTGACACTCTATGCTGGTCACTGTCATGGCACTTCCCCTGTATGAGCTTAGCAATAAGATAAATGTGCCCTTTGCAACTCCCATCATTCCCCGCCCAAGGTCTAGGATTGCAGTGCTCTCAGGCTAGATTCCTCCCAGGAGCCTGTGAACTCCACAGTCAATCCTGGAGCTCAGAAAAACCATTTTAAAGATGGGCCACATTATGTAATCTTGAAACCTGGGGTTACTAGTCCAGCATTTGCTCCATCTTAATGTCACAACTTCTTGGACTATCTACTCTGAATCTAATTTTACCAATTTACAGACTGAACAAGTAGAATCCCACTCCAGCTAGTCAACCTAAGGTTTAGAGTGTCAATACCTCAAAACCTACCTTAAGCTGTTCCAAAATCTCAAAAACAGAATTCTAGTACACATCTAATGGTCTGATGGACAGAACCCTCTTTTTTTTTTTCTAATTTGCTTCTTTGAATGCGAATGCATTATAACTCGCAGCTGAATACTTCCATAAAGATAATTACATATGGCAAGACAGAAAAACTTTTTGAAAAAAAAAAAAAGACATTCCCTTGAATATGTGCCTGAATTCATTTACAACTGTTGCTGCTTTAAACACTTCAGGCAGAATAAGTGGATGGCACTAAACAGCTTAGCTGCAATTATTATGGAATGTCTGAGGTATAATTTCCCCTGCGGTTTTGTTAGGCGTACAAAATTCATAATTCTGATTTGTGGCAGGTACTTATTACCCATCACAGGTGGGGATATGCAAATATTATTCTAGTAGGGGTGAACAGCCTTTATTTCCGCATTCAGCTATTAACGAGATTTGTGAGTCTGGTACTCTGGGGCCATTTAATTAATTAGATGGTACAGATAAAATATAAATTGTTTTGTAGGCTACACAATTCCTGTCCCAGGAGGTGTAAAACTGAAGCTAAACTAACTTAGTGTGGATTGATTTGTTGATTTTTATATAGCTCCCAGTAAATGTAAATCATTACTTTTATGTAATGATTTATGAAATGTAAATCAATACTCATTATTTCACTGTATTAATTCTACTCATAATCCTCATATTCTCTAAGTTTCATTAAAATAGATGTATGTATTTCACTATTTTGTTAAGTGACTTTATCACTCAATCTCCATGTCCGTGGTGGTAAGTCCTCTACTATACATGGAATGAACAGTATAGCAGATCTTTCAAAAAGTTTATCATATTCTTAAGTAAGAAGTTTTGTTGTTAATTTATAATATTATCTATGTGGAAATAATATATACCATGATAAACCCTGTGGAATTGCATGACATTTAATGAGTTTTATTGGGATTAGTCAAGAAATAATGCAACCTCTACAATTACATCCACATAAGAGAATGTTTCTCATGCATTTGATAACTCAGGGAGATGAGTTTGCAGTTATATAATCAATGGTAAATAAGTTTAACTTTTTCTTTGTCTTTATATGCTGGGCATTTGGTGCCTAGCAGGACCATGACAAGAAAAATTTGGAAACTTCCACTGATAACAGTGGAAAAAGGTGCTGTGATTAATTAGTGATGTCGGCCATGGGCATGTCATCAAAGAGTGGTATTCTTTGTGCTAGATATTTGCCATCCTTTGTTCATCTCTTTGATGACAACTCAATTAAAAGCCTTTAATCAGATTGATGACATCCTTAATTTGACAATTAAGAACAAAATTGTGCATATTTCATTTCATTCAGAAGATACTTGATTCTTAAAGTTATTAAATTGCTTTACAAGTCCCATCTCCTAATAAAAACTTGAACATGTTTTCTTCTATTTTACTTTGAAGCTAGAAAGTAATTATGCAAATAATTATGCTGAATATTTTTCTAAGTTAAAGTTGTGCTTACCTTAAATTTTATTTTGGGATAAAATACTAATAACTTTCTAAAATTGAAGTTTGGCTAAGTATAATAATTTCTCTTTTCTCTGAGCACTATGTTTTATCTTCTTGTAGCCTCCATGCACCCCTATCTTTCTTCATTTTTTAATGAAAAGCAAGTATATTTATCAAAAGAAGCACACTTTTAGCATCTTGGCTAAATAAAAGAAGAGGTATGTAAGAAAATGCAAGAGCTGGAAAACAATTTCCCAAAGGAACTTAATAACTACATTTAAAATAATTGCAAAAGCAGAAGCCCACACATCATGTTGACAACCTTGAATGCAAAGCAAAATACTTTAATGTGGAGACCTGAGAGCTTTGTGTTCCAGGCCAGCTTTTAGAAAATGTTTTCAAGGATCTTCTGTTAATCTCCATAAAAAGCCAGGAAAGAGTAAACTTTATCAATTTAATAAGAGATTTATAAGGTGTTACAACCATGTATTCTCTATCTCTAAGGGAACAAATTAAATGAAAGGTGATAATTATTCAGATTCAAAACATGTTATAGAAGGCAAGACAAAATTAAATAATTAGAAAAATATTATTAGTGGGAAAATATGCTGAATTAACAAAAGAATTATATACTAAAACAATTGGCCAAGATAATACTACTAATATATTTAAATGATTTATACAGATAATAATGAGATGGCCTACTAATGGTGTGCTTTTATAAAGTGGAATTCTTTTGAATTTGCAACACTGATAGTTAAAATAGCTAAAAATGATGGAGCCTAAATTATAATTATAGAAACAATTTGAAATATATTATTGATCCCAATCTGGTAAACATGCTATACATACAATAGGAAAATCGAGAAAATAAAGATGGAACAAACGCACACTGCATCAACTGTGTGCTTGAAAGATAAGTCCTTACTTTCTTCTTTTATATTATACTCATAAAATTACCTCAGAGATGCACTTACTTTATATTTTGTGTTATGCAGGTTTTTCCGAAGTTTCAGGCCTTGGTAGCACAATCACTCTGCAGTTGAAGTATTTGGTGATAAAGAAAGAATATTTATTTCCCTTCAGCTCTTTGGAGAACATCCAGGGATCACATTGAAGTCATTTGATGTGTGAACAGAAGATAATGAGCAGATGTTCCTTGATGGCAGAACTTTTAGGTGGAGGTAAGGACCTGGACTTACCTTGCTGAGTTAAAAGAAATAGTAGAACTGGGTGATGATACATGACTCTATGCATTTGTCAAAACTCATTGAGCTGTACATCAAAAAGAGTAAACTTTAACGCATGCAAACTAAGAAAACTAAAACATCAACCAGCATGTGGAAGGGCAAATTAATTAAACTGTTAACAAGTATATGATATATTTGCACTGAATGAGATGGAGGTAAAGAGAGCTGACCTATGTAGCTTTGGAAAACAATGTTTTGACTGTAAAGCTAAACTTTAAATGTAAATTATAAATGAAAATAGAGAAACTGTAGAGTCAAGGACAAAAAAAGGAACTTTAGACCTGGTGTGATGGTTCACGCCTGTATCCCCAGCATTTTGGGTGGCTGAGGTGAGGAAATAGCTTGAGCCCAGGAGTTTGAGATAAGCCTGGCAACAGGGTGAAACCTCTTCTCTATAAAAAAATACAAAAATTAGCCAGGTGAGGTGCGCATCTGTATTTTTAGATACTTGGAAGGCTGAGGTGGAAGAGTCAGTTGAGCCTGGGGCTGAAGTGAGCCATGATTGTGCCACTGTACTCCAGCCTGAGTGACAGAGTAAGATCCTGTTACATAAACACTGTACTCTGTTTTCGTTTTCATTTATTTTTCTCATAGAGGTACATGTTAGCCCTTCTGAAAGGTTAATATATATATAGGGATTGGATAAATAAGTAAAAGGAAGATGGATATTGGGTGTCACCTTTCTCACTGTTGGAGAATAAAGTTATAGCTAAGCAAGAGGGGAAGGCTAAAATAAACTCCATAGTAGTGGATCAGAGTTGGAGACATCTGCATGAACTTATTTTTAGCTTACTATAGATGCGAATGGATAGATACAGAAACAAGCATAGATATTCATGTACACATAAATTAGTATATATAAATGTATGTACTATATACATAATATACTATATAGTGTGTGTGTGTGTGTGTGTATATATATATATATATATATATATATATATACAAACTAAAGATATGCATGTACACCTAATAGTATACATAATAGTTGTGTTGGTTGAGAGGTCCTAGAAGCAATGATAACCCAGTGGCAGTGTGCACAGACAGCACCTAGATCTTGGTTTCTAAATACCATTTTACCCAAGTAAACCAAGGCTCCTTGAAGAAATGGTTAATTGTAGGGTTAGGGCAAGAAAAATACAAAATGAACCTGGAATCTCTTACAGTGGCAGAAAGTAAGAAAGTGGAAAAAAAAAAAAGCAAAGGATAGAGATGTGTCAAAGGGACACAGAAGCCAATTGAAAGAATTCCCAATGGCAAAAACTGGCACAATTTCAACTAAAAAATAAATAATGTAATATAAAATAAATATTACAAGTCTATTTGGATATAAGTAAATGATGAGAAATCATCTTTATTCAAGAATTGCAAATAATGAAGCTTAGTTATCCCAAATAAGCTCTCTAAGAGATGAAATTTAGTCTTCCCTACCCCTTCTTCCAAGAATGGGCTAGACTTAGTGACTTACTCCCAAAGAATAGTGAATGGATGAGAAAAAAGAGTACAATTACAGTGAAGATACCTGGCAAGCACTACTATCTCAACCTGATAAAGGTGAAGCAGTGGTCTTATGTGCACATGAAGTGCCTGCTAATACAATGGGAGGAGTAGGGCACTTCACCTCTGTGGTAGTCTTCTAAAAACTCATAACCCCAGTCTAATCATAAGAAAAACAGCAGATAAACCAAAACTGAAGGACACTTTACAAAATACCTGACTGATACCCCTCAAAACTATCAAGGTCATGAAAAACAAGGAAACGTTAAGAAACTGTAACACACCAGAGGACACTGAGGAGACATGGCAACTCAATGCGATGTGATACAATTTGAGCAATGATGTAAATACTGCAGTATTTTATCAAAATTAGATTGGTCTTAGAACAAAAAAAACACAGAGGAGTCACACATCTTTTCAAAACCTCTTTACATATATTATATAATATATTCATTTATTTTAATGTCATACACATTTTTATGATTGTTGTCAATTTTTGAAAAAATTTTTTTAAGTATTTTCATAAAAGAGCTGCAAGATTTCAGGGCATTGAGATATTCTTGTGCGGTGATTACTCTTAAATACTCTTGCAAGCATATAAAATTTGAATTGTTCAACTTAACTATTCCACAGTGTATATATACTTCAAAACATCATGTTGTACATGACAAAAAATATGATTTTATTTGTTAATTTAAAAAAACATTAAACATTTTTGAATTGAAAAGCATTTGAAACATTGTTAGAAACCATTTCTACTGTGGGACAGTTAACAACAATTGAACTATACAAGGAAGTGACTACACATCTCATAAATATATCTCCACAAATCCAAACTAAATGTTCCTTCAATCTTCCTATTCGAATCACAATACATTCCCGCGGAGACATTAATGCCTCCTTATGTGTAGGTAAATGAGTTTGGGATAGAGGGTACGCAATGTGGAGAGTCAGTAAGGAAAAAGATTGATTGTAGCTAAAGCATTTGCACTTTTGCAAATTTTACGAAAATATATGACAATACAAAGATAATGCTAGGTCTCTTCCAAGCCCTAACATCTGAATCTGGTGATAAGACAACAGGATTCAAACGTGGCCATAAGGGTAGTGATGAAAATTTTTAGGCCTCAAACCTAAGCAGCAAGCTTCATGCAGATAGCTGATCATTGGGAAATCAGCACTAGCCTAGTCAAATGGTAATCTGCACCTTATTTGTTTCCTTGCATATGTTGATTCCTTGTATGCCTTTCACTCAGGAACACAGAAGTGGGGGAAGGAAGACAGGTGAGCTGAGAAGTGAAATTCAGGAAAAGATTTCAGCAGACTTCTTGGCCATAAAAAAATCAAATATTTATTTTAAAAAAATTACATAGTACATCTGTGTTCTAGGTGCTACTCTCAGAGCTTTATCCGTATTACTTCATATATTCTTCAAAGCAACTCAATGGGTTAATATCTTTATCACCCCATTTTTTAGATGAGAAAACTGAGTCACAGAGAGATTAATTTGCCCAATTCACAAAATAAGTGGTAGAGCCGGAATTTTAAGATTATAAACTTCACCCTTATCTTGTACAATTTTTTAGAAAGGTGGAAGGGGAAAATTAAAGGAGATATGAATAAAACAGAGCAACAGTTGCGAAAAGATGACCAGTAGATGGAACCTGACCCTCTGATTTGTCTACTAGTCAATAAATTCACATTAGAATTTGAATACCTTTAGGAGGGTCATACGTTTCAGTTTGGTGAGTCTCCACAACTTTTTGAGGCACTGCCCTGCCACTTGACATAGTAATATTGCTTGTCTGGTCTCAAATTGTTTCAGTTGCATACAAAGAAACAGAAACTAGAGTCTGATAAAGTGGGGAGACGGAGGAATTATGGAAAAGCACGTAGATGACGTAGATGAGAAGAGGGTAATAGAGAAACCGCATTGAACTAAGTGACCCACAATGTAACTTTATGAACTAATAAAAGTTACATGGAAAAAAAAAGTTTTCAAATCCTAACATTGCTTTCCCTTAAAATACGGGTGGAAAAAAGGGAGAGGAAACCAAAGATGCATTCTGTTCTCCTCTCCTCTTGCTCAGCTTAGCCTCATTCTACAGATACTATAGATGCAGATCCAGAACAGAAATAATTCCCTCCAACCTTTATCCAATTCTCTCTGGGACTCTCATCCAGGCTTTAGACCAATTGGGTCCTTTTGTGTTTTGGACCAACCTACAGCCATCTGGAAAGGATTCTCTGAGCCACAATTAGTAATTCTCTGCTATGAAATCAAGTCTTCTTCCAAATAAAATAGAACATAGCCCAGCCTTCAGTCTGCTAGAGCAGATCTTCGTATAGCGGCAAGCAGCCCTACCTTTAAGGCCCATCCAAACTGGAGCATGTGAAGGAGGAGAAGCAAAAATAAGTTAAGATGAAAATTTAAAATACCTAGTACTCTAGGCTCCATATCCACATTCAGACATGAAGAAATCCTGGTCTTGGACATATACATATTTGGCATGAGAACTTGGATTGCTTCTTTTACTGATGTTTATTCAATCTTTCAAAATGACAAATACGAGAAAGACTTGGTAAATGAGTTTATTTTGGAGATTTGTTAAGAGTCTGCTCACTGCTGGAACAGTGTATACAGGAAAAATATAAAATCATTAACACTCACTCCAAAAATAAGCAACTCTCAGCACTGACACCCTTAACAAAGCTGCTAAAGAAAAGGCAAGTGGGAAAGTTTGCCTTTTGACCACACTCTGAGGATAGGCAAAGCAGGAATCACCTTAAAGAATAAGGGGATGTTCACTAAGCACTAAGTGACCCTTTCCACAGGCTTACTAGAAAAGCCAAGTTAAAAATCTTTTGAAAAAGCCACACATGAAAATTCAAATCCTAGCTAAATCAAGGTTGTTCTGCCTTCTATCAAGTTTAGCACAATCTCTCAATTTCTTCAGTACCTTCTGAAAAATTAGAATAACAGAATATTATAAGGTATTCTGTTGGGTCACAACAAAAATAACTGCTTGTTAATAAAGAACATAATTGTGACCCACTTGCCCTGCCCCAAGTAGACAGCTTGAGAATAAACACCAATCTGGTTGGCTTGTTTCATTTTATGGCAGGTGTGTGTTTAGTTTCGTAAAAAACTGACAAACTGTGTTCCAAAGTGGCTATACCATTTTGCATTTCCCAAGCAAAGAATGAGAGTTCACATTGCTCCACATCTTCACCAGGATTTGTTGTTGGTGTTCTGAATTTTTACCACTATAATAGGTGTGCAATGATATCTCATTATTATTTTAATTTGCAATTCCTTAATGAAAAATGATTTTGGGCATCTTTTCATATACTTTTGTCATCATTATATCTTCTCTGGTGATGTGTCCATTCATGTCTTTTGCATATTTTTAAATCAAGTTGTTTTCTTACATTTTAATCTGAAGAGTTCTTTGTATATTCGGAATATCAGTTTTCTATCAGATATATCTTCTACAAATATTCACTCCCAGTCTGTGGTTTGTCTTTTCCTATTCTTGACAGTGTCTTTCATAGAGCGGAAGTTTTTAATAGTGAAATCCAGCTCATCAATTATGTCTTTTATGGGCTTTATTTTTGGTGATACATCTAAAAAGTCATTACTGTGCCCTCGGTCATCTAGATGTTCTCTTGTGTTTTCTTTTAGGAGTTTTATATGTATATATATAATATTACATTTAGGCTTATTACTTATTTAGTTATTTATTTATTTATCTAGGTTTATGGTATTTTGAGTTAATGTTTGCTATGGTTGTAACCCTGTCTCTAGATTCCTTTTTTTTTTTTATGTGTGGTTGTCCAATTGTCCCAGCACCATTTGTTAAAGAGATTATCTTTTGTCCATTATATTCGTTTTTATAAAAGATTAGTTAACTATATTTATGTGGGTTTTTTTCTGGGCTCTTTATTCTTTTCCATTGATCTATTTGCCTGTTTATTTGCCAACACCACACTGTCTTGATTGTGTAGTTTTATGGTATGTCTTGAAGTTGGTAGTGTCAGTCCTCTGACTTTATTCTTCAATATAGTGTCGCTATTCTAGGTCTTTTGTTTCTCCTTATAAACTTCAGAATCATTTTGTTGATATCCACAAAATAACTTGCTGTTATTTTTATTGTGATTGCATTGAGCCTGTACATCAAGCTGGAAAAAACTGACGTCCTCACAATATTGATTCTTTCAAGTCATGAATATAGAATGTATCTCCATTCATTTAGTTTTTCTTTGATTTATTTCAATAGAGATTTGTAGTTTTTCTCATAAAGATCTTGTACTTGTCTTAGATTTTTACCTAAATATTTTATTTTTGGGTGCTAATATAAATGTGTTTTTTTAATTTCAAATTTCACTTGTTCATTGCTTGTATATTAGAAAGAGATCAACTTTTGCATATTAATCTTGTACCTTGCAACTTTGCTATAATCACTTACTAGTTTCAGAAATTTTTTTGTCTACTCTTTCATATTTTCTACACAGAAAACCATGCATCTATGAACAAAGACAGTTTTGTGTCTTTCTTCCCAGTATATATACTTTTCATTTTCTTTTCTTACCTTATTACATCTGCTAGAACTTTTGGTAAAATCTTGAATAGTAGTGGTGGGAAGGGATACCTTGTCCGTTTTTTGTTGCTGTAGCAGAATACCTCAGGCTGGGTAATTTATAAAGGAAAAACGTTTATTTTGGCCTACAGTTCTGGAGGCTGGAAAATTCAATAGCACAGTGCCAGCACGTGCTGAGCTTCTCATAGGATCCTTCTTTCTGCTTCATAACACGGTGGAAGTTACCACATGGCAAGAAGGCAAGAGCATGTGTGACAAATTAGGTCTCTCTTTCTCTTCTTATAAAGCCACCAGTTCCATCATGTGGGCCCCACCCTGATGACCATATCTAATCCTAATTACCAGCCAAAGGCCCTAACTCCAATCAACATATAAATTTGGGGATTAAGTTTTAACACAAGATATTTGGGAGACCCATTTGAATCATAGTAGGAAACATACTTGCCTTTTTTCTGATCTTAGTGGAAAGTTTTTAGTTTTTCATCATTAAGTGTGGTGTTAGCTGTAGGTTGCTTTTTTAAATCAAGTTGAAAAAATTCTCCTCTATACCTAGTTTGTTGAGGATTTTTATCATGAACAGGTGTTGAATTATTTTAAATGCTCTTTCTGCATCTATTAATATGCTTATATGATTTTCCTTCTTTAGCTTGTTGATGTGATAGATTATATTGATTGATTATTAAACCAGCCTTGAATATCTGGGCTAAGTTTCACTTGATCATGGTATATAATTCCTCTTTCTACATTGCTGGACTTGACTTCCTAATATTTTGTTGAAGATATTTGAATTTATGTTCATGAGAGAGACTGGTCTGTGGTTTTCCTTTCTTGTAATGTCTTTATTAGCCTTTGATATTAAGGTAATGCTAGATTCAGAGAATAAGTTAGGAAGTATTCCCTCTGCTTCTATCTTCTGAAAGAGATTATTAGAGGATTGGTATACTTTCCTCCTTGTTTGATACAATTCACCAGTGAATCCATTTGGGCCTAATGCTTTCTGTTTTGAAAGGTTACTGATTTTAGATTCAATTTATTTTATAGATATCAGTCTATTTAGATCATCTAAGGTATCAAAGTTGTGGGCACAGAGTTTACGATATTATTCTTTTATAATCCTTTTAATGTCCATTGAATCTGTAGTAACGTCCTCTCTTTCATTTCTGGTATTAGTAATTTGTATCCTCTTTTTTTTTCTTAGTTAGCCTGCCTAAAATTTTTTAGCTTCATCAATCTTTTCAAAGTCCCAGCCCTTGGTTTTATTGATATTCTTTATTGATTTCCTGTTTTCAATTTTATTGATTTTTGCTCTGATTTTTATTCTTTCTTTTCTTCTATTTACTTTGTATTCAATTGGCTCATCTTTTCCTAATTTCCTAAAGTAGATATTTAGGTTATTAATTTTAGATCTTTCTTATTTTCTTATATAGGCATTCAATGCTATAAATTTCCCCTAAACACTCTTTTTGCTGCATCCCACCAGTTTTGTTGAGCTGCAATTTCATTTTAATTTTGTTAAAAATACTTTTAAAATTTCTCTTGACTCATGTTTAGATGTGTGTTGTTTAATCTCTGAATATTTGGGGATTTTCAAGCTATCTCTCTGTTATTATTTCTAGTTTAGTTTACTGTGTTGTAAGAGAAGACAGATTGCTTTATTTTTCAGAGTGCTATATATTTGTCTTACCTCTCCATTCTTAAAAAATTGTAACATCCTGGCTGGGCGTGGTGGCTCACGCCTGTAATCCCAGCACTTTGGGAGGCCGAGGCAGGCAGATCATGAGGTCAGGAGATTGAGACCATCCTAGCTAACACAGTGAAACCCCGTCTCTACTAAAAATACAAAAAACTCAGCCGGGCATGGTGGCAGGCACCTGTAGTCCCAGCTACTCGGGAGGCTGAGGCAGGAAAATGACATGAACCCAGGAGATGGAGCTTGCAGTGAGCTGAGATGGTGCCACTGCACTCCAGCCTGGGTGACAGAGTGAGACTCTGTCTCAAAAAAAAAAAAATATTGTGACATCCCTTTCATTATTCTCACTCCCATTTTTAGAGTTGCATCACATTACAGGTAAAGTCATTCTTTGTCCCAAGTCCCCCTATTTAGTTACTTCTCTGCTGTGACTTTCCATGTTATTTCTCACCTGTTTTCTTCAAAGTGAATGTTCACATAAAAAAAAAAAGAAAAAGAAAAAGAAAGAACTCAAGAGGCATTTAAAAAATAATATATATGTACAAAGATATGTATTTAAGTTGATGAAGTTACTTTAGCTATGGGCCTGACATCACTGATCAGGAGAGACATCGATTAATAGTTCCCAAAGTCATTTATTTTTTTCCAGACTGAAGTAAATAAGCAAATGTAACAGCACATATATTTTTGAACATACTTTTTTTGTACCATGATCACAAAGCCTGTGCCATTCTGAAAATGTCTTAGCACTTTTATTTGGGGGAGGAAATGAAAAAAACAAAAGGCTACAAATGTTTTTAAGTAACTAAACCTCATGTAGGGAAAATTCTATTCCTAAATTCTGATAGATTTCTGCCTAAATTGAATTTAGCCACCCAATTGTTCCTATTAGTTTTTGAACAGAGCTAATGCCAGGGTAAACAGCCTTTGCTTCAATCAAACACAGTCTCATATGGTTTGGCTGTGTCCCCACCCAAATCTCATCTTGAATTGTAGTTCCCATAATCCCCACATGTCACAGGAGGGACCAGGTGGGAGGTAATTGAATCATGGGAGTGGTTACCCCCCTGCTGCTGTTCTCATGATGGTGAGTGAGTTCTCACAAGATCTGATGGTTTTATAAGGGGCTTTTCTGTCTTTCACTCATTCTTCTCCTTGCTGCTGCCATGTAAAGAACGACATGTTTGCTTCCCTTTCCACAATGATTGTAGTTTCGCAAGGCCTCCCCAGCCATGGGGAACTGTGAGTCAATTAAACCTCTTTCCTTTAAGGATTACCCAGTCTCAGGTATGTATTTATTAGCAGCATGAGAATGGACTAATACAGTCTGATGTGTTGCTACACTCTGAGCTCCATTGGAAAAATTATCACTGAAGAAGAAAAGCCTCAGTTTGTTAGACCTAACAGATTTCTGTGGAAAAGAGTACATCTTAACAGAAATAGTATTTCACCATTAAATAGTTCATCACTACATGGATTTCTATAAACTATGGCTCAAACTGTGTTTCTAAAACATACAATCTTTACAGAAAAACATACAAATCTGCTTTAAGATAATTAGCATTTCAAATAAAGGCAGCCTATGGAATCAGCCCACAACAGATAACTCTATTCAAGCACTTAACACTTAAGTACACCTCTGTATATGTCACCAAATTTGACTAAATGAACTGAAATGATCCCATCTCATACATAAGGACATAGAGTAGTGAATTATACTTTTTATCTTTGGATAATTGGGTTCAAATTATATAATACTTCCTATATAGGAGATATTTAGATCAGCTGTAAAAAGATTGTTTTTTCTTGTCATAGGCCTCATCTTGGGAAATAGAGAAGAGCTTAAAGGCTTAAAACTTTCCTAACTTTAAGAAGATATGGTAGAGGTAGTTTTGTTAGACTTTTCAAAAGGCAATTTCTATACCATATTTATCATAGTGTATTATTGTTAGTGGCTTAGATAGGGGTTTAATTAGAGAGAATGTGAATTCTTTGAGGGAAAAATGTATTTAAATTATCTGAATATCCTCAGTATCTAGTATAGTATCTGACATATAGATATTAGAAATATTTAATTATATCAGACATGTTGTGAAGAATGCAAATTATTGCATGGGGAAACACCCAAATTGTTGTCCACCCATTGTGACAATAGTAAGTACTTACAGATTTCAAATGAGAAAAGCCTGCATTCTGACTCTAGTCTCACTCTGAGGGTTACAGGACACTGTTCATTTCCACTTGAATAAAAACAAGAAAAAGCAACATTTGTAATTGCAACACTTTTTGATGTTATGTATATTTTGGCAGGTTAGCCATGAAAAAGTCACAATGTCCGTCTCCTTTTTATCTTCCAAACTCTATCTTTTTTTTTTTTCTTGGAGATTTTCTTACCCCTTCACAAACTGAAGTTACTACTTTCTCAATGTTTTTCTTTTTCTAATATTTCCTGGAAAAACTTGTACTTCCTTTAATATTTTAGAAATGAATCAATAAATAATCTTTTCTTTTTTTTTTTTGGTAGAACATACAAATATCTGTCCATTTGTTTAATATTTAAATTTACAGTAAACTCTGTTCTTCACTTATTTCTCTGGGTACCGGTCTGCTGGCACAAGTGTCCCTGAAGTCCTGACTGAAGATGAGTTGCATTATATGTAAATAATATGCAGAAAAACACAGGAGAATTATTATAGTCTAATAAAGACTCCCTTTTTAATTTTTATTAAAATCCACCAACCTCCTTCAGGATGTTTATTCAGCACTTTCTCGATGTAAAGGGACATCCTCAGTGTTTTAATCCTGTGTTGTCAGAATTTCCACCCAAAACTCATTGTCCCCACTCTCCCTGCTGGACCTCTGATCTTTGTATGCAGCTTCCATATAGTAATCCCCGTAAGTCAGGTCACAGTGCGCTGACCTCTTTATGTGATCCTCCGGGAGGATCTCATCCACATTCATGGTTTTAACCATGCCTCATATGTTGATGACATCCTACCCATCCAGGATTGACCTTTCTGTAAGGTTAGTCTTGTATCCAGTGGCTTGCTCAACAGCTAAGCTACTCACAATCACAAAGAAACTATCCTCTGAAAGATACACACCAGGCTCTAACATTGGTTACCTGAAGGTGATGAAAGTGAAGAAAGACAGGGAGGTTAGCTTTGCCTTTCTATATTGTTTTCTATTTTATTTTATTTTATTTTATTTTACATAGCAAACGTTTGTGTTGCACATTTGTTATTTTGTATTTTGGTAATTACTAAATAAAGACAAAGTAGTAGGAGCAGGAGAGGAAATGTGCTCTACACCTTGCCTCTCTGCCTCCAATTTAGTTCTCCTGAAAGCTATGCTTCATATAGATGATCTTTCTAAAATGGACATCTAACAATTCTGCTCTTCTCCTTAAAGCTAACGGTCTCTTGACTAAAGGATAAAAATCTAAAATCCTTAATATGGCATATTTCTCCTTTGATTCAGCCAAACTTTATCTTTCACTTTCAGTTTTGCCTTGATTTGATACTACAGCACTATGTTTTCTCTCAGCTAAATAGGAATTATTCTTTAGACTCAGCTCAGATGTCTTTTCTCTTAGAAGTCTTCTGCAACACTCATCCCCAACATCCAAGTTGGGGTGGATGTATCAGCTCTGTATTCCCATAGCAGCCTAATGCAATAGTTATCATAAGTGTTCAACAGATTTTGGGGGATTCTTAAGTCCGTTTTAGGGGCTCCACAAATTCAAATTATTTTTGTACTAATAGTAAGATGATATGTGCCTTGTTCACTGTGTTGACATTGGTTATTTGGCACATATTTTTCTGAAAATAAATGACATTAGGCTGCTACTTCAAGAAAAACAGCTAATAGTCTTTATTGTTATGACAAAATTTGAACGTTTAAGAGAAAATTAGAATTTTGGAAAGCTTTTATCAGTCATTGTGAGCTTGATATTATATAATAACATTTATCAAATTTTACAGGATTTATATAACTCAGTGAACCAATATCTTTTAAATGATCAATTATAATGTATATAATTATGCATGGCTAAAAGATCCATCCAATATGTGAGATATATCAATTAGTTATGTATAATATGAAAATTTATTAATATTACTTTAGGGTACCCTTTAATACTAACATTTTAGAAACTACTTGAATTTTGGTGTAGTTTAAAATAATTACCTTAAAAGGCTATTGAAATTCTCTTCTTTTACCAAATATATACTTATGGGAAGTGATATATTTATCATATGTAACAACCCAAACAACATATTACAATAAATTAAAAATAGAAGTAGATATGAAAATCCATGTATCTTCTGCTAAGATGGATATTAAGTAGATTTGCAATAATTTAAAACAATGCCATTCTTCTAAGATTTGTGTTTTGGAAGATCTAATTATATTTCACAGAAGAATGTTATGTTAACATGTAAAAGGTTTATTGTATTTTAAAATAAATTAATAAATATTTTGAAATAACTCGTTTTAAATTTTTCATAGAGTAAATATTGATACTTTTAACACATATATGTCCTCAATAATTTTTAAGCATTTAAAATGTTCCTGGGATTTAAAAAATTTGAGGACTGCTTCCCTAATGCATGTCTCAGTTATTACATACCACATGGCCTTATAAATATGTTTATGTGCCTGTCTCTGTAATCCTGCACTTAGATCCTTGAATACTGAGCTGTCTTTAATTATTCAGTGTTCAAGGAGGTTTTACAGGGAAGGAAAATATGAGTGTTCCCTTTGTCATTTAATGTTCAATATATTGAAACTCACATCTAAAAGATAAAACTATGAAAACTCATTTTTTTAAAGATTCAAATATCAGTTATTTTGACTAATTTCTCTCAAATAATGTACATGGCAATTAT
The DNA here is from genome assembly GCF_000001405.40 of Homo sapiens. Taxonomy (NCBI): domain Eukaryota; kingdom Metazoa; phylum Chordata; class Mammalia; order Primates; family Hominidae; genus Homo; species Homo sapiens. The sequence goes on along the minus strand of NC_000001.11, from coordinate 95,993,471 downwards.
AAATTTCTAAACAATTTAAACAACAATAAAGGTATACACAAATGCAATAATACAAAATTTATAACATTAACATTTAACTTCTTGTCTAAAAGAATCAACTCCATAGACTTACTTTAATTATTCCTTATTTCTATACCAGATTTTGTACATTCTCAAATTACTTTAATGCTTATTTTGATATTTTCCCGTGGTTTCAGAAAGTATTATATTGATTTCGTTCTGGAATGTTATTGATCTTTCTAGATTCCCTTCTTCTCAGAACAGCAGATGTTACAGAATCAAGGTTATCAAACAGTTACTGAAGATCTTCTCTCAGGCCCCGGTACAAGGGAATTAAACCACAGTGTCATATAATTTGGCTGAGTCCTTTTCAACAATAATGTTTTCCTTGTTTTATATTTTAATGCCCCCTCTTTCTCACATGTATTTTTATCTCCATAAATTATTATCTTTCCAATAAATCAAGTTTTAAATAGCCTGCCATACTTAACACATTGAATCGTCTTTGCAATGCAGTAACCTGGTTCAATATTATTAACTCTTCATTATTATTTTTATTGTAATTCAAAAGATCCAACCAGTATTTTCATCTCCTAGGAAATAAAGGAGTGAAGCTGCACTCTAACTCTCATCGTTAGTTCTTTGACTAACTGATCGAAATTTTGAAATAGTGTGGAGCATTCTTTCCACTGAGATTTTATGTGTAGCCACATATGTTATAAATAGCTGGAGCTGGTTTAAATATGGTTCTTATGAGTGACTATCGCTGTTCACCATTCCTTCCTATTCTTGGTATGTGGCTACATTTTCCAGAATGACTTGAGTTTACCCAGATAAACTTGGTAAACCAGGATACAATAAATGTAAAAATCCCAAATGATATGCCAACAGTTTGTTTATTAACATCTGTAAAAACTGTATACCTCTTACCGTTTTGCAACCTTCTTTTTTATTTTAATTACCTTTGAAACACTGTCTTCACTTGAATTCCAGGATAACACTTTGATGGCTCTTCCTGATCACCTTTCTTCACCTCCTCTGTCAGTTCTTTCCTCTTCATGTCCTCAATCTGTGCATTCGCATATCCAGTGTTCATGTGCATATGTGTACACACACACATAAATGTTAATGACTAATACATTTCTGTCATCAGCCCAGCCTTCCCAGAACTCTAGCCTCATATAGCCACTGCCCACTCTATATGTCTTCTTGAATGCCTAATAGACAACTCACATTTAATATGCTTAGCTCTGTGCTTCTGGTCTTTATCACTAAACCTGCTTCTCTTCCAAATTCTGTAAATGCCAACTCCATTCCTGCAGTTCTTTAAGTGACAATTTTGGCACTACCTTTGACATTTTTTCTCAGACTCCATAGCAGTCTTTCAGAAAATCTTGTTCATGTTAACTTGGAAATATATGCAGAATCTGATTCCTTCTCAAGCTCACATGATTTCTCTCCTGGATTATTGCAGTGGACTCCCACATTGTGATCTCACTGCTACTGTTGCCCCACCTGCAATCCATTGTCCCCATAGCTGCAAATGGCTGTTTATTTCACCCGGGGAAAAGCCAAACTCTCTCCACTGGCAAAACAAACAAACAACAACAAAAAACAAAACCTCTACACAATTCTATTTCCTGGAAATATCTGACCTCATCTCCAACATTCTTTATTCTTTATACTACCCTTTACCCAAAGAAACTCCTGGTTCTCTTTCTCTTCTTCACAGCTTCTCTCTGGCATTTATTGCCTACCTTCCTCATTTATTTCTTTCTGTAGTACTCAGCACCATTGAGATACAAGATTTTGCTTATTTATTCATTTTTTTCCCTCCACTAGAATGCCAGCTCTAGTGATCGCCCAAAGTAGACACTTAATAAATAAAGGTTGAAGGACTGGATTAAATAAAACATATATCAAATCTGAATATCAATAAGAATTTTTGGTTTTTTATAAATCTAATGTGTTCCAATTAACTGTATTATTGCTATGATTTTTACTACATGGTCAAACTATTTCAACCTGGCTATCTGGAACCTCTTTACTATTTATTTATTTATTTATTATATTTTATTTTGAGACGGAGTTTCACTCTGTCACCCAGGCTGGAGTGCCATGGCGCCATCTTAGTTTACTGCAACCACCACCTCCCAGGCTCAAGTGATTCTCCTGCCTCAGCCTCCCAAGTAGCTGGGACTACAAGTGTGCACCGCCACACCCAACTACGTTTTGTATTTTTAGTAAAGACAGGGTTTCACCATGTTGGCCAAGCTGGTCTCGAGCTCCTGACCTCAAGTGATCTGCCCGCCTAGGACCCCCAAAGCGTTGGGATTATAGGCATGAGCCACCATGCCTGGCCCAGGAACTTCTTTAGATTTTGGTTTTTTTCTTTATAACTGCCTCTGTTACCCTTGAAAGTATTCCTGTGGCAAAAGTAAAATTTCCGGGCCCATTCTATTTTTCTCCTGATGTAAGGTGTGGAATTAGCTACACAGAAAACCAAACAGTCCTGATTTTCTGTAGTGGAGAGCAGTATGAGAGACTAAAATCTTTATCCTAGGGGTTTCCTGAAAATTGGAAATGGGTGAAGTTCTAATACTACTGCTATTTCTACTATTGGAGAGCTTTAGTAGTGCCAAGCTTTAAATAATATATTATTTTAAGGTCCTAATGTCACACTGGTGTTTCTAATTTAACCAATTAGATTACCATGTTCTACTTTTCTTTATATGTAATTTCATTGTCTTTTTCTTACTTTGGCCATTTTTGTATCTCCAGAATCTAGTCCAGTGGCAAATAAATAGTAAATGCTCAGTAATTGTTTGACAAGTCAATTATTTTTATATAGAATAGTAAGATAAGATGGGAAGTTTTAAGGACCAGTGTGATTTAAGTCAAGTATTCACATTAATGTAATGTGTCACTAATATAAGTCCATTTCTTGGGCTAGTTTGGGAGGGCTCATGAGAAAGCTAGTTGAGAAGCACAAGTATTTCCTGACATTTCTTCTTATCTAGTGTGCTACAACATGTGTTATTTTCTCCTTACAATAGAAATGGGGCCTCTAACAGAACAGATTCTATGTGGTGCATATTTATCCACTTGTATTAAAATTTCACTCAATATCACCTTTTTCTCTAAGGAATTCAAAGTGCTTTACACAGATTAGGAATGGTGACAAGTCACTTGTGAAGTAAATAATAATGCTTTGAAATAACATAGCACTTATCATCAGTGGAGCCCAAAGCACTTCAAATGATTTATCTCATTTATCTTCACAATGTTCCTGTGAGAAAAGACAAGTATTATCTCCACTTTGAAGATAAGAAACCGTCACAAACTGGTCATGAAGTAAGTCAGGGGCAATGATAGACAATGAGTGAAAGATGGTGCATATGGGACAGATTCTCTTCTCTTGGACCAAAGCGCTTTTTGTAAGACTGCTCTTTTCTGCATAATGAGTTTCAGTAGAATAGTCCTTCCAAAGAACTGTAAAAATCATCTTACAATACGTCTTACCAATAAGTCATTTATTTATCATTTACCTGGGTGGTGACAACAGTTCCTTCTGAGTAAAATCCCTGCGCTGGAGATTGTGTGGTTCTTGCCAATGATTCGCTCAAATATGATGGGAGATGGTAACTTGTAGGTGCGAGTGTTCAGCAATTTTATCTATAGTTAATTCACATAATTCACAACTTTTAAATTCTTTCTATTCCTTTATTATTGAAGCTTTTAGAAATGCAAAGTTGTTTCTAAGGATTTATAAATATTTCTTCCTGATATCCATAGAAAGCCATATAACACTTTAAAACAATAAAAAATTCAGACAATTTTTAAAATGTGTGTGCCTGATGAGAAATACTTCATTTTTATATTTCCTTTACCTAGACTTCCTTCCAAGACTCTGGCAAAACCTTCTCAAGTACACATCTGAGATGGTTAAAGTCAACACACTATAATTCTCCTGACAGCCATGGACCTTAGGCGGCTGCGCCCAGAAAAACTTTTCCAAACCAGCGAGTCAAGGGATTTTGATGCTTGTCATGAAATTCTTCCAAGAGCATCACTGACTTTCTAACTACCCCAGAATTGAATTAGAGTAAAATGGAAAACATTTATTTCAATATCTACAGGAAGTGTTTACTTTGTACTTTAACATTGAATGGGCTTCTAGCTCCTGCTAAGCCACCACTACAAGAATGATAAAATCATTCTGTGAGAGATGCAAAGTTTTACATGGAAGCAATGAAATCAAGTTATTTTCAAAATCTCTTCTCCAGAGGATTTCAAGTGGGGGGTTGGGGGAGAAGGGTCCATAAACCCCTATAGAGTCCTTAGATATATTAGTCAAGATTCTCCAGAGAAACCTTGGTTCTCCAGAGCCAATAGGATAGATACAGATTGAGAGAAAGATATAGATAGATATAAATAGATTTAGATTATCTATTTCTCTTTCTATCTATATCTGTTTGTATCTATATATATTTCTGTCTATATCTATGCTATTGGTTCTGTTTCTCAGTTCAGTCGTGTGTGCGTGTATATATATATATGTACACAAATAATTTACAAAATGTAAAAGAACATTGCAATAAAGCTTCATTTATTGAATGCCTACTATGTGCTAGATACGTTAATTTCTAATGTGCATTATCTAATTTAATCCTCACAGCAGCCCTTCTTACTGATTGTCAGCAGCTAATAAGTGGTGATGAACCCAGGTTTTCACCCTGAACAAGGACACAATTGACTGATATGGGGTCAGCTCCATTCCCTTCCTATTTTACTTCTCTTTAATCATATATAAAATAAGTGTCCTACACATTCTAACTAAGCCTAATGCCAAAACTTTAATTTCAAAGTTGAGGCCGGGCACGGTGGCTCACGCCTGTAATGCCAGTACTTTGGGAGGCCGAGGCGGGTGGATCACCTGCGGTCAGGAGTTGGAGACCAGCCTGGCCAATATGGTGAAACCCTGTCTCTAATAAAAATACAAAAAAATTAACCTGCAGGCACGCACCTGTAGTCCCAGCTACTCGGGAGGCTGAGGCACAAGAATCACTTGAGCCTGGGCAGCATAGGTTGCAGTGAGCTGAGATCGCACCATTTCATTCCAGCCTGGGTGACAGAACGAGACTCTGTCTCAATTAAAAAAAAAAAAAAGTTGAAATATCCATAGGAATGACACAAATATTTTATCAAAAGATCGTTGAATTGAAACAGGAGTGACAGCTCCAACTGCACGGGGGCTGGGATAGTGTGTCATCATCAGTAACAATGATGTTGTTATCATCTCTGCTGGGGCAATTCTACCCTTGTAGGCTACTGATGTCGCTCAGAAACTACTCCAAGGAAAAGATTTTTATACTTGGAAGATTTAAACCCAATGAGATGCTGCACTTGTGGAGTTGAAATAACTCTCATTTGTGTTTTCCTAGAGAAAGCTATTATTGATGAAAGCCTCAAAGGAATAAGGTGTAGGACCAATAGTGCCTTTTTCCTATGGGACATACAGAATTTTCCTTGCAGATGATGTTGAAGAAAAATTCTACTTGATTCGTGTTTTACCTGTGCTCAAGTCATTCTAAAAATTATTGCCACCCATTAGGAAGATTGGCCTCAGCCATCAAATGGGCAAGGCATACCTGTGAGGACTATCTATGGATAAATAGCTGCTTCATTAACGGTTAACGTTCAAAAAACACCAATATATTTCTGTGTTTGGACAGTTATTATTACACAAGCAAAATGCAACAGTTGTGATATAGTCCTTTACCTAATTTCCTCTGTGATAGTGAAGACCTAGAAGTTTGGATATTCGAGGTGAGGGAGGTAAGACAGAGGAGCAGAAAGGGATGTGTAAGAGGAAAGCAATAACAGAAATGGGAGAGAAATTTAAAATCAGATTTTCTAACTTAAGCTAGGATATTATGGACAGACATACCTATCAACTTTGTCTCTAATTCAGGGCATTTTTTGATAAGCAAAAGCAATGACGTGTACCCTATCAACATTTAATGCTCTGCATTATACTGATGTTACACAAACATCTTTCTTTGAGACTCTTTGATGAGATCTGGCTGGTGAAGCAATTAACTCCATTCCCTCATCTTAGGTAGTCAGATTTCCCTTTGGCTTTTAAACATCTTTTAATTGGATACTATCTAGTTATTGCTCACATTTTATATCACTAACTTGTCTTTATGGATTTTTATCATTGGTCACTTTTGCCTTCTTTGTGGGAACACAAATGCTCATAGCTTCAATTTATTTTTTCTAATTCGTTACAAAAATTGCATTTGTTGTTAGTGGTGGTAGTTCTTGTTATGCAAAATGTTAATGTCAAAGAAAGCCTTTTATTGCATATTAAATGCATATGCAAAAAAATCCTTAGTAATTCTGAACCCAGTTATCTCTGATTTGACCAACTTACCCAACTGAGAGCCAGTTGATGAGATACAAGCCATCTTTATTCTAATTTTGTAAGAACTGTGGAAGGAAGGAAGAGTGTGTTTCTTTTTGTTTGTTTGTTTGTTTGCTTGTTTTGATAGAGATGGGATCCCTAGGCTGGTCTCAAACTCCTGGGCTCAAGTGATCCACCTGCCTTGGTCTCCCAAAGTGCTGAGATTACAGGCGTGAGCCACCACGCTTGACCAGAAAGAGTGCTTTTAAAGAACAGAAGTCAAGTAATAGAGTCAGCCTGAGTTCCCCTTTTTTGTGTAATATCCCACCCCTGTGCCTTTGCTCATGTTGTTCCTTTGCCTGGAATGGATTTGCTTTTATCCATCCTTCAAAGTCCAACTCAAAGTTACATCTCCTATGAAGCTTTTCCTCATTGCAAAATTCTCTCCCGGATTTTCATTTCAATTTACCTATACTTGCTTAAAAGATGTCACTTTCTACCTTGCCTTGAAACTAATTATGCTCAAATCTTATAGCCCTATAATAAACTGTATATTTCTTGGAGTGATTATTGTGTGTGTGTGTGTGTGTGTGTATATGTATATATATGTATATATATATACATACACACACACACACACACACAATAATCACTCCAAGAAATATATATATACATATATACACACACACACGTATATATAATGCTTCAGTGCCTAAGCAGAGTGCCAAGCACATAGTAGAAACTCAACAAATGCTTGCTTAACAAATGAATTTAAATGCATATGAATTTAATTATACATATTAAGTAACAGTATAGTTTCAAGCAGGATTAACCAATTATTTGTGGCTATATTTCTTGATCAGATGTAAAAACATTTGTTTCAATCACTAATAAATAAATTATTTCTAGAAGTTAAAGACAGAATTTTACTGATTTTAGTTTAAACTAAAACTTATGCTTGATATAATGTCAGTATAATATAATAGTGAAGTTAGATTCAAATTACGTGATTTTTGTAGTTTCTAGGATTTTACTCTTCTAAATATGTGATGTTACATTAAGTGCAGTGTAAGAAAGGGTTATGATTAATATGATGAAAACTATATCTTAGCATATAACTTTAATAAAAGTAAAAAGTTCAAACAGAACATATGAAATTGTGTCTATGAATCAGGAGAATAATCTGCACCTTATTAGTAAAAGTAAATCTTGCTTTTACTGAGCCATAAGTGTTTTTATATCTAGAGCTGGCATTACAGAACTACTGAGATACAGAAAAAAAAATGTGCTAGGACATAAACTCTTCTCATGATTTAAGATATGTCAAAAGATGTAGCTATCTTCAAAAGAAATAAAGCCTACCATCACCAACATTTGCTGTAATCAGCTTATAATTGTTTGGGGGTCTGGGGGGCTGCTAAAGACTGCACCTGCCTCCCTAACTACGGCTTTCCACTTTTCATTTTAAAGAGGCTAGTACCCCATCATGCTCACAATCTCCAAAGCAGTTCCTGCCTCACCTCCAAGCTGACAGAAACCTTGATTCTGATTCTCAGTTGGTTTTCTGCCTGTCAGAAGGAAACTTCCAACAGTTTGCTATGGGTTTTTTTATTCATTCCCTTCCAGGCTTTGTTCCTCACCATACACATTGCAAGTTTAGCCTAAGCAATGTCAATGGGGTAGGCTGAATTGTGATTCAGGGCAAGTCTAATTTCTCCCAACAGACAATTTCAAGCTAATGCTGACCATCAGAGGAAGGCTGTCATTGATATCATCTGGTTAATGGCATAACTTGGTCCACTCAACTCAAATTGCATCACTTACACTAATCTGCTGCAGTTCTGCAGCCCCACTCTGGAAGAGCCCTCTGCCTCACTGACAGGAGTGTGCCATTTGGTCAGAGAGCATGATGTAATTGCAACTGCTTTTCTTCTGATGAAGTATTTAATATGACCTTGCTATCATCTTCAAATAAATTATTTACCCTTCTAACAGCCAGAAATTGTCCAGACAAACTTAAGTAGCAATAAATTTCATAAATTATTACAGGTCAGAATGTACTCCTAAGTGACTCCAGTCAGTAGCAGCCCATGGAAAATCCTATAAAACTCCATTTTCCTCTGTCCAGCCAAGGTAGATTGGTAGACATAAAGCTGAGTTATCAAATCTTACTTTTACTCATCTGCTCTCAGAAGCTTACAAGTAATAAACAACTTCATGTAGTCGGCAGACAAATTGATGGTGGGGAGCTCTCCATTAAAAGGATAAAACAATGATGCTTTGTTTTCTTCTTACACAAATGGCCAGCTGAGATTCATTTGGTTTTCATTTTTAGAATAAAGCAGTAATTTCTGGTGTGACCTAAATGCACCACAAAATAAAGTATTCATGACAGACCTACATTCTTGGGGAAAATATTTTATTCTTCTTAATAAAGAAAACTACATTCAAAGACTTATGACTTCACTAGATATTATTCAGCCATTGTGGCTTTGCACCTAAGACAGCTTCATGTTAAATTTCCTTTTAGGTTTAAGTGTTCACTTTTCATCAACAATCTTTGCTAATATACCTGAGAGAGGGAAAACAGGGAATCAAAACCTCGTTGGCCTCTCTTCATGACCCCTCCAAATTTAATTTTATGAATCACTTTGATTTTTTTTCTAGCAAAAGCAAATTTGCTAACTATCAAGTATTCTCAAAGCCAGAGCCTCATGTAAAACAGAGAGCTCCTGATGCTGCAATTACCTGGTCATTGATACTAGTGAGCCTTTCTGTGTTTCACTCTTATGAGATGAAAAGTTGTTATTAAAGAATAACATATAAAGTTGGATGTAGCTTTGGACCTACCAGAGAGTGCAATGAACACTTCTGGAGGCCTGAGAAGTGGCTTCTTTATTCTGACTGAAACAAATGCCATCATGGAAATAACTCTTAGAAAACTGGGGAGCTTTCAAAGACATCCTCTTGAAAAAAAAAAAAAAGAAATCTCCAGTTCCTGGGAAACAGTGACAGATTAATATGCAGAGTGATGCATGGCTGTCACAATCAGCACTTGCCTCAGTGATTCCTAGATTGTTAATAGCTACCTTCTGGTGTATAGGCTTGAAATTCCTATAGTCTACAGTGCACCAACAAATACTGACCAGACAGTGCTGGCCACTGCAGTGGGCAGCAGTGTTTCTCCAAATACAAGGCATAGAAAAAAAAAGAATATGATTTTCTTTCTCAATTAATAATTGGAAGAGAGACATCATCAGCATTTTAGTTTTAAATAAGATTTCCATCTTAAATGAAGGGGATGGGGACACTAAAATGAAAAAAGGGTGGCGGGGAGTCAAGAACCTGTTTTAATTCAGTCTTTTTGTTTCCTCCATGCCACACAAACAAACTTCTTTTTAAAAATTGGATTCTTTGCCTGTTCGTTAAGGTTCATCCCAGGGTCCTGCAGATCTATCACAATCTGGCCACTCTGTACATTTTCTAACTACTCAGGCCCAAACCTCACTGTGATGCTTGACATTCCCTTCTTCCATATTCTGTATTCAATCCATCGGCAAATCCTCTCATCTCTCCCTTTCATATATATTCAGCATCCATCCACTTCTCATCACATCCACTGCTACCATGTTCATCTGGCTTGAGCCACCATCATTTCTTGCCTAGATTATTGCAATGGTTTCCAAATGGAATTCCTTGCTTCTACCCTTGACACCCCCGACCCCTACAAATTATTCTTAAAACTTCAAGAGAGTGAACCTGTTAGAACTAGTGAGATTCAGAGGCAGATTTATTGTGAAACTAATGAAGCTTAAACTTCTATGTTCTTCTCCTAACAGTTCATTCCCAAGGCTCTAAGAGGGCCCCAAGTCTAAGCAATGTGGTTAGATGGTAATAAATTTCTTGATGTTTTCAAAAGTAAGATTGTTAAGTATTTTTGAAAACCTGAATTCTAAAATTAACATACCTGGAAATTGAGGCTCCACAAAAACTAAATCAGATAGTATCACTACTTTTGTCAGATCATCTCTGTCCTCTGTTCAAAAACCTCTAATGGCTTCCCATCTCATTCAGAATAAAAAAATTATTAACTAAGGCCAAAAAAGCCCTCACTGTGTCTCTGACTCATTTCCTACCACTGGATCCAGTCACACAGGCTCCTTGTTATTTGTGGAACCTGCTAAATGCACCTGTACATCACAGCCTGTCCAATGTGTCACTGTTTCTACTTAGAAGGCTCCTTCCTGAGCAAGCTGATGGGGACTACCCTCTCTTCCTCCAGATATTTCTGCTCAGATGTTGCATTTATTAAAGGAGAGAATTTCCTTCACCAAACTAGTTTTTAATATGCTTCACCACCCATCTTTGACACTTCTCTTCTTGTTAAATTAAAAAATTTTCTTTCAAACCACTTACCATCTCTTGCTTCAATTTGTTGCCCCCCTCCACCAGTTACACATTCTCATTACTAGAATATAAGCTCCTTGTTATACATCCTCATTACTAGAATATGAGCTCCTTGATGGCAAACTATAGATAGAAAAACAGATAGATGGATAGATAGATAGATAGATAGATAGATAGATAGATAGATAGATGATAGATAGATAGATGGATGATAGATAGATATAGATATATATATAGATATCTCACTCTTCCCTATTGCCTAGCATCGCATTTGGCACACATAAATCTTGGATTCATCCATTCAACAGAAACATACCAAGTATGTTTGTATACACTGGAGAGAAAGCAGAGAACAACGAAACCCCTTTCTGTGGTACATGCGTTCTTACAGACAGAATGTTACTGTTGCTTCTCTATAGTTGAACTGTAAATCACCCAGGTAAAACTGAGGTCTTAAATGTCTGTGAATTATTTTGATAATGAAATAATGTTTTTTCTATTTGATACTTCTTATACCCACAAAAGCCCAAGTAGAATTCCTTATTTGTACTACTTTTTGCTATTTAAGGAAGAAGACTTTTACACTTATATTAGCTAAGCTTTAAGAGTGTAAGCATATATAAAAGGACATCTTGTGTCTCAAGTACTAAAATGAGAAGAATCGTAGTACTCCTCTGTAGGGCATGTCTTAAGAAGAATGTAATTTACTGATTACTTAATGAGAAAAGATTTCTTTTTTAAACAAACTTGTAAAAGAATAATGTGTATTATCTTCTTCTGTTTTGAAGCAATTATAAGTAGTAACGTCAGTATGAACTTTAATAAAGTTTAATTTGTTTTTATCTTTTTTATTTCAAACACTCATGTTTACTAGGCTGGCCTCTGAGTCCATAGGTCTTTACCATTATACTGTATTGCAGTCACATGGAAATATAAATAAGTTTGCTTGTAAATAGAAGTGAAACATCTATATAAACATTAATGCAAACAGGAATTAGAAGAAAGCTGGAGTAACCATTTAATCTAGAAAAAGTGGACTTCAGAGCCAGGGACAAAGAGGGACATTTCATAAAGATAAGGAGATGAATAACTCATCAAGAGGGCATAAATATTCTAAATTAGTATACACCTAATAATAGAACTTAAAAATACACAAAACGGACACTAACAGAACTAAAAACAATAATAAGACAAATCCAAAGTTACAGCAGGGGCCTTCAACATCTTATCTTGGTAGCTGAAACAATTTGGGCAGCACTGTCAATAAACATGATCTATTGACATTTATGGAGCTTCCCATCTAACTACAGTAGAATACCATTCATTCAAGTTTGCATGGAACATTCACCAAAATAGACTATATTCTAACTCCATAAAATAAGTATCAATAAATATAAAAAAAACCCAATTATACAAAGTCTATCCTCTCAACAAACACATGTGAAAATTAAATAACACACTTCCAAATTACTCAAGACTTTAATCACTAGGGAAATTGGAAAATATTTTTAACTAAATGAAAATAAAATTGCAACATAAAAATTGGGGAGATGCAGGTTGACGATAAGAGAAAAATTCCTATTATTAAAATCTTATATAAGAAAGGAAGAAACTTCTCAAATCGATGATATAAGTTTTCACTTTAAGAAACAAGAAAACTCACACAATATTCTGAGATAACAAACCTGCACATGTACCCCTGAATCTAAAATAAAAGTTAAAATTATAAAAAAAAAAAAGTAAAAGAAACAAGAAAAAGAAAATTAAACCCACTCTAAGCAGAAAGAAGAAAATAATAAACATATCAAAGAAATAGAATGCAGAACAATACAGAGAAAAATGTATACCACCAAAAAACAGTTATTCAACAAGATCAATAAAGCTGAAAAACTACTAGCTAGAATAATCATGGAAAAAGAAAAGAAGAGACAAATTACCAGTATCAAAACAAAAAACATACAGATTTTTAAAAAGGAAGAAGTAAAACTCTTTCTCTTTGCAAATAACTGATTGGCTCTGTAGAAAAATCATAAGAAGTCACAGGGAGAAGCTATTAGAAATATAAAAGGAGTTAAGTAAGGTCACGAGATACAGGACCATATGTGAAAGTCTATTGTATTTTTACATATAGACAACAAACAATTGGAAACCATTTTTTAAGGGTCATTTATATAAGCAACAAAATCTAAGAAGTGCTTAGAGATAAACTTAAATTATCAAAACCTATACACTGAAAACTACAAAAGAATGCTGAGAGAAATTAAAGACAATATAAAATAATAGAGAAATAGATGGATTACATTAATGTATCAGAAGACTCATTATTTTAAGATGATGATTATCTCTAATTGATCTATAGTTTTAATGGAATCCTAATCAAAATCATACCATGATATTTGATAGATATTGATGAATTTTTAATTCTAAAATTTATGAATAGGTAAAGGACTAAACATCTTGGAGAAAAAATACAAAGTCAGAGTACCTTACACTATCTGATTTGAATACTTATTATAAAGCTAAAGCAATCAAGACACTTTAATATGAATGTAAAAGTAGACATACTGACCAATGTAATTGTAATAAGAGTAGCAAATTCACACATATAATGCCAATTGATTTTTTAAATTACATGAAAAAGTAATCCAATAAGGAATGAATAATCTTTGCCACAAATGGTATTGGAACATTTCAACATCTGTATGCAGAAGAAGGAAAAGAAAAAGAAGATAAGGAGGAGAAAGAAAGGGAAGAGGGTTGTGGCAGGAGGGGGGAGAGAAGGAGAGGAGGAATCACCAACATAAAAAACAAAAAAACCCCAAATCTTTGACCGTTAACTCACAGAATACATAAAATTAATTCAAAATAGAAAATTGACCGAAATGTAAAAGGTAAAGAAAATAAAACATCCATAAGGAAACCTAGGATAGAGTACTTACATTTTGAAGTGGTCAAACATTCCTTACATAAACACAAAAAGCCAAAAACACTTAGAAATACTATAAAATGGACTTCATCAAAATTAAAACTTTCTGCTATTTGAATGACAATGTTAAGAAAATGAAAGAGCAAACCACAGCCTGGAAGAAAATATTCATAATACATAGATATGAAAATAGAGTTGTATACAGAATAGACAGAAAATTCCTACAATTCAATGATGAGAAGAGAAACACACTAATGAAAAAGGCTAAAAATATTTGAACAGGCAATTTACAAAAGAAGATATACGAAGAGCCAACACATACGTGATAAGATCCTCATCCGCTGTCTTAAGAAATGCAAATTAAAACTACATCACTTTGAATGGTTGCAATTAAAAAGTTGGATAAAATCAAATGTTGGTGAGAATGGGGACCAATGGCAACTTTCATTTATTTCTGGTGGAAATAGAATGGTACTAATCTAGTTTGGAAAACAATTCTGCAGTCTCTTATAAAGTTTAAAATGCACTTACCTTATAATACAGCCAATCTACCCTTAAGTATTTACCCAAGAGAAGTGAAAATACATTCACACAAAGATTTGTAGGTAAGCGTCCACAGGCACTTTGTTTACAATAGCATAAACATTAGAAACAAGTCATACACCTATCAACTGATGAGTGGACAAATTGTGGCACATCTATGCAATGGAAAGCAACTCAGCATTAAAAGAATAGAATTACTAATAAATACAACAACATATGAATCTCAGAAACATTATGGTAATCAAAAGATTGTGGAAACACAAAGAGAACATATTGTATGATTATATTTTTGAGAAACTCTAGAAAATTTTAAATTGTTATATGAAAAGTAGATCCCTGGCTGCCTGGATCGGGGGTGAGGAGAAGAGACTGCATGGATAAAAGCATAAATGAGTATTTTCTGGCAATATTCTTTATCTTGATTGTGGTGTTAGATGCATGGGAGTATATTTTTGTCAGAACTCATCAAACAGCAATTACGAAGAGCGCAGTTTATTGTTTTTAAATTATACCTCAATAAAGTTGATTAAAAGGAAATAGTATGTGAGTGGGCTAAGCGGGCCTCTTCCTTAGTTACCAGAAGCAATTCTTCAGTCTGTAGAATGGATAAAAATGCTCTTGTGGTTTATGGGTTTCTTCCTTAATGCTACTGACATGTTCCTCTATGTTGCACAAAAAATAGCCAACTGCCCAGTGCCGTCTTCATTGTTTTACAGCTGCTAGAAAATAATAGTATTCTATAATTTAGAATCCTCCAGAACTAAAAGATCTATATCACCATCACCAAGTTTAAGTTATCTGGATTTATGAAGTTTCATTGTGCATAAAAGTAAAGGGGGATATTTGAATACAATAAAGTATATGTTGTGCTGCTTTAAAATAAAGATGTGTGTAATGCAGGGTGTAGTTTAAGATTAAAGGAAACAGCTCAGGAAATCCTTGCTTAATTGAATTGAATGCTTTCCCTAAGATGCCTGTTTGGATTAATCACAAACTTGAAATTAATTATATTGCCTTGGAGAACAGTTAATATTTGGTCCAAAGTCCAACCCTCTGCCTTTGGAAAGAATTGAAGAGGAATTTGGCAAAGGGAGAAAAACCTGGCAAAAGAAGTTTGGGAGTGGACAACATTTGAGATATAATGCTTAGGAAAAAAATATAGGATCTAGAGCTTATGTAGATACAAGTGGCATCAGATAAAATGATAGACAATCTGGTTGAAATGATTCAGATGTATTTTGAGGTACAATGAGATGAGGAATAGTCTTTCAGCCACATTATTTTAAAGTTCAAAATAGTATTTAGGAATGTCTGATCTAACTCCCTTATGTCAAATGATAAAATGGGGACAGCAACATGCCAAATAGTTTGCTTTTGGTTTCTCTAATGAGTTGAAGAATCTAGAAAAAAATCAGATTTTCTGACATCTCATTCAATGATTTTTCCATATTGCTCTGTTTGCTGATTCTTAAACACATTCTTAAAGGAAAGTGGTAAATGTCACTATCTAGCTAGAAGAAGGGCATAAATAGATATTTTGGTAATCATGTATTTGGCGATTGTGACACAAATTATCAGGACAAATGTCTTTTATTGGCTATAAAAATTCCATTTTATTATTATAAAATGAGAAATCACTAAAGAAATTTCTCCATTCAAGCTAATATTTTAAAACAGTATGAATCCATCCCATATGCTAGCAAACAACATTTTGTGTCACAATTTGACACATAGAAATACAACTTGAAGCATCAAAAATTAATAGTTTATATTCAAACTGCAGTCCCCTAAAAGCAGGTAATGTGAATTATTTAAGGGTAATTTCGATCTGAGAAAAATTCCCCAGCATCATTTGCCTTTGGGAATGCAGAAATCTTGTCTTGTAATTCGCTTTATAGGTCTATACGTTTGTTTTCCATCTTACAGTATAATACTCTTTTTGTCAATCTGTTTTTACAATTGGGCAATTTAGGAATGTATCATCAAACCTAACTGCTGGAGGAGTATTCTTCTTAGTGCTTAAAAAGTATTGTTTTATTCAGTCAATACATGCTAAAAATTAATAAGAACAAAATAAAATGGGAGGCTCAACTAGTACTCAAGGGGAGAAATTTGAAACACATAGTATGGAATAAACCATGTACAAATTCAAGTGATTTCATGCTATTTTAAACCAATGTACCAGATCAATTTTATGTCATTTTCTTTTCTTTTTAAAAGTGATAATACTGTAACTACTATCTGCATAGATCTGTGATGAGTGCTCCACTGCTGTGTTTTATTCTGAAAAGAAAAAGAGAAATTTATGATGAAGTGAAAAAGATTTTAGTGGAACCCAGTGGTGAAAGATAAACAATTGAATCCTCAATACTAGTACTTATTTGAAGGAAGAAAAAAGTTCATTTTAAGGTAAGAAGACATTACGAAGGAAACAGGAGAAAAGTTAGACTGAGGTGTTTGTGCAAGAAGAGAATAGTAATGAGATTTGAAGGGTTTGAGGGCAAAACATACAAGCACATGTTTGCAAGAGTATCTGAAACCTCAAACAGCAGCAGAGCACTAAAAAGAGAGACAAGAGTTTGGTTTTTTAAAAGGAGTGTGCAGTACACGATGCTTAGCTTTTTAGAAAACAGCTTCTCCACTTTGGCCTGCCTAAAATTTTTTAGAATTCAGGTTTTCTTTTCAAATATTAATGAAGCACTGGATTTTAGTGGCTGTTTCTAAGTAGTACTATTTTGGCTTAACTTGTATATGTTTTCCCCTCAAAAATAAATGAAAATACTTAATCGAGGCACAAACTTGAAGTATTTAATTTTTTTTTTTTTTAGTTTTATCAACACTCTGGTTTCTTCTAATTTCATAGAATCTGAGACACTAAAAGAACTTTCACAAAATAAGTTAATTTGGGATCATGACATGTCAACATGGCTCATCAAATTTTTTTAATTGACTGTTATTACTGAAATGATATTCAATCACGTAAAGTTTAGAGGCACTTTAAGCTGAATATTAATATTCTTGCATGGAATGTAATAGTTAGTGTAGATGTGCAGCATTTTTGGAGAAAATAAACCAATTACAATAACTATTGAGTATATTCCTCAGTTGGGCTATGCTCTTCAGCTAAGTTAGAATCCTTGGGCATTATTTTGGCATTTGGAACCCTCTTTTTCTAGCTCCAGTTGCAAGATATTGTCAGAACTATTTGGAAAATAATTTTCTTTCTTTTTCATCAAGTTGTATCAACAAATAAGGACAATAATAGTTACTAAGCATTTTTATTTATCAATTAGTTTTCTGGGAATGATAGACTATGTAGAAAAACGTCATAACTGACTACCTTCAGGGAACTTCAGCAACCTACATATGAAAACCACTGACCCCAAATGCCAAGTTTCACCCAGAGTATAATTTCGTGTTACATATAACATTTGACATGACTGGATTATTTTTCTCTGTGTAAGGAAACCAAAAGCAGAGGCAAAAGGAAAGAACAATCCCAATATCTCATTTAGTGGTATTAAAGTGATACCACAATCACCTTTCAGATTTTACATTGGATGAGTCCCATTCCTCTTTCTGTGTGGGGTAAACCCTACTAGAGTATTACCTATAGGGAACAATACCTTATTGAATTGGATAGGTTCTTCATGGGATAATTTAAAGGATATTTGAGGAAAGAAACAAAGGATGAAAGGGAAGAAAAGGGTATTACTCTTTAATACCCTTGTATTAAAGGGTAAATACAAGGTTAGAAGCTGGAGGAATAGAGAAGTGTTATACAATGGTTTTAGAAAAGTGGTTCAGGAAGGAGGGGCCAAAATGGCCGAAAAAACACAGCTCCAGTCTTCAGCTCCCAGTGAGACCAACCCAGAAGGTGGGTGATTTCTGCATTTCCAACTGAGGTACCCAGTTCATCTCACTGGGACTGGCTAGGCAGTGGACGTGGCCCATAAAGAATGAGGAGAAGGAGGGTGGGGCATTGCTTCACCTGGAGAGTGTACAGAATGGGGGAACCTTTATCCCCCAGCCAAAGGAAGCAGTGAGAGAGTGGGCTACCCACCAGGGGTACAACACTTTTCCCACGGAATTTTGCAATCCTCAGATCAAGAGATTCCCTTTTGAGCCTATACGCCAGAGCCCTGGGTTTCAGGCACAAAACTGGATGGCTGTTTGGGCAGGCACTGAGCTGCAGGAGTTTTTACATACTCTAGTTGCACCTGGAACTCCAGTGACACAGGAAAACCATCCACTCCCCTGGAAAGAGGGCTGAAGCCAGGGAGCCAAGGGGTCTCACTCAGCAGGTTCCACCCCCATGGAGCTCAGCAAGCTAAGAACCACTGCCAGCACAGCAGTTTGGAATCTGCCTGGGATGACCCAGTTTGGTGGGGGAGGGGTGACCACCATTACTGTGGCTTTAGTTGGCAGTTTTCCCCTGACAGTGCCAAGGAGACTGAGAGGTTTAGACTAGGTGGAATTCACCACAGTGCAGCTAAGTGGCCATGGCCAGACTGCTTCTCTAGATGCCTCCTCACAGGGCAGGGCATCTCTGCAGGAAATCCAGCAGCTCCAGTTAGGGGCTTACAGACAGAACTCTCATCTCCCTAGGAAAGAGTACGTTGAGGGAAAGGTGGCTGCAGTCTCAGGTTTAGCAGATTTAAACTTGTTTACCTGCCGGCACTGAAGAGAGCAGCTGATCCTGACAAGGGGGATTCTCCCAGCACAGCGCACTAGCTCTGCTCAGGGAAAGACTGCCTCCTCAAGTGAGTCCCTGACCCCATGCCTCATAACTCAGAGAGACCTCCCAACAGGGGTCGACAGACGCCTCATACAGGAAAGCTCCAGATGGCATCAGACCAGTGCCCCTCTGGGATGAACCTTCCGGAGGAAGGAGCAGGCAGCAATCTTTGTTGTTCTGCAGCCTCCACTGGTGATACTTAGGTGAACAGGGTCTAATGTGAACCCCCAGCAAACTGCAGCAGACCTGCAGAAGAGGAGCCTGACTGCTAGAAGAAAAACTAACAAACAGAAAACAACAACATCAATAAAAAAGACACCTCCCAAAAAACCCATCCGAAGGTTGTTAGCCTCAAAGATCAAAGGTAGATACATCCATGAAAATGAGGGAAAAAACAATACAAAAACAATGAAAATTCCAAAAGCCAGGATGCCTCTTCTCCAAATGACTGCAACACCTCTCCAGCAAGGGTGCAGAACTAGATGGGAGATGAGATGGATGAATTGTCAGAAGGTGGGTAATAACAAACCCCGCTGAGCTAAAGAAGCATGTTCTAACCCAATGCAAAGAAGCCAAGAATTTTGATAAAAGGTTACAGGAGCTGATAACTAGAATAACCAGCTTAGAGAGGAACATAAGTGACCTGGAGGAGCTGAAAAACACAGCGTGAGAACTTCATGAAGCATACAGAAGTATCAATAGCCAAATCGATGAAGTGGAAAAAAGGATATCAGAGTTTGAAGACCATCTTTCTGAAATAAGGCGTGCAGACAAGATTAGAGACAAAAGAATGAAAAGGAACATATAAAACCTCTGCAAAATATGGGACTATGTGAAAAGACCAAACCTATGATTGGAGTACCTGAAAGAGATGGGGAGAATGGAACCAAGTTGGAAAACACACTTCAGGATATTATCCAGGAGAAATTCCCCAACTTAGCAAGACAGGCTAACATTCAAATTCAGGAAATACAGAGAATACTGCTAAGATACTCCATGAGAAGATCAACCACAAGACAAATAATCATCAGATTCTCCAAGGTCGAAATTAAGTAAAAAACGTTAAGGGCAGCCAGAGAGAAAGGCTAGATAACCTACAAAGGGAAGCCCATCAAACTAACAGTGGATCTCTCAGCAGAAACCCTACAAGCCAGAAGAGAGTGAGGGCCAATATTCAACATTTAAAAGAAAAGAATTTTTAACCCAGGATTTAATATTCAGCCAAACTAAGCTTCATAAGCAAAGGAGAAATAAGATCCTTTCCAGACAAGCAAATGCTGAGGGATTTCATCACCACCAGGCCTGCCTTGCAAGAGCTCCTGAAGGAAACACAAAATATGGAAAGGAAAAACTGGTATCACCTACTGCAAAAACACACCAAAATGTAAAGACCAATAACACTATGAAGAAACTGCATCAACTAGTGTGCAAAATATCCAGCTTGCATCATGATAACAGGATCAAATTCACAGATAACAATACTAGCCTTAAATGTAAATGGATAAATGCCCCAATTAAAAGACACAGACTGGCAGATTGGATAAAGAGTCAAGACTCATCAGTGTGTTGTATTCAGGAGATCCATCTCATGTGCAAAGACACATATAGGCTCAAAATAAAGAGGTGGAGGAAAATTTACCAAGCATATGAAAAGCAAAAAAAAAAAAAAAAAAAAAAAAAGCAGGGGTTGTAATCCTAGTCTCTGACAAAACAGACTTTAAACCAAGAAAGATCACGAAAGACAAAGAAGGGCATTACATAATAGTATGGGGATCAATTCAACAAGAAGATCTACCTTAAATATATATGTACCAAATACAGGAGCACCCAGACTTATAAAAACTAATTCTTAGAGACCTACAAAGAGACTTAGACTCCTACACAATAATGGTGGGGGACTTTAACAACTCACTGTCAATATTAGACAGATCAACAAGACAAAAAATTAACAAAGATATTCCGACTTGAACTCAGTTCTAGATCAAATGGACCAAATAGACATCTACAGAACTCTCCACCCCAAATCAACGAATATACATTCTTCTCAGTGCCACATGGCACTTATCCTAAAATTGACCACATAATTGGAAGTAAAACACTCCTCAGCAAATGCAAAAGAACAGAAATCATAACAAATAGTCTATCAGACCACAGTGCAATCAAATTAGAACTCAGGATTAAGAAACTCACTCAAAACCACACAATGACACAGAAATTGAACAACCTGCTCCTGAAAGACTCCTGAGTAAATAATGAAATTAAGGCAGAAATAAAGAACTTCTTTGAAACGAATGAAAACAAAGAGACAATGTACCAAAATCTCTGGGACACAGCTAAAGCAGTGTTAAAAGAAAAAATTATAATACCAAATGCCCATACCAGAAAGCTAGAAAGATCTCAAATTGACACCCTAGCACCACAATTAAAAGAACTAGATAAGCAAGAACGAACAAATACAAAGGCTAGCAGAAGACAAGAAATAACTAAGATCAGAGCAGAACTGAAGGACACAGAGACATGAAAAACCCTTCAAAAACTCAATGAATCCAGGATCTGGGTTTTTGAAAAAAAAAATAACAAAATAGATAGACCACTAGCTAGACTACTAAAGAAGAAAAGAGAGAAGAATCAAATAGACACAATAAAAAATGATAAAGACCCCACAGAAATACACACTACCATCAGAGAATACTATAAACACCTCTACGCAAATAAACTAGAAAATCTAGAAAAAATGGATAAATGCCTGGGCACATACACCCTCCCAAGGTGTAAACCAGGAAGAAGTTGAATACCTGAATAGGCCAATAACAAGTTCTGAAATGGAGGCAGTAATTAATAGCCTACCAACCAAAAAAATCCCAGGACCAGATGGATTCACAGCTGAATTCTAACAGAGGTACAAAGAGGAGCTGGTACCATTCCTTCTGAAACTATTCCAAACAATAGAAAAAGAGAGACTCCTCCCTAACTTATTTTATGAGGCCAGCATCATCCTGATACCAAAACCTGGCAGTGACACAACAAAAAAAGAAAATTTCAGGCCGATATCCCTGATGAACATTGATGAGAAAATCCTCCATAAAGCACTGGCAAATCAAATCCAGCAGCACATCAAAAAGTTTGTCTACCACGATCAAGTCGGCTTCATCCCTGGGATGCAAGGCTGGTTCAACATGTGCAAATCGATAAACATAATCCATCACATAAACAGAACCAATAACAAAAATGACATGATTACGTCAATAGATGCAGAAAAGGCCTTTGATAAATTTCAACATCCTGTTAAAAATTCTCAATAAACTAGGTATTGATGGAACATATCTTGAAATAATAAGAGCTATTTATGACAAACCCACAGCCAATATGCTGAATGGGCAAAAGCTGGAAGCATTCCCTTTGAAAGCAGACACAAGAAAAGGGTGCCCTCTCTTACCACTCTTATTCAACATGGGTATTGGAAGTCCTGGCCAGGGCAATCAGGCAAGAGAAATAAATAAGTTGTATTCAAATAGGAAGAGAGGAAGTCAAATTGTCTGTTTGCAAATGACATGATTCTATATTTAGAAAACCCCATCATCTCAGCCCAAAAACTCCTTAAGCTGATAAACAACTTCAGCAAAGTCTCAGGATAAAAAATCAATGTGCAAAAATCACAAGCATTGCTTTATACCGATAATAGACAAGCAGAGAGCCAAATCATGAATGAACTCTCATTCACAATTGTTACAAAGAGAATAAAATACCTAGGAATACAGCTAACAAGGGATGTGAAGGACCTCTTCAAGAAGAACTACAAACCACTGTTCAAGGAAATAAGAGAGGACACAAACAAATGGAAAAACATTCCATCCTCATGGTTAGGAAGAATCAATATTGTGAAAATGGCCATACTGCCCAAAGTAATTTATAGATTCAATGCTATTCCCATCAAACTATTGACATTCTTCACAGAATTAGAAAAAAACTACTTTAAATTTCACATGGAACCAAAAAAGAGTCTGTATTGCCAAGATAATCCTAAGCAAAAAGAATAAAGCTGGAGGCATCATGCTACCTGACTTCAAACTATACTACAAGTCTACAATAACCAAAACAGCATGGTACTGGTACCAAAACAGGAATATAGACCAATGGAACAGAACAGAGACCTCAGAAATAACACCACACATCTACAACCATCTGATCTTTGACAAACCTGACAAAAACAAGCAATGAGAAAGGATTCCCTATTCAATTAGTGGTTCTGGGAAAACTGGCTAGCCATATCCAGAAAACTGAAACTGTACTCCTTCCTTACACCTTATACCAAAATTAACTCAAGATGGATTAAAGACTTAAATGTAAAACCCAAAACCATAAAAACCCTAGAAGAAAACCTAGGCAATACCATTCAGAACATAGACATTGGCAAAGATTTCATGACGATAATGCCAAAAGCAATTGCAGCAAAAGGCAAAATTAACAAAAGGGATCTAATTAAACTAAAGGGCTTCTGCACAACTAAAGGAACTAGCATCAGAGTGAACAGGCAACCTACAGAATGGGAGAAAATTTTTGCAATCTACCCATCTGACAAAGGTGTAATATCCAGAATCTATAAGAGACTTAAATTTACAAGAAAAAAACAACCCCATCAAAAAGTGAGTGAAGGATATAAAGAGACACTTCTCAAAAGAAGACATTTACATGACCAACAAACATATGAAAAAAAGCTCACCATCACTAATCATTAGAGAAATGCAAATCAAAACCACAATGAGATACCATCTCACACCAGTCAGAATGTGATTATTAAAAAGTCAAGAAACAATAGATCTTGGCAAGGCAGTGGAGAAATAGGAATGCTTTTACAGTGTTGGTGGGAATGTAAATTAGTTCAACCATTGTGGAAGACAGTGTGGTGATTCCTCAAGGATATAGAACCAGAAATACCATTTGACCCAGCAATCCTATTACTGGGTGTATACCCAAAGGAATATAAATCATTCTACTATAAATGCACATGCACACGTATGTTTACTGCAGCACTGTTCACAATAGCAAAGACTTGGAACCAACCCAAATGTCCATCAATGATAGACTGGATAAAGAAAATGTAGTACATATACACCATGGAATATTATGCAGCCATAAAAAAGAATGAGATCATGTCCTTTGCAGGGACATGAAGCTGGAAGCCATCATCCTTAGTAAACTAACACAGGAACAGAAAACCAAACACCACGTATTCTCACACATAAGTGGGAGCTGAACAATGAGAACACGTGGCCACAGGGAGGAGAATAACACACACCAGGGCCTGGTGGGAGGGTTGGGGGCAAGGGGAGGGAAAGCATTAGAACAAATAGTTATTGCATGTGGGGCTTAAAACCTAGATGATAAGTTGATAGGTGTAGCAAACCACCATGGCACACATATACCTATGTAACAAACCTGCACATTCTGCACACGTATCCCAAAACTTAAAGTAAAATTTAAAAAAAAGAAAAGAAAAGAAAAGCGGTCAGGAGCAAGGCCTGCATTGAGGGTCTATTTGAGCTGTGTGGAGCAACAGCAGGTGAATAGCTTACAGCAGCCATGAATTATTAGATATCTTCTCATAATACTAGTTCTACATCCAGGTCTTCAAATCAGCCTCAAGCACTTCAAAACTATGCATATGCATAATATCTGAGGAAAAGCTAAAAAACATAAATCAAATGGATATCAGCATATTAGCGAATTAATGAAGAAATGTTTCTGGAGATATTTAAATGAAGTCATGAGTCTATAAAACATTACATGAGAAAATGCTTATGGATGACTGTCATGAACAGTAAAGCAGATATCAGCAAATGTTGTTTATGGATGTGTCTATAGTTACAGTTTAGATATTATTCATAATAATATGGTATAAAACTGAACATGAAAGATGTTATAAGGAGGGTCTTTAAATATATCTTGATGAAGTAGGCAATAATAAATCCAAATATATATGTGTTATGCTAAATAAATGCCAATCTGTAAATTACGATTTAAAGTAAACTAATCAGAGTATTGACTCAGCACTCTGGCTGAAAAAGGATAAACACCATGTAATGGAAAGTATTTTATATTTCAAGGTAGCTGTTAAATTAAACATGTAACAATTAACATGTTCAACTTATACCAATATGTAGTTATTAAATTAAGTATGTCAATGAAGAGCACTTTACATGAAAGTAATTTTAGGACTGTGGTGCCATATGAAAATGTAAAACCAAGCATCAGAAATTATAAGAATATTATTAGAGAACTATCTGATCACTCTGAAGTTGAATATGCCATATGGAAATGAAAGGACAAAATAAAGAACAAATTTCCTTAGAACATAGATAACTGATATGCAAGATTACTTTTCCAAAGGTTAAGAGAAACAGAAATACGGAGATATATTTGTAAGATGATAAGTGAAGGCACTTTAAAAACAACAGACTTGTTTTCCCCCTCATTTTCATACACATTCAGGTGAAAAGCTACAAGTGCATTATAACATCAATTATGAACACAGCATATATAATAAATGCATTAATTCTCAAATACCCTGCATCGTGTAGTCAGAAAAACTTGGAAAGTATTCATAAATAAAGTGCCATTTCTAGTTTGGAGTAATCAATACAAGTACTTGATTTTAGTTCTCTGATCCTTTATATTTGTATTTCCAACTAACTCAGACACTACCTACATATCCTTCCTTTGGATTTTAGAGATAAACATTTTACAATGGTTTAGGAAACAAATAGCGGATTCTGGGCGTACATCTACCCCTAATTAGGTGTGACTTTGGGAACGTCATCAGCTCATGGAACTTTAGTTTCTCTTCCCCTTCCAATGGGGGAGGGTAATATAAAATTGCTAAACTCTAGAAAATTCATGATGTTTGTGTCACTCACCACTAATTTGGTTATATGCCATTTTGAATTATTCAGTAGTCTTCTCAGCTAGATTTTAAGTGCCCTAGATATATTTCCCGTTACCTAGCACAGTGCTGGGTGATAACTAGCTGTTTTAAAAACACTTCTTGATGGACTGAATATTTACTGGAAAAATATTGGAGGCCAAGAAAAGACATATTCACTTAGTTGAATATTCTCTGGTCTAGAATTGTCCTCTATCAGCAGTGTGAAACAAGATGGTTGTAGAGTTTGTTTGAAAAGGAAGTATTTTCATTATCAATTTAAAATACACTGTCTTCCAATTGTTATGTTACATTATCTATAACTAGAGGATTTGTTCATGCATAATTTTTTTACACATCTGAAAGTAAAATGGACTAATGTGTGACCTACCTACAGAAATAGCAGAAGTCATTTTAGACAGCCTGGGAAAGATAGCAAATTTTCAAAACCACATTCCTATTTAGCTGGCATATATATAACATTGTGTCTTCTTATCAGTTCCAGCAATACTATGTATATTAGGAGAAAAAAAAAGCATTCTCCACAATTAGCTTCCTTTTTGGCCCTGATGAAAGAATTTCATAATCTAATTTTTTGTTTTTTCATAAAGTTCTTCATTGAGAATGAGCTG
The DNA here is from genome assembly GCF_000001405.40 of Homo sapiens. NCBI lineage: Eukaryota > Metazoa > Chordata > Mammalia > Primates > Hominidae > Homo > Homo sapiens. Next base: position 95,966,897 of record NC_000001.11, on the reverse strand, counting down.
AGATGTTGAAATTGTGATTTAGATACAGAAGCCATCAGCTAGATAGTGTATTAATGTACTTCAAGTGTTGCAGCAACAGTTAAAAGGAAAAAAAGTTAAAAGTACTAAGAAGGTTAGTAGGGTTATCGGAAACATATGGTGTTTTTTAAAGTTTTCCTGAATGCAGCAGGGGTTCTGTGGATTCATTAAGGAAAGAAAAATGATGAAGGCAAAATGTGAGTGAGAAGTAAGCTTTTATCTGATGAGTCTTTTCCGTCTCATCCCATCTGTCTCAACCTAATCACACTTAGATGTGTTGAAGCTATCTACAGAGGTTAAATGTATTTTTGAAGTTCAATAAATAAGGTTATGTCTCTTGAAAAAAAAGTAGCAGACTGTATTATACTAAATAGTAAAATAGCAGATCCACCTAGTAATGCAAATTTTTTTGTAAGATAATACATATGAGAAGTATGGATTGTGAATAGAATTGTTTGGTTGCGAAACCAGACATTTCTTTAAAAATCAAAGAGAGGAGCACCTCTTTCAGGCCCCGCACCATCTGGGAAGTGAGGAGCGCTTCTGCCCTGCCGCCATGCAACCCTACAGGTGTGAAGTGGCAGCCTTGTGTGTGATCTTTCTGCCCTCCCCAAGTTTGCATTTTCGACAGTAAAGTTTACTTTTAAATTAAAAGATTTAAATTGGGGAAGATAAAAAAAATCATAAGACAATATACATGATAAAGGCATTAGTAGTGTCATATATAGTAATGCACTATATAATGACACTTCTGTCAATGATGGACTGCATAAGACTATAATACAATATTTCATTGTACCTTTTCTGTGTTTAGATATTTTTAGATACACAAATACTTACTATGTGTCCCAGTTGACTATGTGTTCAGCGCAGCAATATGTTGTACCAGTTTGTATCCTTGGAGAAATAGACTACACCATATATCCTAGGTGCATATTAAGCTATATCATCTAGGTTTGTGTAAGTATACTTTATGATGTTGATCCAATGACAGAATTGCCTAATGACACATTTCTCAGAAGGTATCCTCATTGTTAAGCAATGTATGACTGTATTATAAAGTCATAGGTTCACATTAAGTGTTTTCAAGGAGCAAGAGACAATTTTCATTTGGACAAAGTAGATGAATGTTCTTATTTGTAGTCTATTTTCTCTTCTTAGAAGAAAACATGCTTTCTTCTGCATAATGTCATAAAGATCCAAGTACTTTTCAATTTTTAAATTCTTTTGCTCCAATCTGCATATCCTTCTCCAACACCTCCCTATTCCTCTTTTCTGCTCTCAAAATGCACGGATATCTATAACCTTGGGAAAGCCTGTACTTACCTGAAGCTTTCTTAGGTATGTGTTTCTTGTTAACAAATTTTGAGTGAGTTATCCACCTTTACACAAGTCATGCCTAGCCTGATGTCTTCTTCCTCCACTCTATTGAAGTTGCATTCACACCTTTCATGGGCACAGATTTTGTTTCCCTAACTTGAATATAAGCTTTTGTAGGAAGAACCTGCAATAAGCAATTTCGGGGGTTTGGCTACCATTGTACACTGACCTTAAAAAAAATAAATGAATTGTTAAATTTATGAGTGGACTTTAAATGCTCAATTGAATCCACACAACTATTAAGATAAGCAAACCACCCTTCATTACAATGAAATACTCTCTGATGTGAGAAATCTTCCCCTAAAAGCTAACCCATCTGCCCTTTCTCAGGTGGCAAAAGACACACTATTTTTTTCCTTGTGTATTTGCTGCCAATTTCTAGGAATCCCAGTGAGGAAAACACAGAGTAATAAGTGTGAGTAGTGAGTTTCTAATATCATGGTAAAAGAGTCTGGCACCAGGAGAGAAGCTCAGATTTCCTGGGCATCTATTAAACAGTATGTATTAAGTCCCTAATACATCTACTCTAGTACTAAGAAGGCTATCAAAGACTATCTAGATACAGCCCTTAATCTAAAGAAGCTCACATGTTCATAATACAAAAAAGAATATGGAAAGAAATTTTTAACTTATTTTAAAAAGGAATGTCCAAAACCTCTTCTAAAAATGACAGTACTGTTAGCTGCCATACCTAATTTATAGCATTGCTCTGAAGATCACATGGACATGAAAATAATTAAAAACATAAAATTGCAAACTCTACACACTTGCAAAAAATCTGTCATCATGTCATGTCACATTTTTATAAGATTTATGAATACCTATAATTAGATAAAGTTTTTTATAAATGCCACTATAGATATTAAAAAACAAGGACTTGAAGGCATACAATTTCAAGTAATAATCCAACTCGTAAAAGTCAAGGGTAAAGAAAGAATCCTGAAAGCAGCTGGAGAAAAGAAACAAATAACTTAACAATGGAGCTCCAATACAGCTGGTGGCAGACTTTTTAGTGGAAGCCTTACAGGCCAGGAGAAAGTGGTATGATATATTTAAAGTGCTGAAGGAAGAAACCTTCTACCTTAAAATAGTGTATCTGGTGAAAATATCCTTCAAACATAAAGGAGAAATACTTCTTCAGACAAACAAAAGCTGAGAGATTTCATCAGCACCAGACCTATCCTACAAGAAAGGCTAATGGAAATATTTCAATCAGAAAGACAAGGATGCTAATAAGCAACAAAAAAATCACCTGAAGGTACAAAATTCACTGGTATAGTAAGTACACAATAAAACATAGAATATTATAAAACTGTAGCTATAGTATGTAAACTACTCTGATCTTAAGTAGAAAAACTAAATGATGAACCAATAAGATATAAATAGAAACAACAAAAAGTTGAAAAGTGTGGGGGGTGGTGAATATACGGTTTGGAATTTCTATGTTTTCTATTCTTTCTTTCTTTTTGTTTGTTTGTTTATTTATATCAACACTATTAGTTGTCATCAGCTAAAAATAACAAGTTATAACATTGTATTTGCAAGACTCATGGTAACTTCAAATTAAAAAACATACAATGGTCCCACAAAAAATAAAGAGCAAGAAAATAAATTCTGCCAGCAGAGAAAAATCACATTTACTAAAAAGAAGACAAGAAGAAGTAAAGAAGAAAGAACACAAAACCACCTGAAAACAAATAATAACAAGACAGAAGTAAGTCCTTACTTATGAACAGTAACATATAATGTAAATGGACTAAACTCTTCAATCAGAAGACATTCAGTGGTTGAATGGATTAAAAAAAAAAGACCCAATGATCTGTTGCCTACAAGAAATACACTTCACTATAAAGGCACATATGGAGTGAACATTTTTAAAAATGGAAAAAGATATTCCATGCCAAAGGAAACCAAAAAAGAACAGGAATAGCTATACTTATATCAGACAAAATAGATTTCAAGACAAAAGCTGTGAGAAGAAGCAAAGAACATCACGATATAATGATAAAATGATGAATTCAGCAAGAAGAAATAACAATTTTAAATATATATGCAGCCAACACTGGAGCACCCAGATATATAAAGCAAATATTATTGAGAGATAGAACCTAATACAATAACAGCTTGAGAGCTTAACACCTCGCTTTCAGCATTGGACACACCTTCTAGACAAAAAAAAAAAAAATCAACAAAGAAACACTGGACTTAATCTGATATATAGACCAAACGGACCTAACAGATATTTACAGAACATTTCATCCAATGGCTGCAAAATACACATTCTTTTCCTCAGCACATTGATCATCTTCAATGAGGATGGTCTTATAATATAAGACCTTATATTAGGCCACAAAACAAATCCCAAGACATTCAAAAAAATTGCAAAAATATCAAGCATCTTCTCTGACCACAATGGAATAAAACTAGAAATCAATAAAAAGAGGAATTTTAAAAACTATAGAAACACATGAAAATTGAACAATATTATTCTGAATGACCAGTGTATCAATGAAGAAATTAAGAAGGAAATTGAAAAATTTCTTGAAACGAATGATAATGGGAAATACAGCATACCAAAACCTATGGGATATAGCAAAAGTAGTATAAAGAGGGAAGTTTGTAGCTATAAGTGTTTCCGAAAAACTTCAGTTGAACAACCTAATGATGCATCTTAATGAACTAGAAAAACAAGAGCAGACCAAACTCAAAATTAGTAAAAGAAAAGAGATAATAAAAATCAGAGCAGAAATAAATGAATTTGAAATGAAGAAAATAATATAAAAGATCACTAAAAACAAAAAGTTATTTTTTTGAAAAGCTAAACAAAATTGACAAACCTTTAGCCAGACTTAGAAAAAAGAAAAGACCTAAATACATAAAATTGGAAATGAAAAAAGAGACATTCCAACTGATACTGCAGAAATTCAAAGGATCATTAGTGGTTACTATGAGCAACTACATACTAATAAATTGGAACCCCCAGAAGAAATAAATAAATTCCTAGATGCATACAACCTATCAATATTGAACCATGAAAATATTCCATAACCTGAACAGACCAATAACAAGCAACAAGAGTGAAGCTTTAAAAAAAGTCTCCCAGCAAAGAAAAGCCTGGGACCCGATGACTCTACTGCTGAACCCTACCAAACATTTTAAAAAATACTACTCAAACTATTCTGCAAAATAGAGGAGGAAGTACTTCCAAACTCATTATATGAGGTCAACATTACCCTCCTACCAAAACCAAAGACAAATTTAAAAAAATGATAGATCAATATCACTGATGAATATTGATGCAAAAATTTCCAAAAAAATACTAGCAAACAAAATTTAAAAGAAAAATTGGAATATGGGATCACATTAAGTTAAAAAGCTCTGCACAGCAAAGAAAACAATCAACAAAATGGAGACAACCCACAGAATGGGAGAAAATATTTGCAATCTACCCATTTGACAAGGGATTAATAACCAGTATATATAAGGAGCCCAAACAACCCTATAGGAGAAAATCTAATAATCCAATTTATAAATGGACAAAAGATCTGAATAGACATTTCTCTAAGGAAGACATACAAATGACCAACAGGCATATGAAAATGTGCTCAACATCATTGACCATAAGAGAAATGCCAATCAAAACTACAATGATATATCTCACTCCAGTTAAAATGGGTTTTATCCTAAAGTTAAGCAATAACAAATGCTGGCAAGGATGTGGAGAAAAGGGAACCCTTGTACATTGTTGGTGGGAATGTAAATTAGTACCACAACTATGGAGAACAGTTTGGAGATTCCTCAAAAAACTAAAAATAGAGCTATCATATAATCCATCAATCCCACTGTTGGGTATGTACTCAGAAGAAAGGCAATCAGTATATTAAAGGGATACCTGCACTCCCATGTGTATTGCAGCATTATTCACAATAGGTAAGATTTGGAAGCAACCTAAGTGTCCATCAACAGATGAATGGGTAAGGAAAATGTGGTACATATACACAATAAAGTACTATTCTGCCAAAAAGAAGGAGAAGGAGGAGGAGGAGGAGGAGGAGGAGATCTCATCATTTGCAACAACATGGATGAAATTGGAGTTCATTATGTTAAGTGAAATAAGCCAGGTACAGAAAGATAAACTTCATATGTTCTTATTTGTGAGATCAAGAAAATTGAACTCATGGAGATAGAGAGTAGAAGGATGGTTACCAGAGGCTGGGAAGGATACTGGAGGGGTGGTGGGGGAAGTGGGGATGGTTATTATGTATAAAAATTTAGTTAGAAAGAATGAATAAGACCCAGTGTTTGCAAAGGCAACAAGGTAACTATAATAAAAATAATTTAATTATACATTTAAAAATAACTAAAAGGGTATAACTGGATTGTTTGTACCACAAAAGATAAATGCTGAAGGTGATGAATACCATTTACCCTGATGTGTTTACAATGCATTGCATACCTGTATCAAAGTATCCCATATAACTCATAAATATATACACCTACAATACACTCAGAAAAATTAAAGGAAAATGACCAAATTAAGAGTTTATCTAATCTGATGCTTTCTATTGACAACTCTAAAAATTATTTTTAATTGTGTTAAAACATATTTTTAAACTACACAGTGTTCCAAAAGAGTTTAGCCTTTAGCTGGGTGCAGTGGCTCATGCCTGTGATCCCAGCACTTTGGGAGGCTGAGGTGGGCAGATCACGAGGTCAGGAGATCGAGACCATCCTGGTGAACACTGTGAAACCCCGTCTCTACTAAAAATACAAAAAAAACCAACAAAATTAGCCAGGCGTGGTGGCGGGTGCCTGTAGTCCCAGCTACTTGGGAGGCTGAGGCAGGAGAATGGCATAACCCCAAGGGGCAGAGCTTGCAGTGAGCAGAGATTGCACCACTGCACTCCAGCCTGGGTGACAGAGTGAGACTCCGTCTCAAAAAAAAAAAAAAAAAAAAAAAAAAGAGTTTAGCCTTTTTTCTTACTCAATAGAGAGTAGGTGCACAGCTTTAGTAATAGTAACTAAAGAGATGTGTTTAAATGCTTGCAGAGACTTGACCACTTTTGAATTATATATTAGTAAGTAATTATTTCAAGCCACTTTTGTCCTTTTACATACATTGAATTACAATGTATAAAATGCATCTTTAAGAGTCTTCTTTTTGTTCAGTTGCCATTAATGCTGCGTTTATTCTCCTAACATCATTAGAAACTGTATACATGACCTTTTAGCACTGGAAAGAAGTTAAAATGTAAAATGTAATATAGGATCACAAATCCCAAAGTGAGAAGAGATCTTAGAAGTGCTCTAGTCCAATGAGAAGACATGAAGCGGTGAATTTCTTTGATCACATCTCACATATGTTACGATCTAAGGCTACTTGGAACACCTGTAGTGGCACAATAATATCCTAATTAGCCTGGGGTTCTGCGATTTTCTATACAAGAAGAAGAGGTATTCTTTTAAAACTTAATTCATCATTCCTTGGCTCAAACTCCTTCTCTTGTCACTTAGGTAATTCTAATTTTTTTACCTGGAAGGTCCTATATAATCTATGATGCCTCCCAAAGTCTCTAATCTCATCTTCTACCACTTTCTCTTTTGGTTATTCAAATTCAGCAACTGATACTTGATATTCCTCAACTACTGACACTTGATATTCCTCAAATCCACTGAGCACACATACACTTCAAGGTCTTTGTATTTGCTCTTCCTTTAGGCTCTAATGCTTTCTGCCGAGACCAGCTCAGCTGGGGAGACCCTAACCCAGTGGCACTAGAGGAATTAAAGACACACACACAGAAATATAGAGGTGTGAAGTGGGAAATCAGGGGTCTCACAGCCTTTAGAGCTGAGAGCCCCAAACAGAGATTTACCCACATATTTGTTAACAGCAAACCAGTCATTAACATTGTTTCTATAAATATTAAATTAACTAAAAGTATCCCTTATGGGAAACGAAGGGATGGGCCGAATTAAAGGGATAGGTTGGGCTAGTTAACTGCAGCAGGAGCATGTCCTTAAGGCACAGATTGCTCATGCTATTGTTTGTGGCTTAAGAATGCCTTTAAGCGGTTTTCCGCTTTGGGCAGGCCAGGTGTTCCTTACCCTCATTCCCGTAAACCCACAGCCTTCCAGCGTGGGTGTTAGGGCCATTATGAACATGTTACAGTGCTGTAGAGATTTTGTTTATGGCCAGGTTTGGGGCCAGTTTATGGCCAGATTTTGGGAGGCCTGCTCCCAACAACTTTCCTTCCTAATAACACAAGGCCCTGTACCCAACTTTTTTAAGGATTCTGCAAAAATGTCATCTTAGCAAAACGTTTTTCTTAAACTCTTCATAAATTGTCAGTCCCTCCAAATCCCTATCACCTTATTACCTTAATTTTTGAGTGTAGCAGTATTTATTTATGTATGCTTATATTATATTATACTCACATACTTAATTATATTTATTATCTGTCTCACTCAGCTAGAATGGAAATTCCATGAGGGCCTATGATTTGTGTGCTCTGTTCACTCATGATCGTATTCTAGAAAATTCCCTTACCTTTGGTTTGATTATCAAAAATTAATGCTTGAATGAAAGGAAAACTCATTACCTCATGAGTTGACCCAGTATCTTTTAGACAGATTGAATGATTAGGAAATTATTTGTTATACTAAAAAAAAAAATACTTTCTGCCTCCCATGGACCTGTCTTGCCTATGGAATTCGCCCTACCTTCTAAGTCACCAAAGCCAACTCTAAATGTCTGCTCTCACCCTGCAAAAACCCTTTAAATATTAGAAGAAAGATGCAAATCCCTCCTGAATAAAGACTATCAGTTCCTTTAGTCATTCACCAAATGATGTAGATTTAAATGATTGTATTTATCAATTCCGTCATCCTCCCCTGGATACATTCTAATTCACTATTTTTCCAACTGTAGGCCATGACTTTGAAGTGGGCCATAAAATAAATATGTTGGTTCAGTGTGAGGGGGTAGTATAGGGTTGTGGTTAAGAGTACAGCCATTGGATGATACAAGTTCAGATACTTTTTAATGTGTAACTTTGGGCAAGTGACTTTACCTCTACTTATCTCAGGCTCCTCATTTTTAAAATAAGGATAATGATAATTGTATCTGCCTCATAGGACAATTATGAGAATTGAGGCTTAATCCATGAATGCTAAATAGTGAGCCCTCCAAAACTAGCTGATCTGTGGGAGCCATACTGCCAAAGAGGAGAGAGAGGGAAAGAATGAACCTTTTCTGACTGGGAGCAGAATCTAAGCTATGCCTTACTTTTCCAGGTACAGGTAGAAAGGAGAAAGGGAAAGAACGAAGCTGGTTGTCCTCTCACCTCAATAGGGAATAGCCAGTCCTTCTTATCACTCTGACACTGTAAAAGTGGGTGAGATAAAGTTATCTAAAAAGGAAAGCATTTAGCATTGACAATGAAACATTTTTTTGAACATTTTGCCATCAAGCCAAGTTAAAAATACCATGCATAGTTTTAAGCATTTAGTTCCATTATCACTCACATTACAAATGACGTCTATCTAGGTCACAAGGCAGGACTTGTAAAGGGAAAAATATCAAGTAAATGCAATAATATTATCCCTAATGGATTTTAAAGTGATGAACTCCAGTTTCTAGAGTTCAGTTACATGAAGCTGCATGTTAAATAATCTTTCTTCTTAAAGACATGTTTTAAAGAAGCTTCACTGTCTCAATCCATCATTGACCTCTTCCACACTCCTAAATATACTAAATAGTAATCACTCTGCTGTTTTTATATGAAGTTAAAATAATCAGAGAGGTATGTAACAGGTTTATATAGGCACTAGTTTTTTACTTGGAGCTGAGAATTTTAGATTAACTCTGGTCTACTCCCTGGAGACAGGGCCTCTTTCATGGCTACCAAGCTAGGTTTTGATGAAGCCTTATAAACTGAATTAAGACACAGCTTTTCTGGGAACCAGCACTCCTGGGAAAAGAAACAGGGAAGATCTCTCCCTTTTGCCAAGGGATTTACAACCTGCAAATGAGAAAATATATCACAGTGCTCTCTGAAGCCTCCTCTTCCATCCCAATGCTGATTTTCACACTTTCAAGAGCAGCTCACACAAATTCCAGAACTATTGTTTTTAGTATTACTTTCTTAAGAGTCCCGTTTGAGCTTTCTTTTATTCACTATTTTTTCATTATAAAATAGTGAAGTATCTTATGTGATTGCTGTGTTTTGGCATCACTGCATTTAGCTCTTCTACTAGATCTCTATGTTTGAGCTTTTTAGGTTTCTCATCTGCCTTGCTTTGAAGACTTCCCAACTGGTTATTCCAGCTCAAGTAGCCCCTTCATTCTCCACAAGCTACACAGCACTGCCAGGTTCCTCATCTGCTAATCATGTTCCTGTGAACAGAATCTTTCGAAGATTCCCTTCTACGGATGGAAAATATACCAAATCTTAGAGGTTCTACCATCTGGAATCAAACAATCACATCCCGCACTGTGTTCTAATTCCTTATCCATTTAGATCAGTTTCTGAAACATAAATTTTATGTTTTTGTTCATGTCGTTTCCTTCACTCCCTCCACTTTACCTTCAATTTTGTCTTTCTTTTAAATTCTACAGAACTTTGGAATGAAATATTTTTATGGCAAACTCTCTCCACTCATTTCTCAAGCCTGAAGTTATTCTCCTCTCCTCCAGACCTCGCAGAATTTTATTTGTATCTCTCTTAAACACATTTCATGTTTAACCTCATATTAAGACTATAGGTGACACATGTGCCTCTTTTACCAACTGAAAATATTTTGGGAAATAAAAGGAACCACATTTTGCTTAATTTGATGTCCTTCCCTGTGTCTAACACACTTCCTGCCACATAATGTCTTTTTCTGCCCAATAATAATAATAAAAAAGAATGTTCCTTTTGTCCATTAGATACTAGTGTGAGCTGCCTGAGACCAGAAGAAACAAGTCTATATTGATCATCTTTTCAACCAGCTGCCTAACACTGTACCTTAAACAGAAAATGCTTAATAAATGTTAGCTGACTCATAAAGGAAAACAAAAACACCTGCAACCCTATCCAGTGGACTTTTTATAGAATTACTAAAAACAGTATTGCAACACAGAAATTCAGATACTAGCCCTTATTATGTCATTTAAGTAGAAGGAAAATCATCCACAAAAGTAAAAGCCTTCACAACCAACTTTCTTAGTTTGCTTCATACAGAAATATAAGCTTTGTGAGCTGCCTTTTGAAAGGAGAAGGAAATGTCTGGGGCATTTTCTGTGTATCCCTTTTCAATGTAACTTGGTCAGACATCCTTTTTATAAGCATCCCAACTTACTCATATACAAATTTGCACACAGTACAATGGCCACTAGCACATAAGCAAAATAGGAAAGAGGAAAAAAGGTGGAGTTTCAAAAGTTTTGTTTCTTGCAGGTTGTTGAGGACATTCATGTCACCTAAAGCAATTGTTTGAAATGCTTGTTCCCCGGTGCTGTAAAGAAATACCACTTGAACATTAATTTAATTTAGTCAGGCCATTTTTACTTCCTGCAGAAAGGGTACACTCGCCAGCAGTTTTGCCACAAGAGTACACCGAACAAAGGAGACATGGTCATTTATAACCTGACGTGTCCACGCTACTGCTGTGTCCGGTTTCCATTGGCTGGAACGGGACCTCACCCCGATTAGCTAGCAACTTAGAACTGTTTAAAAGAGGCAAAGGTAGAGGAGAACAAAGGAAGGAGGAAGTAACTTTTGGAATGCTGAAAAAGGTAAAAACACTTTAAAATAAGGAAGAGGAACAGGCTATGACCTAATGCCTGCTCGGACCAGTGTAAGCATGCCAGGGCAAATATTTAGGCTAAATTGTGGGAGCTAAGAACATAAAGTACATTGATTTCTTTATTATGGCTAGCAGATATTTAAGAATGTTAGCACAGGTCTTTGAATAAATTTTGCTTCTAAGAGAAGTTACTATTTATTCCTAATTAGATGGGAAGGAAAGTCATTGAAGAAGAACCTCTACTTTACTTTTTACACAATCAAGGCTATTGTCATCATGCTACTGAGTCATTTTCCTCCAACATTCTATTTTTTAATTCACTAGTGAATTTTCTTAGGCTCTACTATTTATGCTTAGAAAAAAATCAATTCTTTCCCTTTTATTGAAAAATTATGTACAACAAATTATAACTATAACCCAATCTACAAGGTTTAATATAGGCTGCTTTGATTTACTGTCCCATTCATAATCTTCTGATGATTAGCCTCCTTGGAAACAATTTACTCCCTTGCCTAAGTGATATCAAGGTGTTTGTTTTTAATATGTCCAAAATCATCCTATGGACAAATGCATTATTGAAGAATTATATTTTAATTTATTTTCATGCAGTGCTTTTCATGGGCATTTGCATTAACACCATATGATTATGCTTCTTTACACTAGTATCTATTCAAATCGGAAATTACCTGCACATGCAATCTCAGATGGTGGTCAAAAATTGTACAAAGAAGTAAGAATAGGACTTCTTAATATCATACAGCCCTGCTGCTCATCAATGAGGCTTTTTCTGTTCTAATGCTTTTGTCATGTATATTAAAGTCATTATGTAGTTTAGAAAACAGAAGATGAAGTGAAAGAGGAAGATCAGGGACCTAGAATGCATTAATATTCCACCAGCATCAAAGATATTTCCCTCGAGGGGCTCCTACAGGCCACGCTGTTATTACAGTGCCTATCCATTATCTTGTGCTGTTCTTGGTATTAAGACAATAATGGAGAGAATAGGATTATGTGCAGATGATAGGAAATGTGAAGGCAATTCAGCAAGATAGGAAATGAATGGAGACATGATTCTTTCATCGAAGCCAGGGATGGTTTAGCATAGGGTAAGAGAGAAGATAAATGAAGCAAAATGAAATCTTTACAGGTTAGCCAGGGTAAAATGAGTGTTTTCATATAATCCTATGAGTTTAACCTTCTTGATAGAAAATGCCACGGCATCTTTCTTTAAAATCCAAGTATACGTGCCTTAGGAGATGATCTGTTTTTGTTCTGAAATTTCACTTGTTGGAAAAGCTGTCCAGTGCTTACATGGTCAGAAGGTGGCCTGAAGGAGTGGCATAACCTTTTAATTCACTCCCATCACTGAGAAATTCGGGCTGTTATTTAAGATTCCCCGGTGGAAAAGACAAGCCTAGCAACTCTCCTGACCCATCTCTTGCCAAACAATGCCCAGTAATCAAGAGAGCAATAAACTGAGCACCAGACAGGAGAGTTCTATTATGAAAAATGCTTAATCTAGTTTCTCGGAGCCCCCATTTCTTTTGACACTAACCCTTCCTGTCCACACACACACACACACACACACACACACAGGCAGAGGCAATCATCCAGACAGACTTTGAAAACAGCAAAGAAAAGCCCTAGCTTTTTAAAAAGATCACCTATATTGGATACCCAAGGCTAATGTGACTCAAAGGTTGGAATTTCATGATGATGGTGGAGAAACAAGAACGGCAGATTGTGTCATTTGCAGACAGGGCACTGGCATAAATCAATGTTTCTGTTTATTTAAAAAAAGAGAACATTTAATTAAATGAAAGCACACTCATCTACAGACAATATGACAGGGCCAGAGAGAGTGCTTTCTCTGTGTTCACATACTCTGCTTACTCTTCAAACACTGCATTTGATCCTGATTTAAATTGGATAGAAATTCAACCAAACTGGGATCAACAATATAATAACATCCTCTAACTCAAAGAGTTACCAAGGGGAATTGAAGAGAAAATATTAGAGGAAATCAGGATGTAGATACAGTGTATCTATAAGCTTGTCTAAGAACGTGAAAGCTGTGGATATCCAGGCTGCATATGAAATGTTGATTAATACATCCTGCATGGACTTGCACTGCAGGAAACACTACTTAGTTCTACATTCGTTCTTTAGAAAGATGGTTGAAAACTGGTTAAAAAATAACTATATGACTACATAGATAGGTACCTGTACATACTAAACACACACACACACACACACACACACACACACACACACACACACACACACACCTGAAGAAAAAGCAAGCAACAAGATCAGGAGGAAAAGATATTTATGAATTTTCCTCCAAAGCATGGACTTGCTATCTATATAGGGAAAAAAATGCATATATAAAAAGATAATGTAATCAAGACCTTGGACAGCTTTTGGACCTTTTCTTTCCCTTCCCCCAGCCCTTTCTGGGCTCTTTGGCTCGCCTTCCTGGTTTTCTGGTTTTAAAAATGGCTCCATACTGCTCTCTGCTGCTGGTTTATAATTTTCTACTTGGAAAGCTCAGAGCCGTTCCTGCCGCTCTGACTGTATATCAGGTCTTGATTGGAGTGCGTACCTAATGGGACTGTGCCCTAATTTGAAACAAGGCAGACTGGTAGCCCATAGATTTGGACTGCCAATTCCAGCTTCCTGGCTACATTTTTTTCCTTCAAATTATCTAGACTCTTTGACCTTATGAAAATCTTAATTCCAGCCACAGAATCATTTAAATTTAAAAGATTGCCCTGTTAAGGAAATAATGTATTCTTGGGAATCCCACTGTAGGATTCATGTCTCTTGGAAAATGAGGTAGAAGGGAGAGGACATTGTGGAGATGGCTGTAGTGACTAATTAATATCACCTCTTAATAACCACATCACATTGAATGCAATTTCAAATAAGAAAATTAATAAAATAATACATGTGTGATAGAGCCCAGAACAAGGTATGCACTCAATTAATAAGTGATTCGAATCAAATCTAAGCAATTGAATATCCAATAAAGAATTTTAATTTGGGAAAAAAAGTTAACCTTAGGGAAAAGATATTTCAAACATTAGATAAAGCATCAGAGAGTGTTTTGCTCTCCTTTGAAAGTATAAAAATAAAAAAAAGAGTGATTTACTTGCTTATTTATTGTAATACAAAATGCCAGAATGGGCCAGGCACAGTGGCTCATGCTTGTAATCCCAGCACTTTGGAAGACCGAGTGGGTGGAACGTTTGAGGTCAGGAGTTCTAGACCAGCCTGCCCAACGTGGTGAAAGCCCACCTCTACTGAAAATACAAAAATTAGCCGAGCGTGGTGGCAGGTGTCTGTAGTCCCAGCTACTTGGGAGGCTGAGGCAGGAGAAGCCCTTGAACCCAGGAGGTGGAGATTGCAGTGAGCCAAGATCGTGCCACTGCACTCCAGCCTGGGTGACAAAGCGAGACTCTGTCTCAAAACAAAACAAACAAACAAAAAAAAGAAAAGAAAAAAGAAATAAAAAGAAAGAAAAGAAAAAGAAAATGCCAGAATGTTAGGATTTTACCAAATACCACATTATTTTAAGGAGAATAAATTCAAGCATAAAAATGTTTAGCAGGGAGCTTATTCAATGATAACACGTTTCTTTCATCTGGAAATAAAGATGATTATAAAAGACACTTAACAGCTGTAATTGGAAGTTGCAATGTGCGGCAATATGACCACATGACTTCATCCAAGAGCATATGGTCAATTGCATGACCCGGTTTGACAGACAGGAAGTTGTTATAATCCATGTTATAATTTGAATCACATCTAAAGCAAACAACCCTATTACCCTGCTCAACAGAAACATAAAGGAAGGAAATGAAAAGGACGATGGGAAGTAATATGTGACACTGACGGGTATCATTTACCAGGGCCGTTACCCTTGAAATTCATTATAATCTAGAGAGATGCTGTTGCGTAGACACTCCACAGAATCCGGATGGACTCCAACGCAAAATTTGGTTTGGTATTGAGACTGGTAACACCACTCACACATTAAAAGAGGGTGAATAGGTTTATAACTTGCATTATGAAGCTTTCTGTGGAATGCAGGCTACTCATAATCAGGAAAACGGCTTGACAGAGCAGGGAAAAGAGACTGGCTTGGAGTTTTTATGGTATTTAGGGGAGAGGCTAGGCTGAGGCTTCCCACATGTGGTTTGAACTTCCTGCGGATGCCAAAGGGGGGAGAACCTCTTCTTATAAGCATGCAAGGGGAAGGAAGAAGGGGGGATTGAGGCTTAAAAGCTGTCAGCAGTCAAACATCAAAAAACGAAGTCAGACTCTTTGTTCTAAAGGCCTTCGTCTTATATTAGTAGCAGTTCTAATTTATTAGATGATGGTGCAAAGCTCTCCAAACATCATCCAGTCAATACTGAGGGCAGATAGCTCTCTGAATTCAAACTTGGAAGGTAGCCTCTAAAAGGTAATAAGAATCAGTTCACTCTAAGGTACTGAGGGCTTTGGATCCTAGTTTTTGAAGTAAAACAAAAATACACACAGAGAGAGAGAGAACAGATTTTGTTTTGTAAATACTTTTATCCAAGTAATTTTGTTCAATAAATGTGTATTGATGCGCCTGGCTCTGTTCCAGGTGAACTTTATGAATAATATACTGGTTCTGTCCTCAAGGAGTTTTCAGTCTACAGGTAGAGAACATATTCATAAATAAATAATTTCAATATTGGTAATGTTGGAAGTATATATGAAGGACAGAAGGAACAGAGAGTGTTATTATCTCTGTCCTGAAGGCTGAAGAAATCAGAGAAAGTTTCAGAAAGCAGGATCTTCAACAATAGATGGAAGATTACCAGGCAAATAAGAAAGCAAAGAAGATCTGAGGCAAAGAAAAACACCATGGTAAAGTAACAAAAATATAAAATGCCTTGGCGTTTTCGGGTAACTATAAATAGTTCAATATCACTAATGCAGGTAAGGAAGGTGGTAACCAAAAATGAAATTGAAGAAGCAGCCAAAGCCCAGAGGATGGAGGAACTGCCCAGTCATGGGAAAATACTTGGATTTCATTCAATATCTGTTTTAATAGCTTTCCACTTCTTTGATTATATATTTCTAGCAGTACATAAATTTTCTTATTAATCCCCATTATAGGTACATAAATTTCCTAAATTATTTACACACATTAATGACATTTACAGATATCTTGACACACTAACATTTACAATTTCATCATTAGCAATATTTCTAAGCTGATTCTACTCAAGCATGTGGCTATCACCAAGACATAAACAATATCAATTATTTCATTAAGTCAAAAAGAATTGTTTGAAAACAGAAAATAATAACTGGAACTTAAGGTTAAAAACAGAAGACCCAGCAGCTTGAAAACTCTCCTGGAAACAATCTACTCATTTTTGAAAGTTTATTAAGCCATGATATCAGTTGATTTTCATTTCTCTTAGAAACCTACATAAGCAAGCAATCTTCCCTGGCAAAGGGAGAAGAAGATCTGAATTCTCTATAAATAGATATAGTACTTGCAAAGCTTGGAGTTTATACAATTTATTCCCTTATAAAAAAGAATAAATAATTTTGCAAATTTTACAATTTATAATTATGTAACATATTCCTAGGACTATCCCCCAATCTTTGGAAGTGATTCATGTGTGTGAGGTAGTCTGCAAATTATGTTTTAGTAGATGACAATTAAATCTCTCTCTGCTGCTGCCATTATCCTGGGCTCTCCGGAGTTCAACCTGAGTATTCCATCTTAATTTGCAAGAAAGCTGATTTTCATGAAAATCTACATCAACTTTATGGTGAAAAATTTCTTGTCACCAAAAGATTGAAATAAAACACTTGAAAACTAATGGACCAACAGAAAAAATGGGCTATTTGCTTTTGGAATTATTTTACTAGCATTAGTCAAAAATTAAAAATGAAAACATTAAAGATGACATGAGCAACAAGTATAACAATGTCAATGCAAATTTCATAAAGATACTGCAGCATTGTACAATATAGTTGGGATCTAAAGTCATGTTAGAAAACTGCTTAGGAGCCATTTCTCTTCCAACTATTTACAAGTAATAAATGTGTTTGGTAAATAAAATATATTTGTAAATTTTCAAATAAATATTTGCTGCCAACACTATGCACTGACTTCACACAATATGTTCAATAGCATTTGAGGTGAAGTTCTACAGCAGGAGACCTTGGCAACTCTTTCACTCCATCTAAAATAATCCTGTAGTGAAGAATCTCCCACTTTAGAAAGGAATGTATGACATATTATAAATTGCTATTTAAAAACAAAGCATGCAGTAGTTGAGAACATGTACACCAAGCTCTACATGATACACTTCTTTATTTTTTTTGCTCCACACTTCTAGTAGACAAATGATGCTACATGGAAACATGTACATTACTGTGCATTATGCTTCAATAAATAGTAATTTTCATGTATATGTTATTATAGTTTTTCTGCAAAAATCACTAAAAATTGGTATTTACCAAATGTACATGATACCAACTATTATTTTTTTCCTATCTGTTATGTGGTATCAGGTACCAAGAAGCATAACCAAACAGATGCACAGACTTACTATGTGAAGGATTGTTTTTACACTGAATCCAGACATGCCATCTAGTGAATTATTGTAAAATTATTCACCTTCTGGGTTGAAAGCTGGGGACAAAGGATAGGGATTAATATTACACCTAAGTGTAAATTATCCTAGAGTAAATTGGAAGCAATTTATTTATACTATAATTACTAATGTGCACTCTTAAGCACTAACAAGATTCTAGAACTTTACTGGACAACTCTCTTCCTCTGGGACTTATTGAAGTAAAAGACAATGAGATATTTCAGGGCTCTATTTCCACCCAAGGGCCAATAATGTACACCATGAAACAAAAACTAATGTTGAGTGAAGGCTGATGTACATTGAGGACCTCCTGCTTATTCATTAATGAGGATGATGTCACCAATCAATAGAAAACCTGTTTTATGAAAAACTGGTTTTCTATTGATCAAAGAGGTTACAGCCTTTTGGTGCTATTTTGACTTAACAATGTATTCCAATGGCTTTATTTCTACATAGAGAAAAAGTCTTCATAAATGTTAGTTTCATCCCCACAAATCTTTAAAGAGCCCCCATTCCACCTTACAACATTGTCCATAAGTTTTCTTGTTTCCTTTCTTTTGTTCCTTTCATTATCATATTTATTTTTTTTATTTTTCTCCTTTTCAGAAAATCATACTTAATCTCAACACTCCTTCTCTTAGAACTACAGATTTTCTCTTTCCATGACACTTTTCATATAAATTGCTTCCATGTTTATTTGGTGCCCATATTTTAATTGATTTCTATTCCCACCACCATTCTGTAGTTAGATTTAAGCATCTAAAGAAGCTTTCTTATCTTCCACCAAGTCAGCTTTTCTAAGGATGTGTTAATGACTGACAGGAAGGACTGCTGGAGGTGATACTGACTCAGCAGACTCACCATAGATGAATAAACTATGGAAATGTCAGTTGTGGAAGGAAGGGGAAACTGGAAGAATGGTCTCAACTAAATAACAACAAAATAAATAAATAACTTATTGCAGCTAAGTTTCCTAGTTTCTAGACAGCCATAGCCACAAGTTTCAATGTAAAAAAATTCTATTTTAAATCATTCATTTAAAATACTACTCTATCTTACATTACAAGTAATTAGCCCAACCTCATATGCCACTCTAAATGTATGTTTATATTTTTAAAATTTTTTCCATGTGCAATGTGTATTAATCTTATTTTGGCTTCATGATTATCTTACATACATTTGAGCAGAACTTTCAGAAGAAAAATACAACATTGATTTAACTCCTTTGTTTATTCTGGGATTAAAATAAAATGTCATGAACTTCACTTTACTCATAACGAATTGAATATGGCAGAACATTTCTAGGGAATAAGTGACAAGATTTTCCTATTTACCTATGTTCCTAGACCAGCCATAAGGTTATTTGGAAGGCTACTGTATTTTCTTAAATCCACACAGAAAGTTCTTTTAAAGAAAGGTGATAGAAGAAATATTAAAGAAATTTGATATATATTGCAATCTCCTGCCTCTACTGAAGACATCAGAGAAAACTCTAAAGACATCAGTCACTTTATGTTTTCTACTGGATCCTGGAGTTCACTGGAGAGAGCTTCTATTTGTTGAAAAACTTATAACTTAGGCATGGTTTTAAGTATTTTAATTATATAATCAACATTCCATATCAGTTAAATTTTATCATCCTCATATTATAGATGAGGAAACTGAGGCTCAACATTAATTAAGGTGCTTAAATAAAATGAATAGTAAATAATGGATTATTAATATCAGGTAAAGTTCTAATGACACATTCTGTTAATATCTATTATATTAAAAATATTGTCTAGTTTGCCAGGCACAATGGCTTATGCCTGTAATCCCAGCACTTTGTGAGGCTGAGGCAGGAGGATCCCTTGAGCCCAGGAGTTTGAGGCTGCAGTGAGCTATGATCATGCCACTCCACTCCAGCCTGTGTGATAGAGTAGAACCCTGTCTCTAGTGTGTGTGTGTGTGT
Organism: Homo sapiens; assembly: GCF_000001405.40. NCBI lineage: Eukaryota > Metazoa > Chordata > Mammalia > Primates > Hominidae > Homo > Homo sapiens. Next base: position 95,947,103 of record NC_000001.11, on the reverse strand, counting down.
GTGTGTGTGTGTGTGTGTGTGTGTGGTCTAGTTTAAAGCCAATTTTAATTTTCTTATATTGAAATTTAATCTTAGAATGTGTGCAGATTGGATTACCTCTAAACAATTGGTCCTGTCAGATTTGTCTAGCCAAATCGTGTAGTGGGAAGTGGATCACTGGTCCCACCACCTAAGACATGTGGCACTTCTGGCAGTCCTTAACCAGTCAGAACAAATACATTTCTCTGCAACAGCCAAATGGACTCAGGTTTGATATGAATATTAATCAAATCAGGAGGTGTACCCCATGAAACAAGTCTTAAACATAAATTTTGTTTCTCTCTCATGTAAACTTTTGCCCATAGGCTGTTTAGTGGAGAACTCATTTTAGATTCTAATCTCAGTGTGAAAATGCAGGCCACATCAAAGAAAACCCAGCCAAGCGCACATTAAGCATTGCCCAAGTGGATCCTGCTATTCCAGAAGTGGATGTCCAAAGGAGAATTAGGTGACCAGATTAGCAATGGTGAATTTTTTGAGAAATCCATGAACTAAGGAAAAATCCCTTGGGCCACATACTGCTTGAGTACATGATACTTAAATTCTGCCTATAGTTTGCCATTTGTCATAATGCTTAGACATTTTAGCATATAAAACTATCATAGAAATAAAATACAAAACAATGAACAATAATGTCTTAACAGGCAAAAGATATGAGTTAATTCACAAAAGAAAAAAAGCAAGAATACTTGATAAATTAAGAAAAATATTGCTTTACTAAAGAAATGAAAATTTAAACAATGACTTAACCATTTGTTCCTTATTAGACAAAAAAGAGACAATTCCCTTAACCATTTGTTCCTTATTAGACAAAAAAGAGACAATTCCAAAGATTTGTCATATACTTGAAACTCAAAAAGGCATATGTACTTTTTTAAACAACTGGACAGCTGTAGCACTAATTCCTCTTGCTACTTAGCCTAAGGAAATAATTGGACAAATACTTAAATGCGAATATATACAACTAGCATTGTTCATAAAAGAAAAATATCTAAATGTCCAACAGTTTGGTATTAGTTGAATACATTTTAGCGCATCTGTATAATTATGAAGCTACTAAACATCATCATGAAGAATGTACAGATGAATACACATAGAAAGATGGCCTAATACACATGTCTATTAAATGACTCTTTTGCAGAAAGGAATCTGGAATGATATATCCAAATGCATGAGTGATGAACTCTAAAGAGTCAGATTATTCACAATATGGTCTTTCTTCTTTTTTATTATCTACATCATCTAAAGTTTCTACAGTAAATATCTATGAAGTTTGTAATGAAAAACCTTTTTGTTGAACGTATCAAAATCAGATTAAATTATGAAACTATAGGAATACAAAGGGTTTAAGACTCAGTGGCTAAAACTAAAAAATAATTTAATAAAAGTTGCAGATAAAAATTTTTCTGAGCTAGAGGTTTTATGCTCTATTCCAATTTTTCAAAAGAAGAAATTTTTCTTGTAAGCCGGAGATGTATAAACAAGGGTCTAAAACCAATTTTCATCAATCACTGAAAGAAAAGGTAAAACATAAATATTCCATGTCTTCAAATGTAATCGGATTCACATGCTTCAGATACACAAATTAAACTAACTTTGTGAAATACCTGCTTTTTGTTGCACACTCTTGTGCATATATTTTTATTTAAAGCTCCTACTTCATAAGAGGTAGCATTATTTCCCTAATTTCTGAGTGAGAAAAACAATGGCTATGTCAAAATAACTGTGAATATATTATACAGAATATCACGAATCAGCATGCCTCTGCAGTTTATCAGATTAATCTTCAAACACGTTTAAAACAACAGATTCCTAGACCCTAATCCAGATGTACTCAATCTGAAGCTCCTGGGCTATTTGAATGTTTAAGTTGGGTTTAGAAATCACTAGACTGGGCCGGGCGCGGTGGCTCATGTCTGTAATCCCAGCATTTTGGGAGGCAGAAGCAGGCGGATGACAAGATCAGGAGATGGAGACCATCCTGGCTAACATGGTGAAACCCCGTCTTGACTAAAAATACAAAAAGTTAGCCAGGCGTGGTGGCAGTTGCCTGTAGTCCCAGCTACTTGGGAGGCTGAGGCAGGAGACTGGCGTGAACCTGGGAGGCGGAGCTTGCAGTGAGCCGAAATCACGTCGCTGCACTCCAGCCTGGGCGACAGAGCGAGACTCCATCTCAAAAAAAAAAAAAGGGAAATCACTAGACTGAATCAATCTGGGTGTCCTTTTAGAGACTAAAACTTAAAGTAGATGGGGAGATGTAGGTCAAAGGGTAAAAACTTGCAATTACGTAAGATGAGTAAGTCTAGAGATCTAATGTATAGCAGGAAGATTATAGTTAATAATAGTGTATTGTGTATTGAAACTGTACTAAGAGATTAGATTTCAGATTCTCTTATCACACACACACACAAGAGGAAACTATGAAAGGTGGTGGATATGTTAATTTGCTTAGCTGTAGTAATTATTTCTCTGTGTATATGTATATCAAAACATCATGTTGTTTACCTTAAATATATAAAATAAAATATAAATTTTAAAAATAAAAACAAACTTAAAATAGAAACCTCTCTCTAATCTGGGTCTCCTTCTCCTGAGATATTGATATCTTTAAGCAAGTATGGTCTTTAAACCTAGCAGGAGAGGCTTCGGCTTTCTTAAAAAGCATTTGATGCCTTTCTCACTCAGGTTCCAGTACTCCATACTGGCAGAGTAAAATTTGTAATCCTTAAATATAGGCGGTAGCCTCTTATATAACAAACACCATTTCCCAGTAGCACCAAGAGTCCATTTTCTTCTTCATGTTCCTATTCACAGTCCCAGGAAGATGCATGAATTAGAAGAGTATTCACAACTATTGCATCTGGTGGCTCAGGAACTTTTGGCAATATTAAAAAAAATTCATATTACTCTTCTGTACACACATATGTGTGTGTGTATGGGTGTAGTATGTAAACATTTTCAGTTTTGTTACTTTGAAGGTATTATCAAAGTAAAAATCAAAATTTCCTTAAAATGCTGAATTGATTTTAACATTTAAATATTTGAACATGTAATATATAGGCTTCCATATGCAGTCCTGCCCTAGGATTCACAAATGTTAGGACTGGGTCTGTTGTCAGTCAATATTCCGTTATGACTTTCAGCTTCTGGCAATTCAAACGTGATTTTATGATGCCTCGTCTGTTAAGAATAGAGTGGTAAGAACAACCTTTCTGTGTAGTGACTCTCTCTTGTCTTGCCTATCTCAACTTTATGTTTTGCACTGATTCAACTATCTATTGATATCTAGATCTAATAATCTACAATCTTATAGAAATTTATGTATTTCTGTAAGCAACTGTAAAATATTTTTTAGAAATAAAATAGGTTAGAAAGGAAAAGAAGGGGAGGCAGGAAAGCGTAGACAAAGAAGGAAGATTCAAATTAAGATACACCCGAGATGAGATGTCTATAAAGTGATAGAGCACAAATTTAAATATAGGTCTATCTTCAATTTCAATTAACATTTCATTGTATCACACTTGCAATGTTTTTGTAAACCAAGGTCATTATCACACTTTCAATATTTTTGTAAATCAAAGTCATATGCCCTAATATTAATGAAGTTACTTTTCCAGATATATTTAAAATTCAATTAAAAAAATGTTAACAATATTATGAAAAAGAAATCTTTAAAAACATAATAAGCATTCACTTGCTTTAGGATTATCATTATGAGCATCATTTATTCTTGTGTATTATATATAAGTGGTCCTAGTCTTTCAAATATTTGATTTTTTACAACTGCCAAATTCACAGTTTCTTCATTCATTAATTGATTTGTTCAGCAAAATATTTATTGAGCATTTATGGTACGGCAATGAACAGTAAAAGTAAACAATTCCTGTTCTCATTTTGCTTATTTCCTAAAGGGGTACAGACATTAAGAAAAAACATTGAAAACATAAATTTACATTGTATGTTATAGTACATATTGGTGGTCAGTACGATGGAAAAAAGAAAAAGTAGATGAAGGTAAGCAGGACTGAGAGTCTTGCGTTAGCTGAGTGGGAATTATAAATTTAAATAGGGTGGTCACATAGAACTAACTGACAAGGTAAGGGCTCAGATAAAGGCTCGATTGGGTGATGTATGTGGCTGTCTGGGAGAGGAGACTTCCAGGCGAAGTGATGGCAAATGGCAAAGGGAGAGATGGGCTGGAGTCCAATAGCCGTAGAGTAAGTAATATCCCTAAAGCACCCTCCAGGCATCAAATTAGATCTTTTAAACAACTGATCAATGATATTTGTCTACATCATGGTGTTGCTTTCTGGCTTACATTCATAGAGAAGAGTGCTTGTACTGTGAATGCCACATAGCACGGCCATAGTCATGAGCGCCACCATTCTTTGAGGTTGCTGCAAAAGTAATTGCGGTTTTTGCGATTACTTTTAATGGCAAAAACCGCAATTACTTTTGTACCAAACTAATAGAAGCCAGTGGATAGGTGGTCTCCATGAGCTTGCCTACCCAGTTCAGCCTCCATATCAGCAGATGCCACTCTTCTGGTCCAACCTCCCTGAAGTTTTCATCGTCCTCAGTTTCTCTTTAGGCATGGCCAGACAAGATTGGGTGTATGTGGGGAGGCTTATCGTATACTCCAAAGGGTTTTTTGTTTGTTTGTTTTTGTTTTTTGAGAAGGAGTTTTTTTTTTATTATTATACTCTAAGTTTTAGGGTACATGTGCACATTGTGCAGGAGTTTTTCACTCTTGTCGCCCAGGCTGGAGTGCAATGGCGTGATCTCGGCCCACTGCAACCTCCACCTCCCGGGTTCAAGCGATTCTCTTGCCTCAGCCTCCCAAGTAGCTGGGATTACAGACGTGCGCCACCATGCCCAGCTAATTTTTGTATTTTTAGTAGAGATGAGTTTTTTTAAGTCTGTGCACCTATGTACTCAAGGTAAGTAAGCGTCCTGGAGGAGAGGTTTAAAAATTAGGGGCTGTTGGCCTGGCGCAGTGGCTCATGCCTGTAATCCCAGCACTTTGGGAGGCCAAGGCGGGTGGATCACGAGGTCAGGAGATCGAGACCATCCTGGCTAACACGGTGAAACGCCGTCTCTACTAAAAATAGACAAAAATTAGCCGGGCGTGGCAGCGAGCACCTGTAGTCCCAGCTGCTGGGGAAGCTGAGGAAGGAGAATGGCGTGAACCCAGCAGGCGGAGCTTGCAGTGAGCCGAGATAGCACCACTGCACTCCAGCCTGGGTGACAGAGCAAGACTCCGTCTCAAAAAAAAAAAAAAAAAAAATTAGGGGCTGTCCTCCAATTTTTCAGACAAAATTTCTCTGGATCTTCTGAGTCCCATGAGAATACTACTGGAAGACCAGAATCGTGGGTTCCCAGAAATCTGTGAAGTTTTTGTCTGTCTGTCTGTTTGCTTAAAACCAAAGGGCATATTTCATAATTGTAACTTTGTTCATCATGCTATGGCTGCCGGAGGACAGAACACTGCCTTACCAAGTAAAAGTCTGTTTTATAACTGTGAGTCATCAATACTCAAAAAATGTCCAGAAATATATTCATGAAATTGACAGGGTGCCTGCAACTTTTAATCTTATGACAATGTTTTCTTGCTTGTTATTATGGTAGCACAATTTCTGCCACTAAAATCTTCTTCCTCTCTTTACCCTTTCCTTGCTTATGACATGGAAAAGAGTTCAGACTGGTTGTGAGTAAATCTACTGACGGTTTTGATTATGTCATAAATTTGCTTTCTAATCTCAGACAAATCACTTACTTTCTCTGAACCCTAGTTGCTTCAAACCTGTAAGAAGGAAGTTAATAATTACCTCACTAAATTGTTTTGAGTGTTACATGAAAATTACAAGAAAATGCTTTCAGAATGGTTAAGTCTGCAAGGAAGAGTAGGTAGTTTACTAAGGACATGAGATTTTTTTTTAAATGTAATATAATTCCGGACGTTTTAAGCTCCCTGGAAAGCAACCTAATTTAAATAGCATTATTAATTCCTATTAGATTACTATTTTGCTCCTAGAAAATGTTAAGATGCTGGCACTTTTTTTCTAGAGACTAAAGACATAATGAAGACAGGCAGCCCAAAACTGGGCATCAATGAACAAATACTTTTAGTGAAATAAAAAGCAGGAAAAGTTTAGCATCTTTGAGTTTGTTCTCCCTGCAATGTGACTACTGTGGGAAATCTTGCATCCTCTCTCTCTGGGATGCAAAACTTTGTGATTACAAAGAGAATAATTGGGCTTTAAAAAAATATTGTGTGTTCACCTGGTCGTAACAACTTTATTGTTTAGAAATTCTCTCTCTCTCTCTCCCATTCTTTTTCAGCTTGTTGCTACCTCTGTAAATAGAAATCATATAATCATACAACCTTTCATGAAGAATCTTTTGATTTTATAATCAGCATTGAAAACCAGAAAAAAAAGTCATTAATTAATAGGCTTATTTCCCCTTATTTTGAATTCCCCTTTGATTTATTTAAAAATAATTCTTCTTTGGTTGATATCTGTGAAGAAGGCTTTTTTGGTGGGAGTTTGCTTCATCTGTCTAGGAAGGCCTGCAAAGGCTCACTGTTATTTCACATCTCAAAGCTACACACGTGCAAATACCTACTAATGATAAAAAGAAGGATATATCCACAAAGATACTAGGCACCATCTGGAGAAAACTCCTGACTGTGAGAAAGAGAATAATCTATTGTTGAATTTACAGGACTTTTTGTTTTTATCTTTTTTTCTGTCTTTCTTTCAAATACAACTTCTGCAGTGAGGATGGTGGGAAAAAAGGAAGAGAATAGTCAGAGAAGGGAGCAGAAAAAGGGGAAGAAGGGTTAAAGGATATATCAAAGCCAGAAAAATACTCTTGCAATACATCTTATAAGAAATACTCCTTGAGTCAGATTGAACTGATAAAACTCTGAGCTTCCTGGGTTGAGGGAGGGGGGAAGATGCAGAAAGAAAGAAGCATAGCTCTCTTGCTTTGGGAATTACAGAACCTGAGGCTCTCAGGTGAAAACTAATGAATGAATCAAGTGAAATGCATGATTACATCCTCTAAAGCTTTGATTTGAAGGCAGCTTTTATTAAATCGCAAACAAGATTATTGCCCATCCCCAAGCAGAGAGTAGGGAAGAGGAGTACCTTTCCCCCAAGGAAAGCAAAACCAATACAGTAACTCTTTTTGTTGGGCACTGACTTCTGTTGTATACATTCTAAAAATGATATCAGTCATTTAGAAATCTCTAGTGCAGAGCGAATAGTTTTTTATTAAAAAAATTATATAACAGTTTAGACTTAGATGTAGCCACATGACCATTTGGGTAAAGGTGATTTATTTCTTTTGATCAAGAGCCCTCTCATGATTTCTTTACATAGGGATGTGTTTACTTTTGTTATGTACACATATGTACACAGACATTCAAATATGAATATAAAAAATCCTTTTGAAAGGATAAAGAAACAAATGTTATTTCTACCATGCAAGCTCTAAAGCAGTACTTCATAGAGTATTATCTAGAGAAAAGGTACTTCAGAATTATCTGAAGATGTCTATAAAAATGCAAATTTTTAGGTGGCTGCAGACCCAGTGAATCAGAATTTCTGCCATAGGTCCTAGTCAGTGCCTAGGTGGGGCCTGAGGGGCATTTTTATCAAGCAAACTTTATGTGTATTAAAGTTTGTGAACCACTGCTCTAAATGTGCCTTGGGATCTAATTGCGGCTGTAGCGGATGTGTGCAAATTAGGCACATTTATTGAGCACTGTATTAACTCTTAGAGGTGACAACATTAGATATTCTGACATAGAATGTGGGAAGCCGCAGGAAAAGAAGAATGTGTGCATCTCAGAAAAGAATTCCTGTGGCGTACAGTAGACATTGCTGCTGTTGAGTCTGTATGTAATCCAGCCGTTCCATTTTCAGTTATCACTGCACAGGGAACATGAAGGGATTGGACCTAGATTCACTTACACTATGCTGGTCTGAGAATATCTGGGCAAAGAAATCACATAAAATAATTTCCTGGAGTCAAAATATCTGAGCTCTGTTGCTGGATACATTGCTCTCCCTTGCATTTATTAAGTACTTCCTGCATGCAAAGCCTACTCAGAGATTTTTTTATTATTATCTTAATAGGCACAAATTACGATATTTTCTTTGGGTAAATTTATACCTAACTCTGATTCCAGCATTGGGAATGCAGGAGAAGTAAAAGAAAGAGTTTGACCTTGGCTTGGCAGAAGAAAAAGCTGGAACCACAAGAAACATAATTAGTGATTATCGACAAGTTTTCTAAACTTCCTATTATATTGGTGATAAAAAAGAGAAATATATTTATTAATCTATGTGTAGATGAATGACTGTGTCTGTTACTTCCAAACATGTTTAACAATAAGATATAAACACTAAAGTCAGCATGTCTGAAAAACACTTATCTAGCAGAAAGGAAATTGTGTGGTGATAATTTGACAGCATGTTATGTATATTCACAAAATATATGTAAAAGATCAATGAAAGTCCAGCGAAAAAAGTCTAATTATATCCCACTTTCTATCTAAAAAATTTTATTCCATTTCTCTTAAAGCAAAATTGCCTAACACCTGAAACATCTCTTAATTAAAAAGAAGAAAACTGGTAATTCGGGAGGTCCAAACATGCTAAATAATGGTAGTACATAAAATTGGAAAATAAGAGAGGCTAGAAAGGCATGGGCCATAACTGGCTGGACAGTGTTGAATCATTGCATTGTGCAGTGTTGAATTATGCCCTATTTCTTAATTATTTATATTATTACATGTATTGTTTTCCTACCTCCCAGAAGAGCAGAAATTAATAGTGGATTAATAATGAATTTTGTCCCCTTGTTCCTCATTCCCATGTATATCATCATTAAAGTAGATGTCTGATAAGGCAGTTACTGTGGGCACACAGAACAAAGAAGGGAGACTCGCTATGGAGACTTTCCTGAAAAAGTACTTGAGACAACTGTCCCTTGCTTTTTCACTCACCATGATTCCATGAGTTCAGGTCTCCACACTAAAGATGACTTGGAGAAGCAGATGAGCAAACATAATCACTAGGTTTAAATTCATCAAGCAGACTGATCCAAAAATGAAAACGAAATTTCCATTGTTTGCCAACCATTCAATGCTGCAGAGAAAGAGGAATGTGAAAGCTTTTCAGCAGCTCAGGCTACCTCTAGGAATATCTAGAGATAAGAATTTTAAGAAATTACACAGAAGGTCATTTTCCCTTTAACCAGTGCTGTTGAACACTGACAGCAGACTATGAGAGGGTAGTGATATGATCACATGAGCATTCTGAAGGAAGACTTTCCTGTATATACCTTCAAATGTATCATAGTGGTGGCAAGAACCCTAAGTCTTAGAGATTTATGTTAAAGTACATTCCACTGGTATCAGATCTTAAAAGAATCCTCCATAGAAATGTCTTTTTTTAAGGCTAGGCTAATAAAAAATGAGACAGTCAGAGCCATCTTATGAAATAATCTACTAGGTCCCTGTTTTGTTCCCAGGATGCACATTCATTTCAAAGTAAATCTGGAAGGAGTAGACTCAAAATTCAACATATAAAAAAAGAGGCAGTGTACCCAGCATATGTTGTATTTCAAGGAAGCTTCAGTTTATCTTGAATATTATTTGTCATTCCCTGTGAAACCTAAAGTTTCAGAGCCCTCAGTTGATTTAAGAGCCAACAATTTTGGGGTGTAGCAATTGGGAAAATTGTGTATGTGCACTTGCACACTCATACACATACTATATAGGCACGTATACAGACAAAAGTGTTTAGATGGCAAATTAAATTAAATATGGTAGTTGAGATCTTTAACTTACTCTTATTTGACTCATCCATTTTTCACATATTAATATTTCTATTCATAGTAATTGATTACTATTATTTGTACCTCTCCAATACCCATTTCTCTTTTCTTCTCATAGAATTATTTCCCACATAATCATTCATCTTGCTTTAGCTTTTATGGCAATTTCACCCAGAAGCTTTGATCAATTAGCTCTAATAACCCCTCTGACCTAGAGCATTCCAGAAAATTTGAGTTAAGAGTAAGGTATTCAGATATGCAGTTAGCTATAACTTGCTGGGGAAGATCATAGCTGTAGAATTCACACCCGGGTTCTAGTAGATTTGTACCCCTAAACTTCTGGTGTTCATTGGTAATAACCTCTAGACATATAAATATTAATAGTCCTATATCCTTTTTAAAATTTCCAGCTTAAGGGTATTTCCAGGGATTATGCTGTTTTAGATACCTTCAGTTCCATTGGTCAAAAATTGCTCAGGATAACCAGATAGGAGAGTGAAATCCAGGTTTTTCTCTATAATCCCTAAATACTTCAAAGCTGTAAAACCAAGATTTTAAGTAAATTTAGTTCAAATTCTATTTTTGTTTATCTCTCTTAGTATAAATATTCGTGTTTCTCCACCGAGATATTAATGCATTTGATAATGGGTGCTACTTCTGCTGGGGGTATTAAATAACATACATGATATTATGTAATATAACTTAGTCTGAGGAAATAAACAATTTAATTCCTAGATGCTTCTGGTTCCATGAATGTCAAATAAGAGGCTACAAACTTATACTTGCTTTAAACAGTTTTCATACAAAGAAAGTGGACAGGTTTCTATAAGGTACAATACTTTCCCCAATGAGTATGTTATAAATAACACACAATTAAAGACAAAACAATCATAAAAGAGCCAGTGATTAATCCACTCCTCCTAGCCTATCTCTCTCAGTTGGTGTGTACTAAATTCCTCCCATTTCTAAGCTTAGATACTCGGCCATGAGATGGGGGAGGGAGAATTCTGCCCTCTTTTAGCAGTACAGAATCCTTTTCCTTCATGCTTGAAAGAAGTGCTATAGAAATTTTCTGAGGATTTAAGCAAGGGGGATGGTGCAAGATGCAATTAAGATGACACAAATTCTAAGTGTGCACCCCCACTGGAAGAGGGGGGACTCAGGAGCTAGACTAATAGCCTAGCTATTTTGACAATGTTTTAATAAGCCTATTCTGAGTTTCTGCTGTGGATCTGCTTCCATTTCTGCTTTTCTGCCACGTTGTGATATAGCACAGGGCCTTCACTGGAAGCCTAGCAGTACCAGTGCCATCTTCTTGGAATTTCCAGCCTCCAGAATTATGAGCCAAATAAACCTCTTTTGTTTATAAATTACTCATCTTCAGGTATTCTGTTGTAGTGGCTCCAAATGGACTAAGACAAGCACCCAACACCCACTTGCTTCTCTAGCCTCATGTTTTGTCTCATTCCCCTAAGCAGTCCTCCAGGCACCCTGAACTCCAGACTCTATGAGCCACTTGCCATTTCATGCATATCCTATGCTGTCTCACATAGGTGTGTTTGTGTGTCCTGGGCTTTCTTCTTTTTGTAATGTCCTGTCTCTACTTCTCCACTTGGTGAATCTCTACTCACTCTACTCACCCTTCAAGACTCAGCTCCCATATCTCCATAGCCTTTGTACAGGACCCAGACACAGTGAGTGAGCCACTCTTTTATGCTCCTACAACATCTTGTTCATAGGATAACTTATTCTATAATATTGTACTTAGCATGTCAGTCCTCCATATCCTCTGAACTCCTTGAGGATGAGATAGGAATCTTATCTCATTTATCTTTGTATCATCAGTGCCTGATACAGTATTTAGTGCAGAGTGTGTGATCATTTGATGCTTTTTGAAAAAGAATTCATGTATAAATATTATACTCAAGGAAAAAAATAACAAGGTCTTCCACCAAGAATCATCTAATAGCCACTAAGTATGCCTGTAAAAAGCATGTACTTACCTGGAAGACTGAGAACTGTCCTTCTGCATTTTGGCCATAAACACTATGTTACTAATTCACAATTGCCAAATGATAAATATGTCACACCACAATTTAATAGAAGATATTTTGTGTATAGCCTGGTTGATATATGAACTAATGAAATTATTAATTATACCTTTTTCTTCTCTCTATATCCCCAACATCTTCCTTCAAACCCCAGCAAAGTAAGTTTGTTCTTAGAAATGACAGTCATTTTGAGGCTAACCTGAAGAGATCCTTATTTTAGAATATGTATCACCATAAACCAGAAGTATCTTAATAATACCTCATCATTTCTGATCCACCTTCTTTCCTTTCATTGCTTTCTGATTACTCAAATTCCATTGCATTTTATTTTAACTGGAAATACCCGTATCTATGCATATATATTATACGTATTATGCTAGAATGACTGGGACTGCCTATATAATTAAGCTAAGGCTTTTCCTTGGGGAAATCCAGTAAAATTATCTTTCATTACATTTCTAAAATACTATTCATTAAAAGCAGAAATAAACTTTTATACTCATGGCTAACAATGCAGAAAAGAGTCTCCACCCTGAAGCTTATCTCAATTTCAGAAAAGAGGGGGGATTTTCCAGATGAGTTGCTATTTGATTTGATTTTCACCACAATTACTATCAAGATCTTTCCCCCAGCAGCTTTTTTTTCCTGATGGTTTTAAGCTTTGTTCCTGTACCCCATTTTCTGAATCAATGTGTTTTCTAAAAACACTGCTCAATTACTGCTTATTTGAAGTTTGGAACTATCTGCAATGTCATTTCTGATGAACTGGTCTATTTTTAGTCATGGATGCCAAAAGAGTGGAAAGAAGAAAAAAAATCCCCCTTTTCCCTGGTGTTCTGTCCTTCTTTCCTGCTGCTGAATTCATTGTTTTGATTCCTTCATGTGCTGGCAAACTTTCGAGCACGCCATATGAGAATTTAAAAAATGAAGCTCTCATTTAGGAGTCACACAGTGGTGATATACACACAGAGCTCCAATTTAAACCATTATTGCATACCATCTTTTTCCTTTTATAATAATCCATTAAACGCTTTCAAGTATGGAGAAGGAATAGCAACCTGTAGATCCAAATGGAACCCAGATGACCTATAAAATACATACTGCCTCCCTGCCTGAGTTGTTAGAGCTCTCATCTCTAATGGATGGCATTGTTATTTTACCGTCCAGACAACCACACACATCAATTATACATTCTCCAATGTCATGAATCACTTTTTGAAGGCAACCTGTCTTTCGGTTGTTATATATGTCACTTTATCTTAACCTCTCAACAAAATTCAGTTTGTGTGTGTGTGATAAATGATGATGTCCTTGTTTTAAATATATTAATTGACAATTAGAAAATATTTTGAGAGAAGGTTTAATGTTTACTCTTCCAAGCATAGATTGTACAAAAATTGATTCAGTAATTTTCTGACAGCAACACTCAAAAGCACAAGGTATGGCAATTTTTTTTAGAAAAACACATTTACATTGCTTTGATTTTGTGAGTTAAAGCTTAGTTTCTCATTTACACATGTATGCACACACATACACATCTATCTTCTTCTTCAAATATGTTTTACGCTAAGATTGATAATCAAAATATGTAGTCTCTTATAAATAGCACACAATTAAAGATAAAAAAATTATGGAAGAGCCAACCCTTATTTTTAAAACCATCTCTCCAAACAATCTTGGGTGGTATTGACTGACGCAGGAGGTAGATGAGGGAGGTCCCCAGAGAATCTCTGACCCGCCCCACAAGTGATTACATCAGATGCTTTCGTGGAGATGAGGAAACCTGCCCAGGTCTTGTCTGCCCATGCCCACAACAGACTGGGGAAGATCCACCTGCACACTGGGAAAATGGGTGGAGCCACAGGAAGTTCACGCCTTGTGCAGGGGGAGGAGCCTGGCCTCTTCAGCTTCTGCGTGGTGGTCTGTGGTATTCAATCTGTGAGTTGGGAGCCTGTCGACAGGACTCCCTTTTGCTTTGCTGTTTTTTTTGTTTGTTTTTCCTTTTCACCCAATACGTTCTGCTTTTGTCACCCTTCAGTGTGTCTGCGTGCCTAATTTCTCCTGGTCGTGATACAAGAACCCAGATTTAGCTGAACTAAGGGGCAAAAATTCTGCATCAGTATTTTGTAGCAGAACATTTGACCTTCATTTTCAGTATGATCACCCAAACATCCCAGATTGTTTCGTTACTCTTAAAGTCAACAGGTTTTATAATATCCACAAAAAAATAAATTTCTAAAAAGCACAAAGCTATTTGAAACCCCCATAAAGATTAACTCATAATAAGCAATTGGTTATCATGCTATCCCTTAAAAATACTTAGAAAGGAAATTGTGCAGTAGCTCTTGTTAATGAGTCATATTACTTTCAACAAAAACCTCTCGTTGATTTGAAGCCTATTGTTTTATTTTGTTTGGAACGTTTTTCCTCTTTGCCTTATCTTAAGAACATCCTAGTAAGTTTAAGACATTTTATTTCCAGGCTCATAGGGAATCAAGGACATTTGCTTACTATCTTACAATACATAAGAGTTAAACTTCTGCTATGCTGCAGGCAATATGCTAAATTTTTTACAACCATTATCTCATTTAATCTTACTAAAAATCCTAGGTATTAGCACTTCATAGGACAGATGAAAACCCAGGCTCACAGGCTCAGTACCTTCACAACTAGAGAACAACTGAACCAAAGCCTTTTTAACTTTTCCCACTAGGCTATATCAAATAACAGCTTTAATGTAGATCAGCTAACAATCAGTTAAAATAAATGTCTGAAAACATAACATGTATATACTTTGAGAACAGTCATAAAAAACACTTGTTTTATGTTACAGGAAGCTTTGAAATTAGGAAAAATCAAGAAAGGTAAACATTGTCTAATGGTTGATAAAGCAGTTATGAAGTGCTTTTAAGATCTTTTTTCTTCTCTCTATTCTTGCCTCTGGGAACCTCATCTATTTCTTTACAAAGTGTAGTGTTTCTCCAAAATTCTAGTGCCACATTTCCATCGATTTGTTATATCTCTCCATTTTGATGTCCCACCAACTCTTCTAGGCCTCCAGACGCCCAGTTTCTCTAGACTTCCTTGCTCCCATAAATGGAGTTATCATTTATTCAGTACACCTGTCTCACAGCCCTTCTCTGCTTTTCCTTCTCCTAGGCATGACAATCTACATCCATTTGTTTGCCAAACTCACCTTAGAAATGTTTTTCATAAGTAGCCTGGCTCCTCCCCCGCATCCTCACAACCACAACCCTGTATGGCATCTCCTTTATTTCTCACTTACAACTCTGTTATTAACTCCTACTTGGTCTTCCAGCTTCTCTCACGTCCTATATATCTCTTCTAATTCTGAGATATCATACATCCTAGGGCCAAAATAATTTTCTTAAGATGCACTCTCTTCACGTCACTTCTAGAAAACCTGTGGTTTTTTATTGTCTACCAAAATATATAGTGACTTCTTATCACAGCTTTCAAGGTTCTGAAATGTGGCGTTTTTCTGGTCTCATCTCCACCACTTCTTCATATAAAACCTATGCCCCACTTACATCTACCATACTTGGAATGTTCTCCCCTTTTCTTTGCCTATCAAAATTGCCCATTCTGCAAAGCTGATAAAAGTCTTCTCCTCTATAAAGCCTTTCTAGATTTTTTTCTAAGCAGTTTTTGTGTCTCCCTCTTCTGAACTCCCTTTCAAATACTGTTTTTCTTAACAGATTCACCTTTACTTGTAGCAAAGCCAGTCATGTACTTGTTTAAGTCATCTTGCTAAATTATCAGTGCTTTATGGAAAGGAAATATATTTTAATTACCCTCGTATCCCCTGCAGCACTTAGCACATGTCTGTTACCAAAAGAGAGCTCAAGAATGTTTATAAAATTGGATAATAAAAATTGTTAAACCTGAACAGGGAGTTGGAAAAAAACATATTATTTCTAAGAGGAAAAAAAAATCAGCAAAGTATAATACGTCTTGTCATGTAAGAATTAAGGTCCATGTGAAATGAATACTATTATTTACACAAAAGGCTGGAGGCTGGGTAACGAACCAAATTAAATTTTTGAATTGTTAGCCTAGTTGTGGGAGTCATTAAAACTGGGAGAATTTCTTACTCTCTTAGTTATGATAAGAAGGAGGGAAACAGATTTGAATCTTGGAGATGGCTGAGGAAGTGCCACAGACTGGATTTCCTTTGCCCTGGAATGATTTTTCTCTTTTTCTTTATTTAACTTTTACTCATTTCTCCAAATTGTTTAAATGTTATTTCCTCCAGGAACCTTTCCCTAACCTCCTCTCTTCCTGAGGTCTAGATTAGATGTCTATCCTCCGTGAATACATTAGCATCTTATATTGTTTTGAAAATTTCCCTGAAAGATTTGAATTATGTAAGAGTAGAAGTCATTTTCTTAATCTTTATGTATTTAATTTGACCCAGTGCCTGGTACAGACTAGATGCTTATTAGTAAATATCTATAGATTGATTTAATTAATCAATTATACTGTTTCAACTATTTGCTATTTTGTGACTCTGGGTCAGTCACTTACCTTTTAACATCACTTTTCACATCTGCAAAATAAAGAGCAAGATTGCAATTTGTCTAAGGTTGTAATGAGGGTCAGCTAGGATAATGCATATAAAATATATGGTATTACTACTATGTATACATTTTAAACTATTATTAACATAATATAAATAATTAATTTTAAAATTAATTATGGTGCTCTGATTTCATTCCTTCCCAGAATGCTGTTGGGATACTCCCTACAAATCATTCAAGATTCAGCATTACAATCAGAAAGTAAATGGAATGTCTTTGCATATTTCTTGGTATATGCTTATTTTATAGAAATACTATTTTTATTGTCTAACTCATTTCCTCACCACTATATCATAGTTAATTAAAAGCTGATGCATGGACTTACACTTCTGCCCTAAAAGAGTAACTGTCAGAGAAGTTCTGTTCTCACCATAAACAGCAACATTGGCCATCAGGAAGCATAAGACTGTGATCTTGAGAAAAAGTAAATAAAGTGAGCAATTACACCAGTTTACTGCCCAGAGGCAGTTTCCAGGCCACACAACAAGGTGAGGGGAGCTGAACACAACCCAGCAGTCTCCATGAGTTTAGAATGCAGAGATCAGAGTTTATGAAGGCAGCGTCATTTAAATTGGCAGATCCAAACATGAGAGTGTCAGGAGCTGCACACAGAGATTGCTCTGGAGAGACACAGGGAGGTCAACTGTTTGCTGAATAAGGATCTGTGCACATAGGAGGAAACATCCACAAGGTTGAGAGGAGAGCCACTGGAAAGCAGGATGACAAAACATATCTAGAGTTGACACAGGGCTGGGACAGGTTATAACTGTATCGGCCAAAAGAGAGTGAGTTCAACACCTGAGGGCACCAGGTCGAGTCTTCAGCAGTGTATCGGTCTAAAAGTACTGTTTGAGAGTATCAAAATAACGCCAAGGAACTTTGCTAGGTATTTTACCAAAGAGAAATAAACATATACATCCACACAAAGACACATACACAAATTGTCACAGCAGCTTTACCAAATTATGTAAACAACCAACCCAATGGCCATCAATGGGGGAATAGATGCAATAATCATGTTATGTTCATAAAATGAAATACCATTCAGCAAGTAAAAGATAAATGAACTACAGGTACACACAACGTCCGTGAATCTCAAAAGCATAATGCTAATGGTTAAGGAGTTAGACCAAAAACAACATGCTACGTGATTTCATTTATACGAATTTCTAGAAAACAGCTACAGGAAGGTAGAGCAGATCAATGTTTGACAGAGGTGAGGTGTGAAGAAAGAAGTTTGTCTGCAGAGGGCATGAGGAAATTTTTGGGGGATGATTTAAATTTTCTACATCTGTGTTGTGGTGGTAGCCACCTAACTGCGTATTTTTCAAAACTAATCAAATTATGCACCTAAATTAATAAAATTTATTGTCCATTATTCACATCCCAATAAAGCTTTGTTTAAAAAAAAACTGACCCTTTGTCTAAAAACATATTTTTTTAGGCTATTGTTAATATATCTTTAGTCCTCCACAAAAATTTTTAAGCCTTATGCTTATGTCTCACTGTTTAATATGTGCTCTGGTACTATCATTAGTTTCAAAAAAAGTTAGGAAAGTAAATAGGAAAAGGGGAATTTTTTTTTCACTTTCTGTGACAGAAAGGGGCAAAGATGAAGAGAATTGGGGATGGCTACTGAGTTATCCAAACAAAAGGGTCTGCTGTGGCCTCATGCTAAATTTTAAATATAAAGCAGAATGATTACTGGTATAATAAGAGTATCAAGTTTGCTCAATACAACCTGTTACTCAAAGTAATTAAAGGATGCTTTTTCTAGTTAGCTGTATTTTCCAGTTAACTAGAAGTCTTTTGTTTAAAGTTTTATCAAACATTTTTCTTAGATGCCTAAGAGTCTTTCCCTTCCTTATTAAATACATTATAGGCAATGCATTTTAAATACATTTACAAGTTTGCATTTCTCAGATTAATCACTATGAATATAAAGTTTAGTTTGCAAAAGCAGGTAGAAGTGGATGTAGTGACATTTCAATGAAATGCTGGTCCAGCAAAGTCCCTTTCCCTGCAACCCTCCAAGTAAATGCTCCATAATTAATTACATTTAGGTAATGTTGCCTAGTACAGCCACCTTTTATAATGTCATAAAGCATATTATTAAATTTTTTGAAGTGTCCTACCAAACAGAAAATCCACAGACTACTCATAGATTTTATTCAAACTAATATATCTGAGTAAATAAGTTATCTTTCTTGTAATTTACATCAACTTCTTCATAACTCCAGTTCTAATGAGGCATGCTGCTGCTGTTGTGAAAAACGTTAGATGGAGCTGGGTTTGAACCCCCACTTGGTAACTTACCAATGACATAAATAAGTTGTAACCTTTTTGAATCAGCATTGAACTATAAAAGTCTTCCTGTGAGAATTATAGCTAATGTCTATAAAGCATCTGAAACAGCCTCATAGAGAGTAGAGTTCCCAGAATCCTAATTTACCATCAGTTGATATTATCAAGCAGCTTTCTTTTCAGGTTCTCTAGAATTTGAATTTGTTTGCTTATTCACTTCATTTTTTGGAAACTCTTCCTTTTGCTTTTAAAAAATAATTTATTTTTGCTCTAAATGGGGTTGGTAGAGTCTACTTAACTGAGGTTTCAATTTTAGTTATTTTCTAGTTAACCAAAGTCTTATTTTGCCTTGGAAAACAGCATCACATTGCTCTATCGGTAGGGTTACTGGAGTCTAACCAAGCCACCCAATGTGTCTCAGGCTGAAATCCAATTCATAACTTGCATTTAATTGTTTTTTGTTCCTTTGTGGATAAGAAAATATTTAGATATTATTCTCACATCTGTCATACGCACCTGTACAGATTTCAGGATGGTTGGGCTAATAGGAGGACCATAATAATGTATTATGGCTCAGCCGTTCATTATACTTTTGAAAATCCCCTAACGTCCACAATTGTGGATCTTCCTTCACATTTACAGCAGTAAGAATAATAATAACAATTGATGATAGCAAAAGTAATAAAAGTAGTCTTAATATTTTATACTGTAAAACACTGGTTGCTTAATGTTGTCAAGGCATTTTCTAAATAAATGTTTTCATAAAGCAATACACAAGCTCTCTGAACCATTATGTAATGCCAGGGAGAAGGTCATATAACTTTCCCATAAAACTCCTTTTTTTGCATCGGGTAAAATGTTTCACAATAATTGTATTGGCTGTCCATCACAACACCTCAGGGAAGCATGCTGTTAACAGGGTCATTTCTCCTTCACAGCTGAGAATACTGAAGCATAGACACATTAGTGGTAACTTGTCCAAATGAACGCCGTGAACTAGTGAACCAAATCACTGTGTGACAATGACACCACTCAAAGGCAGGCACCACACAGGAAATGGCATCATGAAGGTTAATTTTAGATTAAACTGGGGCAGCATGAAAGTTGGGTCATCTTGGGAAGATGTGCTAAAATGCACAGAGACAAGGTTAGTCATGGTTCATAAACCTTACCTGTGAGTGTTCTCTGTTGTATGTTTAGGCATTCAACTTTATTTTCACAAAATAGTTGTAGCAGGAAGACTTCCTTTTATTATCAAAGTAGAGATAGAAAGCAATGCTTTTTCTTTTTCCTGATAAGCACCAAGAGCTTCATCCATTTTGGGCTGCCAGAGTTAAGTCTACTCTGTTCATAAGGAATGATTTTCAAAATTTTTTATGAAAATCATATGAAACAGTAAAGTAATATCTGCTTGTGCACACCCAAAACTGTTTCCAACAGCAAAGGTTTGAAGCAGCTGGACAGACTTAGCCAAATAAGTTAATTGCCAACAGCAATCAGAGCCTCTTTTAGTAGACCTATCAAAAAAATACCAAGATGGTAGCAGGCCCTACTAAGATACTGGCTCATAAACTCTTTTGAGCACACAATCCTTCCTCATTCACATACAAATTCTGATACACTATACAAACGAAATTTAGTATAGTATTTCAGAATGATCACAGACTTTATTTTGCCCTGCACAGACTACCTAGAGTTCCACAGATCCCAGATTAATCTCTCTCTCTCTCTTCCCACAACCCTCTCTTTAATATCATTTCTAGTTTCAAAAAGGAAAACTAGAGTCCAAGAATAATAAATTATTTCACAATTGCAGGAGATTTTTATCACTTAGATTTCCACATCTCCAGACTTTTTGCAAGATCTAAGAAATTAAGTGCAACAAATATTAGATTATGGTAAGCTTTTTAAGGCTCTATATTAATTCCAAATACATTTATAGTTTAGCATCTTAAAACAGCTGGTATTCATCTTAGCAGGCTAATACCAATTCATGATATTTTATTGAGGTAATGGAAAAATACACACTAGCTTATCAAAAGAAGTTAATGATGAATGCCAATGAAATCATTTCACTGTGTGATGAACACTAAGTTTGTAGGGCATGCTTCTAACTTACATCATGTAATAATGCTTTTTCTTCTACTAGCATAATGTAAACATTGTGCATAATTTTAAACTTTCAGTTATTTCTGTCTCAAATTGTGTATAATGTAGAATGTATAGTTTTAACTGACAACACCAAGTGTTGATGAGGATATGAAGCAATCAGAACTCTCCTAATGTTGTTGTTGAGGTTATAAAATGGTAAACTCACTTTGAGAAATAGTTTGGCAGCTTCTTATTAAGCTAAATGTGTACTTGTCCAGCAATTCTGCTCTTAGGTGTTTATCCAAGAGAAGTTTAAAAAAATATGTCCACATGAAGATTTGTCTATGAATGTTCATGCAGTGTTATTCATAATATAAAAAAATGGAAACAATAATTCATCAACTGGAGAAACAGTAAACAGATTGAGATATATATATATATATATATACACACATGCACACATACGATAAGATGCTTTCTTAGAATACAAAGGAATGAATTATTGATACTTGCAAGAGCAAGGATGTATCTCAAAAACAATATGAGTGAAAGAAGTGGGACATGAGAGTAGATAATGTGTGTCTCTATTGATAATAAGTTCAAAAACGGAAAAGTAATCTATGATAATAGAACGTAAAACATTGATTGCCTATGATAGGAGGTGATTTTGTTTGGAAAGAGGTACAGAAAACTTCTTAGGGTGATAAAAATCTGGAGCTTGTCAGAGGTATGAATTTGATGGATATGTATTTGTCAACATATATTGAACTATACTTTTAAGACTTCTGACTTTCACTATGTATAAATTACACTCCCCTTTCCCCAAAATTTATCTTTAGCTCTGCTTCTGCATTTTCTTTATCACTGACATTTCCTCGATAGCCTTTCTCACGTCCTCATGACCTCTGGGGCCCTTCCCTGGATTTCCATAAGCTCAGCCTCATGGCAACTCATTCTATAGCTGTTTATTGCCAAGTACCCTTTTCCCATCTTACTACACCTAGCTACATTATAACTTACATGTTCCCTTTCTAGGATTCTGATTTTTTATCATCATAAATAAATCAATAATATAACTTTTTTCTTCTTCTTTTTAACTTGGGCTTATGGCCCTGACATCTGTAACAAATCTACCTCCAGGAAGAGCTAATCTCAACTTGGTGGTTAACACCTCACCAATTCCCTGACGAACTTTACATAGAAAAGGATCATTATATAGTACAGATTAATGATGTTATTATGAAAGTAACACTAAAGTGGGTGGGTGTCAATTACCCGTGTCACTTTTACACAAAAGAATTTGGAATTCAGTAGCCCAGGACACCTTCTCTCAGGGCAGGAGGTGGGACAACAGCCTGGATTCCACACTTCGCTGTTTCAACACCGAGAACCTCACCTGTAGCCAACTTTGGAACTTTCTAGGTGACCACAGTGAGTGTAGGGAGTTCTCATGGTGAAGGTCACACTTCATTGGTCTATGTTGATCTCTCAACTGGCATTACTTGGTTTGAGAACACAGTGATAATTTTTCTAGGATCTTGGGTTTGTCAAAATGGAAGCAATGTAAATAAAAGAAAAATTGCCAGGTGCTTTACAAATGCTAAACTTTATGGTGCTTTATAGTATTGCCTGGCAATTACTATATGGCTCTGGCGCATGACATGGCTTCTAACATGAGCCTTGATCTCCATGGAACAATTTCCCTGAGTCTAGAGATGTGGAGTAGCAAACTCCATCCCACACTTCATAAATTTGGGGCTACTATCACTTTAGTGTGGCTTCTTTATATTCCACTTTATTATGACTATATCTATATAAATGCAAACACTGTTTCTGTGGATATAATTTCATAAAGCAAGACTATCTTCTATCTTTAGCAGTGAAATTCAAGTGGCAAATATGACAAGCAAAGAAAAATGAATGCAGTTAACTTCAACCATCCCTGCTCATCTGAAAGCTTATGTCAGTTTCTAAATAAGCTTTTCATTTTTCTATTCAGTCTGCTGATCTTTGTTGATTTACAGCATGAATGAGCATGGCACATTGCAACTTGTATAGTGTATTTTTCCTAAATAATAAAACATTTATTGCAGACACATCAAGCTAGCTAGTGGCTCTAAATTATTGTGGCAACGAAGTGCCATGTTAACAACTCATTTACATCCTTCTGGTGACTCTCCATTACCAAGGTAAGTAATTTAATTCCATCTAGAAAGAATGACTTTGCAAAGTATATTTACTATAATTTGGGAAAAATATATTTAAATCACATTATAAATTATGAGGGTCATTTTGAAATAAATACAAAAAATAGAGTATTTCGTTGGTATTTGTTGAATCATCTCATATAATTTTTAGTAAAGATGTGCTAAAATACCCTAAGAAAGCATTGTAATATATACCCATCTATGCTCAATGTATGCTCATTATAAATGTCTAAGCTTTATAAATTCAATTTGACATTCTCTCTTTCATCTTTGATTTCTATTCCCATTTTGGGCAAATTACAAAAAGTTGTTAGTCATATTCCTCATCATCAGGGCTACCACAACTCATAAATTTAGGGGGTTGATTCACCTTATTTCCTATGCAGGGCACTTGCGGATATGAGCACAGTTGTTATGTTGATGCAAGGCCCTGCCCTTGTTTTACTCTCCTCCCACTTCACCCTAGATCCTGATTCTCATTTATATGAGAATATCTATCTATCTATCTATCTATCTATCTATCTATCTATCTATATATCTATATATCATATATAGATATGATATATCCTTAAACATTCACATTTCCTTTTAAAATGTGAAGTGTTTTTGTGTGTATGTGTTTTGAATTTACATAAACAGTATTTATCTGTTTCTTACTTTTATTCCCTCAGTGAATTTTTTAAGTAGCCATGTATCTACGATACTATCAGTTTATACTGAAGTATTGTATTGGATTCTGAAGTATGGTTCTACCACATTTTCTGATCTATTCTATCACTAGATTGCCTTCAGCTCCTTGCTATAACGCATGATGATATAACGACCTCATACAAGTCTGCTTATGAACCTATGAGAGAATTTCTCTAGAACATATTACAGGAGTGGGTTTCCTGAATCATACTCAGAAAGTATGCACACATACTCAGCAAGAATGCACGCACGACATAAGCATGAATATACACTAATAAACATATATACCTACACAGTAAGGATATAAAGAGGTACACAAACCCACAAAGGATGAAAACATATACAATAAGTGTGGGAAATGTATTTGGAGTGGGCAGTGAAGAACACATACTCCATAATCAAGATGTCCACATACACAGTAAGTATGAATATACACTATTACAGATATACTCATAATTAAGTTTGTAGATGTACTTAATTTCATAAGCACTGCAAATTATTTTATAGAACAGCTGTAATCTCACCAGGAGTGCCTGAGTGTTCCTATCTCTCAATAATTGCTACAAATTTGGTTTTACTAGTAATTTCTGATCAGGCACAATGTCTGATGCCTGTAATCCCAGTGCTTTCAGAGGTTGAGGTGGGAGGAACAATTGAGGCCAGGAGTTTGAGACCAGCTTGGGCAAACCAGCGAGCCACCATCTCCACAAAAAATATTAAGAAATAAATTAGCTGGGGATGGGGGTTTACACCAGTAGTCCTAGCTACTCAGCAGACTGAGGAAGAAGGATGGCCTGAGCCCAGGAGTTTGAGGCTGCAGTGAGCTATGATGGTGCTGCTGCCCTCCAGCCAGTGTGACAGAGCAAGACTCTGTCTCTTAAAAATAATAATAATTTCTTTGTTTATCTCATGGATGTCAATTATTATTTTATTTTTATTTGATTCATCCAATTACTGATGAGTTTGAATATCTCAAGATATTTGTGATTAGTTTGGGACTTCTCTTTGCGTGTATTATAAATATAAAGCCTTCTCACCTTTCAAATTCGTTTTCTGTTCTCTTTCGTTGTTGTGATTTTTAGGAATTCCGTATACAATGTACTATGTATATAGTTAATTTCATTTAGTCAAATCCGTTCTTGTATTTGTATCTTGATTTGTGCTTTGGGGGATTTTAAGACTTTCTCCACCTATGCCCCATTACAGGATAGCTTTCTTCCTTTTCTTCCAGTAGTATTATAATGTACCTTTTCGATGTCTACTACATCAGAACTCCACTTTTGTATTCAATGTTAATTAGTCATCCAGGTTTATTTGTTTGCAAAATAGTAAGCAGTTTTCAAACACTCTTTACCAAATGATACTTATATCCACTTGTGGTGCTGTATTTACCATCAATTATTTTTCCATATATAAATGAGCCTTTTTCTGGGTTCTGCTCTTTTGGTCTATTTATTTCTCCCAGAATACCATATTAATTGTACTAAATAATTTTGAGGTTTATCTAAATATCTGAAAAGTAGGACATCTCTCTTCACTTTTCTTTTTTATTGCTCTTTAATCTCTCATTTAACGTTTAAAAGGTGTTTGCCAAGCTGTTAAAAAGATTCAACTGTAATTTTGATTGGGACTGCCTTAACTTTATAAGTGATTTTAAAGAATTATATTTTGTAATAATAAGTTGCCCTATCTGTAGATAGGAAATATCATCCCATTTAGTTAGATCTGTTTTTAAGTTCTTTAACAAAGACGTTAATTATCTCCATAAATGTGTGGTTCATCCTTTGTTAGGTTATTTTCTAATTGATTACTTAGAACATCAATTCTAATTGATGTTGTAGAGCAAGGGTCAGTAAAATTTTTCTGTAAAGGAACAGATAGTGAATAATTTGGGGCTGTTTGAGCCAACCCGTCTCTATTGTAACTATTCACTTCTGCCATATTAGCAAGAAAGCAGCTCTAGACAATATATAAACAAGTGAACATGGCTGTACTACAATAAAAATTTATTTATAAAAAGAAAGGTGGGCCAGGCATGGTGGCTCATGCCTGTAATCCTAGCACTTTGGGAGGCCGAAGCAGGAGGATCACCTGAGGTCACGAGTTTGAGACCAGCCTGACCAACATGGAGGAACTCCGTCTCTACTAAAAATACAAAATTAGCCAGGTCTGGTGGCACATGCCTGTAATCCCAGCTACTTGGGAGGCTGAGGCAGTAGAATTGCTTAAACCCGGGAGATAGAGGTTGGGGTGAGCCGAGATCATGCCATTGCACTCCAGCCTGGGCAACAAGAGTGAAACTCTGTCTCGAAAAAAAAAAAAAAAAGGTGACAGCTGGATTTGGCTACTAGACAGTAGTTTGTTGACCCCTGCCATAGAGAAATGATATTAATTTGTTTTAGCTATTTTATGCAGTACATTTGCTGAACTCTCTAATTAGATAGAATAATTGGATTGTTCATTGTCTCTAAATTTTTTAAATTATTGATGAACATATTATGTGTAAATAATGGTAGTTTAATCCCTTTTTTTCAATTATTAAAGTTTTTTTTCTTTTCCTCTAATTACAAAATTGGCCAGGATCTTCATTATTGCTCAAAAAATAGCAGTGATGGTAAGCATCTTTGTCTTGATCTTCACCTTGGGAAAATCTCTAGAGTTTCTTGATTAAATATGGTGTTTCATATAGGTTTAGGTCAGGGGTGTCCAATTTTTGGCCTCTCTGGGCCACATTGGAAGAAGAAGAATTGTCTTGGGTCCCACATAAAATACACTAACACTAACGATAGCTGACGAACCGAAAAAAAAATGGTCTCTGCATACATCTCATAATGTTTTAAGAAAGTTTATGAATTTGTGCTGGGCTGCATTCAAAGTTGTTCTGGGCTGCGTACAGCCTGCAGGCCGTAGGTTGGACAAGCTTGCTTTAGGTTTTATTCACTGTTATCACTTGATAAAGTTAAAGACATTCCCTTCTATTTCTGGTTTAATGACATGTTTCATCAGAAATTGATATACGATCTAATATTAACCATTTCATTCTTGTAATAAACTTTACTACAGCATAATATATTTTTCGCTTTAAATCAGTTTTTGAGATAAAAAATTGAATACAATGAAATGCATCAATTTTAAGCACACAGTGCAGTAAGTTCTGACATATGTATGCACCCATGTAACCACCATCTAAGTTAGGACCAAATCATTTCTATCTCCAAAAGAATTGCATTTATCTCTTTGCAGTAATTTTATCCCTACTTCTAAACCAGGATACAAAAAATCTGCCCTGCGCTATATGTTAGTTTTGCCTGTTTCATAATTTTATATAAATTGAATCGTACAGTATGTTCACTTTTATGGGAGCCTTCATTTACTGGAAATGCTTTTCTTGCTGAGTAGTATATTCATTTTATGGATGTAGCAAAATTTAAATTTTCAATTTTGATGAAGTCTAATTTAATATTTTTCTTTTATGGCTAGTAAGTTCTACAAAATCTTTGTCAACCCCAAAGTCATGAAGATTTTCTGCTATTCTCTAATGGTATTCTAGTTTAAGTTGATGATTCAGTTTTACTTAATTTTGTAAAATATGGAGTAAGAATCAAGATTCATTTTTTATACAAATATATATTGATGACAACATTATTTGTGAAAAAATATAATTTTAATATTAAAATATTTGGGGATTTTAATAAAAAATCACTTGAATATATTTACATGGGTATTACTGAACTCTCTATTCTGTTCCATTATCTGTATGTTTATCCTTGCATCCATATCATGATGTCTTGAATCTGTAGTTTTATAGTGAGTTTTGAGTCAGTACCAGGTACTACAAGTCCTCCAACTTTGTTCTTTTAAAAATTGCCCTGTATATTATGTCGTTTTCATTTCTCTGTAAATCTTAGGATTGTATTATCAATTTACACACCAAAAAAGCCTATTGGAATTTTGTATGGCAATGCATTGAATCTATACATTAATTTAGGAAGAACTGACAACTTAACAATATTGAGTCTTGCAATTGATCATCATAGCATAACTCTTGATTTTTTTCGGTCTTCTACAGTTTTCCCCTACAATGTTTTATAGGTTTCAGTGAAGAAGCTTTCAATATATTTGCTTTAATTTGGAAACTATTGTAAAGGTTTTTAAATTTTATGTTCTATTTTTTGAAATTAAAATATATAAAAATATAACATATAAAGAAATAAAATTTATTTTTGTATATTGGCCTTGTATTGTGCAACTTTACTAAATTCAATTATTAGTGTGTATGTGTGCATGTATGCCTATAGTAGTAAAAGATATGAATATGTTATACATATATATGTATCACATACATACAAACATAATTGAATTTTTATTAAATTAAATAATAACAGTTTAATTATGTTTGTGGGTATATAATATATATGCATATAAAAATATATTTTACTAATTATACCTTTATACATTAAATTCTACACCTTAGAATTTAATATGAGCTTGATCATGGCATCTATATATAAAGAGAAATTTACTGCTTCTTTTCCAACTTGAGTAGCTTTAATTTTTTTCTTGTCATTTTGACTTCTTTTAAAAATTTTAATGCACTGGATATTATATCCAGAACAATGATGAACAGACATGATGAATGAGTGTGGACAGCATTACCTTGTTCTTAATCTCAGTAACAAAAGCTTTTATTCTTTCACCTTTAAACATGATTTTGGCTGTAAATGTTTCAATGATGACCCTTTTGGGTTGCATATCTGTTCTGTAGATAATTTGTGCTATGAATTTTATTGAATGCTTTATTTCAAAATAATTGTGTGGTCTAGGGTTTTCTTTTGGGGAAAGTTTTAATTAAAAAATTATTTTATTTAATAAATATTGACTGCCAGGTTTTAAGCTTTGTGTCTGTTTTCATAATTGGAATATTTAGAGAAATTTGTTTATTCCATCTAAATTGTGAAAATACAAATGTTCATAGTGTTCCCTTATTGTTCCTTAGGGTCTATAAAATCTATAGTGATACTTACGATGTAATTCTTGATATTAGCAATTCATATTTTCTTTCTGTTCTTGATTAGTCTAGATAGTAATTTAACAATTTATTGCTTTTTCTAATAAACTAGCTTTTGGTTTTAGTAATTTTTCTCTCTGTTTACTCATTTTCTAGTTTATTAATTTTTATTAGTTATTATTATATTTCTTCTACTTTGGGCTTAATTTGGACATTTTTTTCTAAGATTCTTAATGCAAAAGCTTAAATAATAGAGTTTTGATCTTATTTTCTAATATAGTATTTAAAGCTACACATTTCCATCTAGCAATGGTTTTAGTTCTATCCTACAAATTTGATGTGTTTGTGTAATCATATGATTCAAGATACTTTTCAATTGCCCTTTTTATTTTATTTTTATCAGACAAGGTAGTTAGAAGTGATTATTTTTTAAATAATTAAGAATTTTTTGGATAATTTATTGTTATTGGGTTCTAATTTACTTCTGTTTTTGTTGAAGAATATATTATATCTAATCTCAATAATGTAAAATATATTGAGAATTGTATTACCCAGCATATGCTCTATGTTGGTGTAAGCTCCATGTTCACTTGGAAGAGAAATGTTTTTTCTGCTATTATTTATTATATTGTTGAAGGTAGTGTTTAGGTGGTGTTCTATAAATGCCAAATTAGTCAAATCATGACGTTTTGTCTATCTTAGCAGTGATATAACATTGTCTTGGTTTACAGTAGCTTTATAGATGTCTTGAAGTCAATGGATGTAATTCTTCAACTTTGATCTTTTTAAAAATTGTGTTACATATTCTAGGTGCTTTACATTTCCATATAAATTTTGAAAAATCTTGCCTCTTAACAAAAAATAAAAGTTTTTCTCAATTTGGGGTTGCACTGAATCTGTGAATCAATTAGCAGAAAAATGATATCTTGACAATCAATATTGCATCTTTTAATCCATGAACATGATATAGCACTCCCTTGATTTAGGTCTTTCTTAACTTCTCAGCAATATTTTTTGGTTTTCAGTGTTCAGTCCTTGCACATAATTTATACAATTTATCCCTCAGTATTTTTTAGTATATTAGTATACTAAAGAGTATATTAGTATATTTTTAGTATATTTAATGCTATTTATGCAAAGAACATTTAAATGTTAATTAGTATTATATAGAATTATAATTGATTTCCTAGTTGTCTAATTTATTCTCTTGTTCTTCTTTATTCTTAGTCGAAGGTAAATGTGATAAATTTCTGGTTTCTTAAGATGAGAACTTATGGCATTTATTTTAAACCATTTTTTCTTTTCTAGTATCAGCATTTAATGGTATAATTTTTCTCTAAGCACTATCTTTGCTCAATGATTCTCAATTAGGGGTAATTTTGCCTTTTAAGGGACGTTTGGTAATGTCTGGAGAGATTTTGGTTGCCACAACAGAGGAAAAGAGTGCTACTGGCATCTAGTGGATAAGGATGAGGGATGCTGCAAAACATCCTACAATGCACAGAATAGCTTGAGCAATCTTGAATTAGTTACCCTCTGTATATTTCAATAGTTTTTGTTTTTATTTCAATCAATTTAATATATTTCTGTTGTGACATATTTTTAAACCCATGAGTTATTTAAAAGTTTCTTATTTACTTTTCCCACGTTGGGTTGTTTTCTAGATATCTTTCTATTGCTAATTTCTATTTTAAATCACTGTGGTTAGAGAATGAAGGTTTTATTATTTAAATCATTTGAAACTTATTCAGATATTTTTATGGTAGAATATCTATCTTGATGAATGATCCATGTGTACTTTAAAGACTTACGTATTTTGCTGTTGTTTTGTGGAGTAGTCTGTAAATGTCAATTAGGTATATTTGTTTGTGGTGCTTCTTCAAGTCTGCTTTATACTTATTACTTTTCTATATAAATTTTTAATTGATAACTGAGAAAAGTGTTTATGTTAATTATAGTTGTAGACTTGTCTATTTCTCTTTTATGTTCTATCAGTTTTAAATTCAGGTAATTTTTAGTTCTATTATCAAATGCATACTTTTTTTTATTATGTCCTCCTGATGAATTAATTCCTTTATCAAGCTAAAATATCTCTCTATATTCCTGATAATATTCCTTGTTCTAAAGTCAATTTTGTGTAATATTAATATATCCATTCCAGCTTTCTTTTCATTGGGATCCATGGTAGAGAGTTATACTATCTTTTTCATTTTATTCTATTTGCATATTTATATTTAAAGTCAATTTGTTATAGATAGCAGATAGTTGCCTTACTTTTTAATCCAGTCTGGCAATCTTTGCCTTTCAGTTTAAATGTTTAGACCATTTATATTTAATATAGTTATCAATATGGTTGGGTTTAACTTTAAGCTCTTGCCATTTTTCCCTCTTCAATTTATCTGTTTTTATTTATTTATTTATTTATTTTCTCTTTTCCTGGCTTCCTTTTTTTTGAGACAGAGTCTCACTCTGTGGCCCAGGCTAGAGTGCAGTGGTGCGATCTTGGCTCACTACAACCTCTGCCTCCCAGGTTCAAGCGATTCTCCTGCTTCAGCCTCCCAAATAGCTGGCACTACAGGTGCACAACACCACACCCAGCTAATTTTTGTATTTTTAGTAGAGACCAGGTTTCACCATGCTGGCCAGGCTGGTCTCAAACTCCTGACCTCAGCTGATCCACCCACTTTGGCCTCCCAAAGTGCTGGGATTAGAGGCGTGAGCCACTGTGACTGGCCTCCTGGCTAATTTTAAACTGAGTACATTTTTATGACTCTCTTCTATCTTGACCATTGGCTTATTACCTATATTTCTTTGTTTTACATTTAGTGATTACTTTAAGGTATACAATATATATCTTTAAGTTATCAAAGTCTCCTTGACATTATATTATACTACTTCATGATTAGTGTATAAACTTTACAACAACATACTTCTATTTTCTCTCTCTTATTCTTTGGGCTATTATTATCATGCATTTTACTTCTATATATTTTATAAACCCCATTTAATGCTGCTATGATTTTTAATTTAAATTATGTTATCTTTTTATAAAATTAAAAGTAATAACTTATCTACGTATTTGAATTTACATGTACATTACATTTTTGAAGATACTTTTTCTTTTATGGAGATTCAAGTTTTTATCTGAAATTATTTTTCTTTTATCTGATGAAATTCCTTTCTATATCTGATAAGATAGGTTGGCTGCTAATGAATTATTTCAGCTTTTACTAAAAATGTTTTTATTGTATCCATTTTCTGAAAGGTATTTTATTTGGGTATTAAATTCCAGATTTATAGGCTTCCCTCCCCCACACTTTTTGTCTTTTTATTACTTTCTTTTTTGCCTTTGTCTTCTGGCTTACATAGATTCTGACAAAGAATCTAATGTAGTTGTTACCTCTGTTCTTCTGTAAGTAGTGTTCCTGTTTTCCTCTGGCTTCTTTAAAAAATGTCTTTTTACCAGTGTTTATTGCAAATTATTTTAATGTACCATAGTGTGATTTCCTTTAATTATTTTCTATATTATTTATTTACTTTATGATACTTTAAGTTCTGGGATACATGTGCAGAATGTGCAGATTTGTTACATAGGTATACACATGCCATGGTGGTTTGGTGCACCCATCAACCCATCATCTACATTAGTTGGTCAATCTATGATTTTATACTTTTCTTCAAATTTGGAAAATTTTAACCATAATTCATTCAGATAACCTTTGACTGACCCTTCTCTTTCCCCTGTCTCCTTCTCTTCTGGGCATCTAATGGCATTTATATTAGATTGCTTGAAATTGTTTTACCAATCATTAGAGCTCTTTTTTTTCCAGGATATTTTTTATCTGTGCTTAATTTTTGCAAAGTTTGTATTGCTATACTTTCAGGTTCACTATCTGTTCTCTATAGTCTAATTTGTTATTATTCTGTTGAATATATGTATTTTTATGTTGTATTTTTTACCTCTAGCATTTCCATTAGATCTTTAATATATACTCTACTTCTCTCCTCATTATGTTCTACTTTTACTTCATTCTTAACACAGGAAACTTAGTAAGTTGCCTTCTGATTTAATTCTTTTCCTCATTCTTGTATCTGTTTCTATTGATTGGTATTTCTCCTGTTTATGGGTCATAGTTTCACACTTCTTTGCATGCCTGATAATATTATCTGGATGATGAATATGATTCATTTTATATGTTACCTTTTAGAATTCTTTTTTATGAATGTTCAACATTGTTCTGGCTGCATTTAATGTAGTAGAAGTCAGTTTAATATTTGGAGTGCTTGCTTTTATGTTTGGGTCACTCCCAAGGAATAAATAGTGCTAGTTTAACCCCATTACCAAAAGAATATACTCAAATCTCCATGTATTTTGGAGACCACTTCACATTGACTAATGGGAACACAAAATTTCTCAGCATTGTGTGAACTCTGATGATCGTTTGCTTTCCAGTGATTGTTTCTCCACTCTTATGGAGTCACACTCCACACATATGTCCATCAAAATCAGTCCAAGACTTAAAGAAACCACCACGCAGATCTCATGAGCTCTTTCTCTGTGAAACTCCCATCTCTCAGGGATTATGGCCATGTGCTACCAGTTGTCCAGTGTCCACAATAAGTTCTTTTATATATTTTATCCAGTATTTTTACTGTTTAAGATGGCAATGTAAATCCAACTGTTGTTCTTCCATCATTAAGAGAAGCAGAAGTCTCTGAGATATACTTTTTCCAATCATTTTAGCCTCTTTAAACTCTGATCTCTTTCTCCTTAATTCAAAGAAACATTTGTGTTCTGCTTGGGTTTACTCTCTTTGCACCATAGTCTGGAAAGTTTCTCCATATTTTAAAAAAGGTAAGATAGTAGGGCTTATTTGTTTATCTTCTCTCAGAGATCATAATGCTGTCCTGTCTGTTGCTAAATGTCTGAAAAAGAGGTGTTTCATATTGTTTTCTAGTTTTATTAGGTATGATGGCATTGTAATTCTAGTACTATTCTTTCCATCATGGCTGAATTGATGTCTGATAGCTTCTTATGTGATGCATTATTGTATTTGACTAGCTAATGTTTTATTTAGGATTTTCATATCAGATGTTTTTCTATGAAATGGAACTTCTCTCTACTTGAATTATTCTATTTTGCTTTGATGCTTTTTATTGAAAACTCTAGAAAATATTTTCAGGTGAGTTAAAACATACTTTTAAACTATACCCCATTTACACTGATATTGTTATTAGTCATTCCTTGCCTGTATGAAATATCTCATGTACCCTATAAATATATACACCTATTATGTACCCAAATTATATTTAAAATGTAAAGTTTAAAATAAAAAATATAGTAAAAAATTAAAAGATGTAGATTGGCAAAATTGATTTAAAAAATAAGAAAAAACTATATTCTGCCTACAAGAAAATCATCTCACCTGCAATGACACACGTAGACTGAAAGTGAAGGGATGGAAAAATATATTCCACATGTATGAAGATCAAAAGCAAGAAGGAGTAGCTATATTCATATCAGAAAAAAACAACTTCAAGTCAAAAGCTGTAAAAAGAGAAAATGAAGAAAATTATATAATAATAAAGGAATAAATTCAGCGATGGAATATCACAATTGTAAATATATGTGTACCCAACACCAGAGCACCAAAGTATGCCTAGCAAATATTATCTAAAAGAACGGCCCTAATAAAATAATAGTTGGGGAATTCAACATCCCACACTCATCATTGGCCAGATTATCTACTCAGAAAGTCAGCAAAGAAACATTGACTTTAAACTGCAGTATAGACCAAATGGACTTAAGAGACAGTTACAGAACATTTTATCCAACAACTACAAAACTTACCTTCTTTACTTTGTACTGGGGGAACCAGCCCCCAGTATTTCAAAGTAGGTTCTTTCTTATTTTCCTTAAGTGTCAGCTGGTCTGAGAAATAAAGAGAAAGAATACAAAGAGATAAATTTTACAGCTGGGCCTCCAGGGGTGACATCACATGTTGGCAGGTTCTGTCATGCCCACCTGAGCTGCAAAACCAGCAAGTTTTTATTAGGGATTTCAAAAGGGGAGGGAGTGTACAAACAGGAAGTGGATCACAGAGATCACATGCTTCAAAAGGCAATAAAATATCACAAGGCATATGGCAGAGCAAGATCACAAGGCCAGGGCAAAATTAGAATTACTAATGAGGTTCCATGTCCCACTGGGCACACATTGTCATTGATAAGCATCTTAAAAGGAAATAAGGTTTGAGAGCAGACAACCAGACTGACTAGAATTCGCCAGGCTGGAATTTCCTAATCCTAGCAAGCCTGAGGGCGCTGTAGGAGACCAGGTCATATTTCATCCCTTATCTTCAAAGGCATAAGACAGGCACTCCTAGAGCAGCCATTTTAGAGACCTCCCACTGGGTATGCATTCCCTTCCCAGGGTTATTCCTTGCTGGGAAAAGAATTCAGTGATATTTCTCCTATTCGCTTTCTGCAAGAAGAGAAATATGACTCTGTTCTGCCCAGCCCCACAGGCAGTCAGACCTTATGGTTATCTCCCTTGTTCCCTGAGAATCACTGTTATCTTGTTCTTTTTCAAGGTGCCCAGATTTCCTATTGTTCAAACACACATGTTTTACAAACAATTTGTATGGATAACACAAGCATCACAGGGTCCTGAGGCAACATACATCCTCAGCTTATGAAGATGATGGGATTAAGAAATTAAAGTAAAGGCAGGCATAGGAAATTATAAGAGTATTGATTGGGGAAGTGATAAATATCCATGAAATCTTCACAATTTATGTTCGGAGATTGCAGTAAAGACAGGCATAAGAAATTATAAAAGTATTAATTTGGGGAACTAATAAACATCCATGAAATCTTCACAATTTATGTTCTTCTGCTGTGGCTTCAGCTAGTCCCTCTGTTCAGGGTCCCTGACTTCCCACAACACATTAGCACTTGAAACATGCACCAGGACTGACCATACGTTAAGCCATTTAACATGAAGAGGGTAGGTAACAAGTAACAAGATTAAATCAGTAATAAAAATCTCCCAACTAAAAGAATTCCAGAGGTAGATGGTTTCACTGCTGAATTCTATCAAATCTTTAAAGAAAAGTTAATATCAATTCTTCTCAAGCCATTGAAAAAAAATTAAAGCAGAGGTAATTCTTCCTAACTCATTTGAGACCACCATGACCCTGATATCAAAATTAGCCAAGGACACAACAAGAAAAGAAAACTGTAGGCCAATATTCCTGATGATGAACATAGATGCAAAAATTTTCAACAAAATGCAAGCAAACAAAATCCAACAACACATCCAAAAGATAATACACCATGATCAACTGGGATTTATTTCAGGAATTCCAGTATGATTCAACATACAGAATCCAATAAACATCACACATCATATTATTACAACGAAGGACAAAAACATATGACTGTTTTAATAGATGCAGAAAAAGCATTTGGTAAAATTCAACACTCCTTTGTGATTAAAAACTCTCAATAAATTAGGTATAGAAAGAAAATACCTCAACCTTATAAAACCCATATCTAACAAACCCATAGCTAACATCTTATTAAATGAAGAAATGTTTAAAGCTTTTCTTCTAAGAACTGAAACTAGACAGATATACCCACTCTCACCACTTATTCAAAACATAGTATTGGAAGTTCTAGCCAGAGAATTTAAGCAAGATAAAAAAATAAAGGGCTTTCAAATTAAAAAGGAGAAAGTCAAATTGTCCCTGATTGCAGAAGACGTTATCTTATATATAGAAAAACCTAAATATTCTACCAAAAACTTTTGAACAGAAAAACAAATTTAGTAAATTTTTATAATATAAAATCAACATATAATAACCAGTAGCATTTCTATACATGCACAACAAACTAGCTATAAATGAAAGCACAAAGGAAATCCTATTTACAGTAGCTACAAAAAAATGAATACCTAAGAATAAATTTAAATAAGGAGGAGAAAGACCTTTGCAAGAAAAACCACAAATCATGGATGAAAGAAATTGAAGAAGATACAAATAAATAGAGAGACATCCTATGCTCCTGAATCAGAAGAATCAGTATTGTTAAAATGACCATACTATCCAAAGCAATCTACAGATTCTATGCAGTCCCTGTCAAAACATCAATGACATTCTTCATAGAAATAGAAAAAAAGTCTTAAAAATTGTATGGAACCACAAAAGACCCCAAATAGCTAAAGGAACTTTGAGCAAAAAGAACAAAGCTATAGGTATCACAGTACCAGACTTCAAAATATGCTACAAACGTGTAGTAACCAAAACAGCATGGTAATGTCATGAAAACAGACATATAGATCAATGGAACAGAGTATAAAATCCAGAAATTAATTCATATATTTACAGCCAACTAATTTTTGACAAAAGCACCAGGAACACCCACTGGGGGAAAGAGCAGTCTAATAACCAGTGCTGAGAAAACTGGCTATCTACATGCAGAAGAATGAAACTAACTCTCCTCCTCTCACCCAATGCAAAAAACCACTCAAAATTAATTGTCGACCCAAATGTATGGCAACAAACTATAAAACTACTATAAGAAAACATAGAGTATGTTTCTGAACATGTGTCTGGGAAAAAATATTGTGAATAAGACCTCAAATGCACAGGCAAGAAAAACAAAAATAAATAAATGGAATTATATCAAACTAAAAGACTTCTGTACATTAAAGGAAATAACAAGTGAAAAGTCAGCCTACAGGATGGAAGAAAATATTTGCAAACTATTAATCTGACAGAGGATTAATATCCAGAATATTTAAAGAACTCAAACATCTCAACAACAAGAAACAACCTGAATATCAAATGCACAAATGATCTGAACAGATGTTTCTCAAAAGAAGACATAGAAATGGCCAAGAAATCTATTTAAAAATGCTCAACATTACGAATCAGGAAAATGCAACTCAAAACCAGAATAAGGTATTATCATATCCCAGTTCAAATAGATATTTAAAAAAAACTTTGCAAGGATGCAGAGGAAAGAGAATTTGTAGACATTGTTGGTGGGAATATAAACTAGTACAGCTGCTATGGAGAACAGTGTGGAGACTCCTCAAAAAACTACAAATAGAGTGACATATTTTCCAGCAACCCTACTACTGGGCATTTATCTAAAGGAAAAGAAATCAGTATATCAAAGGAACATCTGCACCTTCATGTTTATTGTAGCACTATTCACAATAGCCAAGATATGAAAATAACCTAAGTGTTGAACCACAGGTAAGTGGGTAAAGTAAATGTGATAAATGTACAGAGTGGAACACTATTCAGCCATAAAACACAATGAAATCCTCTCAGTCAATCATGGCAACATGGATGAAACAACTAGAGAACAATACCTTAAATAAAACAGGCCAGGAAGAGAAAGTTAAACACTGCATATTCTCACTCATATGTGGAAGCTTTAAAAAGTCAATCTCATAGAAGTAAAAAGTAGAACAAGAGACTAGTAGCTGGAAAGGGTAGGAAGAAGGAGGGATAGGGAAAAATGTGTGAAAGGGTACAAAATTACAGCTAAATAGGAGGAATAAGTTCTTGTGTTCTAAAACACTGTCAGATGACTATAGTTAACAATAATATATAGTTTCACATAGGTAGAAGGATACTGAATGTTCCAAACACAAAGAAATGATAAATGTTCAAGATAATGGTTATGCCAATTATTCTGATCTGATCACTATACATAATATGTATCAAAACATCATTATGCACCCAATAAATATATATAACTTTTATGTCAATTAAAAATACAATAAAAAGATTTTTCAGATTCTAGAAATTAAAACACATGGAAGGCAAGAAACTTAGAATAATTGACTCTATTTATGCCCTTCTCTCCTTTTGTGACGTTAATGAGCATGTTAATTTTATACATCTCAAAATCCTACAGGTTATCATTATTGTTATTTTATGTAATCAATATTCACTTGGATAACCAACATATTCACTCTTTCAAATCACCTTTATTTTTCTTCCAGCATTCTCATGCTTTATCTGAAATGACTTCCTCCTATATAAATAGTTCCCTTTAATGATTCTTTGGTATAGTTCTGCTTGTAGAAAAATACTCTCTTTTTTGATTGCCTAAAATATCTTAGTTTTTTTGTTTATAAAGGATATTTTCAAACAGTAGTGGATTCTAGATTAGTACTTGTTTTTGTTCATCACTTTTAGTGCCATTCGAATGTCTTCCTGCTTCTTTTCCTAAAAATCACAAGTCAACTGCATGATTTATCTAGTAAAAGCAATAGTCTTTTTCTCTGGCTGCTATTCAAGATTTTCTCTTTGTCTTTGGCTTCCAGCAATTTTACCTTGTTGTGCCCTGGTATGGTTTTCTTTGTGTTTTATGGATTGAAGGTGGGGAACCAGGGGTTACATCTCTCTATCACTTTTCAAATATTCCTGGCCATATCTCCTCACAGGTTGTTTTTGTTGCATTATTTGTCTAATCTGTTGAATCTTTCTACGAGATCTTATTTTGAGTTACTGTGTTTTTCGGTCTTAGATTTTTCCATTTACTTTTCTTTCATAGTTTTGCATTTTCTTTATATATTTATGAAGAGCAAAAGTGAGAGGGTGAGAGAAGAGACAGA
This sequence comes from Homo sapiens, assembly GCF_000001405.40. NCBI lineage: Eukaryota > Metazoa > Chordata > Mammalia > Primates > Hominidae > Homo > Homo sapiens. Next base: position 95,907,621 of record NC_000001.11, on the reverse strand, counting down.
GCAACATTTCCAGTTTTTCTCAGTGGAGGTTTGTCCTCAGTAAGTTTTTTCTGCTGTTACTGGAATCACAATCAGTAACTTTCAAATAAAAGAAAAAATCTTCAACCTCATTTTTAATAAAAAGTACAAATTATAACTACAATATAATACCACTGTTCACACATCAAATAGACAAATATCAAAGTTTAGTAATACTTGGTGTAGGGGATTGTATAGGGAAACCAGTAATCTCAAACATTCTTTGTGGTAATAAAAATTGAACATTGTAGAGTAGACTTTGATTATATCTATCAAGATTTAAATGTACATAGCCCATGACCCAGCAATTCTCCCATGTAGAAATGTATCTTCACCTACACTTGTACCTGTGGGTAACAATGTCTATGGTTATAGTATTTATACTAAAAATGACTTGAAATAATCTAAATTCTCCACATGAGGGACTGGTCAAATGATTTTTTAACTAGTAAAAAATAATAATAATCTAAGTGTCATTAATTATGCACTTGTTAAATAAATTATACAACAAATTTTAATACAAAAATGAAATAGTTCTAATTAAAAATAAATATCAATAGTATAAAAAGTGATAACCAAATATATTTTATGTAACTTTCAATAAGCTGAATCTCTTCTTCTATGTACTGATTTTGAACTAAGTCTGAGGTATACAGTAAAGTTTATAAAACAAGACACAGAAGAGAATGTATAGTAAAAATATAGTACATTCTATTTTCACACTTCCATAGGCAGAAAAGATATTTTAAAAAGGCTTTTTAACATAGAACAAAATCATTCTATTCCTGTACCCACCTCCACCAGTCTAAATTCTATCTGGCTTCAATTTTCAAATTCTTCACAAAGTATTCTTTGATCCTTCATTCAAAGGTAATCTCACATTCCTCTGAACCTCGAAGCACTTGTTTGTGCTAAAAATGTTAATCCATCCTCCATTTAAAGGAGGAATGCATGTGGTTGACTAAAACGACTATTAAATCACAAACTCCTTGATAACAAAGACTTTTTTTTTAATTTTACAAATCCTTAAATCCCTATAGCAACATACTCTGACATTATGTATTAGGATAACAAATAATATCAGTTGCATTGATTAGGATTCTTATTAAGTGAATGAAATGAATAAATGAATGATATTTTACTGCATGTGACAGATTTTCTACCTTACATGCTATGAGAAACAAGCTCAATAGAGAGCATTAAATGAGTTCCAAGCTTATGAACATCATTTATAATAATTGATTGCACCTAAGTTTTGAAGAATTCATTGAAGCTTGGGTCTTTATGATAAGCATATTTAGTATAAATTGCAGTTGCTTCATAATATGGAAAGAGCTTCATATCAAGGTTCCCCAAGTCCCTTGTTAATAAAATTAAATACAGGTTTAGATTTTTCTAAAAAACAGTGTACTATCCTAAATTTAATTCTACTGCTTAATGGAGACTACTTCATCTGATTCTTTGAAGCAGTACAAAGAGGGGAGACAGACAATTTAGGGACATCATTTCCTCAAATTTACAGTCATTCACCCTGAAAACACAATTAGGTGGACTAAGCTACAGAAAAACAGTTCTTTCTTATTAACATTTAGCTGATAAAATGCATCCTGCGGAAGTCCTGAGTCTTGTCTCTATTTTGAGCCTCTAGGACAGATTCTGAATAAGAGATAAGAGACAGAACTTCAGAATGATCTATCTCACCAGCTAAATTAAAATAAGACAGAGCAGTTTTTCTTTAGTTCAGTGCAGCTAATTATTTTTTTTTAGGGTGAATGGCTGAAAAAATAGGACAATGGTTTATAATGCTTTTTAGATTTGAGGCTCCTTCTCTCTGAGAAAATGATTAGGCACACACGAAGAGTTCACAAACCAAGTTTTGCATGCTTTTCTTCAGAAGATGTGCAAGTCTATCCTATTGGGCTTGCTTACCTGTGAAGAGGACAAATGTTAGTGTGGATCAGAGTCATTGTCAGGACACTAGTAGGTGTTTCACACTTGTACAAACTAAAACTTTTGTGTGCCAAGAGAAAAGTTTAAGAACTTCTTAAACTCACAAGAAGCTGTGTGTCTACAGTGAGCTTGTCCAACACATGGCCCACAGGCTGCATGCGGCCCAGGATGGCTTTGAAAGTGGGCCAACACAAATTATTAAACTTTCTTAAAACATTATGAGTTGTTTGTTTTTTTCATCAGCCATTATTAGTATTATTGTATTTTATGTGTAGCCCAGACAATTCTTTCAATGTGACCCAAGGAAGCCAAAAGATTGAATACCCCTGGTCTAGAGAGTGTCTTTTGAGTCTGCTCCTTGTCTGTCTCATGGACCACATGGTTTTCTAGTCTGTCTCTGTGAAAACCCCTGGAGGCTAAACCTGTAAAGGAGACCAGGAGTTGCTCCTGTTTTTGAGGCGTTCTTTGTTTTAGGAAAAGTAATGGACCAAAGTGGAGTCCAAGATAAAGAAATATCACCTTCCTCTGAAACTGACTTCAATCTATCCAATCTGGCCAGAATTTCCAGAAAATCACATTGTTGTTGGATTCATGACTTACTAAGAATAGCAGTTTTGCTTTGCATGATTCACTATTTTTATGCTGTTCATACAGTAATGAGTTACTTAATAGTATGACCAAAAACATGTTTAAGGCATTACTTGACACAGGGACACCAAAACAGTAGGCATTTATTTTTTACCAGAATAGGATTAAAAAAAAATAGTCATCATGGAAAAAATGAGATTAAAAAAAATTTCTTAGATCAATTTTATAACTATTATTTAGAAATAATAATCACATAAAGAGATGGTTACAATGATCTCCGCAGTGCTTAGGTGCCCTAAAGATCTCAACCCGGGCCCTGATCTCAGAGGTCTCGTGGCAGGACTTGGACATCATCATCCGACTCTACTCCACAGTTGTGTAGTTCTTATCAAAAATGCTTATGCAATTAGGTCAAGTTTGCCTTACAAACTGATATATTTTCTCATTCTTCTCCAAACTGAAGGACTTACACTACCCCTGCCTGTCTCCCATATAAATACTCTATGTAGTTCAAATGATACCTAATAAATTTAATTTTTCTGAATGTTCATTTCACATATTCTATTTATGATCATTATAACTAAAATTGTTTCTGAAGTAAAGTTGTTCTTTTCACTCCACCTTTTGCCATGTGTCATTGGGCGAGTTACTTAACCTCTTTGTAACTCAGTTTTGTCATAACACGAATAGAAATAATACCATGCCCACTTCACAGGACTTTTGCGGGGATTAAATGAGATAATGCACTGAGATTAGGGCCCGATACATAATAAAAGCTTCATAAATATTAGCCATTCTTTTTATTCTTCGATGTCTTATTGTATTTTCATAAGTAGAGTGTAAAATCTTTGCTAGAAAGAAAGACTCAAAAGGCATATCACAGAGACTGTGCTCTTGGAAATAATAAAGGCCGGTGCCAAGAGGAAGTCAAATTCAGGAGACATTTGGAAGAGATCAAGAAGGATAGTTACCATATTGAGGAACTGTTCCACTCCTGAGAAGTAGCAAGAAGTGAGATCCAAAAAGGAGGGCAAAAGATAATTGGGACATAAAGAGAATGTGGCAGGACCAGGAGAGCTGAGGATAAGAGGAGGATGACAGTTACAAGAGCTGAAGGTTTCTGGTTATTTTGCAGGAAAAGGGTTAGAATTTCACACAGGCAAGGTGGAAGAACCTTAGCGAAATGTTTCAGAAATGAGAAGAGTTGGGCGTAATGGGTCAGGGCAGAGCATATTTCTAATAGCTGGGTTTAGAAAAAGTAAGAAAAACTATAATAATTGAAACTGAAGTGACCTGAACATCAGGTGGCATTAGAATAAAAAAATCCCCACAAGCCAGAGGAAAGATGGCATATGTTGGGTAAAAATTTAAAAAACGGAGGTACTGAAGAGAGTATAAGAAATAACAAGAAGATAATACATAAACAATAATTTTAAAAAGTAACGTATCTGTCATAAATTTCACATTCATAGAGAACCAGTCTTGCTGCCTAAAATTAATATCTCTTAGGAAATTCAAAAATAAATATCACTTCAAAAGGCAAAGGAAAACACAAAGGGAGCAGTTGCTTTCTCCCAGCCTTAGTAAGAAAATGAAAACACAAGTAAGAACACAATGGCATTACAATAGTCTTTATTATAAAGTGTCAGTCCTGAGGTCTGCCACTTAAACAGAACAAACAAAACTAAAAAAATTATTCTCTTTACTGCCACTGGGTGAATTATGCACCAAAGAAATTAACAAAAGCAAATGAAATAAATGAAAGCAACTGACAATTTAAGGCTTGCTTACCTGTTGCCTTAGGGTGGTGAGTAATGTAATGATGTCAATTAAGGAAGAGTTGTTTATTCTCATTCAAGACTCCTGCCCATAAAATGATTAGACTTTTCCTCAATGCTATCTTTTCAATGATTACTTGAAGTCATCATGACATGACGGTTGCCATTAGTCTTTATTTTAAATTCTGCCTGCCACTTACCATCCCAGAAACAAAGCAAAACGAAACAAAACAACAGGGTCCTTTTACCCTTCAAATATTGCAACATAATCAGATCCCTGGAAACGGAGGGATTTTCCTTCTTTTTCATCTTTCCTCACTTTGCTCTTCCCTACCATAAGGCCACATTAACCTTTTCTATTTGACCCCCAGTGCTTCCTGAAGAAGTGCCACCAAAATATGTATAGTGGCCAAGATTACTAATATTTCCGTAAAATAGAGGTCATTTACAATCTTAGCTATTTTTTTTTTCACTTAGTATCAGGTCTCTCATAGTATTCCTTGTTTATACCCCTTGAAGTTCAACCAGAAAAAAAAAAGCTAAACGAAAAGTACATGCTATTTAACTCACTGGGATAAATGTAATATTCTAGAACCTGAGACACACTGACTGCCAAGCATTATCCCCCAATCAAATAGTGGGGAGTAATGAAAGAGAAGAAGAGTAAGAATATAATGATGACTCTCAGAATTCTGGAATGGATAATTGGAAGAATGATAGTGCCATTTGACCAAAAATAAAATTAAAAAGTTTATTCATTCATTGTAAAATATTTATTGGGAAACTATTCCTTGCTAATCCATAGGCTAGAAACTGAGTATATGGTCAATAGATCAGAAAGTTCTCTGCCTTCATGAAGTTTACATTTTAGTTGGGGAAATCGTCACATAAGTAAACAAATTATTAATGCTTTTAAATACTGTAAAGAAATATATTAAAAATAGCTAATAAACTGAGTAGAGGAGGCACTTTCACTCAGGGTGGTCAACAAAGGACTCTTTCAGGAACTATCTTCTGAGCTGAGGTTTGATGAGTGACAATGAGCTGCTTAAGAGGCAGCTGTAGTGTTCTCTAGGAAGAAGGAATAGGAACTACAAAAAAGACCCCACAGCAGGACAGAGCTTGGTGTTTGCTTCTGGGGTTGATTCCAAAAAAAAGTAAGTTTAAGAATGTGGGGGGTAATATATGTTTGGCTGTGGAAGCCTTTAATTTAAGATTCCTGGCTGGGCACAGTGGCTTACGCTTGTAATCCCAGCACTTTGGGAGGCTGAGGCGGATGGATCACCTGAGGTTGGGAGTTTAAGACTAGCCTGACCAACATGGAGAAACCCCATCTCTACTAAAAATACAAAATTAGCTGGGCATGGTGGCATATGCCTGTAACCCCTGCTACTTGGGAGACTGAGGCAGAAGAATTGCTTGAACCTGGGAGGCAGAGGTTGCTGTGAGCCAATATCGTGCCATTGCACTCCAGCCTGGGCAATAAGAGTGAAACTCCGTCTCAAAAGAAAAAAAAAAGAAAAGAAAAAAGAAAAAGAGATTCCCATAAGGTATCCAGGGGGATATATCCAGTTTACAATGCTAGACAAGAGCCTGAAGTCCCTAAGAACAGGGTTAGTGATAAGGACCTTGACTCATCACACCATAGGTGGAAGTTTTAAACATAAGTCATTGAGATTGTCCTGGATAATTTAAAAAGTAAAAAAATACAGTTGTCCTAGGAACAAATCCTCAGAGTCACAAATATTTTTAGGATTTGTGGAGGGAAGTAAGTCCAAAAAAGGATACTAAGAAGAAGGAAAATTAAGAACTAAGAAGTAAGAGAGAGAACTGACAAAGCCAGGAATATTTATTGGAGTTGCTTTGCTGTTATTCAATCAAAATCTTACACCAAAACAAATTTAGTTTTATGCTCAGGAGTCGTCAGGTTGGTTGCACATCAGTTGATCCAGGTAGACTGCACCTGCTGTACCAAGCTGAACTCAGCCTTCCTGCTGGTTTCAGGTCTGCTCCTCATGTCTTCACTCTGGGCTTCAGGCTGTAGGGTCAGCAGCTACTTCTAAAATGCTTTTTACATTGTGGATCACAGGAACTCAAGGGTGTAAGTAGCAGCACATATTGCCTTGTAAGACCTTAGCTTGAAACTGGCACATATCCACTGCCAACATTTCACTGGACAAAGCAAGTCAGATGTCCCAACCGATGCTTGACCAAACTTGGGTTCAAGGCCCAACATAGGAAGGTTAGAAACATTCCTAGGATTTAGGGGGTTAGAGGCCTAAGATTTAGAGGGTTATGGAAAGACAAAGGACAGTAAAGTTTCTCTTGACTAAGTATGAGTTTGGCACTATGGGGTGTTAACTGCTCTTCTCTTTGGATCAATCAGCCTTGCACTCTACTAATGGCTGTGGGAGACAAGGATTAGGCATATACAGGAACATGAAACATGGGGAGTTTTTCTTCCCAAAAGGGGAAGCTTGAGAGCTGATGGGACTGCTGGAAAAGATCTCTTTGCTACCAAAAAGCAACTGCCCGAACTTATGATTCAGTGCCACTGCAATGGGTGGGTATTTCCCTGGCCTCCCTGAGCTTTGCTACCTTCCCCACCCTGCTGCAGGCAATGCTTTTCTCACTTTCTCTCTTTTCCCTTTTCTATCTTTTCTGTTACTCAGGGCAACTGTCTGCTCTTTCATCTTTCCCAGAGACCACATGATGAAAAATATTCTAGAGAGCTCGACCTTGTAACCATATGATGGTACTTTCTCTTGGTGTCCACCTTCCAAGGAATAGGAATCTTGGGGCTCACATCAGCTAGCCCTAAAAATTATCTCAAGCAGTTAAAAGCCTTTGCAAGCTCAAAATTAGCTGCCCTAGGTGACTTCTGGGAAGAGAAATGGCAAATGACAAATACTGTAGCTTAGTAGCTAAGGCTTTTTGGTTTCACCTGAGAGGTTACTTTTGGCAAAGCTTATTTTTATTTTTATTTTTTGAGATGGAGTTTCAATCTTGTTGTGCAGGCTGGAGTGCAATGGCACAATCTTGGCTCACTGCAACCTCCACCTCCCAGGTTCAAATGATTCTCCTGCCTAACCCTCCAGAGTAGCTGGGATTACAGGCACCCACCACTATACCTGTCTAATTTTTGTATTTTTTAGTAGAGATGGGGTTTCACCAATTTGGCCAGGCTGTTCTTAAACTCCTGATCCCAGGTGATCCACCCACCTCGGCCTTCCAAAATGCTGTGATTACAGGCATGATCCACCATGCCTGGCCATGGCAAAGTTTAGAACCAGAAATATGGACCATTTGCCATGGGTAAAGTCAGGTAATAGAAGTTTAAAATAAGTTTACAAATTTTTTAAAGAGCACTACAGTTAAAAGTCAGCTTAATTAAAAGCCAGTATTCAAGCTCTAACAGCCTGGGATTCCTTGAGAAAAACAGAGGAGATGCCACAGACCCCATGTTGGGAAAAACCTCTGTTTTCCTCATGGAACTCAAGAAATTAAAAGTGGATAAATCCCTCTCAAAATCTAAGGCTCTGTTCTGTTTTGCATTGCATTATCTTACATTTTTTACTTTTGAGAGTATCAGAAACTATTTTGCATTATGAGAGAACTTTGGTGTGTAAAAACTAACTAGGTAGGAAATATACTTTTAGCAATGGCTGTTGGCAGTTACGGGGGGATACTTGGCTCTTTTCACATGTGGCTCAGAGAAGCATGCTCTTTGCCACCGGAAGGTATGGAGATATCACCACCCTCCACTGAGGATAAAACTCCCATCAAAAGTGAGCTAATCACAGAATAGGCTGATTTGCTTTGGGTTGCTTTGCAATGAAATGGATGGTAAAAGTCATTGTACTGTCTTGTTCCATAGTGTTTCTCTTTTTGGGGGGATCCAGGATCTGGTATAAAAATGGACCCTTAATTTGAGGGGATTTGTTTTGCCTTCCAGATGTACCTACTTATTAGGCCCTAAAACCTGTATGCTTTAAAGAGAAACACTGACAAATGAAAAATCTTACAACTACTGGATCTTCTTCTGCCTATTTATATGTGTTGTGTTTGTAATGTTTATACATAAAAGAGCTCTAATGAATTGGCTTAAAAGAAACAAAAGCTTAAATCAAATACTTTGTCAGAAAAGTGAAAAGTGTAATGCCTTTTAGTTCACATGACTTAAGTAATCTTTGGGAAGTAAAAACAATTTTACATGCAAGGTGTGTAAAGAAAGTGAAATGTGTTTTTGGTAAAAGATTATAAGAAGGGATAAGAATGTAGATTTTTTTGGCAAGCTCAGGGGGTTAAAAGATTATTTAAGTTAGATAGGATAAAGCTGAATGGACAAGTTAAAGAGGGTTTGTGAAAAGTTAATCTTGTAAAAAAATTTCTATTTGTAAACATATTGACTAAATTAAAGGGGTATTATTCATTTTGTTTTTGTTTTGTTTTTGTTTTTGTAAATTGAGCATTGGAATGAAAACACAAGTGTTTTCTAGAGCACTGATTTGCTCTTTAACAAAAATTTGTAAAGGGTTATAAAAGTTTTATGAGAATCTTACCTTATGGTCAGACATTAAAATTGAGTAGATTTGCCTATAACGTTTTTTTAACAATTGGGGTTGACAGTAATAGTACACTATTATAAAAGATAAAATTTGTCTTCTCTCTTGAAAAAGATTTTCATGTAATATTTTTTAAAATGAAAGATTTTTTGTTTGCCTTTTGAATAAACTATAGGGAAAAAAAAGGGAAAGACAAAAGACAGATGATTTGGAAAACTAAGTCTGCCCTCTTAATGAGTAAAGGTTTTTGCCTTTTTAAAAATGTTTGAGTTATCATTTTGGCTAAATGAATGAATTATGGTGACTTGGGATTTAATTTTATAATATCAAGTGTTTCAAACCTTTGATATTTGACAAACTTTCCAAAATTGAATTATAAATTACATCTTTTTCTGACTTAATTAATCTTTTAGATATTAGGTCCCTTAAAGTTCAAAAATCACATTTGGCTTATTTTATATAAAAATCATACAGGAAACATTGTCAAACAGGAAATGGTGTTCAACTTTCCTTAGACTGTATTTGTATAAATGTGTTATTGGTATGTGTTGCAAAATTATGGGAAACTACTATAATTCTGATATGGCTTTGCATAGGTTATTTATACTTATAATTGTTATGTAAAATTGTTGTATGCCACAAAAATAACCAAAATTCTACTCAGTTGTGTTTTTAACAGAGGCTTCCTTAATTTGTCATCCATGGACAATTCTTGTCTTGTTTTGATCCTCATGAGAAGATGGTTTTCTAATCAACTATAGAACTCTAATAGGTGCTCTTAAATGCAGGTTTCTGATAACTTTGGAGACTGTCACATTAGAATAGCGGAAAAAACTTTCAGGACTCTCATAGAGAGCTGGAATTTTCATGAATATCAAGCAGAACAGAGGTTAACTGCATGGACTGAACTAATAGAAGACTGAAGTAATCCTTTTGGCTTCTTTGCTTAAAAAGTTGCTAATCTTTTGTTTTATTTTTCAGAGTCAAAGAAACTTTTGAGCTACTGACAGCTTTTAACAATTGAGTAAAGTATACTCTTGTGAACAAAATTTGGAGCATATTTACTTATTTCTCTCTTCCTGATTTCTCCAGAATTTGGAAACTATTAATGAGTATTCTTAACTTATGGCACTATAGTTATTTGCATAAGTGTAATAAGAATCTGTTTTCTTTTGTAACAAGACACAATTGGAGACACTGGTTATTTTACCAAGGTTTGACTGGAATGGCATGCTTTCCTCTAATAAGTCAAACTTGACTTATACAGCCAATTAAATCCCCTTGGGAAAACTGGCCTCATACCTTGTCTACACAGTCCCTGTACAGGGTTCCTGACATGTGATAAGTAAAAAGTATCACTTTCTCACAGGCCCAGGAACCCCATGTTATCTTGGGACCTCAACAGGAAAAAAGTTTACTCAACTCATAGGTATTTGATGGTAAAACCCATGGTTGGGCTTGGCTTTAAAAAAAATTATCTGAGATTCCTTTTATGAAACAAAAGTTCCATCAAAGCCAATTAAAAAGCCTATGTGGGACCGGGCACAGTGGCTCACACCTGCAATCCCAGCACTTTGGGAGGCTGAGGTGGGTGGATCACCTGCGGCCAGGAGTTCGAGACCAGCCTGGCCAACATGGTAAAACCTCATCTCTACTAAAAATACAAAAAATTGGCCAGGCATGGTGGCAGGTGCCTGTAATCCCACCTACTCAGGAGGCTGAGGCAGGAGAATCGCTTGAACCCAGGAGGCAGAGGTTGTAGTGAGCCAAGATCACGCCATTGCACTCCAACCTGGGCAACAAGAATGAAACTCCATCTCAAAAATAAATAAATAAATAAATAAATAAAGCCTATGTGAAAAATAATTATTCTTGCTGCCCTTTATACAAATAATCATGCCAAGTATAATAAAGCAAATTGGTACTACCATGATTTGTCTTTACTAAAAATGAAAGACTGAAGAGAGAAAAAGATTATGTTTCAAAAATTATAGTACACCTGTTATTAGATTCTAATCTCAAAAGTTGTTTTTAAGATTCTTTCTGAAATTTAGATTAACTCTGCTTATTCTTGTGAACCAACCAGTGATCTCTGGCTGCTGTTCAGAAGAAAAAAGAGGGATGGATACTGTAAAAATCTGGATCAATAGTCTAATTCTGAATACATATTGGAATCAGCTAGTGACCCCATATCAGGTTGGTTCCAACAATTTCCCAGTTCATGAAAAGCCTTCTTATTTAGTTTACCTGGGATAATTTTGCTTAATTTGCTTTACTGTTATGGAATATATTACTGTTGCACTCTTTGTATAGAAATGCAGTATTAGCTTATTGAATGTTTTCTTAAATTGAACACTTATTGATCTTCCAGATATCATCTGTTGGAACTCAAGAGTTATGAGTGGCCCTCAACATACTGACACTCTCTGACTGAGCTCCTCTCTACTCCAAATACAAGAGACCTTAATAGTTAGGTGGGAATATCATCGCCCCTATTCAGCCTGAAGAAGTTACAGAAGATTGATCTTTGTCCCTCTATAAGCTTTAGGATTAAAGGTTCCTTCTAAAAGGGAGGAGGGATATATATATCAGAGATGTTTGAATCAGAGTGACTCCATCTTGAATAGGGGCTGGGTAAAGTAAGGCTGAGACCACTGGGCTGCATTCCCAGGAGGTTAGGCTTTCTAAGTCACAGGGTGAGACAGGAGGTCAGCACAAGGTACAGGTCACAAGGACTTTGCTGGTAGAAGGATGTGGTAAAGAAGCCAGCCAGGACGCAACAGAACCAAGATAGCAATGAAAGTAACCTCTGCTCATCCTCACTGCTCAATATATGCTAATAATATTGCATTATCATGCTAAAATACACTCCCATCCAGCACCATGGAAGTTTACAAATGCCATGGCAATGTCAGAAATTTACTCTGTATGGGCTAAAATGGGAAGAACTCTCAGTTCTGGGAATTTCCCAGAACATTTGTTTATTTACTTCTCTAATAAACTTACTTTCACTTTATGGATTCACCTAGAATTCTTTCTTGTGGGAGAGCCAAGAACCCTCTGTTGGGGTCTGAATGGGGACCCCTTTCCAGTAACAACACGATAGAGTGCTCAGATATATAATTGTAATTCAAGGAAAGTGGAAAGAATTAGCAGCAATGTTGTAATCTACCACATCAAGGAAATAGTTTCAAGGAGGGAAAGATCATCAGGTCTAGTTATTTCAGAGGTGTTTCATCACATAAGGCCTGAACAGACTTCATCTTATCGGTCTAAAGAAAGACGTATTGCAGGAGAAGAAAATAAAAATATTTTAACCCAAAATATACTTCTTTGACATATTTTGAATGGCTACCACAGAGCTGGTGAAACAGAAGTGTCCTTGCAAAGCTGTCCTTTGTGGAGAAAATTTGCATCTGTTGAGAATCTCCATTAATGCAACCATGCCTTCCCTTTCTGTGCCTTCCTGGGATCCAGAAGAGATTGAGAGACTGATACCTTTAAAAGTCTAAAAAGAAATATTTACCTTCTATTCTTTCTGAGGATCAGAACCAACCTGCTTCATATCAGTGATTTTTTTTGGTGAAACTTCAGGGGGTCAAGAGCTTATGGCCTCCACACTGGTATTACTGGTGGGAGCATATCTTGGAGAATGGCAGGGACAGAAACTAAGGAATAAATAGCAGGTGAAAATGGTAATAAAATACTCTTGTAAGCCTGTATATTAAAAGAAGAGGAAACAAAAATAAGAGTATTTTGTTAGATTGCATGTATGTTGCTTTTTAGAATATGAGAAATTAGAGCATGCTTTTTCATCATCATTATGATGAAACTTTTATTGAGGGTTTACTATGTGATATACACAGTTTTAAGAGCTTTACATGCATTGTTTTATTTAATCCTACAATAAACCAATGAGATACTACTATCTTACCCATTTCACAGATGAGGTAGCTGTATAGCAGACACACCTGACAGCAATAACTCAAATGTACCCTGAAAAAGACCCTAAGGTCTAAGAAGAATGTGTATTCAGAGTTCTGAGCTAAGAAATCCAGGAGTGTCAACCCAGAGATTCATTCCTTATCTATGAAGGACATCTGACCTGGCCCATTCTTTGGAACACAGGCTGTACAGGAGATCAAGATCCTTTGTTTTGGGCTAAAGGTAGGTTGCTAGGTGGAGGGTGCTAAGTAAAAATGAGATATAAACTGTATACTTTTTACAAATGGTAATGGTTTTCCTGTCCAGCCCGCAATCCTAGACTGCCTTGTATGTAAGCCTCCAATAAACCCTAAGAAATAGGAATTTGGCAGGACGTATTTCACAAGATACAAATCACAAAGACCCCACTGGTAAAACAGGATGCAGTAAAGAAGCTGGTCAAAACTCGCCAAACCAAGATGGCAAGAAAAGCAACTTCTGGTTATCCTCACTGCTCATTATATGCCAATTATAACATATTAGCATGCTAAAAGACTCTCCCACCAGTGCCATGAGAGTTTACAAATGCTGTGGTAATGTCCAGAAGTTACCCTGTATAGTCTGAAAGACAGAAGAATCCTCAGTTCTGGGAGCTCCCACCTCTTTCCAAGAAAACTCATGAATAATCCACCCTTTGCTTAGCATACAATAAAGAAATAACTATAAATATAGTCACTCAAGCAGCCCATGCTGCTACTCTGCCTATGAGATAGCCACCTTTTGATTCTTTTACTTTTAAATAAACTTGCTTTCATTTTACACTGTCAGCTCACATTTGAATTCTTTTCTGCGCAAAGCCGAGAATCTATTTGGCCTCCTGGGCTGAGCCCCTATTTTGGAGTTCACCCTGCAGCACCTATGTCTTGTTCACTGGCTCCTAGTCTCTTCTTTGGCTTCTTAGGCATGGTGCCATTCTTGAGTCAAGAGAGGTCCAGCACAGTAGTAACTGGGACTCAGAGATAAAGTATATGGCCCAAGATGAGAAAGCTGATAAATGGCTCTAAAGCCTTGCTAATCAAATAGCAGCCTTGGTGTCTTTTGGAAGTTTGTTAGAAAGTTAGAATCTCAGGTCCTACGTCAAACTTACTGAAACAGGATTAACATCTACACCCAGGTAATATTTATTCATTAAATTTCCTGGTAATTGTTATTCATTAAAATATGAGAAACACTCTTTTAGAAGATATTTGTTGCTTTTGTTTATCTACAATCTATTCCCACATTGTCTAATAACTGTGTCTCATTTTTCTTTAAACTTTTCTTTAATTATCTTCTTCATAACAATCCCTCCACAATACAATTGAGAAATCACCAAATACAAGCAATCTTCATTGTTTGTGGATTCCATTTTTTGCAAATCTCCTACTCACTAAAATTTACTTATACCCCCAAAATCAATGCTCACTGCACTTTTGTGGATATTTGTGGACATGTGTGGAGTGACAAAAGATTTGAGTTTCCTCATATTCATTCCCAGAAAAGTCCAACAAGGCAATGGTTCATCTTGTTTCAGCTCTCCTACCATTAATGTGTCCTATTTATAGTCTATTTAGTGCCATATTTTCATATCTTTGCACTTTTGGTTAGCGATTTTGCTGTTTAAAATGGCCTCCAAGCCTGGGAGCAGTGGCTTACTCCTGTAATCCCAGCACTTTGGGAGGCCGAGGCAGGTGGATCACCTGAGGTCAGGAGTTTGAGACCAGCCTGGCCAACATGGTGAAACCCCGTACCTGCTAAAGATACAAAAAATTAGCCAGGCATGGTGACGGGTGCCTGTAATCTCAGCTATTTGGGAGGCTGAGGCAGAAGAATTGCTGGAACCCAGAAGGCAGAGGTTGCAGTGAGCCAAGATCATGCCATTCATACCATTGCACTCCAGCCTGGGCTGACAGTGAGACTCCATCTCAAAAAAATAAAAAATAAAAACATAACCTCCAAATGTAGTGCTAAAATGCTGCATAGTGTTCCTGAACAAAGAAAGGCTATGATTTGACTTACAGAGAAAATATGTGTGTTAGATAAGCTTAATTCAGGCCCGAGTTATAGTGCTCGTGACCATTTGTTCAATGTTAATTAATCAACAATACAGTCCATCCAGAAAGAGAAAGAGCATATCTGCTCATCTATATGTAATGCTCCTTCAGGAAGTGCTAAAGTAACATCTATCATAAATAATGAAACTATAGAAAACCAGCTAAATTTGTATATTTGTGAGATGGCCCCCAATTTAACAAAAGAGTAGTGGGCAGCATTGCTGTGAGGCTAGAAGCCAAAGAAATTTATGTCCACATCATTCAGAGTCAGGAAAATGTTAAATCCTTCTTGACCAGTCTTTAGTTATAAAGAAATACTATACATAATTAATTATTTATAAGAATGTTACCTTAAATATGGTATCTTCACAGAAATATACATTAGACAAGGTTATGTATTGATCAGTTGATAGAAATTTTGTGACTAGAGGCTTGCAGGAGCCTAAATTTGTATTTCCTTTAGGAACAATGTTTCAGTATTTGCTAATTCAGTGTTTGCAACAATTTTATAGAACAAAACTACTACAGAAAGTTGAATTGACTTTACTTACTATGAGCCAGCATTGTTCCTGGTGCTAGAAATACAAAATAAATAAAACAGATAATCCCTTCCTCTTGTGGGTCTTATTGTTTAGTGAGGGAGCTATATATTTATATGTAAAAGATGAATCAATACATAAGCACTGTACAAAAAGGTAAATCAGGGTGAGAGGACAGAGAGTGGCAGGGGCTGCTACGTACGATGGAAGGGCTAGATAAGAGTTCTCTAAGGATGGAGCATATGAGGAGAGAACTAAATAAAGTGAAGGGCAAGTCATGTGAAGATCTAGCATTTCAGAAGCTGAGAAAAAGTACAAATGCCTGGAGGCAAAACATGAATGAATCTTATTCATCTTTGGTTGTCCAAATACATGGTATGAGACTGGTACCCAGGAGACATTTAATCAATATCTTGATTGACTTTCTTATTCTTTTTGAGTACCTTAGTGTAGTTATCAACAGGAATGCTAAGGAAAGGGAACAGGAGAGGGGATTATTTATTTTGTTCTACTAAGGAATGTCATAAAACCATAGACCTAAAAGTTTGTAAGATTCAAGAAATCATCTAGTACATCAGATGAATATGATATAATTTCAGCAATTGTAGAGATAACCCCAAAAAGATTTGTCTAGGGTTGAAAGCCAGTAATTATAAGAGATGAGACTCCTAGCATAGAATATGTTTATAATTTAGGCAAGTATTTAAATTTAATCCAGAAAGAGATCCCATCAGGGCATATATATCTTGTAGAATAGGTTCTGTACTATACCTCAATAATTCTACTCTAAAAGATTGTCAATTTATTGTTTATTTTTTCCTCCCTAGTATAAGCAAGATTTCTTGCTCTAAAAGAATATGTTACTCAATGAGGCATATTATCAATTATTTACTTTTCTTTTGTTCTTTCATTTGTTTATTCATTGAGTTAATAAGAAGTTATTGTGTTCCTACTGTGGACCATGCAGTGTGTTAGTAATTAGGCTACAGAGACAATAAGTCTGGACAAATTGAATGAAAGGCTAAGCCCTGGAGCTACTCAGGGACTAGAAGCAAAACAATATTTTATTTGTACTTGAAATTTTACCTTATCTAATAAGGGCTGGGGCAAGAACACGATGATGAGTGAAATAGAAGCATCAAGATAATTGGAATCAGGCAGACCTGGATTACAACACAACTTCTCAGTAGCCTGCCAACTTGGGAAAATAAATTCTGAGATTCAGTTTAATCCTATCAAAATATAATTTCAGAAAAGTTAAAAACATAACCTATGTACAAATAAAAGGAGCATGTTTTAAAGATTTACATCAATAATGAGGAAAACTCCAGGTGATAAAACTGATTCAAAGGAGAACTCGAGAAACAGAGAGTTATATATCCTATCAGGCAAAGCATGCAGAAATAAATTTGCTAAATTGGAGACAAAACAATTTAATATCATACAGAGCAACAAAACCTTACATTTTTGAGTTATTTAGTTATTGGCAGAAATAATTGTCATTTCTACTGAACAATAATCTACAAGTTAACATGTATTTTAACAGAATTTGCTCCCTAATCAAAGGAATATTTCCTAAAAACCAAATAATCCTTGGTCTTATTGAACAATGGTACACTATGATTTTGAAAGCATATGTAGTCCTTCATTGTTTTATTTTTAAGTTTTGAATGATTTTTCTAACACCAAAATCCTAGAAATATTGTGCAAATTAGAAGCAACCCAATGCCTGGCATATAACAGATGCTCAACAAATGATAGTTAAGTGTCTATTAGGTTTTCTCCATCTTCCCCTATATAACTTATTCAAACTGTAACGAAGTCCCAAAAGGAAAGTATGAAAACAGCAGCATATTGTTTTGTGGATGATCCACAAAATGGCCTGTAGGCATATTCCTCCACATCTCAATGGTTGACAAGAAGCAGCATGGGACACCAGCATGACACCCTGAACAGTAAGAGGCTACTCTGCCATGTGGTTTGAGACAAGTTGCTCCTAATAGAAAATAGCATCGAAAACTAACCAAGCATTATTGATTTAGTGATGCCTGTTAATGTCGTTCTATTTTTTGGCCATATTCCTGCATTTCCAATTACTCTCCAGGTACTGCATAAGCAGCTCCGTTGGAAGGCTCCGTAAGTACACCACAGCATCTTCAATTGGTTTTAATATGTAAACGTGGCACTATTTAAATATTTCTTCTGCACAGATACTTTCTTTTCTCCTTATTACAAAAAAATTACTTAGCTCACAAAATTATCTGAACAGTAAGGTACAAATAAGGAACATTATTGTTTGCTGGTTGAGGAGATAAGCAGTTAAACATCTAGAGGTGAAGTGGAGGACAATTAACATCCCAGCCCACTCAATTATCATACAATGCCCACTTCTCAAGGAATTAAAGCTATTACAATCTGCTACTATGAATAAATGAGTATTTTAGCTCTCAAAGGGTAATGTAATAGTCTTGAAAATAATCTTTTTATGAGATTGTGGCTTTATCAGTTATAGTTTAGAGCCAGGATAAACACTGACTGTGTATCGAATTATAATGACCGCTGGAGGGTGCTTGCATTTGAGTTTCCAATATTATTAATTTTGCAGTTCTACTCTTCTTGTCTACTATGCTTTGTGAAATAAGTCCTGGCAAAGAGACTCCAGCTCAATTTTAATGCTTTCTTCCTTAGTGAATTTTAGCAGCAAATAAATTAAGTTGTAAAAACTGCCCAAAAGGAAATATTTTCTGAAGGACTTGTGGCACGATGTTTTTCAATGTAAATGGATGCCTAGGACAGCACGGTCTCTCTGACACTTAACCGTGCTGAAAACACTTAAGGACAGCTTAGGCAGAGCTTCAAAGAGAAAGAAAAACAAAAGAGAACACTTCGTCTGTGTGTGTGCTCTCAGTCTCATGAAATGTAGAGAAGCATTTTGTTTGTTTGTAGTGTTTAACGAAAATCTTCTTCCTGGGACATTTTGACCTAGTTCTTTGAATCTTTATCAACTGAGTTGTTGATTTCCTCTGCAGCTGCCAAGGTTCAGAGGGTTTTTTTCTTCATTTGACCAGCAGACAAAAGCAAAACCAAATACACGATGGCTTTAGAGAAAGCTAACTACAAAAGAAAGCCTTAGAGGGCCCCAAATAGTGGACCATATGTGAAATCAAATGGGCCAGCCATTAGCATCAGCTGTGAACATATTGCACCAACTGGGAATGAAAATAAAACATTCAACTACCAACTGTTATAATCTGTAAATAGTCAAACTAATTCCTGTGGGCTCCCAAAATACATGCAAAGGGTGCTCATCAGGACCCCATTGTCCGGTTCACAGGTAAAGTGGCTTATTTGTTTCTTGAAAAACATGTAGAGTAGAAAGACTGAATAAAAAAAAAAAAAATCTGTGTGGTTTAAAAGACTCCAGGGATTTAGGAAACTGTATCCAAAGATTACAAACTGAGGATAATGAAAGGGTAGTGAATTTTGATGCAACTTTTCAACACAGATATCCCAAGTCTAAAATTCCCTACAGTCAAAAACTGGCAATGAACCCTAGGAAATTTATAGAACATACCAAAGCTCCTGAGAATTTAGTTTGCAGCTGGCAAGGGTTTACCTAACTTCTAGTTGCCTCTCATTTAATAATGTATGTAAGGAACAGATGGATAGAGTGTTCCTAGGTGGACTAGGCTCTCTCTAGTATCAGTAGCAATGAAAACCTGGACTTTGAATATTTAATTGCAGAAGAAAATTAAGTCCTGAGAAAAAATTAGACATCATACATGCAGTATATAGCTTTGCTTTAATGTAAGTATTTAATCCTAAAGCAAGTGTTTCATCCAACAAAATTTAGCAAGACTAATCAAATGTTTAAAAAGCATATATACATACATATGTTTTTACTTAAAGCAAACACACTATATTTAGATCTATTAAAATTGCATGTATGTAGTAGAGATTAGTACTGATTACACTAATAGTTGTCTTTTAATGATAAGACAAAGTTGCTCAGAAGGCAAGAAAAATCCTTTGTACCAACTACTTCAGTACTGAACACAAAACACAAAGAGTTGGCTTTGCCACTTTTTTGCTGTATGACCTTGGCCAAGTCTCTAAATGACTTAGAGTCTCATTTCTCATCTGTAAATAAAGATGATAACACCCACCCTGCATACTCAGAGGGTTTCTGTGGGAGAGACAACAGATGTCATTTAAATTGTTGAGTGCAATGTAATGTGCACTCATTCTGCTAGGCATCACCCTGGCAATATGGACATAGCTCTCTTCCTAAGGACTTCTCAGACTAGTTGAAAAAGTGACACATAAATGTATAATTGCAATACCCTGTTGTAAATGAAGGGATAAATATACTCATGGTGTTCAACAGGAGCAGAGCCTGGGAAAACGGAGCATTAAAGGAAATTTTCTTGAAGGAAATGACATCTGAGTTGGATCTTAATGATAAAGCATATTATACATTAGGGATGTGCTACTGAAACAAATTTTATAATTGCTGTGGGAAATAATATGTAAATATACACAACATAATGAACATAGATGTAATACTGTGATATAAATAATATAAAATATAAGTTTATGTTTATACAATAAATATAACACATAATTTTAGTATTAAGTTAATATAAAATACATAAAAACAATATAAAGCCAACTTCAGAAGAAATTTTGTTAGTGTTATATTGTACAGTTTACCATACTTAGGTATCAATATGACTTACATTTGAGAAATAATAAGGTTTCATGTCTGTTATAGCTGATTAAGCTATCAGATCTGATCTTTTCCAACTCAGATAAAAACTTTAAGTTCTAGACAAAGTACAAAATAAAACAATAATCTGAAGGCACTGGCAATTGAACAAAAATTACCAGCACCTGGAAGGCAGTCAAAATATGAGGAATGGAACAGTACAAGATGAGTTATACATTTTTGTGACTTTCAACCTGAGGACAGGCTGAAGATAGTACTACATGGGTGGTTAACACCCCAATAGAAAATTCTGTTTTTCTGACCTACAAAATCAGATGTGAGAGATAAACAGACTGCTAGAAAGTAAGTGGTAAATACTAGAAAAGAGAGAGTTGAAGAAGGAGGGTCCTATATTAGATACACACATGTGCATGAGCACACACACACACATGCACACGCACTAGCCTAGTCTGTTGTTGCTGACCCCTGGGGAAAAAAGGCATGCATGAATTGTATAAAAAACAGTCCAGTTAAAGATAAAAATAAAATCAAAACAGAGTTTTGAGCTGAAACCCAAAATATAAAAGTTTTCAAGTTGAATCCAAATGCTAATTGTCTGATAAAACAAAGACATTAATACTCTACAGAGAAAAAAATAATAGAATCTGAGGTCTTCACAGAAAAAAAAATGTTCAGAATACTATCCAAGATTACTCAACCTATGAATAATTAGAAAAGTGTTCCCCATTTTCCAGAAAAAGACAACCAACAAAAATCAACCTCAAGTTTACCTTAGTGCTAGAGTTAACAAGTAAATTGTATACAGCAGCTATGGTACAAACGTAATTGCAATTTTTGCCATTAAAAGTAATGGGAAAACCCGCAATTACTTTTGCACCAACCTAATATTATAACTATGGTCATTTAAATAAATAAAACATTATTGCAATACTGAAAAAAGTACTCTCAACCAAGAATGGATAATTTATTAAAACACCAAATCTAACTTCTAAACTGAAAATTACAATATCTGAGATCAAAATTTTTCAGTTGGCTAAGCTTAATTAAGAATGAAGAACTAGAAAAAAGAGTTGAAGACTGAAAATAGATCAATAGTAATAATTCAATATGAAGAAGAGAGAAAAAAATGCAGAACCCTAAAGATCTGTGTGTAAGTATCAAAAGAGGAGGAGAGACAGATGGGATAAGGACATATTGGTGAAAGACATAACTTTACAGATTTGAGAAACTCAGCAAACATCAAAAAGGATAAATATGTATAAATCCACAGGCACAAAACATTTAAACTGCTGAAAACCAAAGAAACAGAAAATTATTGAAAGCAGCAAAAGTAAAATGACATATTATATATAATGAGCTATGATTTGAAATCCACTGACTTCTTAAAGAAACTGTGGAAGACAGAAGATGGTGGTGAAACATTTTTAAAGTGCTGAAAACAAAACAAAAAAACCTCACCACCCAGGATTCTATACTCAGTGAATATATTTTTCAATAACGAATATGAAAGTAACTTCATATTTAAAAAATAAAATTCAGGAGAATCTGTTTTTAACAGATCTGAACTAAAACAAATGGTAAATGAAGTTCCTGAGACTAAAAGGAAATGATATCCAATAAAAATACAAGTCTTCAGGAAGAAAAAAAAAAAAAACAGAAAGAATATCTGAGTAAATAAAATGGACTATTTTTTCATTTTGTATAAAATGTATATGACAGTTTCTAACACATATTATTGCATTGTATGTATTGTGAGGGATTATAATTTATCTAGATATCACATATATGGCAATTATGGCATAAAGAATGGAAGAACAATAAATGGATCTGTAGGATGCAAGATTCCTATATTTTACATGATGTGGTATAATATTTACTCTAAATAGACTGTGAGACCTTAAGGATATATATAATGCAAAGAGGTAGAGTTAAAAGAAATCAAATAGATATATTAAGGTAGAAGTCTAAAACAATATTCAAATAATCCATAAGAAGGCAGGAAGGAAGAACAGAGGAACCAAAACCAGAAGCGACAAAAATAAATAAATAATAAAATAGTAGAACAACATACATTCATATTGGTAATCACAAAACATATTAATGAAATACATGTTTCAATTAAAATGTAGAGATTGTCAAAATGAATAAGACTATAAAACCCAACTAAACACTGCCTGAAAAAGATGCATTTAAAATATAAATACACAGAAATGTGGAAAGGAAATGGTTAAAAAATTTTATACCATGTAAATAGTAATTGTAAAATAGCTGAAATAGCTGGACATTAATATCAGATAAAATAGACTTAAAGATGAAAAATATTAACAGAGATCATAATCACTTCAAAATGATGAAAAGTTCAATTCATCAGGAAGACATACATTATAAATCAAAATACATAAATAAAAACTGACAAAATGGAAGAGAAAATAGGCAATGTCAATATCATAATTGGAGTTTTAATACCACTCTCTTGACAACCGAACTACACAAATATTTAATAAACACACAAATGATCTGAAAAACATCACTGACCACAAAGGCTTTATTGATATGTATAGAATATCATAATCTGCAACTACAGAATGCAAATTATTTTGAATTATACATGGTGTGTGTAATTGTGTAATGTTGATTATAGTGTCTTTTGGAGAAAATGTGTGTATTAGGTAAACTTCACTCAGCAATGACTGAGACAGTGTTGTTGGCAATGAGTTCAAAATTAATGAATCCTACATATTGAATAATATGTCTTTAACCAGAAACACACACATAAAACAATATAATCAAGATTATATCTTGACTGATTGATATATATATATCAATAATCTGACTGATTAAAGTTTGGGGACCAGAGGCTCAAAGGAAGCTAACCCTTTATTTCCAGGAGCAATAGCCAGTATCCTCAAATTCAGTATTTGCGATGACTTTGTAGATCATAACTACCATAAATAAAAAGAATCAACTGTATATGAGTGAACAATCAGCACATAAAATCTGTTCAACAACATTGGTCATCAGAAAAATACACATTAAAACTATGATGAGAAACCACTATAGATCCAACCAAAATGGCTAGAATTAAAAAGACTGACACCAAAAAATAATGGTGAAGTTTTAGAGTAAGTAGAATTTATACATTGTTAGTGAGAATATAAAAGATGCAAACAAATCTGGCAGTTGTTATAAAAATCATCATATGCCTGTACAATGACCCTGGTATTTATCAAAGAGATACAAAATTTTTCATAGCAGCTTTGTTCATAATAGCCCAAGTCTGGAAATAGTTCAGATATCTATCATTAGGAGAATAGATAATGAAACTGATAGATTTATAGAATGAAATGATACTGAGCAATTTAAATGAAAAAAAGTCATGTATACACAATTCACAATATGAATCTCAAAAATGTTATAGTAATTGAAAAATATTTATACAGAAAATACAACTGTATGGTTTTATTTACATGATTTTTTTTTTTTTTGAGATGGAGTCTCACTCTGTTTCCCAGGCTGGAGTGCAGTGACATGATCTTGGCTCACTGAAATCTCAGCCTCCCAGGTTCAAGCATTCTCCTGCCTCAGCCTCCCAAGTAGCTGGGACTACAGGCACATGCCATTACATGAAATTCTAAAACAAGTAAAAATAATCTATGGTGGTGGGACTGGGTTTGAATTTGCAAATTGATCAGAAGATGACATTAGGGATTGTTCTAGGGTTATGGTAATGTTCTTGAGAGGTATTTGGCTTATACAAATGTATTTATTTGTCAAAACTCATGATTTTACATTGCTAAAAACACACTATTATCTACTCCATTTTATGTAGATTTTATACCAAAAGAAAAATTGCAGATGTTGAATTGTAATTAATCATATGCATGTTAAATTATTTAGGAAGATAAATACTGATGACTGTAATTTACTGAGAAATGTGTCAAAAATAAAATTGATTTATAGGTGGATAGATGTATATTTAAGTGAATAGATATGTGATAAGCAAGTGTAATAAATGTTAATTATAGAATCTAGGTGGTAGGTATACAGATATGCACTGTAACATTTTTTCAAGTTTTTTTGTATGCTTGGATTTTTCATAATAAAATGCTGAAAACAAGTAAGAAGAATGACTTATTAACATGCCAAAATTCATACCTATACAGGAGTATTTATTTCTAAAAAAATGATCATGAGACTCTACGTACTCAATCCAATTTTGTGTCATTTGCTTAAAAAAGAAAAAAATTGTCTGTGACTCCTCTTTTAGTGTTGCCTTCAGGAAATAGTACGTAAATCACAGAAGAAAATCAGTGTTCTTATCTTTTAGTCACATCTAGTATTCTAATTCCATATGCTATTATTGAAAAGAATGATCTTACTTTTTTCTATAGACTTGGCTGCAGCTAACTTCTGAGTATTACCAAAAGAAGATCTACTCTCAAAAGATAAAGTAGTTTTGCCACTGAGAATGCTTCTAAAATCTTTAAGCTTGGAAGGCAGGCTCCAAAAGAAAGTTCCAAAAATTTTCTAAACAATGCAGCATCATTAAAATTCCTGTGTAACACTACAGTACAACTACCTTAAAAAGGATGACCCTAATTCTTTTCTTCTTCCGTCCATCTGTCTTCTATTTTCTCTCTCTCTCTTTTTCTTGAATCAATAAATATTTGAGCACTAGTTTAGGTGCCCAAATGAGAAAAATTAAATATTATTCTAGGCATCGAAGAAATCAGTTGAGTGGAAGAATCAAGCACTTGGAAAAAGAAAAATTACAGTGCAACATATTGTGAGCAAAACGTTATATTTGCATATGTAAATTCTGGTGTTAACTTAAAACCTATCCTGGTACTTTGCATTCATATCTGGTAAATACATGTTGTCCTCTCACATTTAATATCTTTAACTTTCTTTATATTTTGGTCCTAATTCACCATTATTTCTTAAGCCATTACCTTCCAGTCATAAATATATAGATAGTTAAGACTTGACTTAATCCTCTCCTCATTCTTTTCCTTCCAAATTCATGGAAATTTCTTTTCAATTGCTTCATTACTGTCACTGCAATCACAAGTTCATGCCACAGGTAATAATATTTCTTTTTTATTTCTCTCTACTTTACATCTCATATTTAACTAGTGAATAAGTCTAAATGATTATTTCTTGACAAGGTAACATAATTTTCATTACAAAGTCTCAAAAATATATACTACTAATTGATACCCATGGAGATTCTATAACAAATCAATCACAAAAATAACCAAACCTCCATGCATTTAATAATTTAAAAATATTCTGCTAAACAATATTCTGCTCAATGGGGAGATTTTTAAAAGAAAATTATAAAAGAAAGCAATGTTGAGAGAAAAACTTATGGCAACCAGAACTCTACCAATGGCAAGAGGTAGTTAAGTGAGTAAGGGTATTTGAAGCTATTTCTGTATTAAAATAAAAGAAGAATATATGCAATTGTGCCTAAATTTCAGCAGTGATTAATTCTGGGTGGTGAAGACATGGGTTATTGCTATTTTCTTTTTTGGGTTGTTCTGTATTTTTTAAATTTCAAAAAGTGAAAGATCAAGAGAGAAAGGAATGAAGAAAGGGAGGAAAGGAGAAAGAAAAGAAAAGAGGAAGAAAGGAAGGAAAACAAAAGGAAGGAAAGGATCATCCTGATGATACTTTGAATAACACCTTAGAAAAGGTAGGATAATTGAGACAAGACAGAAGGCTAGTAAAACAATAAAGGTGAGACTAGATTAAGAAAAAGAAAGAGAAAGAGAGAGAGAAGAGGAAGAAAAGGAAGAAGTGGAGGAGTTCATGAGGGAGAAAAGAAAAGAAGGGAAAGATAGAGAAACAAAAGATCCAAAAACCTGTGTGGACGCACTGGAAATGAGGATGGGGAGAAGTTATCAAATAGGTAGACTTAAAAGAATTCGATGACTGTTTGGATGGCAGTGTAAAGAGAATAAAGACATTTTTAACTTCGCTGTTGTTCCATGTGTAGTCGTCATTAATTAGGCATCTCAGGAAGACTAAAAGAGTTGCCATTTATGAAGAAGATAGAATAACAGCAAGGTGAGTGTTCAACTTGCTGAGTTTGAAGTACCTGTGAGATGGCCAGGTGGACTTGTCTAGGAAGCCTTTGGAGGTAAAGATCTGAAGGTAATGAACAACTAAGTTGTCATTATGAATGTGGAAATTATCAAAGGAAGTAGTAGCTAAAGAATTAACTCTGAATAAGATTTTCCAGAAAGTCTGTTTAGAGAAGTGGTTCCTAAATTCAATGTGATAAATACCTTTGGAGTAATATTAATATGGTTTTGCTCTGTGTCCCCACACAAATGTCATCTTGGCTTGAAATCTCCATATGTCAAGGTAGGGACCCAGTGGGAGGTGACTGGATCATGGGGGCAGTTTCCCCCATACTGTTCTCATGATAGTGAGGGAGTTCTTACAAGATCTGATGCATTTAAAAGTGGCAGTTTCCCCTGAGCTCGCTCTCTCTCCTGCTGCTTTATGAAGATGTGCCTTGCTTCCTCTTCACCTTCCACCATGATTCTAAGTTTCCTAAGTCCTCCCCAGCCATGCAGAAATGTGAGTTAGTTAAACCTCCTTTCTTTATAAATTACCCAGTCTCAAGTAGTATCTTTACAGCAGTGTGAAAACAGACTAATACAGAGAATTGGTACCAGGAGAGAGCACTGCTATAAAGATAACCTAAAATTGTGGAAATGACTTTGGAACTGGGTAACGGGCAGAGGTTGGAGCAGTTTGGATGGCTTAGAAGACAGATGGAGAAAAGTTTGGAATTTCCTAGAGAATTGTTGAATGGTTTTGACCAGAATGCTGGCTCATGGTAATATGGACAATGAAGTCCAGGCTGAACTGGTCTTGGATAAAGATGAGAAATTTACTGAGAACTGGAGTAAAGGTCACTCTTGCTATGATTTTGCAAAGAGACTGGAGACATTTTGCTCCTGCCCTAGAAATCTACAGAACTTTGAATTTGAGATGATGATTTAGGGTATCTGGCAGAAAAAACTTCTAAGCAGCAAAGCATTGAAGATGTGACCTGGGTTCTCTTAAAAGCATTCAGTTTTGGCTGGACATGGTGGTTCACACCTGTAATCCCAGCACTTTGGGAGGCCGAGGTGGGCATATCACATGAGGTCAGGAGTTTGAGACCAGTCTGGCCAACATTGTGAAACCCTGTCTCTACTAAAAATACAAAAATTAGCTGGGCATGGTGGTGAATGCCTGTAATCCCAGCTACACAGGAGGCTGAAGCTTGTCACTTGAACCCGGGAGTTGGAGGTTGCAGTGAGCCAAGATTGCACCACTGCACTCCAGCCTGGGTGACCAAAAATAGCATTCAGTTTTATGCATTCACAAAGAGAGAGTTTGGAATTGGAACTTATGTTTAAAAGGAAAGCAGAGCATTAAAGTCTGGAAAATTTTTATTGCAGCCTCAGAATGCAATAGAAAATAAAAAAACATTTTCTGGGGAGGAATTCAAGCCAGCTGCAGAAATGTGCACAAGTAATGAGGAAGTGACTGTTAATTACAATGACAATAGGAAAAATGTCTCCAGAGCATTTCAGAGATTTCCAAGGCAGCCCTTCTCATCACAGTCCCAGAGACCTATGAGGAAAAATGATTTCACAGGCCAGGCCCAGGGCCCAGCTGCTCTGTGCAGCCTCGGGACTTTGTGCCCTGGGTCCCAGCTGCTCCAGCTCCAGCCATGGCTATAAGGGCCAAGGTACATCTCGGGCCACTGCTTCAGAGGATGTAAGCCCCAAGCCTTGGTGGCTTCCACATGGTGTTGAGCCTGTGGGTGTGCAGAAGAGAAGAGTTGAGCTTTGGGAGCTTCCACCTAGATTTCAGAGGATGTATGGAAACGTCTGGATGTCCAGGCAGAAGTGTGCTGCAGGAGCAGACCCCCTCATGGAGAACCTCTACTAGGGCAACACAGAGGGTAAATGTGGGGTTGGAGCCCACCCACAGTCACCACTAAGTCACTGCCTAGTGGAACTGTGAGAAGAGGGCCACTGTCCTCCAGACCCCAAAATGGTAGATCCACCAACAGCTTGCACCAGGTTCCTGGAAAAGCTGCAGGGATTCAATGCCAGGCCATGAAAGCAGCTGCAGGGGCTGTACCCTGCAGAGCCACAAGGACAGAGCTATGCAACACCCTTGGAGTCCACTCCTTGCATCACTGTGCCCTGGATTTGAGACATGAAGTCAAAGGGGATCATTTTGGAGCTTTAAGATTTAACAAGTGCCCTACTGGGTTTTGGACTTGGATAGGGCCTGTGGCCCCTTTTGCTTTGGCCAATTTCTTCCATTTGTAATGGGAACATTTACCCAATGCCTGTACCCCCATTATCTCTTGGAAGTAACTGACTTCCTTTTGATTTTACAGGCTCATAGGCGAAAGGGACTCAGCTCATCTCAGATGAGACTCTGGACTTGGAGTTTTGAGTTAATGCTGGAATGAGTGAAGACTTTGGGGGACTGTTGGGAAGGTATGATTGGTTTTGAAATGTGAAAGGAACATGAGATTTGGAAGGGGCCAGACGGTGAATAATATGGTTTGTCTCTGTGTTCCCACACAAATCTTATTTGGAATTGTAATCCCTGTGTGTCAAGGGAGGGACCTGGAGGGAGGTGATTGGATCATGCGGGCGGTTTCTCCATGCTATTCTCTTGATAGTGAGGGAGTTCTCATGAGATCTGATGTTTTAAAAGTAGCAGTTTCCCCTGACCACTCTCTCTCTCTCTTTCTCTCCCTCTCTCTCTCTCTCCCCACCTCCACTGCCTTGTGAAGACATGCCTTGCTTCCTCTTCACCTTCCACCATGATTGTAAGTTTCCTGAGTCCTCTCAAGCCACGTGGAACTGTTGGTAAATTAAACCTCCTTTTTAAAAAGAAATTACTCAGTGCTTATAAAGTATCTTTATAGCACTGTGAAAACAGACTAATACAGAGAATATGAAAGCAACTACAGTCATGGAAAACAAAATGCTATAGTGTGATACAGTATGACTCTGGGGTCCATCTTGGAATCCAGGTAAAATGCTCTTGATGTAGAGCAAGAAGAAAACACTGGCAAGGGCAGAATCCCTAAGGAAGACCAACAGTAATGAATAGGCTGAAAAATTAGAATGATCCTCTTAGATTATAAATTCCATCCATTTAGTCCATATGTATTCTGTAATACAGAGTTCACCAACACCTAACATATCAAGTTAACACTGCAGCCTAGGTTTAAGGACCATCAGTTTGGTGAAGTCTTCTTGTTCACCCCAGCATCCTGTCATATTCATCTTTCCTGTTTCTCCACTTCTTAGAAGTCAGTTTGCCGATCCCCTCACCTATGATTTTGAGTTTCTGTTGCCTGTATTTCTGTTTGAGAGTCCAACATTTTTTGCTCTTGTAAGTCTAAAGCAGTCTTCAAAATCTTCCTGTTCCATGGGGCATTTCCTGATTAACCCTCACCTTTCAGTGATCATGCATTAAATCTTTGCAAATTGATGGACAGATCTGTCACCACTTTCTTTCATGTTCCCTATTAGTACCTAGTAAAGAGCAATTCTCAGTGCATATCAGAGACTTAACATGTCTACTTAAATAGACAATTAACATGTGTCTACTTAAGTATAGTTTAAAATATATTTAACAAACAAAGGGGTCATAGAATAAAAGAAGCACTTTGATAAAAATTGTATCCTGGGTCTTTCTAATATGAGGAGACAAAAATAAGTCAACATACAAAGATGGTTTTTTTTTTCCCAGTTGTCTTAGCAAAAGCCCTTTTCTCCTTTAATCTATGCCCTGAAGCCATGGTACTGCACTATCAAAGATCTCATTTATTTCAGGTTTAAGAAAGCCAACTGACCTAGATACTAAGTCCTTCTAAAGGAGCTATATCAGAACTCCTTGACACAAAAGATACTTTCATTTTACATTTCATAAGAAAAGCAAATTACCATAGCAGTTCACCTGAAAGAGTGCATAATGAATAAAAGGGTCAAAATTCAGCATAAGTAACACATGCATTTTTTGCTTCTACAGTGCCACTTTTGAAACTGGCTTTATTTGAAATGGTTACTTTAGAAAAGAACCCAATGTATGCAACAAAAATGCATTGCATGTAGCATTTTGAAATTCATCTCCTGTAGTCGGTCTATGGTCATGATAAAACAGAGCCCATAGTCACAGAAATATAGAAAATTATCTGAACTAATAGAGGGGCATAGAGGTGGAGATAGCTCCAAAAAATAAATCTCTTTATCTTTAGAATACGTATACTTATATATGACTACAATTTTACTATAGGTGTGGAAGAGCTACCTATTGAGTTTACACTTAACCAGATGCCTGTAGTGTTAATGTTCATGAAGGACTTTCAATTAAGCAGAGTAGGTGTTTTTGTCAACAGGAAATGAAAAGCAAGACTTGCCAAGGGAAGTTGAGAGTTTACACGTTTCCCATTGCAGACTGGCAATTTCTCACCCAAATCAATGGGATATATGCATGTTTTGGGGGATGCTTAAGGAAATCACCATGACCGATGAGTACATGTCACTCAAGCAGAATTAAATGTCTGGATTTTCAGCATTTTCAGCTAGTTTTGAAACCAAGTGAAAGGAAATTAACTGCAATTGAGACTTTTCTTTGCCTTCTTCCAGTCTCTCCATAAATCTGCTACAGTTACTAAAGCCACATGTTTTTAAATTCCAGTGTTCTTCCTGGTGCCTTATTATTATTGTTTCAGTTTTTTATTTCTGATTTTGGTGACTTCTACCCCCTCTTCCTCCTACCAAATATCACATACAATAAGGGAAGGCAGAGTCTTTTGTTGAGTTTTTCTGTGCCCTACTTCTGCAGCTGGCACCTCATCCCCCGCTGCACTAAATCGACACTTCTGGAAGTAGCAGCTTCGGAGTGACTGACGAGAGCCATTGCTTGCCCAAGTGTCAATTTAGTGCAGCAGGGGATGGAGTAGCAGCTGCAGCAAAAGAGAGACCTTATTTCATACTTAGAAAACAATTGCAAAAAAATGCCAGAGGGAGGGGAAACTGGCCAGAGAATAGAAAGGATGAGCAAGAGAGAGAGAGAGAGAAAGAAAGGAAGGGAAAGGGAAGCAAAAAAAGATGGCGAAGCAGAGGAGAGAAAGAAAAAATCAATCAATGAAAGTCAGAAGGAGAGAAACTGAAGGAAATAGCAAGGAAGAATGAATCAAAGGTAACTTGTCCTAGGGTAATAATACTTTGTTTCTTTAATTTTAGAAATATCTTTCACATCATAAGCATATTTTGTATACAACATTGTATTAAAATTATATCAATTCTTCCCCTTTTTCTTTTTAAAATATTCTGTAAACATTTCCAGTCATATTCACACACAAGGACATGCTTGGAACAGACATTTCACATAGACAACGGACTCTTAGTAGTGGCTGCTGATATTTCTAGATATAAAGGCAGATATTTCCAAAAATCCATTCAAAAAAGATTAAAGGTTGTTATGTGTGCACACACACACACGCACACATAAGTATAGACATATACATACATTAATCCACGTGTTACTTCTAATCTGGCTCTTCCAGTTTCTCTGTTGTGTCATAGTTGTAGCCAACTTCTAACTCTTCAAAAAAACAATGAAAGTTAGAAAATACTTTCCGAAGTTTATATAGTCATCTTAAACAATTAGTCAAAGACAACTCAAGTCAGTCCAAAACAATACTTACAACTATTTAACTGAATCAATCATACGGTATTTTAACCAACTTGGTTTGCACATATGACTGCAGATAATTCCAGTTTGATTCTTACTGAAGAGGGAATTACTTCAAATCAATGTTTTTCAAGTGTATTCCACAAATAAACTATTTTAGTCTCAAACAACTTAGAGAAATTCTGTATGCTCTGTAATCTGTATGTTGGTGGCCAGAACACAAAAGAAAAATATCTGCAAACATTTTCATTTAAAAAGGCAGTAACTGTTGATGAGGTCAAATATATAATCTAAATATGTAAAACTAGAATACACAAATGGTGGTAGCAGGTACAGGTGGAGAGCACAGAGGAACTAAGAGAGGATTTTATTATTGAGTAATAATTGGAGAAGTATAAACTAAAACATGTTTTAAAAATGTAAATGTAAAGATAAATATTTAAAATAAGATCACTAAAATAAAAACAAGGTGCACATTTTGCAGTAGATTGGAAAAACAGAAAATGGCAATAAGGCATTTTTTAGAAAGCATTAAACTAAGCATCAAAAATAGAACTAAATAAATTAGTAAAGTCAATATATGTAATTGGGTTGAAAAAGTATATCAAAAGGAAATTCTCCCTTGCTAAGGCAAAACCAGAATCCCACTCTGTCTTGTAAAAGTGACTCATAAAACAGGACTGTAAGGAGCAAATATGGGAAAGCAGATATCAAGCAAACTCAAGTCAGTGAAAGAAAACAAAATGAAGGATGAAATGAGAAGATGGAGAACAAAAATAGTGCTAAGATTACAATTATAAATCAAATAATCTAAGAGTTGAAGGCAAAACTGCATTAAACAGGACCAAGAGGGTCAGTTGTATGTCAAAATCCATCACCATATTATATTCAAGGCACAATATGAAACTTTTTAATGTGTTGGCAAAATTGAAGGCCAAAAAATGTGGGCCACTGAACCACACTACACTAGTGAACTGTAATTATACAACTAAGGTTACTTTTATTTCACCGTGTAGAAACATCCACATAATCACATAACAATGCTCTTTGGCACAGTGTCATTTTAAATAGAACCATGTTTTCTTACATGCTCATGGAACAACCTTTTTTTTTAAATTTATTCCAGCAAATCACAAATCGTCTTTCATTCACAGCAAAGTGTACCCATAGTCTACCATTCTGTAAAATCTACTCAGCTCAATTCTCTAGCATGATTAAGAACTGATAACATATATTGAATGCTTACTGTGCACCAGGCACTATTCAAAGAATTTTGCATGTGTGAACTCATTGAATTCTCACTAGAATGCACTTATTTTACCTGATAGATATGATGATAACCTAACACAACAAATAAATTGTCCAAGACACATACCTAGTTAGTGATGAAGCAGCATTTGAGTCCAGATGATCTTGAATCTGTGATCCTTATCACTACACTATCTCACCTTTTGGCACTTATTTATGTTTCTGTGACAGTATAGATATTTAGTTGTAGCAAAAGTAAATTTTACACATCGACAAAAAGATGGAAGAATGCCTGCAAAATTTTGTGGTGAACGCAGAGATGATATTTCTTAACATTTGGGGAAGGGATAATTTTTCAGAAATATTCTGGATTGTAGCTGTAATTACTCTTTTTCATCTTATTTTTTTAATACAAATATATGATGGAGATTGTCTCATATTAGTACAAACAGAAATATTTATTGGCTGGGCACAGTGACTCACGCCTGTAATCCCAGCACTTTGGGAGGCCGAGGTGGGTGGATCATTTGAGGTCAGGAGTTCGAGACCAGCCTGACCAACATTGTGAAACCCTGTCTCTACTAAAATACAAATATTAGCCAGGCCTGGTGGCAGACACCTGTGGTCCCAGCTACTTGGGAGGCTGAGGCCCATAAATTACTTGAACCCAGGAGGCAGGGGTTGCAATGCACTGAGATCATGCCACTGCACTGCAGCCTGGGCAACAGAGTGAGACTCTGTCTAAAAAAAAATAAATTAATTAAAAAATTTTATAGTTATATATCTATCATCGAATTCTGCTACTATAAACATATAGGTTATATGCAGTACTTTGCCCCAAATAATAGGGTAATGTATCATATTTCACATAAATAATATTGTAATAATTCAAGTACACCTTCTTGTATAAAATCTACAGTTAGATGATGCAATAGAAAAAGAAACACCCAGTAGCAAGGAAAAGTTTAGAGTATCTAAAATAATTCAATCAACAGTATTTAAAAACAAGCTATGGAATTGCTGGATGAAAGGGTATGACTATGTGCATTTCAAATTTTGGTAAGTATTTCTGATGTGCTCTTCATACAGCTTGAAAGAATTTTCACTCCCTCCTACATTTAAAGTTTCCCTATTTTCCCACTATAGCTAACATAAACTTTGGATATTCACCCATCTAAGTGATAAAATTTATCTCTTAATTTTCCCTTGCATTTTTCTTATTGTGAGTAAGTTGGAGCATTTTGGAGTTTAAGACTGGCTTTCCTGATCCATGAGGAAGTTGTAAAAATTACTTGCCCAAATTTTGTTGCCTTCTTCAACTTATTCTCATTCATTTCCAGGTGCTCTTTATGTATCGAAGTAATTATTTCTTTTTCTGAGTTGAGTTGCATTTGCTTTTATTTTTATACTGCCTGTTTATCTTTTGACTTAGGTTTTTCATGATTTTTCCAATCTGGAAATTTTATCTAACTGAATTCATCAGTCTTTACTTATATGGCTTTAGATTGTGGTATATTTCTTAGAAGCACTTTCCCCACTCTGAGATTTTAAAAAATGCTACCATAGTTGTTTCTAGGAATTTAGGTTTTTAAATTTTTTAACATTTAAATATTTGATCTATGTAAAATTTTTAAATTAGAATCCAACTTTATTTTTTTTCTCCAACTGGTTACTCAGTTGGTCCAACACTATTCTTTGAATGATTCATCTTTCTTTTGTTGATTTAACATGTTACCATTGTCAAATAAAGTAGTTCAGTGTGATTTAAACTTTCAATACTTTTCCTTGGAAGTTTTTGAGAATGTTTTGATTAATAAAGCCACATAGTTCCTTCTCATTATTTTTTATTTCTCTGGATTTAAAGAATTTTTAATTTTTATCCATAGTTTAATAGTAGCGTATCTAATTTTTAAAAATTTTGCTGAGATCATGCTAAATTTATAAAACAGCTTAAATAGAAGTAATATCATTATGAATGAATTTTCCTTTCTGAAAACCAAATATTTTGTTATTTTGTGTCATTTATTGCAGTTTTATTGTTTCTTCATATAACCTGTACATTTCTGGTTAAATTTATACATAGATACTTTATATTTTTCAATTATTATTAACAGAACCATTATTTTCATATATCTTCTAATGCATTGTTGTTTGTGGATATGGGGGCTATTCATTTCTGCTTATGCATTTTGTACTGAAACATTTACCAAAGTTTGTGTTGAATCTTTCAATTTTCCAAGTAAATACAAAGAGTTGCCATTTCCTTCTCCTTTATGATATATATATATATATATAATCTATTTCTCTTGTACTTAACAATTTTAAAAAGATTTCCCTAATTTAATTGTTTTGTCATCTAGGAAGTTAAAACCATATTTGAAATACAGTGGAATAATAAATATAATGTAGGCAATACTATATTTCAAGACAAATTTGTAGCCTAAAAGATTTTCATTATTAAGCAAGAAAGTAAGTACAAAAATAATTTTCTAGTTTCCCATTCAGTGAAAAATTCTGGAAAGTAAAGACTTTTTCCATGTTGTTTTATGTAGTAAGCCAATAATAGACAATTGAAAACTATCTGTTTAAGGTAGTCAAAACTTGAATATCTTCTAAAGAAGTCTTAAAATGGCTTAAAAAGAAACAAACAAAACTCCCTAATTGCTTTAAGTGACATTATCAAGACAAGACAACTCACAAAATGGAAGAAAATATTTGCAAAAAATATATCTGATGAGGAACTATAACTTACAACTTACACTTACAACTCAGTGAAAAAAAACATGAACAACCCAATTGAAAATTAAGCAAAGGAATTAAATAAACATTTCTCAGAAGAAGATAAATACATGACCAGTAAAAAATGAAAAGATGCTCAACAACATTAGCCATTAGAGAAATGCAAATCAAACCGCATGAGTTAGCACTTCATACCCACTAGGATAGCTAAAATAAAAAAGACAGGCAATAACAAGTGATGCTGAAGATGTGAAGAAATTGTAATCCTCATACATTGTTGGTGGAAATGTAAAATAGTGCAGCCGCTTTGAAAAACAGTTGGTAGTTCCGTTCCTAGGAAAAATGAAAACAAACACCCACACAAAATCTTACACATGAATGTTCATACCAGCATTATTCATAATAGCCAAAAATTGGAAGCAACATAAATGTTTATCAACTGATGAATGGATAAATAAATTGTGGTATATCCATACAATTGAATATCATTCAACCATAAAAAAGAATGAAGCACTGATACATGAATGAACTTTGAAAACATTATGCTAAGTGAAATAAATCAGTTAAAAAATAGCACATATTGTGGTATTCTATTTATACGAAATTTTCAGAATGAACAAATCTACAGATACAGAAGTAGATTAGTGGTTGCTGAGGGTTAGACACAGTGGTTAGGAAGCGGGGAGGGTAGCAGGAGGTGACTGCTAATGGGTACTGGTTTTCTTTACAGCATGATAAAAATGTTCTAAGCTTAGCTGGTGGTGATGGTTACACAACCCCATGAATTTGCTAAAACCATTAAATTGCACATTTTAAGTGGGTAAATTTTATGGAATGTTAATTATGTCCCAGTAAAGATTTTTTTTTAAAAGAAAAACTTTTAAGTAGTTTTCAAATATTGGCAGTATCAGCCTATATTCATGAAACTTCTATAAGTTCCAAGATAGACATTCAATTCATGTTTGCTGGAGATGTAAAGTTGTTTCTTCTTTATCTTCAAAAGGCACAATGAATTCAAATTATAGACCAATTAAAAGTTAACTTATGCAACAATTTAGTGAACATTCCTTATGTGCCAAACACTGAGTGTAGAGAAAACAAAAAAATGTGATGACACGGTGCTTCCCAAAAGATTTGGTAGCAAAGGGAGGACGTGAACATAATAAAAGTTAGGAAGTGGTAAATGCCATATTAAAAATTAGTCTAGCCAGGCGCGGTGGCTCACGCCTGTAATCTCAGCACTTTGGGAGGCCGAGGCGGGCAGATCACGAGTTCAAGAGATTGAGACCATTCTGGCTAACACGGTGAAACCCCGTCTCTACTAAAAATACAAAAAAATTAGCCGGTCGTGGTAATGGGCGCCTGTAGTCCCAGCTACTCGGGAGGCTGAGGCAGGAGAACGGCGTGAAACCGGGAGGTGGAGCTTGCAGTGAGCCGAGATCACGCCATTGCACTCCAGCCTGGGTGATAGAGCGAGACTCTGTCTAAAAAAAAAAAAAAAAAAAAAAAAAAATAGTTTAATGGGGGTTAAGGATCAGCTTGGCCAGAGAGTGGTCAGGCAGGGAAGGTCTAGGGGAAGATGTCGATACTAAGCAGAAACTTAAAATATGGCTAGAGTTTAAATGTATGGAAATGGTGGAGGTGACATATACAGGATAAATTGATAACTTCTACAGCTTTACTTACTTACATTTTGCAACATTAAAGATAAGCAGATTGGTCTGCAAATGATACGATGTGATAAGCATTCTCATTACATGGGATAAATGTGCATTTTTCAAAGCTGTAGCAAAATTCTCCTATCTCCTGCTCTAATTCTAGTAAACTTAAACTGCAATACTTTTTGTATAGGTTGTAACTTAGAAAAGAGATGATCCAGATACCAGATGAAAGGAAATCAATAAACAGGTAAAGTGAAATCTAAAATTCAAAAGAAGAAAATAGAATTTTTGAGAGGACAATATTCATACTAGGTACTGTCTTAATATAATATTTCTGCTCAGTAGCTCTTTTCAACAGAATAGCCAGTTCTCTGATCTCATGAAAGGCTAGAATTGGTTTGGTGATATTTATTCTTAAGGTTTTCTTGACAATCTAGTGTAATAAATTGTTTTTTGAACATTGCTTGCCAGACATTGCTTTACTTCTAATCTCTCGAAGACTTAAATAATGGTCACATTTCACGCAGACGAAACCTCCGAGGCTTTTTGGCACATTTTAAAAGTTTATTCTATTGACACGTCCAACATTCAAAAGTAATGCTATCTATACTGCCTTTTTCCAAGGAAGTCACTGCATTGCCTCTCATTTACCCAGTGGGGCAGAAATAGTGTAATAGTCACTATGTCCATTTTAGAAGCACATTCAAACTAATTGACTTCCTTCACATCATGCCATTTGTCACAGACCCATTCTTAGAATTCAGTCTTCTAACTTAAATTTCAGTGGGTTTTCTATCAGACACTGCGAACTGCGGTTTGCACAGTTATATATAGAAAAATCATACGGAAAAAATTCTCAGAGCATTGAACTATTTATCCCTGGCCATTGTCATATCTAAGTATTTGAACCCCACTTGCCTTCCCTGCTGCCTTTCCTCTTCTCATCTGGGTTCAAGATTTCCCTTTTGAAACTTAAATTCACTACTCTCTATTCTGGAAATGAAACTTTGATTATTCGTGTTCTCTTTTTCTATGAATTAAGGGAACCAATATCTTCCAAAAACAGCTGTGCTTACATCAAAGGGAAGCTGAACCCCTTTCTTTGACTGTGGACTTTATCATCACATATGAGTTTCCGTCTGTAAGAGAAAGGCACTATCATCCTATATTCTCTAACTTTTAAAGAAAAGCAAACAAACAAAAAATCTGAAGTAGCAAAGGTAATTGCCTTGGAGAAAGGACCATAGACTTATTAGACACTAACCTGGAATCCCACAATTATAATATGCACCACAGTGATGACTTCAGTATAAGAGGCCATCTTGATCCCACTCAACCAATAAGTGCCTGAAAAATTAAAATACCCTTAGTGAGACATGATCCTAGAATGAAGACCTGGAAAAGCCTGCAACTGTTTTATTCTTTACTTTTTCTTGTGATTAATATTATTTGTACTTTATAAAATATATACACATTATACAGTATTTTCTTACTTATTTTGGCACGTGAAAATCATTC
This sequence comes from Homo sapiens, assembly GCF_000001405.40. Taxonomy (NCBI): domain Eukaryota; kingdom Metazoa; phylum Chordata; class Mammalia; order Primates; family Hominidae; genus Homo; species Homo sapiens. The sequence continues at coordinate 95,868,532 of NC_000001.11, read as the reverse complement.
AATTTTAATAGGTTATTTTGTATGACTCATTTAGTACCATGACAGTAGATATGTTTTATCTTCTGCCATCATAATTATATGTTCTCTTGTTATTGCTTGTTTTTTAATGATTACTTGTTATTTTGTTTGTTCTTGATCTTTGAACTCAAGTACATATTTTTGTTAAATAAATTGTTTTTAATTTATTTTTAACTCTAATAGAATGATATTTATAATTTTAGTTTATACACCTTGATCTTTCATTTTTTTTTTTTTTTTTTTTTGAGACAAGGTCTCATTCTGTCACCAGGCGGGAGTGCAGTTGCACAATCTTGGCTCACTGCAACCTCCAACTCAGGTGTTCCTCCAACCTCAGCCTCCCAAGTAAGTAGCTGGGACTACAGGTGCATGCCACCCACGCCTGGTTAATTTCTGTATTTTAGTAGACACAGGGTTTTGCCATGTTGGGGCTGCCCTCGAACTCCTGTGCTTAAGTGATCAGCCGAACTCTGCCTTGCAAAGTGTTGAGATTACAGGTGTGAGTCACAGTGTCTGGAGATCTTTACTTCTTAACAGGACGCTACAGACTACCCTTTAAATATGAGAAAATAAGCATATATATTGACATTACTCACCTCCTCACCATATTCTAATTGGCTCCTTCACTTCTATTTCCATATCTTCAGGTTTTTAAAATCAAGTATTGTTGTTATTTAATGTAATTATGCATTTAAGTAATTCACCAGTCATTTTACTTCATCACTTACCCACTCCTGATTTTTTAAATTTAAAATCATTGCTGAGTTACTTAGAATTACATTTTTAAGTAGAATTTTTAGAGATGTCACATGAGTAAAGCACTTCTTGAGTCTCTGTATCCTCAGAATGCCTTCAGGTTACCTTCACATTTGAATGCAGTCTGCACACTGGTGGGGAAGGGTGTCTTCAGTCAGTTTCCCCTCCAAACTCTGTGGACAGTTTCAGAGCTTTGTGCCATCTAACACAGCTGGGGAGCTCCAGGGTAGGCTGATTCCTTTTTGTGTCTGATTCTTATGTTTTCTTTATTTTTCCTCAATTATCATAAAATTAAATACCTGTCTGCATGATTCCTCTTGAAACACAGAAGATCTTAAAGATCTTAAAATTGAAAGATTCAGGTATCCCTTTAGATTAAAAAAAATCTTCAATAATTTGTGATTTCTTTTATAAGTTTACCATAAGCAATTCATCTGTATTTTAGATCTCTTTTCCATCTAATGTATGATATCTGTCAATACTTTATTTCACAGTCTTTTATTCTACATTCTTTGTATACTCAAGACCTTTTCCATAATTCTTTTTGATGTTTCTGTAGTGGCTTCAGAGAAAGGCAAGGTAATAAGAAAGGCACTATAGCAGAACAGTTGTGGAAGTCGTTAGATTTATTTACAAATATGCCAGTTTTCCTATTTCTTTCACACATGTTATGAGGTTGTGTTTCTCCACCTCCACTTCTCAAAAGTAAGTATGGTTTGCTTTGGCCAATGAAATGGAAGCCTATGCTCTAAATGTTACTTCTGGACAGAATCTTTTCATTGCCAGTGCAGGACACTGAATGTTCCCTAAACCTGCTGTGGGTGATAATGGAAACACAAATCAAGATGAAGTTTTCCTCAGTCTTCATCCCTGATTGACTCCGACAACTTGGGTCTCCCTACTGACTTGCTTTTGGACAACTAGAGTGAGAGAGAGAGATTTTGTTTTTGCATCCACTGAGTTTTTAAGGCTGTTCATCAGCATAACATAACTTTGCAAACCTTACTGATATATTAGTTAAATGTATGGATTCTGAAACTCTGCTGCCTGGGTTCAAATCCCAGCTTTAAGACTTACTAGTTTAGTGACCTTTGGCAAGTTACTTAACCAGGTTATTCATTAGTAAAATTGAGATATAAACGTAGCTAACTCATAATGTTATCATAATAATTAAATCTATTAATATATAAATTAATTAAACATTGCCTGGCACATAGTGTTATTTGCATCTTTGTGATTACTCTCCCTCTTTCTGTTTTTTTCTTTTTCTTATTTTTTCTCAGTTCTAATTTCTTTTCTATTACATTCTTTTGACACATTATCTCTTCGTATTTTGAAAATGCATATTAAGTGTGGGAAGGAACCCCTTACAATTTTCTTCTGCTTCATGGTATGTCATTTCCTAAAATGTACTTTTCCTATTAGTTTTCCATGTGTTTTTTTCTCCATCAATTAAATTACGAATTTTGTATAAGTTTTTCTTACTTTTTGTTTATTTATTTTTGAGTGGACACAGATCTATCCTGACTTATTTGATCCAATCAAGTGTAAATGAAATCTACATCCCCACATCCTTTGCTTTCCTGTGCATCAAGATACTAGATATCAAGTAGTGCCAGTTTATATTATTTGGATAGTTATTTTGCTTTCTGAAAGGAATTAGGAAGTAGATAAGGAAGAAAGCAGCTGAAATATCCTGACTCCCAACACTTTCCCTCTAAAAGTTTTTATCAACTTTCCTCAGGACATTGTGTGCTGCTTGTGGGAAATGGAAGAGTAAGTGTTCTTGAGGGTAAGCCACTTGCTTGGGTGAGAGCCATTGGTTTGGAGGGTCTGCATATTTTCTCTGATTACTTGGCATTTGGTATAAGCTGCACAGCTGACTCCCATAAAGTTGTATTCCATTTCTTTTTTATCTTAGTGTTCCTAGATCTCTTCTTTCTTGGTTAGCTGGAAAAAATGTATCCAAAAAAATCTTACTAAGAGAATGAAAAGATAAGTCTTAGACTAGGAGAAAATATTTCTAAAACACATATCTGATAAAAAACTAGAATCTAAAATGTATAAGGAACTCTTAAAACTCATCAGTAAAAAAAGGTTAAAAAGGGACAAAATATCCGAACAGAAAGCTCACCAAAGAAGATACACAAAGGTCAATTAAGCATAGAAGAAAATGCTCAACATTGCATGTCAATAGGGCATTGCAAATTAAAACAACAAGATACCACTACACACCTATTAGAATAGCTAAAATACAAAGCATGACAACACCAAATGTTGATGAGGACGGGAAGCAATAGAAACTCTCACTTATTGGTGGTGTCATGCAAAATGATGCAGCTACTTTAGAAGACTGTTTAGTAGTCTCTTATAAAACTAAGCATATTCTTGCCATATGATCCAATAGTCATGCTCCTTAGTATTTAGCCAAATGAGGTGATATCGTATGTACACAAAAACCTTCATAAGAACGTTCAAGGCAACTTTATTCATAATTTCCAAAGCTTGAAAGCAACAAAGATGTCCTCCAGTGGGTAAATGGATAAACAAATTGGTACACCTGTAAAATAAAATATAACTCAGTGATAAGAAGAAATGAGCTATCAAGTCATGAAAAGATATGGAGGAACCTTAAATGTATATTTCTAAGTGAAAGAAACCAATATCTAAAGGCTTCACACTGCATGAATCCAACAATATGACAACGTGGAAAAAGAAAAGCTACAGAGACAATAAAAAGATCACTGATTGTCAGGAGTTTGTGGGGAGAGAGGAAGGGAGGAATGCATGAATAGGCAGAGCACAGGGAATTTTTAGGGCAGGGAAGTTCTTCTCTATATTACATAATACAATATATTAATAGAGTAATATATAATACTATATATTATATAATACAATGATGGATACCTGTCAATATACATTTACTAAAACCCATAAAAGGCACACAAAAAAGTGAAACTTAAACTATGGAGTTTAGTTAATAATAATTTATCAATACTAGTTCATCCATTGTAACAAAAGTACCACACTGGTGCAAGATGTTAATAATGGGAAACTGGGTTGTGGGTAAAGGGAGTATAAGAAAACAATCTGCACTTTCCTCTCAATTTTTTTGGGTAAACCTAAAACTGTTCAAAAAAATTGCTACTATATATAATATAAAAGTAACATGTTACATGTTAAATATATGTATATATTCATTCCATACAGATTCTCTTTCAGTTCTATTGTTCCATAGCAGGAAAATGGGCCACTATGAAGTATTCCCATCCATGAACCCAACATTCATTTCTATAAATTAGTGTGGTTGACCTGCATGATTTCTTAATGTTGTTATAGTGATTGACAGCAAACTGTTGTTTGTATAATCATAAAGTACCAAGAGTTGTGCTAAATCTTTAAAGAAGACTTCATTTTATTTGATCCTTTCAACAAATTTCTGAGGTAGGTGTTATTATCTCCATATTACAGTTGAGGGAACAGAAGCATAACTAACTTGCTCAAGCCTCAAATATGGAAACTCCAAAGCTAAACGCAGGCCTATTAGATTAGAACCCTCATTGTCTCTCTTTTTTTTTTTTTTTTTTTTTTTTTTTGTGAGACAGAGTTTTGCTTTTGGTGCCCAGCTAGAGTGCAATGGCGCAATCCTCGCTCATTGCAGCCTCCGACTCCCAGGCTTAAGCGATCCTCATGGCTCAGCCTCCTGAATAGCTGGGACTACAGGTGTGTGCCACCATGCCCGGCTAATTTTTTGTATATTTAGTGGAGATGGGGTTTCACTGTGTTGGCCAGGCTGATCTCGAACTCCTGACCTCAGGTGATCCACCCGCCTCAGCCTCCCAAAGTGCTAGGATTACAGGTGTGAGCCACTGCATCTGGCCCATTCTTAAATAAAAGCCAAATGATTCCTTTTCCTTATCACCTGAAACACACAATGTTTGGGTTTAGTGCACGTGTGTCCATTCAACATGATACAAACTCTACCTGACAGATAGTCCTCTAGGTTTATGGTATGTAATAGTGCTCTTCAGTTTGAAGATAGTGAAACTTTATTTTTTTTAAATTTCAATGAACATCATGAAAGAAAGCCCATGCTCTTACTCTGCCATCTTTCCCTGAAGCCTCTCTTTCAAATTGGGTCTGTTATGATTGATTTTTATTTCCAGCATTATGATGAATAGATTACTATTAGAGGAATAACATCTCTTCAATTGAAAATACTAAAAACAAAAATAAAAAAGATGAAATACTTTTTGATTAAATGCACTCATGAGCTGGCATTAAAGTGAAGAATATTTCAGCCAAAAATAAAGTCATGTGCCAAGAGGAGTGAAATGAGCACTAATTTTCTTAGACTTGTGGAGCTCAGGAGACAAGATACAAAGTCCAGGCCTTAGCCATGGTGAGGAATCTTGTAGAATATGTGTGATGAAGCCGAGATAAATATATCCACCCCAGGACTAAAGAACAGTTGGTTATAATAAGCTCTGGCACTGAGTGGTAGGAGAAAAAATACTCTCCATTGTGAATTTGTGATCATTGTTTGGCACACATAAGGGTTTGAAGCCTGAGGTGACACTTCCTAGGTAGTCTGAAAAAATTTTAAGCTAACCATATTATCAAAAATGTTTCTGGACTGAAATAACCCCCACGATTCACATCTTTATTGCTGTAAGAAATAATCAACTATTTAAAATAAGAATATGACAATATATTATGTGAGTTATAAAATATGTAGCAAAATGAGAAATTATAGCACAAAGGATGGGAGGGGGAAATGTAAGTATTTTGTTATAAGGATTTTCCACTATGTGGGGAAAACATAGAATATAATTTGAAAGTGAATATAAAAACATCATTTGAAAGTAGACTGTAAAAAGTTAAAGACGCGTATTGTAAATGTGAAATCAATCCTTTAAAAGAACTCAAAAGCAGTATATTTAATAATTTCATATTGGAGAGAAAATGTAATTCTAGTAATACACAGTTAACCTTTAAAAAGGACAGAAAAAGGGAGAACGTGTAACTAAAAGAAAATGTATAGCAATACAGTAGGCTTAAACCCATCCTTATTGGTAAATAAATTAATTGTGGATGGTCTAAAAGCTACACTGAAGAGGGAGAGATTACTAGATTATATAAGAAAACAAGATTAAACTATATACCATCTACAAAAAAATCCTTTTAAATATAAAAACACAGATAAGCACATAAATAGAAAAAGATACAGGTAAACAATAAACCTAAGAATGCTAACATAGCTATTTAAATAACAGTAAAAGTACACTTTAAAATAAGGTTTATGACCAGGGATAAAGATAGATATTTCTTAATGATATAAAGGTCATTTCATCAGGAAAACCTAACAAGCCTACATGTATAAGCACCTAATAATAGAATTTTAAAATGTGTGAAGCAATGGTCTAACACATAAGGAGCTTAGAAGTTGCCAATTCATCCTGAAGACAAGTGAAAAACGGAACAAACTGAAAAATCAACAGTTTTTCTTAGGCCCATCAGAGAAGTGAGGCCACAGGGTAAACTAATGTCTCCCTCTAACTGGAGACACAGAGAGGCAGATACAGAGAATCACAACTATCAGAGCAGAAACTCACAAGCAGAAACCTCTGTGGGAACCAGCGCTGGAGTAGGAGAATCTGAACTATAAGAGAAGAACCGCTGGAGTCTCAGTGTGGACAAGGATGACCCATAAAATCTCCAGGGGAACCGAGCCATGAATGTAGGGTTGGGATCCACACTTCCGTGGATTTTATTTCCAGCACCTTTACCAGGTTCTCACAGTGAAGATCAGAGCAAAAAATCCACTTGGGCTCTGGGAGTGGGAGGGGGAAAGTAACCCCTTTGAAGTACACCACAGAATTCTGTTTGTTGTACCTGACAAGACCGGCCCTCAGAGAAACCTTTTTATGAGAGCCCAACCTGTTTGGGCGTTTATTAGACTCTAACACCTAGAGAAAGGGAAATATCCAAATTCAGCCTTTATCCTATACCACCTAAAAGGGTGGAAAAAAACCAAAACACTAAAAGTCATTTGTGGAGTTCACAACCCAAGGACACAGAGTCACTAAAAGACTGAGACCTACTCATAAGACTACAGAAGGCTTCCTGCCCACCTGCCTCCACCTCCACACTAACCACCACATCACTAAAGGTCTATTTGTAGCAGTTTATTTTACATAGTACATCATGTCTGCCTTTCAACAAAAAATTACAAGAAATATTAAAAGGCAAAAAACAAAGTTTGAAGTGACAGCGAGCATCAGAATCAGACCTAGATATGGCAGGGATGTTGGAATGATCAGACTATAAGATTAATCAACTATACTTAATGTGCTAAGGATCTAATGGACAAAGTAGACAATATGCAGGAACATAAATACTGTAAGCAGAGAGATGGGAATTCTAAGAAAAAAATCAAAAAGAAATGTTAGAAATTGAAAAAGCTGTATTAGAAATGAATGCCTTTGATGGGCTTATTAATAGATTAGATATGGCTAAGGAAAGAATCTATGAACTTGAGGGTATGTTAATAGAAACTTTCAAAATGAAAAAGCAACGAGAAAAAAAAGACTGAAAAAAAAATAACAAGATATCTCAAAACTGTGAGACAACTACTAAAGGTGTAACATATGTGTAATGGGAATATCAGCAGAATAAAAAGAGGAAGCAACAAAAGCAATATTTAAAGGAAAATGACTGAGAATTACCCCCAAATTATTGTCAGACACCAACCATGGATCCAGGAAGCTTAGAAATTACCGAGCAGACAAAATGTCAAAAAAAAAAAAAAAAAAAAAGAAATAAAAAATAAAGAAAAGAAATCAAGGCATGTCATATTCAAATTCAAGAAGATCAAAAATAACATCTGACTTCCCCTCAGAAACTGTACAAGCAAGAAGAAAATGGAGTGAAATTTTTAGTTTTAAGAGAGAAAAAAAAACAGATCAACTTGGACTTCTGCACCCTTTAAAATTATCCTTCCAAAATGAAGAAGAAATAAAGGCTTTCTCAGACAAGCAAAAATTGAAGAACTTTGTTTGTCTTGTAATAAATGTTAAGAGAAGTTCTTCAGAGAGAATGAAAATAAGTCAGAATCTTGGATCTACATAAAGAAGACTGTCAGAGAAGAAATCAGTGAAGATAAACAACTTTTGTCTTATTCTTAATTGATGTAACAGATAATAATTTGTCTTAAATAATGATCACAAAAATATTTCCAATTGTATATTTCTGTTTGTATGTGTATGTGTGTATACATACATACCTATATGCTTATGGATAAGTGAAATGAATGACATCAATAATACAATAGACAATAGAAAGAAATTAGGTATATTTGTTATTGTAAGGTATGTGCACTACCTGTGAAGCAGAAAAGTGTTGTTTGACAATTGACTTGTATTCATTGCAAATATAAAAGAGAAAGCATAAGAAATATGACTTTCTGGAAAAACCAAAATTATGGAGGAAGTAAAAAGACAGTGGTTGTCAGGGATTAGAGAAAGGGAGGGATACTTCGGCAGAACATAGAGTATTTTTAGGGCAGTGAAACTATTCTTTATGATGCTGTAATGGTGGAAACATATCATTATACATTTCTGAAAATCCAAAGAATGTACACCAAGAGTGAATCCTAATGTAAACTATGGACTTTGGGTGATAATGATGTGTCAGTGTAGTTGCCATTGTAACAAATGTACCATGTTGGTGCTGGACGTTGATCCTGAGGGAGGCTATGAGGTGTGTTAGGGTAAGGGGCTGCACTTTCCACTCAATTCTGACATGAAGCTAAAAAGTCATACACACACATGCATACACATAAAATTGGCAAAAGTATATAAAAAATTGAAAAATCAAAAATTACAGTTCAAGATTTTGAAACTTTTCTGTCAGTCATTGGCAGAACAAGTAGACAGAAAATCACTAAGGACATAGGTGACATAATGAACACTTTCAACTAATGTAACTGACATAAATGGAGCACTGCCCCCAATAATAACAAGTGCATATGGATCATTCACCATTACAAACAATATGTTAGGGAATAAAACAAGTTCCAATACATTTGGAAACATTAAATTCATTCAGAGTGTGTTCTGACCAGAACAGAATTAAATTATATATCAACAATAAAAAAAAGGTGGAAAAAAATCACACACATTTGAAAATTAAACAGTATACTACTAAACAATTAGTGAGTCATAAAAGAAATCAAGAAAGAATTGAGGAAACATTTTTGATTAAATTGATGTTAAAACATGACATATGAAAATCTGGGGACAGATGCATCTAAAGCCATGCTTAAAGGAAAATTCAGAGTTTCAAACATTTAGTGTAGAAAAAAAGTAAGGCTCAAATCCATAATCTAGGCTTCCATCTTAAGAGATTATGGAAGAAAATCAAATTAAACACTCAGTAAATGGAAAGGAAGAAAATAATTGAGATAAACGTAGAAATAAACTAAAAAACAAACAAACAAACAATAAAGAAAATTAATGAAACCAAAAGCTGATTCTTGGAGGAATCAGTAAAGTGATAATCCTCTAGCTAGGCTGAATGAGAAAATAGGAAGACTCAAATTACTAATTATGTTAGTCATTTCAGGCTGCCATAACAGAAGAATCACAGACTGGGTGGCTTAAATAACAGGAATTTATTTCTCACAGCTCTGGAGGCTGGAAAGTTAAAGATCAAGGTGACAGCTGATTTGGTTGTCTGGCAAAGCCTCTCTTTTTAGCTTTCAGATGGCCACTTTCTCACTGTGTCCTCATATAGCAGAGAGAGAGAGAGAAAGAGACAGAGACAGAGAGAGAGAGAGAGCAAGCAATGTCTCTGGTATCTCTTCTTATTTGGGCACTAATCTGATCATGAGGGACCCACCTTCTTGACTTCACCCAAACCTAAATACCTCCCAAAACACCCACCTCCAAATATTATTACATTTGGGATTAATGCTTCAACATATAAATGTTGGGAGGACACAATTCAGTCCATAACTTCAAAATTCAAAATGTAAGAGGGATAATCATTAGAGAAACTACAAGCCTTAAAAGAATAATAAAAGAATATTATGAATAACTTTTTGTTGATATATTAGGCAATTTAGATAAGATGCACAAATTTCTTGAATGACAGATTGCCAAATCTGATTCATGAGAAAATAGAAAGCTGAATAATGCTACATTAAATGAATTGAATTTGCAATTAAAAACTTCCCCATTAAGAAAACTGCAAGCCCAGATGACTTAACTAGTGAATTCTATCAATCATTTAATCCTACACAAACTCTTAAAAAGTAGAAAAAGAAAGAATACTTACCTGTTCATTTTATTATGTCAACGGATTAAGTATCTGTTGCTGCATAAAAATAGAATAAAAAATCTCATGTAATACTATAAGCAAGATCTTTGGCTAGATCAGCAGGCATCCCAGGGTTCGACTCAGAGCTGATTTGCTTCTAAATTCATTTACATAGATATCATGAGGCTCAGAAGATGTGCTTCCAAACTCACTGATGTTCCGGACTCACAGATATAGCCCCTCCAGTACAAGCTATATGAGATAGAGAAGAGATTACCCCTGATGGAAGTCATAGTCTTTTTATGATCAAATCTCAGAAGTGACATCCTAGCATTTCTGCCTTATTCTATTTTTTGAGAAGCAATGACTAAATCTAGCTTACACTTAATGGGAGGAAATTACATAAGGGAATGAGTAATAGGAGGTAGTGTTTATTGGGACCATTTTAGAGTTTACCCACCTCCGTCAGCATGACCTTGATACAAAAACAAAAGACATCAAAATTACAGTTCAATATCTCTCATGAGCTCAAAAGTCAAATGCAAAAATATATAAAAAGGGTAATACACCAGGACCACGTAGGATTTATCCCAGAAACAAGTGATTGGTTTGATATTTATGAATCAATCAATGTAATTTGCCACATTAACAGGATTAAGGAGAAAACTGTATAATCATTTCAATAGACAAAGCAAAAACATTTAAAAAAATATATCACCCATAAATAATAAGGCCTCTTAGCAAATTGAGATAAAAGTAAACTTCCTAAACCTAATAAAGAGCATCTACAAAAAAAAGATATAGAGCTAACATCATATTTCATGGTAAAAGTCTAAATGATCTTCTACAATTGAGAACAAAGATATGTGTTCAGACCATTCCTTGTCTTTATTTTACTGGACATTCTATTTAGAGCAATAAGTAAAGAAACAGAAATTAAAGGCATATCAAATTAAAAAGCAGTAAAACTCTCTTTATTCACAAAAGTCATAATCAAGTATGTTGGAAATGTTAACATAGCTATCAAAAAACTACTTACAAGTGAACTAAACAAGATTACAAGATACAAGATCAATATTTAAAAATCAATATTGTCTATATATGTACCACAAATAATGAGATATCAAATTTAGAAAAAACTTTTAAAATGTTTATGATAGCATCAAGATATGTGAAATACTTGAGAATGAATTTTTAAAATATTCGTACAAGACCTGTACATTAAAAACTACAAAACATTGCTGAGGGAAATTAATAAAGAATTAAACAAATGGAGCAATATACTATGTTCATGAAGAGGAAGATTTAATATTGTTAATATGTCAGTTCTCTCCACATTTGTTTATAGTTTCAAATTCTTTATAGTTCAATTTCAGTCAAACTACCAGCAGGCTTTTTTTATGTATGGAAATCGACAAAATGATTCTAAAATTAATATAAAAATTCAAAGAATGTGGAATAGCCAAAATGATTTTGGAAAAGTAAAATGTTGAAAAATTGTTTTGCCTTATTTCAAGACTTACTATGAACCTGTACTAATTAAGTCAGTATGATACTTGCTTAAGGATATGTATGTATATATATGTGATAATAGGACACCAGACAGCAGTCCTATCCAACAGAACTTTCTGTGATGTGGCAAATATTCTATATTTATCCTGCCTAATAAAGTCCTAATTAGCTCATTAATTAGGTGTGACTATTGAGCACTTGAAATGTGGCTTTTGGGACTAAGGAGCTAAATTTCAAGATTTATTTAACTGTAAATAACGTAAATTTAAATTGTCATGTGTAGCTGGAGTTATCTCATCAGGTAGTGGAAGTGTAAGAAATCAAGATATAAACCAACAGACATATGGCCAATTGATTTTTGACAAAGAAGCTAAGGTAATTCCATAAGAAAGATAATTTATACTTTCAACATATGGTGCTGGATCAACTGGATAGTCACATAAAAAAATTCCATGTACCCCACACGTATCTATAATTATTACATATTAATTTTAAAACTCTAATTCTTACCTCACACCATGCACAAAAATTAACTCAAAATGTAACATCAACCAAAATGTAAAAGATAAACTATAATACTTCTGGAAGATATATAGAATAAATTATTTGTAATTTTCATAAAGAAACATTTTTCTTGAATGGAATTTTTAAAAGTATAAACTGTAAAAACAATCAAAGTGGAATTCATCAAATTTAAAAACTTCTGCTGTTTGAAAGATTTCAATAAGGAAGTAAAAAGGCAAGGAACAGCCTAGGAGAGAAAATTTGCAATACATATATCTCACAAAGATGTTTAAGTTAAGTGTATAATTTTTACAATTAACTAATTAGAATATGTCAACTTAAAAACAAACAGGAGATTTGAACAGATACTATACAAAATAAGTATGAAAGGTGAACAAAAACATGAAAAAATGATCATCATTATTAGGTTAATGCAAATCTAAACTGCACACACAGTAGAATGGCTAAAATTTAAAAGATTGAGAATATTATTAGTGAGGATATGGAACAATTAAAATTCTCATACATTGTGGGTAGAAACGTAAAATACTGCAAATACTTTTGAAAACAGTTTGGTAGTTTCTTGTGGAATTAAATATACACTTAACATACGATCCCACAATACTTCAAGGTGTTTACTTAAGTTAAAATATATGTCCATGCTTGCACAAGAATGTTCACAAGAGATTTATTCATATTAGCCCAAACTAGAAACAACTCAACTTTCTATCAACAGGTGAAAGGAAAAATAAATTGGGTATCTGTAAAATACAATCCTACCTACCCTTGAAGGAATGTCACTGATACATCAAAAAACATGAATGAATCTCAAAAGCATTATGCTGACCAAAACAACCCAGACAAAAAAGAGTTCAGTGTATGATTTTATTTATAAGAAATTCTAGGAAAGACCAGTCTAACACACAGTGATAGAAAGCAGATCAATGGTTTCCTGGGTTTAGGTTTCGGTTGAGGGTAGGGATTGACTAGGAGGGGCACCAAGGAATCTTTAGGAATCATGAAAATGTTTTATATCCTAATTGTGGTGGTGATTAAATGGATTGAATTGTACTCTTAAAGCATGTGCATTTTATTGATTTCAAATTATACCTCTGATATGGTTTGGCTCTGTATCCCCACCCAAATCTCACCTTGAATTATAATAATCCCCTCATGTCAAGGGTGGGGCCAGGTAGAGATAATTGAATCATGGGGGCAGTTTCCTCCACACTGTTCTCATGATAGTGAATAATTCTCATGAGACCTGATGGTTTTATAAATGGGAGTTCCCCTGCACAAGCTCTGTCTTGCCTGCCACCATGTAAGACGTGACTTTGCTCCTCATTTGCCTTTAGCTGTGATTGTGAGGCCTCCCCAGCCATGTGGAACTGTGAGTCAATTAAACCTCTTTCATTTCTAAATTACCCAGTCTCAGTTCTGTCTTTATTAGCAGTGTGAGAACAGACTAATACAACCTCAATAAAGTTGATATCAAAAATTAAATAAATGTAAACAGACTATATACTCCAATAAAACATCAAAGATTTTCAGGTTAAAAATTAAAAATTCATTATATTGTTTCGGGATCTTTGGGGTGTCACATTTCTGGCTGGAAACCTGTGGCCAGTGGCACCATTGCCCAAGTTTTGTTTGGGCCTGCTGGGCTTGTTACACCCACTTGATCTGGCAGGCTACCCTCAGCTCACACTGCCAGCCTGGATCACATACGTCCAAGAAAGACTGGAGTCAGATGTGGAGGAGCATGGGGTGTGTGAGGGAGTGTGGTGTCCAGCCACCGCACAGTGGGGCATGCTGACTGCTGCCACGGGGTGGGCAGCTCCATATGCTGGCAGGGGTGCCAGCTCTCTGCAGGGCTGCAGCTGGACCAGGCCAAACAACATCCCTGGCTGGAACCTGGGGATGCAGTGATGCCTGGAAGCTTGGAGATGCCAGGAACCACAGGGGCTTAAAGGGGAAGTCACAGTCCTGGCTCAGGGAGCTTCCAGGTCTGGGCTCTCCAAAGAGTTGCAGCTCTTCTCTTCTTCTCTTCACCTGCAATGTGGCAAGCAAGGGGCATGTTTTAGCACTGTTTGTGTTACAGCAGCTCTTTTAGCCTCACCATTCAGCAGGCCCTGAGTTCTTGTCCTGAGACCAGGAAGAATGAGGTACACAGACAAGTGGAGGGTGAGCAAGATGAAGAGGAGCTTTATTAAGCAATACAATAGCTCAGAGAACACCCACAGTGGGCAACTCCTCTCCATAACCGGGGTGCTCTGACAAGTGTTCAGCTCCTACCAGAAAGGGTGGCTACTCTCATCAGGCAAGTTGTCCCAACAAGTGTTCTCAGCAGAGAGAGTATCTGTTCTCTGCAGCTGGTCATCCCATGGTCTTCAGTTCTTGGCAGAGAGGAGGTCCTAGAGTGGGTGGACTCTCTTCCTCTCTTCCAGCAGGTCATCCTGTCATCTGTAGTTCTCAGCAGCAAGGAGAGCTCCTCTCTGCAGCTGGTCATCCCATCCTCTCTCTGTCCTCTGCTCTGCTTTGGCTGAGCCTATGGCTTTTATGGACCTCAGAGGGGAGGAAGTGTCCATCAGTGGGTCCACAGGAGGCCATTGGTGGGTCAAGAAAAGGCACCACATGTCCCCAGTCCAGTCTGCGGGACTGGCAGGCCAACCCCCAGGCTTTAGGCTCTCCCTGGCCAGAAGGTGGGGACTCACCAGGGACCTGCCCCCTTCTGCACAGCAGCCTGTCTGCCTCCTGCTGCCGTTCATAGTGCCAAGGCTGCTCATGCCAAGGGGGGACCTGCAGGCCAGCACTGAGCCGCCCTCAGCTTTCCCTTTCCTAGGCTTGTCAGCACCCAAAGTTTGGAGGGGGCCAAGGCAGGAGGGAGTTGATGTGTTACTACTGCCCCAGACATTCACATACCCAGTCAGGCTGTGACAGCACCTGGGCCCAGCCCCATCCCTACTCCAAGATTGGAGTGGGTTCTAAGAGTGAGGAGAGGTCAGGCAGTGGGAACAGACACCCCTGAGGCTGCAGGGGGAGGGGGGCCTTCATGGGTCCCCTGAGAGTGCAGAAATGCCTGGGTCCACAGCGGTGGCAGAGTAGGCAGTGGCACCTGGAAGGGGAGGGCTCCTGCCTGCTCCCAGCTCCTAAGAACACAGGGGTGCCCAGGTTGCAGCTGTGGCTTAGGCAGCTGCAGTTGTGCCTGGGGAGCTCCCGCCCCACCAACTTGGAAGGGGTGGGGCTCCCACTTGTCCCTTGCTCCTGCCAGCTTGGTAAAGTTTGGCACCTGGCTGTGCCCCCCTGCAGCCTGAGGAGGGGGCTCCAGGTCCTCCTTGGGCTTGGGTCTGCATTTGGGGCAGGGGTAATATTTCCATGAGCTTTTCCTGTGTGACCCCAGTGCTCAGGGGCAGCCTGGAGCATCCCCTCACCCAGCTCTGTCCCTGCCAATGGGGAGTGCTTCCTGGAGCAGATCACAGGCCCCAAGCCTTGCCGTTGGGAGCGTTAGATTCAGTGGTCACCTGGATGCAGGGTGGACCCCAGGGATGGGGCCCCAGGTTGCCCTGTGCAGAGCTCCCTCCCAAGGTGCAGATACATGGAGCCCTTGGCAGGGAGGGCGCAGTGACCATGCTGCTGGCCAGATCCCTGAAGCGGGCACTGCTGCCACTTCCCACTCTGGGCCCCCAAAGTGCATCCCTAGCTCTGCCTCCTCCCCACACTCTCCCTGCAGCAGTGGCAGGTGAGAGCTGTGACATGGGGCCAGGGGCCAGAGCCATGAAGGCTCCGGGCCTGGGGGTGGGTCCCACCTGGCCACACAAGGTTGGGGTCAGTGCAGGTCACTGCCTCGGGAATGCAGGTCACTGCCTCAGGAACGCAGGGCACAGGGGACCCACTGCTGCCATTGCTGCTGTCACAATTCCTTCTGCCACCACCACCTGCACCTTCCCGCTGTGGATGGCCTGCTTCTGCCATCAATATGCTATCTAAAAGAGATATTTCCAAAACCAGATGATTCAGAAAAATGTAAAGGAATAATTAGAATAAGACATAACAAACATTAATAAAATAAAGCTATTATAAACAATAAATTAAAGATATAGACACTGACTTAGAAAAGTGTCTGTGATAAATTAAGTGGAAGAAAAGTGGCACAGTAGGAAGTTATTCACAGTAGTATATTATGAGTACAAATATTATTCATGGACCCAACAAGAAACAGCACACTCCTACAGTTTAATTGATGAGTATGTGATGAGGAACCACAGTCATGTGCCACATAAAGACATTTTGGTCAATAATGGACCACATATATAATGGTGGTCTCATCAGATTGTAACGAAACTGAAAAATTCCTATCACCTACTGGTGGTGTAGCTGTCAGAACATCATAGAGCAAGGCATTATTCACATGCTTGCGCTGATGTTGGTGTAAACAAACCTACCATGCTGCCAGTCATAAAATATATGGTACCTACAATTATGTACAGTACATAATACTTCATAATGATAATAAATGACTGGTACTGGTTTATGTACTTTTTTTCTTGTTATTTTAGAGTATAATTCTTCTACTTACATATACAAAAAGTTAACTGTAAAACTGCCTCAGGAAGGTCCTTCAGCAGGTATTCCAAAAGAAGGTATTATTCTCATAGATGATAAATTTCTGTGTATTGTTGCCCCTGAAGACCTTCTAGTGGAACAACATGTAGAGAGGGAAGACACTGCTATTGATGATTCTGACTGTCTGTAGGCATAGGCTAATGTCTCTTTGTGTCTTAGCTTTTAACAAAAAACATTTAAAAAGTAAAAAAGAATAAAAAATTTCAAAAAATAGAAAAAAGCTTATAGAATAAGGAAAGAAAATATTTTGTACTGCTGTACAATGTGTTTGTGTCATTATGAAAGAGTAAAAACAATTTTAATGAAAAAGTTTATAAAATAAAAAATTTCAGCAATTTAAGTTTACTATTCAAGAAAGTTTTAAAAAATAAAATTAGTGTAGTCTATGTGCACAGAGTTTGTTAAGTCTATCGTAGTATACAGTAATGTCCTAGGCCTTCACTTTCACTCACCACTCACTCACCCAGAGCAGCTTCCAGTTCTGCAAACTCCATTCATGGTAAGTGCACTAAACAGGTTTAATTTTTTAATGTTTTATGTAGTATTTCATTGTACCTTTTCTATGTTTAGGTATGTTTAGATGTACAAATAGTAACCATGGTTGCAATTGCCAACACTATTCAGTGTGGTAATATGCTGTACAGTTTGTAGCTCAAGAGCAATAAGCTATACCATGTAACCTAGGTATGTAGTAGGCTCTACTATCTAGGTTTGTGTAAGTGCACTCTATGATGTTCACACAGTGACAAAATTGCCTAGCAACACATTTGTCAGAGCATATTCCTGTTGTTAAGCAATGCATGACTGTATTTACCTAGGAGAGGGCAAAAGTAAGGGAGCTATATTAGTCTGTTTTCATGCTGCTGATAAATACAAACCTCAGACAGGGCGATTTACAAAAGAAAGAGATTTAATGGACTCACAGTTCCACATAGCTGAGGAGGCCTCACAATTATGACGGAAGGTGAAATGCATGTCTCACATGACGGAAGACAGGAGAAGAGAATTGTGCAGGGAAACTCCCCTTTATAAAACCATCAGATGTCATGAGACTTATTCACCATCATGAGAATAGCCAGGAAAACCTGCTCCCATGATTTAATTACATCTCAATGGGTCCCTTTCACAACAGGAGGGAATTATGGGAGCTACAATTCAAGATGAGATTTGGGTGGGGGCACAATCAAACCTATCATTCTGCCCCTGGCCCCTCCCAAATCTCATGTCCTCACATTTCAAAACCAATCATGCCTTGCCAACAGTTCCCCAAAGCCTTAACTCATTTCAGCATTAACCCCAAAGTCCACAGTCCAAAGTCTCATCCAAGACAAGGCAAGTCCATTCCACCTATGAGCCTGCAAAATCAAAAGCAAGTTATCTACTTCCTAGATACAATGAAGGTACAGGCATTGAGTAAATACAGTCATTCCAAATGGGAGAAGCTGGCCAAAGAAAGGGGTAAAGTCCCATGAAGTCTGAAATCCAGCAGGGCAGTCAAATCTCAAAGCTCCAAAATGATCTTCATTGACTCATGTCTCACATCCGGGTTATGCTGATACAAGAGGTGGGTTCCCATGGTTTGGGGCAGCTTTGTCCCTCTGGCTGTGCAGGGTACAGCCTCTCTCCTGGCTGCTTTCACAGGCTGGAATTTAGTGTCTGCAGCTTTTCCAGGTGTATGGTGCAAGATGTCGGTGGATCTACCATGCTGGGTCTGGAGGACAGTGGCCCTCTTCTCACAGCTCCACTAGGCAGTGCCCTAGTGAGGACTCTGTGTGGGGGCACCCACCCCACATTTCCCTTCTGCACTGACCTAGCAGAGATTCTCCATTCGCACCCCACCCCTGTAGCAAACCTCTGCTGGGACATCCAGGAATTGCTATACATCTTCTGAAATCTAGGCAGAGGTTCCCAAACTTCAATTCCTGACTTCTGTTCACCCATAGGCTCAACACCACGTGGAAGCTGCCAAGGCTTGGGGCTTGCACCCTCTGAAGCCACAGCCCGAGTTGTACCTTGGCCCCTTTTAATCACTGCTGGAGTGGCTGGGAAGCAGGGCACCAAGTCCCTTGACTGCACACTGCAGAGGGACCCTGGGTCCCACCCACAAAATCAGTTTTTCCTCCTATGTTTCCAGGTCTGTGATGGGAGGGGTTGCCACAAAGGTCTCTGACATGCCCTGGAGACATTTTCCCTATTGCCTTGGTGATTAACGTTCAACTCCTCATGTTACTGATGCAAATTTTTGCAGCTGGCTTGAATTTCTCCTCAGAAAATGGGATTTTCATTTCTATCTCATTGTCAGGCAGCAAATTTTCTGAACTTTTTTTTTTTTTTTTTTTTTTGACAGAGCTCTGTCACCCAGCCTGGAGTGCAGTGGCATGATCTGGGTTCACTGCAACCTCCACCTCCTGGGTTCAAGTGATTCTTCTGCCTCAGCCTCCCAAGTAGCTGGGATTACAGGCATGCACCATCACACCTGGCAATTTTTGCATTTTTTTTAGTAGAGATGAGGTTTCACCATGTTGGCCAGGCTGGTCTCAAACTAACTCCTGACCTCAGATGACCCCCCTGCCTTGGCCTCCCAAAGTGCTGGTATTACAGGTGTGAACCACAGCACCTGTCCAAACTTTTATGCTCTGCTTTTCTTATAAAACAGAATGCCTTCAACAGTACCCAAGTCACCTCTTGAATGCTTTGCTGCTTAGAAATTCTTCTACCAGCTACCCTAAATCATCTGTCTCAAGTTCAAAATTCCACAAATCTCTAGGTCAGGGGCGAAATGCCACTAGTCTCTTTGCTAAAACATAACAAGAGTCACCTTTGCAACAAGTTCCTCATTTCCATCTGAGACCACCACAGCCTGGACTTTATTGTCCATATTCCTATCAGCATTTTGGGCAAAGCCATTTTACATGTCTTCAGGAAACTCCAAACATTCCCACATTTTCCTTTCTTCTTCTGAGGCCTCCAAACTCTTCCAACCTCTGCCTGTTACCCAGTTCCAAATTTGCTTCCACATTTTCAGATATCTTTACAGCAGCACCCCACTCTACCAGTACCCATTTACTGTATTAGTCTGTTTTCACAATGCTGATAAAGACATACCTGAGACTGTGCAATTTACAAAAGAAAGAGGTTTAATGGACTCACAGTTCCACGTTGCTGGGGATGCCTCACAATTATGGTGGAAGGTAAAAGGCACATCTCACATGGCAGCAGACAAGAGAAGAGAACTCATGCAGGGAAACCCCCCTTTATAAAACCATCAGATCTCATGAGGCTTATTTACTTTCATGAGAATAGCCCAGGAAACACCTGCCCCCCATGATTCAATTACCTCTCAATGGGTCCCTTTCACAACATGAAGGAAATATGGGAGCTCTAATTCAAGATGAGATTTGGGAAAGGATACAGCCAAACCATATCAGGAGCCAACAAAGGATGATAAGGCACCCAGGAACAGCAGAAGAGAGTCAGTGCCATTCCCACGTGTGAAAGAGAAAAACAGGAACATTGGCCTCAGCCAGAATGGCCGCAATGTAGGAAGGGACTGTGGTTGGGAAAAGGGATACAAAGGGGACATAAAATCTCCTCCTTCTGGTTGTCTTCCAATGCCTTTCCCAAGCCAAACCCTAGTAAGGCAATCGATGCAATCAGCAGAGTTCAGTCTCCCAGGCCACTGAGCAGAGAACAGAGAATATGTGAGGGACACAGGGAACAAGTGTTGAATAATCAGCCCAGATACCACTTTGTAAAAACACAAACACAAAAATAGCAAAACTAATAATAATAATAACAAAATAAAACAAAACCCAGAAATCTCTCTCACACCTGCTCTTTCTTTCTCATCTGTTTAATATGTTTTTATGAACCTGAAGAAATGAGCAGAAAAAAACAAGATTATTAATATTGATTTAAACAAGAAACATTAGAAGTTCAGAGAATTGGGGAGAAAAATGATATGGTTAGGCTTTGTGTCCCCACCCAAATCTGATCTTGAATTATAATTCTCATAATCCCTACATGTCAAAGGGGAGACCAGGTGGAGGTATTTGATCATGGGGCAGTTTCCCCCGTGCTGTTCTCATGATAGTGAGTGAGTTTTCATGAGAGCTGATGGTTTTATAAGTGTTTGGCAGTTCCTCCTGAGTTCATTCTCCTTCCTGCTGTCTTGTGAAGAAGGTGGCTTGCTTCCCCTTCACCTTCTACCCTAATTGTAAGTTTTCTAAGGCTTCCCCAGCCATGCAGAACTGTGAGTGAATTAAACTTTTTCCTTTATAGATTACCCAGTCTCGGGCAGTTCCTTATAGCAGTGTGAAATTGCACTAATACTGAAAGTATCTTAATTTTGTATTTATTTGTATCACTTGCTTCAATGTGCATTTTTTTAGTTTTGTATCTTATAAATATACACTGAGATAATTGGCATTTTATAAATTGCCAATGTAAAAATATGCATGTATAATTAAATTTTACAAGAACTGCAAACGTTGATAGTAGTGGTTCTGACCTGTCTTGCTTGTTTCTAATAGTTTTCCAAGTTTTTTCAAAAATATTTTTGTCTTTGTTTTCTTTTAAAAAATTAAAATGACAATAAAACTGTCTCAAATAGAACAAACACACTGTAGACTAACAAATGGTATCACGACTGTGCCTAAAATAACAACACATGACCACTGAAACCTGTGCAGGGTTGGGAAGATTTGATATACTAGTACTCTTAGGAGTCATGATTACTAATTTTAAAGTGAGTAAATTTAAAATTCATAGGTATAGAAGCATGTGAGTGAGTGTGTGAATGTATCTCTGTGTGTGTATGTACACGCATGTGTGTGGGTGTAATATACATATTTTTATATAAAATGGAATATTTTTATGTAAAAATAAACAAGGACATTCCCCCTCAATTAAACTCTGATTTCTCTTTTTGATATGCTTGCCCATTGTTTTCCATGGTTCTTGGCTGTAACTTCTTTGTTTATCATTTTCCTTGGTTATATCTGAAGTCAGTGTTGCAGAGGTTGCCTTTTCTGGGAATAGAAGAGTTTGTATGACCTGCTTACTGCTGGAGCAAGCTTGGGAGCCAGTAGTTTGTTTTGGTCTAGGTTCATGTTTTTGTTTTTGCTTTGTTTTTGCTGGAGTGGGGAGATGTAATTTAATGAAAAACTTAGGAATTGTCTTATCTATTTGCATTTAGTCAACTTCATATGCCAGTAAGCATACCCAAAGTTTGTTCTTAGACATAATAATCAAACCAAATTGATTTATTTTCTTGTAGCTTTCCTGATCCTCTTTTTTTGGTATTATAAGGAATACCTTTAGGCTATCTGAAATAAAAGGTGGAAAGATCACATTCTTCATCTGATCTCTTTCATAGGACTAAACCTCTTTGTCCTCTGAGAAGTTTTACTGAGGCTTTGATGCTCAAGATATTTTTAAAACATCTCTTACTCTCTGAGGTCTAGGAACAATTCACCTTTTCCAAGCTTTGGAACTTCCAAATATGTAGTCTCTCTGTTTCTTCTCATTTCTGCTTATAAACTAGTCAATTTTTCCCGAGTCAGTCTCTTTATTTCAATACTTCACCAAAGGAAGTCAATAGTGGCCAATATAAATAGTCCTATTATATCTAGTCTCTTCCTCTAGAGTAGTGGTTCTCAACTCGGAGAAATTTTGTCTTCCAGTGGACATTTGGCAATGTGTAGAACGTTTCTGATAGTTAAGACTAGGAAGGTACACCAGTGTCTAGTGGATGGAGAACAGGGTTGCTGCCAAACATCCTAAAGTCATCATCTGCACAGGGCAGCTCCTGCAACAAAGAATTATCTGCTTCAAAAAGCTAATTGTTCTTCTGTTGAGAAACCCTAATCTAGAGACACAAATTCAGGATGTACAGGTTGAGTATCCCTTATCCAAAATACTTGGGACCTGAAGTGTTTCAAATTTCTGACTTTTTTTTTCTTTTGTTTAAAATATTTGCATATACATAATGAGACATCTTGGAGCTGGGACCCAAGCCTAAATACGAAATTTATTTATTTATGATTTAAATATACCTTACACATATAATGTGAAGGTAATTTTATATAATATTTCTAATAATTTGGTGCATGAAACAAATTTTTTACTGCATTTGACTATGACCCATTGCATGGGGTGAAGTGTGAAATCTTCCACTTATGGCGTCATGTCTGTGCTCAAAAAGTTTTGGCTTTTGGAGCATTCTAGATTTTGAATTTTGGAATTAGGGATGCTAACCTGTACATTGTCTGTCTTCTGACTTATTACGGTATTATGAAATGTTTTGCTATTTTACAACATAAATTGCCATCTTTCCAACTTTTTCCAACTATTTTGCTGCATAGCACTAGGATAATGTCATAAATCGTAGTACTTTTGCTACATTAATAACTCATTTTAAGTCAACAATTTCTGTGTGTAGAATAGTCTATGATCTGTAAGAAAAAAATTACAAATGCAATTACTTGCCACAATAACACATTAACACAAGAGTATAATGTGGCTGTTTGAGTCATGCCTTGAAAGAAATATCCAAAGATTAAAGTTTCTTACCTTCCTTAGTATTTCAGTCCTCTATAGGGAAGGCAGATGAGGGAAGAGATGGAGAAAGTGGAAAAGATCATGAGAGGATTTTTAGATCTGAAATGCCACATCAGATTTTCCTTTACTTTCTTTGACCTGTCACATGACCTATCCTCATTTTGTTTATGATATTAATTAAAATGTCTCGTTTTAAGTTCTTCAACTTCTTAATAAGAAATTGCATTTTATTATGTCAAAGGTAACAGAGCTTTCAGGAGAAAATGTCCATTAACCAAAGAAGAAAATAAAATTGCCCATTCTTGGATGGTTATTGCCAAATTTTGCCGGTGACTTTTCCTATAATTCTATTCTTATAATCTTTTAGCATATTATTTTTTCAGCTATGTTAATACCTTCCATAACTACCCTGTGAGTTGTATTTCTTCAGGTGACTCTATTTCTACTCTGACGCATTTGTGGATTTCAAAACTGATTATTTAGAGAAGAAACTTGTTCTCATTATTTGAGTTCTTGCCAGTCATCAATTGTCTCTTCCATATACTCTTTATTTTAGCATTTTTTTCTATTTACTCAAGTAAGGAGGTTGCAAGGGTTTGTGAATTCCCATGCCTGAAAAGAAGCCAGAGCTGTCGTGAAAGTACTTTGCCAAACTCACTAGACAATACCCCATGGTAAGATATTGAGGTTTCTAGTGGTCTATAAAGAAAGTAAAAAAGCATCCCATGAGAGAAAAAGTCAGCAGCTGGGTGTTTGCCACTCAGAGGGCATTGGAGGGGAAAGGGAGATGATAATAGAATCAGCAATTTAAACAGACCACATTCCCCTTCTCATTTACCTATTCAATAAATTTGATTTTAGCACCATATGTACTAGGCATCATTCTAAAATCTGGGGACACATCAATGAGCAAAACAGATAAAGATACCTTCTTGGAGTTTATATCCTAATTGGGGAGGGAGCAGGGGCATACAATAAACATCAAAAAAGTTAGTTATATAGGATGTTAAAAGATGGCTTTAGACCCTGCGTGCTCACGCTATAATTCCAGGACTTTGAGAGGTCAAGGTGATCAGATCACTTGAGCCCAGGAGTTTGAGATCAGCCTGGGCAAGATGGTGAAACTCTGTGCACGGTGGTTTATGTCTGTAAGGCCAGCTACTTGGGAGGATAAGATGGGTTAATCACTTGAGCCTAGGAGGGCTAGGCTGCAGTGAGCTGTGATTGCACCACAGCATTTCAGCCTGGGTGACAGAGTGAGACCTTGTCTCAAAAAATTAAAAAAAAAAAGATGGATTTAGCAATTAGGAAATCAACAATGCATCATAGTCAGTTTTATCCAAATAAAAACATGGAAGCAAAGAATACTCTTAACAGAAGAGTGACTGATAAAAGGGAGATAGGGGTCATGAAGTAAATGGCAGCCTTTTATTTTTCTTTAAAGTAAGAGAGACTGTTTTTTGTTTATACAATAATGAGAAAGAGTTTGTCGGGAGATTAAATTGTCCTTCACCAGGGGGTCGGTAAAGATGAAGCAAGGATTTCTGTGATACTAATCACTAGTCACTCCCCAGACACCTCTCTTTCCCTGTCTCTTATTTTATATATTCATTTTATTTTGAATAAATCTTTGAATAAATATATTTTATTATATACATTTTAATGTTCAAGTATATTATATTGAATGACATCATGAGGACAAGTTTTTGAATTAAATGTGAGGGTATCAGGATGTTTTAATATTCTAATTTTTTCTCAGAAGTTCAGAAGTCCACTTCCTTCTTGTCTTTTTGCATCTTAATGTGAATAACTTAGAAATGACAGCAAGTGACAATAACAATTTAAGCAACCCATCTGAATATCTTTTTTAATGTTGAGCGTATGGTTTATCTGATCCTGCTTTTAAAAATCTAGCGCTCTGTGAAGCCTTTGTATATGCCCTCATTACCTCATTTTCTTTTCTTTGTAAATGGCACTGATCACGTGAAAGGAAAATAGCAAAGGTTATCCCACTCTGCAAATAAGGTAACTCATCTAATTCTAATAACTATGGTCTAATCTTGGCTCTTCCAATAATACTAAAATAATTGAAAACCACACCATGAACAAGTCTAAAAGCATCAAAGTGACACAAAACTAATTAATCACTATCAATTTAATATGTGCCCTATCCGTTCAACCAGCTCAGCTCCTCTTGACTTTATAGATGATATTCATTCAGCTCACTGTGCACATCAATTATCCAGAAAACAGAGTTCTGTCTCTCCTCCACTTACAAAAGTAGTTTAATATTGTGAACTATTTCTATTATAATTCAACAGGTCAATCCCATCATCTTTCAGAGGCTACCTTCTTCTCAAACGAGTGCATGAACCAGAGCTGTGAATTTGCATCACTGAGTTTTGAAAGAATTTCTGTGCTACGTTTCCTTCGCAAAATTGTTCATCTTCTCTCAAGATCACATTGAGACCTCTTCAGTGGCATTTCTGTTTCTCATGAAGCACCACAAGGTCAATGATAATTTTTCCCTTTATGTGTTGTATATGGTATTGCGTACAAAAATATAGATAGCTAATATATTTATAATAAAGAACATGTCCATCATCCTCAATGCTAATACTTTTTTAACTGAATACACAGTCAAGTACATTAATTATCTCTTCTATCTTGAACTTAAAAACCACAGACTCTTTAATGTTTAATTTAATAAATCCATTATGTGAGCTTAGGTTGCTTAAGGGTTCAAAGCAGCTATTTCTTTATCTATTACAAAAGAGAAACAATACTATTTACCCCATGTGGTAAAGTGCCTGAATTGTTTGGTAAATGTTGTCTATTATTCTTATTCTTATTACTCAGTTGTTGTAAGACCTGAAATGTGTTACCAGGCACAACTGTCCTACTCTGCAAGAGGAAACAATAAACAGGATCTAGACAGGATGTTCCAGGGTAATTGTTTCTGCAATAAAGGAGTATAGACTGTCTGAGGGTCTGACAATTATAAGAGAGTAAAATGTTATAGTACAAGGATGAAACTCCTTATGAAGGGGATCACCTAGGTCATGAAATATCATTCATCTCATCAGCAGAGTAAACATGATGCTTCAGGGTCATTCTCTCCTTTGACATGAGTGCTATCCTCGAAACAGAAAGAACTCTTCATGACATTTGCACATTTATATAATATTGAGCTTATTTTCCCAGCCAGAACTTCCCTACATAAAGATTTTAAAATGTATATCTGCCTTGAAAGTAACACCTCTAGGGGTTCCTGCCTTAAGAGGTCTGGTACTCTGCCAATTTCCATTGCAATCAGCGTATGACAGCAAGTTTCCATTGACATTTCACAGTGACCCTGAGCAGAATAGTAGGCTCTATTTTTCTCCCTCACTGTTTAAAAATATATATTTATTAAAAATACAGGCAAGAACCTCAGACAATCCTTATACAATTATTTTTCAAACACATGATGAAAATAGTGCTATATTATGCTAGATATTCCAGAGCAATCACTAGTTTTCACTAGCAATCACTGAAAACTAGTGATTGCCCAAAGATGGTTGGATGACTATGGCAGATTAAGTTATTCCTCAAAAATGTTCACACTCTGTGGGTGGTTTTATTTCTCAACCCCCTTGATTCTGAACTTGGCTATAGGACTTGCTTTAGCTAGTCTTGCAGTCCTGCAGTCCTGCAGCCGTGATGCAAGCAAAGGCTCAGTAAGTGCTAAGTGCTTACATGGGGGCTTGCTCTCTTGCACCACAGCCATCCCCTAGAAGAATATGCCTGGAATTGACTGCTATTTCCAGCAAGAGGATGAGAGGCAGGCAGAGCACAGCAGAGCTCCTCAGATGGCACAGATTAATCAGCTATTCACAGATTCTCCAGAATAGTTATTATTGTTTTAATCCACTGAGTTTTGATGGGATTTTTTTTTTTTTTGCATATTTTTTTGGCATAGGGGAGTACTTGATGTAACAGTTAAACTGTGGAGGAGAGTTTAGGATGGCTGACTGGAAGCATTTTATGCGTGTCTCCTCCACTTAGAAGAACAAGAGTAGTACATAGACACTCAAACTTCAAGTACATTATCCAAGTGAGGATTGTGGAAAGAAGACACCAGAAGCAGGGAAGGAGAAGGAGAGGCAGCTTTTGTAGCCAGGATTGGCTGGGAGCTGGGAGTGAGTTCCCTATGCAGGGAAGGAGTAAGAGACTTCCAGTGGACTACATCCCCCCTGTGGAATTGTGTAGTCCTGGTTATGGGAGAAGCCCTTATCCCTCCCAACCACTGAAACTAACATAGGAAGCTGCCAGGAGATCATGGGACAGAACTGTTTCAGGGAAGGAGCTTGCACTTGGTCCCACACCTTTTCTGAGACTTAAGCAGCAGCAGTAAGGCACCATTTTCAAAACTAGCCTCTGGAGAACTTCACACTGTCCTGGGACTCAGCTGTGCCAGAACCAAGGCATTATGGAAACTCATTATGGAACCAGATATAGGGGAGCAAGCCAGGAGGACTCCAGCAACTAGGACTGGAAAATGAGCAAGGCCTGGGTGGCAGTGACCAATGCCAGAAAGTCAGTGCAGCACTGTCAGAATCTGAGATGGGAATGCAAGCAGGGCGCAATTTGCTGCTGGAACTTGGTTGTGAACTGGTCATGAGATCCTGCAGCCAGTTGTGGGGAGCAAGTCCCACCATGATTGAGGTGTGAAGGAGACACGTGTTTCCCACCCACCTGCTGGCAGGCTGTGATAACTGAGGGAAGCCTCACCATCTCCAGTGGCAGGGCCTCAGCATGACTGCTACCTCACCTCAACCAAGAATTCTACCTGGGGCCTCAGGGTTGTCCCACACAACTGCACCCCACAGCTGGTACTTACTGTAACCATTGAGGAGCCTGAAAACAAGGCCACAAAGCCCAACTTGGACCCCCTCCAAGACAGAGCCCATAATCTGGGGTCCAGTGTATTGCCCAAAGCAATATACCACCTTGGACCTTGGACCTTGGACCAATCCTCCAGAGGGCCTAAATTCGGGCTTAAACTTCTGGCCACTACCACCACAACTGCAAGTGCCACCTGCAGGCCTGGAGGCTGGCCGACTCAGCCCAACATAGCCACTGTCAACAGCAACACACATTATTTGAGGCCTAGAGAATCATCCTGTCATTGCTACTCTCATCACCTACACTATGCTAGCTATCCAGGGGCCTGAGGACCTACCCACTCACCTGGTCCACTGCTGACACTATCAGGATCTGAGCAACTCCCCTGGAGGCCCATGAATCCACGTGCTGGCCACCACCAACAAGTGCCAGCACTGACCAGAGGCACAAAGATAGGTATGCTTGGGCCACTACTGCCACCACAGGAGCCTGAAGACAAGCTCAACTCGTATCCCAGTCCCCAGCACAGCATCACCATAGCCTCCAGTAATAGTCTCATCCTAACCCACCAAGTAAATTACAGATACTAATAATATTGTTTGTAACCAGATAAATCATACAGAGATTACACCACTGTATGCACCCAGAATTGAAGCAAAATACCCTACTCAACCAACATCGTAGACACATCTTCAAGAAAATGTTTACCCTTGTGAAAGTAAACTCAAAAACAGGGAGAAGCAACTGTTACACCAGATGTGTCAATAGCAACATAAAAACACAAGAAACATGAAAAAGCAAAGAAATTCGACACTTCCAAAGGAACACAGTAGTTGCCCAGCAAAGTGTCTTAATTAAAAAGAAATTTTCCAGATTTAAAATAAAGAATTCAAAATATTGATTTTAAAGCTCAGTGAGATAGAATTCTGAAAATATTACAATGAAACCAGAAAAACAATTCAACACATCAATGAAAAATTTATCAATGAGATAAATGTTTTTTAAAACAACCAAATGGAAGTTCTGAAGTTGAAGGATTTATGGAAGGAAATACAAAATACATTTGAAAGCTTCAACAATAGACTAGATTAAGCAGAATAAAAAATCTTGGAATTTGAAGACAGGACTTTTGAATTAATCCAGCCAGAAAAAAAAATAAAGAAAATAATAATAATTAAAAAATGAACAAAGCTTCATGACATTTGGGACCAAACAAAGCAACAAAATTTGTGAATTGTTAGTATCCCTGAGGGTGAAAAAACAAAGAAAGGATTAGGAAATCTATTTAATAAAATAACAAATTTTAAACTTTACAAATCTAGTAAGAGATTTAGACATTCAGACACAGAAAGCTCAACAATTCCCAGGCAGATGCAATGCAAAAGACCTTCTCCTTTGTTATAATCAGACTGTCTAAAGTCAAAGTTAAAGAGAAAATCCTAAAAACAGCAATAGAAAAGCATCCAGTCATGTTTAAAGAAAACCTCTACAGACTAATAATGGATTTCTCAGCAGAAGCCTTATAGGCCAGAAAAGGATGGGGTGATATATTCAGAGTGCTAAAAGAAAAAAAACCTGCCATATAAAACTACTATGTCCATCAAAATTATCCTTCTTAAACAAAGGAGAAACAAAGTCATTCTCAGATAAATAAATCCTGAGAGAATTTGTTACCCCTAGACCAGTCCTATAAAAAATGCTCAAGAGAGTCCTAAACCTGGAAGTGAAGCATTATATTTACCATCATAAAAACATATGAAACTATAAAACTCACTCATAAAGCAACAATACAAAGGAGGAAGAGAAAAGACTCAAATGGTACCACTATGGGAATCCACAAATCCATGATGAACTGCAAGAGAAAAAGAAAGGAGCTAAGACAACCAGAAAACAATCCACAATATGACAGGAAGGAAGCCTCACATGTCAATATATTAAATATAAAGAATTAAATTCTCCTCTTGAAAGATACAGAATGGCTGAATGGAAAAAAACACGATCCAACTATGTGTTGCTAACAAGAAACACACCTTACCAGTATAGACTGAAAGTGAAGGAGGGAAAAAAGATATTCCAGACAAAGGCAAACCAAAAGCAAGTGGAGTAGCAATACTCATATGAAAAAAAAATAGCAGTCTTTAAGTCAAACATAGTGGAAAAAAGAAAAAAAAAAAAGGTGATATGCTTTGGTTCTGTGTCCCCACCTCAATCTCATGTTGAAATGTAATTCCCAGTGTTGGAGAGGGTCCTGGTGGGAGGTGATTGGATCATGGCAGTGGGCTTATCATGAATGGTTTTGCACCATCCCTTTGGTGCTGTTCTTGTGATAATGAGTGAGTTCTCACACAATCTGGTTGTTTAAAAGTATGTAGCACCTCCCCGTCTGTCTCTTGGACCTGCTCCTGCCATGTAAGATACCTGCTCCCACTTTGTCTTCCACTGTGAGTAAAAGGTCTCTGAGGTACCCCAAAAGCAGATGGTGCTATGCTTCCTGTGCAGCCTGAGGAACTGTGAGCCAATTGAACTTCTTTTTTAAATATATTACCCCATCTCAGGTATTTATTTATATCAGTGCAAGAACAGACTAATACAGGAGATCATTATAATGATAAAGGTATCAATTCAGCATGAGGATAAAAAATTCTAAATTTACAAACACCCTACACTACAGCACCCAGATTCATTAAAAAATATTAATGAAACTAAATAGATAGACTGCAGTACAATAATAGTGGGGAGCTTAAACATCTTACTCTCAGCATTAGACAGATCATCTAGAGAGAAAATCAATAAAGAAACATGTCATTTAAACTGAACTTCAGCCCAAATATACCTAACAGATATTTATGGAACACTCTATCCAATGACTGCAGAATGTCATTCTTTTCACCAGCACATGGAACATTCTCCAGGACAGAACATATGTCAGCCCACAAAACAAGTTTCACCAAATATTTAAAAGTTGAAATCACATCAGGTATCTTCTCAGACTGTGAAATAAAACTAGAAGGCAATAACAAGAGGAACTCTGGAAACTATACAAATACATAGAAATTAAAAATCGTTTTTCTTAATGACCACTTTGTCAATAAAAAAAATTAAGATGGAGAATTAAAAATCCCTTGAAATAAATAAAAAGGAAAACAACATACTGACACCTGTAGGATACAGCAAAAACAGTGCCAAGAGGGAAGTTTATAGCAATAAATGCCCACATCAAAAAAGTAGAAAAATTAAAAACTAACAATCTAACTGTGAACCTTAAGGAGCTATAAAAGCAAGAAAAAACCCAAATTAGCAGAATAAAATAAATAATAAAGATCAGAGCAGAAGTAAATGTAATAGTGTCTAAAGAAACAATACAAAGGAACAATGAAACAAAAAGTTGGTTCTTTGAAAAGATAAACAAAATTGATAAACCACTAGCTAGAATAAAAGAGAAGGCCCAAGTAAGCAAAATCGGAAACAAAAAAGAGAGACATTGCAACAGATACCACAGAATTACAAAAGATCATCAGAGACAATTACAAACAACTATATGCTCACAAACTGAAAAACTTTGCGGAAGTGTATCAATTGTTAGAAACATACAAGCTATCAATATTTAATCAGAAAGAAATAGGGAACTCCCAGACCAGTAATGAGTAGTGAGATTGAATCAGTAATAAAAAGTCTCCCAACAAAAAGAAGCCCAGGACTGGATAGATTCACAGCCAAATTCTACCAAATATACAAGGAAGAATATCAATCCTCCTGAAACAATTCTAAAAAATTCAAGAGGAGAAAATTATCCTTAACTTATTTTGAGACCAGTATTGCTCTGATCACCAAACCAGGGAAAGGCACAACAACAAAAGAAGAAAACTACAGGCTAATATCTCTGGTGAACATACATGCAAAAATCTTCAACAAAATACTAACAAACAAAATCCAATGGCACATCAAAATGATATTACACCACAATCAGGTGGGTTTTATACAAGGAATGCAAGGATGGTTTAACATACATAAATCAATAAATATGATATATCATTAACAGAATGAAAGGCAAAAACCATATGATCATCTTAAGAGACACAGAAAAAGCATTTGATAAAATTCAACATTCTTTCATGATTAAAAACTCTCAACAAACTAGAAATAGAAGAAACGTACCTCACAATAATAAAAGACCATATAAGACAAACCCACAGATAACATCATAGTGAATGGGGGAAAGGTGAAAGCCTTTCCTCTAAGAACTAGAACAAGAAAAGGATGCCTATTTTCACCATTCCTATTTAACATAGTACTACTATAAAAATCAGTAACATTTCAATACACTATTAGTGGTCTAGTCAAATAAGAAATCAAGAAAGCAATCCCATTTATGATTGCTGCAAAAATAAAAGAAAACAAAATACCTAAGAATATACTTAACCAAGGAAGTGAAAGTTCTCTACAAGGAAAACTACAAAACACTGATGAAATAAATTGAAGATGACACAAACAAATGAAAAACATTTCATGCTCATGGATCAGAAGAATCAATATTGTTAAACTGACCACATTGCCCAAAGTAGTATACAAATTCAATACAATCCCTATCAAAATATCAACATCATTCTTCACAGAATTAAAATTAACAATCCCAAAATTCATAAGAAACAACAACAACAACAAAAAGAGTCTGAATAGTCTTAACAATTCTGAGCAAAAAGAACAAAGCTGCGGGCATCACATTACCTGACTTTGAATTATACTGCAAAGCTATAGTAACCAAAACAGCATGATACTGGTATAAAAATAGACACATAGACCCATGGCACAGAATAAAGAACCAAGAAATAAAGCCTCATATTTACAGTCAACTGATCTTCAACAAAGCCAACAAAAACTTATTCAAACAACTCAACAGGAAAAAAGCAAATAATCCCATTAAAAAAGTGGGCAAAGGAAATGAGTATCTATTTCTCAAAAGAAGACATATGAACAGCCAGGTTTCAAAAAATGGTATATGAAAAATGTTCAACATTACTAATCATCAGAGAAATACAAATCAAAATCACAATGAGGTATCATCTTACTCCAATCATAACAGCTACTATTAAAAAATACAAAAAATAATAGATGTTTGTAAAGGTGTAAAGAAAAGGGAAGGAACTTTTATGTACTTTTGGTAGTAATGTAAAGTAGTACAGTTCTTATAAAAAACAGTATGAAAATTTCTTAAAAAAAAAAAAAACTGAAGATAGAATTACCATTTGATCCAGCAGCCTTCACACTGGGTATCTAAGGAAAATAAATTAATATTATCAAAGCAATACCTGCACTCATGTTTATTGCAGTACTATTCACAATAGTAAAGATAAGAAATCAACCTAAGTGTTCCTTAATGGATGAATAGATAAAGAAAATGTGATATACATAATGAAATCATGTCATTTGCAACAACATGAATGGCACTGGAAGTTATTATCTTAAGTGACATAAGTCAGGCACGCAAAGACAAATATCACATGCTCTAACTGATATGTGGGAACTAAAAAATTTGGACATATAGAGGTAGAGGGTAGAAAAATAGATAACAGAGACTGGGAAAGGTTCGTGGGGAGGGGGAGGGTGAAGAGAAGTAGATTAAAGGGTACAAACATACAGTAAACTGGAAGTAATAAATTCAACGTTT
This sequence comes from Homo sapiens, assembly GCF_000001405.40. Classification (NCBI taxonomy): domain Eukaryota; kingdom Metazoa; phylum Chordata; class Mammalia; order Primates; family Hominidae; genus Homo; species Homo sapiens. The sequence continues at coordinate 95,834,685 of NC_000001.11, read as the reverse complement.
GATAGCAGAATAGGATGACTATACTTTTAAAAAATGTATTTTACTTGGGTGATGAACACTTTGAATACTCTGACTTGATCACTACGCATTATTATATACATTTAATAAATTTCTCATGTACCCCTTAAATTTGCACCGATTAAAAAAATACTTACAACATGTCCCATTGTACTGTGTAACACAACTTGTGTTGGTTTCTATACTTAATTTATCAAATATTTAGTTAAGCTCAACCCAGATACAAAAGGACTATCATAGGAAGTGCTGACAAAGAAAATAGTAGAGGAATATATGAAAAACCAGCTAGATGGCTCCCATTTCCTTTTTCTATCATATAACTCTTGTTTAAGGCATTATTAAAATTTCCTGAAAAACTCACACCACTGTGATTGTGCTTAATAATTCTTTGGCAGGTACTGTTGGTTCTGTGTCCTAGTGCCCACTCCACCCAAGGCAGTTTCAGTTATTGCTGTAAAAATGGCCACAAGACCCAGTTCTGGCCAATAAAATGTAAAAGCAGAAAATCTATCTGGGGCTTCTAGGATAAATTTTTTAAATAAAAAGACTGGTGGCATGCCCCTTCAGCTACCCCCACCCTTTCTGCATGGAATATAGATACTATTCCTTCCTGCATGGAATATAAATACCATTATGACGGACAGAAGCTCAACAGCCATTTTTGTGACTCTGAATTGACACAGGAGAAAAAGACCGAGAGATACCCAGACAGCGGCTCTACCATCACTGAGCTTCTGAATCAATGCTGCCAGCACGCTGTTTTTCAGGCTCTTAGTTATGTGAGAAAAATAACCCCTTCCTTATGTCAGTATTTGTTAGTCTTCTACTACCTGCAGCACTCTCAACTGCATTTCATAACGAGTAAAAGGAGAAAGTTAAGATATACCATAGCACAGAGTTCCCATGTTAAGCTTATTAGTTATTCTCAGTAACTAAAATCATCATTATATAATATCTATCATCATGAAATTTCTCACCACCTTTACTACCTAAAAGTAAAGGTATTAATGAGTTAATGGATTTATTTCTAAGATTTTACTGTATTCAATGAAACGAAAGATGCTTTAAGATCAAGATCTATACTCTCAGTGAATGAACAAAAGAAGTGTTATTAAAGACTAAATGATTTTGAAAAGGTTATCCATATATCAAAAGCTCAAAACCTCAATATCAAATGTTCAGTAAAATTTAGGCATACTGCAAGATACAATTAACTTATCTTCACAGTATTACATGTTCTCCTGTAAGCCTAATTGTGCACCTCTTCCATGGTGTTCTTGTATTCACAGTAGAGATTAGGAAATCGTTAGCTTAGTCATTAATTGGTAAAGATTTCTTTCCACAAGTGAATTTTCATTGAATTTTAGCACATGATTAACCCCACTTCACATATCAAGAGAAATGATGTGAAAACATGTGAAACCTTGGAAATATTCTGTGCCTATTGAAACCTATTGAATAATTCGAGATCATGGGTCCAATTCTTTTGTTCAAATATGAAAATTGTGTCCTTCCATTTCATGATAGAAACATGAGAGATGCAATTATAACAGTTATAAACCTTACTCTAGGAATAAGTCAGTAAAAACTGACTTGATCCTTGACTTCTTTTCCCTAAGTCACTGAATTAGCTGAGAATGTAAGTTACATATGTCATGTATAGTTGATGCACACCATAAAGTTTTTTATCTAAATTTGAAACCTAAGTCTGGATATATCTGAAAATTCGTATTGCATTTACTCATGAGACTTGAATTCTGATACAGAGAAACTAGCATATGAAATGTGGCTAGATCATAACCAAACAGGTTATTATACTTCTGAAATTAATTTGAATAAATAACATCAAGAAAAGGCAGTAAAGCCAATTTGGGTTTTAATTCTATTGTAAAATAAAATCAAAACCATCACAAGGAAAGCTCCTTTCATCAAAAACATTATTTGCAATATATACTAGATTAGTACAAGAGAAACAGATAGCAGCTAAATGGACAGAGAAAAGCCAAGTGAAGGAGCCAAAGGCAAAAGGAAACTAGTGATAGAAACAGAATGCAGGCCAGCAGGCAGCCCAGCCAGCACTGTGAAAATGTGAATAAGCACATTCGGTAACCAACATCCAGTCATGGACACCCGCTGAACAGGATGCTTGGTTTTCATTAATCTGCTAGAAAGTGGAATGTTTGCTTGTCCCATGTCAGAGAGATATGGGATGACTACCTAGTAAAAGAAGTCATTTCTTTTTCTTTAAAGAGGGTAGGACTGTATGATGGTGGAGTGGAAAGAAAGTGAGACACTCTTTCTCACTCTTGATCTGCTTCCCAAATGACAGGCGACAACTGGGAAAATAAAATGCAAGAACTTATTTTGTCTGGAGTCTATGCCCTTTTTATAAATCCCACAATGATAAAAACACTGAGGCAAAGGACAGTGATGTTGGTAATAATAAAAAGAGAATAACCCATGTCTGTTTTTGTTGATTATGGAGAGCTCTTACTACTGCGTTCTTTCTGGTAGCCAGACCTAAAATATGGTCTCTTCCTGATGTCCCTTTCTGTGGATTCACAGCCTCAAGGATATTTGCTCAAAAGATTTTATTCCTCCTTCTTCCCAGTTGTAATGGCTGTATATTGAAGTTCTACTTAAAAATCAGAGGTTTCCAGAGCCATTCAGGATTAGTTATAAAGGGGAGAGCAGTCAGAAGAGCAGGAATAGGGAATTGGAGCATAGCTCTCGCTCTTTCTGCAATAATCCAAGCTCATTGAATGAAGAGGAAAGCCACAGGCTCAAGAAGTATATAGTCAGGCAGACCCATGTCTCTGCAAGGAGACTGGTCTTGAAGGTCCAGTATGATGCGGCCACTGAACACCTCTGTTCAGTTTCATCCTTCTCCCCATCATTCACCCCCAAAATTCTAGACGACAAAACACTGCTTATCTTGGAAATCCATGTGATCTCTTTTGTTTCAGACTTTCCTAGTCCCTGGCTAACCCCACCTCTGACTCTTCAGTCTGTGACACCATATTTCCAGACCTGTGTTAAGATCCGATAGTCTTTGCTCCAAGAAAACTACCAGCCCAGGATGAATTCAGTGCTCCCTTCTCTCTGCTTCTTTAGTATCATGCACATGCGTCTATCAGAGCAATTTTACAGGGTGGGTTTTTAGACTATTTTTCGAAAGGCCATAAGCAACTTGAGACAAAAACTTTATCTTTTTTTCATTGTGAACAGCACACACATAATAGGTATTCCAAAACACATATTTTTTAGTGAACTAGGAGTTGCTTTTTCCTTTTACGTTATACATGATAGCAGCTCCTTTTTGTGGATGAAGAAAAAAATGTTTATTGATTGAATCCAATTGGAATAGCCCATTCTTCACCCCTGACATTAACTTGGTAAGTTCTCCACCTGGGTTAAGATTATAGAAATAGATAGCTCCACATAATTTGCCAGATGATGGGTCGTTGGGAACAGACTCTGACTTATCTATTTGTCTCTTTGTATTTAAATCATATATTTCCTCAGTCAAAGAGCTGTAGGCTGAGCTTGGAAATGCAACAAAAGCCCAGTTCCTATGGAAGAAGAAGAAAGCCAAGAAAGCTACCAAGTGAAGCCACAGAGCAATGTCCAAGCACCACCGTGTTATTTTTTTCAGAGGTGATATAGATGCCGTCGGCTATTCTCCTTCAATGTTGAGTCTAGAGCAGTGGATCTGACTGTCCAAAGACGACAGCCTGAAAGTGGGCTTGCTTCAGTCTGGGTGCATTCAAATCGGTCAGTTCTCAGTCTCCTAGACACTGGCCCCCTGGAGGAAACTGAGGCGGCTTGGTAGCCATCTGATTATTATTTCTGTGACCAGGAAGCCAGGTAAGAGTCAGTTGGATTTTGCTTCCATTAATGTTTCCCTGTTGTGAAAAACAAAAGGTAAAAGTTTTTAATAATGTCTCCCTTCAAGTCATATGAGATTCTCACCGGGGTGAATTTCTTTTTCTTTCTTTCTTTCTTTCTTTCTTTCTTTCTTTCTTTCTTTCTTTCTTTCTTTCTTTCTTTCTTTCTTTCTTCTTTCTTTCTTTCTTTCCTTCTTTCTTTCTTCTTTTTTCTTTCTTTCTTTCTTTCTTTCTTTCTTTCTTTCTTCTCTCTCCCTCTCTCTCTCTCTCTCTCTCTCTCTCTGACTCTCTCTTTTTCTCACTCTCTATCTTTCTTGATCTGGATCAAGAATTAGCCCAGGAGAGTGAGGATTTTGACCCAATTAAATCCATTCAGTTGGAACAACTAATATTAAGCCAATGCTTGAAGAAAATAATTTCTAGAAAAGCTGAGTATTTTCTGAACATAAATCTTTATTATCATACTTGAGATAGATCCTATAGTTCCATAGAATAAATTTAGATTTCCATAGGAAGACATTACTAAGATGTGGTCACTCCAGCAGCACCTGGCAGCAGTCCCCAAAAAGAGATTAATGAAGGTGGCTCTGTAGCAGGTTCCAAAGTCTTAATTATAGCTTTTTCCAACTCATCCAGCTCCAGTGGAAGGGTAGGAAAAACAGCACCTCTCCCTAATGGCATGGCTAACTGACACATTTTTTAACTGAAATATGTTGCTAACTAGCACTCTGCATCCTTCCCTCTTCACTAACATGAGAATGATGACATACTTTTTGTTACATAAAGTAATGGCCTAATAAATATTGATCTGACCACAAGTTACTGAAATGGGGTTGAAGTGGAGGGAGGAACTTTCAGTAAATAGCAAGAGTGGTGCCCTCAAGACCATTACCCAAGTTACTCACTAGTTAATGCCTTAAAAATCCATATTGTGATTTCACAGATTCCTTTCCTCCTGTGTGTCAGCAGAGCAGCATGTCTCTGGGACAGATGGTCTCCTTGTACACACCCCATACTTAGTGCTGTGCCAAGCTTATGCTTCCTTCACTTTTTTCATGAAAACAGGCATGCTGAAAATATGTTTGCGGATGGCACAGAAATGCTGTGCACATTTTAGCCATCATGTCAAAGCAGGAAATATTCAGAGCCATAACAAGCAAAAACAAAAACCACTGAAAAGTATTTTTTCCTCTACCAAGCTGTAGTCATTTCCATCCTCAAACATGGCAAGCCACAAATGCATTGTGTTAAGCACCATCCAAAGAAAAGAGGGGTGGGTGTTATGGGCACCAAGACAGAAAATCTTGGAATAGGATCAGGCGTCTCACGCTGTAACAAAGGGTTGTCAATTCTTGTCAATTTCAGAAAGCAAAGCCCCTGCTTCCATGGTGAGGGAAGCAGTAAAGGAAAAAGGAAATGAATTGGCTTATTAAATATCACCTAGTTTTCCGCTTCGAGTCTATCTAGAAAATTGCAATTTCCCTGCTTTTTGTCTGATATTTCAAATCATGGAAAATACAATCTTATTAGGCAGTTTAGATCCACGGATCAAGGAAATATTATAATTAACAAAGCAAATATTAAAAACAATAATAGCCGCTGAGTCCTTAAGCTTTTATTTAGCTTGCCAACCACATCACAGCCAAGTCTACTTGTAGACTACCTCCATGTCTTTTAGATTATTCTGAAGTTAACAATGAGGGCCTTAAAAAAAATTAGTCATCTATATTCTCATATTCCCACACAGTAAATGGTCACTCATAGGAAGCATTTTGTCAGCTGTTATACAGCAAAGTACACAAGGCCAGATTCCCTCTTATAGGTCATTTAATCCCATGAGTAACTAAACTATCATAATATTTTTTGTTGCAAGGACAACAGAAATCAATTAACTCACTTCTTCCCAAATATGGAAATTTCTTCCACAGAACCATAAGCAGCAGGCCATCCACCTATGCAATTATGCAGAACACTTCTGAGACAGCCAACATACTACCCACTTCTACACCTGACAGGTGCAAATTATTTCATTAGTTCAAGAAATAGTCACTCATTCCCTTCTGAAGCCCAAATTCTTTTTGAAAATATAAAAAGAAATATTTCAGAAATCCCTGCCCTTAAGAAGCTCACAACCTAGTTGGGGTACTTGGAAAGCAATGTCAATGCAGTATGATAATTACTATGAGAGAGGAAATCGTGCTGTGGTAATTTTTCAACATACCTTTTACTTTTACTTATTCCCTTTGCCTGAGCTTGTAATTACATATTTATTAGTACAATTATCAGTTTAATTACTTTCTCCCCTGCTAAAATCTAAGCTTCATGAGAGAAGGCACTAAATTTTTTCTTTCAGCGATTATCTCCAGAACTCAGAGAGTATCTAAAATACGTAATAAATATTTGTTGAGTAAAGGCAAACAATTGATTAAGACAGGTACTTTTGCCAAGGAAAACACATGTGGGGTAAGGATTTTCCAAGAAGACATGTAGTATACAAAAAGACTGGAAATGAGAGGACAGAGCACTTGAAAGAGCCACGAGTGTTTTGGCATAAAAGGAACTTAGAGTAAGACATGAGAAGGCCAAGAGGTAAGGCTAGACAGGCCTGGATCATAAAAAGTCTTTTATTACATGTTGTGCCAAGGAATTTGGATTTCTTTATCATTACAGCAGAGCTCTATTGGCTAGGTTTTAAGCCAAAGAGTGACATGGGAATTTGGTTGGCAAGACGGAGGGGACTGATTGGAAGGAGGGTGATATAGAGAATGTGTAGTGCAAGAAGGATGAGAAGGTAAAGAGGAGCAGGTGTATGCAACAAGGAAGACGATCATATGAGGAAGATGCAAGGATTCATCACTGCATGGCAGATTTCTGGCTGGGATGACTGGCAGAACCCAATTGTGGCATAAAATACTATAGGAAAAGGACATTTTTTTCTCTTTCTTGGAAAGGATGTTATGTTGAATTTCATGTTGAACAACCAGATGGATGGTGATTATATAATTCTGAGTCTGATGGAGAGATTTTAGCTACAGATGGAGATTTGAGAATGATCAATAGACAGATAATAATTAAAACCTAACCAGCAATGACTGCCTAAGTATGTGTAAAATGAGAACATAAGAGTGCTAAAGAATAAAATAAGTAAGGGGACAGTTACTAAGGAACTAAGAAGAAGAAGAAGCCTGAAAACTAAAGAAAACCAGAGGAGGAGATCATTATGGAAATCACGTAAGAAAAGGATTTCTGAAGACCACATGAGTATGAGAAGTTAACTTTTCCCATATGGCAGGGGCTGAAAAATCTTTATTGTGATATTTACAATTTAGGTGATAGGTGATCTTGACAAGAGCCACTGAGAGGAATCAGAGAGTGGAAGTAACAAAGCTGTCTTTTATTTCAAGGCCAGCTCTAGATAGTGTAATATTTTCTATTTATTATTCTGAATCAAATTTTCCCTTCACATAGGTGGGTAAGTGTCTGGGGAGGAAGGAAGTGCAGATTTTATGAGTTTCAATGAAGAACTATGGTAAACATTTTATTTTGTTTCTACAAATATTTATCAAGCATCTGCTATGTGTCAAAATCTATGCTAAGTGTTACAGATACAAAGATGGATAAGCCATGATCCCTGCCCCAAAGAGGCTCAAAATATATTTATGGAGACAGACAAATACACACTTCAATATGGTAAGTATCATGGTAAAGGTATGTGTGGATGCTGTGTTTATAACAGAAAAGATGAAATAGTTTTGCCTAAGGTAGCTCAGGAATGAAGATTGCAGAGAACAAAGGGCAATTTGGGATCCTGAAGAACTGATAAGATAATATGGGCATATCTCTCCTTAGTGCAGGTTATACGTTTCTGAAAATAAATAAACTACTGAATGATGAAGCAAGATATGCTGTATTTGTGATGTGGTTCCCATCTCAGCTTTATACTAAGCACCATATACTAAACCAGCTGTGGAATTCTCTCTTTAAAAAAAACAAAAATTTAATTTTTATTTTAATTTTTATTTTTTGAGATGGAGTCTAGCTCCTTTGCCCAGGCTGGAGTGCAGTGGCACAATCTCAGCTCACTGCAACCTCCGCCTCTCGGATTCAAGCGATTCTCCTGCCTCAGCCTCCTGAGTAGCTGGGATTACAGGCACCCACCACCATGCCTGGCTAATTTTTGTATTTTTAGTAGAGATGGGGGTTTCATCATTTTGACCAGGTTGGTCTCCAACTCCTGGCCTCAAATGATCCACCCACCTTGACCTTCCAAAGTGCTAGGATCGCAGGCGTGAGCCACCACGCATGGCCAGAATTCTCACAATTGTTTCAAGCCACAATCTTGTTCACATGCTGTTCATACAATACCAGGTCAATCCACCCAAGCTGCAGTGATTTATATGATAATGCCCTTTATAAAGTAAAAGTGCTTCTTTCAATCTTTAACTGTTTGCTGGTCTTTGCTTTCTTATTTATTGACTATTACCTTCAATGAGCCACTGAATATATAAAACTTTATGATATACTTTCTTGGTAATTTTTCAGCACTTCCAATAGCATCATTTGTATTTATTTTGTCAGCTATGAAGGATCAAAGCATTTTGCCAAAAGATATATTAATGGAAGAAAGACAGACCAAAGAGAAGTTAATACAGAGTTTAAAACCAATGTGCACCACCACTCATAGCGAGGCACTGTGTGAAAGTCTCTCTAGGGCTCATTAGCTGAGAGCCTCCGCTAAGCATCAGTATACTGAACTGGCTAACCTGTAATATACATTAATATATTGGAGGGCTGGGCATGGTGGCTCACGCCTGTAATCCCAGCACTTTGGGAGGCTGAAGTGGGCAGATCACCTAAGGTCAGGAGTTTGAGACCAGCCTGGCCAATATGCTGAAACCCTGTCTCTACTAAAAAAAAAAAAAAAAAAAAAACCAAAAAAAAACACACACACACACAAATTAGCCGGGCGTGGCGGCAGGCACCTGCAATCCCAGCTACTCAGGAGGCTGAGGCAGGAGAATCGCTTGAACCCAGGAGGCAGAGGTCGCAGCGAGCAGAGACCGCGGCACTGCACTCCAGCCTAGGAGACAGAGTGAGATTCCATCTAAAAAAAAAAAAAAAAAAAATCAGAGAAAGGAGAGGACAAGCATAATTGTATAATATATTTGTGATAGAAAGACACTATAATCCATGCTATATAGGGCAGCATTAAGGGCAAAATGCAGAAAGAGAAGAAAAGTAAATTCCAGCATGTATACGCATATGGATCCATGAGAGAACATGTATAAGTTTAGTGTGGCGGAAGTGGACTGTACATGCTGTGGAAGATAGAAATAAGATTAGAAAGGTTAAATTCTGCATAAATTGTGAATGCCATCTTATGCTGGACAAAGGAATATGGGCTATATTATATAGAAAGAAACAACCTTCAAATGTTAAGTAGAAAAGTGTACTAATCACTAGCACTGATGGAAATATGGAGAAAGTAACCGAGGTTGGAGAAGCTGAAAGCAGGGAGACCAGTTGAAAAGCTATTACAATGGTCCAGATGAGAGCCCTGGGAACCTAAACAAAGCCAGTGGCAGCAGGAATGAAAGAGGCTGGGTGAGTACTCCTGGATCCCCAGGATATAAGAGAGTTTCTCTGTACAAGGTAACTGCAAGTCAGAGATTTCCTGTAGTGTTACGCAGGGGCAATCTCCTCACTCGACAAAAACACGAAAAAGCTAGAGAGAGAGTCAGCTTTTAGTAATGGATTAAGCCTATGGCCCTCCAATATACTAGATTACATTAATAGTCCCAATCAAGTAAGGTTGATCCTCCCACCCACATGCAGGATTCCACCCTGAAGAATACAGAGGCAACCTAGAGAGTCCAGGAGGAAAGGAGGAACCTCTAGTTGAGCAAGAAGATGCGAAGTCTAGCATGTCTCACTCACTGCTGCATAAGGCCAACGGGAAGCAGCCTGAGTTAGGGGAGATAAGATGCTTTAACTTTACATAGAGTTGGAATTTTATAATTGCACCATGGATACACCAATGACTAAAGGGACACTTTTTTTGTGACTAGAAGTAATGGGGAAATTTTTTATATGTGATCTGAAAAGTCATGACACTTGCTTTAGATTTCACCTGAAAGAGAAACAAGCTCTCCAGTATAAATGTGAATAGGCAGGGGCAGAAAGATAAAGTAGTATTAGGAGTAATCCCCAAGGCCTTCTTTGTTCATGTAAAACAAGCTCAAATAATAGATTATTAACTATATAGTTCAAGCCACCTGAGTTCCCTTCCTCTTCTCAATTCCTTCTTTCCACCAGATGTAGTCATCTTTTTGAATTCAGATTATCATTCACATGCATTTCTTTTCATTTTACTCTATATGTGTTAATTAAGAATATATATACAAATGCTTTGGAAATTTTTGGAATTTATATCAGTGGTATTATATTCTGTATATTTTTAAGCTACCAGCTTTTCCAGGGAATTATAATTGTTGATTCTGTAACAGTAATTTGTTCATTTTCACTGGTATACGGTATCCCATTATGTAAACATGGCACATTTTATCCATTATTTTGTTAATAGGCACTTAAGTTGTTTCAATTTTATTGCTATTATAAATCTGCTCTGAGCATTCTTTATATGTGTTTTCTTTTCTATGTTCAAGAATTTCTTTGGGATATATACTCAAGAATGGAATTTCTTGCTTTGTTTTCTTCCACATATATTAAACAGAATTTGATTATTTGCATCCTTGGTTAATGATACATCCTCATCATTAGTCCATATGTGGCTGTTTTTGTTTGGCTAGCTGGTATAATCGTCTAATAAGCACCCTCGAAACCACTACTAAACATAAAAGCTAGTTCATACAATATTTACATATAAACAGTATAACCCCTCATCACAAACCCTGACTCTCCTGACCCAGAAGTAATCATTAATTTGAATCCCATGTTCATTGTCCCCTTGCTTTCTTTTTATTGTTATTTTATTACATCTATAAGTATTCCTAGAGATTTATTTTTAATTGTTTATTTTCATAAAAATAATTTCATGAACATTTACCCCTACATCACACCATACACAAAAATCAATTCAAAATGCATCTTATTTTGAGCTAAATAAAAATTTTAAAACAGCATATCAAAATTTGTTGGATGCAGCTAATATAATAATATGAGGGAAATTTATAGCAGTACATGCTTATATTAGAAAAAAAGAAAAAGGTCTAAAATCAATGACCTCAGTTTCACCTTAAGAGGCTAGAAAAGGAACAGTAAAGAAAACTCAAGGCTGTGTGTGGTGGATCACACCTGTAATCCCAGCACTTTGGAAGGCTGAGGCAGGGGGATCACGAGGTCAGGAGTTTAAGACCAGCCTGGCCAACATAGTGAAACCCTGTCTCTACTAAAAATACAAAAATTAGCTGGGTGTGGTGGCAGGCACCTGTAGTCCCAGCTACTCAGGAGGCTGAGGTAGGAGAATCACTTGAACCTGTGAGACAGGGGTTGCAGTGAGCTGAGACCATGCCACTGCACTCCAGCCTTGGTGACAGAGTGAGACTCCATCAAAACAAAACAAAACAAAACAAAAAACCTCAAAATAAGATGAAGAAAGAAATAATAAAGATCTATCAGAAAACTATGAAAGAAATAAAACCAATAGAAAGAAATCAACAACCAAAAAAATCAGTTAATTGAGAGATCCCTTGCCAGGCTGATCAGGAAAAAAGAAAGGACACAAAATATGAGTATCAGAAATGAGAGGTCACATCACTGTAGATTCCACAGATTTGAAAAGGATAATGAGAAAGTATCATGAGCAACATTGTGCCAGTAATTCAACAACTTGGATGAAATAGGCAAATTCCTTAAAACGTACAAAACTACCAAAATTCACTCAAGAAGAAATAAATAACTAAATAGCACTATTTAATTTAAAAATTCTTGATGCAAAACAGAAAAAGCAGGGGTTGCAGTCCTAATTTCAGACAAAACAGACTGTAACCCAACAAGGATTAAAAAAAAAGACAAAGAAGAACATTACATAATGGTAAAGAGTTCAATTCAACAAGAAGACCTAATATTCTAAATCTATATTCACCAATGCAGGTGTACCCAGATTCATAACACAAGTTTTTAGACACCTATGAAGTAACTTAGATTCACACACAATAATAATGGCAGACTTCAACAGATCATTAAGACAGAAAATTGATAAAGAGATTCAGGCCCTGAACTCAACACTTGACCAAATGGACCTAATAGACTCTACAGAATTCTCCAACAAAGACAACAGAATATACATTATTTTTATCGCCACATGGTACATACTCTAAAATCAAACATGCAATCAGACATGAGACAATGTTCAGCAAACTCAAAAAAACTGAAATCATATCAACCATACTCTCAGACCACAGCACAGCAAAAATAGAAATCAAGGCCAAGAAAATCACTCAAAACCATGAAAGTACGTGGAAATTAAACAACCTGCTCCTGAATAACTCTTGGGTAAATAATGAAATTAAGGCAGAAATCAACAAGTTTTTTGTAATGAGAACAAAGACACAACATACCAGAATCTTTGGGACACAGCTAATGCAAGGTTAACAGGGAAATTTATAATACCAAACACCCACATCAAAAAGTTACAAAGATCTCAAATTAACAACCTAACATTACAACTGGAAAAACTAGAGAAGCAACAGCAAATTAACCCCAAACCTAGCAAAAGACAAGAAATAACCAAAATCAGAGCTGAACTTCAGGAAATAAAGATAGAAAAAGCCATACAAAAGATCAATACATTCAGAAGTTGACTCTTTGAAAAAAACTTACAAGATAGACCACTAGCTAGACTAATAAAAAAGAAAAGAGAAGATCCAAATATACACAATTAAAAATGGCAAAATGTATGTTATCACTGACCCAACAGAAATAAAAATAACCATCAGAGACTACTGTGAATATGTCTATGCACACAAACTAGAAAATCTAGAAGAAATGGATAAATTCCTGGACACATACATCCTCCCAAGACTGAACCAGGAAGAAATTGAATTGCTGAATAGACCAAAAACAAGCTCTGAAACAGAATCAGTAATAAATAGCCTACCAACTGAAAAAAGCCCAGAACCAGATGGATTCATGGGTGAATTCTACCAGACGTACAAAGAAGAGCTTGTACCATTCCTGCTGAAGCCATTCCAAAAAATTGAGGAGGAGAGATTCATCCCCAACTCATTCCATGAGGCCAGCATTGCCCTGATACTAAAACCTGGCAGAAACAAAACAATAAAAGAAAATTTCAGGCCAATATCCTTGATAAATATAGAGGCAAATATCCTTTTAAAAATACTAGTAAACTAAATCCAGCAGCACATGAAAAAGCAAATCCACCATGATCAAGTAGGCTTTATCTCTGGGATTCAAGGTTGGTTCTACATATGCAAATCAATGAATATGATTAAACACATAAACAGAGCTAAAGACAAAAACCACATGATTATCTCAATAGATACAAAAATGGCTTTCGATAAAATTCAACACCCCTTCATGTTAAAAACCCTCAGTAAACCAGGCATTAAAGGAACATACTTCAAAATAGTAACAGCCATCTATGACAAACCAACAGCCAACATTATACTGAATGGGCAAAAGCTGGAAGCATTCCCCTTGAAAACTGGAATATGACAAAGATGCCCACTCTCATCACTCCTATCCAACATAGCATTTAAAGTCCTGGCCAGAGCAATCAGGCAAGAGAAAGAATAAAAGGCATCCAAATAGGAAAAGAGCAAGTCAAATTATCCCTGTTTGCAAACAACATGCTTCTATATCTGAAAAACCTTATAGTTTTTGTGCAAAAGCTCCTTGACCTGATAATCAACTTCTGCAAAGTTTCAAGATACAAAATCAATGTACAAAAATCAGTACAAAATCAATGTACAAAATCAATGTACAAAAATACACTAACAGCACCCAAGCCAAGAGCCAAATTAAGAACACAATCTCATTCACAACTGCCACACACAAAAAATAAAATACCTAGAAATGCAGCTAACCATGAAACTGAACAATCTCTACAATGAGAATTACAAAAACTGCTCAAAGAAATCAGAGATGATACAAACAAGTGGAAAAACACTCCATGCTCGTGGATAGGAAGAATCGATTTTGTTAAAATGGCCGTACTGCCCAAAGCAATTTACAGATTCAATGTTGTTCCTATAAAACTACTGATGACATTCTTCACAGATCTAGGGAAAATTATTTTAAAATTTATATGGAACTAAAAAGGAGCCCAAATAGCCAAGGGAATCCTTAGCACAAAAGAACAAAGCTAGAGGCATCACATTACCCAACTTCACACTATACTACAGGGCTACAGGAAACAAAATATCATAGTACCGGTACAAAAACAGGCACATAGACCAACAGAACAAAATAGAGAGCCCAGAAATAAAGCCACACACCTACAACCATCTGATCTTTGACAAAGCTGACAAAATCAAGCAATGGGGAAAGGAAACTCTATTCAATAAATGGTGCTAAGATAACTGGCTAGCTATTTGCAGAGGATTGAAATTAGATCCTGTCCTTACACCATACACAAAAATCAATTCAAGATGGATTAAACACCTAAAAGCGCTATATGTGTATATGACAGTTTCATGGAATGTATGCGTGTGTATACACATACGTGTGTATATACATACACGTTTCATGAAACTATGATACAATACTACATATGTACCGATGTATATACATACATATACACATAGAAACACATCTATCAAATTGTATACTTTAAACGTGCAATTTATTGTATGTTAACTAACCCTTAACAAAGCTGTTAATAAAACAACTACCATTATAAGGATACATTGTACATCTATTCTTCTAGTTTTGTTAAATGTTCCATTATATAGTTAGAAACCACATGATTCATTGCATACTGTATACTGTATATTCCTGTTTAATAGAACCATATATCATTCTGTGGTATGACTGTAGTATAGAAAACTGGTAGAATTCCTTTTAAACCCATACCACCCTTGTTCCACTGTAGTGGAACTTTTAACATGGCATATGGCTGCTGGGAATAAATAATACATTTCTCAGCTTCTCTTCAGTTTAAAGTGTGGTCATTTGACTAAGTTCTGCCCAATGGGTGTGAGTGTAAGTGAAGTGTATTACTTCTTCTTTTTTCTTTAAAAATAGAAGATGTTCCATTTAACTTCTAACACTTTCTAACATACTCTGTACTGCTGCTTGAAAGGCTGATTGATGGCAAGAAGTTTGGGACTATATTATAGAGCAAGAAGATTGGAGGAGCTTGGATTCTTACACACCCTGGCGGAACAAAACGGCCTTCTTCGTGTTTTTAAGAAAGAAAAAAATATATTTTCATGTTGCCCATGTGACTATGATTTTGTTTTCCTATTTTCCAGCCAATCCTAGATCCTGACAATTACAAAATTTCATATCTGTACAAGATTATGTCCTATAATAAACTCTAGAATAAATGGTAATCAGAAGATTTTGGATAGCAGAGTTGGGAAAGGTGAGGATGTTTTTGTTGTATAAACAAAAAACCAAACACACACACACACAATTGTTCAAACTTTAGACTGTAGTCCCTTGGAAGGTAGACCATATCTTCAAGGACGTAGCAAGAGGAGGAAATGTAGACTGTCTTAATCTGTTTTGTGTTGCTTTAACAGAATGTTGGAGACTTCCAACACTGCATAATTAATTGTAAAAAAGATGTTTTTTTCTTATAGTCCTGGAGACTGAGAACTCCAAGATTCAGGGGCCACATCTGGAGAGGGCCTTTTTGTTGCATCAGAACTTTGCAGAAGGCATCATACAGACAGAAAGCATCTGAGAAACAAGGAAAGATAGGACCAAATTAGCTTTTATACCAAATCCACTCTTGTGATAAGAAACCCACTTCTGAGATAACAACATTTGTCACCTCTTAAATGTCCCACCTCTCAAGACTGTTGCATTGGGGAGGAAGGTTTCAATACATGAATTTTAGGGGGCACAGTCAAACCATAGCATTGGCAAAATTCAAAATGTTGGTGTTCATTGACTATTTCCTTTCACTTTTAGCAGAGCCCTATAAAAGAGAGAGAAATTCAATTGACAGCTAATTAGTCTGCAAGTAGAGATGGAGAATGGGCCTCTGGGCAAGAAAAAAGTGCTTTCTGCCTGTGGCCTGCAATAGAAGTAGACTTGGAACCTGGCTATCAGGAGCCTTGCATGGTTATAAGAGCCAAATACTTTTTGTTCCCCAGACATAAGGTACAACAGATGATAGAATCAAAGCTAAAATGTATGCAGCTTGTAAATTGATTTTCATCTTATCTAATATTTGAGACAACTACTTGTTATGACAATAAAAAGTTGTTTGCTTAAAACATAAGAATCAGAAATAACCTTACAGATAGCACCCTAGGATTTCTTCATTATTTC
The DNA here is from genome assembly GCF_000001405.40 of Homo sapiens. Classification (NCBI taxonomy): domain Eukaryota; kingdom Metazoa; phylum Chordata; class Mammalia; order Primates; family Hominidae; genus Homo; species Homo sapiens. Next base: position 95,818,294 of record NC_000001.11, on the reverse strand, counting down.
TATACAACCAAATAAAAATTAAAATTGAAAATTAAAATTAAAAAATCAATCAGTAACATTGTAGGGTAATTCATGTGGTTGTTTTCTATGTAACATTAACTTATTTAACATTTTATTCTCACTGAAGAGTTTGCTTTATTGATGCCTTGTGTTTGGAACCCAGCAGTATAAATTGTAACATTTCACAATACCTAAACTCTGATGGAATTATTAAAGTGTCATAACAAGTCAAGTAGAAAAATCATAGAGAGACTATTAACGATTTAATAGTTCTAGTTCATGTGGGAATGCTAATCCCACTGAAGTACAGAAGTTATGGTTATAATGATTAAGAACTTATAAGAAGAGAAATGAAAAATGTGAAATTCATATTAAAAGTATGATATAAAACAATTATTATAAATTGACAGTGAGTCATGCAGTAAAATTTAAGCTAACTTTCCTAGGAAACTATTACCTTGTGAATTTGAACATTTATACCGATTTATCTCACATGGGCAGTACTCAACCCTCCCATTTTTATTAACCTTAGAAAAATGTGGTTGCTTCAGGATGTAGATAGTGCTGTCAATGACCTTCCCAGATACCCTCTGATCTTTTTTGCCATTTTCAGGAATCTCTCCTCTGCCTTCCCTGTGTTTTTTCTCCCACAGGCAGTACCTTCTTTTAGAAAACCTCTCATGTAACTGGAACATCTTTACCTACATGCACAGAGAGCAGGAGTACAGGGAGTTTATGTCCACGGTGGAGGCTCTTAGTCAATGACTGACCTGTGAGTCCAGATGAAAGCTCAGTGCCTCTGTACTGTATTGCAAAGGGACACTTCTGATGTGTAACATACACTTCAGAGGTCCCCTTGCCTGAGAGGCTGAAGGAACCCTCCATAGTCCTTGCTTGGCTACTTCCCCACTCTCTGTTCTTTTCCAGCTCCCTACTTTGCTTGTTTCTCCAGGAGCACTTTCTCAATAAATCATTTGCACGAGAATTTGAGCTTCAGAGATTGCTTCTCTGGCACCTGATAAGACAAAAGGGCTTATAAATGGACTTATTTTGGACAACAACAAAAAAAGTAAAGTCTGGGAGTAGGGTTAGGGCAGTTACATAATATTTGCTCTAACGATACAGTAATATTGCCAAGTTTAAATTATTAATTAAAGTGTAAGAACTAATAGATTAGTAGAACTCATTAAAACACTTTTAGGAAAAAATGATTACAGGACTGAATAAAAAGAGTTGGCAGAAAACAATATAGCACAACCTGTAAGTGTATAGCCATTTCCATTGGAAAGTAATTAGATGTGTTGGACTATATGTTAGCAACTTATTCCTAAGCAAATTAATATTTTAGCATAGTGATGGCTATTAGTGCTGTACCCTGCAAAGCAGTACATGATAATCAGGCACCTCTAAAGCAGGGTTTGTCAACCTCCACTCTATGGACATCCTAGGCCAGACAATTCTGTGTTGTTGAGAGGCGTTGTGCACATCAAAGCGTGCTTAGCATCACTGGTCTCTACCAACTAGACACCAGTAGCACCCTCTTCCCAGTCATGACTGTTGAAAATGTCTCCAGATCTCCCCAGATAACCCCAGAAGGAAAAAATTACTATTTAAAGTCAAGTGATCTGCTTGCTCAAGAAGATCAGTAAACTCATTTACCATGAAGAATCTAAAATATTTACATATAATAAATATATTTGTTTTGATTTCTACTACCTTTTATATGTATAAGTCATTCACTTTTTAGAAAATCACATTCTAAATGAAGACACAATAGCTTACTTTACTGGTTGACAAGACTGGATAGTCTTTTTGAGAAATGCCAGCATCGATAAAACTAGTTCATACAGAAGTACAGAATTAATCACATAGAGATAATTGTGATATTTTTTCAAATGGAACTTTTGTTCATACATATTTAAATTCTGGTTATAAAGATACAAATATTTGCTCAGACTTCTATGGACAGAATTCCTAACAAATAATCTTTTCAGATAAAGATTATTATAACTCTGTTCTGCATACTTGTCTATACAGTATAGTATACTGCATGAATAATTTATTTTGTGAATAGGATGATCAGATTAATGAGATTTTTCAGGAGTAGTGAAGAGAAGGGAGAGTTACTGATGGCACGGTTGGGCTAGAAAGTATTACAGTTGAGTTGACATTATTGTATCAATATCAACCCACAGCGGGTATGGCAGTATTAACCAGATCAGTGTATATACAGCCTTCTCTCATTCAATGATTTATTAGTGACTTGAATGGGGATCTAAAAAGAATGGCTTGTCAAGTTTCCAGATGACAAAGTTTGAAGAAATTTACATATATTATATAATAAAATAAAAAATTAAAAGTGTGAGAAATATATGTTTTAACAAAAATGCGCTTAACAAAATGAAAAGAAAGAAATAAGTGGAGAAGTCAACATATTAGCTTCAAAATCAAAGGCCCTGCTCCTCTTTCTATTTTCCTCCAGCAATGGCAGGATCCATCTGCACAACTCCTGTACTGCATCCACTTAATCACTAGGTTTCCAAGCCTTGTTGGAAAGCATAGCAGGAATTCATGACCTCCACTGCACGGGAGGTGTCTCTGCCTGAGTCAAGGCCTCATTATTGCTGCCTGACTGTAATAGGTGCCTAATTCATCTTCTTCTAGCCACACTCACTTTGAATTCACTCTAGCATGGTAGTCATAGTTCACTCTCAGAAACATGCACTGGACCACTTCTGCCTCCTGCTAAAAACCTAGATATGGTTCTCTCCTCTCCTTCCTTCTCCAGGCTCTCCTGTCACTCTTGTTTCACACCTACTCTCCATTAATACCAAAGTCCTGATACTGTTGACATACAAATATCATGCTATTTCTTGCCTCCATGAATCCACTCAGATTGCTCTTTCAATCTGCAATGCATTTCCCAAAAGTTTAGTCATGGGCCTAAGCCCCATTCATCTATCATGATTTAATTCAGGCACGATTTCCTCCAGAAAGCCTCCACTCAATCCCAAAATTAGAGCAATGTTTCAGCAGCATTCTGCACATAGTGTTCAGGGAAGAAAGATACACAGCCCTTTCTCTATTTCCCTTCTTCACACTCTTCCCCATGCACGAGTAAGAGTGAAGAGCCAAGTTTATTTCATTCTTCATTATACTACTGGGTGAAGTTTTAAGTATGATGAGGAGAGATGTTAACCTTTGGATTCTGTGTCAGTTTAACAAAGCTGCCATACAAAATACCACATACTGAGTGGCTTAAGCACAGACAATTATTTTCTCACAGTTCTGGAAGCTGGAGGTCCAAGATCAAGGCGTCAGCAGGTTTGGTTTCTTCTGAGGCCTCTCTTTCTGGCCTCAAGGATGGCCACCTTCTCACCATGTCCTCACACGACCTCTCCTCTGTGCTCGTTCACCTGGAGTGTCTCTGTGCATTCCAAATTTCCTCCTCCTATAATGACATTAGAATGGACTGCAGACACAATTCAGTCCATAACAAATTCCAAGTAAGATTCATCAATTTTTGAACTCTTTTTTTTTTTTTTTTTTTTTTTTTCAGAAGCCTGAGGAGGTAAGGTTTATCCTGGAACTTGTTGCCTCACAGGAAGTGCCTCTGCCATTTATCTTTCTCCACACTGTCATAGCAAAAGGCAGGAGAGATGGTGAAGAGCCAGTCATCTGCTGCTGCCTCAAAGTTCCAAGCCATCTTTCTGGCCAAGATGTTCCATCAGTCCTCTAACTCTTCTTCCCATATAAATGAAAGGAGATTTTCACCAATTTATCTCATCTCCAGCCTCTTGACCCAGTTAATATGACCCAATTTTATCCATGTAAAATTGATAATGCCAACTGCCAATTCATTCAATGTTTACTTCAATAGTTCTGTTGTGGTCTTATGATTATCCCCGTTTTACAGACACAGAAACTGAGGTTTTGGAAAATTTACTTATTCAAGATGGCATACTCATGAATGGAAGACCTGGGATTTGAAACACAACTCACTGAATCCCAAAATCTGGACTCTTTCTGATAAGTCAGACTATCAGAAAGAGTATGGCATATACTCTGGACTCCCAGAAAGTCATTAGCTATTTCTTGTGAATTGACAATTACATCAATAGCTGCATAGTTTTTCCTAAATGTATTTGATTCTAAACAAAATAATGTTCTCATACTTTAGAAAAAATAACCTTAGTTATAAATAAAATAATTCTGAAAATAACAGATACTGGCATCTTAGTAGATAAACATGCTTAGATTAAAAGAAAGGTCTCTAGAATAAGTTGCTGTTAGAAATTTAATCTATATGCCTTAATGTTTTCTTTTGATACAACAAATATAGTGAATCAAAGTAATTTACTTACTTTCATTTTAATAAACAAAACTGAACAAAAAACAAAAGGTAAAGTAAAGCATCTTTCATTTCACATTTATCACAAAATCCCAGCATTTAAAAATACAAATAATATTTAAAGAAGCCTTCTTCTCCTTCTTTTCCTCCATCTTCCCCTCCCACTCCTCATTCTCCATCTTCTCTTGCAAATATCTTCTTAAAGTAAGGAATAGTGTCACTGAATTGGATCTTTATACCAAGTGGAGCACCAAGTCCATTCTTGTATTTTATTTTCTCTGAAAAATGCTATAAAATCTGGTTCCCCACAGCTATCCTACAACAAAGAGGAGAATGTAAACTATACATTTGCAAAATTCTGTAATTTTTAAATTGTGATACTCTAAACACCATTGTTTCATCTTGGACAGCTGGTTTTCTCCTTTCTTTAGAATTCAAAAGCTGTAATAATACCCAAACGTATTACTTATTTGATTCAGACAACTTAAGAACTACAAGATTCTGTTTCAAAATATCTTCTTTATTAATACTATATGATAATATCACAAATACATCTTGAAAGTATGAGAAAATATGTGACATGGATTAGTGATAATGACATAAAAAACACCAACGCAGCATTCACATCAACAAGCAAATGGAACAGAAATCCTGCATTTTTGGATCAGGCCTCATGCAATTATGAAACACCATTTCTTAAAGATAAAAGCATATGTAATAATAATAACAATTTTACGTAAATGTGTACATACATCTCGGAAAAATATATTGTCAGAATATAATTTTTTTCTGGAACACCACTAATATTTTCTTGGGAAAAGCTGAGTTGTTGACTTGCAGAGTGCAATAGTTTGGATGTTTGACCCTTCCAAATCTCATTTTGAAACTGATCCCCAATGTTGGAGATAGGGCCTACAGGGAGGTTCTTGGGCTATGAGAGTGGATCCCTCATGAATACATTAATGCTCTCCTTTGGCGAGAGGTGAATGAGTTCTCACTCTCTTAGTTCCTGTGACAGCTGGGTGTTAAAAAAGAGCTTGGCACTTCCCCTCACACTCTCTTGCCTCATCTCTCACAATGTGATCTGTGCACACACCGGCTTCCTTTCCTCTTCTGCCATGAATGGAAGCAGTCTGAGGCCTCTCAAGGTACCAATGCTGGTACCATGCTTCTTGTATAGCTTGCAGAACTGTGAGCCAAATAAACTTCTTTTTTTAAAAAAAAAAAATAAGTTATCCATGCCTGAGGTATTTCTTTATTATTTATTTATTTATTGATATAGAGTCTCACTTTGTTGCCCAAGCTGGAGTGCAGTGGTGCACTCTTGGCTCACTGCAACCACCAATTCCCTGCAATCTCTGCCTTCTGGGTTCAAGCAATAATTATGCCTCAGCCTCCCAGGTAGCTGGGATTACAGGCATGCACTACCATGCCTGGCTAATTTTTGTATTTCTAATAGAAATGGGGTTTACCATGTTGGCCAGCCTGGTCTTGAACTCCCGACCTCAGGTGATCCACCCACCTCGGCCTTGCAAAGTGCTGGGATTACAGGCATAAGCCACTGTCCCCAGCCAGGTATTCCTTTATAGCAACACAAATGGACTAAAACACAGAGTAATTTCTATAATAATAGTTCAGTTTTCTTAAATCCTTCTGACTTCCTAACAGGAGAAACTGTCAAAGAGTTGAAGATTATTTTTACAAATGAGAGACATATAGAAAAATGTTTAAAGCAAATAAGAGTATGGAATTTGGATCTGCAATGAATTTATTATCATAAACTTTCATTCACAGGTACTCATTCTTCGTCTTTCCATCTCTCTCACTTACACACACAAACACACAGTTACACACATATAACATATTCAGATCCTCTAGTTCAGATCTTACTAAGACAGACAGCAGCTTTGGCTATGGTGGTGGTTTGTTTGAATGTTCCATGGGTAAGTCCATTCTCCAGATATTCTTAGAGAGAAGAAAGCCAGCTCAAGTTTTCAGTAATAAGCCTAATTCACCTAACATGGTCTCTGTCTTGTAGTGGAGATCCATTTTCTCCAGGCCAATTTTCTTTCTCATATAGATTCATTTGGCCTTCTGAATTCTTCATTCTAACTAGATTATACTTACCTACAAATAAACAAATGCAAATTAAATTTCTCAACAACCATTATAAATTTTTTTTCTCTCCTTTCACTCCCTTTGTGGTTTAACTTAGAACATGAGTTTTCTGTTTCTGGATCAACTATGGTTTCAACACATGCTGTTGTGTTGTTTACTAATGACTGGTCAAGCTTGCTCTTAGAGTTTGCCAGAGTGTTACAATAGTTACTGCTACTTTTTTTCTTTTAATCAATGGAGACTGCCTTTAGATCTGAGATTTTCTCAAAGTGGAATTTTATGGACAAGAGACACGAGATCTTGAGGCTAACTTTATCCCATGGGAGAAAAAAGGAGACATAAAATAGAAAGCTTACCAAAATTGTACTTAAAATTCTAGACTTTCATGCCACTGAATTTAAGAACATGGGAAATATATCTTGTGTCTGAATGAATTAAAACCTGAACCATTCCAAATTGTTTTGAGCCAAGCTTTCACAATGTTAATTTATTTAAGCTGTTCAGACCTCATCTCAGATCACATTTATCATAATAATGGTAACACTTTTAGATCTAGGACACAATTTGTCATTTAAAAGAAATGCATGGAATGCTATATTTAAGATACCTTATTTTAAATTACAACAAATCTCTAAAGCAAATATCCCTTGCCCTCAAGCTCCATTTGTTAATTCTCCATTAAAATGCATCCTTTTCTCACTTACTGTTCCAATGAGCATACCCACCCACTTACCATGAAATCATTATTAAATATTGATCAGAACCTTAGCTTCATCCAAAGGTATAGTATGTAGTTAATCACAGCTTCAAAGAGAAGCTTTTGTATTTTAAACACATTTTGAAACTTTATAAGGCCAATCATGTCAAGATTAGGCCTTAGATTTTAAACTATGCCATTAGCAAAATGAGGCATCTTTAAGCATGATTTGTATCAACAAACAAAAATGGGACCATTCCAAGAATGTACAAAAATTAATACAGTAATGAAAAATGATCTCCTTTAAGTAAAATTAAAAACATGTGAGATTAAAATTACCATATCCTTTTCTCTAGTTCCTCTTTTAAAAAATCTCTTTCTCTATGTGATCTTCTATACTTATCAATTACTGAATAAGTCATTCTTTTGTTGGCCTGATTATAAAATCCTTTGCCTTCATTAAAATAATAAAATAATTCCAAGAACCATTTGCCTGGACTCTGTAGGGGATCAGAAAATCCCACCCCAAAATATGCCACTTTGGCATAAGAATTATTTTGAGTTGAAGACAAGTAAGAAACACCAGAGGCAGAATAAAAACTCTCTGCCCTCCCTTATCTGGCCAAAAGCAGGACATAAATTCCATTTGTAAAGGTGTCTCCCTCTCCTATAACAAGAAGGGGAGGATAACTCTTAGACTTTTAATCACCAGAGATGACTCAAGACTCTTATCTACCCACAAATGGCACCAGAAGAAGCTGCATGACAAACCTTACTAAACAACCCTTATCTCCCACTAGTTTCTCCATATATTTGCCTTTCCAGAGTTTCCCACCCTAAAAAGCCTAAATCCCTTTTCCTTTGTTTCGTTACTTCTCTGCAATGTATTATTCTTTGTTAAGATGCTACAGAAGCCTGAAGTTCTGACCACCCCTTTGAGTTACATGTCAGTGAAATTCTCCCACCTATATATGTGCTGTAGATGTTAATAAACTTTGTTTTTCTCTTTGTCTGTTTAATCTGCCTTTTGTCAGTTTAATTTACAGGGCCCCAGTCACAGAACCTAGGAGGGTAGAGAAAAAGTTTATTTATTCTCCTTTATAACTTCAAATCAATCTTGCTAACTGGGACAGAGAGAGGAAATAAAGTCGCATGTAAGGGTTGTATACAAGGTTTCTTTATTGGTTACCATTCTCCCTCATGCCATGTGAACAAGTGAAAGGGCAGGGTAAAGAACATAACAATTTGAAAAATTATTTCTTCTTTTCATTGTTTATCATGCTTCCTACCACACACAAATAATACAATAAATAAAAGGGCTATTTAGAAGGTCCTCTAAAATAGAACAAAACACACTAACTTCCTTTCTGTTCTGTCCTCCAGGGCCACGAAGAAAATATTCTTGAATACAAACTGGTAGGAAAAAAAGTTTACACCAATAGAAATCCATGCACTGTTCATAGAGCATCCTTTTTTCTTATCTGATGCTGAATCTGAGGAGGTATTTCACAACTCTGTAAATCTTAGGTAACTGATAGCAGTGCAAAATTTTTATCTCAAGTTATGCAGATTCTGATCTGTCTGATAGAAGTTTGTCTTCCCTTCCTCCCTGTGGAAAAACCAGTTTTATGTCCACTTGCAAATTCACTTCAGTATTTCTGATCTGTAAATGTGACTGTATTTTTGAGTCTCTTTTGAAACAGTTTTAACATTTGCCTTGTTTCATCAATGAATGAGTTAAATAAAATGTTTAACACATATTCATTTTTATACTGTACTAGAGTCAGGATTTTTCCTCTTATTTGAAAATGATCTTTTACCATGTCTCAATATGCTTTTACCCTGCTCAAATCCATTGGCTGGTGTCTCAGAGTACTGTCAATTCAGTATTAAATGTCCGCCTTAGTCCTAAGTACCTCTTCCACCAGTCTTTGCTCAGTTAACATGGAACTGATTACAATTGTTTTAAAGCCTCCATGCTGATTCACATCTTTATGCCTTTGTATAAGCTGATCACATGTTTGAAATGCCCTCTCTTCCCTTCTTTTCTGCCCAAGAAATTTTACATACATCTTTTACAGCTCTGATTTTACATTATCTCTTCCAGGAAGCATTTCTTGATTCCTGCTTCTGCTGCCACCCCACCCACATCCACAGGACACATTTAAGGAGCTGTTAAAGAAAATCAGAGCCAGACAGAAATTAAAGTGGTGAAGTTAAATTATACATTTAGAAAACTATTGTAGTAGAGAAAAAGAGACTCCAATATGGAACCTAGCTCAATTCGAAATACAGCATGAACAAGTGGGGATTTATAGCCAAGAAGCAGGATCAGTGGACAGAAAATTACTAAGCAGTGAAGGGAGGATTCTGGCTAAACGACCTGACAGGATTCTCGCTGAAGGCAGGCCAATATAATCAAACACCAAGGCTGAAGAATTTGGAATTTGATCAGATATTAAGGGTGATCAGATATTGAGGATGGGGATTCTTGCTAAACGAACTCAGCAGGATTTTTGCTAAGACTGGATGATACAAAGAAACATGAAGAAATCTAAAGATTGGGAGGCAGTTGAGAAGAGGGCTCAGAAGAGCCTGACCAAAGTTAGGTTAAGGAGAGAATTGTTTTCAGAACTGCAGTTCATTCCAGACAGCTTATGCAAAGGGATGGAGAGGATGGGAGATACTGGGAGATAAGGCTGAAAAGTAATAGGAACTACAGTTATTGAATATAGCACATCCAGGTGCATAAAAGTGAGAGTTCCACTCAACTCCAAGTAGGTCAGGGAACAACTGGAATATTCTTTTCTCCATTGGGCACACACTGCAAATTACATTAAAAAAAAAAAACGCTTCCAGTAGCAACAGAATAATGATGAGTTAAAAAAAATGACATAAGAAAACTAGGGAGATTTCTCTTTGAAAAGAACTCAGAAGATAGGGAGGCAGTGCGGGTTCTGGCTTCAAATCTCAATTTCACTCCTCACTGATGGACAATATTGGACATTGGCGATATTGACAATTACAATTTCTTTCTCTTTTTCTTTTTTCTTTTTTTTTTGAGACGGAGTCTCACTCTGTCGGCCAGGCTGGAGTGCAGTGGCGCGATCTCGGCTCACTGCAAGCTCTGCCTCCCGGGTTCACACCATTCTCCTGCCTCAGCCTCCCGAGTAGCTGGGATTACAGGCATGTGCCACCACGCCCAGCTAATTTTTTTGTTTTGTATTTTTAGTAGAAATGGGGTTTTACCTTATTAGCCAGGCTGGTCTCGAACTCCTGACCTCAGGTGATCTGCCCGTCTCGGTCTCCCAAAGTGAATATTGGCAATTTCTTATGCTTCCATGTCTTCATCTGTAGAATGGGAGTAGTAATAATGTTTACTTCATATGTTGTTGTGAAGGTTAAATAAACACATATAAAAGCTTTAATAATGTCATTTCAAATTTCTCAATTAATATTAGCTATATTATCTTAACTACAGTCAAACACTTTGAGAATTGTTAGAAGGATAAGTTAGATTTAGTCTTGGATGGAGCCTTTAAAATAGGATCCACAGTGGAAATTTCAGGAAGAAAGATTTGAGCTCTGAGACATAAAATTGGAACAGGCTGCCTTTGGGGGGTGTAGTGTATTTCCTATTTCCTGTGATTTTTAAGTCAAGACTGGCTAGTCACATGGTAAATAGGTTAGGTGAGAGTGGATGAGCTAAATTTGAAATACCTTTCAATTTTGGATTCCTATATTCTACTTCAAGGCGACTGCTATCAACCAATAGGCTTTACTTCTCACATGTCTTATATACTAATGAATGTACCCCATCTTCACCTAAACTGAGGCTCCTCGATGATGAGATCACTGTCAGATTCATTACTATTTATCTTTTTATTTCCAGCATTTTAGCACCTTACACATGGTAGGGGCTCAATACTCTGTGTTTAAATAATTAAATATACACTCTTGTACCAAAGGTTGTTTTCCAGGAAATCATGCAGCCTACCTGTCCTTGCCAATAAAACCCTCATATCAGGTGTCCCTGAAGGAATCATGGGACATATATTATGCCATTTAATTCTTTCACTTGTGAGTTGCTGCTAGTAGTTAGATAGATTTTACAGAATGATTCTATAAAAGTTAGTTCAGAAAGGTAGATGCTCAACACAACCACTGGTGGATCCCAGCCTACTTAAACTCCAGATTCTTAGGGTCTAGTTTCTCAGTTAGAACCCTGATCAAGTATTAGAGAGGCAATCAGTCAACATTATTGAATGCTAGGAGCTAAAATCAGAAAAAAAAAACAAGAAAAAATCCCTAGTTGTTATACACTAAAATGTAGAAAGTGAGAAATAAACATTACTTCTCTTCCTTAGAAAAATAGATGTTTCCTAATATTGTGGACTAAAATTATCAAAACCAAACTTGGTGAAATCAGTTAGAATAAGCAAGGCAGATTAAGGGTCTTGGATAAAAAGGCGAAAGGAGACCATTAGAGACACAAGTGGGTCATCTGCATCGAGGTGGTGGTGTTAGGGAGTCCAAAAATATGCAATAGGCAGATGGTTTAGCAAGATGTCAGGATATATAGTGAGTGGAGTCTAGCCACCAGCAAAAATTATGCAAAGTTACAACTAAGAATCAAAGTTTCACTTTACTAACAGCTTCAAGACTGCTAGGCACTCCAGTAAAGAGTTTTTATAAAGTAAAGTGGATGCACAGAGTTCCTTCATTATCCACAATATAAATCTCATAGTTTTCTAATTTTCACCCTCAGGCTAGAGAGATGTTAAGAGGAGGAGGGAAGTAAAGTAGTAGCAGGGTCTGCAGAGCAGAAGAGGTAGGTAGGAAAGAAAGAAAGAGAAAAAGAAAGAAAGAAGGAAGGAAGGAAGGAAGGAAGGAAGGAAGGAAGGAAGGGACAGGGAGTGAGGGAGGGAGGGAGAGGCATTCAACACACAATGCTCATACTCAGTAAAAGCCTGGCCTGATTATGTATTGGATTCTGGGCATTCATTCAACACGTGTTGAATACACTCCATTACACTCATACAAAACGTGTTTTGTTAAGTTTCTTCCATGTGTCAGGTGCTGCAGGTTAAAATGACTACACAAAGTACCATAACCTCATCAAGTTTACTATCTAGTGGGGACAGGGAACAAGTTAGGGTGTGGAATTCAGCTCCCACTATTATCCATCTGCTTATTTTAAAGCCATCTAGTAGCCATGAAGTAATGTATTTGAACCAATAGATCCACCTTTAGTAATTGCTAAAGTCAGTCTGACTCCTCCCTGTAAATTACTGCTGCTTTAAAATTCACTAAACTATAGCTAGATCATCAGACTGAAATGATGTTTGAAACTTTCTGAAGCTTTACTGAAATTGTTTTAGGTTTCTCCCAGAGGCTGTAAGAACAGTAGTAAAATTATAAGTAGTTTTTTACAATCTGTAACTAAATACAGACTGTAAAAATGATTAATTTTTTTAATATTCTTAGTGTTTCAGGACTATTATATTAATAAGGCCATCATGCATCACTGTTGTATTCCAACAGAACTATTAGTCTCCGTACTATGTTAGTGTAATTACAGCCTAATGGTTTACAACATTATAAAAGCACTAAATATTTTACTAAACTGAGTATAGTATATAAAAATTAATTCAAAAGTTTCCAGGCTTAAAGCGATAGAATCAATGATGGAAAAAAGTTTTTCTCATTTTGTATAAGAAAACAAAGGCATCAAAGGGGAATGCTAAAAAATAATCTGAATTGTAATGAGAATACAGGTAATTAAAATAAAAATCTAAATGACATCTTATTGTATTTTGATTCCATCATATAAATCAATTATTTTTGTTAATGAAGGGAGAGAACAATGTTTCTAAGAAGGTACAATTTAGAACGTTTTTCCTTTTGTGTGGATTTGACAACTTATTTGTGAGAGATGAGAGAAAACATCCATGTAATAATGGTAAGATTAAACATACAATATGTACTTCACAAGCAGACCAGATGATTGGTGAACTTTTAATGATAGTTTTACAGACTTTAACACCAAATACTTAAATAAGAAATCTCTCGGCATGGTGACATATAAGTATTCAGTAAAAATGGGTTCATCGACTGGATGGTATTTGCGAGAAGAGAAATTAGGGAGAAAAAGTTCTGCCTGTTAAATAAGGTTAATAACAAATTGCCATGATAATAAACACCCTAATTTTTAATATAACATTTAACACAGCAGAACTATAATTAATGCTTCTTTCACTTACTCAAGTTCATTTAGTTGCCTTGAAGGATTCTGCACATTTTTATCAATTCTTTAAAACACTGCGTATAGAAATCTTTCTTTCTCTCTTACAAGATTTTATCCTTAACGTTAGTTTTGTTACTACACAGCCTAACCTCATTCAAAATCTGGTTCTCATTTATTTTGTGTGATTTACCTAAGTCAGTTCTATATATTAATTTGCAAATGTGCGCCACCTCTATGGTTTAGGAGGTTTCAAATCATAATCCACCTTTAATTATTTACTTCAAGGGGAAATTTTTATTAATGTTCCTGTGAATTCAAAATAGCTCCCCTAGTATGGGTGGATACCAGAAATGACTGACTGTGATTGCCTTTTATACACCTAATTCAATTGCTAAAGCCCTCTGCAATAGTTCTTTAGCTCTGTGGGCAGTGTATTCTTTGCAGCATTAGCAAGAAGTTAATGCTTGTTCTTCAAAGAGCACTTTCAAACAGAGTGTAGAAGGGTGGTCACCAGGGATCGGGGTGGGAAAAATAGCAAATGTTGGTCAACGTGTACAGGCTTGCAGTCACAAGGTGGATAAGTTCTGGAAACCTAATCTATAGCATAGCAACTATAGTTAGCATTAACATATCGTACATTTGAAACTTGCTAAGAGTTGATCTAAGTATGTTCACCACACACACAAAAAGTAACTGTGAGGTGATAGATAGGTTAAGTAGCTTGATGGTGGTAATCATTTTACAAGGTATACGTACATTGAAACATCATATTATATACTTTGAATATATTCATTTTTTTGTCATTAACACCTCAGTAAAGCTGAAAATAAACTAATGAATTTTTTTGAAAAGCAGTTTCACCTCTCCAACATGGAGGTGGGAGGAAATTCCAGAACATTCAGCTCCAACTTAGGCTCTATCCTAGGCCCTTGGAGAAAGAAATTGACACTGAAGAGCTTGTATGAACCATTTTGACCAACTAAAAAAATTCCTTCTCCGGATAGCAAATTGAAGCAGAGTATTCCTCATTTTCTTTCAAATCCAGT